>NC_000011.10:21310000-22560000 GCF_000001405.40 Homo sapiens
CTTCTTAGTCTTCACATAAAGGCATTTCTACTTAATAGAATATGTAGGGAGTTCTGATAAGTACATTAGATGAATTATTTTTTAACCTCAAAAGAACTATATGAGAAAACAGCTATTTAATTTAAAATAATAGATAAGAAGAATGAGGTTCAAAATAACTATTTACTTGTTAAGCCTATGTAGAACTAGTATGTGGCAGAACTCAGATTTGAAACCAGATCTACCTGGCCCTGAAACATGTGTGCTTTCTTTTACATCAATCCTAATAAATAATACTAACATTGACTATCACTGTGATTAATATCCAGACATGCTGATAATTACGGTATTACCTTGACATTTAGTGCTATGCAAGGAGTAATATAAATTTCACTCAGCAAATATTCACTGAGTGGCTGCTATGTGTCAAGCATCATGGTTGGCAATGTAAAGCAAAAACAAACATGGTTTCGGTCCTCCTAATATTGGTAATCTAGTCAGAAGATGTATCATTTCACATAATAGGACAATTGTGGTACATACTGTGAAGTAATATTGAGTGTATGATTATAAACTTGACCTAGCTCCTGGGTCAAGGAAGGCCATCATGAGGAAATCACAGGTTGAACTAAGAAGGTATCAAAATTTGCTGACATTCCTTTTGATCATCTGTGAGGTTGATGTTGCATTATAGAAATCTAACACAGGATGCGATTTGGAAAGATGGTGTCCAAGCAGAAAATGTTGTTATAGGCTATGTATAGAATGGAATCAGCTTGTTGATGCTATGCAGGTTCAGAGATGGGAGGAACTTTCCATGTTGGAGTGGAAGGGGAGAAGTCTCAGAAGGTAATGTGGGCTAGATCCTGCAGAGACCTGAGTGCATGTTAGATATATTCATCTGTATCTGATGGGTGCTGAGAATTCATTGAAAGGTTTTAATTTGAATATAATCTGTCATTCAAGTTGACTGAGCTTTCTTTTCAAGCTTCGGTATATGGGCAGCAGACACCAAGCAAGTAACCCATGTACTGGCTTTATGAGCTGAAAATTAATCTGTGCGTTTCAGTAACAAAATCTGTAGCTTTACTGGCTTCTCATAGTGTTTAATGACTCTGAAGCAGCTTATTGATGCTGTCAGGAAACTGATACATTTGTAAAAAGAAATGCATTACCCATGCTATAAAATTAAATGTTGCATTGCAAAGCAATATACTAAATATCTCTTTAGTCAATTTTTGTAAACTAAATGTTATAAAATTATATTAGAACAGAAAGACAGCATAAATCTGTGTGGAATATATGTCTTTAAGGCGATTATTTTGTTACTCTGTACTGATAGGTAGGTTTAATTACCTTTTTACTAAAGTGTGTATTTCACATGCCTGGGAAAATAAGTGCATTATTTTGCCCAATTTGTCCTTCTTGTTTACATACGTATATTTGGGGCTTTGAAGGCATATGTATTTTGGGAACTGCTTTTTTATATTTGCATAAAATCAAATACATAATTTTTATCTCTTTTTACACAAATATTAACAACCTGCCACTGTGTAGCCGGGATCCTGTTTAAGAACCTCTAAAATAAAGTGTGACTATTAATGCCTCAATTAACTTTTAATGCAAGAATTGGGACTGTCTCTAGAGCATGTTGAACCTATCCTTCATAATGGATAATGCTGAACATTTTCATAAAAAGAGGTCAAATAATTTCTTCTAATGCCCATGAAAATATCAGCTAGCATTTATTGAGCACCTACTATATGTGCCAGCTACTTTACATATTGTCTCAGTTAATTCTCTCAAACTCAGAGGTATTATTATTTCATTTTATACATGGTACTATTGTCTGAATGTCTGTGCCTGTCTCCTCTCAAAATAAATATGTTGAAACATAATCACAAATATTATTGTATTAGAAGGCAGGATCTTTGGGATGTGATTAGGTTATAAGCTTGGTGCCTTTTCAACAGTGGGATTAGTGCCTTCATAAAAGAGAACTAGTTAGGTCCTTCCACCATGCAAGGACACATCAAGAAAGCACCATCTGTGAACCAAAAAAGTAGGCCCTTACCAGACACTGAATCTGCCAGCACCTTGATTTTGGATTTCCCAGCCTCCAGAGAATTCAATTTTTATTGTTTGTAAGTTACTCTGTGTATGGTATTTTGTTATAACAGTGTGAATGAACTAAGGCAGTAAGTAAACTGAGGTGTAGATTGGTTAAGTAACTTGCTTAGTCCACACAACTAATGAGAGTTAGAGCGTGGGTATGAATCCAGCTAGTTTGACTGGTGAGTCCCTACTCTTAGCAACTACCCGGAAGAGCTCTATTCCAGTGTATGATGGCTCTTTTAGAAAGGATTTTTTTTTTTGTATGATAGTTTTTTCTTTATTTTTGGAATGATTACTTTGTCCAAATTTAAGTTAACACATTGCTTTCCAAATTAACTAACTATCCAGAAAAATAATTTAATAACATTGATTAGAAGGAGGAAAATAGCAACTGCCATCAATCACACCCTGATTACCTGCCAGACACTGGCTTCAGTACCTTACATTTTCTCATTTCATTCTTACATCTTTGAGGGAGGTATGAGTATTCTCTTTTCTCAGACTAGCACACAGAAGGTTAGAGGATTGAAGTAAACTGTCCCTTCAGTGACAAATGTAAGTCTGTAGATTAAGTCTCAGCAATGCACAAGTACATGTTCTTGCCCAGTACACAGAATTGCCACAACTACACATACCTTTGCATGCAATGAAAATATGGATAAGTGAAATAGACAGGAATGGATAAAAAACATTTTATAGTTTATTAAAATATGAAGTATGGCACTGCAGTTTTATAAACCTAAATGTCACTGCATTTAATGAAGCCATCTCCTCTTACTCACCTCTCAGAGGAGAGGGAGATCAGGGGATGTCTTTCCTCCACATAAGTAACCCTTTTATAGCAATAGTCTCCCACCTGTAATCCCAGCTACTTGGGAGGCTGAGGTGCAAGAATCCCTTGAACCTGAGAGGAAGAGATTGCAATGAGCCAAGATCATGCCACTGCACTCCCCGTCTCAAAATAAAATAAAATAAAATAAAATAAAATAATAAAATAATAAAAATCATGAGACAGATCCCTTGTCAGCTGTCATTTAGGATTTATAAAGGTGAATGAGGCATGATCTCTTCTCTTAAAAAGCATCAAATTCAATGAGAAAGATAGAAGAGCTTAGAGTGAGTGTGATCTGTTGAATCTATCAGCAAGATGACCTTAGATTCTCTGTAATGCATGTTTTGTTTCCATGTCTTTAACTTTTTTGGCTTTGACTATTTTTAGGCAAATCCAAAGACCATTGACATGGGATAATTCTCAATTTTGATGATACACTGATTGGGATCTTTTAGGCTTGAGAATCAAGTCATTAGCACTCCGAAAATAGGGAGTTATCCAATTAGGCATTCAACAAACACTTCTAGAGCGCCTGTTACAGTGACTGAGGCACAAGCTCCAGAGTCTGCTTTCCAAGGTTTAAATCCCCACTGTCACCTACTGTCTTAGTCCATTTTCTCTTTCTATGACTGGATACCTGATACTAGGTAGTTTATAAAGGAAACCAATATACTTCTTACAGTTCTAGAGGCTGGGAAGTCCAAGGTCAAAGGGCTGCATCTGGTGAGGGCCTTCTTGCTGGTGGGGGCTCACAGCAGCAGCTCTAGGTAGTGCAGGGCATCACATGGTAAGAGGCTTTTGAGAAACAGCCAAACCTGGCCTTTATAAGACTCACTCCTGTGATAACCCATTAATCCATTACTTCATTAACCCTTGATATATTCCCCTCCAAATCTCATATTGAATTGTAATCCCTAGTATTGGAGGAGGGGCCTGGTGAGAGGTGATTGCATCATGGCAGTGGATATCTTGTGAACAGTTTAGCACCATCCACTTTGTGCTGTTCTTGTGATAGTAAGTTCTTGCGAGATCTGGTTGTTTAAAAGTGTATGGAACCTACACTCTGCCCCCCCCCCCCCCCCCGCGACCCCCACTTGCTCCTGCTTTTGCCATGTGAAGTGCCTATTCTGGCTTTACCTCCACCATGATTAATAGCTCCCTGAGGCCTCCCCAGGAGCAGATGCTGCTGTGCTTCCTATACAGCCTGCAGAACCGAGACCCAGTTAAACCTCTTTTCTTATAAATTACCCAGTGTCAGGTATTTCTTTACAGCAATGCAAGAATGACCTAACACAAATGGGTTGATCCATTCATGGCCCAATCACTTTTAAATACCCCACTTCCAATACTGTTACATTGGGGATTAAGTTTCAAAATGAGTTTCAGAGGAGACAAATATTTAAACCATAGCTTTTAATAACTCTGCAATGTTGAGCAAGTTTATTGATCTTTTTAGACTTCTTGCTCTTCATCTGTGAAATGTGAATACTATTAGTAATGATGCCATAGAACTGTGGTGAGAGTATAATGAGATAGTAGAAATAAGGCACTTTAGCATAACATCTGAGACACAGTAAAGGCTTAATAAATGTTAGCTGTTATTACCAAGAGCAGCATTTTTAGGTACTCTACAGGATGCTGGATATAAAATGATGAGCAAACCTAGACATGGTCCCTGCCCTTATGCAGCCAGTATTTGAGGATCTGAAAGAATACTCAGCATGCCTGGAGTACGAAAAGCAGAAGAAGTTATTATGGCCTGTGAAACAGGCAGAGGACAGGTACTTTGTATATATAAAATTTAGCCTTATACTTAAGAGTAATGGGAAGCCATTGAAGTGGTTAAGGTGAGCTGACATTTTAGATTTACCTTTGGAAAGATTATTGGCTGATGGCTCGATGGACTGGAAGAAAGTGCAGTGGATACAGCAAGAGGGCTTTTTTTTTTTGAGACAAATCTCACTCTGACGCCCAGGCTGGAGTGCAGTGGCGCAATATCAGCTCACTGCAACCTCCACCTCCTGGGTTCAAATGATTCTTCTGCCTCAGCCTCCCAAATAGCTGGGATTACAGGAGTCCACCACCACACCCAGATAATTTTTGTATTTTTAGTAGAGTTGGCGTGTCTCCATGTTGGCCAGGCAGGTCTTGAACTCCTGACCTCAGGTGATCCGTCTGCCTTGGCCTCCCAAAGTGCTGGGATTACAGGCATGAGCCACCATGCCTGGCTGAGAGCTCTTAACCAGTACACAAACTGCCTTAACTATAAACACTTTTGTATATAGTGCAAACATAAACAGGTGGAAAAGTCAGAAATAGATAAGAGAAACCTTTTATAGTTTATTAAACTATGTGTCACAGAACTGTAAGTGGTGAACTGAGATTGGAACCAGAATCTATGCTCCTAGCTACATGATCTTGCTTAGTTCAGTGACCCAGTTAAGACACAAGGGTCGATTGGAATAGTATAGAGACAGTGGCCAAGGAAAGCAGTGCACCAGATTCAGGATGGGTTTAGGTTAAAGAATGGACAGAACTTGGTGAAAGATTGGATGTGGCAAACAAGCCAGGCTTTGTCTCTCAGTCACTCTGCTTAAGGTAATGCTTAACAAATGTCTGATGAAGGTCACTGAAATTTCTCAGATCACTGCATTAGTAAGCTCAGTTATGTTTTTTTCAAAAGTGTTCTTGAATCTTGGAGATTTGCTAAGGTCTTGATACCTCCTTTCTGAATGATTGCCACATTTATGGAGAATATTTAGAACCTTGTGATTGTTTCCCCTGCAGAGTTAGTCACTTTCAAACTAGGATATAATCAACAGCATTTTCCCCCAATGTGTTTGGTGCTGGATTTATTTTCCCTCCAAACATATTGCAGAGCTTTAAAACTGTTGTCCAGTGAGTCAGTGAAAGGAATGACTTTATTTGAATGTGTTGGTGGTGGTGGTGGTGGTGGTGGTGTGAGTGTGTGTGTGTGTGTGTGTGTGTGTGTTTGCTTTGTTTTTTGGCTATGGAGTGTTTTAAAAGCTAAGATTTAGTTACAAATATTACTTTTTACCTATTACTTTATATTCTTTCCATAAGTTTTCTTCTCCTTCTATAAGGTCTAGTGTTTCTCAGAACGTATTTTTGGGACAGTTTGTGAATATCAATTTGTCAAAAATATGTTGACTTATAGTAATATCCTCAATATGCCAGCTTTCTCTCCCCTTTGTGTCATCCACAGCTTGAATCCCTTCCATCACCACAGCTAAATCCCTGATTTTTAAAGCTGCTAATACCCAGGGGACTTTTTAAAGAAAATTTATAACATGAAAACACTGTCAAGTTATGACTTTTATTTGACATCACACCGTCAAAGCTTTTTTAAAACACGAGATGATAGGCTTGGTTTTTACACATTTAAAAAGTTAATTTTTCTCCCATTATTAAAATTAAAATGTAGTCAGTTGAACAATTTTTGAAAACACTTAAAAAGAAGGAAGCCAAATCACTCAAAGGATAATATCACTGCTTACGTGTTGGTATATTTCCTTCCAATCTTTTCTTCACATTTAGTGTCACAGTTATGGTGGAGTTCCAGTCACAGGGGTGCCATGCTCTGTCTTAGTAAGAAATCTCAAACTGGCTTCATCTAGTCTCAACATGGTCAGGTGTCCCCACCTCCAATCATACTTCTGTGGTGTCCAGAGTGCCCCCTCTGATCCTGGGGACTCAACAGTATCCCAGATTACTGAATAGAGAATTGTCTCCCTAAAAATGGGTCAGATGTAAGTGGGGAAACTTTTAAGATTCTAGCAGGTGGCATTTCTGCTGGGTCATTCTCAGGAAAAATGCTGGCAGCTGCTCCTCACTGACAGCAAAGAGAATGATGCTCAGAGTCTCTTGTGGGTAGGGCTTCCTCCTGGAGGTAGAGCTGGGGAAGAGGCAGGGAAAGGGGTGGGCCTTCAGACTATAATGAAAACGATTCATAAGCACAAAGGCTGGGGTGGGAACACATACATTATTATCCTGATATGAGTTTTTATATTATGTAGGTATGATTATGATCATAATGTAATTATCATTTTCTTACATAACACTTTATTCTAGTTAATATATTTCATCTAATGTAAACATTTTATTGTCCTAGGTTAGTATAAATACTAGAATTGATAATAAGAATCATAATAATTAACACATATATAGTGTTTATTTTAAGTAGAGAAGCTGAGACTAGAGCAAGAATTTATGCTCTTAGCCACTACATTACTATTTCCAAAACTCTTCGTAAACATAATTGTAGTAGCTATATACTATTCCATTGATTGCATAAATTAAAATTTACTTAATCTTTCTCTTACTGAAGTAAAGGACTGTTTCTAGGGTTTATTTCTCCTTCCACTTATTAATAATGCTGCTGTGATCATCCTGGCACATAAAGCTTCCTTGTTGTTTCATTGTTATAGATTTTTTCCTTAGGATATATTCATCAAGGTGGGATTATTAGTACAAATTTTGCTATTTACTTTTCAGGTTTGTGTAATTCACACTGCCACCAGGGATTGGTGAGAGTTTCTGCCTTACATATTTTATCTCTCTGTGGCACTCACACTAAGCATTCTAGGTGGAAGGCACTCTTCTGGCTGCCAAGGAGGATATTTTATATGTTCCTCAGGACAGCGCAGACCCTTCCTTGCGGCATTTGACAGCATATAGATAAGTATGGACATAGAAAGTGAGTGGTATAGGAAAGAAGGCATTTCAGGCAGAGGAAACATTAGCAAAACCAGATGTCAAAAAGTAAAGGCCTTGATTTTTGAGCACAGAGTTTACTTTTTCTAAATGTTTGTGATTTGTGTGACTGTAACAATGAGTTCTGACCCTGGACAAGGCATTTATAGTCTCTGGGCTTCTGCTCAATAGATTATAAATCCAAAAGATTAGATCATTTGATTATAAACTTCCTCAGAATTCTAATATTATTATTATGTAACCATGTAAGTTAAGTAAAAATTATCCGTATCTTGAAAGAAAAATCCTATGTGTTGCTTGAATTCTAAAATATGTATTTCTTATGGGGTAAGACATGGTGCCTCTATGTGCTTTCAAATGAAGGCTATCATTTCCAGAAGACAGCTATTAATCCTGGAAGATTTATGGTGGTATATGTCAATTGTGAACAATTTAAGACTTCAAAGTTCCTGTTACCCTCTACAGCCTATAAGGATATTAATTTGTTTCCCTGACCTTGACTGGATTCTATAGCATAGCATGCTCTTTCTCCTGTACTGTAAAGAGAATTTCTTATAAAATTAAGGAAACATAAATCAAGTCAAACCTGACATTGGTGTGCAGAGATAGGACAGTATGTAATTCATGTTCTTAATCCAGTAGACACCATCTGCCCTTTGAGGTCAGGGAAGCAGTGATTTAGGATGGGGCCATGGCCAGTAATTTCCAGAAGTTGTGTGTTTGAAGGACACAGAATAGTTTACCTCTTCCCAGAAAATCATTTCTAGGGGCTTCTCCATCTTTCCAAAGTTGCTACCTTTGTAACTTCTTTGAAACAAAGTTATTATTGCTCTATCAGACCATATATGTCTTATCCATACTTCCGGCCCCACTCGAGAACTCCTTCTTTCAGGAAGGACCTCACCCTCATAATACCTCTATTTTTTAATATAACCAGTTTATCAATTAAACATTTATTTATCTTCTTCACTAGTGTGCAAACTCCAGAGCAGAATGCTTGTAATATATCTTAGCCTTCCCAACTTTCAACACATAGTAGGTATTCAATAAATGTTTATTAAATAGATACAGAAATAAGTGATGGGTTAATTTTCCTAATAAGACATTTTTTCTTTCTGTTGTGTTCCTACTTTGCTTTATTTCTGCTAGGAGTAAATCAAAATCGTTAAGAGTACTTGCCCTAGAGTCAGATGGGGTGAGTTAAAATCCCGACTCTAGTTCTTCCGAGCTGTGTGACTAACCATAGTAAATGGCTAGGCTTTTTGTCCCTCAGTGTATTCATCTGTGAAATGGAATTACTTTATAAGGCTCTTCTTTGGATTAAATGAGGTAATACTTGTAATGAGCTTGCTTAGAACATTGTGTTACTTGTTTCTTCATTATTACTTATATGCATGTAAATATGATTCCTCAAATTAGAATATTCTAAGTAGAGCCTCGTTTAACTACTAAGAGTGACATCTCAGCAATATGTGTGTGTGTGTGTGTGTGTGTGTATATGTATGTATACATATTATTTTATTTTGTGTTTTTGAGACAGAGTCTTGCTATGTCACCCAGGCTGGAGTGCAGTGACATGATCTCGGCTCACTGCAACTTCCACCTTCTGGGTTCAAACAATTTGCGTGCCTCAGCCTCCCAAGTAGCTGGAATTAGAGGTGTGCACCACTATGCACGGCTAATTTTTATTTTATTATTTTTTATTTTTCAGTACAGACAGGTTTTCACCATGTTGGCCAGGTTGGTCTCAAACTCCTGGCCTCAAATGATCCACCTGCCTTGACCTTCCAAAGTGCTGGGATTACAGGCATGAGCCACCATGCCCAGCTAAATTTATATATATATATATATATATATTTTTAGTAGAGACAGGTTTTTAACATGTTGATCAGGCTGGTCTTGAACTCCTGGACTCAAGTGATCTGCCCGCCTCTGCCTTTCAAAGTGCTGGGATTACAAGCGTGTGTCACCGCGCCCAGCCGGAAACTATTCAAAAACAAACTCTTGGGCTAGGTGCGGTGGCTCATGCCTGTAATCCCAGCACTTTGGGAGGCCGAGGCAGGTGGATCATGAGGTCAGGAGATTGAGATCATCCTGGCTAACACGGTGAAACCCCGTCTCTACTAAAAATACATTTACTGAACAGAATTGATATAGGTAATGTGGAAGGTTCAGCTCATCAAAGCACTGATAACTGTTAAATCTGTCAGCCTTATGACCTGCTTTAGACTCTAAACTCCATGAGAGCTAGGACTGTACCTTTTTATTTGTGCCGGCTTATGAAATTCAACAAGAAGCAGAGAGTATAGGAGAGTATGAAGGCTGATGGGTGGAGGGAGAGTATAGGAATTGGGGATATACCTCAAAATCCCTGCAAAAGTGTTTATCCAGTAGATCACGGGACTTCATACCTTCTACATCACTCCAGCTACTTCTATGCCTGCCAGAGCCTTGCTGCCATGTTTCAGTGGGATGGTTCATCCCTTTTTCTTCTTCTCCTGCTGATAACAGTTATATGGTTGCTCAAAACACTGGCTCAGGTCCTGTTCAAAGCAGATCTACTTGAATGTGAGCCTGTGTCACTGTGTATTGTTTATAATAATAATAATTATTTTTGTTTTTCCTCTGGAAATCAAATGCTAAACTCTTCAGAAAACTGCTCGAGAGATCATGGGAAGAGATGGAAGCCTTTAATCTTTTATTAAAATACTTTAAACATAACATTGTGCATTTACATCACCGTGATAGAGAGGCACTAACAGCTGCACTGAGACAGTGATGAAGTATCAGAATAAATATTGAAAATATTTGGTGTGAATATGGTGCTGTCCTGGCAAGGAACTCAATGCACTTTCTTATATGTTATCTTGTCCTCACAATGCCCCTGAAAAGTGGATGGTGTGATTCCTATTTGACAGATGAAGACACTGTACTAAAGTGGTTGGCTGGAATTGCTGTTTATTCCATCAGGGCTGAGGCTCTTAATTGCTCTCTTAGAATCTCTGACTCTTCCAAATAGCGAAAGCCCCCACATTTGGTTCCATTTGGTCTCATTGCCAGCTAGACATCAGCTCTAAAAGCTTATTTCCTTTACCTGACAGGGAATTCTGATTTTCCATTCCACTTGCTGCTGTCCAGGATGAGACCCCTGAAATATGCTTTCTATGCACATTTAAATATTTTATGTTAATAGTGATCAAAGTCAAATTTCAAGTAATACTTCCTGTGGTTTATTGACCAAGTTAATTTAACATTAAGAAAGAAATGAGAATGAATGAAAAGCATTGCACATTTCCATATGCAAATGTGTGCCTGGAGGAAGCTGTTACATGTGGGGCAATCAATACATTCTAGAAATTTAGTAGATTTGCACATGACTTTGACATTAATTTCCACAGGTTCTAGGATTTGTTTTAGAACTCTTTCTTCATCCATTGTCTTCCATCACAGGACATGATATTTTCTGCAACTCTGAAATTCCCTGGCTCTGAAAATGCACCTTTGGTGCTGTACATGAGCAATGGGATGCTGTCTCCCAGGAGATTTGTAATTGCTTGGTGCTGACAGGTGCTCATTGTGGGCCTTCATTTCCTACCCAGCATCAGCAATCCATCTCACCCTCAGCAGTAATCCTGCCAGGAAGAGGGAAAGATCATGGCCCAGGGGAGTGATTTTCATGCAGAATTCTGATTAACTCTGAGATCCCTCAGAGGTGATTGAAGTGGGGGCATTGCTAGAGGGTGGGGGGCTGCGCGGAGTGGTGGGCAGGGGAGGAGGTCAACCAGCAGCATGCCAGACAAGTTTTCTCTTTTTATCTCATATAAATGTTATCTTAAAAAATAAGAGTTCTACTGGTTAAAAGTAAAAAATAACTGATATAGAATAGGAGAGAGCTTATTATAATAACAGACACTGATATTTGCTACGTGCTGAAAATTGTACTAAATTCCAGCTCTCTCACTTGATCCTATAAATAACTCTATGAGTATTTCCATTACTTCCATTTTATAGATAAGAAAGCTGCAGCTGGAGATGTGAAATCACTTGTCCAGGCCACACAGCTGATAAGTGGCAGAACCAGGACTCCTTTTCTTTATCTTCTTTCTTTGAACAAACATGCATCAATCTCCTGCACAGTCCCACACATGGTGTAAGGTATTGAGAATACAGCAGTCAACAAAGTGGGCAGGGCTCTGCCCTCACAGGGTTTATAGTCCAGCAGGATTTGAATCTAGATTTATGTCACTGTAATATCTGAACTGTTAACTTCTATACTCTATTGTTTCTAAACACCAACTCCTGGAGTCTCATCTTGAAGTAGTCTCTGGGAAAGATAGGAGAGATTGAAATAAATAGATGAATTCCAAATAAATCAGACTGTGCTTACTTTCTGGGAGATGTGTGGGCCAGGATGATCCCATGGAATGATGGATTCTGTGCTCCTAAAGTCTAAGACAACTCTCCTGTTTTGCAATGACAGGAAATGCGTGGACAACTCAGAACAATCCCTTTCCAATTTTAAGCTCTGACTTTATAGTGTAATGCAGAGCACTAGACTATGAGTTAAAAGACCCTGCTTCATGTCTTGGGCCCCTTGTCATTTGGGGAATGTAATTTCACTTCTTTAGCTTATTTCCCCATCTGTGAGACAAAATTAAATGGCATCTATGGTTCCTTCTAAATCAGATGCTCTGTGATTCTGAGTTTATGAGTTTAGTTGGTGTATGCCCTGAGATTGGAGGGCATACACCCATTTGTCCTCTTCAAGATGTGGTATCTCCTACAAGAGTAGATTTTAATTTTGTTGACTATAACCAATAATAATAAAAAATAAATTTTACATTGTGAGTCAGTACAAAAGCACACACACATACACACACATCAGAAAATGGTATAAAATGCTATTACTTATATACTCTGAAATACTCTATGGTATTCCATTCTAGTCTGGTCTAGTCTACTATGTTTCATTTTTGTGCAAGTGTTGACTGTGATCCAATAAATTGATTTCATATACATTTAATAACCCACTAGCTGAGCCTGGTTCCATGAAACCAGACTTCCAGGAAGAGTTTCTCAAGGTCAAGCCATGTTTGCCTCCTGCTTGCTTTAGAAGATTAACAAAAATATACATATTTATTCCTCAGACTTCTGAGCAAATGCCCCATTGCCCTCTGGGGTGTTCATTCCTCCCTCTTTGACTAGGCAAGCAATTTCTCCCAATTTCCTGCTTTGCCTCCATGATGCCATTAGACCCTCTGCTATCCTTTAAGTGAATTGAAAGTGCCCCCTTAGGATAGAAGCACAAGCCATTGTTGTATAAAAAAGTGATCGGCCAATTCAGCCTGGAATAAAACTGCTTCACTCAGTCATCAAAGGGCTCTTTAAAATTCTCTAATGCATGGAGTTTAACTGGAGAGAAAAAATAATCACCCATATTCGTCTGTACAAAACAATGAAGTAGAGTACTTGCAGCTTTTGAAGTGGCTTTATTATTATCTGGTTGGTCTCTCTTTCACTTGATGGAGAAATTATTGTGGGAATGTAACAAATTTTTAAACTGAGGCTGAAAGCTCTAAACACTAGGGGATCTCAGACAGTGACTACATCACATTGTGAGACAGAACAGTGTGTTTAAAGCTCGCTGATGGTTCTCTTCATGAAGTATTTCCTGACAGGAACTCTAATTTATTGCTTGGGAAGCTAATAATAAGGACAGGGGAGAAGAAAGTGGTCATTTAGCCAAATCTACATGAATACTTAATTTCTGGTGTTCTCTTCTGCTTCCATTAGTGATGGGCATCATTTAATTTTTGCCCCATTTCTTAGTGACCTAGGAAAACCTATAAATGTAGTAAAATATTTATATCTATTGGGTTTTCCACTTTAACCAGGGTTATTTACTTCTGATAACACCTTCCATTTTACCTCTGACATGTCTCCAAGATGGCTGCCCTCTTCATCTAGCTCTTAACTAAAATGTCACCTCAAAAAAAGCCTTTTCTGAAACACTTCACTGAACTAGCTTCCCGTCTTTGTCATGTTACCCTCTTTTATTTTACAACACTTTTTACCATCTGAATTTTTCTTATTTATTTTTATCTGTGTTTGTTATCTGATACCTTCCAGTGACATACAGGTTCCACTGAAGATAAAGACTCTATCTGCCCCCTACTGTACCCCAGAAGGCATAACGCTCCCTCACAGAATCAGGGTTGAGCAAAAATATGTTGAATGATATTAGGTGTTTACTGTCCACCCCCTAACTCCAAGCTAAAAATAATCTCTCCTTTCTTTCATTCTCAAGCAACTTGCTCTTACCTCACTTCCTGCTTTGGATGGCCATTTCTTATGTAAATGTTGACATCTTTTGCCAAATAGTAAGCTCCTAAGGGGAAGGATTAACATTTCATTAATTTAGGAGTGTAATAAACTACCCATGTGCCAGTCATGGTGCTGGATACTTTGCTAGCATTGTTTTATTTTTTCCTCACTGCAACCCTATGAGACAGTCATTATTACCCCATTTTGAAGATGAGGATTCCAGACTTAAAAGCTCAAGAAATTTTTTTCCCAATTCATTTAGCTAGTAAATGGCAGAGCTGGGATTCGGACAAAAGAGCTTTTGACTCTATTTTATTTTCCCTTATATTTGCATCTCTTTGGGCCTTTCATGGAGAATTATCTTATTAAGTGTTTCAAAAATTATTGGATAAAAATTGAAAATAAAGTTAGCAGATTCTATCTTGATTCTCATAAAAGGAGTACTGTTGATTTTCCTCAAGAGATTTTACATTTTCTTCTAATATTTGTTCTACATTTTCTTCAGATACTGTGATGCTGATACAAATACCTGCTTCCTAAAGAAACCCTAGTGGCAACTTCCTTGAAACAGATTAGTGATTTTTCAGTCAACATTGATGTTTTGTAAGTGCCTGTAGGTTCCAGGCAGTATGATGGGAATCTTAGGAGAAAGGATTTAGTAAGTACAAAGGCTGCTCTCAAGCACCTTACCGTTCAATGGAAATATTGAACTGGTACTTCCTTGCCAAGGTGCTAGAGAACAGAGATCACTCAAAATATGATTGTTCTCTCTTCATTCCACAAGTAACAGAAGAGGGAAGAGAGAATAGGTGAGGCCCAGAAGGAAGAGGAAAGAGAACTGATGTTATAGAGTAAGGTCTTGAAAACACTGACTCTTCACTGAGAAATGCATTTCTTTCTCCTTGTTTAAAAAGAGAGTTATGTGTTTGTGTTTCCCCTTTCTTCTCTGTCTCCTGAGTGTTTTAGAATCATCCTTACTTTCCAACCTCCCCCCATCTTTGTTTTATAGCATATTTGTATTTTATTTTTTGCAAGTTGACTCTGACTTTCTCCTTATTAGTCCTTCTGTGTGTCTTAAATAGGGGTTTCCTTTTCTTCTTGGAATAAAACACCTTGGAGGAAATTCTTAAAATACAAAAAAGTACAAATGCACCGATAATTCCATCACTCAGATAAAGTACTATTGTTGATTCCCTTGTAGTATGACTACTTTAATCTCTCTTATATCGTGTTTTGTCAGACTGAATATATAATTCTGTTTTCTGACTTGTTTTTGTTAGAATTTATTAAACATTTAGGTTGTTTCTGATGTTACCTGATTATAAATAATGCTTCAGAGGATTTTTTACCTTAAGCTTTGTCAACATCTCTGATTTATTTCCTCTAAATAGATCATTGGAAACAATAATTTAGACCAAAGGATTTCCACTAAGGCTACACCAATTTAGTTTCTTACCAGTGTGGCATGAGAATTCTTGTTTTGCCACCCTTTCTTCTAAATTTGTGTGCCTATTTTGGGGTACAAAAATAATATTCCATTTTTTAAGGTGAACCTTTTCATTGCTAATAAGATTGATTTTTTTCCCCATTTCTATACTGGTCCTTTGCATTTTTTTAATATTAACTTATTTTGCTCATTTAATTTTTTGAGGCAAAATTGCATACAGTGAAATACGTAAATCACAAGTGTACTTTTAAACAAGCTATGAAAAGTGTATTCAATTGTTTAATCTCATCACTATAAAGATATAAATTATTACTATTATCTCAGAAAATTCCCTTGTGCTGCTTTTCAGTCAATCACTGTCCATCAATTCTCAGCCACAGGCAACAACTGATCTGATTTCTTTCACAATAATTTTTCCTGTCCTAGAACTTCATATAAATGTAATAACATAATATAAAACTCTTTTTGACAAGTTTCTTTCATCCAGTATGTTTTTGAGGTTTATTCTCATGGTTGGGTATATCAGTAGTTTATCCCATTTTATTGCTGAGTAGTATTTAATTATATGAATAGACCCACAATTTGTTTATCCACCACGGATATTTGTGTTAATCCTAGTTTTTTTTTTTTTTTTTTTTTTTTTTTTTTTTGGGCTATTTTGAGTAAAGCTTAAATGAACACTCTTACACTAATTCTCTTTTTGGCTTTATATCTACCATTTTGCTATTTTTTTTTTTCTATTTGTTCCACTTATTCCTTGTTCCTTTTGTTACTCATTTTTTTTGCCTTCTTTTTGGATGAACAGAATAGTTTTTACTATTCCACTTTATCTACACTATTGGCTTATTGGCTGTATGTCTTCTTTTTTTGTTTTTCCAATGGTTGCTCAACGATTTGCGGTATTTCACTTAAACTCATCAGAGACAAACTTCAAATAATAGGATTTTTGTTCATGTTTAAACTAAAATATTTAAAAGGGTAAATTTTAATTTCCCTGGTCCAATGTCTGTGTCTTCATTGTTACACATTTTAAATTTATGCATGTTATAAACTCTCAAATACATGATTTAAAAAAATTTTAATAGTTAATTTTTAAAAAGTTAAAAATATCTTCTACATTTGGTCACATATTTACCATCCCTAGCGATCTTTATTTTTTTGTTTGGATCCAAATTTCTGTCTGATATCATTTCCTTCTACCTGAAGAACTTCATTTAATAGGGTGCAAATTTGCTGGTGGTAATGTCCCTCAGTTTTTACTGTCTGAAAAATTCTGTCTTTTGCCTACATTTTTAAATATTTTCACTGATTATAGAATTATAGACTACTTTTTTTTCTTAAGACTTAAAACATGTCATTCTTTGTCTTCTGGCTTTGAAAAAAAATGCAGACTGAATATCTCTGTCTTATGATTGGATGGTTAATCTATTTGCATTTAATGTTATTTAAATAGTTGGATTGGATTTATGCCTGCCATTTTACTTTTTGTTTTCTACGTCTTGTGTCCTTTTGTTTTTAAATGAGTTTCATTGTGTGTATTAAAGTATAGGACATGATATTATGGATACCTATATGATATGGTTTGGCTGTGTCCCCATCCAAATCTCATCTTGAATGTGGTTCCCATAATCCTGACATGTTGTGGGAGGGAACTGGTGGGAGGTTATTTAATCATAGAGGCAGTTACCCTTATGCTGTTCTTGTGACAGTGAGTTCTCATGAGATCTGATGTTTTTTTTTTTTTTTTGTGGGGGGGACTGTTGTGGGGTGTAGGAAGGGGGGAGGGATAGCATTTGGAGATATACCTAATGTTAAATGACGAGTTACTGGGTGCAGCACACCAACATGGCACATGTATACATATGTAACTAACCTGCACATTGTGCACATGTACCCTAAAACTTAAAGTATAAAAAAAAAAATCTGATGGTTTTATAAGGGGCTTTTCCCCATTTTGCTTGGCACTTCTTATTGCTGCTGCCATGTGAAGAAGGATGTGTTTCCTTCCCCTTCCACCATGATTGTAAGTTTCCTGAGGCCTCCCCAGTCATGCTGAACTGTGAGTCAATTAAACCTCTTTCCTTTATAAATTACCTAGTCTCCAGTGTGTCTTTCTTAGCAGCATGAGAACAGACTAATACAGTAAATTTGTACTGTGTAGTGGGGCACCACTGGAAAGATACCCAAAAATGTGGAAGTGACTTTGGAACTGGGTAACAGGAAGGGGTTGGAAAAGTTTGGAGGTCTCAGAAGAAGATAGAAAGATGTGGGAAAGTTTGGAACTTCCTAGAGACTTCTTGAATGGCTTTGACCAAAATGCTAGTAATGATATGGACAATGAAGTCCATACTGAGGTGGTCTCGGATGGAGATGAGGAACTTGTTGGGAACTGGAGTAAAGGTTACTCTTGCTATGCAAAGAGACTGGTGGCATTTTGCATCTGCCCTGGAGATCTGTGGAACTTTGAACTCGGGAGAGATGATTTAGGGTATCTGGGGAAGAAATTTCTAAGCAGGAAAGTGTTCAAGAGGAAGCAGAGCATAAATGTTTGGATGATTTACAATGTGATGATGTGTTAGAAAAGAAAACCCTATTTTCTGTGGAGAAATTCAAGCTGGCTGCAGAAATTTGCACAAGTAATGAGGGCCCAAGTGTTAATTAGCAAGACAATGGGGAAAATGTCTCCAGGGGTTATCAGAGACCTTCATGGCAACCCCTCCCATCACAGGCCTGGAGGCTTAGGAGGAAAAAATTGTTTTATGGGCTGGACCTATGGCCTCACTGCTCTATGCAGCTTGGGACAGGTTGTCCTATGTCCTAGATGTTTCAGTTGTAGCCAGGGCTAAAAGGGGCCGATGTACAGTTCAGGCTGTTGCTTTAGAGGGTGCAAGCCTTCAGCCTTGGCAGCTTACACGTGGTGTTGAGCCTGTAGGTGCACAGAAGTCAAGAATTGAGGTTTGGGAACTTCCGCCTAGATTTCAGAGGATGTATGGAAACACCTGGATGTCCAGGCAGAAGTATGCTGTAGGGGTAGAACCCTCATGGAGAACCTCTCCTATGGCAGTGTGGAAGAGAAATGTAAGGTTGGAGCCTCCACACAGAGTTCCCACTGGGGCACTGCCTGGTGGAGCTGTGAGAAGAGGGCCACCGTTCTCCTGACTCCAGAATGGTATATCCACCAACAGCTTGCACCATACCCCTGGAAAAACTGCAGACACTCAACACCAGCTCATGAAAGCATCCAGGAGGGGAGCTATACCCTGCAAAGCCACAGAGGCAGAGCTGCCCAAGACTATGGGAGCCCACCTCTTGCATCAGCATGACCTGGATGTGAGACATGGAGTCAAAAGACATCATTTTGAAACTTTAAGGTTTAATGACTGCCCTATTGGATTTCAAACTTGCATGAGGCCTGTAGCCCCTTTGTTTTGGCCAATTTCTCCCATTTTTAATGGGTGTATTTACCCAATGCCCATACCTCTATTATATCTAGGAGGTAACTATCTTACTTTTGATTTTACAGGCTCATAGGCAGAAGAGACTTGCCTTGTATCAGATAAGACTATGGACTTGGACTTTTGGGCTAATGCTGAAATGAGTTAAGACTTTGGAGAACTATTGGGAAAGGCATGATTATGTTACAAAACATGAGAACTTGAGATTTGGGAGGGTCCAGAAGCAGAATGATATGGTTCATCTGTATCCTTACCCAAATCTCATCTTGTAGTTTCCATAATCTCCACATGTTGTAAGAGGGACCCAGTGGGAGGTAATTTAATCATGAGGGCAGTTACCCTCATGCTGTTCTCATGACAGTTAGTGAGTTCTCACAGGATGGTTTTATAAGGGGCTTTTCCCCCTTTTGCTCAGTATTTCTCCTTGCTGCTGCCATGTGAAGAAGGATTGCTTGTTTCCCCTTCCACCATGGTTGTAAGTTTCATGAGACCTCCCTAATCATGCTGAACTGTGAGTCAATTAAACTTCTTTCCACTATAAATTACCCAGTCTTGAGTATGCCTTTATTAGCAGTGTGAGAATGGACTAAAACACTATAGATGTGAAAAGGTGATTATAGTGAAGCAAATTAACATATTCATCATCTCATATAGTTAAATATTGTAATAGCAACTAGAATCTACTCACTTAGCATGAATTCTATATACAGTATAAATTATCCTTCTTTTTAAACCCACTTTTTAAAGTATACATATAAGCCTTTTTAAAGTACACTGTATACTTTGGCATTAGGTAAATGCTTTTTTGTGTAATGTTTTAATTACTTTAATGATCCTTTTTTACTAGATGTCTTGGGTAATTTTTGTAAATCATTCCTCTAGGGCTTACCATATGTACCTAATGAGAATCTATGTCAGATTAATAGTAATTTAATACCAGTGATCTATAGAGATGTTATTCTCACATAGTTCTGTTTTCTCTTCTTCTTTGTGCCACTGTTGTTATACTGTACATGTTACATCTATATGTTATAAACCCAATAATGAATTACAATAATTATTTCTATATATAGCTTAATGTCTTTTAAAGTAGCTGAGAGAAGAAAATAAATTATATGTTTGTAAATTTTGTCATAGTAAACTTCTTATTTACCATTGTTGGTTCTCTTCCTTTTTTCCTGTGGATCTCGGTAACCAATTAATATATTCTCCCTACTTCAATATAGCTTTGCTCCTAACTACCTTCTTTGTGTGGCAAGTATAAATATTTACATATGTTGTTAAGTATAGATATTTACATATGTTATAGGCTTAACAATACAAATGCATACACATCATATTATGCAATTCCATTTAAAACATGTTAAGAGAAAAAAGGAAAATATGCATTTATACTGTCTTTAAAAATTGCTTAATTACCTTTACTTGTGCTTCTCCTCCCTCACACCATGTGGAATAGAATTCCATTTGGGGGTCAGTTGGTTTTAGACTGAAGAAATTCTTTTAATAGTTATTGCAAGTGCCTTTACTAGCAACAAATTCTGTCAATTTTGTTCCTCTGAAAATGGCTCTTTTTTTCTTCATTTTTGAAAGATAGTTTTTCTGGGAATGAGAAATTTGTTAGTTTTATTCTTTCAGCACTTTGAATATGCATGTCATCTCACTATATTCTGGCCTCCACTGTTTCTGGTGAGATGTCAGTTGTTAATCTGCCTGGGATTCTTTTATGTATAATAAGTCATTTTTCCTTTGCTGTTTTCCTGATTTTCTCTTTGTATTTTACTTTCAACATTTTTACTATGATGTGTCTGGGTGTATATCTGTGTTTATCTTACTTGGAATTTTTTTGAGCTTCTTGGATGTGTCAATTCTTTCTGTGAAATTTGCAAAGTATTAACCATTATTTATTAAAAATATTTTTGTTCCTTTCTGTTTTTTCTCTTCTTCTGGCACCCCAATTTTGCATATATTGGTACAATTAATGGTGGTCTTCATATCTCTGAAACTTTTAAAATTTTTCTTCATTGCTTTTCTGTTGTTCAGATTGCATAATCTTTATTCGTCTGTCTCCAGGTTAGCTGATTCTTCTACCCACTCAAATCAGTTTTTGAGACCCTCTAGTACATTTTTCATTTCAGTTATATTAGTTTCCTACTGCAGAATTTCCATTAGATTCTTGTAAAAATAATTCTTATTTTTTATTTGATGAGATATTGCCCTCATATCTTCCTTAACCTCTCTAAGCATATTTTTCTTTAGTACTTTGAACATATTTATTGTAGTTGCTTTAGAGTCTTTGTCATGTTCATATCTAGTCCTTCTCATGGCACCTCTTGTTGTCTGCTTTTTATTTTTATTTTTCTGTGCATGAGTTATACTTTCCTGTTTATTTGCATGTTTCCCTTTTTTTTAGAACAGTAGGCATTTTAGATAATATAATGTAGCAGTGTCCCCTTCCCTAAAACTGCTTTTTCTTATCTTTTATTTGTTTGCATGCTTATTTGTTTAGTGACTTGGCTGAATAAATTTAGTGACACTGGCAGTGTAAAGCAGTGTAAAGCCTCTGATGTTGTTCCTCAGAGGATGCAGGCTTTGGCATGCTCACAGTCACTCTGGGAGACAGTAGTTTTCTCAGAACTATCCTTGACTCTTCCCTTCTTTGGTCTTGCTGGTAAACTGCCTGACTCTACTGGTAATACACTCAGGTATTAGTGTTTGCTAATTTTCAGTCAGTCACTTTATTGTTTTGGACAATGCTGTGGGAAATAAATTACCCTACAATCTGATCCAATTAATTTCAGACCTCTTTGCAGAAGTTTTTTGAGGCCAGGCTTTGAAGTATGTTCTAACCACAGGAGGTCTCTTTATTGCTGTCTCTTTCCCAGTTCACTCTGATAAACTAGCTGACTTGTGGTTTAGTTTATTGCTCTTATGGAGGTATCAGCCTTCTCTTAATTGCTTATTGTTGAAATCTTCCTGGTTTTTGAGAATGCCCTAAAGCTTGAACTTCCCCACTCTCTTTTCTAAATAAAATCAGTGATTTTGAGGAGCTCTTTGGCGCTCTTTCCCCTTGTGGCATGTTGAGGCTTCCTTCTAAGTTTGGTTCGTGTCAGTCTAATATAGACTTTACCCTAGGGCTCAGTTAGTTCTAGAACTATTTCTATAGATGGTCTTTCTGAGGTCTCTATTGAATTACTCAAGTATTCAACTGGACTCTCAGCTCTTACTGATCAGAACTTTAATGTCTCCCAGACTTATTAAGCTTCCATACGTTCTTGTCATAATGCCCCATTGGTTATTCTTTGACTGGCTTTTCTGTGTATTATTCTAAGGATGCACTGCTTTGCGTTCAAAGGTCCAAGGGGGCTCCTATGGAGATTTCCAAAGTGTTCTCTGTACAGTTTCCTCCTGTTAGGTACTCTGCCCCCTTAATTCCAGTCACCTTGGCTTCTTCAAACTCTAATCATTGTCTCCTGATTGCAGCAAGAGTACTGTGCCCTGTTTAGAGTTGCTTATCCTATGCCATTTTTCTAGAATATACCTGCAGACACAAAGTTGAGGCAATCTTGGGGATCCCTTTATTTGTATCCCTTCTATGTGTCATTATATCCTTTGCTACTCCTTGTTTGATGTCTGAAAACAGTTGTTTTATATATTTTATACAATTATGATTGCTTATGGTAGAAGGTATAGTCTCATACAAACTAAATCTTCATGGGAAGAAGTGGAAGTCCTGTCTTTGATTTTTGTGGCTTTGTGTTTTTCTTATTTGACCAAGCTCCTTAAAAATTCAAAATTTTGATTTTTGTCTGTTGTATTAGCTAACAATATTTTCCTTTGTGTCATTCACTTTTAAATTATTTTACAGTTTTATGATTTCCATATTTTAATTTTTATATAACTGAAATTATTTTTTTAATAATTTCTTCCAACTAGAGAACAAACATTTTCCTAGAATTTCTTTCATGGGTGTTTGAGGGGCTTCACTTTTTATAATTAATATTCAGTCTACTGAGATTATTTTTGGTATAAGTTATAAGATGGTTTTGTGTGTCTTTTATTCTAAATTTCTTTAAACAACTTGTAGAAAATGATGTGGTATAAATAAATCAATAAGTGCATATCACAGGAAAGTGGTTGAATGTCATTTTTCATTATTTTAGAATTCATGTATATCAATTTTGTTCCATGGACTTAAGGTCATTCTTGGGTGATATAAGATTAAGACAGATAATACTGTGTGCTTCCTTTTAAAAGGTAAAATTTGCTTAAAACCAATAAAAATGAAAATGAGGACATAAGGACTAGGATGTAAAGACTAAAGGGCAAAGCAGCATCCAAAGTGGGTGTTTCTCATTTAAGACAATGGATACCATGGCCAGACTTGCAGTCAGAAAGACCTAGTTTTGAATTCTATCATTTACTTCCTTTCTTTCTAGGTTACGGTTAAGGTGAAATCAGACAATGTAGGTAAACCATTCTTGCCATATCATCACTACGGCCACCATCATTGTTGTGATTATAGAAATAGAAATAGAAAGATTAAAAGATGAAGATGCAGTTTGAGTAGACAAGGATGAAGTCATATGATCTAGCCTTTGCTTTCTTTGTAATAAATTAAATAGCATAATGTGGATTATGTGCTTTCAAACTTTCTTCCATATGTATGTATACACATATGTGTGTATTTAGTTTCATCACATGGTTCCCATCGATACATCTCTTTCCATTTACTGTCACCATGGGTTGTCGTCTATATTCAGCTCCTGGACTTTGTAAAGAGATTCACTAAAGCATTGAAGCATTTGGCTGGGGAAAGTGATGAGGAGGAAAAGGAGACCTAGTAGTGATTGTGTCACTTTTCCTTGTCCAGTAAGTGACTGCTGTCCCTGGCTTATCTATTCTCCATGCACATATGTTTAAACCAGGTCACACAAAATTGGCTCTTTTCTTGTTTGCTCAAAGGAAGTCTGTGGTAGAATTTTACTGGAATTGGAGTTGGTATCACTGAATTGAAATTCCTTTTTCTCCACTGCTGAGTCGTGAGATTTGGGGCAGGTCCCTTCTTCTTTAATGTCCATTTTTGGGTTGGAACACACAATTACTTAAGGGCCATAGAAATTTCTGCATGTGCATTGGAGTTCATTCATTTATTAATTTTTAAATTAAATCATTGTTGAGTGATTTCTATGTCTTAAGCACTGTGTTTGGTACTGAGGACATTGATATGTAAAAACCATAGAACTTATTCCTACCTTCAAGGAACGTGTGTAGAAGAATAGACAAACATTAGAGCATAAAAAGAACATAGGTATAATGAATGCTACAAAGGAGAAGTGCAGATATTATGGGTGGTAAATATTGGAGGCCAGGAGTCTAAAACTATTTTGGTAAAGAGAAAGACAGTAATATTTTAGGCTTTTTGAGCCAATAGGCAAAATGGAACAATTCTTCTTACCAAAATGCCTTGTTGGTAAGTTTTAAAAATATTTTATATCTAAAAAAAATTAAGTCACAAAGCCCTTACGAAAACAGGCCACAGGCTACAGTTTGTCTGATTAGACAAACATTATATTCATAATAGAGTATGCTAAGATAATACCCCCACCTAAAGAATTTCTGTGGTCACTATTCTCCTAAAGGACTGTGTAAGAGACCTGTCTCTGTCTCTCTGTTTTCCCCTATTTCTAAGTCCCTCTCTCTTTCTTTCTATTTCTATTATATCTTTGTAGAATTCAAAAATATGTATGGAATACATACCCTCACGCCTACAATTTTCTGGTATCTTAATTTGGCTGCCTATTTGTGTCTTCTGAGAATTTTAACCATTTTATTAGTTTTCATACAATGTTCTGGCGACTGTGTCGTTGAGTAACTGCAATTGTGTAGATGCTTTACCAGGAGCTGGGTTAATCCATCAATATATTGTATGTCAATATGCTGTATCTGCTGAGGCAGCTGGAGAAGGAGATTGAGAGCAGGTACTGAGGGAGCAGAAAGAGGAAGAGAAAAAAACAGATAAAATGCCTAGCTGTCCCAGAGCAGGATTAGCAAACATGTTGTTTTGGTTATCCATTGTTTCACAGTTTAAAAAAAATCTCTTTGCGTCAACAGAATTAGAGGCATGGTGTCCTCTCTGAACACATTAAGCCATTTGAAGAGGCTCCAAAAGTGGAATCAAATTCAATTAAGGAAAAAAAGACCACTTATTACCCTTTAAAACTCATAATATGGAAGATATTTCAAAACATAAAAGTTGAAATGTTTTAAAATAGCATTTTAAATGCCTGAATCACTTAAAAGTGTTCTGAATTTTATTCATTCTATTTTAATTCTATCCTGAGATATTTCCTATAGATATTTCTAAATATTTTTTGCAGTTACATCAAGAGCTAGAAAAGGACAAATATCCTTATGCAATCAATTTGACTTTAACTATTTCCTCTCTCTCTCTCTATTTTTCTCACTTTCCTATTACTTGTGTCAGTACCTGAGTTTTTTCTTATCCTATTTTATTTAGAGTGGGAAAAAGCTATGACTGAGGAAAATGCCAAAGATCTAATCAAGGAATTGTCAATAATAATCGTGTGGCTCAAGCCATAAATCACTTTGGATTAAGCATCACCCTTCATCTGGGTGTGAAATTTCCAATGCCTTTTATTTGTTATCTGCCAATGGAAATTAAAACATTCCCTTCACAGGGGATCTTTCAGAAGCAGATGGATCCCCACTGTCAGGGCATCTGGGAAGTTGTCTACCTGAAGACAGTCAAATAAAGCTTATGACATTATTAGGTCCTTTCCCCACCCTCTAAAAACGCAAATCCATTTGTACACAACATTCAGTTAGCAAGTAAAATTTTGGTCAAGCCATTATGTTTTGTATATGATGCCAAGTACATCTTAATGGATGAGAGAGCCAATTGACTGATGGCCTTAACATGTTTTATAAATCATCTCTGTTTGCATGTTCAGCCCAGCCCAAAAGACAGAGGCAATAGACACCAAAGCCTGCCATTCTTAAGCAAAGTTTGCTTTAGTTCTGTATAAATATTAGGCCTTAACATAGTTTACTACAAATCTGTTTTAGTCTTAATTTCATGCGAAATCAACAATGGACATTTATATAGCATTAATTAAGGTACACTATTCAATACATATAAAATTTTTCAACATTATTTATATACAACCTTAGTTTATTATAAAAACTGTTATTGAGATGTCAAAGCCTCAGTGTTTTTTTCGTAAACTTTCTCAGGCTATGACATTAAACCTGCCCTTAGACATTAAACTAGAACCTTTTTATGTATATATGAGTAATAAGAACAACATCCTGCATCTATGTAGAACTTACAGAAACACAAATACTTAGTGTTTACTGTTAGCCAGGAACTGTGCTAAGCCTTTTTATATACAGTATCTTATTGAAGCTCACAACTCTCCATACGTTTGTACCCATTGTTAACAGTGAATCACTTGAGGTTTGTAGAAATTTGTGGCTTGCCCAAGACAAAGTCAACAAGTGGGCAAGTTAGGTTTTATACCCAGTACTGTTCTATTCAGAATCTAGGTTGTTTCCACTTTGCTTTCCAGTCTAACCTGGTTTTCTCAAAATTATCTGCCCCCACAAAAAAAAGAAGGACCAAACAGTGGATTTGCTCAAGATCATAAAGTTAATTGAACAGACAAAGGCTACACTAGAATTCAGGTCTTTTTCTTCTAACATGTTGCTCTTGGCATGACACTTACTGCTTCATATGTGTGTGTATATATATATATATATATATATACACACACACACACACATTAAACAGAAATCAGAATGAAATGCTTTGTATTTGAACTCTTCTTTTTTTAGTTTTACTGTCTGTTTTTCACTGCTGTACTCAGTTGGCCCTTTAAAAATTCTAATTACTGAAGTTATTATATTAAAGAAGTATTGGAAGAACAACTTAAATTCTAGAAATCACAGGAAATAAAAGTTATTCCCTTTGAGAATCTTATTGAGATGCTGAGAGAATAATGCTTAAATAAAGAGATACCTGGGTTGAATTTGAGACCAATTTTGCATGTGAAATCTCAGCAAATATTATGCTCAGTTAAACAATATGTGACCATTTGAACAGATGATGTTGTAAGAAAGAACTTTTCTGTAAATTGTTGAAATGGAAAGAATTCTTCATGCAAGTAGAAATAGGCAGCTAGTTAGGCTTTTCTTAATGAAATGACAGTTTTCAAGGTACTTAGCTTGAGAGTACAGAGTGCAGTATTTCCTGAAAATGGAACCAAAATGGAGGGGCCTGGGGTGTACTAGTCAGTCTATATAATTTACTATCATAATAAACTGGGTTCTTTTTGTTTTTTCTTCTATGATGAAAAATAATGTAGGAACAAAAGTCCACATAATTCCATCCATCACATTTGATATGTCCTTGTATTAATCAGGATAGAAAAACTATGTTGTTCTAATGGTAAATCACCCAATCTCAGTAGCTTATTCTATAAAAGTGTATTTCTTGCTCACATAAAATCTGATATGCTTTGGATCTTGCTCTTCCATTTTATAGCTATGCCAAATGGAAAATATGTCTTCCAAGATCACTGCAACAACAGAAAAGAAGGCTAGACAGCATACAGGAGCTCTTACATGGCCCCTGTCACTTCTGCTCATAGCCCATTGGCTAGAATTAGTCACATGGCCCAGGCCAGCTACAAGGGAAACTGAGAAATATGTAAAAGAACAAGTGATTATTTAGAGAATGATGTCTCTGACCCACGAATTATTTCTACCCTCCTTCCTGCTGGCACCCTGCTTTTCCCTTTCCCGCTTTTCATTCTTTTCTTTCTTTCCTTTCTTTCTTTCTTTCTTTCTTTCTTTCTTTCTTTCTTTCTTTCTTTCTTTCTTTCTTTCCTTCTTTCTTTCTTGCTTTCCTTCTTTCTTTCTTTCTTTCTTTTCTTTCTTTCTTTCTTTCTTTCTTTCTTTCTTTCTTTCTTTCTTTCAGTGCTGGTCTTTCTTCACCTTTTTGTATTTCTTTTGCATTTAGCCACTATTTAACAAATTATACATCTATCCTATAGAATACTTGCATGACCCTAAGGGTGAATGCATCCTAAACTGTGTGCCCTAGGTGCTTTTCTTGCCCTAGTCCTGCTATTCTGTGACAGGTTGTTTCTAAGTTGAGCAATATGTAAGAGTCAAACATGATTCCTAACTTCAAGTTGCTTTCCGTCCTGTGAGAGAGATGTGATGTACAGATATAATGACAATGCAATGTAAAAATAAAATGCCGGTGTCATGCAATTTCGACAGGTGTTGTGCTGTGGGAATTGATTGAATATTGTTCTACACTCAACAGTGCTTGCTAAATGCAAATCAGAGCACTGTGAGCACATGTTAAACAGGTAAAGAAAGTGTAATCCTTCTGCTTTAGAGAGGACAATCACAAATGGAGAACCTTGGAGAAAATACATATGGTTGCCCATCACACACACTTTAACTGGGTATGTGCATCGTGTCAGAGGTTCTCAGACTTTGCTGGATGGACATGGGATTCTCTGTATAGCCTAAAATGTGTGAGATTTTCTATTCTAGAGAAGGCCCAGATCTATAAATGTTCCTGAAAAGGTTATTGACCCCAGAGTTTCCAGGGTTTCCAGGGTGGGTACAGATGGCGACTACTCTTTTGTTTCATGAGGATTTACCCCAGACTTATAGGAACAGAGACACTCTGAATCCTCATAAAATAGCCAACATCATTCATCCCTTGAAACTACTGGCATGAATTGTCTTGCACGGAGGAAACAAACATTTCCTTTTTTTTTGTTCAATGTCTGAAGGGAGCTATCCCTGCAGCAGGACTTGGAAAGGCTCATAAAACTTGAGCAAAATGTTTATAAAGCATGGAAGTAAATGACAAGACTGTAACTTTGCAAAGTTTCAAGAGGAGCAGAGATTGGTCTCAGTGATCCAGGGATGGGCTTTAGGAAGCCTGTGAATCCCCAGAAACATTTGTGTGTATTTGGTTCTATGCATTTTTATGGAGAAGGGTCCACCTATAAACATTAAGAGCCACTAATCTCATTTTAAAAAGATG
This sequence comes from Homo sapiens, assembly GCF_000001405.40. Taxonomy (NCBI): domain Eukaryota; kingdom Metazoa; phylum Chordata; class Mammalia; order Primates; family Hominidae; genus Homo; species Homo sapiens. The sequence goes on from NC_000011.10 coordinate 21,338,980, forward strand.
GAATCTCCAGTCTAAATAGATTTAAATACATACCTAAGATCAAATAATTAATCAGCGCTGAATCCAGTTCTGAAGCCCTATTCTAATCCCCACTGTTCTGGGCTAAATTGTGTCCCCTCAAAAATATTGTCAAAGTTCTAACATTTGGTACCTAAGAATGTGACTGTATGTGGAATAGGGATGTAACTGCAGATGTAATTAAGTTCATATAAAATCATGAAGATGTCCCTAATCCATTATAAGAAGAGGAATTCTCCCTGTGAAGGCAGGTACACATAGCAAGACAACCGTATAAAGGTAAAGGCAGAGATTGGAGTTACACAACTGAAAGCCAAAGGATACTGATGGCTTACCACCACTAGAAGCTAAGAAGAGTCAAGGAAAGTTTCTCCCTTAGAGCCTTCAAAGGGAACAGAGCACTGACAACAGCTTGATTTCAGACTTCAGCCTATAGAACTGTGAGACAATGAATTTCTGTTGTTTAAGACATTAAGTTTCTTATGGTAGCCCAAGGAAACAAATACACTCACTATAGCTAACTCTCCAAACTGGTACATTTCTTTTCATCGTGTCAGTGCCAATACTGATAATTATGTTTCCTGGTTTTTAAAATTCATGTTTACCAGACCTAGTTTAGGCACCTCTCCAGGCAATCAGGGTCCGCTGGTCCTTGGTGACTTGCTCTGTTTCCTGGCTGGAACTGCTGAACAATGGCTTCTGCCATTCCCACAATCAAAATTGTAGCTACCAATAAGAATGTACTAATTCTACCACCTTTCTGGGCTCAAGTGCCAGGCTTTAGGGCCACCTTCATCATGCTAGCTCTGGCAGAAGCTGCAGCAGTTTCCATGTCCAAGTCCAACCTGACTAGACCTATAGAGGCCCCAGCTTCCCCAAAAGCTCCACAGGGGCTGGCTAACATCAACTGGAGTTGCAGGGCAGTAAATGCTCCGTGAGGCAAACTTTAAGGGAATACAGGAGTCATAAGGAGACAGACCATGAATTGTTCTGTCTTCCTCCCATCTTAGAAACTGTTCAGAGATGCAGAGGCTCTACAGTGGCTTTCCTGAGTTATCCTATTTAACCAAGAAACCATTGCTACTTTCTTGGAAAGCTTTAGCCAGCTCATCATACACAAGGTTATTATTTTTGCTTTACCTACTTTTTGTTTTTGCTTTTGTTTTTGTTTTTGAGACGGAGTCTCACTCTGTCGCCCAGGCTGGAGTGCAATGGCGCGATCTTGGCTCACTGCAAGCTCTGCCCCCCAGGTTCATGCCATTCTCCCACCTCAGCCTCCCGAGTAGCTGGGACTACAGGCGCCCACCGCCATACCTGGCTAATTTTTTGTATTTTTAGTAGAGATGGTGTTTCACAGTGTTAGCCAAGATGGTCTCGATCTCCTGACCTTGTGATTCGCCTGCCTTGGCCTCCCAAAGTGCTGGGATTACAGGCGTGAGCCACCGCGCCCAGCCAGCTTTACCTACTTTTATGAGTTGAATTAAATTTATGTGTTGAACTCGTAACCCAATGTGTATCAGAATGGGACTTTACTTGGAAATAAGGTCATTGCAGATATAATTAGTTAAGATGAGGGCATAGTGGAGTAGGGTAGGGTGGGCACCTAACCCTTTATGACGGGTTACACACACACACACACACACACACACACACACACACACACAGAATGAGAGAGAATGAGAGAGAGAGAGAACACTCCATTTGAAGATGAAGGCAAATATTGGGGTGATATTTCTACAAGCTAAGGAATGCCAAAGATTGTGAAGATGGGAGAGATGCATGAAAATGGCCCTCCTTTGTAGCCTTCAGAAGGAACCAACCCTGTTGACACCTTGATCTTAGACTTCTAGCCTCTAGAACTGTGAGACAGTAAATTTATGCTGTTTAGCACCAAATTTGTGGTACTTTGTTATGGCAACACTAGTAAATCAACGTACCTATTTCTCTACCATACTTCTCACATTCTCTTATTCTTGCTGTCATTGGATTGTGACAACTCCATCTCTGCCCCCCTATAATGAGTAAGCATTCAAAATTGTCCTCAGCTCTGTTTCCCTGGAAATATAAGCTAATATAGCCTTTATTCCTATTTAAAAATAAGTGTGTAGTTAGACCTGGGTTGAGCACTGACTGATAAAAAGAAATATGATATGTCCTCTTCTTGAAAACGCCTACAGTGTTCAGCAAGACTAATCTAATTCGTAAGACCACTAGAAATCAGCAAAGGCAGAATGTTGCAGGTTTGACATCTACATTGTGATAGAGTTCAGGAAAGGGAGAGTTACACCATAAGCCTCCAGAACTACAAAACAAACTATTGACTATGAGAAATTCTATTCTATCTCTGTGTTTTCCTCATATCACCAAAAAGCAAGAGTTCATATTTGGCGTATTCTGTACATATTTTTTAATTCTTACACATGAGTGTGTGGCAGGCAAAGGGGAATCATTCCAAATAGGAAACTCAGGCATTTGTAAACAAAGCCTCATGTTGGTAATTCAAAGTAATTAGTGTTTATGACTGTAGGAGTCTGGAGTATATGTGATGAATTATATTAATCGGGAGTGAATTGATACTGGAGGGTAAAGAAGGATAATTTCTCCAGCTAAGAGCGCATGGCCAGTAGCTGAAACTGTTCCCCAGACCAAGCCATTACATCTATCAAAAGGCGTTTATTAACTGCTTATTCACACATCACACTATGCTAAATGAGGAACCAAGTCTTAAAACTCACTTTCTTAACTTGTGTATAATCTATACTGGTTTCAAAGAAAGAGCAAGAAAACTTCACTTGAAATTTAGAGCCTTAGAGCTTTTAGAGTTCCTTTAAAGAAATCTTTATATGTAATAATACATTTTTTTTGGAGAAGAAATCAATTGAGATCTCATTTTTCTTGTTCACGTTTTCTAAACATTTCCACTGTTAGTGGTTCACATAAACTTGTTTATGTGTATGAGTTATTAATATATGGATTGACTCAAACTCTCTAAATGATTTTTGCTTCCATAATATAGCTTCACTAACCTAAATGAGTTGTCGATAGCAATACCATGGACTGTAACTTCTGTAATACCATTGTCTTCACTGTATGTGGAGTGCCTACAGAAAGCCTGGGTGAGAGAAGGTATATAAAAAACATCTGTTGAATGATAAAACCCTCATTCCTGGTTGGATCCAGGAAGGATAATTTTTTCAAACATTCCTGTAAGGAAAGATGCCAAAACTTTTTGAGCACCTGTCATGTCCCAGGCTCCCTACTAAGCACTTTACATAATCTCAAGGGATATCCCTTCTTTCACTTTAACATGGGTGCAATAGCATTTACTTATCTGTTTATAGCAATAGAAAGACTTAAATACTGCTGGGCATGGTGGCTTGTGCCTGTAATCCCAGTGCTTTGAGAGGCTTAAGTGGGGGGGGGGGTCACTTGAGGCCAGGAGTTCGAGACCAGCCTGGGCAACATAGCAAGACCACATTTCTACACATTATAAACAAATTAGCAGGCATGGTGGCATGTGCCTGTAGTTACAGCTACCTGGGAGACTAAGGAGGGAGAATCACTTGAGCCCAGGTAGTCGAGGCTGGAGTGAGCCATGATCATGCCACTGCACTCCAGCCTGGATGACAGAGAGAGACTGTCTTTAAAAAAAAAAAAAAAAGAAAAAGAAAAAGAAAAGAAAGAGATAGGAAAGGAAGGAAGAGGGAGAGAGAGAGAGAGAGAGAGAGAAAGAGAAAGAAAGAGAATAGTATGCATGTGAGGAACTTAGCATTGTGTCTGGTGCCAAACAAATGCTGAGCTACTGGTTACCTTTCTCTTCTTTTTCTTATTACATTCAGTATCCACTGAACATTCCTTACAGTGATTTTCCATTACTCTTTATATCAGATGCAGAAATGTTGACTGTGTTTTTGGTTAGCATCATTTATAAGGAAATTCCTCCAGGAAGCACATCTTCCTCTTTGTTGTTCTTCTTTTAATACTGTTGAATGGAAAGCTCACCACAACCACAGCCTAGGCCCCAGAGACCTGTCGCTTGGACTATTCAACTGCCTCCTAAGTCTAACAGCTTTTGGTTTTGTCTCTTGCAATAGATACTGCTCTTTGCACCAAGAAAGCTCTATTCAAAATATAAATTTGACTATATTATTCCTTTGTTTACTCTAATTGCCATTCCATACAAATAAAGTCCAGACTCCCCAGCATGGCATACAAGATTCTTCATGTCCAAAGCCCTGTCTTCCTCTTAAGACTTATATAATTCAGCTGCTTCTATGCAGGATGCATTTTCACAAATGTATATGATTCATGATCTCGTTGCTCAACGAGTCTGCACTTTGGCTTGTGCAGGATCATCTGCTTTGCAGCCTCCCTCTCTTTCCTTATCTTTCTTCACCTAGCCTACTCTGCTCAATCTCTTAGACACAGCTCATGCATCACTTCCTCTTGGCAGCCTTTGGAAAGCTTAGGTACCCTTCCTTAATGTTTTTTTAATTACTCTGTGATCTGATTATCAGGAATTTAGGACATTGCCTTCAAATCATCCATTAGTGTCTGTTGCTGCCACAACAGTCTAGGCCATGGGTGGGCAAACTTCTTCTGTAAAGAACCAGGTATTAGATATTTTAGCTTTGTGTAGCATATGGTCTTCATCAAAATTACCCAGTTTTGCCTTTGTAACACAAAAACAGCCAAAGACAATATGTAAATTAATGAGCTTCACTGTGGTTCCAATAGTTTACTTACAAAAAAATAGATGGCAGGGTGGATTTCTCCAGTGGGTTGTAGGTTGCCAACCCCTAATCTAAGCCTCTTGAGGATGGGGATCCTCTTATCTTTCTTAGATTCTGTAGCACCTAGCTCAGTGTCTGTGTTAAAGGAGGGGCTCAATCAATGTTAATTGAACTGGGAGTGTACTATGCCCTCCAAATCATCATGTGCCAGGTGCTGATTCTTGTTTTTATTCTTGCTTTTATTTGAAGTATAATCAGGTTGCTGTTGAACATTTTTAATTTTGTACCAAGCAGATGTGCCCCATTTGAAGAACAGAAGCAAATCAGTACATACTAAATTACCAGGTCACATTCTAACACAGAGATCTGCGCATTCTGTCTGAGCATCTAAGGCTTCTAATTTTCTCGGGTATCCTATTGCCCTCAAATGTTGTGGCTTTCCTTGAAACCAGCCAGTGTTGTCTGTGAACTGTTTATTGAAAGCTGTGTAACTAAGTACAGTAATAGAATTTTTCAATCAATACTCAATTGCAGCAGGAGCTGGTAGAGAGATTTCAGCAGCCATAACATGCTGAGATAACTTGGTGTCACTAAGAAATCAGGCAGCAGAGAGCAGTACTAATTGAGTTCTGTCAGTCATACATGTGGGCACTGGGCTTGAAATCTGGTGTAGAAGCTATAGTATTATTTAATGTGTATTTGGTTGTGTAAACCCAGACAGCAAACTCATGTGAACTCAGCTGAATAACATTCAGCTGTTCTAGGCCTCTCATAACAATTTTCTTTTTTTTTTCTCTGTTTAAAAACTCAGCAGTATCCTGTATGTGCATAACATAAAAGGAATAGCAGTGGTATTTAATTGTAAGTCTGGGATAGATGGTATAAAGAGGAAATATAACCTAATAGAAAGAGAATTGGAAGTCAAAAGACTCAACCTTCAAATTCCAGCTGTTCTACCTGTTAACTCTGTGTTTTGGCTGTGAATCAAGTGATAGCCAACGCATCGGTTTTTCTATCTTTACAATGGGGATTATACCTGCCTGCCTTATTAGTGTTTCAGTGAACTTCAAAGCAATTTTTGGCTGTGAAAATGCTCTGCAATGATAGTTGTTGTTTTATGAGCACCTTAATTATTCTGCTTCTCCAGGAAAAAAAAAAATGTGTCAACACTAAGTGAATTTTCCTTGTAATTTAATCCTTTAATTTTAATAATTTTTATTGAAGTCTTTCCCAAAGAATGCACAATAAACTAACTGCTTTATTAAACTGAATAGTTTATGCAAATTGAACCCATTTATGGCTCAGAGTTAACACTGGGATTTCTGCTTCTGTGATTCATGTTGTAGCTGTAGGTGCTGCTGACTGTGGGATTTACCTGTGATTGAGCCCAGAAGTAGCTTGGTTTAGCCTTCTGGAAAAATTCCAATTAGTCACTTTGTTAATTTGGGCTATTTGCCTCTTCTGCAAAGGAAGATTTAGGGAATGACTGAAATAATGTTATAGTTTGAAGGAACACTGAACACCATTAAGTCCAATCCCTTCTTAGAAGGAAATAAACTGAAATCCCAAGGGTTTAATGAGTTGCTCAATGTCACACACAAAATGAGTGTTTAAGTGTACCCTATCCCCACCTTCTGACAACATTAACATTAATGAACATTTTCTCAAAGCTTTACTATTTTCAAAGCATTTGCATATCCATATCTTATTTAGACATCTCCAAAGCTGTGAAGTTGACAGAGCAGGGGCCATTCTCTCCATTTCATGAGTGTCAAGTGACTTTTCCTCAGTCACTTAGTGGGTGTATGCTCAGGGAAAGATGCTGGGACATGAAAACAGATCTTCTGACCACAGGTCCTAGTATCATCCCAAGACATTATGTTTCATGCTATTGGACTATGCCTTGTCTACTATAACATGCAATATTAATGCTGCATAACCTCTGCAGTAGCACGACTTCGCTGACTGCTGTAAAATAAATCATCTTCCTAAAGATAGAAGATGTCTTTTCCCAAATGAGTTTTTCATGTTCCAGAGCAGTTTCTTCAATATCACTGTTTGTGTGCTTTGAATTTTTCACAGAACTTACAGCCTTATGTATGAGATCTGCACGACCAGCAATAGGAATAACTGGCACCTTCATATCAGCTTTTACCTACTTGCAATCACAGTGTGCTTCTGCCTCAAACCTCATGTCCTATAACTTTTTCTTAGCACTTTAGATTCCACCAATACTATTAGTTGAAGTTCCCAAATACATGATAGCCTGCTTTTGTGCCATATTAGTAAAATGTGTTTCTCTGAGAACTGTTGCAAACCTAAGTCAAACTGGCTTAAGATCACCTTGGATTTTTTGGTTCCTGAAACTAAAAATCCAGGGATAGAGCAAGCATGGCTGGACTCAAGACTTCCAAATTAGTGTGAGGAAACATCTCTCTCTTCCTCTGTCTCTCTCCTCTTTCCTTCTATCTGAATTTTTCTGCATTAGACTTTGTTCTCAGGCAGGTTCTAACAAGAAGAAGAAAAGATGGCCACTGCTGGGTCCAGAATTATATTAGCTAGTGAATTCCATTGAATCAAGAGTACTTCCCACCAGCCCCAACCCCACAATAGCATCAAGAAAAAATTCTCTTTGAATTGATTGAGTTATATACTTCCATTCTTGGAACTGGGACATGCAGCCAACTGTACCCAAGCCATATAAATGGAGAGAAAGGGTAAGAGGGATTCCTGAAATAAATTATATCAATATAATTCAATTATTAAATTTAAAATATTAAATAAATTATATATAATTTATTATATATGATATATAATAATATGTGGTATTTGATATAATAATATATATGATAAATATAATATATAATGTATGATATTTGATATATATGCTGTATCAAATATATATTAATTATATGATATAATATCAATTTATAATATCAAATTAAATATATAATATATATGATATATAATGTGTGACTATTAATGAAGCATAGATGCTTAACAGGAAAAAATCACAAAATATTCACTACACACACTAAAATGCCTATGCCATGTTCACTGCTAAAATGCCTTGCTCTCTCACTTACTTGAAAAACTCCTACTTCACCTTCTAACTCTACTCAAAAGCCATTTACTATGTAGATGATCTTGGGGTAACTTACAGAACCTCTATAGCCTCTTATTATAACGTGGCATACAATAATAATAACCAAATGTTAAGCTAGTTTAGGAGATTATATGCCTGATCCATATAAAGTGCTTAAGACAATCTTTGGCAAAAGTTATGTGCTCTATAAACTTAACAATGCTGCTGCTGCTGTTGCTGACACTTGAACATCATGGAGAGACAAGTGCTGTGAGGGAAGACAAAGCAGGGTAAAGGCACAGAGTGGCAGTGGTGTTGTTTAAGAAATCCTAGGTCATGCAAGGCATTTCCGAGGAGTTGACATTTGAGTGGAGAAGAGAATGAAGTGATGCTATGAGCTATGTGAACAACTTGGAGGTGAGTGTTCTAGTCAAAGGGAACAACAAGTGTAAAGGCCCTAAAGTGGAAAAGAGTTTGGCTTGTTTGAAGAATAAAATCATAACGGGGCTGGTCTTGGTGGCTCATGCCTGTCATCCCAGCACTTCGGGAGGCTGAGGTAGGTGGATCACCTGAGGTCGGGAGTTTGAGACCAGCCTGACCAACATGGTGAAACCCCATCTCTACTAAATACAAAAAATTAGCCGAGTGTGGTGGTGCATGCCTGTAATCCCAGCTACCTGGGAGGCTGAGGCAGGAGAATCGCTTGAACCTGGGAGGCAGAGGTTGCAGTGAGCCAAGACTGCGCCATTGTACTCCAGGCTGGGCAACAAGAGCAAAACTCTGCCTAAAACAAACAAACAACAACAACAAAAGAAACCATAACAGGACATTTACTAGAGGTGTCATTTTTCTTAAGATCTTCAATTTTATCTTTTAACAAATTATGGACATATATAAAATTAAACACTGAGTCATTATTATTAGTAAGAATTTCTATCCATTTAGTCACCCTTCTTGAAAGTTTGGAGCTGAGTCAAGTGCAGATTTTTCCAGGCAGAGTCCTGGGAGCCAGTGGAAGGTAACCACCGGTGCCTTATATTGGCATTGGTAGTATGTGGAGCCAAGGGACCAAATTGTGTCCAGAAAAGGGGCGCATGTCTGATTTGAAGTAAGTAGTTCAAAAGAAGGTTGCCAATCTTAGGAGCTGGAAAGAGAATGGAGGATAAAGCTTTGGAACTGAAAAGGCTGAGCTAACAAGGATATGACAGGACAAGGAGTGTTGTGACCTGATGTGGCTAGAAGCTCCAAGACAGGGTGAATTATTGTTGTGCAACTTGGGTTGCAATGTCTTCCAGAATAATTTTTTCTATTTAATATAAGATATGGCTTTCTAGATAGAATCATTAAGATAACATTAGGAGGTAGAGGCATGCTCAGGCTATTTCCCAAACCTTACTTCTATTTCCTCAGTAGAGTGAAGACTTTGGATATAAGATGAAATGTAAAAATATGGTAGAATATATTAGAACAAAGAATGTTCTTTGAATTTGACATCCTTTTAGTTAGTCACTGAACATGTGGTATTCACTTACTTATGTGTACCGGACCCTGTGCTGAGCTCTAGGGGAGATACAGAAATGAGGATTTTAGGGCTCTTTCTCTTTTGTAAGCTGGAATAAAAGTAAAGTACATGTAAACCAATAATTTTAATAAAATGTGTCTGGTGCTTTACCATTCATGAGCTATATAAATTTGATAAGATATTTAAGCATTTATTTCTTGATTTATAATGTTTGGATAAAAATAGCACCTACCTTATGGCATTTTGGGGTGGGGTTAAAAGAAAAGAAAAAAAACAGTGTTAAAATGTTTAGTACATTACCTGGCACATGCTACATGCTAAATGCATTTTTAAAGGGCTTTGATACCAGCAAGGGGTTGTGGTAGCATGGAGCAAAAAATGACTTATTTTATCTGGGCCTGGAAAAATCCCCATAGGACTACTAAGTCTTGAAGGCTGAATTGATAAATGGGGAAGGAATTACAGAGTGAACAGTCATGTGAAATACTAGGAAACTTTCTGGAGGAGAATTTTGTTTATCAAACAATTAGGTAACATATATGGAAAACATTAAGAGAAACTTTAGGAAAGTTGGGCTGGGGTCAGATTATGAATGGCTTCATATATCATGTCAAGAAACACTTCTTTAAGTAATTACGAAGAGCCTTCACAGGTCTTTATGCAGAGGAGTGAAATAACAGGAAATCAGGTGTGTCTGAACCAACACTAATGAGATGTAGAGGAAAGCACAAAAGGTCATTTGGCAACCATGTGCCTGGGTAGAATCACAGAGGATGATTCTGTATTAGAGCTACAACTCTTGGGTGAATGGAAAGAGAAAATAACAAGAGGAAAAAAAAATTCTTGCTTTTAAGGCAACTGGTATATGTGTGATGCCTTAGACAGCTGTAGGAGTTGAAATGTGCCACTCATCAGTGATATTATTTTATGGAAGCTGGAAAAGCATTAACATGTATGACAATAGTTAGCCTATCCATGGTCTATATAGTTGCAGGGAAATGTAATTCACAAACACCTGCCTGAGTCTATTTGGCAAGTATTGGGAGCATCAACCTTAGTTTTATCAGCATGAAAAACTGCTCAGGGAATGTACTGCATTCAAAAAAGACTTTGCTGAAAACCCCAGAAAATGGTTTTGAAAATTCATGGTGTTATGGTTATTGGTTTTAATTTTAAATCTACAATGCTTTCTGTCACTCTGAAATGCCTTTATTTTGAAAAAATAATACAGAACTCAGTCTATTGTGTTTTCCTAGTAAAATAGTGTCCTTTTTTTTTTAAAGCAGTGAATCAGAGGAAGAGACTGATTTTGATCACTTGAGTTTGGGAATGTATATGTTATATTGTCTGTGGATAGAGAGACCTTTATATCTTTGCTGCTTGTGCAAATGCTACAGTGTAGGTTGCAGTACATTGCTGCATTATAGTTTAGCTTGGTGACCTACTGTAGTGAACATAAGTCTGAGATCCTAGATAGGTCCATGTGTCCTCAATATGGCTGTATCTTATTACAATAATGCCCTATGAAGCCAATATTATGAATATAATTTGATATGGCCTTTTATTAAATGTTTCACAATCTACTATATTGTAATCATTTCAATTAACTGTGCACCTCTTAAAATAATTAAGACTTAGACCTTTTACTTGCTGTCCAACATAGCCAATAATTTTTAAAAATCTGATAGATGATAGGACACCTCAGCAGTCATGCTTGGGAGGCTTCAAACTTTTATATCCAGTGATCATCACATCCATTTTTTTCTGATTTGAGACAGAATTAAAACATTTTTGGATGATATTTTGATTCACTTTATTTAATTATTTAGACATTTTCTCTCATGCTCACTGCTTTGATAGTCTTTCTTAATGCCAGTAATTCTTGGGTATAACTATTGGATATGGTATTATTCTGGATGTTGGAAGTTCCTGATCCCAATTTTGAGAATCATCAAATGGAAACTAACAGCACTAGTAATGGCTAATAAAAGAAGAGAAAAATGATTTAACTACTGAGCAAGATCTTTTTAAAAAAAAAAAACTTTAATAACCACTAATATTTAACAAATACCATTGTCCATATAGTTAAGAATCCAAAAGGAAAAAAACTTCATTGCCCAATGCATATGTTTATAATTTCATCCTGTGCATTCCATTCTGTTGAAGAACAAAATAGAAGCCAAAGCATTTATAAAAGGCCAACATTAGGTGAAAACACCTGAGTGACTCTTCTGGCAGGTTTAAATGGCCTGGTGAGACTCGCTAACTCTGCTGGTTTTTTAAGTTTACTCTGGGATTTGTAATTAATTTATTCAATAAGGAGTGATTGATTATGTATTATGTGCAGGAATTTTGCTTGGAACTGGAGACAGAGAGTTGAAAGACACCATCTGTATGTTTCAGAAGCTCAAGAATCTATTAGGCTAAACAGATCAGTGGGAAGACAATTATAGGACAGTTTGATAAATGTTATATGAGTACAACAAAGATTCCCTGGAGGAATACAGGAGGGACTCTGTACTGGGTTGAATAGTGGACCTAAAAAAATATGTCCAAGTCCTAACCCTCATTACTTATTAACGTGACCTTATTTGGGAATAGGACCTTTACCGGTGTAGTTAAGTTAAAGATCTTAAGATGGTATCATCTTGGATTTAGCATGGGTCCTAAATCCAATTACTGGTATAATTGGATTGGTATAAATGATATCAGTAATAAGGAAAATGAGAGGGCAATTCGACACAGAGCACCTAGAGGAAAGTCACATAAAGATGAAGGCAGAGATTGGAGTTATAATGCTACAAGCCAAGGAATATCAAGAACTGCTAGCAGCCACCAGAAGCTAGGACAGAGCACATGGAACAGATTTTCCTTCAGATCCTCCAATGTGAACCTATCCAGCCGACACCTTGATTTCAAACTGAGTGAATATTTTTTTTGTTGGTTTAAGTCACCAAGTCTGTGGTAATTTGGATATGGCGACTCTGGGAAGCTAATACAGGTCTTTAAGCTAGACTGGAGGTCTGGGACTGGAGATGGTCATCAGGTAATTACAAGGCCTCCCAGTTCAGGGAACATTTCAGCTGAGATTTGCAGGTCAAGTGAGAGTTACCTGATTTACTAATGGGAAAAATAATTGCAGGCAGAAAAAAGTAAGTGTAAATGCAGTCCATATTATTTCCAGTAAAAAAAAAAAAAAGAAACTTTTTAAATTTCTAATTCTATAGGTGGAAGGAAAGAGATATGCTGCTCACCCAGTTTTGTCTACTCCGGACAAAGATCTGATCTCTACTATGTGGTCTACCTTCTGTGGATCTCTGTAGTACATAGATTATTGTCTTCTCTCACATCTCCACTTCCATCACACTGATTGAGGGGACCATAAATTTCTCTCCTGAATTATTGTAATAGCTTTTAACTAGTTTATTTGCATTCACCATTGCTTATGCCAGCCCAAGTTCTATTTTTCTTAACACGTTAGTCAGAGAGAGCGTCTATTGAAACCTAAGTAACATAATGTCATTCTGTAGCACAAAATCTTCCAATGCTTCTTAATTGCGTTCAGAACAATAAAATAAAGTCTTTAAACATCCTAATGACCGTAGGAGAACTGATGCTTTATGAATTTTCTGTTACCGTCTCCTACAACTCAGCCTCTGACTCACTTGGCCTTTTTGCAATTCCTGGACATACTAAGTATGGTCCTCCATGAAGCCTTTATGCTAAGCTATTCTCTTTGTCTAGAGTACTCATCACCACACCATCTGCCTGGCCTGTTCTCGGTCTTCCTTTATGTTTGTGCCAAAATGTCAGTTTATTAGGCCTTTTGTGATCATCCTAAATAAATAGTAACCCCTCTACCAATATTTCTTATCTCCTTTACCCTGCTTTAGTTTTTCCCGTATCGCTTACTATAATTTGGATTATTGTGTATTTATTTGTTTAGTTTATATTTTTCTCCACTAGAGGATAAGTTGCATATGACCAGGAACATTATCTGTTTTGATCATTGTTATTGTTAAGTGCTTAGGAGAGTACTTGGCACATAGTAGTATTTTGATTGATAGTTTTTGAATGGATGGATGAACAATACATAGAAGATTTTTTTTAACTGGGAAATTCATAGAAGCATTCAAAATGTTTGATGAGAATTTCTGGGTCCATGCTTTATTAGGAAAAACTCAATAAATTTTAAGTGCAATATTACTTAAAACAGATTACAAAGGCTGCAGTGGGGTCTGATATTAATTCCTCATTTCTTCTCACGAAAAATACACACAAATAAATTGGGGATGGCCCTTAATTGGTGTGGCTTTAATAACAGGTTTGATCAATTTTGGATCCTGTTCAGTGATGTTCTTATCCCCCATAGGCTAGTTTCTATTGCAAACTGCTTTTCTTACGTGAGCTCTCTTGTCCTTAATTCTTATTACTCTTACAGAAAGAAAGAATATAGTCCTTGAGGCCCAAATGTTATTAAATGATTTCTCTGGGAAACTTTGCTTCTCTCCTGTGTACTCTGCAAATGTTGGATGAAGCCGTGAGATGCCACTTCTTTTTGTCCCTCTTACCTGGGTACTCTGTGCCTGTCCTTTCTTTGTTTTGATCATAATACACTAATGAGATTCCATGTTTTCTGCATACTGTGGATATGGGAGAAGCACTTTAAAGATCTCAACATGAGGACATGAGTAGATTCCTTTCCAGCTGAGAGTCTGAGTTGAGAATAGCTCTCCAGTTGGGCAGAAAGATGAACATTATGGAAACTTCATTATAGCACCCTCAGGAAATAGTCAGACAAGGCATCTTGCTTGATCCCTTCATGGCCAGTATCATGTGGACTAAACAGATGGGTAAAAAAAGCAAATTCAGCATGATTGAGGAACTATACCTAGTTGGATAAGGCTATAGAACTTGCTACTGGTGAACAGTGGAAAGTAAAAATCTTTGAGGTATGAGGCACTTACTTTCATATTTCCCTTGTCATTTAAACTTCATCCCAACTTGAAGAAGAGGTATTCATTTCACAAGTGAGGAAACTGAGGCACAGAGGAGGTAACTTGCTGAAGGTCACACAGGTGGTGATTAAATCCAGATTTGTCTGTTTTTCCACAGACTATGCTTTTACCTCCACCATGCTGCCTATAAATTAGAAATACATTTTGAGGGATTTGAGCTTAAACCTTTCAAAAATAACATTAGCACAAGAACAAGGGCAGCCCATGTTGTAGATGAGATATAGCTAAACATCTAGAAAGGCAGATCGCTGGGCTCCAGTGCCAGCGGCTGTGTGCAGCATGAAAGCAGCTATTAATCAGACACGCTCGCTTAAGAGGACCCTGGGTTTTGACTTTGAAGGCAGCCAAAGAAAGGTCGAATATATGCTTTTGAATTCTACAGCAAGCAGAGCTCTTTTGAATTCTTTATTTTCTAAAAATGATAATTAATAATTCTAATGCTTACTTCCTTGGTTGAGCTCTTCAAACATGGAATTAAAAGTAGTAAATTTTCAACAAAATACATATGACAGACTGTTAACCCCATAAATTAGGGTTTCATTTGCCTTAATTTCTCACATCAGTGTATTTTTCCCAAGATGGCTTTCCCCACATGTATGTGTCTAATAAACCAATGATGTCAACAATAATTAGTACCTTTGAAGCAGCTGAAACTTAACGCTGGACCTGTGGTTACATTATTCCTCACAACAACTATATAAAGAAGGTGCTGTTTTAACATTTTATTTTGTCAAAAAGAAGATAAGTCTTACCGCAGTTTCTAGATGAGCCCAATGTCACATAGCTAGAAAATGGCATATGTGAGATTTGTGCGAGGCTCCCCACATCCAGGAGCCCATTGTCTGAAAGACCAAGTCTCTGCATGTGTTAAGTATTTGAAGGGGTGGGGTTAGGGGCAGGGACAGTATTGTCTGCAGGATATGATGGCTAAGTTGCGAGATATGATGGTTTTTTCTTTTCTTTATTTATTGTTTGTATTATTCCTCTTTTCCTCCCTCCTTCTTTCTACTCTCCTCTCCTTCCCGCTTCACTTAGTTAAAACTTCAAACCAGGTTTCTCTCATTGGGTGAAACTGGCATTGCTTCTCAGGCACCTGATGTTCTGCTGAATCCTGGGTGTGACTAGAATCCCAGCACCTGGAATTTAGTCTCAGCCTCATAATTAACTTTCTCCGGGCTAGCTATCTAACTTTTCTCCTTTCAGCTTCCCCAACTCCAGAATGCAGATATAATTACAAATTACCTTTTAAGATTATTGTGAAGTGCTTTTTAAACAAAAGCAGAAAATGCTTTACAAATCTGAGAAGTTGTTCAGGTTTCAGGTTGGAGATGGGAAACAAAGAAGCTCTCTTGAGAACTCTGGTCCACCCGAATTACCCAGCTACTATCACTGCAGGTTGGATTCGTATTTCTTTCAAGATTTAACATGTAATTCCATGCAGTTATATAAAGTTGCAGAATGCTTTTACCTGGGAGAGTTTGCTGGAATTTATCTCTTTAAAAGTCTCTAGACTGTGACCTCCAGGGCTAATATAAGCGTTGGCTCTGATATAGCAGTGTAATAGGAAACCTTCTGACCTTCTTACCTGGGGCTTTCTCTTCAACTGCTTTTCACAGATAGCCCTTTCAGGCTCCCATTTCCTAGTGCTCCTGTAAATGTTGAATGCCAAATTTTGAACTGCTTTCAGAGGTTTTACTGCAAAGATATAATTTGATGTTGCTTTAGTGTCCTAGGGAGTCCTGAATTAATTTCTTGAATTTTGCATGTTAAAATGTGAACATCATCTTTTATTCTATTCCTCTTCATACCTTTTTGTCTTAATGTCCCATCATTTTCCTTGCTGTTGATTCCAGTGCCCAACAAGCTCTCAAAGTCTGACACTGATGTGTGCACCAGTTAGTGAGAGGCAGACTGCAAAGAGTTTTTGATATTTGAGAAGAAAATTCTCTGCTATATGAATTAACCTAGAGAAAACGGGGCTGATATATTTAAAAAGTGCTCACCATTTTGAGCACTCACTATGGGTGGGCACTATGCCAAGTGCTTTACATGCACTACCTCATTTAATTCCAGTTTTACCAGTATGATACAGGTTCCCTTATTGACCTGATTATACAGATAAGGAAGGTGATACTTCATAGAGATTAAGCAATTTGGCAAAATCAGTCAGCAAATAAGAAGTGAAACCAGGACTAGAAGATAGATCTGTTTCTAGAATCATGCTTTTACTAAGCCAAAGGCTGTATGGAAGAAGTACTCAGGTACTTGAGTTGTTTTGGAAAATGTGTCCATGATTGACCACAAGGTTAGGATTAAATACTCCTCACTCCTAAGTTCTTGGTGATTATCTGTTGAATTGCCCTTCCTTTTAATAAATCTTTCATTTCTACATTCTGGAGAGTTTAAATTCATAAAAACTTTTTCAAATTCAGCATCAGTTCTATGGAGCCATTCTTGACCTTCTGGTCAGAAGAGTTTTCCTTCTTGGCACCTCCTCTTGACTTGTACAGGCAGTATTGCTTGGATCTCTAAGTCACTACGTGATCTGCACACTTCATTCCTTGGGGCCTTTGCACTTGCTGTAACCTTTGCCTGGAACATTCTTTGCTTGATAATTTCATGGCTCACTCTTTTCCCCTTTAGGTCTCTACTCAAATGATCTCTTTTCAGTGATCACCCGTTATATGTCACCCTATTTAATTGCAACCTTCCCCACTGACACACTTCCCACACTGTGTCTGCTTTTTCTCCTATCACTTGCTATCATCTAATATCCTATGTCTCACATTTATTTTACCTGTCTCTTCTCCATAAGAATATAAACATTTATTTATTCTGTCTCTTCTCTATGAGAATGTAAACCCATCAGAAATATTTTTATCTGTTCTGTTAACTACTTGAGCCCTGGTTCTGAGTAATCTCTGGTACAGAGAGGGTGCACAATATATATTTATTGAATGACTGAATGAAGGACTGTCTGCCTTTTTTCACCTTTGACACTGTTGAGATAGGGAGCTAGATAATTCTTTGTTGCAGGACTGTCCTGTACTGCTAACCTGTAAGATATTTAGCAACATCTCTGGTTTCTGCTCACCAGTAGACCCACTAGTAGCAGTTGTGACATCCAACTGGGATAACTGAGAGTGTCACCAGACATTACTAAATATCTCCTGCAAATGGGGGGCATTGTCCTCCGCGCAAACACTGTTTTAGACTCAAAGATCCTGGAGAACAGGATCTATATTACTAGAGCATATAATAATACTGTAGCGCATAGTAGATGCTTGATAATATTTTACAATTAATTTGTTTATTAAAATAGTTTTTGGGGAACAGGGTTTTTGGTTACATGGATACGATCTTTAGTGGTAATTACTGAGGTTCTGGTTCACCCATCACCCAAGCAGTGTACACTTTACCCAATGTGTAGTCTTTTATCCCTTGAACCGCTCCCTCCTTCATCCTGCATCCCCAAAGTCCATTGTATTATTCTTAGGCCTTTCTGTCCTCACAGCTTAGCTCCCACTTATCAGTGAGAACATACGATATTTGGTTTTCCATTCCTGAGTTACTTCACTTAGAATAATGGTCTCCAACTCCATGTAGGTTGCTGCAAATGCCATTTCTTCATTCCTTTTTATGGCTGAGTATTATTCCATGCTGTATATATACCACATTTTCTTTATTCACACATTGGTTGATGGGCATTTAGGCTGGTTCCATATTTTTGCAATTGTGAATTGTGCTGCTCTAAACATGTGTGCGCAGGTGTCTTTTTCATAAAGTGACTTCTTTTCCTCCGGGTAGATACCCTGTAGTGGGATTGCTGGGTCAAATGGTAGTTCTCTACTTTTAGTTCTTTAAGGAATCTCCATACTGTTTTCTATAGTGGTTGTAATAGTTTGTATTCTCACCAGCAGTGTAAAAGTGTTCCTTCTCACCACATCCATGCCAACATCTTTATTGTTTTTTTACTTTTTATTTATGGCCATTCTTGCAGGAGTGAGGTAGCTCATTGTGGTTTTAATTTGCATTTCCCTGATAATTAGTGATGTTGAGAATTTTTTTGTATATTCGTTGGCCATTTGTATATCTTATTTTGAGAATTGTCCATTCATGTCCTTAGCCCACTTTTTAAAGGATTATTTGTTTTTTCTTGCTGACTTATTTGAGTTCCTTGAAGAGTCTGGATAGTAGTCCTTTGTTGTCCATAGTTAGTGAATATTTTCTCCTGTTCTGTGGGTTGTCTGTTTGCTGATTATTTCTTTTGCTGTGCAGAAGCTTTTTAGTTTAATTAAGTCCTATCTATTTATGTTTGTTATTGTTGCATTTGCTTTTGCGCTCTTGGTAATTAACTCTTTGCCTAAGCCAACAACTAGAAGAGTTTTACTGATGTTATCTTCTAGAATTTTTAGGTTTCAAGTCTTAGCTTTAAGTCTTTGATCCATCTTGAGTTGATTTTTGTATAAGGTGAGAGATAAGGATCCAGTTTTATTCTTCTCCACATGGCCTGCCAGTTATCCCAGCACCATTCGTTGAATAGGGTGTCGTTTCCCCAGTTTATGTTTTTGTTTGCTTTGTAGAAGATCACTTGACTATAAGTATTTGGTGTTATTTCTGCTTTCTCTATTCTGTTCCATTGGTCTACATGCCTATTTTTATACTAGTATCACGCTGTTTTGATAACTATAGCCTTGTAGCATAGTTTGAAGTTGGGTAGTGTGATGCCTCCAGATTTGTTCTTTTTGCTTAGTATTGCTTTGACTATGTGGGGTCTTTTTCGGTTCTATATGAATTTTAGGATTGCTTTTTCTAGCTCTGTGAAGAATGATGATGGTCCTTCGATGGGAATCACATTGAATCTGTAGATTACTTTTGGCAGTATGTGATTTTCACAATATTGATTCTACTCATCCATGAGCATAGGATGTGTCTCCATTTGTTTGTGTCATCTATAATTTCTTTCAGCAATGTTTTGTAGTTTTTCTTGTAGAGGTCTTTCACCTCCTTGGGGCTAGGTGGTATATTTGTAAGGTTTTTTTTGTTTTGTTTTGTTTTTTTTGAGGCAGAGTCTTGCACTGTCTCCCAGGCTGGAGTGCAGTGGCATGATCTCCGCTCACTGCAACCTCTGCTCCCAGGTTCAAGCGATTCTCCTGCCTCAGCCTCCTGAGTAGCTGGGATTACAGACACATGCCACCATGCCCTGATAATTTTTTTTTTTTTTTTTTTTTTTGGATTTTTAGTAGAGATGGGGTTTTGCCATATTGGTCAGGCTGGTCTTGAACTCCTGACCTCGGGTGATCCGCCTGCCTCAGCCTCCCAAAGTGGTGGGATTACAGGCGTGACCCACCGTGCCCGGCCTTTTTGTTGTTGTTGTTGTTGTTGTTGTTGCAGCTGTTGTAAAGGGGATTGAGTTCTTGATTTGTTTCTCAGCTTGGGCATTGTTGATATGTACCAGTGCTACTGATTTGTGTACATTGTATCTTTAAACTTGACTGAACTCATTTATCAGATCTAGGAGCTTTTTGGATGAGTTTTTAAGGTTTTCTAGGTATACAATTGGCAAACAGCAACAATTTGACTTCCTCTTTACTGATTTGGATGCCCTTTATTTCTTTCTCTTGTTTGATTGGTCTAGCTAGGACTTCCGGCACTATGTTGAATAGAAGTGGTAAAACTGGGCATTCTTGTCGTGTTCCAGTTCTCAAGGGGAATGCTTTCAACATTTCCCTTTTGAGTGTAATGTTGGGTATGGGTTTGTCATAGATTGATTTTTTATTACCTTGAGGTATGTTCCTTCTATGTAAATTTTGCTGAAGGTTTTAATCATAAAGTCACACTGAATTTTGTCAGATAATTTTTCTGCATCTATTGAGATGATCCTATGATTTTTGCTTTTAATTCTGTTTATGTGATATATCACATTTATTGACTTGTGTATGTTAAACCATCCCTACATCCTTGGTATGAAACCCACTTGATAATGGTGTATTATCTTTTTGATATGCTGTTGGATTCTGTTAGCTAGTATTTTGTTGAAGATGTATGCTAGTAT
The DNA here is from genome assembly GCF_000001405.40 of Homo sapiens. NCBI lineage: Eukaryota > Metazoa > Chordata > Mammalia > Primates > Hominidae > Homo > Homo sapiens. Next base: position 21,359,411 of record NC_000011.10, read on the forward strand.
TTTATTGAAGATGTATGCATCTATGTTCACCAGGGATATTGTTCTGCAGTTTTGTTTTTTTGTTATGTCCTTTACTGGTTTTGGAATTAGGGTAATACTGGCTTCATAAAATAATTTAGGGAGGATTCCCTCTTTGTCTTTTGGAATAGTTTCAGTGAGATTGGTACCAATTCTTCTTTCAATGTCTAATAGAAGTCAGCTGTGAATCCATCTGGTCCTGGACTTTTTTTGTTGGCAATTTTAAAATTACTGTTTCAATCTCACTAATTGTTATTGGTTTGTTCTATTTCATCCTGATTTAATCTGAGAGGGGTGTATATTTCCAGGAACTTATCCATCTCCTCTAGATTTTTTAGTTTGTGTGCATTAGGTGTTCACAGTAACCTTGAATGATCTTTTGTATTTCTGTGGTATCGTCGTAATATTTCTTGTTTCATTTCTAATTGAGCTTATTTGGACCTCCTCTCTTCTTTCTTGGTTAATATCACTAATGTTCTATCAATTTTGTTTATCTTTTCAAGAACCAGCATTTTATTTTATTTATCTTTTGTATTGATTTCTTTGTTTCAATTTCATTTAGTTCTGCTCTGATCTTTGTTATTTCTTTTCTGCTGCTGCATTTTGGCTTGGTTTTCTCCTTGTTTCTCTAGTTCCTTGAAGTGTGATCTTAGATCATCTATTTGTGCTCTTTCAGACTTTTTGATGTAGGCATTTAATGCTGTGAACGTTACTCTTAGCATTGCTTTTGCTGTATCCTAGAGATTCTGTTACGTTGTGTCACCATTATCATTCAACTCAAAAAAAATTTAAATTTCCATCTTGATTTCTTTGTTGACCCAAAGATAATTCAAGAGCAGATTATTTAATTTCTATGTATTTGTATAGTTTTGGGGGTTCCTTTGGAGTTGACTTCCAGTTTTATTCCACTGGGGTCTGAGAGGATACTTGATATAATTTCAATTTTTAAAAATGTATTGAAACTTGTTTTGTGGCCTATCATATGGTCTATTTTAGACAATGTTTCATGTATTGAAGAAAAGAATGTATATTATACAGTTGTTGGGTAGAATGCTCTGTAAATATCTGTTAAGTCCATTTGTTCTAGGGTATAGTTTAAGTCTATTTTTTCTTTGTTGACTTTCCATCTTGATAATCTGTCTAGTGCTGTTAGTGGGGTATTGAAGTTTCCCACTATTATTAAGTTGCCATCTACCTTATTTCTTAGGTCTAGTAGTAATTGTTTTGTAAATTTGGGAGCTCCAGTATTAGGTGCATATGTATTTTCCTGTTTGATCCTTCATCTTTATATAATGTTCCTCTTTGTTTTAATTGTTATTGCTTTAAAGTCTGTTTTGTCTGACATAATAATAGCTACTCCTGCTCACTTTTGGTGTCCATTTGCACAGAATATCTTTATCTGCTCCATTCCCTTAAGTCTTTATGTGTTAGGTGAGTCTCTTGAAGACAGCAGATACTTGTTTGGTGGACTTCTATCCATTCTGCCATTCTGCATCTTTTTAAGTGGGGCATTTACGCCATTTACATTCAACGCTAATATTGAGATGTGAGGTACTGTTCTATTCATCATGCTAGTTGGTGCCTTTATACCTTGTTCTTTTTCCCCCACTGTGTTATTCTTTTACAAGTCCTGTGAAATGTATGCTTTAAGGAGTTTCTTTTTTTGTATATTTTGAAGTTTTGTTTCAAGATTTAGAACTCCTTTTACCATTTCTTGTAATGCTGGCTTGGTAGTGGTGAATTCTCTCAGCGTTTGTTTGTGTTAAAAATGTTTTATTTCTCCTTCATTTATGAAACTAGCTTTGCTAGATACAAATTCCTTGTGTGACAATTTTTTTTTTTTTTTTTTTTTTTTTTTAGTTTCAGGAAACTGAAGATGAGACCCCAATCCCTTCTTGCTTGTAAGGTTTCTGCTGAGACGTCTGCTATTAATCTGATAGATTTTCCTTTATAGGTTAACTGATACTTTTGTCTCACACCTCTTAAGATTCTTTCCTTTGTCCTGACATTAGATAAACTAATGACTGCATGCCTATGTGATGGTCTTTTTGTGATGAATTTTCCAGGTGTTCTTTGAGCTTATCACATTTGGATGTCTAGATCTCTAGTAAGACCAGGGAAGTTTTCCTCTATTATTCTCTCAAATAAGTTTTCCAAACTTTCAGATTTTTCTTCTTCTTCAGGAACACCAATTATCCTTATGTTTGCCCATTTAACAGAATCCCACATTTCTTGGAGGCTTTGTTCATGTTTTTATTCTTTTTTCTTTGTCTTTGTCTTAGTGGGTTAATTTGAAAGCCTTGCCTTTTAGCTCTGAAGCTCCTTCTTCTACTTGTTCTAGTCTATTGTTGAATGTTTCCACTGAATTTTGTATTTCTCTAAGTATTCCTTTCATTTCTAGAAGTTGTGATTGTTTTTCCTTTATGATATCTATTTATCTGAGGAATTTTTCACCCATATCCTATACTGTTTTTTAATTTCTTTAAGTTGGTTTTCACCTTTCTCTGGTATTTCTTTGAGTAGCTTAATAATCAACCTTTCAAATTCTTTATCTAGCAATTCAGAGACTTCTTCTGGGTTTGGCTCCATTGCTAGGGAACTGGTGTGATTTTGAGGAGTGTTGTAGAGCCCTGTTTTGTCATATTACCAGAATTATTTTACTTTTCTTTTTTTGTTTTTTCATTTGAGTGGACGAATTCAGTGGAGAGGTCTGAAACTCAAGGCCTGCTGTTCAGATTCTCTTGTGCCAGAGGATGATCCCCTGATATAATGCTCTCCCACTTTCCCCAGAGATGGGACTTCCTGAGAGCTGGACTGCAGTAATTGTTATGGCTCTTTTGGTTCTAGCCACCCAGCAGAGCTACCATGCTCCAGGCTGGTGGTAGAGGGGGTCTGCAAAAGTCCTGTGATGTAATCGGTCTTCAAATCTTCCAGCCATGGATACCAGCACCTACTCTGTTAGATGTGACAGGGAAGTGAAGTAGACTCTATGAGGGTCCTTGGTTGTGGATATGTTTAGTGTGCTAGCTTTCTTGAATGCTGGTTATACTAGCAGTGAAGTTGTCACATAGACACCCTTACGACTTCTGGTTAGCCAAGATGTTGTGGGCATTGGAATTAGGTGTCGTCTTCTTCTTTCTGAGATCAGAGTTATTCTGTCCTGAATTGCTATAATGGAGTTGGTTGGCCTCCAGCCAAGAGGTGGTACTTTCAAGAGAGAATTAGCTGCGGTAGTAGTAGGGGGCTCTAAGCTTGCCCTAAGATGGCCAGGGTAAGTATTTTGGTTTCTCAGGCAAAGGGATGGGCCATAAAACTCCCAAGAGATTGTCTTTTGTGTTAGGCTACCAGGGTGGGTAGATAAATATTATCAGGTGGGGGAGGCTTACGCAAGTCTTGGCTCAGACTCTCCTTGGGTGGGGCTTGCTGCAGCCACAGTGGAGAATGGGGGAATGGTCCTCAGGTCAATGGGGTTATGTTCCAGAGGGGATCTTGGCCACCTCTGCTGTGTTATATGGTTCATCAGGGAAGTGGGGGATAGCGAGAGGTCTCACCCAGCTCCCATACAGTTGGCGAGACCAGTCTCACTCCCGCAGTGCTCTGCTCAGGCCTTGCCCCAGGCCATGAGCTACTCTTCTGAGAAAGCTCCTATCTACAGATGCTCCCACATCCCCCAGACTTCACTCAAGAAAATTTGTACCCAGTCAAAACCACTGCCAATTTCAGGTGAGAGCTTCCTTTGCCCCAAGACCCTTTCCCAATTCCACTGGTTGCCTGCCCCGAGGTCCCCTGTGAGATATAGTGAAGGGATGGCTTCCTGGGGCTCAAGTTGGAGGCTGGGAGTATGTTCAAGGTACTTCCTGTGCTACTTGTACTTTCAAATTTCTTGCGACTCCCTAAACCCATTTCATCTCTAGGTAAGGTAAAATCCTTCTTTGGTGATCTGGATTTTCAGATTGCCAAGTGGAGATGTGTGTTCAGAGGTAGGTTTTTCCCCCTTTCACATTTTGGGCACTCACAGTTTTTCACCTGTTTCACAGAATTTGCTTCTTTCAAAGGATTGGTGAATTCCTTCAGTTTTCCTGGTATGTTTCTGCAGTGGTTCTTGGAACAAAAGATCATGGTGTGAGTCTCCAAATGCTGTTCTGTCCATACATGTGGGAGCTACATGTTAGCTTTGTCTCCTATCCGCCATCTTCCCCAGAATCTCTTGATATTTTAAGCTGGATTGATCTGACTTTAAATGTTTATCTCAAATATTATGATATAGTTACTATAAGACTATCCTCTCAAAATTTTTATTTTCTCATATAATAAATTTACTTCAATAACAAATACATGTTTATTATCACACAGGTTCAAGATGATATACAGGAATTCAGAATTGCAAAAAATGTGATCTTAGTCCCTAAGAATCTCACAGTCTGGTTAGAGAAGCATATACACTGGCCAAAAATGAAATGCAGAGGAATGCATTATCTGTCTCCTCAACCCATGCCTCTCCCATCTAATTTATCCTCTATAGTAGAGATTTTCTGCAGAGGCCTGGATAATAAATATTTTCACCTGTGGAGGCCATATTGTCTCTGTTATACCTACATTCATGGAAGATAGCACTTGTAGACATTTTCTTATATAAATATTTCTAAAACTAAGAGCAACATCTCAATTTGAAGATTTCAGGAGTAATGTAAAAGACTTCAGGCCAGGCGTGGTGGCTCACGCCTGTAATCCCAGCACTTTGGGAGGCCGAGGTGGGTGGATCACAAGGTCAGGAGATCGAGACCATCCTGGCTAACATGGTGAAACCCCATCTCTACTAAAAATACAAAAAAATTAGCTGGGCGTGGTGGCGGGTGCCTATAATCCTAGCTACTCGGGAGGCCGAGGCAGTAGAATGGCATGAACCCATGAGACAGAGGTTGCAGTGAGCCGAGATCACACCATGGCATTCCAGCCTGGGAGACACAGCAAGACTCTGTCTCAAAAAAAAAAAAAAAAAAAAAAAAAAAGACTTCATTCCCCTATCCTATCACAAAATGCTATGGACTAAAAGGGTAAACAAGTGGTTTTTAAACTTCAGTTTTAGTGGATTGCAAAAACAAGTCATTGGATCGTAGCCGCACTTTATAAATGATATAGAATAGAGTACAATAGAGTAGAAAATATCAGAATGCATTATACATACTAAGAATACATTTTATGTTTCTGTTTATATGTGCATATAAAGGTCTTTAATAAAAATTTTATTTCATATTCTTCTAAAGTTAGCAATGCATAGTCTTAAACTGACTAACTCAAATAATAGACAGGGCAAAAGTCTGTATGCAGATATGTAGGTGGTAAATGATTGTGCCTTAAGGTAACCAACAAATCCAAGAGGTAGCAGGGAGATGAGAAGGTGAAGGGGATGGTTCACAGATTCTAAAATGCTCCTGCTTCTCTGAATGGCTTACTGCATTCTTTTTAAATATTCAGCCTCTCACCTCAGTGTGAGTTATAAACACCTTTTCATTTTCTTCTATTAAGTACCTTTCCTCAGGACAAAACTTTGACCTGAAATGTCTCTTTTCCTGTACTTCACCTGGCAAAAAGCCCATTCATTCTTCCAGGCCCATCTCAAATGCTAGCTGTTTTGCGCAGCTTTGCATCAGTCCACCGGGCATAGTTAATCATTTTCTCCTCTTTGTTCTTTCAACACTGTGTTCGTGCTACTGCAGTAGCATTTATCACATTTTATTATGCTTGGTTTTATATGCCTTTCTCTCTGCTATTCCACTATGAGATTCTTGGGGATGGGGACAATTTTCATGACTAGTTGTAGACTTCCCAACACCCAGTACATTATCTGCGCATAGTAGGTGGTAGAGCCCTAAACGGAGAAAGCTTAGTGATGTGGTTAAGACTCTGGGCTTGAAACCCAGGATGCCACTGTGCAGTGGTGCAAACTTCGATAACTTATTTAGCTTATCTAAGCCAGCTTTCTCATCTGGCAGTGAGTATAATATGATTAATCGACAGTGTTACTGTAAGGATGAAATGGAATTATGATATCAGGCTTTACTGCAGTGCCTGGCATTTGATAAGTTTTCAACAAACAGAATTTACCATTAGTATTGCTGTCATTATTATTATGATTACTGTTGAAAGGACAGTGGAAATGGCTACTGGAACTGCTGATACAAACGTATATAGTAACTGATAGTGTCAAAAGTGATTTTTGAAGTAAATAATTAAATTTTGTAATATACTCTGTGCTTTAGAAGAGAATGATAATATGAAAAGCAAGTATTGTAGACTTCTGGATGTTTGTTTTTATATTCAACTGGCCATGTTACTGATTTTTACTCTTATCTTTCCTCGATATTTTAAACTATTTTGGGGGAGAGGTTGAGGGGGGAGGAATGGAAAACAGGATTAAAATAATACAATTTTGCTCCTGAAGACACTTCATCAACTTAATTGTGTAAAGTTGGGGCAGAATTTCTCAACATCACCACTATTGACATTTTGGGCCAGATCATTCTTTGTCATATAGGGCTGTCCTGTGCATTGTAGGATGTTTAAACATTCATGGTCTCGACTCACCAAGTAATAGGACCACATTGTTCCTCCCTTCATCTTGTGACAACCAAAAATGTTTGAGGGGCGTTTGATAAATATGCTCTGAACAAGGTGAGGAATGAAACCAAAAAGCAAATGTAAAGGTGATGATATCACCCTTATTATTTACAGAGCTGGGTTGGAGAAATGAGTTTCTGTTTGTAAACTGAGCTGGCTTGATAAAAATGAACACAGAAGAAGGCCGACTTATCCGCTGAGTTCCAGAGAGGAAAGTGTCATTAAAGAAGTAAGGAAAACTGATAATGTCTGAAGTCAGCTCATTCTCAAGAAAGAAGAATGGCAGGCATGGTCCTTTGCTGAACATGACCAGATTTTAATGATTTCCTTCCCATTTTGGATTTTAGGCAGACATGGTCAAATTAATTATAACCTTTGGTTCCTGACACCTTGTAATCACTGTCTATAGGGGCCAGCTTTTATTTATTTAAACAGTTATTTTTAATAATATAATTCATACCTACTAACATGCTACCCAAAATAAAGCTGGAAATGCAACAATTGTCGCATCGAAGCACATAGAGCTTCCCAAACCATCCTTCTGCCTCTTCCACTTGAGCAGCATCATCCTGATATTTATCTTTCTCAAATTTACCAACAAAATAAATCCCTCCACCTCCATGGGGTAGAATGAGCAAAGTCAGCAGGCAGAGGTCAGAAATTAGCTTCAGGAAAATGCTGCCTCAAGGAAAATTCTTCCTCAAGGAAACTAGGAAGGAAGAAAAGGTTTACCTTCTAACAGATGGTGTTGAAATTTGTATGTTTACTTACTGTTTCAGGATTTCAGGGTGTCCCTAGGAACTAAATATATGTCAATAAACTTTAAGAAGATTATGAGAAGTGTTTAGAAAGTGAAGGGCTATTACTTTTTATTAGTGTAGAACTGCTTTTGTTGAATTGAGTACATGGTGATGGTACTGGACATCCACAAACCTGGCATCTGCAAACCCACCTTCTCATTTTGTTCCCCTTAATACCCACATTTTATTTTACATGCTGAGAATATTTTATATTTTAATATAAAAAAAGTACTCTTTCTGTGGATTGAACCTCTCTCAAATATGAATTTTGTGATTTTATTTTCTTGCACAATGAAAAGAGTTCTTTCAATATTAGAAGCATACCATTTTACAGTTGATCCAATCTAACATCTCCTCCAGTGCAGCAAGTTAATAACAAATGGCACTATAATGACAGATTCAGGTTTATCTTACTACACACACACACACACACACACACACACACACACACACACAATCTATTTTTGCCACACTTCAGAATCTGGGTAGCAGTTGAAGAAGTACCAACATATGAAGTCACATATCCATGGTACCTGAGTTTCTCTGAGTTTTCAAAGGAGCTATGATTCTAAGTTGCATTGCAAACCACACGATATTACAAAGGGCACTAAGTTAAGGAAGGAGTGACGAGGAGTCCTCACTAAAGAATAAGCTCCGTGGCACAGGGATCTTTGCCGTCTTACTGCAGCATCTTTAGAATCTAGAACATAAACTGGTTCATAACTGTACCGTTATCTGGAAAAGCAGAGTCCTGGTGATAAATAACAACAATCACATCCAGTTCGTGAGCACATTCCATTGGCTGTGCCTTATGCTGTGTGGGTATACATTGGTAACTTAATTTAATCCCCCCAGCATGAGTGTTATTATTATCCTCAGCTGCTTTTTTTCTTGAGAAAACTGAGGCACAGAGGAGTGGAATGATTTGCTGTAGTTCATACAGTTAATAAATATAGAGCCAGAATTAGGACCATATAATTTCTGCCAGCCCATCTCCTCACAAACTGGAAAGGCAATGTAGCGGTGACCCAGCTCCTTGTTTTGCTTCTGCCATCAACTAAATAATGCTGTGCAAATTACCAGTCCTCTGCATATCAGAGTCCTTTTCATTGAAATGCTGAGTTCATAGTCAATCAAGAAGAGCCTGTCCATATATGAATAATCCGTGCACAATCTTTAGACTAAGATACATCAGTATTTCTGATATTTTATTACATATTCAAAGAAAGCTTGAATTGATCTTAATTTCCACAAAGTATTTTATGTTTTTGATGACATATCCCTTCTTTATTTGCTTTGTGTTGAAATTACTTTGGTATATTGTCTAAGGTTCAACTAGGGAATGATTTCTTGGTTATTTCAGATAAAGATCATTAAAAATAATGTGTGCCTAGATTGGGAGAAATGTGACTAGTCTCAGGCAAAAATAGAAATTAGATAATAGGTACATGAACTTGAATAGCTCTTCATCCCTATCCTTTAATGCGACATGTGCAATTTAGGCATTGGTTTTTTTTTTTTTTCTTTTAACTTTTAGTCAGTTCCCTTAGCCCTTATGGAACTATTTTAAAAATAAAATAAACCTGCCTTTGTGAACACCGGATTGTAGATTAACCCACACTGTAACAAACAAGGAAGGGGTAAGATTTCGAAGGCAAAGATGTCTTCACTTGAATCTTGTCTCTGCTACTTTCTACCTATGCAGCCTTAGGGCACTTGATTTCAGAGCCTCCAGTTCACCATTTCTGTAATAAGAACAATATACCTATCAGATACCTCCATGAAAAGAATGAAAACTACCCTTGTTAGGAAACAAATCAAGCATAAATGAAAAGGTATGTCTTAAGCCCATCTTGGTGAAGGTGAACACCTTGTATGATGATGATTACATTGTATTCTAGTATCAGGTTTATATTGTCTGGATATTAGACAATTTGTTCCTGGTCCGTGTCCGTGTTTCACAGTCATAACAATTCTGTTATCAGCTAATTTTATTTAACAGGATATTTATATAACACTATGTGCCGAACACCATTTTAAGTTCTTTGTAAATGTTAACTTATTTAATCATCGTACTACTCTGTTTATTCTAATATCTGCACATCCTTAGAACATCACAGACATCTCGTGCTCTCCTCATAAAACCCTCCACTGTATCATCATTTCTACTTAAAGACTGAGTAAATCAAACGCATATACCTACGATGAAACAGCATCAAGTCTCCTAACCAGGTCTGCAAAACTTAGATGAAGTGCAGTTTCAACTCTGCACTAAAGAAACCCAAGCTGAACCTTCTCTTTTCAAGCCCTGCCTTCTTTTGGTGCTACTTAAAACTTTTTCTTACTGGCTTTCCATCTGTTATTTTTAGCTTGCAAAAACACTTTACTGTTCTTTGAAATGTCAGTCACCACAGCCCACAAGGTATAATTTTTGGGACAAGAGATTTTACCTCCATCTCTACATGTGTATTTTATATATTTCGTTTTCTGTGATGAACTTACCATGGTAGGTACTATTTTTTTTTTTTTTTTTTTTGCATAGGCGAAGTGTTCTAAGATGCTAGAAACAGGAGATGATGTTTGAATTCTAAGGTACACACTATCCTTTGGCAGAGGCAGAGGAAGTTGAAATTAATTGCTGAAGCTATGAAATGTTAAATCATTCAAGGGATATTAAATAATGTGGAAAACAACAATATTGTGAGGGGTTCTACGTATTTGGAATAGTGTTCAGCTTTCTGAACACATCATGTGGCTTTTGAAGTTACACTCATATTAATTTTGAGTGAGCATGGCAAAATATAACCATGACATTTTTCTAGGGTGACTTTTTCAAACTACAATTAAAATTTAAAACATTTGCTCACCTATCTTTCTTGTGAATAAAATAAACTCAGGGTTAACAGTTGCAATATCTTCATTAATGAGAAATTTTGCACGTTTAGTACTCTAAATTCTTGGTTATCCAGCAAGGTTTGATATTAAATTAACTGGATGGAAGAGTTGCAGAATTGTTAGAATGAGAGTTTTACTATCAGAACAACCTGTAAAATGTAGATTAATTCATCTAACAAATCAGTTTTGAGCATCTGCTATGTGAATACATACTGAGGCTACAATACAGTGGTGAGTAAAAACAATTATGCTACTTATTCTTATGGGTCTTACAGTTCAGTTGATAAAGCAGGGGATGGTAATAAATTATATGTAAATTTACAATTGTATTTACTATTGCAATGGAGAGGTTCATGGAGCTATTTTATGCTATGCAAGTATGTACTAACGGGAACTAACCTGGTCTGGGAAGGCTGACAGCATAGCACTGGGAAGGAGTAAGAATAGCTTTGCAATGCTTATCAAGAAAACCTAAAAATCCATACCCTTGGGACCAGCATTTCCACACTGAGGCATTTTTCATAAAGGAATAGTTCAGGTTGTGCTAAGCATTTTAGCTATTAAGACAAGGCATTGTTTTTATTACCAAAATATTGGAAACAGCTTATATATTCAAATGTAAATGATTAGTTACATTTATATTATAAATATTAAGCTATATGGACTATCAGAAATCTTTTTTAAAGAACATAAAAGTTTTTATTGTCATAAGAGATGTATAGTGGAAAAGATTAGGTTACAAAATAGTGAACATTAGAAAGGCCTTTACCTTCATCCTGACCCTACCCTTCCTAGTTACTCAATTTATTCTATTTGATTTCAAATGTATAAATGAGAGTAAAAGTTATAGCGGTTACTACTAGCTACCATTTAGCGCATGCCAGCCCTATGCTAAACATTTTACATCTGTTATTTCAGTTGATTTCATATAAACCAGTGAAATAGGTATTATTACATTTATTTCTTTTTCTGTATGGAATTTTTAAATGTATCAATACAGATGTGTATTCCCTATGCAACAAAGAAAGAATTGCTTCAGTGCTCCTGCTGTTTACCGTGAATTTATCTATTGCATTTTATCTAAGATAAATACTTTGTTCTCTTGCAACAGCTTTCTGTGAAGAGGGCTGCAGATACGGTGGAACGTGTGTGGCTCCCAACAAATGTGTCTGTCCATCTGGATTCACAGGAAGCCACTGCGAGAAAGGTAATCTAGCTTGTTTTATGGGGGATAGGGACAAAGATTGGTAGAAAGATTGATTCAGAAAGAATAACAGCTCTTTCTTTAGAAATAATACTGTGGGTTGACTTGATACATTGTGTTGTGACGGTGGATGGAGCTCTCCCAAAGTGGGTACCTTGCTTAAAAGCCTCCCACTCTCTGAAAATAGAGCTTCATTCGCCTTCCCTCCAACGATTTAATTTTAGCAAGGTCAAGTATTTTCTCTGCTATAGCTCAGTGTGCATTTTTAGTGCTAATTAGAGATAAAGCCTGATGAACTGACCTGCCTCACTTATCATCTACTGGGTAGCATCACACACAGTTATTAGAATTATAACAATCTGCTGTGTCAACGGAATCTAAATTAGCAGCACATGCTCCTTGCGTAAAACCACATTAAATAATTCCAGCAGCAGGTTTATTGGTGTGCTTGAGATTTTATTCTAATATTGGTTTATTAGGAACATTATCATTCATAGACCTGATAATATAAGCCAATTAGCGTAAGTAAGATTACATTATGTGCAACTTTCTATTTGCAATAAATGTTGTGTTTACATTTGGCACTGTTTGGTGAAATCCAACTCTTATTGATTGGAGAAGCCCTCCTATTTGTGTATAAGTGAAATTTGATGTTCAATGCCAATGTATGTGTCAGTGCAAACAAGGGGTTTATGACACGTAAAAGTGAATATTTCAGTTTGTTCTTCCATGTGTTTTGTTAGGGTAAAATCACTGCATTGTGTTTTTGTTCTGGCTCTGGAATGTCACACTTACTGCTTTTCATATCATAGCACAGAAAAATGGAAATAGGATGTCGCATTTATTATCCTTACTATTACATGACGGGGGAGGTGTCTTCATCTGGTGCCAGAGATATAAGCAAAGTTCTTGTTTCCTTTCCTTCATGTTTAGAAGCTTCTGAATTTAGATAACATTTTTTTATGTGCCCATTTATTATTTCTCACCCTGACCAACCTGTTATATTGCACTGCCTGTATATTTATGAGGCAGTCTAATCCTTTTAAAGACATGCCAAAAGGTAACTAAAATTGTTCAGTAAGGAAGTCAGTGAACAATATTTGCACCACTGTTTCTATATTTTGTGACATTATCAACAAATAAAAATATAACAAATAATAACTGTTTTTTCTTAAAAAAAACATATGAAAGAACCATGTACTACCTTTGCGCAGCGCAAGAGAATTACCACATAGAGCTAAAGAATTCTTGCTAAAAGCAAAGAAACTTAAGGGTAGCTTAGGACACATGTCTTTACTGAACTACATTTAATTTTAAGTAGGTTTTTTAAAATGAAAAAAAAAACAAAAACTAAAAGATTCTTACTGCTTCCTGTAGAACTGCTGTATTTCCCTAAACTGAATACACAGAATTAATGGGGAAAGAATGGTAATAATGATGCCAATAATCATGAATACTACTACTAATGATATGTCATTTATTTGCAATAATTGTTAGGATTTTTAAATGAATATTTTAAGATTAAACAAAGGAGTTAGATATTATTACTCTTATATGTAATCAAACTAAAATTTAGCTGGTGTAAGTAACTTATGCAATTATTAGAACTGAGAATAAAACACAGTTGTATCTCACAAAGCCTGTGTTATCAAACCTTGCATGGGTTTTTCAAGGATACTAGATGGATTTTTTATTAAAATACATATTCTTGGGCCACCTCTCCAAACTAGATGGAATATCAGGGGGTGGTTTCACGAATCTGCATTTTCACCAAGCACCTCAGGATATTTAACCATAGCAACTACTGTAACATTCTTATTTTTTTACATTAGAAATAACTGGAGGGAAACATTACCTTAGACCAGGGCCTGTGATCAGTAGCAGACCAGGAGGAATTGATTATGGTGTCTCATGCCTTCTTGATTTGTCCTTTGTCCTTTTCTCTGCTGAGTAAGTGGGTGATTGCATCAGTGCTTACAGTCTGGTTTGTAATGTGAAGTCAGAAAAATATAAAGGAGAAAATCAAGACCAGGGAAAAAGTTAGACAGAGATAGGCAAGCATGGGTCCCTATGTAAATATTAAAGTTGACATGGAGAATTGCATATTCTTGAACTCTTGCACAGTCATCATAAAGGGAAAAAATACAATAAAACAAGATTTCTCTGCATTTAATGCTATACTTCATCTGTAGCAAAGTCATTCCACTTAATATTGGCCAATACTCAAATTCTATCAGATTTTTCATGGAATGAATAGAGTACATAGTTTTCAGTCAGTTGTGTGCAAGGGATCTAAATAAATTATAGGCTAAACACTGAAAATCTGTGCCATTATCTTGTCTGAGTTATTTTGTCATGTTGATCATTAGCAATAAACATTAAATAAGTCTATTTGCCTTCAAATAGTTGTGCTAGATGCCTTGAGACTCATAGTGCCAAAGGAAAAATGCAAATGAATTGTGAATGTCTTGTGGCATGATTACACTAAATCTTTCATTTGATTTGTTTTAATTTTAAGACTAAGTAAATGGTCCCATTTGAGCTATATAGAATCCACTTATGTTTAGTCTGAAGCATGTTCTCTTATCCCCCTAGTTACTGGTTTTATTCATTGCTTGCAATATTCAGCCTTTCAAAATTCAAGTACACTTAGTAAAATCAGTTAAATAATTTGTTAAAGAAAATTCCTGTCTGATGTTAATAATCCCACTTGTGTTTGGTATGTAACACACAGATGAACAACTCTGCATTTACTTTCCATTGATGACATTTCAGTAACCTTAAACTTTTCATAACCCCCCTTAAGCAAACACTTTGCCTCCTTTGGTTTCTAAACAACGTATAATTCTAGTTCTTCTCCTACCCTTCAACTTCCTTCTCTGTGTGCTTAGTTTGATTTGGTTTTACAATTAGCATGGAGATGTGTAAAGAGAAAGATGAGTGAAGAATCAGTAAGAGGAGTAGTTTTGCCACTCTTAGGATGGAAAAGGGCTGCTGGTGAATGCTCTCTTCTCAACCTGGCTAAGAACTAAAAGGACAGAATGCCACACGGATGTAATGTAGCCACCTACAAAACAGCATGAAACAACACAAAGTCCTCCTAGAGAATTTTCACATGTAAAATCAAAGAGCTACACTAAATCCAGAGATATGTTAACTGCCACAAAACAGCAGAAAATCACCCTCTAAGAAGTATGTAAGACTAAGTTTTCTATTTGGTACTTTTTTCTATTTTTTTTTAGTGGCTTTAAACAACAAATGTTTATTATCTCATAGTTTCTATGGTTTGAAATTTGAGAGCAGCTTAGCTGAGTGGTTCTAGCTCAGGGACTTTTATGAGATTGCAGTCAAGATGTTGACTGGGCCAGTGATTGTCTGAAGGTTGGGGAGTCTGTTTCCAAGATGGCTCACTCATGTGGCGATTGGCAGGAGGCCTCAGTTTTTCATTTTGTGGGCCTCTCCACAGGCTACGTGAGAGGCCTTATAACATGGCCACTGGAATCCTGCACGTCAAGTGATGAGAAAGAGAGTGAAAGCAAGGAGGAAGCTGTAATGCTTTTTGTGACTCAATCAAATGCTGTTCACGTTGGCCACGTTCTGTTCCTTAGAGGAGACTCACTCTAGCCCACACTCAAGGAGAGAGGAATGAGGCACCACCTCTTAAAAAAACGATTGTCAAAGTATTTGTGGGCATATTTTAAAACCACCACACTGTGAACCCTGTTACTTATTCTCAAACCTTGGCTCTGATTTTAAACTCCTTGCTTTGGAACCTTTTCCATACCTCTCAAACTTCCCTTGAAATTTTCTGGTTTTAGTCTTTGACTCCCTACATCTTGTACTCTTGATCATGGAACAGGATATATTGTTTACTTATCTGACGTTGAACAGCCACAAACTGGGATTCAGCTACCAGGCTGTGTGGAACTGACTGTGTGTGTCTGTGTGTGTGTGTGTGTGTGTGTGTGTGTGTGTGTGTGTGTATGGTCTTCTGTGTGTGCACATGCAGGTGTGGACTTGCACATCCAAACAGAGAAGAAGGAAGAAGGCAGGAGTTTATGGATGTGAATGTAGGTTGATCCTAATGTGTGTTCTTAATCCTTTTTTCAACTTTTATTTTAGATTCAGGAGTTACATGAACAGGTTTCTCACCTGTGTATACTGCATGATGCAATAAAATCCTAGATATAGGATGAGTAATCCTGTCACTTAGGTACTGAGAACAGTACTCAATAGTTAGTTTTTCAGCCTTTGCCCCCTCCTTTCCCACTCTAGTCGTTCCCAGTTTCTATCATCGCCATCTTTATGTCCATATTTACCTAATGCTTCGCTCCCACTTATTAGTGAGAACATGAGGTACTTGGTTTTCTGTTCCTGTGTTAATTGACTTAAAATAATGGCTTCCAATTTCATCCATGTGTCTGCAAAGGACATGATTTCATTCTTTTATTACTGTTTAGTATTCCATGGTGTATATGTACCATATTTTCTTTATCCACTCCACTATTGAGCACTTAGATTGATTCTATATATTTGTGAATGTCTACTGTGAATAGTGCTGCAACGAACATGTGAGTGCATGTGTCTTTTTGGTAGAAAGATTTGTTTTATTTTGGGTATATATACAGTAATGGGATTGCTGGATCAAATAGTAGTTTTAAGTTCTTTGAGATATCTCCAAACTGCTTTACACAGTAGCTAAACTAATTTACATTCCCACCAACAATGTATAAGTGTTCCCTTTTCTCTGCAGCCTCACCAGCATCTGTTGTTTTTTGACTTTTTAATAATAGCCATTCTGACTGGTGTGAGATGGTATTTCACTGTGATTTTGATTTTTATTTCTCCAATGATTAGTAATGTTGAGCATTATTTTATATATTTGTTGGCTGCTTGTATGTCTGTCATCTTTTGAGAAGTGTTTGTTCATGTCTCTTGTCAATGGAGTTATCTGTTTTTGCTTGTTGAATTGCTTATGTTCCTTATATATTCTGAATATTAGGCCTTTGTTGGAAGCATAGTTTGTGAAGATTTTCTCCCATTCTGTAGGTTGTCTGCTTACTCTGTTGATAGTTTATTTTGCTGTGAAGAAGCTCTTTAGTTGAATTAAGTCCTACTTGTCAATTTTTGTTTTTGTTGCAATTGCTTATGAAGAGTTAGGCATAAATTCTTTCCTAAGGCTGATGTCCATAGTGGTGTTTTCTAGATTTTTTTATAGGATTCTACAGTTTGAGGTCTTATATTTAATTCTTTAATCCATCTTGAGTTAATTTTTTGTATATGGTGAAAGGTAGGAGTCCAGTTTTATTCTTGTGCATATGGCTAGCCAGCTATCTCAGCACCATTTATTGAATAGGGAGTCTTTTTCCCACTGCTTATTTTTGTCAACTTTATTGAAGATCAGATGGCTGTGGGTGTGCAGCTTTATTTCTGGGTTCTCTGTTCTGTTCCATTGGTCTCTCTGTCTTTTTTTACAAGTACCATGCTGTTTTGGTTATTGTAGCCATATAATATAGTTTGTTGTCAGGTAGTGTGTGATGCCTCTAGCTTTGTTCCTTATGCTTAGCATTGCTTTGCTATGCAGTCTTTTTGTTTCGGTTCCAAATGAATTTTAGAATATTTTTTTCTGGTTCAGTGAAAACTTGTATCAGCAGTTTGATAGGAAAAACACTGAATTTTGTAGGTTGCTTTGGGCAGTATGGCCATTTTAATGATATTGATTCTTCCAATCCATGAGCATGGAATGTTTTTCCATTTGTTTGTGTCATCTATGATTTATTATAGCAGTGCTTTGTAGTTCTCCTTGTAGAAGTATTTCACCTCCTTGGTTAGATGTATTTCGAGGTATATTTTTGTGTGGCTATTGTAAATGGAATTGTGTTCTTGATTTGGCTGTCAGTTTGAACGTTATTGGTGTATAGAAATGATACTAATTTTTATACATTGATTTTCTATCCTGAAACTTTACTGAAGTCATTTATCAACTCCAGAAGCCTTTTGGTAGTCTTTAGGACTTTCTAGATATAGGATTGTATTGTGCATGGAGAGAGACAGTTTGACTTCTTCTTTTCCTAATAGGTTGCCTTTTATTTCTTCCTCTTGCCATATTGCTCTGGTTAGCACCTCCAATACTATGTTGAATAGGAGTGGTGAGAGTGAATATCTTTGTCTTGTTCCAGTTCTCAAGGGGAATGCTTCCAGTTTTTGCCCATTCAGTATGATGTTGGCTGTGGATTTGTCATAGATGGCTCCTATTATTTTGAGGTGTGTTCCTACAATGGCTAGTCTGTTGAGAGTTTTCATCATGAAGAGATATTGGATTTTATCAAAAGCATTTTCTGCATCTATGGAGATAATCATATGGTTTTCATTTTTAATTCTGTTTATGTATTGAATAACATTTATTGATTTGTATTTGTTGAACCAACTTCACATCCCAGGAATGAAGCTTATCTCATCATGGTGAGTTAACTTTTTCATATCCTGTTGAATGCAGTTTGCTAGTATTTTATTGAGAATTTTTGCAGCTATGTTCATCAGGCACAATGGCCTTTAGTTTTCTTTTATCATTGTACCTTTGTCAGGTTTTGCTATTAGGGTGATGCTGTCTTTGTAGAATGAGTTAGGGAAGAGTCCCTTTTTTTGATTTTTTGGAATAGTTTTAGTAGAATTGGTCAGCTCTTTGTATGTCTAGTAGAATTTGACTGTGAATCCATCTGGTCCAGGGCATTTTTGCATGGTAGAATTTTATTATAAATTCAGTTTTGGAACTTGATATTGGTCTATTCAGCATTTCAATTTCTCTCTGATTCAGTATTGGGAGATAATGTGTTTCCAGGAATTCATCCATTTCCTCTAGATTTGCTAGTTTGTGTATGTAGTGGTGTTCATAATAGCCTGTGCGGATCTTTTGTATTTCTGTGGGATCTGGTTGTAATGTCATAGATCAGGATTTCTTAACCTAGAAGACACTATTGACATTTTAGTTCAGATAATTCTTTATTGTGGAGGGCTGTCTTATGCATTGTAGGATGTTTAACATCATCCCTGGACTTTATCCATGAAATGTAATTAGCAGTACACCTCCAGCTGTGACCATCAAAAATGTTTTCATACCTATCACCTTAAACCTTTGTCGTTTCTTTGTGGTGAGAGCATTCAAAATTAAATAAAGCTTTTAAAAAGTCTCTAGTAAAATTAAGGAAAAATTCTCCAGACGTTGCCAAATATCCCCTGGGAGACAAAATTTCATCCCATTAAGAACTCGTGGTCTAGATGTAGCATTTTAAAAAGTCTTTTTAAAAAATATGCATATATATGTATATATATATATATATATATTATAGATAATCATGTCTCAGTGTTATTTGATAATAATATGAAAATTATAAGCTTTTTTTGACAAGAAAAACACTTAATAATCTCTTGAACATTTTTAGAAGTACTTAGGGTTTACTGTGATTAGAAAATGCTTAACCATTCAAGAGCCAGAGACTGGATGATATCCATCATGTGCTATGAGAGGCACACCTTCTTACAGTCTTAGGAACCAGGTTGGTATGGAAACTCAGCCTACTCTATGTTCACCCTCTCTCAATGGTGGAATAAACATGATTCTCCAACTCCACCCAAGGAACATGTGACTCCAAACCTTGTGTTCTCCTAAAGGAAGATAGTATACTTATCCTCTTTCTTAGAAGAAAAATTTAAATGTATGTAATAATGAAAGAATTTCTCTTATGGTGTAAGACTTAGACACACACACTTGTACATTTTTTTTTTTTTTTTTTGAGACAGAGTCTCACTCCATCGCCCTGGCTGGAGTGCAGTGATGTGATCTTGGCTCACAGCATCCTCCACCTCCTGGGTTCAAGCGATTCTTGTGCCTCAGCCTCCCGAGTAGCTGGGATTACAGATGTTCTCCACCACACCCAGCTAATTTTTGTATTTTTAGTAGAGATGGGGTTTTGCCATGTTGGTCAGGAGGGTCTCAAACTCCTGGCCTAATGAGATCCACCTGCCTCAGCCTCCCAAAGTGTGCCCGGCCAACACTTGTACATTTTAAGGAGAATTTGCACTGAAATGCTTTCTGTATTACAAAGCCACTCAATTAATCAGTTTTTTTGGTAGGAAATTGGACTGGGCTGTAAATCAAGTTATTTATTTATAGTGGTACAGACAAGCCTGCCAATTATACTACATTTCCACATTGTATATTATATGAATTATAGAGTGTATAAATACAATTGTGTAGATATCAGGTATCTATAACCAGTGATTTGTGAATCAGACTGAGAACTGGACACAACTACCCAAGTTGTAGGCTAGAACACAGTCTAGTATAAAATAATTGGAAAAAATATGCTGATGCTATAAAAATAGCAGACCTTGACTTTCTCCTCCACATTTGTTCAGAAATAGGTTCATTTACTGTAACTATTATTAAATAAACTCTCATAAGCTTTGAACCTCTCACAGTATCCAAGTGTTTTTGAAATATAGTAAGTATCTGATCAAGAATATTTAGGGATATCGGTAAAAAGCAAACAACTTTGAACAGCTTTGTTCATTCACAATATAATTTTGAGTGATTTTCTCCTGTTTTGCTTATATGATTTTCCAATTTTCAAAATAATACATTTAAATTATGTTTGTAATAACAAATGATTTTTAAAAGCTTAAAATAAAGAGAACATAACAGTCAAAATTTTTCTTAGTTACTTGTGATTTTTTGAACCTTTTCTAAAGGAAAAATTTTGCAGAAAAATTTATTCTACTCTCTTTTCTGTGCCCCGCGGACTTGCAGGTATGTAGACAGAGAGTAATAGTTTGCCTGAAGTATATTGTCAATTTACCAGGTAAAAAGAATGATCAGAAACAAAGACTTCTGTGCTCTTTCATATTTTATATCTTGCCTGTATTTTGAGAGATCCCTATCAGCATCCATCTATTGGTAACTGCTTTACCCATCCCTGTTACTGGGGGAGATTTTAAGAATTTTTAAGAAGGTGAATACTTATTCCCCTCCCATAACAGAGAATACAATATTTATTCTATTTCCTCTCCAGTTATCACAGGACTGTGGCAAGGGCATCTGGGGGGAGAATGAATGCAAAAGTACATCTTTACATCCATAGCAGACAGGAGAATTATTTAACTTTTCTCAATTTGAGCTTTCTCAGGTTGTCTGGCACATGATTACTTGCTCAGTAAATGGCAACTTCTATCATCAACGTTGCTTCTTTTCTTGTGCCTGATGCTCAGAAAGGAGTAAGCAGGGCTTCTATGGCATCATTGAAAAAGAGAAATATGAGGATTTGAGGTTTCTCTGCATTGCCCATTTAGTTAAACCCACTAGTAAAAGGAGGGTTGCAAATGCTCTTTTAAAATTCTATTAAAGTCAGGTAAATGTGAATATGGTTTGAAGAATTTCCTGTCCTGGATGTTTCCAGAAATTAAGAATGGCAGAAGAGAGGCATCAAACTAGAAGATGAGAGGAGCTTAAACCTGCTAAGACTGAGAGAATGTGATCATGTTTGGAGCAGCTGAGAAGTCTTGCCCTGTTCAGTAACCCCTTTCATCTCTTCAGTTCTACCCACTCAATGTTTTTCTTCTTTCTTGAATGACATCTCTGCTAAAGATCCAGCATACTTCCCTTGGATGAAAAATGGGGTTGACACACAGTTCTTAGAGTCACTTGAAGCTATTTCACAACCCTGTCCTTGATCCTGCAAGGATTTTCATCTTTCCAGGTTGCAGACATATGGAAAAATATCTCCAGCTGTTTTTACTCTCATTGTCCAGACAAACAGCACATTTTCAAGTCATTTCAATTAACTGGAAACATCAATGCCTTTTTTTCACAAACAAGAATTTGGACGAGAAAATAAAGATGCAGTCTAGTATACTGAAAAGAGTACTGTATTGATGATCAGAGGCCTGAGTTTTGATACTAAATCTGCCTCTGTGAAGTGAAATTTACATTAATCTACTATACATCTATTGTAAGCCCCAAATTTTGCATTTATTATTTCCTGTGAGGGAGTTACTTTTATCCTTTTGGACATATATGAGGACATGTATAAGTGTCATTCAGCCAGTCAGTAGTCAAGTTGAGATTCTAACCCGTGTATTGCTGAATCCAAATTTCATACACTTTGCTTTATAATCTGCTACCTCGTGATCATTTTGTCTGTGCCCAAGGGCAATTAAACTTAACAGATTATACAGGAGGTAAAGTAAATTATGTTTTCCTGTGAGTAATGAGCCATAATCTCTTATTTGATCATTTGCATTGTTTTACATATTCCTTTCAACATTTTTGTGCCTAAGACAGGAAAAGAGTAAACAAAAAAGGGGTGAAGAGCACAATCTCTGAAGTCACACTACCTTAGTTTTAGTTAAGCTGCCACTATTTACCCAGCTCTGTAACACTGGATCAGATTTACTTAACGTTTCTAAGTGTCGGTTTGCCACTAAAAAAAGAAAAGAGATGTTGATATTACTTACTTCATAATTTTATTGTGAGATTAAATGAGATATTGTACTTAAAATACCTGGTAGAAAGCCTGGAACACAGTGTCTAGAAATTGTAGCTAGTGATAACTTTAATTAACCAGGGGATAAAATTGAGACTCAGAAATAATAGGCTGCTTGCCCAAGGATACTCAGCAGGTAAACAGTAAAGCCATGTCTTATATTTATCTTTTGCTACTGAAGTCTCTCTCATTCTTCTATCAGTTCTTACAACCTCTCACTGTACAATTCAAGTGTAAAGTGATTTTATTTGTATCATCTTTCCAGCTCTATTCTCTCTGTTCCCACAAACATTTTATGTAACATCTTATCAAGCTAACAAAAGTTAATTTATGCAACAGAGTTCTGCTCTGGGGAAAGACTGAGCTGATTCAGCACCTGGAATAGTGGCATGTTTAACTTGGGTATGGTCCCTGGAAGGGATTTTTTTTTTTTTTTTTTTTTTTTTTTTTTGCTATTGTTTACTTCTCATCTCTTGGAGTTAAAATTGAAGATTTAACAGCAAGTTCTCACTGTATTATTGATAGCATGGGTGACTCTGTACATAGGAAGAGTTGAGATCTCATTCAAAAGGCTACCCACTTATCCTTCTACAAATATTTTCTTAGTTCTTCGTTGATTCCTCAAATTGAAGAAAGGCAAACATTCTAATTCTCAATTTGGCATCAGGAAACCTGGATTCTATTCTCCGATTCCACTACTCATCAGCAATGTGAATAGGGACAACCTCAGCTTTTCCATGTAAAATGGGAGTAATCATCCAAATATGTGGAAGGTGACTAATGGTTAATGCAGGCACAACTGATTTTTACAAGTGTTGCAAACATAGTTTAGTACCCAACTTTGGGACGTAGAAATCCTTAACAACTATTACATTATTGTCTATCAAAACTCTGGCATGGGAAAAATCAGATTTTTATATCTTGTTACATTACATTTGAATTCAGTAAACATTTGATAAATGAATAAATGAATAAGTATAGACAAGGACCCTCAATTTCACATGGTCCATTCTTTTGATTTTATAGATCTCAAGTTGTAATCACTTCAATTCAAACCTTATTGAAAAGACACCTAAGTTAAAGTATATTATATCAAGAATGGGGGAAGAAATGTCATTAACAAGAATAGAATAGAAATTTTGGTCTATTTCAAATAGCTTTGTCAGTCCACCTTTCCATAGGGCCCTTTGTAACTTTACCATTAATGAAGGGAGCTAGTCTTTTAAATAGATTGGCATTCTCTGTCAAATAAATAAAAGCTGTTAGAGATTACCTTGCCTATTTAGTAATGCAGAAAATAATTCTTGACTAAATGACAAGCAGATCCTGCTTCTCACCAAGCAAGCACACACTACTGAACTGTGAAAGTCAAGAGTTTGGTTCATATCCTCATTTTTAATCCTATATCCTGGGAAATACAAACACCACTGTAACTTTAAACACAAAGGATAAATAGGAAGAAAATCTAGCTTTCTGTGAAACCGTGAGCAACTGGAGCCCAGAAGTTACAAACTTTCCCTAGTAACTAGCCATAAGTCTTTGTATCCAAGAATATGCACTGCACTGTAAATCATGTGGAAAAAGGCTAATTGAAGCCAATAGCCTAACTCAGAAGGAATGTAACTCTTATGATTTGCATCATTTGCTCCTAGTAGGACTGACTGAATGATCAGAAAAA
Organism: Homo sapiens; assembly: GCF_000001405.40. Lineage (NCBI taxonomy): Eukaryota > Metazoa > Chordata > Mammalia > Primates > Hominidae > Homo > Homo sapiens. The sequence goes on from NC_000011.10 coordinate 21,383,162, forward strand.
GTAGTTCCTGAAAATATTCACTTAGATACAAAGTATGATGAATTGATTAATCAAACAGCAAGGTCTATGCATTTATTATGGTAGTGTCTGAAACGATAAGCAGTATTCGGTTTTTTTGGGCTAACGTGGTTTTAAAGCATTTTCCAGTTTAAGAGAGACCTTGAAGTTATCTATGGGTGGCAGCAATTTCAGCTAAATAGGTTGAGTCCATGAGGGGAGATCCTGGAAGATTATTTTATTAAAGAATATCTTACTAAGAAAAACACTTCAGGACCTCCTCAGTGCTTAAAAGATAAAGTCCAACTTACATAATATCTAAAGACTTCCATAATTGGGCCTCTTCCTACCTCTCCAGCTTTATCTCCTACTTCTCCTTAAAGAAATCTTAAACTGCAGCCCATTCTAAACTACTTCAAGTCACTGAAATGCACCTTAATTTTTCAAACCTCTGAGCTTTTGTTTGGAATACTCTTTCTGACTATTACACACCTACAGATTTATATATGTATATATATATATAAATATATCTGTATATATATTTATACATAAGTATGATATTAATAAAAAGAATAGAAAAATTAGTTATTGAGTGTTTCCAGTAATCCAGAATAGTCCTGATTTTCCCCCCTCAAAATGCTTTTTTTACAATACCCAATATTACTAACTAATCAGTACCAACCAGGCCCGACCCTTTGGCTTCTCAAGATCAGACAAGATCGGGCATGTTAAGGGTGGTATGGCCATAGACTCATATTGCTTCTTCTAAGTCTTCTTTCATTATATTTGATGGCAAACTATAATCTTTCACATTCTCTGGGCTGAGGTCTTGAAATCATCTGTGATTTCTTTATTTTGCACTGCACATTCAAATTCTTTGGCTTAACTTTTAAAATATATCTTAAATCCCAACTTCATATGATCTCCACTGCTATCACCCTTTTACATGACAACATCATCATCTCTAATCTAGATGATGGCATAAAACCTCTAACTCATCCTCCTTCCACTGTTATGCACCTGTAGTCTCTTTTTAACATAGTAGCCAAGGGGACATTATTGAAACCTAAGTTATATCTTGTCATTCCTCTGCTTCACATTCTTTATAGCTCCCCATTTTCACTGCGTAAAAGTCAAAATTATTACAATGGCCTATAAGGCCCTAGTTACTCTGGGCCCACCTGCCTATTAAATTTGTTTGTCCTCACCATTCACTGTGCTCTCCCTCACTTTTTATCCCCTTTTTCTGGCCATAATTGTCTTCTTGATTTTCTTTTTTTTTTACATTTATTTATTTATTATTATACTTTAAGTTTTAGGGTACATGTGCAAAATGTGCAGGTTAGTTACATAGGTATACATGTGCCATGCTGGTGCGCTGCACCCACTAACTCGTCATCTAGCATTAGGTATATCTCCCAGTGCTATCCCTCCCGCCTCTCCCCACCCCACAACAGTCCCCAGAGTGTGATGTTCCCCTTCCTGTGTCCTTGTGTTTTCATTGTTCAATTCCCACCTATGAGTGAGAATATGCGGTGTTTGGTTTTTTGTTCTTGCGATAGTTTACTGAGAATGATGATTTCCATTTTCATCCATGTCCCTACAAAGGACATGAACTCATCATTTTTTATGGCTGCATAGTATTCCATGGTGTATATGTGACACATTTTCTTAATCCAGTCTATCATTGTTGGACATTTGGGTTGGTTCCAATGTCTTCTTCATTTTCATAAAACATGTCAGTTATGTTTTCCTTACTTTTTAAAAATTATTTTATTACAATTTTTTAATGTATTTACTTTCAACTAACTCACATCATATTTTCCTTACTGCTTTGTTTGCTTGGAATGTTCTTCCCTCAGATATTTTCACTGTCGCCTCCCTCCTATGAAAAACGTTTCTGCACAAGCATTACCTCCTCAGACAGGCCCTGACCCCTATCTAAAATAATACATTTCCTCCTTCCCATTGCTGTGTTATTGTTCTTCGGAGCCTTTATCACTCTCTGACACAATAGTACTTTTCGTATGGCTTCACTGCCCAGCCAGAAAATAAACTCCAGAAGGGCAGGGGTTCTGTCTTTGCCATTATATTTCCGGAGACCAGGGTAGTACCTAGCACATAGGAACTGTGTGAAACATTTACTGAAAAAGCAGACAATTTAACAAGAAGAAGCTCTTTTAGTTTCGTATTAGTCTCTAAAGCCACAATACTGTTATGATACGTCTTGGGAAGGATAAAAAAATATTGTCGTCAATCACATGCCTGCATTCCTGATATTTTTGGATCATATGTAGCCAGAGTTATCCTTGATGTCTCCTTCTCCCTCACTTTTCCATTCAATCAATCACTACAGTGCATCTTTTTTTTCCCCTCCATCCTACCTCCTAGTATAAACCACTCATATTTGTTTTACGCCTGAAATGATTTCAGAACACAAGTCTTCAAGTCCCCAGTCTTACTCCTCCCTCACAGAAATGTTCTTCCGGCATTGCAGCCGGTATAATCCTTATAAAATATAAATATAATCAAATGTTTTCTCTGCTGAAAAAACTTAAATGGTTTCCAGTGCTTTCATTATAAACACCAACCTTCTTACAGTAGCATCAATGACTCGCTCCGAGTAGCTTTTCCATTTTAACTTTTAATCAATATTCCTCCTGCACTAAACATTGTCAGATTTTATCAAAGCAACAATCTGCCTCTGTCCATGGTATTGCTCTAGCTGGAACTCTTTGGATTTTCTTTCTCTAGTTTCCTTCTCCTTCCCATAATATCCAGTCCCCATCTTTTCCTATTTTCTCACATAGATTGTAAGCTTTTCTTCCAAGATACTTTTCAGACTCCTTGCTCAAGATTAGGTTCCCTCCAGTGCACTCCATATCAACTTGGTTTTTCCTTCATAAAATGTATTACATTTAATTTCATGTTTACTTGTTTTCTCTTCCATCTCTTCTTACCACCCATCCCTGTATTACAACCAACATTTGTTTAACTTCCCTTTCTAATCACCCCCACCCCCGCCAAAAAAAAACCCTTCAAAGTATTACTAAATCTATGTAGTAATTATTAACCCAGAGTGTCTCCAAACTGAAACACTATTTTTCTTTTGTTCCTTTCCTGCTGGTGCCATTCTTCCCATTCCAAGGTGTTAATTATAGGAAACATAAATGAGGACATGTTGGATTTGCGTATCATGTTCTGAATGACAGAAGCATTAACATCTTTTTTTAAAAAAACCTTGATATTCATAAACTAGATGGTTCATTTCAGGAAGATAAGTGAGTCCCCACTTCCTTCCATAGACAAAGCTGCAGGCTTTCATAGAACATTCCTGATCAGATAAGCATGGCCAGATATAGTATTTTCCTGGTTCTTAAATTGCCCAGCAGTTTCTTTTGGAGCAGACCATCTGATTGGAATGGTTAAAGAACTGCGGACTGCACTATTAAGCACTTTTAAATCTACTGTCAGCAAATTATTATGGTACTCTGTTTCAGTAAAATGATGCTAACACTGAAGGGCAAGGCTGACATTTTTCCAGATGCTTGGTCTCCAGCTATGTGGAAATACTGCATTCACTTGTATGTTCTCCATAAATTCTATGCCTTCGCCTTTTGGAGATGTTTACATTTATTTTTGTACATATATTTTTCCCAGTGTCTTTCACAGTACCAATACTTCCCTAGTCTCTGAAAATTAGAGTCAGAATGGTGAAGGAACCATTTAAACGACATAGCTCTTATTTAATGTTTAGGCTAGACCTTCATTTAAGCTAGACTTTGTGCTACAGGATTGATGTATGCCACTTAATCTTCATAATCCAGAAGGTGAGCATTGACCAACATCCTTCACCCCACATTGCTCGTCTAATTTCACCACATATTTTTACATCCCTTCCCCCGACCATGTTTTAAACATATCAGCAATACCTCAGGGCGTTTGCACCTAGTGTTCTCTCTTTCTGGGGTGTTTTTCCTCCATATATATCCAGGATTCATTTCTTAACCTGCTTTTAGGTCTCTATTTAAATGTCACTCATTAGTAAGGCATTTTCTACCATTCCATTAAAATTGCAATACTGAATCTTCTCCCAGATAATAGCACCTAATTTCCCTGCTGTTCATTTTTTCTATTGCACTTTTCACCATTAAAGACACTAAAAGTATCACTAATCTATCTTGTGTATTGTCTCTTCCTCCCACTTGATGGTCACCCACCATGAATGCAGAGATTTTTTTGTCAGTGTTTGCTGCTACAGCCCAGCTCTTGGAACAGTCCCTGGAACTCAGTTTGCACTCAAGAAATATTTATTGAATGAATGAATCAATGATTATTCTAATTTATTGGGTAAACTGAGATTATGTACTGGTAAGGTAGTACGGACAAGATTATAGGATTAGGAGGTGTCAGAGCTGTGATTTGAACAGCTCTTTGTGCCTCAAAGCTCAGGCTTTTAAAAACTTCCTTTACCACTCTTCTCACAAAAGCAAGGCTGAATACAACAAAAGTTTTGACAACTGCAAGAGCTCATATCTTCTGTGTTTTTTCTCAATTGAACTCTGAATTCTGAGTGTGTTACTATAGTAACCCTATATACCATCTACACCACATCGATATTCTGAGAGACTTTCTTCATCATTCTTAGGTTAATACACTCTTCCTTGTAAGGGATTGCTATAATAGTAATATTTTATATTAGTGCAGATCTTTAAAGTGTCTAGTGCATTTTTCCAGGCACTATATTATCTTTTTAAAAAATCTCATAACAATTTAATGAGGATTATATTACTGTCATCATCCTGATTTTACAGATGAGAAAATTGAGGCTAAGAGGTTAAAGAAATTGCTTATGTTTGTAAAGCTAAGAACAAGGGGACAGCTGGAACTTAAATTCTTGTCTGGTGTTTAAAATTCTATGTTTTTTTTTTTTTCTGGTATGCCATACTGCCTTCAGCCTTCCTTCTACAGAGGTGTTCATTTTTCTTGGGCCAAATCATTAATATGGAGGTTTTATATTGAAAGTGTCAGAAAGATGACATTGTAATACCTGTAGCCACAGGGCATTTCTACATCGGGGCAGTGGGGTCACAATATGCCTTTTTGAGCTGGGCATTTTTTGCCACTCACCATGTGACCTTGATCAAGTTATATAACTTCTCAATCTGTATCTCCCAATATTGTTATAAAAATTAGAGAAAGTCTAATTAGCAAACAGTAGGTAATATAAATTAGTAGGTAGTGAAGAGTCATAGGGTACAAACTGTTATCTAGAGCTTCTGTATTTGAGAACAAGAACAATTTTATCAGTCATAGCTAATATTTCTATAGTTCTTTATAGTCACAGACACTTTCAAAGACATTTTCTCTTTGCAGCATCTCAACAAAACAGTGTCAAGTAAGTTTAATTCCCGTATTACCCACAAAGAAATACATTCATATAGGTTAAATAATTCATGTAAGTTCATTCTAATATGAATCATTCAGTTCCACTGCTCCAAGCTTTGAACTTGAAGTAGAATGAAAGCAACATGAGCTTCTCAATGATGCCTCTTTCTTCAACAGGGATGAATAATTATGCATTATCCTAAAAAATCCCCACATGTTAAGGTATGGTGTAATACATCCCCAGAGAAATACAATTTTAAAACCCAGAGGGAAATAACATTTCCGGAAAGATGTTCTCAGATATCTACTGTACCAACAGTTTGGAAATTTCTGAATAGGCATCTAAAATTAGTTTCATGTATACCTATAGATCCTTCCCTGGTTGAACACTGTCATCTTTCTTTTTTTCAAGGAAAACTTATTTTTAAGTCAAGTAAGTACATTCCAATGACAGGAACACTACACTCGTATTTTCATGTTTTAATAGTTACTAGTCCCCCATTTGCTGGTTATCTAAGCAGAGAACCTTATCATACTCTTCAGTCTATCAATATATCAATAGCTAGTATTTTTCAGATGGGTCTGTGCCAGCCACCATTGTAGTACTTAAATGGATTATAGGATCTATGCCCTTATTATTCTCTCTTATAGGTGAGGAAACTGAGGCTTGAAAGAGGTAACATGTTAATAATCACACAGCTGTTTGTTAGGTTTGAGACTGGGATGTCCATCTATGGCAAAATAGGCAGTTTCTGGTTTTCTAAGTTATTAAATATCTGCATTGTTGAAAGTATTCCTGAAAAATAATTTATGCTTTTAAATTTAAGTCACTCTGTCTTTCTCTCCTCAATTCTTATAACCTTTAGCAGAATCATTATTCAGTAAAACTTTGGATTAGTAAATGTCACATTCTGCTCTCCCTTCCTTAAGGCTGCTCTCAAGCCTTGAAATAATTCTAAGAGTACAGAAAGAGGGAAAAGCAGGTCTGGAAAACTCACAAAAAGTTAACAAACTTTTGAAAACTATGATATGTATATAGAAAAGCACACCAAGAGGAACCACTCTCCTGGCTTCCAACACTCCAGGTCAGTTTTCCTGTTTTTAAATGTTGTACAAATCGAATCAGACTATAAGGCCTGTTTGTGTCCAGATCCTTTTGTTCAACATTAAATTTGTAAGATTTATTCATGCTGTGAATTGGTTGTAATTTGTTATTTCTCACTGTGGAATAGTATTTTATTTTGTGGATATCCCAAAATGTATTAATCCATTTCATTGTTGGACATATGGGTTGTTTCCAGTTTGGGCTATTTTGCTGCAATAACTATTCTTGTATATGTCCTTGGGTGACCATATGTATGTATTTCTATATACCTATATATCTAGGAATAGAATTGCTGGGCATGCTTAGGTGTAGTTTTAGTAGATACTGCCCAGTTTCCCAAAGTTGTTATACCCATTTATATTCCTAATAACAATAAATGAGAATTCCAATTGCATTGTAATTTTGTCAGTACTTACTTATTACCTGCCTTTTTCATTTTAGCCATACTGGTAGTGTGGTAATTACATTATAGTTTTAACTTGTACTTCACTGAATGACTTACCTAGTGGAACATATATGCTTATTGATCATTTGGTTATACTGGCTTGTAAAGTACCTATTTAAGAATTTGGCCCTTTTATTTATTGTGCTACCTGTTCTTTTTGAAAGCACAAAGTTTTAAAAAGTCAAATAGTTCTATAAGATTGGCTATAGCTCCTTGCTCCTATTCTATTCCAGAGTCAAACATTTTCTTTCCCATCTCTATAATAACAATGATAATAATAATAATAATAATAAATAATATATTTACATTACTATTTCTAGAGTTTTTTCAGTTTTAGATGTTACCTATTGACTTCCCACCATGGAAGATGAGGAGTTCTTTTTTCGACCGCTCATCCACAGTGTGTGTGGATGAACACACACACACACACACACACACACACGTGCGCACGCACCCAAACACTTCCCATTTCTCTATTCTGTATATTAGATCAGTATTCAGTGTTTACCTTATTATGTATATGTAAGCAATATTTATAGGTGAGCTATGAAGTTGGCTATTATTACTTCTTTATTACACAAATGTTTGCTTTCTCTGGATTTAATGATTACCTAATTTTGTTATTGCTGTTTGTTCAGTTTTTCATTCACTCAATGTTGGGTCAACCTCAGATTCTCTGCTAATAATAATGTCCTCCCAATACATTTACATGTATTTGATATTTTATAATGTTAATTCCATGAAATAAATTTTTCCAGAACATTCTGCCCACTTCATTCTATACTGGAAGCTCTTTCTGTCTACAACACAACTGTTTCCATGAGGTTTTTTTTCAACATCATCTCTTTTTTGTTGTTGAATCTCCTGTTCCTGAATCCTTTGTATTTATCCTTTTCTGGATTATACCCCTATCTTTATAGAACAGATTTTCAATTAACTTCTTGAGGAAGGGTGCATAGAAACTAAGTTGTTCAAATGTTGCACATCTGAAAATGTTTTTATTCTTCCTTTCTACTTAATTGATAGTTTGAACGGGTATAGAATTCTAGGTTATATAAAACATTTTTCATCAGAATATTGTAGGATTAAGTGTGTTGTCACATTTTTTAGTACAACTTTTGAGAAACTTAATATTGTCCTATTCTTGTTAATTTATATAAACTCTACCTTTCTCTCTCTGAGAAACTGTGGCCGTTTTTTCATCCTCAGGAAATTTGATGATGATGTGGCTTTGTGAGCATCTATTGTTAAATCAGTGGGCTGGAGACTTTGAAAAACCTTTCAACTTAAAAATCCCTGGTTTCATTTCTGGGACTTAAAAAAATGTCCCCTACATCTTCTCTGTTCTTTATTTTTGGAACTCTTATTATTTGGGTGTCAAACCTTTCAGATTTCTTTTCTAATTGTGTTATTACTTCTGCCTTACTTTTCATATTTTTCTTTTTATTATTATTTTTTTCTTTTTGTGGGGTGATGGAGGAGACATTTCATCAACATTATCTTCCAAATTAATTGAGTTATTCATTCAATGTAGCTACCCTGTTTCATTATTGCTTTCTGAATGTTTTTGAGACAGGGTCTCACCCTACCCAGTCTGGAGTGCGGTAATGCAGTAATGGCTCACTGCAGCCGGGCTCACGTGATCTTCTCACCTCAACCTCTGGAGAAACTGGGACTACATACAGGTGCATGCATTTTTCCCTTATCTTCACCTTTTCTTAAACATTCAGTAGTCCTTGGTTATCTGCTGATTTTTCAGAGTGCCACTTATGAAAAGTTGATTTAAAGCTCAGTTTACCTATGTGGGATGCTGATGTCAATGATTTTAGGTTCATTCTTTTGAACCATTCAGATCTTGTAGGGAAGAGTCTTTCTGTTTCCTAGAAATCAATCCTATAAATTAATTAAATTTCTGGAGCAATTAAACTTGATTGCTAGCATTCTGAGAGTCAGGTCGGAAGAATAAGACAAAAGATTGTAAAATTCAGTTTGTAAATTTTTAATTAATACCCCTGTCTCAGTATAGTATTTCTGCTCTCAACTATGTTCTGACCTTTGTGGTACCCTCTGCTGAGACTAAATCTCTAGTGTTTGCTGGGGCAAAAGAAAGGCAGTAGCCTGGCTGGGGTAAGGAAACAGCTCTGAGGAATCTAACTGCTTTTTAATCTAGCTTCCAATTAATTTTCCTATTTTAGCTTCACTGTTCCCCATAGTTTCAGAGATACTTGATGCCACCAATTACTGAGTCCTATGCAATAAGTTGCTTCTTGGCTTTCTCCACTCCAGGCTATGAGTCATTTTCTCCTGTCTTCTAAGTGAGTTATCATTCATCCACCTCTTTTCTAGATTCCAAAATTATGTTACTTTTATCATTTCTCCTGTGTGCTTTACCCAAGAGGGTTTATATCCTTTATAATTTGTCTTTAGTATTATCTCGTTAGAGTTTGAGGGGAAAAGTAGGGGTAAATATGATTATTTAAGCCAGTATCTTTAACCAAAAGCTAGCCCCTTAGTTCTGAAACTGTTTCTTTCCCATAGATAAAAAGTCACAAGAAGTCCTGGTCATTGTGATAACTTATATACAATAATAATATAACTGACCATAAAGATAGTCATATGATATAAAATGTCATCCACTTTCAAAGAAAAAAGGTTAATGGAATGAATACAATTTTATTTTATACTGCATGACATTTACTCTTTACAAAAATTTATCAACAGAGACTTTCTGCAAAGATAGACATTTCCCCTTTGGAAGTAGAGTATTTATCTAATTTCAAAGACCAATAGAGCATTATTTAAGATATTAAATGTTTGAATTATTCTTTTAAATTTGCAGGATGTTATGGGAAATTGGGACTATAAACTGCCATTCCACTAAAGATAGTTAAGTCAGAATTTTTTTTTTTTTAAGCAAGAGCTATTTCACATGAAATTTTATGTGAAATATAATTTCAAGTGATTTGGACGTGAGCTTTCAATGGTTTAAAATACGACCAATGGAATGTAAATAAGGGGAAATGGGAAATGGTAAAGGGAAATATAGTGCATAATTGGGGTTGAAGGACCATCAAGATGCCACAGAGATGAGCTCTGAGATCAGTCTTATTTAACAACTTCATTAATGATCTGGAAAGAGAATTCAACAAGTTAATTAAATCTGCAGATGGTCCTTTGTGGAAGTTACAAATACCAGGGAGAACTGAGAAATAGTGTAGAAAGACCAGGGGGTCAAAAGCTTTGATAGCTGTGGGCACAGAAGAGCAAAATTAAATTTGGGAAGGGTAATTACAATTAAATACACTTTGTTCAATGAAAAAAGTAGTTAAACTGCAAACAACGCTGAATAGAAAACAGTAAAGCTAAAAAAAATTCTGTGGCTGATGAGCAATTTATTTAGATAAGAGCAAAGCTTTCTGACTATAGAAATAAAGTTATTTTTAAATAAAATGTACTTTATAATGTATTTGTTCTGTGCCTAATAGTCAAAAAACAGGGATTTAGTGACCTGCATTTGGCTAGTGTTAAAAAGACAGGAAAGCATTGCTCTAACTCTCAGATGTGCTTATTTTCTAGTACAGTAGATAGATTAGAAACTCATGAAAATACTCTAATATATCCTGAGATTAAGATTGGGAAATGATGGGTAGAGCAGTAGAGCATGAGGGGAACTTTTGAAAGATGACTGACTATGAAATAGTTGACTTCCACTTTTAAATATGGGTGGTTAGTGTTAACGTGCTAGGTGGTTGAGAAGATTGGCAGGTACTTTTATATCCTTTTCTGGTAGTACCTTTGACTATGGGAAGTCCTCTCAGGTCTGGGTATTGGAAGAGCTTCTTTAATTTTGAAAATGTGATCAGTAGTTAGAATTCTACCAAGGCCTGGGGGCAGTAGAGCAGACTGGATGAAGTTATAATGGTAATTATTAGAAACGGAAATCAGATATACGCAAGGGCACACATAGGCAAAAGGTCAATCACTTACTGAGTATATTGCCTGTGCCAGGATGGCTCCAAGTACTTCACATAAGTTAACTCCTTTACTTCTTACACTCATCCTATAGGATTAGACATTATTCTTATCTCCAATTTGCTATTTAAAAAATCCTGAAACCTAGAAAATGTAAGAAAATTACATAACTTTAAGTGCTAATAAGCACAGGACAGTAGGATTCAAACCCAGGGAGCCTGCTTCTAAGATTTATATGTTTATTTTCCCCAGCTATGTTATAGTATCTCTCATAGAATATTACCATAAATAATATATACAGAACTCATGTAAGGTATATATACACATAAATGTATACATATATATGTATGTATATAGCCCTATATATGTGTGTATATATATGGCCGTGTGTGTGTGTGTTCCATTCTTTAGAGTTCTAGGGGCTTGTCCAAGACAGACTGGACCCAGAGGCATGTTTTATATGCAGCTCTTATTAGCAGAATTGTCCTTGTATATAAAGTATGTGAACAGAATTTGTTGTCTACAGTTTCCAAAAAAAACATTATCTTAAGGAGGTGTGTATTGTATCTGGGTTAATTGATGATGGGTCTCTGGAAGGGAGACACATTAGCTAATAAACACATAGCTGAAATTACATAATTTCATAATGTCAGTCTCTACTAGTGTCACTAAGGGTAGAATCCTGAGTCATCATGTTTTAAAATTTAAATATTAACATCTTCAAGAGTTAACACTTATGCATGCTAGAATATTCAGATATTCTATAAGCTTAGTTAAGGATATACATTGAAAATCTTTATATTTGTCCACGAGCTACAAGTTCTCCTACCCAGAAGGAGCCAGAATCACTAGTTTCTTATATGTAGGTTAATAGGCTACCAATTGTAGTGGGACTCAGATAGTATGTGATTGTTTAGATTGATGAGGATATCTTGGAGAGGTATATACAAGGGATATTAAATGGATTTGAGAGACTGAAAGTAAATTTCACAGTTCTATTTGTTAATAGCTAGCATGGACAAATTACCTATGAAAAGTGTACAGAAAACCATTAAGAAATAGAAAAATGATTAAAAAGGACAGCTGTATTGGAAAGCAACAAGTTAGGAAGGAGAAATCTAGAAGATTAATACTGAGAAGAGCTGCCTGGGGTGACTGACAGCTTTAGCCTCACCATATCTGCCCTCTCTTTGAAACTAGTCAGAATTTCTCAAGCTTCTCCAAATGAGATCCTGAGTTAAGAAGAATTCTGTGTTTGTAATAAGGTGAGGTGGTTTGAACTGAAACTTAATCACATTTAGGAAAGTCAAGTATCCCTTCTGGGAGAGATCAAGCAGATTATGAAATGATTTTAGAGAACTCATAACAAGTTTCTTCTAACTTTTACATCTATATTTGGCCAAATAAAACACATGGAAAGAAAGTCCTGTTTTGGTCCCTGGGGCAAAAGACTTAAGAAATATTTCTAACTTCTGTTTAAATGATTCAGTTTCCAAGGCTCACTTCACCCACTAAAATGGCATTGGTGATCATAAAGAAATTTCTTCATGATACAGTGGAATCGCTTCTATTATTCTAGTAATAGTAATTTCTCTATTATTTACTAGTATACAGGAAATAACACAAGTTATGCCACAGAGTGTAGAACCTTGAGAAACATTAAATATTAAAAGCATAATTCTACTTTTTGACATCAGTGGAAATTACATTGGCCTCTCTGAAAAAAACTCCTCGATTGTGTCTCAAAGATGGAGCCTGAAAAAAACAACAAAAAAGCAACATCAATCCAAAAAAAATCAACCAAGTGTGAGAATTTATTGATTAGAAAAATAAAACAAACAAAAAAACAAAAAAAGATCAACATTAGCTGGGATGACATGTAACCTAGAGAGACCAAGTCAATTCATGCAGACTTAAAATGTCAATACCTTCTTCAATTCCAGTAGCAAGTGGTTGCAACTTCTGGCTGAGGCAGTTTTCACTTCTATATACCTGGCAATGGAACTTCCTTCATCAAATAAATGAATTTTTGCCCCAATGCCTTGTCATCAAAGCATCAATAATTGAGTAAACCATACCCTGTGAACTTGCTCATCACTTACATTGTTACCTTTCTCCTAAAGTAAAAAATCTACAGGGCACTAATCTCGTAGGACAGGAGCTTTGAAGGCAAGCATTTTCTAATTTTCCAGTGCCAGCAACTGAATTCACCCACATTTATATGATTTCTTAATTCATTCACATATAAAATAATATGTTGAAGCTCAGGAAACTCGTGGCAAAAAATATAAAAGAATCTATGGTTAATTTAGTGAATAACAAATGGTTTCAGAATGCTAGACACAAGAGCAGACACAGGTTTTATCTCAGCAAGACAGAAGATTGATAAAGGAAGGACTAAGGAAATACAAGATCTGGCCACAGGGCCATTTATGAATTGCAGAACCCACATGTATTCGTTTGTCACGTCAATGGTTTCTGAGTACTTGCCAAGTACAAAGATAATTTAAAACAAGTGCATATTAGGAGCATTAGGGGAGATAAGAGAGGCACATAAATAATTATTAATGCATGATTTAAAAGTGATAAACTCTGTATGAGAGGTTTAGATCTTTGGTAGGGTTTTAGAAAAAGTATTGCTTCTGTTTCTGAGGATTGGAGAAAGGATCAGGAAAATTGTCATGAATGAAAGGCATGTGTACGGAACATTAAGGAATGATTTAGACATATCTAACTCAAACTGGAGAAGTGACATTCCAGACAGAGAGAATGCCATAAAAAAAAAATTGCAGCATGAGACTGTACGTAACACTGTGGTAAAGCTGACTAATTTGGTTTGAAAGCTAGGTGGGATTGTACTTATTTGTATTAACATCAGATGTAGAGGGATGAGTTCCTATCTTTTCCCTGATGATTTTAAGGAGTATATATGAGAAAAATATTAAATAGTAGCAGAGTTGAGGACATTATCATCTTTCTATCATGAAATAATGTGTCAAAAGTTTCTTCTTAACTATGTTTGTAGTAAGTTTTTAATGTATCACTTTCTTTACAAAAAGTTCTCTTCTTTCCAGGGCTGTAGCATTTTATAAGACACACGAGGAATCATATAGCTGTAAAGACTATGCTAACTTTTTATTGCCATGCAAAGTACATCAATGATTTATTGTTCTTTAAATAATTAGCATATTAATATATAACATGTGAAGACTGAGCATCAGGCATGAATAGATTCATAATTTTTTGGTACCTCTTAAAGCTTCCATTGATTTTTGTCATTTAAAAAATTAATTTAAAAAGTAGTATATTTTTATTGTAAAAAATGGGAAAATATGGAAAAGCAAAAAAGAAAATTAAAATTACTCAGTCTTTATACTAAAAGAGGAAATATGTATATTACTCTATTTACTTCCACCTAGTATTTCCGTGTACGTACACTTCTAAATTTTTGTCAGTGAAAAATACATATTGTATTATTTTAAGTCATATAAAACACATATAAATTATATCACAAACATGTATCTATATTAAATATTTTATAATTACACAAATAGGTTTTATAGCCATGTGTGCTCTATCACATTTTAAATCATTTAAAATTATACCTTGATATGGTTTGAATGTTTATGTTTCCCTAAAATGTATGTGTTTAAATTTTCACCCTCAAAGGGATAGTACTAGAAGATAAGGCCTCTGGGAAGTGAATAGGTCACTTTTGGATATGATTAGTGCCTTTCTAAAAAGACCTTTGAAATTGTGACAACTGCCCTTATATTAGAGGCCCAAGGGAGACTTCTTTTCCTTCCACCATGTGAGGTTAGAGTGAGAAGACAAAGCTCTCACCAGATACCGAATCTGCTTGAACCTTGATCTTGGACTCTTCTGTCGCCAGAATTGTGAGAAATAAGCTACCTAGTCTACGATATTTTGTTATATCAGGCTAAATGAACTAAGATCTACATATTAAAAATAGTATATTTATATATTATATAAATTTAAAATATGTATTTGCAATTACCAAGAATCAACCTGTATTTTTTAACTTTGTTAATGAATCATAAACCATTTTTAATTTATGAACGAGATTATACTAGTGAAAATAAAGGACTTTTTGGCTTACTCACCTGAGGGTGGTGTCCTCCACTGGCATGCCCATAGGTGGCTTTATAGATGGGCACCATAGTTCCAAGCATCATTCTCTGAACGTTGGTACAAAGTGTGTCCCCTGAGGCTCTCTGTATCTTTAAATGTTCATTAAAAAATATGACACGTATTGTTCCTCCTATTCTGGCAATCTGAAAACCTTGTGTGATTCACTCCGTCAGCTCTTCTGTTGGGTGATTCATAAATGTGCATGAGTCCAGCTTTATAGAAAGTTTCTGGAGCCATGGGAGTAGACACTTTTGTCTTGGTGAGAAAAAAGATCCAAGAGGGAGCATAAATTAGGTTTGGAAAGAATGAAGTCAGGAGGAGGATCAAAGTAGACTCTTCCCAGGCAAAAAAGCAAGGGCCCAGATAAGACCTCAGAGAGTTTGAGTGAGGAGGGCAGTTAGAAGGAGCACAAGATCTCATTAGAACAGAGATTCTGTTCCTACCAATGATCAGCTGGTCTTTACAATGTCTGGCAGATGCTCAGTAAATGGCCTCTGAACAGAATTGAATTTTAAGTTCCTTTGTATAATGCTTAAAAATCTACTTTTGTTTTTACTTCATATTAATATCTTCCTGATTTAAAAGGTTATTTCTATTCCATTCCTGCCTCATGTGGCCATTTCCCTATTTCTCTTTGCTTCCAGTTCTTTACACTTTTAAGTGAATTTAAAGCCAGTCAATGATTTTCATAGAACTAATTGAAACTAACAATTCCCAGGTAATCCAGTTATTCAGTGGCAGTTAGTGACAGTACTCAGAATGGTTGTTACAATATTCAGATTTGTCTTTTGGTGGTAAGAACAGCCATGTCTCTTCTGAAGAAAGAAAAAAAAAATATTAGACGAGCTCAGCAGATGTAACCCACTGTATCTCCAAACACTTCTCTTGACGTTTAGCTGCAAAGGGCCAAGGAAAATAAAGCATTACAAGGGTGGTAATGGAATATGGTAATGGAATA
This sequence comes from Homo sapiens, assembly GCF_000001405.40. Lineage (NCBI taxonomy): Eukaryota > Metazoa > Chordata > Mammalia > Primates > Hominidae > Homo > Homo sapiens. The sequence continues at coordinate 21,399,179 of NC_000011.10, forward strand.
TAAAATATCAATTTAAGGTCAGTTGTATATCTACAAGTAGATTCAACTTTGTGACTGATGAGTAGGGAGGAAGCAATGAATTGGGTGTTTGGGTTCATTACTAGTATCTAGGCATTTTGTCAAGTTGTGTCGGTGGTTGACAATCGCTTCAGTTGCTATTTAGGTATTGCAATGTGTTAGCTTAAATTAAGTAGCCAAGAAATGCATAAGATTTAGGACCAGACACAGGAACACCTTTGAATTGTTATTTCAACATTAATGTGTATCATTAAGCAACTTTCATAACATGTTTGGTTCTTAGCTTCTTCACCTGTCAAGTTAGGGAATCATTGCTAAATAATTTTTTAAAATATAAATAAAAATAATAGCCAAAATGTATTGAACATTATATACCAGATGCAGATTTAAGTGCTTTCACATGTGTTTGCTGATTTAAGCATATATTACTAATTTCTCCATTTTACAGATAAGGGAACTAAAACAAAGAGAGACTAAGTAATTTAACCCAAGTTTATATGGGTGGAATACGGCAGACCTAGGGCTTGAATTTAAGCAATCTAGCTGCAGAGCCTGTACTCTACTGTCTTTTACTGTGCAATACATCTCTCATTTGTGAAAGCTATGATACCGATGATGGAAAATAACGGCGATGCTGCTGATGGAAGATAATGATGATGTTGATAATGGAAGTTGATAAGAACGCTGATGTTAACTCAAGAAAATAACATTACTGACACCCTGACCTGGGAAAGTCGATTTTTCCTCCTAGCTACTTTAATGTAGCATTACTAACTAGTTTAGGATCTATAGATGGGATGTGTATGCAAATATAAAAGATTATTTCTGTATACTATGCATTATTGGTGAACTACTCTATGATTGTATACCACTTTAAAATAACTTTTAATTCTGTTTTTCCCTTAATTTTCACTCTTCAAGAAAGTCAACCGTCACAAAACCATAGTTTGTGTCACAGAATCCTTCCCAGAATCTCAGAATTGAAGATGAATATTAGATCCTCTCTGATGCGTTTCCTACCCCATCCCCACTCTCCTCAAAAGCTTGTTTTCTTATCAATTCATTCTAGTCTGTTGTTGTTGTTTGCATTCTATGAAAAGAATTAACTGTCACAGAAGCATCCAATTTTATTAAATGTTTATAATCATTTCTTATTTTCTGATGAAATCTGCCTTTTTATAATTCAGCTATTGGTCCTAGGTCTCTATTTTAGAGCCAATTAGGAAACGCTATGTGACAGCTTCTCAGGAAGTGAGGAACATTACATTTATTCCCATTTAACTTCCACTTTTGAATTTGACCCACAACTCCAGGCTGCCAGGGTCATAATTCTACCATCTTGTATATTCACGTTCTCCTACCTGTTTAACGTAATCTTGAAAGTTGATAAACATGTGATGTTCTCAATGTCTTTACCCATTTCTTGAGCCTAGAGAAACTTTCATTTCTGCTCTGCCCAAGCCAGACTACATTAAAAAGATAAATCAGCATGCGCTTATGTCTTGTCTGTGCCACAAATAAAAGAGAATTTCAGTTTCACGAATACGTCACCCTTTGGCATAATTCATCCTATATGATTGTACTGAATTTGGCTCTTCTCCCTCTGTATGCCCACCTGCTTCATAGTTAGTGATCCTTGTCCACAGCTCATTGCCAGGGTGCCAGGGCACAGCACTAGGCTTAGAAGGCATAGGAGGACAGGGAATGGAAGAGAGGAGCCAGGGAAGGGGGATACTCTGATCTGGCCTGTGTCAGTTACACAGAAAATAACACATTTCATACACCAGTGATGGCAGCAAAGACAAATTTCACAGTATGTATTTGAATGTCACAGAGCTATAGAAAGAATGTGGCAAAGAGAAGCACCCCATTTAGGCTCTATTCCTTTCTTGCTACTTTAAATTATACAACCCTTTCTGTAATGTTGGCTGTTAAAGCTGAAATACCACGTGCTATAAAACAATCTTAATAGAACATACAAAGTGTCTTTTCTATGAAAACATAAGATTTTTTTTATTGAATTATGGTATAAGTTCTTCAGCCTAAGTTCCTTGGGAAGAAAAATATATATCTTGGTGATATAAGTCTCCTGGAAACCATAAAGCTATCCAGGTACAATGTAAGAAACAGATAATTAAAAGGAGCAATTGGGAAGACTTTATTTGTTACTTTGAGAAATATGAAATGGCATTTTTCTCTAAATTCTTAAATGAAAATCGCTTACTTGACAAACTAAAGCCCACGTGAGAACTGTGAAGGGCATTTGGTATTTGTCCTGCATCCTACTAACATCAGCAATTTAGTTAAGTTATAACACGTTTCCTGTAGTGACACTAGCCAAAAAGTGCAAACTGACACAAAAATGAGGCAGGGTTGGTTCATCATCTCAGATCTGCTCCAAGGATCAGTGAGACTGTATCTGGCAGGTGGAAACATGTATCACTGAAACTTAATGGTTAGAGAAAGTAAGGCAGACTCATTAGCATTTCTGGCTTAAGCTATTCATAGGATAAGAAAGCATGTTTGACCTTGCAGTAGGTAACATGAGGAAGCACCAGGAATATGAGTTTCAAGCCAGGCATCCTGGATATGAATCCTGTCTCTGCCTGCCAATGACTGTGATGTTTGCAAACTCATGTGATTTTTCTGAGCCTAAGGTATGAAATGAGATAATAACCTCTACTTTACAAAATTGTAGTGAGGAGTAAATGCAACAATGTAGATATAGAACTGTGCTTGAACAGAGAATATTTTTAAATACAGTTTCCACCCCTCTCCTTTGATTTAATTTATTAAAAACAGGAAAAGCCGCTTTCATTTAAATCTTAGAAAAGTCTTCAAATCTGGATATCAGCATGAAATATTTATAGCTGGAGTCTCAAGGAACAGATGCACACTTAGGTAATTCAGCTTGCCTTCTAGTCCGTCCTTGCAGTTGTCAAGAAGCAGCCATTGTAACTCCTGGTTTCGCATCTAACTTTCCTGGCGTCAACCCATTTTACAATTTTTATCCAGATGAAGTTTGACAATTACACTCTAGAATGATTCTACTTTGATCTCTTTCTATACTTTGAGTACACCCTTTTCCTCACACTCTTCTCAACTTGGGAAAGAAAGTAACCTGAAATTATCATCTGTAGGAAAACATTGAAGATTTAAAGCAAGAGACCCACCCATAATATTTGCGTTTTACAGAGGAAATTTAGAGATGACAATTTTGGCATGAAATGCTGGTTTTCCAATGGTGAAATTTCAGGCAGTTTCACAAATTTATGCTGTGTCAGCCATTGCTTGAGTAGCCAGATGTTTTTATAAAATGGCCATTCATCATCACTCCATAACCAGATTGCCAAGTATGATCATAAGGAAAGAAAAGCAGAGTTAAGAAAGAAAATTAGAACTGTGGAGTATTCTAACTAATGCTTGGTAGAAATCTAGATCCTTTTCTTTTTTTTTTTTTTTAAACAAAATTCACCTTTTGTTCAAGAACAAGTCCTTGGTACCTTAGTCTCTACCATTCTATTCGAGTAAATAAGCTTTATCTCCTATGATGTGAAAGGTAGTTTGAAGTACAGTCCTTAACCTAAGAGAAAGAAAGATCTTAGTCTTCTATTAGGAGCATATGAAGCCTATTGAAGTGTCTGAACACTTCCCATTTGCTGCTAAAGTAGCCCTGAAACAGAGCTGAATATTGCCATTCTCTTTTAATTGGGTAACCTTGCAAAGGTGAGAGCAGCTAAGAGCTAGCTGACCTCCTTGATATTGGTCAGTACCTGAAGAACTGGGCTGTGACTCTTGTCAATAACTGTAGGGAAGCCACAAAAACCATCAAGTAAAAGGTAGCTGACCTCCTATGGAGGGCACTGTTTGCTGCTGAGGTGGATGTTACATTGTATAAAATTGTTTTGAATGTACAGGAAAAGCCACATACTCTATTTTCATTATCTTAGATTATAACCCTATGCAGAGCCCCTATTTTAGAGACTGGTAGGAATTCAATCTTTACTGTATTGAAGGGGGTTCTTTTCTGGAGTTTTATTAATATCTGAGGTCTCATGGGGCACAAAGCAATTAAGCATGTCATATAGTCTACCTGTGTCAGTGCTGGGAAGCTCATAGACCAAACCTTCAGGGACTCTTAAATCTGAAGGCTTTACAAGTGACAGAAATCCAATCCAACCTATCTTAAACAAAAATAGTAACTATTTTTCACATTATTGAAAAGTCCTGGATAGTAGCCTGATCTTAGGACACAGCTAGATAAAGGTGCTCAAACAACGTTATGACCCTGTCTTTCATATCTGGATGAGTTTCATGCCCCATGGTGAAATGTTGGCTGCCTGCCATCCCAGGCACCCATCCTTACATCCTGGTTCTTCTAGTGAATATAAAAGACCTCTGTAGCTCTTCAAAAAAAAAAAAAAATGTGCCTTTAATTGGCTCTCACTGCACTAATTGGATTAAACAGCAGTAATAGATAATTCTGTATGAACAACAGGAAGTGAAGGAGAGAGCAGTCTTTGATGGAAAGTCAAGAATGTTATCAGAAAAAAAAGGAAGAATGGATGTTGGGCATGCAGAAACAACAGCATCTACCTGGACACAGAAAGTGGGAGTCTTTACAAAGCTGGGATCCCCATTTCTGAGTCCTGTCTCCTGAAGCACACTATTTAGCTATCTCCATCAATTCCAGCTCTGTCCTTTTTTGGGATGTTAAGAATGAGCAGCTAGAGCGTTCCGTGACTTATGGACTGTATCCTCCTCTAACCCTTGATCAATGTGGCGGAAAATATCTCTGTCATTCCTGAACCCCCCCCCCCGCAATCAAAACCACTGGATATTCCCCCCGCCACCACGCACACCGATTCATAAATTCAATCTCATTGTTGAACTTCAGTCTCACAAAACACATGTGACAGTCAAGCAACTTTGTGTCTCAGGCCTGCACTTTAGAAACAGCCTGGCTATTTTTGGAAGAAGTAAAGGGGGAAATATAAGGAAGATTGCAAACAATATCTCAGTACATTCATTTTCCTACCACATTTGCCTATACTTATATTTTCCTTTTACTGGACCCACAGTAGGTCACACACTCAAAATGAACTGGCTGAGTGATTTTATTCTTGCTGTCCTTCAGTCAGTTGCTTTTATATGGAATTTAGGGGCAGACTAATACAGTTCAAAGGCATTAGAAGGAACTTTAGAGTATGTGGCCCATAAGAAAGCAATTAAAGTAAGACTGAATTTTCTGATTTACCTTCTCCAGTTTTGCTTCATAGATTTCTAGATTTTGATTTGGGTTCACCTAGTCCTGATTTCTCAAAATACAAGAAAACTGAAGCCTAAAGATATTGTGACTTGCTCAAGGAGTAAGAGGAATTATAACTTCCCCTTTCCAAAGGGCTTACTGTGATGCTAGGCACTGTAAAATGATACTTTTTGCTACTGAATCATCATAATAATCCCATGTAACATAGAAATAATAATCATGAAAATTAGAAATTTTAGGCACTCAACATGTAACTAATATGGTCCAGAACTGGGATTAAAATTTGTTTTACTTGTACAACAAATTGAAGCTGGTTATCTGAAGCTCAGCATTACTGCTAGGATCTGTACCTAGGTCTCCTGAATATCAGCCCTGGGGGCTTTCCTCAGTGGTCCCAAGGGGATCAGACTCTCAGTGTTTTTAATTTCTGCTTCTCAGAGAAGTCCCCTTACTATTCACTTAGGGTGAGATACTAGGACAGATTACCTATTCTAGGTCCTCCACTCCCACTTCAGCATAGCTGCTCTGTCTTTTCATATCTGTAATAAAGGCAAGGCAAGTAAGCCTGTGTTTGAAGAAAGGTTTGGGGTTAAAATTCTATGAAGATTCCTAGCTTTATGATCTCTAAGGGCACTTTTGGTTATGGCTTCCGATGGCTGGGTGGTTCCACTTGTAGACCACCTGGGCCCACCAAGCTCTTTTTCAATCACATAAGCCACTTTGATGCACTAGGTTTTGTTGCTGCTCCTTGGCTTCATTCTTTCCTCTTAGCTTTGACACTGTGCATTTCAATGATGGCTTGTTCAGCATCCCAGCAATGACAAAAATGCATGACTCCACCAATTTTGTAAAGAATATAAGAGTATTTTGGCTTTGGTTCATCTGTTTTGCAGTTTTGTTTTACCTGTTGTAAAAAGAAACAGGATTCCAATTTTTTCTGTTGTGTTTATTATTTCAGATTTGTCACTGTGTTCTGTGCTAACAGAATACAAATGGCTGTGCCCTGAGGTAACTGAGGTCAATGGAAATGTTTCCTATGAAGTTAATACGAGAAATCAGATTCTGGGCCATAAGAAAGTTGGCCAAAACAAACAGTTCTGTTCTTGTACTATTTCCTTCTGTAGCATTTTCATTAGCTCCTCTGCAGCATCAATTATCACCTCCTAAGCAGATGACTCACCAGTCTATATTCTTGGAACTAATCCTTTCCAAACTCTAGCTCCACATGCTGCTTTAAAATTGATTTCTCAATGTGTTGAAAGACCCTTGACCTGGTGAAAGATGGACACATCATCTTTCCTCATCCTACATTAATTCCTTCTACTAAAAATGGCCATTATTTTCCTTCCCCCAACCTTTCCTTTCTTTGCAAGCCTGCCCCTTGCAATATCCAGGAATGGTGAACTTTTAACTACATTAGTCCTGATACCTGGGAAGATGCTTGCTAGGCCAGAATGGACACTGGACACATGTTGGGGAAACTGAATTCTGATTTCCAGGGATTTAAAACCACAATTCATAGACTGAGCCAATAAGGTTGTATTGGCCCCTCCATTTGTAAGTCCATACACAGATAGGAACAGAGTGGATTCCAGACAAACAAAATTCATAGAGAAACAGAAATAAAAACTTTGTAAAGGAAGCTAATCTTCAACAGGAGAAGGGAGAAGACAATGAAAGAGAGAGAGAGATAAAAAATTTCTTTATGATTGTTTAGTTCCTAGGCAGATTAGCAATACTGGGCTGAATGATTTTATTCTTGCTGTTCTTCAGTCACTTGCTTTTATATAGAATTTAGGGGGCAGTCATTGGGCTTGTTGAAAGTTCTGTACGTGTTTTTGATTAATCATACTGTCTCTTGAATTTTTAAGTGGTATTTTATTCTTTACAACCAAATTATCCCCAATTGAGGGATTGCTTTTCCTGAATTTTCCAATAATAATAATTACCAGAAGAAGTAGATTACTGAATGATTATTGTCTCCCAGTTATGATACTACCTAGTGCTTTACCTTAACTTTCAATCTCAAAACATAAAATGAAATAAGGATTATATTCTTTGTACAGGTGATATAATGCAGTTAAGATAAATTGAGCTTCTTGTCCAAGGTAATTTAGAACTACATCTAACTTCAGAATTAGACATTTAGCCATCCTACAAATGTATCTCCTATTTCTGTTAGTGCTAGTTTTTATCATTCAGGCTCAAAAGCTGAGTCTCTATTCCTATTTATTTTTATTGATACATAATAAAGATTTCTGGGGTACATGTGATATTCTGACACATGCATACAGTGTGTAATAATCATATCAGAGTATTTAGGGTATCCCTCACCTCAAATATGTTTCCTATCTTTGTGTGGAGAATATTTCAAAATCTTCTAGTTATTTTGAAATATACAGTAAATTATTGTTAACTATAGTCACTCTACTGTGCTGTGAAACACCAGAACTTATTCCTTCTACCCAACTGTATGTTTATATTCATTAACCAACCTCTCTTCACCCTCCTATCCTTCCTAGCCTCTGAAAACTACTTTTATGAAATCAATGTTTTTAGCTTCCACGTATGAGTGAGAATTTGAGTGAAGCTGTAGTTTAACTTATTTATGTTTGATTGTTAGTATCCAATAAATTATCTGAATTCTGTCTTGAAATACTATCTTTCTGGCAGGTCATGGTGGCTCATACCTGTAATCCCAGCACTTTGGGAGGCCAAAGTGGGCAGATCACTTGAGCCCAGGAGCTCAAGACCAGCCTGGGCAACATGGTGAAACCCTGTCTCTACCAAAAATACCAAAGTTAGCCAGGCATGATGGCGCATGCCTGTAGTCCTAACTACTCAGGAGGCTGAGGTGGAAGTATCACTTGAGCCTGGGAGGTTGAGGCTTCAGTAAGCCTTGATTGCACAACTGCACTCCAGCCTGGGCACCAGAGTGAGACCCTGTCTCAAAAAACAAACAAACAAAAAGAAATATTATCTTTCTAACATTAGCTCACCTCTCAGTACCCCTAGGTTATAGTCATTTGGCCAGTCTCCCTATTGCCTGTAAACACAACTCCTTCAAATTTAGTATATGAATTATTTACCAAGTTTATTCCACAGCCCAACTCTAGTTACTTAACTCTACTCCTTATAATTATTCAATGTCTCTCTATTACCTACCAAGACCAGTAATATGTTTTTATACCAGCCGTCAATACCTTATCTAGTATCTCTCCAAATTACCTTTTTTTTTTTTTTACCTCATCTCTCATCCCTCTCACCCACTTCCCTTGCCCTCTGATGAAACAAAGTTACTAATTATTTCTTCGAATAGTCCTCAAACATTGCTGCTTCTATGGTTTTGTTTCTACAGTATCCTTTATCTAAAAAAAATTTTCCTTTTCTTTGCCAACTGAGATCCTATCAACTCTCTATGGTCCATTTCAAATACTCTCATACTCCATAAAGTATTTCCTGATTCTTCCAGCTGAATGGCATCTCTTTCTCCTTGGAACCCCTATAATATGCTTCTTATATGTTTCTAATAGAGCTTCCCTTTCTTTTATTGTGATATGGAGATTTGTCAGTTGCACATAGAGGGGTGGCAAGTGCTTGGTGTGTATATGATTATTGTGCTCATGGAGAGCAGCATGAGTTGATCATAGCTCTCTTTCTTGAGATCCCAGGTACTTGCCCAGAATGCTTCCTCACTTAACATGAAGTCAAGGAAGCCACTCCCAAGTGATTGGAGTTACCATGCAAAATGAAATTCAACTGGCATTCTCATTATAGTAGCTCCCATCTCATAGGAGCTTCTAACTACTCCCACTCTTCCTACCAGATACCTTGCCTGGGACTCAGCATAACTCTTCCATTACAGCTGTAGAGAGAGTTCCAGAGTTTTTGCTGAGATCTTCCTGTCTCCTGATTCTCCATTTTCTTAGGCCAGGGCACTGCTTCAGACTACAAAGAAAAGGAGGCCAATTGCTTTAGGGCTTTGAGTTCTTTTGCTATAGTTTTCCTAGAAGCTCTACTTACAGACATATAGATACTGGATCATTAAAAATTGCAATTACCTGAAAATTTGTTTGAGTTCATTGTAGATTCTGGATATTAGCCCTTTGTCAGATGAGTAGGTTGCGAAAATTTTCTCCCATTTTGTAGGTTGCCTGTTCACTCTGATGGTAGTTTCTTTTGCTGTGCAGAAGCTCTTTAGTTTAATTAGATCCCATTTGTCAATTTTGGCTTTTGTTGCCATTGCTTTTGGTGTTTTAGACATGAAGTCTTTGCCCATGCCTATGTCCAAAAAAGTGGGCAAAGGACATGAACAGACACTTCTCAGAAGAAGACATTTATGCAGCCAAAAAACACATGAAAAAATGCTCACCATCACTGGCCATCAGAGAAATGCAAATCAAAACCACAATGAGATACCATCTCACACCAATTAGAATGGCAATCATTAAAAAGTCAGGAAACAACAGGTGCTGGAGAGGATGTGGAGAAATAGGAACACATTTACACTGTTGGTGGGACTGCAAACTAGTTCAACCATTGTGGAAGTCAGTGTGGCGATTCCTCAGGGATCTAGAACTAGAAATACCATTTGACCCAGCCATCCCATTACTGGGCATATACCCAAAGGACTATAAATCATGCTGCTATAAAGAAACATGCACACGTATGTTTATTGCGGCACTATTATCAATAGCAAAGACTTGGAACCAACCCAAATGTCCAACAATGATAGATTGGATTAAGAAAATGTGGCACATATACACCATGGAATACTATATAGCCATAAAAAATGATGAGTTCATGTCCTTTGTAGGGACATGGATGAAATTGGAAATCATCATTCTCAGTAAACTATCACAATGACAAAAAACCAAACACTGCATGTTCTCACTCATAGGTGGGAATTGAACAATGAGAACACATGGACACAGGAAGGGGAACATCACACTCTGAGGACTGTTGTGGGGTTGGGGGAGCGGGGAGGGATAGCATTAGGAGATATACCTAATGCTAAATGACGAGTTAATGGGTGCAGCACACCAGTATGGCACATGTATACATATGTAACTATCCTGCATATTGTGCACATGTACCCTAAAACTTAAAGTATAATAATAATAAAATAAAAAATAAATAAAAATTAAAAAATAAAAATTGCAATTACCCTGTTAAAGAACCTAAAATTCAGGCTATCACACCTGTTTTAACGTGAGTATAGATTTTCCGTCTCGAAATTATAAGGCTATTACATTGACATCACATTTATTCCCCATATAAACTGGTCAGATTTTACCTTAGGTGAGCAGACACTGGTCTAGATGCAATCTGTCGCCTTCTTACAGATCATAGCTTGACATTTGGAATACTATATTGTTTGCCACTCTCTCACACACAAACATATGCATGACGATGAGAAAACAAAAAATGAAAGAATGCAAGAAATAATTAATGAAAGGCAGGAAGAAAGAGAAACAATACAAAAATGAGTTTAAATTTTTTTAATTTAGGATATTGTTTCATTAAGATTTTATTTATGTTAAAAATAATTTTCACAATAATCACACATTTCAGAAGAATATTTGAAAAACAAAACAATCTTGCCTTTTCAATGTTCTTAACTATTTTCTGCATTGCAGTGTTTTCCCCCTTCTTTTTTAAGTGGGACATTGTTTTTCCTGACACAGTGGAAATGTAAATTACTTTCCCTTTTTCACTGTTCCATCATGTAGACACAAAAAAACAAACCTGTTTGAGAGACCAAGATGATTAATGTCTACAGTGCATCAAGTATTCACTACCTGTGCCATTCATTTCATTTCCACTCTACTGTAAACTGAGAAACCTTTAGTTATTTCGAAAGTACATTGCCAACTGAGGGAATACATTCTGAGTAAATTTCAAGTTCCATCAGGTTTTGCTTAAAACTCTCTGAGGAGGAAGGCGAGTAGGGAAAGCAGAGGAGAGAAGAGAAAAAGATGGAGAGGAGAGGATTGTTTTTCCCCATCTTTTATATTTTTTATTCTTTTTTACATTTCCTTTTCTGGGCTCCTTTCCAGCACCATATTCACACAATTCAATAATTTATAACCTAACATAAATCAGATACCAACCACAGTTAAATGTGATTTGTTATATGTGTGGATTTCTGTTTATGGTATCTTTATTGAGATTTTCAGCAATAAGATGTAATATGTAATCTCTACCTATTTAAAAGCTTCCTGCTGTTTGATCACAAAAATGATTTGCGTCTCCTTATCTCAGTGGAGAGAATATTTGATACAAGGTTGCCTGCCATGAAGTCTCTGTGGTGTAGTGTGCCTGGTGAACTGCCTACTCTGCACTGGAGCATACGGCGTGTGCCGTTTCTGTGGAATTAGACGCTATGGCTGGTGGCTGATAAATGGCAATTTAGGTGTGAAGGGAATTAGCTTAATATAAACTCAGAATTTCTTCCCCCACCCCCAACAGATGGTTCATATGGTGATATCTTCTGAAGAGAATATAGCCTGGCCAGTTTGTTTCCCTTAATATACCAGATGTGATAGAAGTAGCACCAATTTGGGAGTCAGATTCCACAAGTTCAAATACTGGTAACCACACAATTTTGAATCATAACCTCAAGGGAGATATAGCACTTTTGACTCCTCATTTTCCTCATCTGGAAGTAAAGAAGTAGTATCTAATTTTCAAGGTTGGGAGAATTAAGTGAGATACTTATAAAGTTCTCTAGTGTAATGTCCATCATAGAGTAGGCATTCAAGAAAAAGGAAGTGTTGGAATCCTGCCATATATAGAAAGAGAATGAGAGAAAACACCACTTTGTGGTTTCACTGGGGCTCTGCAAACATGCCTGTGGGTTTTACTTTGTTGTACAGTTCTCTGGAAATCCTGTGTTGAAACTACAACCTGGAGGAGTGTTTGTTTTCATGCAATGGCTTAAGTGGTCACACCTCTATATTAATGTGTGTCTATCAATAACAATAATGGCAATAATAATAAATAATACACTCTAACGAAAGGCTGGAGGAGTAAAAATATTTAGTGGGTGTTTGTGTGAAAAAGTTATTTGAGGTCTGCAGTTGCACTGAAACTACAGTGAGATGAGTGAGACCCTTACCTCAGGTAAAATCTAAGAGGTTGCCAAAAAAACTCAGTGATCAAGATAAATGATTTTCTAATGCAGTATTTTTCAAAAGAGAAAATTAATGCAAGCATATCTACAATGGACAAATATTACTTTTTTTAAAAAGACGAGATTCAATGAGGTATGATTCAGGTGAGATAAATGATTCAGGTGAGGTGAATGATTCAGTAGATTTGATTCAGTAGATCAAATCATGGCACAACTATGAGGTTCAATGAAGGTGTGAATAAGTCAGACAGTGCCTTGTTAGGACTTTAAGTGTTGGCTGTGAGATTTTTACTGAAAAGCAGTTTGATAGACCTTGCTGAATGATTTGGAGGTTTGTACTGATGACCTTTCTCATCCTGTTGCTTTGTCAATAATACATGGTATCCTAGACTTTTGTGTGTGAGTTCTGTTCACCCCAGGCCATAGTAGGAGACATAAATTTGTGATGACAGAGTTTGAAGTACAGTGCTGGCAAGTTTGCAATAAAGTATCAAATGTTTAGGCATTCTCAAATTCAAGGAAAATATCACTCTTTGTTTTCAAAACAGATTAATTGATGGAAAAATAATAGGATATTTTCCTCATTTAGTTATTTTCTCTGAAATTATAGTTATAAAAAATTCTGTTAGAGATATTTTTTCCTGTTTTTAACTCAGTCTGGAAATTAGAAACATGATAATGATTTTGTTTGGGGTGAATTTAGCAAATTTATAGATAGGACATAAATGATTTTGTAATTAAATAATAGGAGCTATAATTTATAAATGCCTACTAAATGCCAGGCAGTGAACCAAGAGTTTTCATCCCTATCTGCTTCAATACTCAGATGAGCTTCCTAGGATTTGTCATTTTATAGGCAAAGAAACTGAAACTTACAGAAACTGAATTATGCAAAATCACCCAGTTAATAAATGACAGAACCAAGATTTGAACCCATGTTTTTCTAATCATGATGTCCATGCTTAGTGCATTAAGACCAGAGTTAGATGTTGAACATTTGTACTTTTTGTTTAGAGGGAAGTGTGTCTACGGAACATGAAGTATCAGGAAGAAAATTTACATCAGTCTCAGAGAAGTTTACCTCCTTTGAAGTTTTGGGCTGTGAAAATTCCAGAAATAGAGAAATGAGAATAACCTACTATAAACTCAGTGGATAGAATCTAACCCCTTAAGTATAACTCCTGGCCTGGGGAAGGGAGGGTGACATGGTGGCATTTGGGTAAGGCAGAGGCCTGCAGCTTGCCAGCTGCAGAAAGTCTCATGAGTCCCATTTGCAACCCTCACATTGCAACCCTTAGCCAACCAGAGGTATCCCAGGGTATCTGAAGAAAGCCTCCAGTTCTGCAGTCATCCTGGGAAGTAATTCTGGCCCCTGATTATGGCACACTCTCTAGTCTCAACGACATGTATGGAATGTGGTGTTAGGTATTCCAACACTTTGGCTAATAGGAAATTCATACAGTAGCAAAACATATGAGAAACTTTATTAAACAACAACAACAAAAAACCCTTGATTGCCAATTCAGAAGGCACCTGATACCTTTTCTGTGGCTCACTGCCACGGTTCTCAGTATCAGTATCACGATGTGACAGATGTTCAGCCCTGCTGAGTCATCCAGAATTCTGAGGGATGATGGAGATGCGAGATAAACCATAACCCAGGATGTCAAATCTGGATGGACAATCTGGACCTCCTCTTATGGTAGTTTTGCAACTGCATCGTGGAAAAATGACACTCAAGGGTGCTGGGGGTGGGGGGGAGATATAGTAAATGTGGGCTTCAGCATCTACCCCATTATCCATCTTAGATGCTTCACTTTCATGGTTCTAGAAATAATTTTGAAAAAAAAGTGTGGCTGCTTTGAAAGACGAGCTTAAAGAAATCTCTAATCAAATCCTATTCCCTCATCTTACTTTCACAAAATCTGATTTCCACAGAGGTTCTGTGCCTTGCCTAAGGCCTCACATGGGTTACTAAGAATACGGAAATAGGAACCTAGACCTTCTGACACCTGGCTTCAGGTTCTGTCCTTATTTTAGCCTGTGTCTGTTTGCACACCTGTTCCAAGGTGGCCCAACTGCATGGTCACCCCTTCTCCTCAAATCTTACTTGTATGTCATCTGTGTGGAATAGCAAAGCAATTTCTCTGATGTAGAAAAATATTTTTGAGGGTATGGCAAGATCTCAACATTAATTTCACCCCATGACCTGTCACAATTTGAATCAATCCTTCCAGAGGTAAAATGCAGGCCATATTTCATCAGCTGTCAGGAGGCAGGGGGCATCAGTGGAAGCATGTAAACAACATTCTGGTTTATATTCCTCATATAGAGGAAATAATAGAATGATCAAGATTTTTTTGTTGTTCACAATGGTAGTAAAATCTTTACAGCCCTGCATTTAATGACAGGCTGGTATTTCTGAAGCCTTACAACACAAACTCACCTAGAATTAAAGACTAGGGAGAAAGGAATTCATGAACTTGAGCTACTGTGATTATTACCCAGAAAGGCTAATTACATGTCTAATGAGCTTGATACAGGTGAAAGATGTAGTAGAGGTTCTCTGCTGCTGGGCCTGGTAAGAGGTCTTTGGAAATGAAGGTAATTCCAATATTTTTATGGAAGAAGAGTGGGGGAGAGGGTGGGTCAAGAAAGAAAGAACTGATGGAACTGATGGTACTTATAGCAACATGATGTGCTATGCAGGGTGTTTTGGTTTTACTCTTTTTTATTCAAACATACACACAGCATTTTTGGAAGTTAATGGAAGTTGTGAATAATATCTTCAAAAATATTTGCATATGTGTATATACATTATGAACATTTTGAGAATGAGAAAGGGATTTTTAGTGACCATAGAAAGTCTCTTCATTGACTTGTGGGCATTCCTGGATCACAGCCTAAGAGTCACTGATACGGCAAATGGACTCTCCCTCCGGTGTACTACCTGTATTCATGAGGGTTTATATTATACCTGCTAAACCATTCTCTTCTCTTAAGTTCTTCTTGTTTTAATAAAAAGAAATCTTCAGATTGTTCATAATTATAAAATATAATGTTTTCTTCTGATTATGATTTTCACTGCATCATTTGGGTTTCTAAGTACATTTTAGGGAAGGGGAATGCGGCTATGTGCAATGGGCATTTGATAATCAAATCTCCTAATGTCAGTTGCTTTGGGTAAGGGGAACCCCCAGATAATCCCGGAATAGTTTCAACCTGTTTCAATGCAGGACTTCCCTTCTTCCCACCTTCCCTCCTCAAGCTTCTAATAGGCAACTACATTTACTAGGACAATTTCTATCTCCTTTGCTTTGTTCAACATTAGAATGAGGCATTAAAGAATAAAGAGATGCACCCCCCTCCCTCCCAAAAAAAGCATAAGCAGGAAAAGAAGACAACTAAAGAGCCACGATAATCCCTGAGGCACCTCTTGAATTACTCAGTTAACCATACCAAGTTTATGCTATTCACTCCTGCAGGGCTGTTAAACTACCTGAAACTAGAGTGAGTTGGAGCTTTGACTGAGGAAGCTGAACTTGTCTGAGAAACTCTTATCTCTGAAAGCACAAATTGAGCATCATTTCCTTCACCTTCCCCTGCTCTTGCACTTAGCAACTTATAAAAGAAAGACCAGGGCCATTAGAGAAAGCTGGGTAACTGTGCCTTTGCTTGTCAGCCGTGTCCAGAGGTGCACAGCCTGTGGTGACTACCTTGAAGCCAGTTGCCTTGGAGGAAAACTAGTGATTTAGGCAGGGTAGGGTAAATGCCTCTTTTCCAGACTTAAAAGGATTGAATTTCTCAGTATGAGGTTGATAACACCAGACCATCTCATTTTTGGCAGTTTGATTGACAACTTTCTCTTCTTGTTGATCTGTATGCATCTAGATTAAAAATGTAGTGATGATGCCAGTTTATAGATCATTGTTTCTTGTGTTTGTTTGTTTTGCTTATCATTCATTTCCTTTCATTTCCCCCCTATTTTTTCTATTTTTACAGGAATTGTCCTGGATAGTAACTGTCACTGTGGCGTCTCTTTAATTGATGACAGCTGAGTACCCAGGCTGGGGTTTTTAATCACTTAATTTGCAAGAGAGGATTACACCATGTTTCCCTTCCTTTTGCTTAAACTTAAGAGGTTAAGCAAAAGGAGAAGGGCTGGGGGTTTTCCATTCTCTGGCACTGGTGCTAGAAAGCAGAAGCAGGAACCAGGTGTTTGAAACTCAGGGATGTATGCCAAATGACACTTTAATTGTCATTAATTAGGTTCCATTCATCAGGGACTGTTATTTCCATAGTCCTTAAAATTCAGCATGTTCTCCATCTTCAAGAGGAGTTGGGAGAGGACGGAGGGAAGCTTCTTGATAAAACAACTTTTAATGCTGTGTGCCTGCAAAGAAATGATGTCTCTTGCGACAATTGAAGTATGCATTGTTTTGGTCTCCTGGAGGCCCTGCTGCTGTAACACTCTAGGAAGGAAATATCTTTCTTCAGAGAGAAAATAGAACGCTACATAAGGTGTTTTCAAGTGCTTGATGATTCTGTGCTGAGAGCAAAGATTGTTGTCTGTTTTCCTACCCACCTCTTGACTGTAATTGATCTACTTTGCTCAGACTTGGGAGTAATTTAAGAAAAGACAGAGTTTTTAAAAATGATATTCATAGAAGGGTGATGTGCTAAATTAAATACTACCTTGGATGGGATAATTTAATGCTGTAACCTTGGGTGAGGCTGCCTCCTTAATAATTAGTGAGGAGACTGGCTTCATAAATGGTAGCCTGTAAGGGCATTCATTTCCCCTTCAAAGACATTTAGCTCCTGAACCTGTGCTTCCTGCATTAATTAGTCATCAACTAAGGAAAATGAGGAGAAAGAAATGGGGAAATGTTGGCCTTCGGTTGCAAATATCTTTTCCAAATTCTATAAAACAAGACTAGAATTCTTTGAAGAAAGTTGAGATGACAGATAAATAGATTCTCTATTTTCACTACTTCCTCTTTACTTTTAATCTGGAAGATGTTAATATGGTGATTTTTAAAGGATTTCCAACCACTGCTAAAACACATGCAAAAAACACATGTAACAGCAATTGGGTCTTCAGAATCATACATCTAATATGATGGAGCTGGTGACAGGTTATTCTAACAGGGAATGGCACTAGAAGCAACTTATGGGCAGCTTGACCCATCTTCATTTGCAGTGACACATATGGAAAAATTCTAGGTCCTTTGTTTTCCTTCAATATTTAGTTGAGTCAGGAAAACAATTGGGTAAATTGAATTTTATTTAATTTATATCCTGTCTCAAGTTCATGATGATGATTAACCTATGTAATCCTCACAAATATAAGTTTATTTTTTTTAGTGGATGAGAAAACTGGAGGAGTACAAAATTAAATAATTTGCCCGAAGTCCACAACTGGTGTCAGTGGGGACACAAACCAAGGCAGCATGGCTACAACTTCATGCACCTAAACAGTATAATATATACTATTAAATGTGTGGACATGTATAAAGGACTTAGCACAGGACCTAGAATGTATTCTGTGTTATCCGAGTGTTTGCTGCTGCTTCTTGTTCTTGCTCTTGTTTGTCTACCTCTTCTCCTCTCCCTTTTATTTCTACCTTCTTCTTTACTTTATAATAATAATTATTGTCATTTTCATTTTGATAGTGCAGTATACCATATCCCAGTTTCCATTAATGAGGTGCTGCATTTCTTACCTTTTTGGTGGTATTTACTCAGAAGTTACTAGGAATCTTTTTATTCATTATTCAAAGTTGTTTATATTTTTCATGTATTTACAGATTTATGTATTAAAAATGTTTCTGATTTTTTTTTTCAATTCAGATTCATCGTTTAAGGGGTTTCCAGATTTAAAGAAGGATAGCTTGTTTGTCTCTCAAACATGACCCTGTGGGTTTTTTTCCTTTTTACTAGTAAATCATCTGTGATGTACCTAATAGAGATGTTATGAATCAGAATGATTTTACCACATAAAGTTGATATGGTCAACATTTAAAATGCAGGAAAGTAGTTAATAGATTAGAAAAGTTTGATTAGTGATCTTCAGCAGTAGATGATTGTCAAAAGCAACTTCCTTCTCATCCCCATTACCTGAGCCTATTCTAACTCTTATATTTGATTTTTTACTAGGGTCAGGCCTCCCTATGAGTCCCACTTCTAAGGTGGGTCCTACTTCACTCCCTATTAGTCGCACCTCACATCCTTTACCCATGGTGTTTTCTTTGAAAAACACAAAATGAAACAAAACAAAACAAGTCTATCTTCTCCAAATCCCATCCAGCTCAACAGTATCTGCACCTGGGGACTTTTCTTCTTTTTAATCACCATTAATTTAGAGGCTCACCATGTCCCAAGCACTATGCAAATTCTTTACATACACTGGCTAAATGAATCCTCAAAATAGTCCTATGAGCTAGGCGTTATTATTTTTATATATATGAGAAATGCTTTTTTCAGCTTTAATTAGTCAGTTGAACTTTCACTTATTCAACAGGGGTTTACTGAACACTGGCTTATGTTATACTCTGTGGGATGGGTTGCTAGAAATACAGTACTGAGAAAAATAGGGTTTCTGCTTCTGGGGATGGTGGTAGAAGACATGAAGCTGTCGTGCAGATGAATATGTTTATGCTTCAGTAAGTTATTTGGATAGAAGCTAAGGGAGCTGTGGAAGAATGGCTTTTGAAACCAGGTAGGCAACATTTCAGGCCTTGATGGCTATATGATCTTGGTCAACTTATCTACTGATTTGCCTTAGTAGTAGTAACTATAGTAGTATCTACTACTTTGCCTATGTAGTCACTGTAACAATTGAGGGATTAATTAAAATAAATAAATCAAAATAGAATGTGTAGATGTAAATGGAATTTGGGGTGGCAGAGTTCCATTCATCAAACTGCACATGTGTACTGAGCACATATTAGCACAGTGCTAATTGCTGTTCAAAAGTTTTGCCTTCTCTTTTTTATGGGTCTTTTCCTTTCAGGTCTCTAAACCACCACTTATTAATACTTTCCCATTGAAGAAATATACTTCCCACCCTGATAACATCAAGCTTGCCTAATGACTTGCTTTGGCCAATAAAATATAAGTAGAAGTAACTTGTATAATTTCTGATAAGAAGCTTTAAAGCCATTGCATAGTTCAGCTACCTCCTTTTTAAAAATCTGTGCCTTGAAGATAGCGTGTCCAAAATACAGACCATTCCTTATGTGTGGATTTCAGAGTGAAGAGGTTTAGAGCACACTTGCATCCAATCTTCATGAGCACGTAAAGTGAATGAGAATTATCATTGTAAAAAGCAGAGATGTTGAGGTTGTTTATTACTACAGCATGACTAGCCTAAAATTATCGATGCATAATCACAAGAGCAGAGAGGGAGGGTCTCTACGCTCACCCACTTCTGCCACCCCCTTAATGACACTTGTTCACATTTGCCTGTTTCAGGAAGTCTGGATGAGTGAAGAAGAAAATTGGGGGCTGTGTTCCTTTGGTTACTTACACTGCTCTGTAATGCACGACCTTTGACCAAGTCTCTTATACTTGAGAGCTAGCATTTCAGCCCAAAGCATAAAACAGTGGCATCAAATCCTGGTAAAGGTAAAAATTAGTGAGAGAAGTGGGGAGCTATGATGAAAAATCCCAAACTGATCTTTTATCCTTCAAGAAACCGTTGCAAGTTCTGAAATTGCCATATTAAATTGGAAAAAAAATTCTATCAACTGTTTCCTCATCAGTTATTATGGAAACCGTCACATTTTTGTGTAATAATGCTAGCCTGCACATTAGGAAAAAGAAACTTCTAAGTTGTAGATAGAAGAGACTTTTAGGGGTCACGGAAATAGAGTCCAATCAGTCATAAATTCAGCTTTTCTCATAAATCTTTACAGCAACTGTTGTCATCAACGGCATGTACCAAAATTCTCTGAGGAACATGACACTCTTCTTTGAATATTTCTTATTACTGGTCCCAAGGAGAAACAGTTTCCACTGTAGCAATTAGCTTAATGCACTATTTATAATATGACTTCAAAATATAATCTTTCCCAACCATTTGAGAGAAAAGCCATCAGCTGTCACTTCGATGAAGAGAAAGGTGCAATATTCAAGTAAAAGTACACATAGAAGATATCAAGTATATAAATTTGAAATATGATAGAGAAATTAATTCATACGGTTTAGGAGAAATTTGTCTTTCATGAAGTACAGATCATATCATGTCTTTTATTCCTGATACTTATACAAAGCTCTTTTCCACTGCCATGCATTTGCCATGCTGTTCCAATTATTTTTAATTTCTGGTCACTTATTGACAATTTGTTATAATCCTATTTTTTTATTGCTTGCTGAGTTCATCTTATCTGCCTCTGTGTTCCCATATTACACTTGCCATATTAATACAATACTTAGAGGTGCGTGTGGGTGTGTGTGTGTGTACGTGTGTTTGAATGGATACAAAAACATATTGCACACTTGGTCCATTCAAGTGCATGTTGAATAAATCAATGAAATGCATGCTATTGAAAATGTAGTTATTAAGCTTATCTCAACTTTGTCGCATAACAAGTCATTAAGCCTCATAGTCTTCTACAAATGAAGGTATATTTGCAATATTGCACTACTCACTTAATAGTACATTAAATGAGAGAAGACTTAAGTTAAACATGGTAGATTAAACAAATCCACTTACTTTTGCTTCCTAAGTCCCCATAAAAGGAACAAAAATGATATAAATGATAGTAAAGGAGTTGTAAAAATGATGTAAATGTACAAATATGAAAAGAAGAGGAAAGGAGGTGATAGTGGCTGAAAATGGAAAATGCAAAACATGTCAATAAATGGAAACTGACAGTAGATTAGAGAAAAATAAAAGTTAAGTATCTGCAGAGTTACTGAGAAAGAAACTTGGAAAGACCTGGGAATTGGCACCATAAAATACCTCCAAAAATGAGATCAAGTATAGGAACGAAAAGAGGAAGACGGCATGAAAATTTCTCTGAAGAGTAATTAGACTCCCAGGTCCCCTTTCAGACAGAAGCTACATCTTCCCTGTCATCAGAAGACTGGAGGTTTGCTCTTATAAAAAATTGTATTAGAGTGGGTCCAGATATGGAAGCACCAGACACAACAAAAAGCAGGGTGAGAGTATATAAGGAAGTGTAAGTGTAAGACAGTCTTCAAAATGGCAGTATCCCATTCCACTCCTTTATTTGGCAGTCTGGCACTTTTCAAGAGGGTGATTGGAAAATTCCTCCCTGAGGAAATTGATGACTTCAAAATAAAAGACCCTTAGGTACTAGAATTTGAATATTCAGCAACAAAATAATCAGTAAAGGCTACAAGATAAATGAGACAAAGCAATCAAAATGGATAAAAGAAACTCAGAAAAAGAGAGACAATGTAGACAGAAGAAAATGCCAAGGAAAAGGCCGTAGTATTTGCAGAAATGAAAACACATTGTATTTATGAAACAATAACAGGATGTCATGAAAAGAAGCATTCAAAAAATACAGAAGAAGATTTGAAGATTAGAAAAATATGGTACACATTAGCATGGTATAAGGTAGTGGAATAGGTAGCACCAGGAATCTGCCTCTTCACCTAAACAATGATTACACTGGCCAAATCTTTCTGACGTAACTATTTTGAAACTCTGGAGTCTATTCCAAGGCTTGCAGTGTCCAGGGGAAGCCTTGAACAATAAACCACCCTTAATTTTAGCCAATTTCAGCTCTTATCTGGAGGTAGCAACCCATCCCCTACCCACCTCAACTCTGTGGCACATGCATGTGTTCCTGGAGCATATTGGATGAAGCTTGCAGGAGCCATGCTGGGCAATAAAGATCCTGTCCTCCAGATATCAGAGATTTGTGTTCAGATTACTATCGCTGCTTCTGATTTTGCAGGTAGAGATACAAAGGCAGGAAGCCATTGTTGTAAGCCCTTCTCCACCACCCCCTCACGTCCCCACCCCACAGCATTACTGTAAGCTACTCCTTCTCCCACTAAAACAACTTCCAGGAGATTTAAAGAGCCAGCTTTCACATTGTGGGAGTCCCACAAGCAGACGAGAGAGAAAAAGGAGCAGAGAGATTATTTAAAGCAATAATGGCCAAAAACTCCCCAAGTTTGATAAAAGACATGAATAAAACTATATCCACAAAGCTTAATGACCTCTAAGTAAGATGACCTGACATACCCAAACTGAGATACATTATAATCAAACCGTCAAAACCCCAAAACAAAGATAATCTGGAAAGCGGCAAGAGAGAAGTGACTCATCACATGTGAGGAATCCTCAACAAGATTATCAGCAGATTTTTCACCAAAACTTTGGAGGCCATTGTGTAGGGGCCTGATATATTCAAAGTGCTAAAAGAAAAAAAAGTAACTGTCAACCAAGAATTCACTGTCTGGAAAAAACCAACCTTCATAAGTGAGGAGGAAATTAAGACATTTACACATATGTGTGTGTGTGTGTGTGTGTGTGTGTGTACACACGCACGTGTATGTACACGTGCAAGAGAGAGAGAAGAAGAGAGACAAAGAGAGTTCAGTACCACTAGACCTACCCTGCCCTGCAGGAAATCTTAAAGGAAGTCTTACATGATGAAATAAAAATATACTAGAATGTAATGCAAAACTCCATGAAGAAATAAAGATCTCAATAAAGGTAAATATATGGGCAATTATAAAAGCTAGTATTATTGTAACAATTTGTAACTCCATTTTTTAATTTTACATGATTTAAGAGACTAATACATAAAAGAAAAACTATTATAAGCTAAAAGGTAGTATTATAACTTTGGTTTTAGACATAATACATAATTTTATTTTACACAATTTAAGAGACTAATGAATTTAACAAGAACAATTATTAGTATATTTATTAACACAATGCACAAAGATGTAATTGAAAAAAGTGAGGAGGAAGCTGTAAATAAAAAAGTTTTTTTATGTTATTGGAGTGAAGCTGGTGTAAATTTAACTCAGAGTGCTAAAAGTTTAGGATGTTAAATGTAATACTTATAGTAACCACAAAGTTGTTGTAGCATATACACAAAAAGAAATAAGAAGGGAATTAATACCCTAAACTACAAAAAGAGTAACTAAAACAAAACACAGTAATATAGAATATCAGGGACAAAAAAAATTAAAGTCATATAGGAAACAAATAAGAGAATGAAAGAAATAAGTCCCTTCTTAGCAGTAATTACATTGAATGTAACTAGATTAATCTCTCCAATCAAGAGATAGAGATGGGCAGAATGGGTTTTTTAAACAAAACATGATCCAGCTATGCACTGTCTACAAGAGACTCATTATAGATCCAAAGATAGGTTAAAAGTGAAAATATGGAAAAAGATATTCCACGCTCATAGTAAAAAAAAGTGAACATGGGTTGCTATACTAATATAAAAAATAGACTCTAAGTTTAAAAATTTTATAAAAGGTGCCCAAGCGCAGTGGCTCACGCCTGTAAACCCAGCACTTTGGGAGGCCAAGGTGGGCGGTTCATGAGGTCAAGAGATGGAGACCATCCTCGCCAACATGGTGAAACCCCATCTCCACTAAAAATACAAAAAAAAAATTAGCTGGGTGTGGTGGTGTGCACCTGTAGTCCCAGCTACTCGGGAGGCTGAGGCAGGAGAATCGCTTGAACCCAGGAGATGGAGGTTGCAGTGAGCTGAGATTGCACCACTGCATTCCAGCCTGGCGACAGAGAGAGACTTCATAAAAAAAATTATAAAAGGTAAAGAAAGATATTATATGTTAATAAAAGTTTCAATATAACATGAATATATAATAATTACAAACATTTAAACAATAATAAAAAACAAAAATAAATAAAACAAAAGTGACAGAATTATAAGAAGAAATAGGTATTTCTAAAATCATGATTGGAGACTTTCATACCCCACTCTCAGTAAAGGATAATACCACCAGAATGAAGATAAGTAAGGAGAGAGACTTGAATAACACAATAAACACATTAGACTTAAAAGACACGTGCACGACACTTTACTCAACAACAAAAGAATACACATTTTTCTCAAGTGCAAATGAGATATTCTCTAGGATAGACCATATATTATGCCCAAATTAAGTCTCAACATTTAAAGAGATAAATGCTATACAGTGTATTTTTCCCGTCTACAACAGGATGAAGTCAGAAATGAATACCAGAAGGAAAACTGGAAAAATTACAAATTGGTAGAAGATAAACAGGACGTTTTAAAATAATCACTGGATCAAGGAAGAAATCACAAGGGAGATTAGAAAATGCTTAGAGATGAATGAAAACAAAAGCATAACACACCCAAAGTTACAGCATGTGCTGAAAGCTAGGGGGAAAATTTAGAGCTATAAATTTAATATTTACACAGAAAAGTGCGAAAGATCTCAATCCAACAACCTAACTTTATAACTTCAGGAGCTAGAAAGAGTAACTAAACCAAAGGCTAGCAAAAGGATGAAAATAATAAAGATTAGAGCAAAAATAAAATAAAGAATAGAAAAGCAATAGAAAAAATCAATGAAATCAAAAGTTGATTTTTCAGAAAGATCAACAAAATTGACAAACATTTAGTAAATTGACTAAGAAAAAGATAGAGTAATCAAATTACTAAAATCAGAATTGGAAGTGGGGACATTACTACCAATTTAATAGAAATAAAGAGGATTATAGGAGAGTACTGTATGCCAGCGGGCCAGGCACGGTGTCTCACGCTTGTAATACCAGCACTTTGGGAGGCTGAGGCCGGCGGATCACTTGAGGTCAGGAGTTCAAGACCAGCCTGGCCAACATGGTGAAACCCCATCTCCACTAAAAATACAAGAATTAGCCAGATGTGGTGTCAGGCACCTGTTATCACAGCTACTTGGGAGGCTGAGGCAGAAGAATCGCTTGAACCTGGGAGACAGAGGTTGCAGTGAGCTGAGACCTCACCACTGAACTCCAGCCTGGGCAACAGAGCAAGACTCTATCTCAAAAACAAACAAACAAAAAACAGAAAACAAAAACAAAAAAATGAGTACGGTATGCTATCTAATTTGGTAATGAGGACAAAATGGACAATTGCTAGAAACACAAAACTTGCAAAGACTAAATCATGAAGAATTAGAAAATCTGAATAAACCTATAACAAATGAGATAGAATCAGTAATCAAAAATCTCCCAACAAAGTAAAGCACTGGACCTGATGGCTTCTCTGATGAATTCTACCAAACATTTACAGAAATAACATGACAAAATCAAGCTTTTCCAAAAAATTGAAAAGAAGGGATAACTTCTTAACTTGTTCTATGAGGCCAGGAGTACTTTGATACCAAAGCCAGACCAAGCCATTACAAGACAACTACAAACCAGTATCACTTATGAATGTTAATGCAAACATCCTCAAAAAAATACTAGCAAAATTAATTCAAAAGCCTATTAAAAGGATTATATAACATGACCAAGTGGGATTTATTCCTGGAATACAAGCATACTACCCAAAGCAATCTACGGATTCAAAGCAAACTCAATGACTCAATAAAATCCCAATCTACAGATTCAAAGCAATCCCAATGACTCAACAAATTCCCAAAGTCTTTTGTTGCAGAAAGAAAAGCCTATCCTAAAATTCATATAGAATTTCAAGGTACTGTGAATAGCCAAAAAAAAATACAGTTCCATACCTAGGTAGGTATCAATCAGTTATGAAAATGGTTGGAGGCTAATGTTCTTCCCCAAATGTCCTCAAACCTGTGACTATATTACCTTCCTTAGCAAAAATAACTTTGAATTAATTCAGGACCTTGAGATGAGACAGTTTTTCTGAATTATCAGGGTGGACCTAATGTAATTTTAGGGTCATTATAAGTGAGACACAAGAGCACTGGAGTCAGAGAAAATGTGAACACAGAAGCAAAGGTCTGAGTGATGCCTTTGCTAGAAAGGGTAGTGAACCAAGGAATGCAGGCAGGCTTTCAAAGCTGGAAAAAGCAAGGAAACCAATTGTGCTATAGAGCCCCGAGAAGTATCACAGGCCTGCCAATCTATTTTAGAATTCTGACCTACTGTAAGGTGATAGATTTGTGTTGTATTAAGTTTGTAGTAATTTGCTACAAAACAATAGAAAACTAATACAAAGATAAAGATATTTTTGAGGAACGTTATTTAGAGTTTGTTTGTGATAATGTTGGGACATACTAGTAGCAGAGAATTTAAAAAGAAGTATCTTCATTTTCCAAACAAGGGAGACAATAGAAAATGTTAAAAAATTAGAAAAATCAAGAAACGAGCAGTATAAGAAAGCTGTTTATAAATGTGGAGGTAAATGCCAAGAAAATGTAGCTAAAAGAGTGAAATATGCTGGCTTTTAGGGACTGGAAGTCAGAAGTGGGAAGATTTGACATTTTTAAACTCTGTTTATCTATTGTGTAGGATTAGAAATACACAAAAAGAAACAATGAGATTGGAGAGGAGAAAACCCTTTTGTTTACTGGTGGAATTCATTCTTCCTTTTTTAAATGATTCTACTCTATAAGTTTTTCACTGGACTTGACACATATTAATGTTAAATATCTGCTTATGATATTGTTTCCTGCACTAGTCCCTTAGCTTGACATTCACAGTACATGCTCAGTAGCATGTGGTTGGCACATAATCTACTGGGGTTTGTTCTGTGTCTCATTCATCATTATATCCCAGACCCTGATACAATACTTGACATACAATATATAGTGGCTGAATAAATGAAATTCTGGCTGAAAAATGAATGAATGCATAATCATTATTAGGACTTTTATGAGCATCATAAATCACAGGTTAATTTGAGAAAGAAGATATTTTAAAGACTTTCATGAAAAGTGGGTATTTGAAATATTCTTGAGGAGACATACTATGACAAATTTCATATCTCTGCATAGGCACATACATTCTCTTACCTTCAAAGCTTCAATGTATATTATGTAATTATGCACACTTTTAAGCAAGCTCCTTCCTATTGCATTAGGTAGGTTGATTCTACAGCTGAATCACTGAATTGGTTATCTCAGTCACAAGTACAACATGGTCAAGACAAACATCAATAGGGTGTGTATCAGGCAGGGTGCAGTCAGAAAAAAATGAGCTATTGTAAATATTATGGTAATAAGGATTTTATTATAGGAAATTGATCTTGTGCACGTATGGGAGGGGCTTGGTCAATGAAGATCTGGAAGAGGGGTGTCAGAAGATCCAAGAGAATTACGACATAGTCCATCTGGAGCACTGGCATGGGGTGAATAATATGGAGCTTATGGGAGAATCTGAAATTGCAAGCACAGAAGGCTTCAGGAGTGGAACTATGAAGACGAAGCCTCTAGGGTATTCCTGTGAAAGCTGTTGCCCCCATGTAATTACCACTTCAGTCAGTCCACAGCCAGGCAGCTGGTGGTGCGTGGGCCTGGAGATGCTGCTGGGCAGTAGGGGCAGCAGGTGGAAAACAAAGTCAGCATGAAACAGGGGAGAGTGAGGACAAGCTGTTAGGCATCTCTGCATTTTTTCATGTCGCTATGTCTCATCACAACAGCCTTCCAAGAATAAGGGTTCTGCATTTCTCCACCTTCCAAATCTTGCAAAACTTCATTTTTGTTTTGGCAACTGTAACATAAAACCTAACAGTAAAGGGGATTCTGGACTATGTAATTCTCAATCTCCATCAAGTTGATGTAACAAAATGTAGCACAGATGAGGACAGATGCACTTCTAACAGGGAAAGGGGAAAGTCTTTGTTGTATATTTGCTGAACAATAATCCAGATTTTTTACAGCGAACTTCAACTTTGAAAACTTGGGATATTGCTATCTCCCTCTAAACTTCAATCATGAAAACCTCAGAACTATTTCACTCTAAGGGAATATAACAATTAAACATACATGAAGATATTCAGCTTTCTCTGATATGTATAGTAAGTGCTAAAAAATGTTAAGGCTGGACATGGTGGCTCAAACCTGTAATCCTCCAACACTTAGGGAGGGAGAGGTGATAAGATAGCTTGAACCCAGGAGTTTGAGACACCTTGGGCAACATAGTGAGACCCCATTCTCCACACACACAAACATACACACAAAAATGTTGGTTTCTTTTCCTGTTGAATGGCATAATTTTATAGGTAAAAGAAACCCAAGAAGTAAAATAGGTCAGTTTCTGACTACTGATCTCAGCCACTCCTAACCTAATAGACTTTCAGTCACACCCAAAAACTAGTGCCTTGCAGAAAAATAAAAGCCACTGCAACTTCCCAGTAATGTTCTGAATACATAGTTTGCACAATACTCTGTGTGAGGTGCTCTGTGAGGGATGGCAGGTTTCACTGATGAGTCTAACTTGGTTTGTGCTCTCAAGCAGCTGATCCTGAAGCTGAATAGACAAGGCTAGTGTGTTTGTGCCTATGATCAAAGACACACTAAAAGAAACTGCCCCAAAGTTAAAATAATATGGATTTTTCAGAGAACACGTAGGGAATGTCAATCAGCTGGCTGTGGACAGATTTTCTAGTTGAAACTTATTTAAGAGGGAAGGAAGGGAGGGTTAATAGAGAGCTATTAATTATATTCTGAGGTGGAGAGAGAACACACCAAGGCTAACATCTGATGGCCTCCATTTTCTTAGAGTTCTTAAGCAGAATAAGCAGAGTGTGGTCATCTATGAAAAGTAAAATTAATCAGCATTAGTACAAATAATTTTCTGGAAAAGGAGTAAAACAAAAGGGTTTTCTGGTAGCCTTCATAACTCTGAAATCATAAATTTATTTGAGATAGTGTCGATAAAGTTATTATTGTTACTTTTATTTGAGTAAAAGGTTTGGATTTGGTTATTGACTGATACACATTCCGGGGATATTCATTTCTTCCACTTCCCTGCAACTCTCAATTTATTTTTTATAAAATGTTTCAGATTAATTTGAAATTATTGTCTTGCTTTACTCAAAAGAAAAACCTCAACAAGGTTTTCATTTTTATAGCTTATGACTTAGAATTTGTTTGTTTGCTTTTCTACAGGAACTATAATGACCACCTTTCACAGGTGACTTGCTGCTGTTTAGGAGAGGCTTGGTGATTATCATCAGAAAAGAGCCAAAGAAGGAAGAAAGAGAATTAAATGTGTCTAATTCTCAAATGATAAAATATAGCCCTAAAGCTATTAAAGCACATGTATTGTTAGGTGACCTAGGAGTTCTGGAAAGTGTGAAAGGCAGCAACATCAAGTGACTTTCTTGGTTGTAATAATCTATGGATAATCTAAGAATTATCACATCGAGGTGTGCAGGATCCATTTAGCATTGCTAATGGCATTTTGTATGTGGGTAGTAATGGCCTGATAGCCACTTTCCTTTTGAGCCTCCATATTGCAGTGTATGATTCATAGCCAACACTTGAGGCTTTAAATAATAGACCTTTTCATTTTGATTCTCTGATCCTAAAATTCCTAATGACATAGCATTTTTAAGGCACTAATGTGAATTCTACATTTACATTCACAGGAAATGTTTTTAATTTATTCATGTAAAAAATGGTTTAATAGTTTGATTGCTTTGTTCACTGAAATAGTAATTTTAAAACACTTGAAATTAAACTGAAAAGTCAAAAGTGTTTTAAAACATCTCTAAGACAATTATGTAAAACTCATGGGCTTAAATATTAAAGTAACATTGACAAGTTGGGAGGAATGAAATATGATTCAAATGTTTTAACTGATTTTCAATCAATCAAGGGCTTGAACCTGAATTTCCTATTTTAGCTTTTAAACTCATTGGGGGCAAAGTTTGACTTTATTAAAATCTGTGTATGAATTTGGAAGATATTCTATTATAGACAGAAGCTATGTTGGGCAAAGGGGCTTCAATCCTGTCTTGGCTGTAAACACCCCACCTTCAATGCAGTGCATGACAAAAATATGACTTGGTATTTCAAGCAAGTTTGCTGTTCCAAACCCACACATTCTGAGCTGCATCAGCTTTGAAATTCAAATGCCAGATGATTTGGAAATCACTTTTGAGGAGAAAAATATATTATGGTGCATTCTCCCTTGCCTGGCTGGATTGATGACAAAGCCTTTACATATTTACAGGTTAAAAGAGGCAGTGAGCAGGAAAGTCCCTTGTCTATAACATAAATTGACAACCTTAGTCTCTTTGAGATGTGGGTTCACAAGAGTTCAGAGAGCATTTTTTTGCCAGGAACACTAAAACCTCAGAGGGACATCAGCTCTTTAAAGGCAGGAAAGGACCCTAGCACTTATCTACTTTAATCCTTTGGTGTCTCTATGTAAAATGGTATAAGAATAGCCTCTAAATATCTTAGAGGGTTGTGGTGAAGATTAAATAACAAAGACAATTTCTATACGGAACTTGAAACATCTCAGATACTTGTTATATGTTCACCTCTTTCATTCATTTCCACAGATATTAGTCTTCCTTTGTGTTTAGCAGCAAATAATGTGAATCCATAAGCAAGTACATGGAAGGCCAAAGATATTAAGCTATTGGTATTGCAAATAAATGTAACACCTGTCTAGCTACTCTGTCTGTTAATCTGACAACACTCAATTTACCTTTCTAATTAAAAGCTTACTTAAAATCTACCTTTTGATATTTTGTTTGCACCCCTTTGGTTATTTTATATTTTGACATTTTGAATATGTTTTAAGTTTTATTTATTTTGGCTAAAGACTCTTTCTATATGATTGTATAATATATGTACAATTTGTAGCATCTTCTGAATAACAAGGATCCTTTGAAATCTTATAAGCATCTTTTTTCTAGTTTATGTAAATTGGAAAGCTGAGACACTTTAGCCATTTTATCTAAAAATCTCTATACCAAATCTTTAATTTGTTAGTTTAGTTTAATTTTTATAATTCAGCACTAAGCAAACTGGCTTTAGGGAACTATTGTTTGTTTGTTTGATGAAGTGCTCTTGTACCACCTCAGATACGCATTTAATCCCCTCAAATAGAATCTTGGCCTTCTGAGATGTAGTGCAGGGCCTCTTAGATCATAGGAAATGATTCGCAGGGTGAGATGGATTCACCACTCAGGCTTCAAGCACTTTAGACAGCCAGAAATGGTAAGATAGAAAACACCTTGATCTGTAGCATAATGCAACAGGAATGTTGCCTAACTCCAGGAGTATGTTTGTCCCAACTGCAGCAATGTGTTCGTATTTGTGTTTTACTAACTGTCACTATGTTTTTATGACCAGCCCTCCCCTACCAGACCAAGCAACTTTAGTATAGCTCTCAAATTCTTTTCATTTCTGTATTCTTTATAATTATGGTCTAGAATATAGTAGATATTCAATAAATTTTAAAACAAGCAAATGATTAGGGGAAAACTGTACAAAGAAAAAAAATCTTTGGGTGACTTCCCAATTCAAAACACGTCTAACCTAATTTTTTGACATTATGGAGCTAATCATATCATAATTTATGATGATATTGATTCAGAAGGATGTTTGAGATACCTGCTTTATTTCTGCTGACATCTACTTGGCTGATTTACTCACTTCCTCCCTTCTCTCACTTCATTTATGGTCCCATTTCACCTTCTCAAAGAGGTCTGCACTGATGATATATTTAATAACTGTCCCTCTACCTCATCCCAGACACCCACGATCTGCAAGACCTTTCCTTTATTTTCCTTTTTACAAAAATCCTTTTCCTTTCCAAAGTTCTATATCATCTATTTATTGTCATTATTGTATACTGATTCTCTCTTGCTGTCAGCTTGTAAATTTCACTAAGGTAGATCTGTTAATTTGTTTTGTTCACTAATATTTCCCAAGTACCTTGAATAATGTCTAGCACTTTGTAGGAGCTCAATAAATGTTTATTGACTATATGAATAGAAGACACTCAAAAGTCAGCTCTAATTGTTAGGTTTCTAAGATAGGAGTTAAAATTTTGACATTGTATGTAGATTTGCCATGATAAGGTTGGAAAGTAAGGGGTCTAGTTTTCACAAAATTAATGTATCCATACACTACCATTCAGATCTGCTGCAGTTTTCACAGAGTTGGAAGTAGTCTCCGTTTGTGTTGGCCCCAGTGGTTCATCCCATTCCTTGAGTGGCCACGACTGTTTTGCTCTTTCTCCTTTCTGCCTTTACCATTTTGCTTAACCTGCTTCTACGCTTTTTTTTATGCTCAACTCTGTTGTGCCTTGTGCTGTTAGCTGTTTCTCAACAGGAGTAAAGTTAAGCATGTATGTGCGCTCTGAATTCAAACTACTTGAGTTTTTATGTTGAACTCATCTTTACTAGCTGGATGTGTGATTCAGGGCTATTTTCCTTACTGCTCTGCAACTCAATGTACTCAGCTAGAAAATTGGGATAATCTTGCTTCTTCTGTGTAGAAATGTATGAATGAATAAGATCTTATATGAGGCAATTATAACAGTGTATAGCATATAGCAAACTCTCAAGATTAAAATGAAAGTCATTTTAGTTCTGGCTCAAGTGGACCATAAATTTCTTTAGAGTAAGGACCATCCAGGATTCCTTTTTTTTTCTGTGTATCCTAGAGAATATAATAGCACATACTATACATATTTACTGATTGATTTTTTGACTTTTCAGCTGTTTGGTTTGTTTTAATGACAGTGAAGACAAGGTTTTTATGATGTCCCTAAAGATAGCTATGAAAATAAAAAGCAAAATGAATATCACATACTAAGATAATATTAGTTCTTATTATACTAGCTTTTCTTTGTGAAACCTGTAGTGAAAATGCTTGTCATTATTGGGTCTTCAAGCCATTAATTTATTGATTCTCCACCCTAAACCTCACAAAATTTGACTGAAATCCTAACAAATGTTAATGCTCACTAGCTAAAGGACCCCAGGATACACTTACAGTCAAATAAAGTTGAGTTTATTACTTCCTGCAAAAAGGGATATTGTACATTTTTGATAATAGTAGGTACTTTGATAAGAAAGTTTTGGGGTATGGATTGTCACGGGATTGGATCTTGTGTTAAGTGACCTGGGGAGATTGGAAGGAAATAGAGATCTATTCTGAATTTGGTAATTTTATGAGGAAGGGATAAATTTATGAAGTATCTTAATATTTGTTTAGTTCACACATAATAATTATACTTATTTATGGTATATAGAGAGATATTTTGATACATGTATACAATGTGTAATGATCAAATCAGGGTAATTAGCATATCCATGATTTCAAACATTAATCATTTGTGTTGTGAACATTCAAAATTCTGTCTTCTGGCTTTTTGAAAATATACACTAAATGATTGCTAACTGTATTCAGCCTACAGTGGTACAACACACTAGAAGTTATTTCTCCCATCTAGCTGTAACTTTGCATTCATTAACCAACCTCTGCCTATCCTTCCCTCCCTCTTCCCTTTCCCAGCCTATAATGACCATAATTTTACTCTCTGCTTCTATGAACTCATTCTTTTAGCTCCCATATATGAGTGAGAACATGTGATGCTAATCTTTCCATACCTGACTTATCTTTCCATGCCTGACTTATTTCACTTCATATTAATATTCTCTAGGCTCATCCATATTGCCACAAATGACAGGATTTCATTGTTATGGCTAAATAGTATTCCATTGTGTATATATGCCACATTTTCTGTATCCATTCATCTGCTGATGGGCATGTGGGGTTATTACGTAATGGTGGCTATTGTAAATAGTGCTGCAATAAACATGGGGTTGTTGGTATCTCTTTGTTATAATGATTTTATTTCCTTTGGATAAATACCCAGTATTGGGAATGCTGGGTCATAGGTAGTTTTATTTTTAGTTTTTTGAGAAATCTACATGCTGTTTTCAATAATGGCTGTATTAATTTACATTTGCACCAACAGTGTGTATGAGTTCCCTTTTCTCTGCACCGTCAACAGTATACGTTATTTTTTGTGTTTTTGATAACAGCCATTCTAACTGGGGTATGATGAGACCTTATTATGGTTTTTTGTTTTTATTTTGGTGATGATTAGTGATGTTGAGCATGTTTTTATATGTCTGATGGAATTTGTTTTTATTTTTTGTTGTTGTTTTTGAGACAGAGTTACACTCTTGTTGCCCAGGCTGGAGTGCAATGGCTTGATCTCGGCTCACCACAACCTCCACCTCCTAGGTTCAAGTGATTCTCCTGCCTCAGCCTCCGTAGTAGTTGGGATTACATGCATGGGCCACCATGCCCAGCTAATTTTGAACTTTTAGTAGAGATGGGGTTTCTCCATGTTGATCAGGCTGGTCTCGAACTCCCGGCCTCAGGTGACCTGCCCGCCTCGGCCTCCCAAAGTGCTGAGATTACAGTTGTGAGCCACCACGCCCAGCAGGCCATTTGTATGTCTTATTTTGAAACATGTTTACTCAAATCATTTGCCCATTTTTTAATGGGATTATATGGTCTTTGCTGTTGAGACGTTTGTGGTCCTTGTATATTCTGGATATTAATCTCTTGTCAGGTTAAGTTTTCAAATATTTTCTTTTATTCTACAGGTTGTGTCTTCACTCTGGTGATTGTTCCTTTGCTATACAGGAGATTTTTTTGATTGATATAGCCCCATTTGCCTATTTTTGTTTTTGTTGCCTGTACTTCTAAAATCTTACCCATAAAATCTGTACCAAGACCAATGTTCTGAAGCATTTCCTTATAATTCTTCTAGTAGGTTTTATAGTTTCAGGTTTTACATTTAAGTCTTTAATTCATTTTTAGTTGATTTTTGCATATGGTGAGATATGGGGCTCTAGTTTCATTGTTCTTGATGTGGATATTCAGTTTTCCTAGCTGCATTTATTGAACAGGGTGCCCTTTACCCAATATATATTCTTGGTGTCTTTGTCTAAAATCAGATGATTGTTAATACATGGATTTATTTCTGGGTTCTTTATTCTGTTTCATTGATCTATTTTTCTATTTTTATAATAATACTGCACTGTTTTGTTTACTACAGCTTTGTAATATACTTTGAAGTCAGGTAGTGTGATGCCTCCAACTTTGTTCTTTTTGCTCAGCATTGCTTTGACTATTGTCAAGAAACCAAATGTTTTTTGGTCCCATATGAATTTTAAGATTTTTTTTCTGCTTTCATAAAGAATGTTATTGGTATTTTGATGGGTATTGCATTGAATTTGTAGATTGCTTTCTGAAATATGGTTATTTTAATAATATTAACTGTCCTATTCCATTTTTTTGTGTCCTCTTCAATTTATTTCATCAACATTTTGTAGTTTTTATTGCAGAAGTCTTTTACTTCCTTGGTTACATTTATTCTTAGTTATTTTAATTTTTGTAGCTGTATATTTTTGTATGGAATTTTTTAAAATTATGCTTTTACCTAGTTAATTATTGGTGTATATAAATACTACTAAGATTTGTGGGTTGATTTTCTACTCTGTAACTTTACCGAATTTGTTGATTACTTCTAAGAGGGTTTTTTTGTGGGTTTGTGGGGTTTTCTATGTATAAGATTATGTCATCAGTAAAGAGGGAATTCTGCTTTTCCAGTTTCCATGCACTGTATTTTTTTTCTCTAGGCTATTTTCTCTGGATAGGACTTCTGGTCCTATCTTATTCTTATGATAAATAAGAGTGGTGAAAGTGGGCATTCTATCTTCTTCCAGCAATTAGAGGAAAGGTTTTTTTAGCATTTCCACACTCAGGATGATACTAGTTGTGGGTTTGTCATATATGGATTGTATTGTGTTTGTGCACATTCCTTCAGTAGCACTTTGTTGAGTTTTTTGTTTGTTTGTTTGTTTTTTACCATGAAGAGATGTTAGCTTTTATTGTTTTTTGTTTTTTGTTTTTTTTTTACCATGAAGAGATGTTAGCTTTTATCGTTTTTTGTTTTTTGTTTTTTGTTTTTTTTTACCATGAAGAGATGTTAGCTTTTATTGTATGCTTTTTCTGTATGAATTGAGATGATTATATGATTTTTGTTCTTCATTCTGTTGATGTGATGTTCTTCATTCTGTTGATCACATTATTGATTTGCATAAGTTGAACCCTTCTTGTATTCTTGGGATAAATCCCATTTGATCATGGTGTATTATATGTTGGTGTATTGCTGGGTTTGGTTTGCTAGTAATTTGTTGCATGTTTTGCATGTGTTTTCATCAGAAATATTGGTCTGTACTTTGTGTGTGTGTGTGTTTGTGTGTGTGTGTATGTGTGTCCATGTCTGATGTTGGTATAATGGTAATGCTGGCTTCATAGAATGAGTTAAGAAAAATTCCCTTCTCTTCAATCTTTAGAATAGTATAAGAAAAATTGTGTTAATTCATTTTTTAAATTTTAATAGAATTCATAGTAAAGCAATCAGTGCCAGGCATTTCTTTTTTTAGGAGACTTTTATTACTGATTCAATCTCATTATGTGTTATTGGTAAGTTCAGATTTTTTCTTTCTTTCTTTCTTATGTATTTATTTATTTAGACACGGAGTCTCACTCTGTTGCCAGGCTAGAGTACAGTGGCATGATCCTGGCTCACTGCAACCTCTGCCTCGGGTTCAAGTGATTCTCCTGCCTCAGCATCCCAAGTAGGTGGGACTACAGGTGTGCGCCACCACGTCCAGCTAATTTTTGTATTTTTGGTAGAGATGGGGTTTCACCATGTTGGTCAGGATGGTCTCAAAATCTTGACCTCGTGGTCAGCCCGCCTCAGCCTCCTGAAGTGCTGGGATTACAGGCATGAACCACTGTGCTCAGCCTTCTTCCTTATTTAATCTTGTTCAGTTACACATCCAGGAATATATATATTCCCCATAGGTTTTCTAATTTGTTGGCATATAGGTGTTCCTAATAGTCTCTAATGATCATTTGTTTTTCTATAGTATCATTTGTAATGTCTCTTATTTCATTTCTGATTTTATTTATTTGGGTCTTCTCTCTTTTTTTCTTAGCTTAACTAATGATTTGTCAAATTTATCTTTTCAAAAACACAAATTTTCATTTTGTTTATTTTTAAATATATTTTAAGTATCTATTTAGTTTATTTCTGCTCTGATATTCATTATTTTTCCTCTACCTATTTTGGGTCAGATTTGTTCTTGCTTTTCTGGTTCCTTGAGGTGCATTGCTAGGTTATTTGAAATCTTTCAACTTTTATAAAATAGACAGTTATTGCTATTAGTGCTGCTTTTTCTGTGTCCCATTGGTTTTGGTATGTTATGTTTCCATTTTTATTGATTTCAAGAATTTTTTTTGCTTCTTAATTTTTTCACTGAGCCACTAGTTGTTTGGAAGCATATTATTTAATTTCCCTTTATTTGCACAGTTTTCAGAGTTACTCTTTCATTGATTTCTAGTTTTATTCCATGATGATCTGAGAAGGTACTTGATATGATTTAAATTTTTTAAAAATTTTAAGTCTTGTTTTATGACCTAATATATGGTCTATCATGCATAATATTCCATGTGCTGATGGAAAGAATGTGTATTCTGTAGCTTTTGGGTAAAATGTTCTGCAAATATCTGTTAAGGCCTTTTGATCTATAGTGAAGTTTTAATTCAATATTTCTTGGATGATTTTTCATCTAGATGGTCTGCCCAATGATCAAAGTGGAATGTTGAAGTTTCTAACTATTGTATTGGGCTCTATCTTTCTCTTTAGTTCTAATGATATTTGCTTTAAATATTTATCTGCATACTCCATTCTTCAGTTCATATATATTTACAGTTGTTATATTCTCTTGCTGAATTGATCACATTTTCATTGTATAATGACTTTTTTTTGAGATGAAGTTTCACTCTTGTTACCCAGGCTGGAGTGCAATGGTGCGATCTCGGCTCACCGCAACCTCCGCCTCCTGGGTTCAAGTGATTCTCCTGCCTCAGCCTCTTGAGTAGCTGGAATTACAGGCCTGCACCACCACACCTGGCTAATTTTGTATTTTTAGTAGAGATGGGGTTTCTCCATGTTGGTCACTCTGGTCTCGAACTCCCGACCTCAATTGATCCCCTCACCTTGGCCTCCCAAAATGCTGGGATTACAGGCATGGGCCACTGTGCCTGGCTGAGCTTCATCTCTTTTCATGTTTATTGACATCCAGTTTATTTTGTCTGATAAAATTGTTTTTTATGCATGATTTTGTTTTCCATTTGTATGGTATATCTCTTTCTGTTTCTTCCTTTTCAGTCTATACTTACAAGTGAAGTGAGTTTCTTGTAGGCAGCATATTTGGGTCTTTTTTTAAAATCAGTTTAGCTAGTCTATATCTTTTAGTTGGAAAACTTAAATTATTTGCATTCAAGGTTGTTAGTGATAGGTGAAAAGTTACTTCTGTCCTTTCACTAGTTGGTTTCTGAAGTGTTTTGTGTATGTTTTGTTGCTTTATCTCTTAATGTTTATTTTTCTGATTTGGGTAGTGAGCAAAATTTATAAAGTTCGATTCCTTTCTCTTTCCTATTTGTGTATCTAACAGTGAGTTTTATACTTTCTGTGTGATTTATGACGGAAAATATCATCCTTTCAATTCCAGATGCAGATTTTCCTTTGGCATTTTTCTGTAGTGCCACTCTATTGATAATAATTTCCCTCAGTTTTGCTCATCTGGAATAGAGTTTATTTTTCATTTCTGAAGGATAGCTTTACTGGTGCAGTATTCTTACATGACAGTTTTTTTGTTTGTTTGTTTCTTTGTTTCAGCACTTTGAATATATTATACCATCCTCTCCTGGTTTCTGCTGAAAAATACATTGTTAGTCTGATAGGTATTGTTTTCTATGTGACTTGATGGCCTTCGTTGCTACTTTTTTCTCTTTGAATGTTACAGTTTGACCGAACTGTGACTCAGAGAGAACTTTTTGTTTTGAAACTACTTGGGGATTGTTGAGCTTTCTGTATCTGAATGTCTATATCTCTTATAGGAATTGGGAAATTTTCAACTGTTATTTCATTAAATAGGTTTTTTATGCCTGTTCACATTTCTTCTCCATCAAGGACTCTCAAAATTTGAATATTTCTTCACTTGATCATATTGCATATGTCATGCAGGCTTTCTTCATTTCTTTATATAGTTATTTTTTGTCTGGGTTATTTTAAAATCCCTGGCTCAAGTTCAGAATTTCTTTCTTCTGCTTGTTTTAGACTACTGGTAAGGCTGTCAATTGTATTTTTATTTTCAGACATTGAATTTTACAGTTCTGGGATTTCTGTTTTTTTCTATGCCTCAATAATTTTGTGTGAGGAAGTTATGACTGGTTGATGCTTCCTTTTACTTGTTCCACTCAAATTTTTGTTGGTAACATCAGTGATAATGACTGGATTCAAAGGAAGTCAAAAATGCATTTTTTTGTCCTAATATACCATAGGCATGTGAGGTTGACTCATGAGAGGCAAGCCACAATGGGTGAAATTAAAACTTAGAGGTAATCCCATCAGGTAAAGCTTAGAGTTGAGGTAGGACACAGACCAAACTGCAGGTAATAGAGGTGTGACATAAAAGGTGAAGGTGGGTGTTTGAGAAAACAGGAACAATCCACAAGCAGAATACTAGGCTATAGACAAGTCAACTAAAAATAACTAGACCTAAGAGTCAGAGAAATACTAGGACACAGAAACAGAAAGTCAGTGAATATTTACACAGGTAGTAAGATGCTAACCAAACTTCCAGTCTTCAGTTATACAGATAGAATCCAAATCTTGGA
Source organism: Homo sapiens (assembly GCF_000001405.40). NCBI lineage: Eukaryota > Metazoa > Chordata > Mammalia > Primates > Hominidae > Homo > Homo sapiens. Next base: position 21,439,291 of record NC_000011.10, read on the forward strand.
TGTTATAAAGCACAGAGAAGGACAAGACAGATTTTAATCTAGACTGTACCCAGAGAACAAGGAAAATGCAGGGCCAAGAACTGGGTGAGTTGGTTCTGGGCATTATAAAATATTTAATGTCTTCTGATTATGCAGAAGCAGATTAATCTCGGATCACTGACTGGAACAGTGTCTACAGATGGGAGTCATATGGCAAGAGCAAAGGCAGGTGAACTGGCTTAGAGGGTCAAGGATAATAGGTCAAGCTGTCACTGTGATGACTTGATCAGCATTAAATGGATTAAAGCATACAAAATTAATTCATGACTTCAGAGCCTAGGCTTCTGCTTTTGGGATCATTTCTTACTAATACAGTGCCTTCCTGTATTAGTAAGTAATACAGCCAAGTCAATGAGCATCCCAGCTTCACGCCATGTTTCAAGTTTAGGGTTTTAGATGTTGAGTGTGATCCGCATAGAGTTTTCATCTATTTAATTCTTTAAGGAAGTACAAATTTTACTAGATCTTATCTTCCTTCTGGAATTTACCTGAGAACACTCATTGATGGCCATTTCTAGCACCATTTTTTTCCAAACTCTTACTATATTACATTGCTTAGCTGCCTCACTATCTACCAACTAATAAAATATTTAGATCACAAAGCCAGACATTCTTGCAGATAAAGAAAATAATGAGAAATATTACCTGCCTTTTGGGAGCTTTTATTCTACCAAGGAAAGGCATGACTAAAATAAAGGAGAATACCATAAACCATATTATCTACTATTACATACAGAAAAACCAATATTTGGCCAAGGTTAATACAAAGTTAATTCATAGAATTCCAGGATCAGGGTTCTGAATCACAATCTTAGGCAACTGAAAAAAAGCTTCTTATAGTAGATTTACCTAAACTAACACCTGAGGAATGAATAGGCACTAACTGAGTAAAGAAGGTGATTGGGTCAATGCTCTAAGTTATTTTAAACATCAGCCTACTTTCTGTCTTTATTGTAGTAAGTAAACAAAAGTAAGTTTTTTTTTTTTGATGACTTAGGGTCAGAGCAAATAACTCAAAGGTGGACTTACATCATAGCAACCTAAAGGTATTTTTATTTTAGTTAGTTAATTAAAGTATTTATCTGCATTTAAAAGTATTTATTTAGGTGATGATAAAAGTAACACAGCAATATTTTCTGGGTAAATTTATATTCCGTGAAGTCAGGCTCTTGTCAATTAAATTTTCACTATATCCAAGAAAGAAACAATGTCAAAATAAATTTAGTGCAGGCTTATCAATCAGTTTAGCCAAGGCATTAATATAACATCATAGTGAAGATGTACTACCTACTGAAGGAGCGTTGTTAGTGTCTGGAAAAAATGGGTATGAAAACATTTATTAATTCACTGGTGAGATGTCTTGGAAGCTGAAGAATTCGTGTGCTAAGAAGGAGGCAGTGACAATCAGCACCCAGTGCCACATAGTCAAGGAGAATGGGGAGGAATAAAAGGCCTTGGTATTGGGTAGGAACAAAGATATTAATTCCATTTGTGAGAGTACTTTTTGCAGAGTGCTAGAATGCCATGATTGCAAACCTGCCTGAGAAAAGTCTGCAACTTTTATTTATTGCTTATAGACCAGAATTATATTAAAGACTTTTACCTCTAACAACTACATTTACCTGAGTATGTTATTGAATATCTGTAAAACGTATGAAAAGAAAGAAATGTAGGTGTTATTTATATTTAGTTCACAATTCTACAGAGCCTGCTGTGTTTTTGCAAATGTTTGAAACTCCTTTATTATTAAACCTCTTTAATCTTACCTCCTACATCTCAACTACTGGGATCATTTCTGACACCAACACAGAACTGGGGCTATTCTCCAGAACACAATTTGATTCTCCATTCCAAACTTTGGCTGTCTTTATTTCTTCTATCTCAAATGTCCTCCTTGTTTTGCCTTTTTAAAAAGTGTCAACCTTTGACATCATTTCTATTTATAATATTTTTTCAGGATAATTCTGAACAGCCATATATTCTTTACTCTGAGGCTGTGACGTGTGTGTGTGTGTGTGTGTGTGTGTGTGTGTGTGTGTGTGTGTGTGTGTGTTCTATGATATGGTATGTTCCGAACTGTCTTTTGATGGGTTTTATCTTCCCACTTGTATTGCACAGTTCTATTGTGTAGGGATCATGGCTTGTACTACTTTGTACAATATTTTCACAATATTCTGTGCTAATATTATATGCATAATCATTAAAGGCTGTATGATATTGTAACACTTTCATTAGAAAGATCTAGATTTTAAACAAAACTCTCAAGCTATGGTTTTCTAGCTCTAAAATGCAGGTAAAGGTACCTGCTTCTTAGGGTGGCAATGAAAAATTGAAAAAAATGTATGTTGAGAGTTTGACACTTTAATTTATTTATAAATGTTAATTATCTTTCTTTATAAATTGTTGGGTTGATAAGGTCTGACATCAGTAGGTAGTATATCTTCACTATGGTGTTATATTAAATGCCTTGGCTAAACAGATAATCCTGTACCAAATTTATTTTGACCTTGTTTCTTTCATGGATAAGGTAAAAATTTGATTAACAAGAGCCTGACTTCATGGAATATATATTTACCCAAGAAATATTGATATGTTACTTTTATCATCCTCCAGATAGATACTTTTAAATGCAGCAAAATAACTTAATCAAAATAACTAACTAAAATAAAAATACTTATAGGTTCCTATGATGTAAGTCCACCTTTGAGTTCTTTACTCTGATCCTAAGTCATCAAAAAATATTAACTTTTGTTTATTTAGTACAATAGAGAAATATAGTAGACTGATGTTTAAAATAATTTACAGCATTTACCTAATCACCTTCTTTACTCAGTTAATGCCTATTCATTTCTCAGGTGTCAGTTTAGGTAAATCTATTGTTAAGAAGTAGATTTACCTAAGATTAGCAACCTCAGTTGCCTAAGATTGTGATTCAGAACCCTGCTCCTGGAATTCTATATATCAACCTTGTGTTAACTTTGGCCAAATATTGGTTTGTGTGTATGTTAAACGGTAGAAAATACGGCTTATGGTTACGTGGTCTCTGTTCATCTCAACCACTGTTAATTTTCCACCACCTGGCACTGCAAATTCTTCAGAGGAGACACCCAAGAAATACTTGTGGATCTAAAGGATAGGTCAGCAGGAAGGAAGCCAGACTAAATTAACCATAATTAAATAATAAATTCAATTATTCAAGGTAGTTTACTTGTATCAAGTATTTCAATTAAATTTAGGGGGCATTTAGATATAGTCAATAAAATATTCAACATATTAAGTTATTTCACTTATGTTACTTGAGCACTTCTTATGTGCATGGAACTTTGCTAGGTTCTGTAGATGCAGCTCACATTTTCAGAGATATATAATAAAAGTATGCTGTCAGCACAGGAATGAAAGAGCCACTATCTAATGAAGACTGGAATTGGAGCTGAAGCACTACTTAACAATAATACAGCACCATTTTGGAGAGTTTACCTAAGTGAGGGGCAAGGCCAAAAGTGTAAACACAATGAATATGCATCATGACATTAACAATTTGAGACCCTGAGATGGAAATTGGGTGCAATTAGCTTTACTATTCCTTGTAAATGGAAATGTTTGCTATCTTTCCTTTTTTTTTTTTTTTTTTTTTTTTGCATTCATTCTACATTCCCTATTTTATTCCATGTTTTGCTGCTATAACAGAATACTACATACAGGGTAATTTACAAAAAAAGGACATTTATTTGGCTCACAGTTCTGGAGGCTGAGAAGTCCAAGATCCAAGATTGACGGGACATATCCAGTGAGGGTTTTCTTGCTGTGTCTTAACATAGTAAAAGAGCAAGCAAGCTTGTAGGTCAAAGGGAGAAAAAAAAGTTAGACCAAACTCATCGTTTTATGAGGAGCCCAATTTCTGAATAACCAACCATTCCTGTGATTATGGCAAATTTTCATTCAGGAGGGCAGAACTCTCATGACCTAGTCAACTCTTGAAGATCCCACCTCTGTTGCATTGAGGATTAGTTTCCAACACATGAACTTTAGGTGGATTTATTTAAACCATAGCACTTTCTTTGTGTGCACTGACTATAAGTTAAGTAGACTGGCTAAGGCTTGAATGATTTTAAATTTGTATATTATTGAATGAGTGCAGGATGTTTAGATAAAGAGCTTCTGGTGAGAAAAAAAAATAATATCCATAAAATTGAGGCTACTTTGTCTTTGCTTTTATTTTTTTTTCAAAATGGAAATGGGAGTTTATTGTTTTTATTATTTCCTTTAAAATGGAAGTAGGTTGGCTGTTGGGCTCATGCCTGTAATCCCAGCACTTTGCGATGCTGAGGCAGGTGGATCACCTGAGGTCAGGAGTTCGAGATCAGCCTGACCACTTGGGTGTGGTGGTATGTGTGCCTGTAGTCCCAGCTACTCGGGAGGCTGAGACAGGAGAATTACTTGAACCCAGGAGGCAGAGGTTGCAGTAAGACGAGATTACACCCTGCACTCTACTGCACTCTAGCCTGGAGACAGAGCGAGACTCTGTCTCAAAGAAAAAGAAAAAAAAAAGAAAAGTAGGTTAATTTTTTTTCTGATTATAAAATATGCTACAGTTTCATTATAAAACAATAAGATACTATTACATTATAAGAAGGAAAACAATAATCACTTTTTCCACTAACTAGAGATAATTCAAGTTAACAGTTTATATATATAACTAAGACATTTTCTCTCTGTATGTATGTATACAAACTCCTCTCAATATTCTTCCAGTGTGTATACATTGACACCACATTTTAAAATTAAAAATGAGATTATACTCTAAAGAGTTTTAACATTTTTCACTTAACAGGGTATTATGAATGTATATTTTAGACAATAGACCTACATTTGTCATTATCCTAGGCAGTGTCTCACTGGTGAACACAGAAGGATAATTGGGCTGATTACCACTTTAAGAAGAACTGCCATGATCAAATAATGATCAAAGATGAAATACATATATTTCATCTTTGCACATTTATTGACTATTCTCAGGTACAATTTCTGGAAGTGAAATTATTTCTTGATATGCACAAGTTTAAGGGTATAATTATACATAGCAAAACTGTTTTTCTCAGGATTTATACTTACTGATATTCCTACCCAGCCTGTTTGAACACATTATCAACTTTGGATATTAGCATTATTTTGAGTCTTTGCTAATAGTACAATTGAAATTAGATTAGAAATTATTTTTCCTGGCTATAAAATAATCCATCTTATTGATTTTTTTAAAACATTTAGTTTTTGTGGATACATAGTAGGGATATATACTTACGGGGTATATGGAATATTTTGATTCAGACATACAATGTGTGATAATCACACCAGGATAAATGGAGTATTCATCATCTCAAGCATTTATCCTTTTTGTTACAAATTATCCAATTATACTCTTCTAGTTATTTTAAAATGTACAATTATTATTGATTATACTCACCCTGTTGTGCTATCCAGTACTAGCTCTTATTTGTTCTTTCTATTATCTGTACCTTTTCCCTCCCTTCCTGTCTTCCTTTTAGTGTATGTGATTTTCTCTGGTAGTGTGTTTTAATTTATTGCTTTTTAATTTTAGGTATACATTGTACATTTTTAGATTTGAGATTACCATGAGGTTTACAAATAATACCTTATAACCCATTATTTTAAACTGATGACAACTTAACACTGATTACATAAAGAAACAAGCAAAAATAAAACTAATAAATGTCTATACTTTGTCTCCCCATTTTTTAACGTCTTATTGTTTGTATTCATATCTTATTGTACTGTCTATGTCTTCTACAAAAACTGTTCTAGTTATTATTTTATAGGTTCATGTCTTTATCTTTTAACTTAAAATATTAGTAGTTTACACACCACAATAGCAGTGTTATAATATCCTGTGTTTTCCCTGTACTTACTGCTATACCAGTGAGTTGGTTTTTTTTGTTTGTTTTGTTTTGTTTTTTGTTTTTGTTCTTGTTTTTGTTTTTGTTTTTTTGGGTTTTTTTGAGATGGAATTTCGCTCTTGCTGCCCAGGCTGGAGTGCAATAGCGTGATCTCGGCTCACCACAACCTCCGCCTCCCAGGTTCAAGCAATTTTCCTGCTTCAGCCTCCCGAGTAGCTGGGATTACAGGCATGCACCACCATGCCTGGCTAATTTTGTATTTTTAGTATTTTTAGTAGATGTGTGTTTTCTCCATGTTGAGGCTGGTCTCGAACTCCTGACCTCAGGTGATCCACCCACCTTGGCCTCTGAAAGCACTGGGATTATAGGCGTGAGCCACAGCGCCCGGCCTATACCAGTGAGTTCTGTACCTTTAGGTGATTTCATATTGCTTATTAATATCCTTTTCTTTCAGACTGAAGTACTCCCTTTAGCATTTCTTGTAGGACAGGTCTGGTGTTGCTGGTGTTTTCAGCTTTTGCTGTCTGGAAAACATTTATTTTTCCTTCATGTTTAAAGGATATTTTTGCAGGATATACTATTCTAAGATAAAAGTGTCTTGTTGTTTTCTTCAGCACTTTAAATATGTTATGATACTTTCTCCTGAATAGATTTGGGAATTTCTCTGTTATTATCTCTTTGAATAAACATTCTACCCCTATTAATCTCTCTACTTCATCTTTATGTCCAATGACTCTTAGATTTGCCCTTTTGAGACTATTTTCTAGATCTTGTATACTTTTTTCTTTTTAATTTTTTTTCTTTAGTCTCCTCTGAGTGTGTATTTTCAAACAGCCTGTCTTCAAGCTAATTCTTTCTTCTGCTTGACCAATTCTGCTATTAAGAGACTCTGATGCATTCTTCAGTATGTTAATTGCATTTTTCAACTCCAGAATTTCTGCTTGATTTTTTAAAATTATTTCAATTTATTTGTTTACTTTATATGATTCTGAATACTTTCTCTGTGTTATCCTGAATTTCTTTGAATTTCCTCAAAACAGGTATTTTGAATTTTCTGTCAGAAAGTTCACATATCTCTGTCTCTCTGGGATTTTTCCCTGGTGCCTTATTCAGTTCTTTTGGTGAAGTTATGTTTTCCTGGACCATTTTATGCTGTGTGTGTTCATCAGTGTCTAGTCATAGAAGAGTTAGGTACTTACTGTAGTCTTCACAGTCTGGGCTTGTTACTACCCATCCTTTTTGGGAAGGCTTTTGAAGTATTCACAAGGCCTTGGGTATTATAATCTAAGTTTTTTGTCAATGTAGCCATATCTGCATTAGGGATCACCCCAAGTCCAGTAATGCTGTAGTTCTTGTAGACTCACAAAGGAACCACTTAGTTCTCTTCCCTTACTTTCTCCCCACAAAACAGGGTCTGCTGAGCTGACTGGAGCTGAGTTAGGGGTAGCCAGCACCACTGGGACTTCACTGGGTCATACCTGAAGCCAGCACAGCACTGGGTCTTGCCCAAGGCTCACTGTAACCACTACTGGGCTACCACCTATGTTGGTTCAAAGCCTTGGGGCTCCACAATCAGCACATTGTGAGGCCAGCCAGTCTTGTTCCTTCCTTTCAGGGTGATGAGTTCTACCATGTCCCAGCTTGGTCCAGAGATGCCGTCTGGGAGCCAGGGCCCAGAGTCAGAAACCCCAGAATTCTACTTGTTGCTCTATTCTACTGCGTTTAAGCTGACCCTGAAACCACAAGACAGAGTTTTTCCTATTCTTTCCTCCTGTTTACCCAGGCAGAAGTGTCTCTTCCCATGTCTGCCACCAATACAGGCCCACAAGTAGTATTGGCTGAGTACTGCTGATGCTCACTTAAGACCCAAGGGCTCTTCAGTCAGCTTATGGTGAATACTGCTATGCCTGGGATTCACCCTTCAGAGCAGTGGGCTCCCCTCTGGCCCAGGGAATGTCCGGAAATGTCATCCCAGAGCCAAGGACTGGAATTGGGGAACCCTAGAGCCCCTTTTGCTCTTTTCCACTGTGGCTGAGCTTTTTCCTAAGCTTCAGGACAAAGTCCCCTTTATTCTTCCCTCACCTTTTCTCAAGCAGAAAGGGTTTCTCTCTGTAGCCACTATAGCTGTGTATGTGCTGAGTCATACCTGAAGCCAGCATGTCTCAGAATCTCACTCAAGGCCCATAGCATGTACTACCTGGTTACTTCTGCTGATTATTCAGGGCCATGGGCTCTTAAATCAGCAGGTGATGAATAATGCCAGGACTGGGTCCACCTGGAATAGGGCCTACACAACTCTGCCCAATGCCCTATCCTACTGAGGCTGAGCTGGTATCCAAATTGCAAGACAAAGTCGACTTTTCTCTTCCCTCTCCTCTCCTCTAGTAGAAGGAAGAGATCTCTTTCAGAGCTACGAGTTACATTGCCTGTGGTTGGGGGAAGGGTGATGCAAGAAAACCCCTTAGCCACCCTGGCTTGTGTCTTACTTGCCTGGCTTGTATCTTACTTGGGAGGTTGCATACCCCCCAAGTCCTCTGGCTGTGAGTCCATTACAACACTAGGACTTGCCCAGGAGTTTCAGTCCTTGTGGCCTAGACAGCACATCAAGTATATTTAGGACCCCAGAGCACTGTAGCCTGCAGTGCCAGTGCTTCCCAGTTCTGACCACTGCAATGAGCATTTCTTCTTTGGCTGGGCTAATCTAAATGCTCTTTCCATGGGTGCCATCTGAGTTCTGCCCAGTGTTGGCAGCACTGAATTCTCACAATCGCTTTTCTCTCCTTCTCCCAAACGCACAGATTCTCTCTGAACCACGTAGCCACTGCCAGGGAGTTGATGAGTGGAGGCATTAGCAATTCAAAACTGTCTTTTCTACCCTCTTCAGTGCCTCTTTCAACAGTACTAAGTTAAAATCAGGTACTGTGATTTCTCACTTGCTTTTTGGTTCTTATGCAGGTGTTTTTTTGTGTGTGGGTAGTTGTCAAATTTGGTGTTCCTGTGGGGAGGACTATCAGTGGAGACTTCTATTCAGCCATCTTACTGCAACCCTCTCCTGATATCTTACTGATATTAAAATTTTTTTATGCTACTGCTGATTGCTTTTCCTCATATTTTCTTTGTGTTTTCTTCACATTTTGTTCTACCCAGTGATTCTGTATATTTTCAACTTGCTAACTACGTTAAAATTATATCTTAAGAGTTTCTCATTAATAAAATTAATTTTTAATTATTAAGTGCTGCATAATATAGATTAAATACAGGTACAAAGTTCACCTAAGTAAACACACATGTGGTGTACATATATAATATTTTTAGCACTTTGGTTAGGTCTAACTGACATAGAAAAACTGTACCCATTTCAGGTTTACAATTTGATAAGTTTTTATGTGGGTATGCACCCATGAAACCATCAGCACAATCACGATGATGAAAATATCAAGCAATCCTAAAATTTCCTCATCCATTTTTATAATTTGCTCGCCCACTCTTCCCTGTCACTTCCAAATGACAAACACTGATTTCCTTTTTCTCACTACACTATTTTATAGTATTATATAAATGGAATCTTACAAAGTATACTCCTATTTTATCAGACATTTTTCATTTAGAATAATTATTCTAGATTGTATATGTTTTGCTTCTATCGATAGCTTATTACTTTTTAATACCAAATAGTATTCCATTGTATGGCTATATCAATTTGTCAAAATATTCACCTCTAAATAGACATTTGTTGTTTCCAGTTTTTGTCCATTACTAATAAATCTGCTACGAGTATTAATAACTGTTTATATTGACATGTGCTTTTATTCCCTCTCTTGGGTACCCAGTAGTGAAATGGCTACATCATGTATATGGCAGGTGAATATTTAACTTTTAAAGGAGCTTCCAAACTGTTTTCGAAATTGATTACACTATTTTGCATTCCCACCAGCAGTGTATGAGTTCCATTTCCTCCTTATCTATGTCAACCTGGGGTACAGTCAGTCTTTGTAATTTTAGCTGTTCTAAGAGATACCTAGTAAGATCTCATTTTTTGTTTGTGGCTGAAATCTACACTTTTCTAATGGCCAATAATGTTTGACATTCTTCCATATGCTTATTTGCCATCCATATGTCTAATATTATAAAGTTCCTTTGCAACTCTTCTCATTGTTATAAAAATGGAGTTGTTTTCTTTTTATTGACTTTTGAGAGGTTATTATAGATTTTGATAAAATTCTGATATTTGACATATGAAAATATCTGCAGATTTTGTAGCTTTGTGGCTTGTCTTTTTATTTTTAACAGTTTCTTTGAAGAGCAGAAGTTTTAATTTTGATAAAGCTATTTTTATTCTTTTATAGATTATGTTTTTGTGTTGTATCTAAGAAATGTTTGACCAATCCACAATCATGATGAGTTTCTCCAGTGTTTTGCCTTAGAAATTTTAGTTTTAGGTTTAATGTTTAAGTCTATGATTCATTTTGAGTTCATTTTTGCAGCTGGGGAAAGATATAGATCAAAGATGTTTTATTGTTCTGTTGCATGTGGCTACCACTTGTTCTACCAAGATTTGTTGAGAAGACCAACCTTTCTCTATTGAACTGCCTTTGCACCCTTGTCAAACATCACTTGTCCCTATATAAGTAAATCTATTTCTGGATTATTATTTTCTGTTGATCTGTTTGTTCATCTTTAAACTAGTACCACATGAGTGTATCACAGTAGGTTGATAACCTTGGAATAAGGTAGAGTTAGCCCTCTTTGTTTTTCTTGTTAAAAATTATTTCATTCTTTTGAAAGTTATCAAAACAAATTCCTAGCTTGCCTAGTTGGTGACCTGTTAACACTAATGAAAATGGCTAGTAATGATGCAGCTTTAGGTTACTTCTGAAAGATTAGTAGAAAAGTAGAAATTTATTGTCATTTTATTATTGTTCATTCATTTTTACAAAATAAAATTCATCCTTCCAAATAAACTCTTTTAATCTGATAGCAAAACTCAGAAAGAACTGAGCCATCTGTGTCATTCTCTTTTTTATTATAATGTCATTGTAATCACTCTGGAAATATGTGTGGGGGATTTTCAATAAATTTTCTGCAAAGTCTTAAACAGCGGAAAACAGACAACAAAACAATTTAAAAGGAAAGCCTTCTAGAATCAGGCTGCTGTAGTGTATTTTGAAAATGTACACACAGTTTGAAGACTGATATTTATAGCTGCAGCTAGAGTTGTGATTTATGCTGCTGAGGTATAACGTTGTATAATTGATACGCCATATGATGATACTAATTGCAATCTGGATGAAAATTAGAAATGATGGAATCATGTCTTAGAAATCTTAACAACTTTGAAAGTACAATTTAAAAATAGAAAATATACTGTTGCACAAAGTTATTGTACATACAGATTTCTTCCTGAAACATCACCACGTTCATTTGAAATGTATATGATGAATTTGGAAGAAAGCCGAATCTGGACAGACAGGAAAGGAAGGGTGGAACTGCATACAGTATGACTCACTTCTACCTCTATTATTGCTAATAAAATATTTTGAATAGTCCCTTTCTTAACATTAATATAATATTTTTTTCTGTTTTTTTAATGAGTATATATTGCTTACTGAAATGCATACATTTTATTAAATAACTGCACATATATTTTTAGAAAGAAATGGAGGGGCAGGCCGGGTGCGGTGGCTCACGCCTGTAATCCCAGCACTTTGGGAGGCCGAGGCGGGCGGATCATGAGGTCAGGAGATGGAGACCATCCTGGCTAACACGGTGAAACCCCGTCTCTACTAAAAATACAAAAAAGCCGGGTGTGATGGTGGGCGCCTGTAGTCCCAGCTACTCAGGAGGCTGAGGCAGGAGAACGGCGTGAACCCGGCAGGCTGAGCTTGCAGTAAGCCGAGATCGCGCCGCTGCACTCCAGCCTGGGCGACAGAGATAGACTCCGTCTAAAAAAAAAAAAAAAAAGAAAAAAAAAAGAAAAAAGAAAAAGAAAAAAGAAATTGAGAGGCAAGGACAGAGGAGAGGTTTTGTGCCACACATTGTGTTAAGCACTTCATTAGGCTCTTCTGATTTAATCTTTTGAATAACATAGCAGGGCTGATGTGTTGTTTGCAGATTATGGACCTGAGACTGGGATTGGTTCAGCAATTCAGAAAACTATTAAGTGTTAGATTTAGTCTCAGAACTTTACAATTCCAAAACCTGGGTTTTTTCCTGGAGACAATTATCCAAATATATGGAGTATTATAAAATACCTGGAGCCAGATTACAAGGAGGCTTTTCTTCTGAGGCTGCATTCAAATAATTAATTTCATAATTTCATTTATGTTCAGTCCCAGAAAGAAATGAAAAAGGTTCCTGAGAAATAGAATCAGGAATTTACATTTTAAATTATATTTATTAAATGTAGACTGATTAATGTAATATAATGATTAAATGTAGACTGAAAGAGAGTGACACATATTTTGATTTAACCTGACAAATGCTAAAATGTTTGGAACCAATGGAGGCTTCAGAGACTGCTTTTCTTCCCTATGAAATAAAATTATTCTTAAAAGTTACTTAATTACCCAAGTTTGGTTGGTCATGGCGAGACAATGGTCAAAGAACTTTGACTTATTTAGCTTAAACAGGAGGGAGGGAGGGAAGAAGAGATGGAAGGATGAACCTGGGAATCTAGTACATCATTAAAATTGGAATGGCTTTGTGGTGTGTATGTGTGTTTAAGAAATAAGGCAACACAATCAAAATATTGTTTTAAATTTCGTTCAGTACTAGTTTTAGACCTGAACTATTCTGGGGAACACTTTCGCAGTCTCACAAATAATTTAGTGCCTTTAAATTATTTTGGCATATGAAAGTTAATTATTGTCAGAAAAGAAAAGAGAAGGAGAGAGGAAGGAAACATTGATTGTGGTACCTGTTATCTTAGAGATTTTCACATATAAAATCTCACCTCACAATATCTCTCAGGTGAGAAATTTCTTTTTTTGAAAGATGAAAAATATCAAAGCATACAAACTCATTATCATTCACTGTCTGGTGTCTAATGTCTTGAAAAGCATCCTTTCATGTATTTTGCCCAGGTGTTTTGGTTGTGGTAGGTGGGTAAAACATGTCCCATTACTTTCTTTTGATAAGAAGTTGAAGTTTTCTATTTTTTCCCTGAATGACTTTTGTAGCTATATTCTTTCAAGGAGTTTGTTCACTTGATCAATGTTGTTTAATTTATTGACATACAGTTTTTTATTATATTCCCTGATTATTCATTTTATGTGTCTGAAATATGTAGTTGTAATCTGTGTGCTCTTTCTTTTCTTCTTATAATTCTGTCTAGAAGTTTATTAATTTTATGGACATTTTCAAGGGAGCAGATTTTGAAATCATTGATTTTTGTCTATTGGTTATTCATTTCCTATATTATTGACTGCTAATCTTATCTTTACTATTTCCTTCCTACAGTGTACTTTGTGTATAAGTTTTTCTTCTTTTTAAAGCTCCTTAAGGTAGTAGCTTAGATCATTGATTAAAATATTTCTTTTTTACTATATTAGCACTCAGTACTATAAATTACCTTTTAATCACTGGTCTCACAATATCCCACAGATGTTTGTATTTTATATCTTTATTTTTATTTAATTTGAACAAATTTTATAATTTTACTTGTAGCTTTCTCTTTTATTAGTGAATTATATTGTAGGATTTAAAAATTTCTTAATATTTGGAAATATTCCAGTTATAGTTCTATTTTTAATTTTCATTTTAATTTGCTTTTGTCATAGAACATTCTCTGTATGATTTAAATCATTTAATATTTACTGAAAATTGTTTACATGCACCTCAAGAAAATTTTTGGAGGAAGATTTTCTAAATGTCAATAAGGATATTTTGGTCAATAGTGTTGTTCAAGTCTTCCATATTATTGCTCATTTATTTTCTACTTGCTCTAACAACTGCTGATAGAACAGTCTTAAAATATCCTACTATAATTGTAGATTTGTCCATTTCTTCTTTAGGTTTTATCAGTTATTGCTTCACATACTTTGAATCTTTGTTATGTACATGTGCATTTAGGATTTTTATGACTTCTTTATTAATTGACCTCTGATAATTATCTAATACCCATTCCTATTCCTTGTCCTGAAGTCTACTTTGATATTACTAAAGTTACTCTAGCCTTACTTTCATTACTGTATGCATGGTATATCTTTTCACATCTAGCCTCTCTGCTATTTTTAGTATACATTTTATGTCTCCATATCTTTAAACTTCGTGTCTTTGTATTTACATGGCTTACTTAAATGGCATGTAATTAGGTCTTGTTTTTTTTTCTTTTATTCCATCTCACAATCTAGGCCTTTTAATTGGAATGGTTAGGCTATTTGCATTTAATAAAATTATTTATATAGTTGGGTTTAAATCTACCTTATTGCTGCTTAAATTTTATTTACACCATCTGTTCTTCATTTCTTTTTCCCTTTTTTCCCACCTTCTTTAGAGTTGTATTTTATGATTCCATTTTATCTTCACTATTAGCTTGTTAGCTATAACTCTTTTGTGTTTTCTTTCCCTTTTTTTTTTTTTTAGATTTTGTGCCAGGGTTTACAATACACATCTTTAGCTACCTACAAATAACATTAAACTGTTTTAGATTTAGTGTAAGAACTTGATCATAGGTTCTTTTTTTTTTATTATTATACTTTACTTTACTTTAAGTTTTAGGGTACATGTGCACATTGTGCAGGTTAGTTACATATGTATACATGTGCCATGCTGGTGCGCTGCACCCACTAACTTGTCATCTAGCATTAGGTATATCTCCCAATGCTATCCTTCCCCCCTCCCCCCACCCCACCACAGTCCCCAGAGGGTGATATTCCCCTTCCTGTGTCCATGTGATCTCATTGTTCAATTCCCACCTATGAGTGAGAATATGCGGTGTTTGGTTTTTTGTTCTTGCGATAGTTTACTGAGAATGATGATTTCCAATTTCATCCATGTCCCTACAAAGGACATGAACTCATCATTTTTTATGGCTGCATAGTATTCCATGGTGTATATATGCCACATTTTCTTAATCCAGTCTATCATTGTTGGACATTTGGGTTGGTTCCAAGTCTTTGCTATTGTGAATAATGCCGCAATAAACATACGTGTGCATGTGGCTTTATAGCAGCATGATTTATAGGTTCTTTATAAAACAGTAAATTTATCTTTCCCCCATTCTAGCCTCTCTGCTGTTTTTCTCATATATTTCATTTCTCCATATCTTATAAACTCTAACATATATTATTAGTTTTATTTTAAATACAAGATTATCTTTTAAAAGTTAAAAATGAAAAAGAATACATCTCTTAGCTAGGGCTGCTGTAACAAAATACCATAGACTGAGTGGTTTAAATGACAGACATTTATTTGTCACAATTCTAGAGGCTGGAAAGTCCAAGATCAAGTTTAAGGCAGATTTGATTACTGTAAAGGCCCCATTCCTCAGCTGCAGCGGGTTTCCTTCTTTCTGTGTCCTCATATGATAGAGAAATAGCTCTGGTCATTGTTCCTCTTCTTAAAGGGACACTAATTTCACCATGGGGTCTTCACCTTCGTGACATCATCTAAACCTAGTTACTTCCCAACAACCCCATCTTCTAATACCATCACAATGGGAGTTAAGGCTTCAACACATGAATTTGGGAGAACACAGATATTTAGTCCATAACAGTGTGTTTTGTATTTACTCACATATTTACTATTTCTAGAACTCTTTAATCTTTTTGTCGTAGATCCAAATTTATTCTGTGTGAAGAACTTCCATAAACTTTCAGTGTTCTTTAAGTGTGTTGATGACTAATTTTCTTAGCTTTTGTTTGCTTGCAAAGGTCTTTATTACACATTTCTTATGAAAATATATTCTCACTGGATGTCAAATTATAGTTTTACAGTTTTTCTTTCAGTAGTTTAAAATTTTCTCTCACCTTTCTTGTTTAAATATTTTCTATGGAGAATATCATAGTCATTTGATCACATTTTACATAATGTGACTTTTTTTTATCTGGTGGCTATTTCCTTTTTTTTTTCTTTTATTCTTTTTTTTTTTTTTTTTAATGAGAGAGAGAGAGACACGGCCTTACCTGTCATCTAAGCTGGAGTGTGTTGGCATGGTCATGACTCACTGCAGCCTTGAACTCCTGGGAGCAAGTGATCCTCCTGCTTCAGCCTCCCAAGTAGCTGGGACTACAGGTGCATGTCACCACACTTGGTTAATTTTTAAAATGTTTTTGTATAGACAGAGTTTAGCTATGTTTCTCAGGCTGGTCTTGAACTCCTGGGCTTAAGCAACCCTCCCACCTTGGCTTCCCAAAGTTTGGAATTATAGGCGAGGACAACCATGCCCAGCAAACTTTTTGAGATTATTTTGTTAATCCCTGGTTTTCATCCATTTTGATTAAGATGTGCTTTGTTAGGGTTTTCTTTATGGTCTTCCTCTTGGAATTTGTTGAGTTTCTTAGGTATATGATGTTATGGTTTTGCTCATCTTTGGAAAGATGCCAGCCATAATTTAGCTATTGTTTCTTCAAATGAGTTGTTTTTTGACCCCCTTTTACTTTTTCTTTTCTTTTCTTACTTTCTTCTTTCTTTTCTTTTTTTTTTTTTAAGTTTTGTTTTGTTTTTGAGGTGGAGTCTCGCTTTGTCGCCCATGCTGGAGTGCAGTGGCATGATCTCGGCTCACTACAACCTCTGCCTCCCAGGTCCAGCATTTCTCCTGTCTCAGCCTCCCGAGTGAGTAGCTGGGACTACAGGCACGTGCCACCAAGCCTGGCTAATTATTTGTATTTTTTATACAGACAGGGTTTTGCCATGTTGGCTAGTCTGGTCTCGAACTCCTGGCCTCAGGTGATCCACCTGCCTCAGCCTCCCAAAGTGCTGGGATTACAGGCGATGCCTGGCCCTTTTACTCTTTCTTCTTTTGCTTGGGACTCAAATTATTTGTATGTTGTATTGCTTGATATTATTCTATATGTTTCTGAGACTTCATTTTTCCCTCTCTTTGCTTCATTGTGGTCAGATTCTATTGCTGTGTCTGCACTTTCACTGATCTGTCATCTGAACTGCCTAATTTCCTGCTTGGGTTTTCATCCATTACAGAGAATATAAGCAGTATGCTGTACAAAACTGCACGATGTACTTCCTCATTTCTCATCTCTTAGGGATCACTATCATACACTGTCTGTTTTCTATAGCCTAAAACAGTTATTTTATAAATTGTTGGGGATTTTATTATTTTTTTGTTTAGTGAAAAAGTATTTTTTTTTGGATGGAATGGAAATATTTCCTCAGTAGATTTTGATAATAGTTTCATTATATTGATCTTCTGTTATAATTTCTAACATTCATCTTTCTCAACAAATATTTATTGAGAATCTATTATGCTAGGCTTTAAAGAACTTGTCCTCAAGGAGCCAGCCTACTATACAGATTAAAAAATACTACGAAATAAGGCAGGGCTTGTAGCAGAAATGTTGAAAGGGTGCAGGTGGAGACCAAAGAGAAACATGGTGGTAATTTCAACAGAAATATATGTGATGCAGACAGAGATGAACAACTATTTTCCATGAGATGGTGTAACCAGACCAAAAAAGAGAAGTTTATAAATGAGGTGTTTTTTTTCTAAGATACAAACACTTTTAATTTGATATGTTGATTTCAGAAAGCTGAGATAAATTCTATATCCCTTAAGAAATTCCCTGGAAATACACACACACACACACCACCCTGACATAATACTTCCATTAAAGGTTTGGCAATATAGCTGAGGAAAATGTGTAAATAAATAAATTTAAAGAAGTCTTCTAGAACTGAGTAGGAAGGGATATGTAAGTGTTGAATTTCAAGCACAGCAGAAAGAATGGCCAGTTCTACCTGAGCAAGCAGGAAATCTTGATTAGAATATTGTTCATGTTTCTGATTCTAAAAATTTAATAGTTCTTGGCTGGGTGGGTTGGTGAAATGTGTGGTGTTGATGGAATATTATGGGAAAACAAAATGAAAAGTCGTAGAGACATGAGTCAGGTTTCTGTGCTTTGTAATCTAGAAGAAAAGTTAAATGGAAAGAATTCAGAGTGTTGTGGAGATAAGAGGTGTTGTTAGAGATAGGACTGAAAAGTTTGCAAGAATTTTTTGTGAGGTATTAAACATTATTTTGTGAGATTTTATTGACTGTTCATTAAGAACAGTGAGGTAAATGCATTACTTCTAGATTTCTTTCTGAAACACAGGCAGAGATAGCAGTGCTCTTCACCAAAATTGTCAATACTAGAGTAGAAGGCTTGGTGGGTATGGAGTAAATTTAATTTCAGAATTTTTAGGCCTTTAATTCCTGAGAATATCCACTTAGAGAAATCCAGTGGACATTTTACATAATTTGCTACGGTTTATGGAAGAAGTTGTACTAAAATAGAGTTTGGAGATTTATCAACCACAGGTTGTTGCCAAAGTCATTAATGCAGATTAAATAATCCAGAAGAAATGTGAGAAGGAATAAAAGATGGAATACTAAGTAGCCTTGGGGAAAAAATAAAGAAGACTGAGAAAAACAAAAAGAAAATTGTCATAGGAGCCAAAGAAAGTGAGAATTTCTAGAAATATTTAACAGTGATACATACATAAAGGTAATGTGTGGAAAATGACAAGAAGAATCTGCTGGGCTTTGTAGTTAGAAGGTCAGAGGTGACATTTGATAAGTGGCGAGGTAAAAGACTAATTGAGATGACAATAGGAAGATCAGGTGATGGAGACCAAGGCCAAAGACTAATCACTCTCCAGGAAATCTGGCTGTGAAGAGAAGAAGGATAAGATGGTATCCGAAGAGAGACACTGGGAGAAAATTATTGTTTTTAGTAGGTAAAACACTTAAATATATTTTTAGCCTCCTTGTAAGAACCAGTAGAGAGGGAAGAGTTGAAAATTTAGCAGGAAATATTGTTAATGACAGTGTAGATATGGTAAGACTATCTCTTTCATACACAGCTAGTGGGTGTATAAATTGGTATAATCTTTCTGAAAAGCAATTTGATAATGTGTGTAAAGAGCCTGAAAAATATAGTGTTTGACCCTGTAAGTCTACATATAGAATTCCACCCTGTAGATATAATCAGAGATGTAGATAAAGATTTATGTACAAAGATAATAATCACAGAATCATTTATAATAAGGAAAAAAGGAAACAATCTTTATGCTGAACAAAGAAGGCACAATTAAATAAATTATGGTGTATTCACAGAGTAGTCACAACCATTGTAAATGTTATTTTCAAAGAAAGACTTTCAAATTATTGGAGAAAATGTTCTTGTAATATATTTTGAGTGAAAAAATGAGAAACAAAAAAGCTGAATGCAGAGTGTAATCTAAATGTTGAAAACTAAAAAATAAAGATTTAAAGAAAAGATACAGAAATTAGTAGAAGAACATTAGAAAACTGAGCAATGCCTCAGCCTTGACTTAAGGGTTCTAGATAACTACAGTGATCGAAGGGTTAGTTTTAGGTGCAGTATCATCTCTACCTAAATGAATGAAGAAATGGAAGGATATTTGTAGATATGGGGAAAGGAATGAAGAGAATTTTTTTCTGTTAAATGAACAGCAAATCCTTCATCACCATCACCATCATCATTTTCAGGAACTCACAATATTAATATTTAGAGATAATTTTGTGTCAGTTTTTATTCCATGTTTTTAATAATCACAGTATTTTAGATAAGCAAACCAAGGCACAGCAAAGAAGAACCATACTCAAAGTTTTACACACTCTAGAAAATGGTGGATGTGAGATTCATACCCAATTCACAGTCCAGTCGTGAGCCTTCTGCTGAGAGAGGAGTGGAGCAACATTGGGAAGGAGGGACTTAAAATGTATAGGGTAGTCACTGTGGGGACATTGAGGGGACTTGACCAGAAACAGGATGAAAGAGTTGGTTTAATGGTACTGAGGGTCTTATTAACATTACTTACTTGTAGGTCCACCAGTTCACAAAACCATGTGCTATAAATGAAGTAACCTGCCATGGTTCAGGAGAAAAAAAGAGAGAGGGTTACATTAATGAAAAGTTACAGTGTGTTCACTAGCAAAAAAAAAAAAAGTAGGATTTGAAAACTTTGAAGATGTTGGCAATAAATGAAGCTGAATGGATCTAAGTTTAATATGGAACATTGGGTTTTTGTTTTATAGGGAGGTGAAGTAAAGGATAAAAAAAAGAATAGAGGGAGGAACTGCAGTACTTGCTGGGTCAGGGGCATAGTGAGAAGGACTGAATTGGAAAGTTGATACAATCTGTTGTCCTGGAAGAGATTGAGGACTTTGATGTTATATATATGGTCAGATAGTAAGATGAGCTATCTAAACATCTGTGAAAAAATGAATGACTAAATCATTCCTATGATGACAGAAACCAGAAGCAGAGGAAGACTGTGAAGCATGTTTCAAATTGCTTAGTAGATGAAAATGAAGATCTTCTTCATCTAGAAAATCTCTAAATGATGAAAATGTGAGGTAGAGGAGAGGTGGTAAAGTGGGATGACTTCAACTTCAAAGGATGAAAGGGCTTTGTATGCAGACCAATGAACTAAAGATCTACAATCAGCAAAGGGCACAGGGATAATGGCCATGGACTTTATGACATTGGAGTATAGAGAGAAGGATTTTCTTGGAGAAGAAGCAGGTTATATTCTTATGTTCAGAACATTGTCTGATGCACAGTTAATGCTGAATGCCCACTTATCTAACCTCATAGACAAATAAAAGGCTTTATTAATGTGGCCAGAGCAGGAGATAGAGGGATTCTGTGAAGAGGTGGAGGATGTGATGGGATAGGGGTTGTTTACTTTGGAACATAGGTTGCAGAGAGTATAATGGAAAGTATTTGTAAAGAAGACCAGAAATGGACAAAAGAACATGATGGGAAAATGCACAGAAAAAAAATAAATGGACAAGCATCAGGTAAATGTTTGTTGATTGGAAGAACTAGTGTTCAGTCCAGTGAATGAGAGTGACAGGAATAAAGGATATGACTCATAATGACTATCCTAAGGTGCCCTGGGACAGAGCTAACTAAGCCCTAAGCAGTCTGAGAACCCTAGCAATGTTAAGAGCCTGCAGCCTTTTCTCAGCACTCAAATTGCAAAACATGGAAAAAGCTTTATGATGACTTTTGAAGCTAATTCTGCCTTGGTTATTGGAGGTGATTAGCTGCCACTTGCCAAAGAATCGTTGGCTTGAGGTAGCTATGGTGCCAGGTTTCTTTTCTGACATGAATTGGGTATAATAAAGCAGCTTGGTGTGGGGGAACTACTCTTAAATAGTACTCCTTATAAATGCGAGAGCATTGATTTTAAGAATAAACTGGGGATAAATTTGGCTATTTTCTCCAATTCTTAGCCCTCCATGGTGTAGAGGTAGGCATCTGGTTGCTAGAATCCTAAAGTCTCAAGTTCTGTAACTAGCCTATTTCTATTTTCTGCTCCAATAACTTAGTAAGGCCATTGAGGTGGTACACCGTCTCTTCATTAGCTTGCATGTCAGTGAGATGTATATAAAAATCTGAAAATATATATTAGTTCTGAGGCAAATAGGTGAACGAGATAAATCACTGGGGAAAGGAAACACCCCTAGCTCCCTCACATTGTGATTGGGGTAATATAATTTTCTACAGGAAGAATTATTGACATGTAGTGAAATGTGAGATCAATATCTGTTATTTACTGAATAAATTTACTAGAGTCATTGGTAAACATCTTCAGTAATAAATTCCCCAAATTCTTGGATGGATTTGTGTTTTAATTAACATTCTTAGCTGGAAATTAGAGGCAGATGGGAAGGGGTGTTAATAATTCCATAATTGATAACAATCACTTATGAAACAGAGAAGCAACTCATAGCTCACTAATTATTTCAGAGAGTAAAACACTCCAAATTGTTAGGAGAAGCGCTCAGTGATACAAGAAGTCAGTGAATGAGGACTGGGTAGAGGCAACAGCCCTGGGTTTGAATTTTGGACCCACCACTTATTAGTAGTTTCTACCTTGTTTCTACCTCAAGGAGCAGGGACAACCTATTTTATAAGAAAGGTTCTGAGCAGTTCGATATTAAGAAATCATTTTGATTGACTTTAACCTAGCATTTCCTAACATGCTTTATGCCAGGTCTTTCTCCCCTATAAAAAATATTAATCCCTTAAGAAATTAGAGTGCTGTAGAAAACTTTAGGAAACATTAACAGAAGGTCTCCAAATTCCCCTCCCATTGTTGGTCGGTCAGAATTAGCAATAGCAGCTGATTTTTATTAAGTGCTCACTATGAGTTAAGTTCTGTACTATAGACTTTAACTATAAAATCTCCCTTAATTCTTACAACAACTTTGAAGGCCAGTATTATCATCAACACCATTTTGAAGTTAAGGAAATGAAGGCACAGAGAGTTTAAGCATCTTGCCTAAGCTCACAAGGCTAAGAAGCAGTGGAAGATGCTGTAAAGACAGGCAGTCTGGCTCCACAGCCAGTTTCTGTAGTCACAATGCTAACTATTCTAGGGTTTAATCAGCTAGTGTGGTTCAGTGAATACCAAATGGAAAGTAAAGACCTGGAAACTACAAAACAGCCCCCATGGAGTGGCATATTCCAAAGGTCCAGGAGCCAATGTGGAAGCCAGGGAATAGAGTTAGGAAACCAAAGAAGCAGAGCCAAATGCAAGAGCAGTGATCCGAAAATAAACTGGGAGAAGTCTGAAGCATTTTTCTAGACTGCTGGATACTGTCTGTGGCTTGCTTTTATCTCTCATTCATGGTCTTGTGTGTAGGTAAGCCTGCTGAGTTTAAAAGACCAATAATAGGATGGACCTTTTGGTTTAAATGGGAAATTTTCATTAAATCAAGACATGGAAATCTATTCAAACTGTAGTCTCATACAACTAGAATTAAATAAAGAAGAGCATACTAGGCCAAATAAATATAACTAGGAAGGCAGCAGACATTGCTACATTTCATTTGAAATTTTAAAATTCTTATATGTCAAGGGATATACTAACTACTTCATCATGGATACCAATGGGCAGTGCTTGCTCCTTAGCTTAGCCCAAGTAGCTTTTAAATGCAATGTCCTATTTTAGCAGGATTTATGGTTTTGGGAGTTTAAGGTAGGATGGTTAAAATAGATTGTTTTCTTTCCCCCCTCTACAATGTGGCATTTTCTTTAGGGTTAAGAAGTCTCCCCTATTGGGAGGTGGGAACCATATGATGTTAAGCAATGGGTTTATATTTTATTAAACAGAGGAAACTGTATTATCTAGAGAGGATATTTGGATGGGAAGGCAAGCCACTGTGAAATCCATCACCCCATTTTTTCTCCAGGGTTGATTTACTGGCCTCATACAGGTTTCTCTTTGAACCCTTGTTCATCCTGCAGCTCCAGGATATGGGTTTCTCAGTCGGAGGTGATGACTTCTGAGAGTCAAGGAGGTCTATTTTGCTCACAGGTTTCCAAGAGTCTAACGTAGAAAAATAAGCAATTGTGCATATTTCCTGAGTCCAAAACTTGTTCAAATTTTGAGTAGTCTGCTGGATGCCTCTCCTCTTCTCCTATCTCCATAGAAAAATAAATTCTCAAAAGTTGCCAGAAGCACCTGTGTTTGACTGTAATGGCAGTTTGGATACCATTTAAGCAGGACTTGTCAAGGCAAAAGGAACACCAAGAAAAAAATGTGGCCAGGAAAGCATCGTAGTTTCAAAATAGGTTCCTTGAAATATTCATTAAGAATAAATTTGCTGAATCATTCTCTAAAACCTATCAAAAATACCTAAATTTTACCACAGAGACTGGATCCAGGAGCCTCTCCTCTGTCTTCTGAGTTATGGTGTCTCTATCCAGTGGTGAGACTAGATTAGCAATATGCCAAAAGAGGAAAATCTGTTCTCTTGTCTGGGTGATTGTTGGCTCCCACCTCCAGCACTTTGTAAAATTAGAGAGGTGAGCTGTCTTAGATCTAGTTTAAAGTATCTGGTGGTGTTTGGAGAGTTGGCCATCTGATGGTTTCAATTTAAATGAATTTATTTGTGCAAATTAATATTCGACCATATTGAACTATAGCCTCACCTCAGGCTGCCTCATCAATCAGGGTCAAAGAATATGCAGATGATTGTGGGACCACTCAATCTGTGTTTCTCAGCTCTAGACTCCTTATTTAAATCTAAAAGTATATTTGCTGTTCTTCAGGGACTGAATTCCTAGCTCATGGACAACTTTGCAAAGGTTCCTTGTTTCCAAACCAGATTTGTCTTCTCTCTGTAGTTTGACAGAGTATCCCCTAATAAGATTTCTGCATTCCTAAGCTAAAGGATAAGAACTACATCTGTCACTGAGAGGGTACCTAATCAAGACCTCATCTGGTGTATCTGGTTACCTGTTTTATCTATTGCTGTATAACAAACCACTCACTACTTAGTGGCATAAGACAATGACCCTAGAATTACGTTCACAGCTCTTCGGGTAAAGAATTCAGACAAGGCCAACTAGAGGTGGCTTGTCTCTTTTCCATGAGATCTAGGGACTCAGATGGAAAGACTCCAGCTGGAAGACTCTAACCTGGATGTGACTTGAATGGCTGAAGCTGGAATCCTCGGAAGACTTTTTTACTAACACATCTGAAAACTGGGCTGGGATGATTTAAGCGCTGGGCTCAGCTGACACTCTGGAACAGAGCAAATATCCATGGTATCCTCATGTCATTTGGGCTTCCTCAAAGCATGGTCGCCTAAGGGTATTTGAATTTATTACCTGGTGGGCAGGGCTCCAAATTCAAATGTTCCAGTGAACAAGGTGGAAGCTGTGTGGCCTTTATGACCTAGCTTTGGAAATCAAATATACTCACTTCTAACCATATTTAAACGGTCAATGTGGTCACAGCCTGCCCAGACTCAATAGTGGATAAAATATACTCCCCTCTTTTTCTGGAAAGTGTCAAAAAATTGTGGCTATGTTTTTAAACTGCCACATTTACTAACACATTTCACAAAGTAATTAAACTACCTTTTTAACAGGTCCCAATATGTTTCCAAATATATATTGCTTCTTTAGTACAATCTACTTTTTACTTAGACAACTATTCTATGAATATGTCCGTGGCAAAAAAAAAAAAAAAAAAATTCAGAGTAATAGCATAGAGCCAGTTGAGGAGGCTCAGGAAATAACAGTCTGTAGTTATTCTTTTCTTTGGACACAAAATGACATTACTGAGTTTCATTATCTATCTTGATCACTTAAATTCTGTGGGAAATAAATTTCATGAGGAAAAAATAGTTTTTTTGTATCTAAAAATGTTCACCACAAAATGTTGGGGACCACTGGACCACTTTATAAAAGATTATTAAATATGGATGTTGAGGCTGGCTGCATTGAGACCCTGCCAAGTCCCATGTTAAGCTAGTTGTGTCCCTTTAACTACTAGAGTGGTTTCACCATGACCTAAGTTCTTCATAGACTTGCAAAATCTGAAATTCATTATTAGTCACCATACTCTTTTAGTGATGAGATCACATTAGTATCAGGAGACTAATGTATAAACCAGACACCAGTTTAATAATTTATATGAAGAAATATGACGTTTTAGAAATACTGCCATTCACTGGCCTTCACAGTCATTTTCTGGAAGCACTCTGCTGAAAAAGCAGATAATACTTAGAAAGCTATTTGGTAAATATTGCACAAAACTTTGAAAGGCAGGTATGATGTTATCTTGTATACCCAATGCCTAGTAGAGAGTCTGATACAATGAGGCTCCCAGTAAATGTTTGGTGAGTACACGAAGGAATACCTTGGAAAGAGACCTTAGGGAGGATGTAATCTGATGGTATTCAAATATCCTTAAGATTCTTGAGGAGGTGATATAGGGGCCATCACAGAAAGCAGTGGGCAGGAAGAAGCAGGGGCCCTAGAGTTGCTCTCCTTTTATCTATTTCAGATATTAGACTCTTAATAATATTTAAATTGGGAAAGGAATTATGATACAAAGTATTGGCAGCTAAAAATAAATTATGAGCTTTGCACAAAGTCACCCAATTAGTAAGAGACTAACCTAGAACTCAAATAGGAAGCTTCTTGTTTTCAGCTCTGGGCTCTTTTTACTATGCAACCTGCTAATAATTCACTGGGAGCTTGGCCCCTAATTTGGTGTGAAGTTCTCTAATCTATTTCCTGACAATAGCATTTGGCATCTTTCCAGAATTTACTATAGCATTTTCATTTTCTTTCTGAGAAGCAACACATGGCATATCAATCGTCACCTTATAAAATTCTTTCTGCCCTAGTTTTTTTCTCTTTCTCTCAGACCCTCATTCATTCACCTTTTTAAAAATTATTATTCCTTGGGCAACCTCACAGACAAGTTATTTTCTGAAGAGAAAAGGACCAAGGAGGATGTAGTGGATAAGTACACAATAAAATCCAGGCAAAAGCTCATTCTAAAACACATTTTCCTGAAAGCATTGTTATCACTGCTATTGTTCATACCATTCCATTCATTCCCTTGAGCTGCCATCTCCTGCTGATGCTTTAAAGAGGTCAGAATAACCCTGGTAACTTACTTGAACATTAAAAAAATCTAAGCCATAGCACCAGAGAAGTATTTCTTATGCGTCTTCAGCTGGCTGTGCAATTGACCTTGCCTTGAAGCTATACACACTACCTTTCTAACTGCAGTCAACTGTAGGGATCCAAGACATGAAGAGAGCCAGAGATGCAAAGCGCTCTTAGAATCCTGAAACATAGCCTTCTCATTTTATACATGAAGGAACTGAAACCTAGAGAGGGGGAGGAATTTGCTGAAGGCCACATAGCTAATTAGTGGCAGAGAATTGTGTCTCCTGACTCCAAGTTTAAGACTCTATTAGCAATAGCCGACTTATTTTTCCTTCCAGCACAATGCATTGCCCTCTACCTGAAGCCCTGGTGACAGGGCAGTCTTTCAGCATTGCGGAGGACTAGTGAGGTCTGGCGACTAGACATGGCACCCTACTAGCTGGATTCATAAGGGATAGGTCTAGAGGGACATACAGGTCGAGTGGGCATCAGTCAGGACAAGGAAACAGCTACCAGCACAAGGAGCAGAGTTCTCTGGCTAAGCCAGCAGTCTGTCACTCCAACTCTTTCTTGTGACAGATGACTGGGGCATTAGCAGTGTGCTCACCCAGAGAGAAACAAGGTGGGAGCAGATGGTAGGAAGTGCAAACAGGTATTTCCATTGTGCTCAGTGGAAAGAGATGAGCAATGAATCCTACTCTGGAGCAATAGTTTTAAAACTTTTTTTAAAAAATAGCAAAAGCTTTTATTTTTCCAGACAAAATCTTGCCTGGGACCCCAGTGCATAAAATGGATAAAAGCAGAGTGCCTCTTGTTGAATTTGAGTATAGAATAAAATGTTCTCTGAGGCTCCAATCAACAGAGTTTGGGTACTAATGACAGCAGGAGAACCTCCCACTAGGAGAAGTTTTGGAAAGCTATGGTTGTAGTGACTAGTGGGGGTACAATTGTCATTTAGTGGACAGTGGCCAGGGATGTCAGGTATGCTGCAATGTGAAGGATGGTCCTAGATGCCTAGATGTTGAAGACTTGTCCCGTATCTCATATGACGGATATGAATATCTCCCCAGACATTCATGTCAGTGAAAAAGAAATTTGTAAAAATCTGAGTCTAGAACCCAACTCTATTTTATATGTGACATGGAGTATTAATTTCACAGTTTTGATATACACTGTATTTTCCAGACATGCAACAACTGGGATAATTGAAGGAAGAGTAGACTTTGGTTATTGTTGTTGTTAGGAGCTTCATCAGGACTTGTTTACCAAGAGAGAGAACAAAAAGGTTAAAAGCAAGGATTCTGGAGTCAGGCAGCCTGGCTTTGAATTGCAGATCCCATACTTACTAACTGTGTATGACTTAAGACAAGGTACTCAGCCACTCTGTGTCTCAGTTTCCTCAGCTGTAAATTGGAGATAGCAATAGTACCTATCTCAAAATTTTATGGGAACTCAATGAGTCAATAATGTTTTACCTAGGAAAATTATACACTGCTGACAGTGCTACTTGTGTTATTTGTGGCTCTAATACAATTATATATTTATTGTCCTGCAGTTGCAGGAGTTGCATTCCTGGTCATTACAATATAGACATGGAAGTGCATATTTATGTCTTTAAAAATATCAACTGTAAGAAAAAGTGTTGGCACTATGTCAGTTTAATGTTGTCCTATTGACTTAAATCTAAACTTGCCAAGGGTAAGAATCTAACTGCTTTATTATGTTTTTTTAAGGTAGCCATGCTCAGCCTTTTACATACTGAGTATGCATTATTTTAATATAAATTCATTTCCTTATATAGTTTATATTTAAGGTTTATGATGATTTTTCAAGATTATGTATATAGGAAGTTTATATTAAAATGTTGTTTCAGGGTGCTAAAGAAGGTATTACAAAGTGCTCGTAACAGGGAGCATGGGGTGTGATTAGATGGTGAACCGCTGCAATAGGTGAATGAGAATCCCTTGGAACTCCTGAATTTGTGGGTGATGAAAGCATAGTTGCTCTGGGAAAAGCTGAGAAGAAACAAGAATTTTCTACAACCTACTCTATTTTTCTCTAAGACCCCTTGCAAGCTTTAGGGCTTCAGTAAATATGGCTTTGGGACTGAGATTCTCAAAATATATCTGAACCCCCTCAGTGAGCTTCTTAGTAGACTAAGAATAAAATGACTAACAATGGAAATATTCTCAGTTGCATAAAAGGCCATTTGTAATTAATGTATTAAAATATTAAGGATTACTAATATCTGGCATTTTAATTATAAAATTCACCAATTCTCTTCAAGTTTATTGAAGATTCAGTTTATTATTCCACAGGATATTTTGCTACCATCAATGGTCTGGCCATGTTGAAAAACTCAGCTGACACAGACAAAATTCTTAGAATTTATTCTTAGAATTTGGGGAAAGGATGCTTTGTTACCCAAACATTAAAAGTGTTTTAAGTTGCTTATGGCTTTTAATTACTGTTATTTTCTATTCTTAATTATGCATCCTTAGTTATATTAATATCAGTTTTGTTTCTTGTGCGATTGTTTTCTGCCTAACGTTATGTAATGATTCTCATTTTTAATAGTATTATTTTGAGCCAATAAGTTGGCAATAAAAAGACTTTAAAATTATTGCATTCCCATTACAGTGTGAATTATCTGTACCTCTATTGTTAAAAAAAGGTATGAGCATGCCTTGCCCAATCTCCAATTTGCTTCTACAGTGGCAAATTTTTGTTTGTCATTTCAATAACAAGTTATTATCTGACTGGAAAGTGAAAAAAAATGAAGTGGGTTAGGTAGAACCTATGACCATACCTAAAGGGATCAAGATTGATAAAATTCGAAAGCCCTCTTTAGCTCAGAAGTTACACCTGGGAAGTGGATGGGGTGTAGAGGAGCCAGGAGCCATGATGCCTTGTAGGTAAGATAAAGGAGGCATATGTTCACCCAGAGACAGGTTCTTTATTGCCTTTCATCTGAAAGCAGGTTTGCAGAACACAGTAGACAGGCCACACTTAAGAATGAGCCAAGGTTCTCCTGAGGAACTCTGCCTAGCATGACAGGGAAGAGGCGAGTCAGATCTGAAATAGTGCTACTCTGCCTTTAGACACTTGAGATATTTTTCTGTTGGAAATTCTGGGTGTTTTTTTTGTTTGTTTTTTGTTTTGTTTTGTTTTGTTTTGCCAGATTCAATTCATCCATGAGCAAGAAGAACAGACATATCCTTGAAATGCCAAGGACCTCTATCCTAATAGAGATAGGAAGACAGATCCATCAGATTATTTTTAAAAATATGAAAATTTCAGGGGCCTGCCTACTTTCTATGAAAACACATGCATTTGTTTTTCAGGACTAACATAACATCTAAGTAGAGTAGGACGACTGAAAGACCAAATCCCTTGCAATCACAAGACCATTCTAGTTTTGAGGGACTTTTTTGTTTTGTTTTGCTTCTCTGGTGGATTTTGT
The DNA here is from genome assembly GCF_000001405.40 of Homo sapiens. Classification (NCBI taxonomy): domain Eukaryota; kingdom Metazoa; phylum Chordata; class Mammalia; order Primates; family Hominidae; genus Homo; species Homo sapiens. The sequence continues at coordinate 21,469,317 of NC_000011.10, forward strand.
ATGAGCCCTAGAAGTGAATAAGACTGGGCTGATCTCCACTTGCAAGAAAAAGTCTTGCAGGAGTACCCATCCCCACCTAAACAGAAAGTTCTATAGCCTCAGTGGAAAATTGCTCTTGGGTTTTCTTCCAGCCTTAGAATTTCATAATTTCAGGGGAAGTCAGAGAGATTTTTACTAGCCCAGTTCTGCTCTCTATAATTGTCTTTGCCATAGCTCTTTGCAGTTTTGGACATAGCCTATCAAAATGGACTTCCTTTTTTCTTCTCCTTCACTTGCATTTAATTAAACTCATTGAATTAATAGGAATTAAAGACCATCTATATGCCACAAATTTTGCTAAGTTTAGGGAGGCAAAGATAAGGAATGTGATTTCAAATTGCTCAAAGTCCAGGAAAAGGTATAGGCAAATGCAACAATGGTGATAATTCAATAGAAGCGTATTATGTTTGAGATAAGCAAGGGATGCTATGGAGTCGAGGGTGGTGGGTTGTAGTATCTTGAATCCACAACATTGTACAAGTATAAGTAGCACTACGTGTTTAGAAAGAGATTAAATCTCTATTTGTGTACTTTCAGATTGCTAGCTTTTTCCCCTTGTTAAATTGGATTGGGACACACCAAATGCAAATGTTACTGCTGATGACACTTACTATTTTTTCTTTGGATTCTTTCTCTGAAAAGTATAATGAAGAATGAAACTTGATTAATGATATCCAAGCTTCAATAGTAATTAACAATTACTCTATGCCAGGTACTTATATATGTAGTTTTCTTTATGAACTCATTTAATTCTTACCACTACCTTACGAGGTGTAGGTATTCTCAAAGAATTGAGGTAAAGATATATGCAGAAACATGATCAAGGTTGCAAAATTGGTACAAAGTAATCATGCTAAGAGCTCAAACTTTCTTCAGAAAATGTATCTAAAATTCAAATACTTTTCTAATTAAAAACATCAATGGCTCCCTTTGCTTAGACTCGAGAGAGCAAAGTCTGATATCCTTAGTGTAACATTTTAGGTTCTCTATGATCTGGTCCTTACCTCTTATCCAATATCATTTCTTGCCTTCTCTTACCTTAAATTTGTATTTCACCATTCAAACATGTTTCCCAATATACTTTTTCAAAACATTTTTGTCTTCATCATTTTAAATGCCTGATATGTACATGTTCCCCTGCTCTTTGCAAACTTAGCTCCAACATTAATCACCTCTTCTAGAACATTTCCCTGATAGCTCCAAGCCACTGATGGTGCCTCTTCTGTATGTTCACTTGGTAGTCTGTGCATATCTGCAACCAGAGCTTACCACATTGCACTGACATTCATGTGTTTCTCTCCTGTATTAAGCTGTGAACACCTCAAGGACAGAAGCCATGCCTTAGTCATCTTGATATTGCCAGCATCTAGCAGAGTAGAACCTCAGGACATATTTGCTGCAAGTTCCTGATTCATAGGATGCACTGTGCAGCAGTTTGGAACTCAGTTCTAGAGCTCAGGTCCTGCACTAGCATTTACTGCCATGTCCTCTGGACAAAGGATTTAAACTCTCTGAGAATCAATTTTCTCATTTGTAAAATGGTAAAAATAGTGGTATCTTCACCATGGTTGTTGGGTAAACACAACAATGGATATAAAATAGTTAATAAGCTATTTTTTACATAATAGTCACTTATAAATATTGTCATCAATCCTTATCATCATATTTTGAAAGCATTATACTCAATCCTTTTAAGACCACAGCATGTCTGCTTAAGGCTGCAAAAGCCTTCAAAGGACTTCTTTCCAGATTTATCCCTTTGCCATTTTTTAGGGTTTGTCAATCCTTGTGGTCATAAAACGACAAGAAGAAATGGTCCCATACATGAATCATATTGTTTTCCACTCACTCTTTTGCCCTCTTTTCAGCAGTCTTTCTCTATTTGGAAAAAAAAATAGGCTTGGAAATAAAGTGAGGAGGTTAAGAAAAAGTAGCTTGGAGGATGGGAATAAAATTTAGCCCAAGATAAAATTATTAGGCTTGCCACATTTTCTGTCTTGACCACTAGAACATGCTTTAATAAAACTATTTAGAAATATGTTCTTTTCTGATTCATCCTAACAAGCCATCTTTTCTAGCTGATGAACTGGAAATTTTTGTAAATAAATGTCAGCAGCATGATATTTTCTTTAAATGATAGAGACTTTAAATAACTGAAAATAGTTTCAAAGATTAAGTGAATTATATAACAATATAATTATAAAAGCTAACATTTATTGTTTGTTTACTGTGATAAGCACTTTAAATTTCTTACCCCATTTAGTAATTATAACAATTCAGTGATGAAGTAGTGCCACTTCTATTTCCATTAAAGAAATGAAGAAAGTAAGGCTTGGAGAGTTTAGGACTTGTCCAAGGTCAAAAGACATAAAGATGCAAACATGAGATACTAAATAAGTTCTGTTGACTCCTAAGTTCATGCTCTTTATCAATTCACTGAACAAATACATGCACATACAGACATGCTTATTATGCATACATGCATGCATACACATGTGAAAAGCCAGTATATTTTGGCTTCTAATTGTGTACAGAAAGCTGCAACTGATATATAAAAATGAAATTATTTGTTTCACATTACATATTGACTCTGATCAACAAATAAAAAAGAAACAAGGTACAGTACATTATTTTAGCCTGTTTCTGAAGATCATGAAGTTCAATTGAGTTCAATTTCAGGAGGGACTTTAGTATTAGAGTCAATATGGAGCAAGAATGGCATTTTTCTTTTTCCTGGTGACCTTTGAGCTGTCTAAGCTCCCAGAAGAAAGACACAAGATTTGCTTTCTGTTTTGTTTTGTTTGTTTGTTTGTTTGTTTGTTTGTTTTAAACTTCTCTACCCAGCTGTGGCTCACTGTTCAGCAAATACCTCCAGTCTCTGGAAAAATTAAATTCATTCTTCTTTTCTAATGAGCAAACCCTCCTCTGCCTCCAGCTCAGTTCATCATTTGTTTGATTGTACATCCAGATACCCGAGATGCTGTTTGCTTGCTTTCTCTTAACCTGAGTTGTTGAACTTTAAAGATTTGGAGCACTACAACATTATTTTAACTCATGCCACTAAGCACATTACTCATTCTATTGTTATTGAGTCATGAATCACTCCCTGGCCTTTACCCGCTACCAGGTTTGCAGTTAACTACTGAGAGCATGTTCTAAGATGCCTCTTGGAAAATAAAACCTTTTTCTACTTGTTACGTGTCTTGTTATCTCATTATGCTGAGGGAGAAAGAAGGATTAGTCTAATATTTGAATCAAATCAAGTAGGCTAGTATGAAAATACTAATTAGGGAGCAATTCCTAGAAAAAAACTACATACTTATTTTTTTCTTTTCTTTCCTTGGCCAGCCTGGGAAATCTATGCTGTTGATATCTGCTGAGATGACACAAGTGTCTAGGTAGAAACAATCAAATAGGAAATGTTCCTAATAATTCACTCACTCGTCCCCTTCCCTCCCCTTGCCTTCCCTTCCCTTCCCTTTCCTTCCCTTCCTCTTCTTTCCTTCCTTCTTTCCTTCTATTTAAGCCATCTATGTGATTATCAGTTATTGGATGCCTACCATAGGTAAAACATTATTTAAAGTGCCCAGATTTAGAGAATGGAGACACAAAGATTAATCATACCTAGTCTCTACCTCAAGCTATTTTTATAATATTAGGGGAGAGAAAACAGGAAAGTAGGAACTAAAATCCAAGGTGGGAAGTGCTCAGTGCTATAAAAGATGCACAGATAAGCCTATAGAAGATCAGAAAATATATTCTTCCTGCTAGAGAATCAGGGAAGCTTCATGACTGTAGCAGCATTTGTACTCCACCTTTAAAAAGATAGGAGTGTTGGAGGGGTGAGGGCAACATTCCAGGTAGAAGAATGCAGAGGCAAATAAAGATGAGAAATCTTGTGTTTCTGTCATTTCCTTTATTTCCTCTACAAGCCTCTGGATCTCTAGGCCAGCAACCCTTAAACCTCTTGAGATTCTTTTTTCATCTATTTTCCCAAATCAAACTCATTTGTTCTGTATTGAATGGATCTTAACCACCATCTAGGTGAACAACTGGCCAATCTATTGATTTGTCCACACACAAAAATGTCATTCTTATATTATTTCATTCATTTAAGATTACCTGTTCATATTTTAACGAGGAGTTTCTAAGAAGTGACCCTAATTCTACACAGACAATTTCAATGATGAGGGCACCTGTTTTTGTTTGAGGGAAGGAAGGGATACTTCAAATATTCCCTCAGAACAGAGATAACTGTCCCCATAGCTAACTTGGCATTCCCTTAGTGAAATGTTACTGGGCACAATAAAATCTAGGTAGGATCAAGCTATTGTGGGCAAGATAATTTGTATGCGATCAGTTCAGTTTTTTGGAAGATGAATAATATAGGAGGAAATTCTAAGGCTTACGTGGGACACCCCGTAGTATATTGCAATATTGGAGTCACACCAGGGAATTGCATAACTCCACTACCTCTCTGTGTTAAAGAGAACAAAATATCCGTTAAAATTTCCACAAGTCTTTAGGTTCCAACAGATTCATGCTTCAAGGTGTCTGTTCAGATAATCTAAAATAATGTACTACTTTACCATAAGAGGAATAAGAGAAGGAAAAGTTAATATTTCCTAAGTACTGTTACGTACGAGGTACTATTTCTAAGATATTTCTCCTGCACAAAACTGTCTTCTGGTTTATCATTTCACTGACACTAAGATGTGATCTCAATCTGGGCCTATGAGATTCTGCATAATCTGACCTCTGCTTGCTTTCCTCTTTCCCCTCATCTCCTGTGACTGTCCTCATTCCTTAAATTATTTTACTCACATTAACTTTCTTTACTTAAAATAACACCTTTATTCCTTCCTCAAAGTTTTTGGATTTCCCGTATTTTCTGATTGGGGAATTCATCCCCCAGAGAGCCCTGTGGTTCTCACTCTCTTTTAATAGAGTCTTCACTCAGAGAGCCCTTCCCTTATTACCTGGTTTAATGTAGATCTCCCACCACTGATTTTAGCTGTCTGTGTTCCCTTTATAAGATAAAAATCAAGAGAACAGGGACTTTTATCTTGCTTGCTGCTGAATTCCCAAAGCCAAGAACAATATTCAGCACATAGTAGGCATTTAATAAATATTTATTAAAATAGAGGAAAATATTGTTATCTCCATTTTACAGAGGAGCATATTATATTCAAGAGAGGTTGAAAATTTATGCAAGGTTGCCAGTCTAATAACTGAAGCAGCTGAGGATTTGTACCCCTGTCCCTTTCACTGCACCAAAATTACTTTGAAGAGCATGCTCTAGTAAATGCTTCCCTTGTATTGTAGAGAGTTTTACATAAGCACAATCTTTTTTTCCACAATGCCTCTGTTATAATTAGGTATTTGTTTTTCTCACTTCCCATTTCAGTAAAACCTAATCTGTGTTGTCATCTTCTGTAGACTAATTGCAGGGAGTCTACTACACATAGTAATCATTAATGCATAAAATATACTAACTTTAACTGGTATAAATAATACTAGCAATGGTTCTCTGTCTTTCTGTCTGTCTCTCTCTTCCTAGTTATTTGACCAAGCTTTTGTTGCATCGCTTATCTTAGTTCAATGCGTATCAGAACTGGAAGGCATCTTAGAGAGAGACCCAGAGTGGAAAGGGATCCTTTCAATGTCACATAAATCCCTATAGTGAGTCTCCATACTCTTTCTGATATTTTCATCAGCCTTATATCCTGCATATGCGAAAAACAAAAGGAAAAAAAAGCTAAAAGCAAAATCTAACTTAATGCCCTAAATTTTTCCTTTGCCTTATGTTAACATTGGTTATAACACAACTTCCATGAAAGAACTTTTATTTATTTTATCTATGCTTTTTTTAATTATGTGGAGGCATGACAGAGCTTTATCTCAGTGTCATTTTAATTGGAAGTATTGATGTCTGAAGTTGCACCCTGCTGAGAAAATGTTATTTATGTGCCACATGTCCCCAGCCTAAACGGTTCTGTAGTATATTGTAATGTTGTTCATAGCTCTTGTTTTCCTTTCCACTCCTATAGGAGGATTAAACAGCCACATTCCTTGTCACATAACTTATAGTGCCCCCTGTAGGCATCATTGTCAGGACTGGCCATGTGACTTGCTCTGGCCAATCCCCTATGAGTGAACAAGATATAGGTTGCATCCAAAAAGGAGCTTTGAGTTTGATTCCTCCCTGCTTCAAGAAGCAGTGCATTGTACAAAGGGGCTGCTCTCTCATCGTGAGGTTATGAATGGGTCATGTAGAGCAGATTTACAGTGGATCTGGAGCAAAGAATGAGATTACTTGAAGCCTTCACATAATATGTGCAAGAACAAATGTTTTGTTGTTACTGGTGAAATCCATTGAAAAATGTTGGATTTGTTTGTTAGCATAGCAAAAGTTGAGTAGTTGATAAGACAGCTTTTTGTAAGTGGAAATGTCTAAGCTGTGGCTTGTAGCTGTTTGGTATGATTTTGGGTAGAATCCAGAATTTCATACTGGATAGAAGCCAGGATTCAGTGACCTCTTACGGATCTTCAACTTTGAGATTTTATGATTCTTTGCTTTACTTTCTTAGTACTTCTATTACTCAAGTATTTATGAAATTTATTCAAATGATACCTTAAAATCCTGATACATTCATGACATCATCTGAGTTGTACATGTACAGTTAATTACTCATAATTTTTCTTCAATTGAACTCTACCTTTGTACTTAAATTAACTTACTTAACCAGGATACTTGTTATCATTACCAAAAAATAGAAAACCAATATCATTTGCATTAAACAGAAGGTTATTCTGTAAAAATATATATACTATAGAAAATAAACTTATTAATTTTAGCTGTGCCTGATTTATTCCTATTAATATGGGCCTTTCTCATTGTCTTTCTTAACAAGGATTATTAAGAAGTGTTAGAGAACTGAGATATTCTCTTCATTACCAGAAAGATGAAAAGGAAAATCAATAGAGGGTAGCATACTCACTGAATGATTTGGCACTGCTCAATCTGTGCCTGTCCTTTCATGGACCTCTAGAAAGACACACCAGAAAATAGACTGGATGGAGTACAAGGAATGTCACTTCTCTAAAAGATAATTATCTTTTTATGATAATATGTTGATATCATGGGCACTGACTTTGATTTTAAAAATGATAGAGAAATGGAGCAAGATAGCCGAATAGAAGCCTCCACCAATAATCATCCCTGCAAGAATAGCAAATTGAACAAAAGGAGGAACCTTCATAAGAACCAAAAATCACTGTGAGTGATCACAGTACCTAGTTTTAACTTCATATTACTGAAAAAGGCACTGAAAGAGGAAGAGTGTAGGAAAGACAGTCTTGAATTGCTAATGCCACCCGTCCCTCATCCCCAGGTGGTAGCGGCATAGTGCAAAGAGAGAATTTGAATGTACTTAGGGAAGGGAGAGCACAATGATTGTGGGACTTTGCACTAAAACACAGTGCTGCCCTGTCACAGCAGCAGGCAACACTAGGCAGAACACAGCTGGTGTTCATGGAGGGAACACTTGGTGCAGCTCTAGCGAGAGGGGAAACGTCCATCCCAGCAGTCAGAACCTGAGTTCTGGCAAGGCTCCCCACCACAGGCTAAAGATCTCTGGTGTCCTAAATAAACTTGAAATGCAATCTAGGCTACAAGGACTGCAATTCCAGGGCAACTTCTTGTGCTTTGCTAGGCTCAGAGCAAGTGGACTAGTGGGACATGTGATGTAGTGAGACACCAGCTTGGTGGCCAAGGGAGTGCTTGCACCACCCCTCCCCCAAGCCCAGACAGTACAACTCACAGCTCCAGGAGAGACTCTTTGCCTTTGCTTGAGGAAAGGAGAGGGAAAGGTAAAGAGGACTTTGCCTTGTAATGTGGATACTGGTTCAGCCACAGTAAGATAGGGCACCAAGCAGAGTCCTGATGCCCACATTCCAGCTCCTGGGAGCTTAGCACAGAGAGAGAGAGAGACTCAATTTATTTGGGACAAAGTAAGGGAAGAGAATAAGAGTCTCTGCCTTATAATTCAGGAAATTTTTTCAGATCTTATCCAAGGCAAGCAAGGTGGTACCTCTATGAATCTGCAAGAGCCATAGCATTACTGGGTTTAGAGTGCCTACCATTGCAAATATAGGTGCAGTTACCAAAAACTTAGACCACAACACCCCAGTCCCTTCAAATACCTGGAAAGCCTTCTCAGGAAGGATGGGTACAAATAAGCCTAAACTATGAAGAATATAATAAATACCTAACTCTGCCCAAAAACAATGAACATCCACAAGCATCAAGACTATCCAGGAAAACATGACCTCACCACACAAACTAAGTAAGGCACCAGGAACAAATCCTAAGATACGTGACCTTTCAGATAGAGATTTCAAAATAGCTGTTTTGAGGAAACTCAGTGAAATTCAAGATAATACAGAGAGTGAATTAAGATTCCTATCAGATAAATTATATAAATAAAAATTATAATAAAGTTATTTATAATAATAAATAAATTATAATAAATAAAATTATAAAAATTATAAGAAATTATAATAAAAAGAAGCAGAAATTCTGGAGTTGAAAAATGTAATTGACATATAGAAAAATGCATCTGTATTAGTCCATTTTCACACTGCTATAAAGATACTACCAGAAAATGGGTAACTTATAAAAGAAAGAGGTTTAATTGACTCAGTTCCTCATTGCTGGGGAGGCCCCAGGAAAATTCTAAGCATGGTGGAAGGTGAAGGAAAAGCAAGCACTTTCTTCACAAGGTGGCAGGAGAAAGAGTGCAGGGAAAACTGCCACTTTTAAACCATCAGATCTCCTGATAAATCCCTCACTATCAAGAGAACAGCATGGGGAAAATGATCCCTATGATCTAATAACCTCTCACCAGGTCCCTCCCTCGACACATGGGGATTAAAATTCAAGATGAGATTTGGATGGGGACAGAAGGCCAAACCATATCATTCTGCCCCTGGTCTCTCCCAAATCTCATGTCCTTTTCACATTTCAAAACCAATCATGCCTTCTCAACAGTCCCACAAAGTCTTAACTTATTCCAGCATTAACTCAATAGTTTAAGTACAAAGTCTCATTGGAGACAAGGCAAGTCCCTTCTCCCTGGGAGCCTGTAAAATCAAATGCAGGTAATAAAATCAACATGGATTGAGGGCTTAAATCTAAGACCTCAAATTATGAAACTCCTAAAAGAAAACATTGGGGAAGCTTTCCAGGACTTTGGCCTGGGCAAAGATTTCTTGAGTAATACCCCACAAGCACAGACAATCAAAGTAAAATTAGAGAAATGGGGTCACACCAAGTTAAAAAAAAAAAAAGGACTTTTGCACAGCAAAGGAAACAGTCAACAAAGTGAATAGGGAACCCACAGAACTGGAGAAAGTATTTACAAACTATCCATCTGACAAAGGATAAATAAATAGAATATATAGGAGCTCAAACAACCCTATAAGAAAAAAAAAAACTGATAATCTGATTTAAAAATGGCCAAAAGATCTGAATAAGTATTTCTCAAAAGAAGATGTACAAATAGCAAACAGGCATGTAAAAAGGTGCTCAATATTGATCATCAGAATAATGCAAATCAAAACTATAACGATATATCATCTCACCCCAGTTAAATGGCTTTTATCCAAAAGACAGGGTATAACAACTCCTGGCAAGGATGTGGAGAAAGGAGAACCTTCTTTCTCCATTAGTGGGAATGTAAAGTAGTGCAACCACTATGAAGAACAGTTTGGAAGCTCGTCAAAAAGTAAAAATTGAGCTACCATATTGTCTAGCAATCCCACTTCTGGGTATATACTCAAAAGGAAGGAAATCTGTCCATCAAAGAGATATCTACACTCCTATGTTTATTGTACACTATTCACAATAGCCGAGATTTGGAAGCAACCTAAATGTCCATCAACAGATGAATGGATAAAGAAAATGTGGTACCTATATATACTGAAATAGCATTCAGCCATAAAAAAAAGTAATATCCCATCATTTGCAACAACATGGATAGAACTAGAGGTCATTATGTTAAATGAAATAAGCCAGGCACACAAAGGCAAACTTCTCATATTCTCACTTATTTTGAGGAACTACAAATTTAAACAGTTAACTAATAGAGATGAAAAGTAGAAGGATGGTTACCAGGGGCTGGGAAAGGTAGTGGGTAGGAGGGAAGTGGTTAATGGGTACAAAAATACATTTAGATAAAATTAATAAGATCTATAATTTGATAGCATAAAAGGGTGACTAAAGTCAACAGTAATTCACAGTACATTTAAAAATAACTAAAAGTGTATATTTGGATTGTTAGTTACATAAAGAAAGGAGAAATGCTTGGGGTGATGAATATCCCATTTGTCCTGTTGTGATTATTACACATCGTATGTCTGTGTCAAAATATCTCATGTACCATATAAATACACAAAACTACTATGTACCCACAAAAATTAAAACTTTACAAAGTGATAAACTTCAAATTCTCCTTCCGGTTTTGCACCATCACCAGTGTCCACAGTCTTGTCTTTTTTTCCTCGAGATAAACAGCTCTAAGTCATTCATCTTTTCCTTATCTGATATGGTTTCTGTGACTCTGCTCTACTTTCCTTTCCCTGACTAGTAGTCTTCTTATCAAGCTCTCTTTCTCTTGCTCAGAAGTAAACAGAATTTATATTGGAACAATATAATTGATCTGAAAACTTCTCATATAAAATTCTCTATTATTTTCGTGTCTCTCAAATTTAACTAGGACATCATAGGAGACTTTGGAATACAGGAAATGTCTAATGATTGACTCTCTGTTTAAGTATAATGAGAAGTTTTCCTGATGCTTTTACTATTAGCTTTGGAATCAGTGAACCTTTAACTTGTAATCCCTGGGGCTAGTTTTGTTTTCATTCTTATTAAATTGGGGATAAGGGCAGATTATCCCACAAATTGTCTCTCTGTTCTTATTCAGGTAGAAATGAAAATCAGCCAAGTGAGAAGTTACAGCAGCAGGACCTGGTCAAAGTGGATAGGGAAGAAGGGCAATTTCCCTGTCTGAAAAGAACCTGACTGTCTCACAACCTGGCAGATCCTTTCAGAAGTGAAGCTATTAGGCTGTTCATTCAGCTTCACAGTGTCGGCCACGGATATGCTAAATTGTCACACTTATCTGACCAAAAAAATCCTAGGCAGTAATTTCTGCTTTAAGCTAAAATAGCTTTCAGACCTCTTTGGCTAGTGAAAACTAACTGGATTTTTCTTCAATGAATGTTTGATTTAAGCTCCTCTGCATGTGCAATGGGAAAGCGACTGCTCTTCCCACCACCAGAAACTGCTCATTAGTAAGTAGATGTGCCTAACCAGTTGTGCCAGAGAGGGGCAAAGAAGCCTTTCAGGCAGTTAATAATGTTATGGCATCCTGTTCCCCTCAGAATGCTTCATTTTAATTTTGTGCTCAATATGTCCCTAATAAACCAAGTGGGGTGGTCTGAATGGTTGGGGAAATACCCCTGAACTAGTTTTTACTGTTTTGCCTTTTATCTCTTTCTCACAACTTCTTTTCTGGTTTATGACTATATGTATATAGTCTTGGCTAAATCACTAGTCACTTAACCGGATTACTAGTCACTTTACCTCAGTTTATTCCTCAATAAAATGGAGGGCTTTACAATGCCTTTCTCCAAAGGCCATTGTACATATTTAATGACAGGACATGTGAAAGTTTCCTAGAATACTGTGTAGCACATAATAAGTGCTCAATAAATGATGTTTAATGCAGAATCAAACTGTATTAAATATTAAATAATGTTCCTCTAATGTGAATGACCCACAGGTAAAGTCTCTCCCGATTCAAAGAGCTTATAGGGCAAGCCTACAAAGACAGCTTCATAAAGGGCTCATAAAATTATTCATCATTTCTATTCATACAAAACTTAATGACTGTGGAGAGCTCAGAAAAGAGCAGTGAAATGATGAAAGTTCCATGAGGTCATTCCTCTGAGAAAGGGTTAGAGGAGATGGATTCTTTAATCTGGGCAAGTGAAGATTGCAGCATGACTTAATAATGGTCTTCAAGGATGATTGATGTTAGTAGCAGAGAGAGTAATGTAAGGGTTGCATTAAAGTGGAAACACACCCTTATAATTCTCTCAAGACCTGCTAGATATTTCCTAAGAGCACAAGTAAATGAAACAGATTCCTATTGCTGATGAGAATAGATATTAAAGCTGGAGTCAAGAAGAAAATGCCCCTGCATGTTTACTTGTCAGAGACAGCATCTGGATGGCTGATGGCTGGACATTGTTGAGACTGCTGTGCCTCGTGGACTTTAGGCAATTTCACAGCATCTGCTGCTGACTGTAGGATTGCCTGGCAATCTGGGCTAGCCCCACAATGCCCAAAACAGAACTGACTCCCATTGAATGTGTGACAAGTATCTGAAAAAAAGAACTCATTTACACAAAGAGTATGCCATAGCTCCGCTGGTAGAGGTAAGAATTTTACGGGTATTGGCTTAGTTATCTTGATTGGAGGCAAAGCAGGCCCTGCTTTTAGGTTCTTATAGGAATCAGAACCAGGTTTGAATTCAATCTACCACTTACTAGATGGGTGACCTTGAGCATAGTTTATAATTCCCCTCCCTGTTCTTTGTATACTAGTCAGAGTTCATTTTGATAAATAATAGAAATCTACTTTGGATAAATTTAAGCAAAAAGGAATTAACAAGTGAGATGACTAGTTTATAGAATTGACAGAAAGATTAAAAATTAAGCTGTAGCAGAAACCAGAGTAGGCAAGGCAAAGGAATGCTTTGCATAAGGCATCACACCAATTTTGCTGCAATTAAACACTTACTGCTCTAATGGACTGTGGACTCCACTGTAGTGTTGAGTAATCTCCAACAGACCCCACGCTTTTATGTCATTCCCCAAAAGTTCTGGGTAGGAGTATCTGATTAGTTGTTCTTAAGTCATATGCCCTACACTCTAGGGGCCATGGTACTAGAGAGGGAATATCTGTTCCCAACAGGCTGTTAGCATGCCATACCTCCACTTATCATAGGATTTTTCCCAAATTTGGATGCTGGTCACCCAGAATTACACATGTCGACTACATTTCACTCTTAGCTTTTGCAAAGCAGAGATAATATTCTACTGCTAGAGTTGACGTACATGACATGTACTAATAGATGACAAATGCTAGCTGTCTTAATAAAAATTACAGTAGTGGTGATGGTTGTTGGAGAAATTTCCCAGTGGGAACTGGGTGACTTCTGTTTACTAGACACTGAACTCTTTGAGGGCAGATTACTCACTCTCCAGTGGTGGAACTCAGTGGCCCTCAATCATGGCCGTATATGAGAATTTCCTGGAGAGCTTAAAAAAAAAAAAAAGAAAAAAAGAAAAACTGTGACAGTGCCTTTCCTTTTGTTTGTTTGTTTGTTTGTTTTTCCCCCCAAGGAACATGGTATTTGTAAATGATTAGCATTAAAATTGAAACAAAACAAAATAACTGTCATAGAACATTTATATACCTGAAAATTGATGTGATGGATTTATGGGGCCCATTTGATTAATAGTGGTTTACTCTACTATTATTACCATTAGGCCTCTATAATTTTTTTTTTCTTTTTTGAGACATAGTCTTGCTCTGTCGCCCAGGCTGGAGTGCGGTGGAGTGATCCATTAGGCCTCTATAATCTTAATAGTATAAGAGTGCCTGGCACTGCCTTTCCAACATTAAGTATGTTAGGCAATTCCAACAGGTACTTATAGTATAGTATAGCTGCTCTGTATTGATGGTGCAAGTCAAGGCCAGATTATTTAAGTGTCTGAAAATAAGATAAAATTATCCTTTTGTTAATGCTTAAGCACTTCAATTGCTCAACTACCTAGAGACCGAATCACTTTACCATGAATATAGTCGACAGAACTGCTTCCAGGTAAAGCTAATGTGTTCTGTACACATACAATATACTCCCCAAAAAGGATACATTTTCTTGTTTGCAGTACCTGTCAATATATGCTTCCTGCAAAGTACGTCTTCAACAAGCTAACTAAATGAACTGCTACACAGGGTTAAATGTAGGTCTAGATCTCCCAAATCCAATGATTTTAATATTGTCATTGTCTGAATCAAGAATGATGTTATCTGCAGTAATTATCCTGTTCGTTTAGCAATTAAAAATGCTAGTAAAACAGTTTTGCAATATGTATCAAGATTTTTGAAAATCTTTACACCTTTGGAGTCAGTGTAAAAGCTTAATTTAAAGAGGATGCCTAGAAAATAGTGTGAAATATAAACAAATATTTTTATATAAAATATGAATTATGCTATTAGTAATTAGTTCAAAGAGTGAACAAATAGAAGTAAACAAGTATTTAGCATAAGGTGTAATTAAGTAAAATAGGATACCCAAATAATGGAATATTGTGTGGTTATTATACCCATCCAAAAGAAAAATGAAATTATATATAGTATATATATACATATACAAACACACACACACACACATATATATATATATATAAAATATTCCATTATTTGGGTGGTTATAACCACCCAATATTCCAATAACCAAACAATATCCCATTATTTGGGTATCCTATTTTACTTAACATATATATATATATATATATATATATATATATATATATATATGTCAAATGTGACCTCATTATATAAAATATCCTAAGTATTTAGCCAGCGTTAATAGTGGTTGTCTTGAGTAGCGGAACTTAAGGATAATTTTTTTCCCATGCTATATTTTTTTGTATAAATTTCCAAACTTTCCATAGTTTTTGTTTTATAATGAAATGTCCCTATTGCTGTTTTTCCTAAAACAAACAAAAAAAAATTGCTGACACAATAAATTTAAGCAACATAAACACCTAAGGAAAAAGGTGAAATTCATCTCCTTATGCCCCGAGAAACCACCACCATTTTGGTGACCGTTCTTATATGCATCATCTTTTTAAAAAATATTGACATATACTATACACTTTTACAATAAAGGTATTTACATTGCTTTATGGTGCTCAACTTTATTCAATTTTTTTTCTCCTTACCTCTCCCCTTACATTTATTCTTCCACATCTTCATGTAATTTAACCAACTCCCCATGTAACCACCTAATATATAAATTTACAAATGCACACTCATAAGAATATATATGTAGGCTTGTGTTTATGTATGTATACATATATGGATATGTATATTTGTGTATAGTAGATGATATGCATACATATCCATATATACATATATATGTGTTATATATACATATGTACATTACATATGTACATATATGTATGAATAAATATAAAATTATAGAAATCATTTGAAATTGTCAATTTTCAACTGCTTTGACTTACAAACATCTCAATTTCATAGGATATATTCTCCAAATCAACAGACTGATTTGTTTTGATGGTATTAAATGATTTCAGAAATATGACTCCTTACATGCAGTTAGTACACATGTCTTCCATGGAGAGGAAACAAAAAAGCAAGTAGACAGTCACAGTTCACATAGATTTCCTAGGAGAGAACACTGGAATATAACCAAGAAGTGACCAGAAACACTGAAAGCAAAGGAGAGGGAAATAGGCAGGCTGGTTGGCCAGGACTGACTAGGAACTGGGAGAAGCTCCTGGACATAAGGAAAGGGTGAGTGAGTGACGTCAGGGTTTCATATACTTGCCATGTATAATCCTAGCCATGGAAAAGCTCCTCAAGCCTCACAGCCTTGAGACTAATATAGGCAGCTGCCTAGTGATTGTGCCAAGCTTCAGAAAAGGAATTCACACAGTCCCACAGATTTCCAAACCCTGAGCAGCTGCAACATAGTGCCATTCTGAGAGCTCAGCCCTCAAAGACTACCAAGGAGAAAGAGGGGAAGCCAGGCACTTTCATCCACCCTAAAGACAAATCTCACCTCTCCCACTGCTGTGAGCTGTTGTGGGACCAAGATGTGAGGAAATCACAGGCCCCATAGCTGTCTGCCTATTCTCCTCCCACTGAGAGTGGCCCCCATCCTCCTCAGTGGCAGGCCTCCAATCCTGCACCAGTCCAAGTTCACAGCCCTTAGAGGACTGTGTCCTCCACTGGGTTCAACACTGCTGTTGCCACTGCCAGACCAGGAAGGGAGAAGGGAAGCTAGGCAATGTCGTACATTCCAAGTACAAATACTACCGCCTCTGCTTGCGAGCTGCTGTAGGACCGAGGTGGGAGAAAATCACAAGTTCTACAAATGCCTGCTTAAGCTGCTCCCACTGAGAGTGGCCCCGCCCTCCCTGGAGGCCAGTCTGCAGCACAGTCACCACTGCACCCACCTGAACATTCTGCCAATAATCTGGGGACCATCCCATTCCTGCCTATTACAGACAGTGCCAGAACATCCTACCAGAAGGCCTGAGGACAAGCCTGCTGTCCTGGTCCCACCCCCACAATACTTAAGCATGACATCCAGGCGCCTGCAGATTGCCCAGCCCAATCCACATGTGTTGGCACCTAAACACTTTTCCCAGGGTTTGAGGTTATGCCAACCCAACTGCTGATACTGCCACAGCTAGTACCTACCTGTACAAGCCACTTGCAGGCCACAGGGATGCCCTGACCAGCCCATCACAGCCACCGCCAACATCACCGTGGACCACTGGGGTTCCGGTGGGTTGCCTCACCACTACTTCTGCCATTGCCCACAAAATACCCATAGACCAGGGGCCCTAAAACCCACCCAAATTTCTGGACCATTCCTGATACTACCAACATCCAAGCAAGCTACCTGGAAGCCCAAGAATCAACCTGCCTGGACTTACGAACACTAGACTCACCATACACCACTCTGGAGCTCACAGACAGGCATGCTCAGCTGACTGCTGCCACCACAGGGACCCGAAGACTGGCCCACCTGGTATCCTAGTCCTCAGCAAAACTTCACCACAGCCTCCACTAGTAACCATACCCTAAGCCACTGAGGAAATTGCAGATATCACCAATGCTGCTTATAGGCCAGGAAATCATACAAAGACTGAACTACTGCACAAATCCAGAATCAAAGCTGAAGGCCCCACCCACCAACAACATATCTACATCTTCAGCAAAAAGCCTTCTCCTATGAAAGCAAGTTCAAAAAAATAGAAGTGACTGTTATACAAGCTATGCAGATGTCAGCATAAGGAAACCAAAAACATGGAAAAGAAAGGAAATATGACACTTGGAAAGAGACACAGTAATTCTCTGGCAATGGATCCCAATCAGAAATTCATAAAATTTTGGATAAAGAATTCAAAATACTGATTTTAAAGAAGCCCAAATGAGACACAAGAGAATTCTGAAAAATGATACAGAGAATATAAAAAACAATTCAGGATATGAATTTAAAAATTACCAAAGGGATGGATATTTTTAAAAAGAAGCAGAAATCTTGGAACTGAAGAAATCATTGAATGAAATAAATACATTTGGAAACTTTGATAATAGTCTAGATCAAGCAGAAGAAAGAATCTCAATAGTTGAAGACAAGTCTTTTGAAATAATCTAGTCAGACAAAAATAAAAAGGCCTAGAAAAGAATGAACAAAGACTTTGTGGTGTTTGGGACACCATAAACCAACTGATTATTGAAATTATCAATGTCTCCATGGACAAAGAGATAATGAAGGGGTTCCAAAACCTATTAATGAAATAATGGATGGAAACCACAAGTCAGGCAAAAGATTTAGATATCCAGATATAGGAAGATCAAAGATCACCAAACTGACAAAACTCCATAAAGGTCTTCTCTGTGACACATTATAGTCAAACTGTCTAAAGCCAAAGAAAAAGAGAGTTCTAAAAACAGCAAGAGAAAAGCATCTAGTCACCTATAGAGGAACCACCATCAGACTAACTGGGGATTTCTCAGCACAATGCAGGAGAGAATGAGATGACATATTCAATGTGCTGAAAGAATAAACTGACAGAGAAGGATAATATATCCAGTAAAATTACCCTTCATAAGTGAGGGATAAAGTCTTTCCCAGAGAAGCAAATGCTTAGGGAATTTATCACCACAAGATGAGCCCTACTAAAATTGATTAAGGGAGCCCTACACCTGGAAGCAAAAAAACATTTACCAACATGAAAACTCATAAAACTGTAATACTGACAGGTAAACCATACACACAAATGAGAAAGAGGAAGGGCTCAAGTGGTTCCACTACAGAAAATCACCAAATCACAATGACAAATAATAAGATAAAAAGAAATGAACAAAGAACATACAACCAGAAAACAATGAACAATATGACAAAAACCCTGACAGATCATTAATAACCTCGAATTTAAATGGATTAAATTCTGCACTTAAAATATATAGATTGGCTGAATGGATTTTAAAAAGCTATAATCCAACTATATGCTACCTATTAGAAATGCACTTTACCTGTAAGGACACAAGTAAACTGAAAATAAAAGGATCAAAAAAGATATTCCACTCAAACAGAAGCTAACAACCGGGAGGAGTAGCTATACTTATTTCAGATAAAACAGACTTTACATCAAAAACAATGTAAAAAAGTCAGAGAATATCATTACATAATGATAAAAGAATCAATGCAAAAATAGAACATAACAATTCTAAATATATATACATACAACACTGGAACACCCAGATTCATAAAGCAAATATTACTAGATCTAAAGAGAGAAACTGACTTCAGTTCAGAAATACTTTAAAAGCCTATTCTCACCATTAGACAGATTCTCTAGACAGAAAATTGACAATGAAATCATGGATTTAAATTGGACTTTAGACCAAGTGGATCTGACAGACATTTACAGAACATTTTATTGAACAACTACAGAGTATACATTCGTCTCATTAACAAATAGAACATTCTCCAGGATAGACCGTATGTTAGGCAACACAAAAATTCTCAACCAATTAAAAAAAAAAAGAAATAAACTTCTTCTATTTTTTTGAACTTGCTTTCATAGGAGAAGGCTTTTTGCTGAAGATGTAGATATGTTGTTGGTGGGTGGGGCCTTCAGCTTTGATTCTGGATTTGTGCAGTAGTTCAGTCTTTGTATGATTTCCTGGCCTATAAGCAGCATTGGTGATATCTGCAATTTCCTCAGGGGCTTAGGGTATGGTTACTAGTGGAGGCTGTGGTGAAGTTTTGCTGAGGACTAGGATACCAGGTGGGCCAGTCTTCGGGTCCCTGTGGTGGCAGCAGTCAGCAGACCACAGTGGAAGAAAACTAGAAATCAATACCAAGAGGAACTTTGAAAAGTATACAAATACAAAGAAATTAAACAACGTATTCCTAAACAACCATTGGGTCAATGAAGAAATTAAGATGGAAATCAAAAAATGCCTTTAAAACGTGACAATGGGAAAATAACATACCAAAACCTGTGGGATACAGCAAAGGCAGTGCTAAGAGAAAATTATATAGCAATAAATGCCTACATCAAAAAAAAAGAAAGATTTCAAATAATAACCTAATGATGCACCTTAAGGAACTGGAAAAGCAAGAACACACCAAGCACAAAATTAGCAGAAGGAAATTAGATCATTTAAATAATAAAGATCAGAGAAGAACTAAATGAAATACAGACTTAAATATAAAGAATCAATGAATAGCTCGTTCTTTAAAAAGGAACAAAATTGAAAAACCACTCACTAGACTAACCAAGAGAAGAGAAAATCCAAAGAAAAAAAATCAGAAATGAAAAAGGAGACTTTACAAGTGATAGCACAGAAATACAAAAGATCATCAAAGACTATTGTGAACAGTTATACACTAACAAACCCCAAAACATAGAGGAAATGGATAAATTCCTGGAAACATACAACCTACCAAGACTGAATGAGGAAGAAATAGAAACCTGAACAGACCAATAATGAGTAGTCAGATTGAATCAGTAATATAAAGTCTCCTAACAAAAGCCCAGGACCTGGTGGATTCACAGCTGAAGTCTGCTAAATGTGTAGAGAACTAACACCAATCTTCCTGAAAGTATTTCAAAAAAAAAAAAAAAAAAAAAAAAAAAACAGAAGAAAAGGGAACTCTCCCTAACTTGTTATCTGAGGCCAACATTACCCTGATATCAAAACCAGACAAGGATACATCCAAAAAAGAAAACTATAGGCCAATATCCCTGATGAAATTAGATGTAAAAATCTTCCACAGAATAATACTAGCAAGCTGAATCCAACAGTACGTGAAAAGGAAAATACACCATGACCAAGTGGGATTTACACCAGGACTGCAAGGATGATTCAACATATGCAAATCAATAAACATGTTACATCACATCAGCAGAATGAAGGACAAAAACCAAATGATCATCTCAATAGACACAGAAAAATCATTTGATAAAATGTAACATCCCTTTGTGATAAAAACTCTCAACATCTAGGAATAGAAGGAACATACCTCAAAATAATCATGCCATATATGACAAACCCACAGCTGACTTACATCATAGTGAGTGGGGAAAAGCTGAAAATTTTTCTTCCGAGATCTGTAACAAGACAAAGATGCCCACTTACATCAATCCTATTTATCATAGTACTGGGAGCCCTCAGCAAAACAATCAGACAAGAAAAAGAAAAAAAATATCCACATCAGAAGAGAGGAAGTCAGATTTTCTCTGTCTGCTGATAAGATCTAACATCTAGAAAAACCTAAAGACACCACAAAAAAATCTCCTACATTTGATATATTCAGTAAAGCTGTAGGAGAGAAAATTAATATACAAAAATCAGTAGCATTTCTATACAACAATGATGAACTAGCAGAGGAAAAAAATCAAGAAAGCAATTTTATTTACAATAGCTCCAAAAAATATATACTCAGGAATTAATTTTACCAATGAGGAAAAGATATCTGTAAGGAAAACTGCGAAACACTGATGAAAGAAATTGAAGAGGACACAAACAAATTGAAAGACATTACATGCTTATAGATCAGAAGAATTAATATTATTATAATGGCCATACTGTCCAAAGAAATATACAGATTCAATTCAATCCCTATCGAAATACCAATGTCATTTTTCACAGAATTCAAAAAATCAATTCTAAAATGTGTATGGAACCAAAAAAAAAAAAAAAAAAAGCCAGAATAGCCAAAGCAATCTTGAACAAAAAGAACAAAGCTAGAAGCATCACACTACCTAACTTCAAAATATATTACAAGGCTATAGTAACCAAAACAGCATGGTTTTGTTGTAAACACAGACACATAGGACAATGGAACAGAATAGAAAGGCCAGAAATAAATCCATGTATTTACAGCCAACTGATTTTTAATAAAGGCACCAAGAATATATACTGAGGAAAGAACACGGTCCTCAATAAATGGTGCTGGGAAAATTGGATATCCATATGCAAAAGAATGAAACTAGATACCCATTTCACCCCACATACAAAAATAAACTCAAGATCAATTAAGGACTTAAACATAAGACCTGAAACTATAAAACTGCTATAAAAAACATAAGGAAAACACATCAAAATGTCAGTCTAAGAAAAGATTTCATGGCTAAGACCGCAACAGCACAGACAACTATAACAAAAATAGACAAATGGGACTATGTTAAACTGAAAAGCTTCTATACAGCAAAAGAAACAATCAACAGAGTGAAAGACAATCTGTTGAATGGGAGAAACTATTTGCAAACTGTCTATCCAAGGGACTAACATTCAGAATATTCAAGGAACTCAAACAACTCAACAATAATATAACAAATAGTCCCATTAAAAAGTTGCCTCCCATTTTGTAGGTTGCCTGTTCACTCTGATGGTAGTTTCTTTTGCTGTGCAGAAGCTCTTTAGTTTAGTTAGATCCCATTTGTCAATTTTGGCTTTTGTTGCCATTGCTTTTGGTGTTTTAGACATGAAGTCCTTGCCCATGCCTATGTCCTGAATGCTAATGCCTAGATTTTCTTCTAGGGTTTCTATGGTTTTAGGTCTAACGTTTAAGTCTTTAATCCATCTTGAATTAATTTTTGTATAAGGTATAAGGAAGGGATCCAGTTTCAGCTCTCTACATATGGCTAGCCAGTTTTCCCAGCACCATTTATTAAATAGGGAATCCTTTCCCCATTGCTTGTTTTTCTCAGGTTTGTCAAAGATCAGATAGTTGTAGATAAGCGGCGCTATTTCTGAGGGCTCTGTTCTGTTCCATTGATCTATATCTCTGTTTTGGTACCAGTACCATGCTGTTTGGGTTACTGTAGCTTTGTAGTATAGTTTGAAGTCAGGTAGCATGATGTCTCCAGCTTTGTTCTTTTGGCTTAGGATTGTCTTGGCGATGTGGGCTCTTTTTTGGTTCCATATGAACTTTAAAGTAGTTTTTTCCAATTCTCTGAAGAAAGTCATTGGTAGCTTGATGGGGATGGCACTGAATCTATAAATTACCTTGGGCAGTATGGCCATTTTCACGATATTGATTCTTCCTACCCATGAGCATGGAATGTTCTTCCATTTGTTTGTATCCTCTTTTATTTCATTGAGCAGTGGTTTGTAGTTCTCCCTGAAAAGGTCCTTCACTTCCCTTGTAAGTTGGATTCCTAGGTATTTTATTCTCTTTGAAGCAACTGTGAATGGGAGTTCACTTTCGCAACCTACTCATCTGACAAAGGGCTAATATCCAGAATCTACAATGAACTCAAACTAATTTACAAGGAAAAAACAAACAATCCCATCAAAAAGTGGGTGAAGGAAATGAACAGACACTTCTCAAAAGAAGACATTTATGCAACCAAAAAACACATGAAAAAATGCTCACCATCACTGGCCATCAGAGAAATGCAAATCAAATCCACAGTGAGATACCATCTCACACCAGTTAGAATGGCAATCATTAAAAAGTCAGGAAACAACAGGTGCTGGAGAGGATGTGGAGAAATAGGAACACTTTTACACTGTTGGTGGGACTGTAAACTAGTTCAACCATTGTGGAAGTCAGTGTGGTGATTCCTCAGGGATCTAGAACTAGAAATACCATTTGACCCAGCCATCCCATTTACTGGGTATATACCCAAAGGACTATAAATCATGCTGCTATAAGGACACATGCACACGTATGTTTATTGCGGCACTATTCACAATAGCAAAGACTTGGAACCAACCCAAATGTCCAACAATGATAGACTGGATTAAGAAAATGTGGCACATATACACCATGGAATACTATGCAGCCATAAAAAAGATGAGTTCATGTCCTTTGTAGGGACATGGATGAAACTGGAAATCATCATTCTCAGTAAACTATCGCAAGGACAAAAAACCAAACACTGCATGTTCTCACTCATAGGTGGGAATTGAACAATGAGAACACATGGACATAGGAAGGGGAACATCACACTCTGGGGACTGTTGTGGGGTGGGGGGAGGGGGGAGGGATAGCATTAGGAGATATACCTAATGTTAAATGACGAGTTAATGGGTACAGCACACCAGCATGACACATGTATACATATGTAACTAACGTGCACATTGTGCACATGTACCCTAAAACTTAAAGTATAATAATAATAATAATAAAAGAAGTTGGCTAAGCCCATAATAGACATTTCTCAAAAGAAGACATACAAATGGCCAAGAGATGTATGAAAAAATGCTCAATATCACTAAGCATCATGAAATGAAAATCAAAATCACAATAAAGTGTCATCTTATCTTACTCCAGTTAGAATGGCTATTATTAAAAAGACAAAAAGCAACAGATGATAGTGAGTATGCAGAGAAAAGGGAACTCATACACTGTGGGTGGGAATGTAAATTAGTAAAACCACTATGGAGAACAGTACACTTTCCTCAAAAACCTAAAAGCAGAACCACCATATGATACAGCCAGCCCACTACGGGGTATTTATCCAAAAGAAAATAAATCAGGATATCAAAAAGATACCTACATGTGCATATTTAGCACTTAACTATTCACAATAGCAAAGATAGGGAATCAACCTAAGTGTCCATTGACAGACAAATGAATAAAGTAAATGTGGCATGTATACACTATGAAGTACTATTTCTCCATAGAAAAGAATGAAATCATGTAATTTGAAACAACATGGATGGAACTGTAGGTCATTATGTTAAGTGAGACAAGCCAGGCACAGAAAATTAGATACCACATATTCTCACTTATGTGTAGGAGCTAAAAAAAAAAAAATTGATCTTCTGGAGATAGAGTATAGAATGATAGATACTAGAGGATGTGAAGTGTCTATGGGTGGGATGGGAAGCAGATTAAGAAAGGTTGATTAGTGAATACAAACATATAGTTACGTAGAAGAAATATGCCCCAATATTTGACAGCAGATAGGGTGACTATAGTTAGCAAGAATGTATTATGTATTTAAAAGAAGTTTGAAGAGAGGACTTGAAATGTTACCAACATAAAGAAATGACAAATAGTGTAGGTGATAGATACCACAAATATTCTAACTTGATCATTATACATTCTATGCATGTAACAAACATTCACTCATACCCTATAAATATGTAAAATATTTTGTATCAGTAAAATATTGATATGCCGTGGTGTGGATCTATCACAATTTACTCCTTTCCCTTATTAATAGGCATTCACTTTTTATTTTTTTCTCAGCACAAACAACACCCCAATAATCATTATTGTACATATATTTTTCATAACCAGTGTTTCTGTAGCTAAGCAATATATTTTCAGGTGTGTGATATTGATTTTTACCAAAGCCATTTACATATAGTATTAACAAAAATGTATTTAATAATTTTTAGTAGGTAGGTCTTGGCACGTTAAGTAGTGATCTAATGTTTCTATTTTACAAAAAATTTTTGTTTGGAAGAATTAACAAATTTTATCAAGTGTTTCGTAAACATCTATTGTTTTATAAACTGTTTAATGTATTATTCTTTCAAAAGAGCACTTGTAACGCATAAACACATATTAGGAGACATAAAAATGAACACTCACTAACAAGTCATCCAATTTCAAAATAAAAGAAATTACTCATAATTTTGAAGTTATCCTAGTGCTACTCCCTTATTTCATCCCCTTTTGTCACTTATCCTTGGAGGCAAAATTTTTCCAGAATTGCATATTTATTATTCCTTCACATTTTAAAATATGTAATTTTAGCACACACATGTGTGTATTTCAACAAATATGTTATAATACATTTTACTATTTTTTGAGCTTTATGAACATGGTATTATACTATATATTTTGGGAAATATATATGTGCGTGACTCAGCAACTTATTCTACTCCTAAATGTATACTCAAAAGATATTCATATATATATGAACCAAGAGACATGAGGATGACATGTATCAACAGTAATTTTTATAACTGCAATAATTTGAAAATAACAAATTGTGAAATATTCATGCAATGTAATATTATACAGTATTGTAAACAAATCAACAGTTCAAACAACGTAGATAAATCTTATAAACATTGTTTTCATTGAAAAAAACAAGTCAAAAAAGTTGTTCCTATTGACTTTTCTCCCATCATACATCAATATTTATTCTTTTTTAGAAAAATTAGTGATGTAGAGCCATCTTTTTCATCACTTGATCATCCTACTAGGTTACAGTATGGTTTTTCTCTTGGTATTCTTCTGTTTAAAAACTCTCATGAATAGCTTTATTGAGATATATTTCAAATATCATACATTTAACCCATGTAAAACATATGAGTAAATCAGTTTTTCAAAGATCTTTGCAACCATTGCCAATAGCTAATTTTAAAACATTTCATCACCCACCAAAGAAACTCCGTACTCATTAAGCAATCACTCCGCGTAATCCCTTTCCCCTAACCACAAGCAACACTAAGCTACTTTCTGTCAGCATGGATTTGCCTATTTTGAATATTTTATATTAATGAAACAATACAATCTATGGCCTTTTGTGTCTGACATCTTTCACTGAGCGTAGTGTTTTTCAGGTTCACTCATGTTATAGCATGTATCAGTACCTGATTCCTTTTTATGGCCGAATAATATTCTATTTTACAGGTACACCACATTTGTTTAAACAGTCATCAGTTTATAGACATTAGGGTTGTTTCTACTTTTTGACTATTATGAGTAAATCCACTACTAATATTATGTACCAGTATTTGTTTGAATATATATTTGTAATTCTCTTGGGTGTGTATACTTAGGAGTGGGATTGATGGATCATACCGTAATTCTATTTTTAACTTTCTAAGAAACTACCAAACAGTTTTGCACAGTGGCTGCATAATTTTACACGCCCACCAGCAATGGATGAGTATTCAAGTTTCTCTACATCCTTACCTATACTTGTTATTATCTCACTTTTTGATTCAAGTTGTCCTGGTGGGTATGCTGTGGTACCTCCTTTTATTTTTGATTTGCATTTTCCTGATGACTAATTAAGTTGAATATCTTTGTATATGCTTATTGGCCATTTGTACATCTTCTTTGGAGAAATGTCTGTTAGATTCTCTGCACATTAAAAACGGGTTGTCTCTTTTCTTGATGTTTCTGCATACTATATTAATATTTTATTTAGAATTATAAATATATTGTCATATATGAGCTGCTCTGTGACTTTGTTGTCTATTATCTGTACCAAGTGGGTCCACTTTAAAAATAATTTAGAACTTGTTATTGCTTTCTATTTTGAAAATGTGTAAGTTATATTAATTGCTTTTCAAAATTTAGACTTGGCTATAAGGTCACGTGACCCTGAAGACCTTGAAAATGATAGATTAATTTTTCATTTTTGAGCTTTTTTATGATTATGTGTCCTTCTCAAAATTTGTACTTCTTATATGCACAGTTGTAGTAATTTATATTTTTTGAAAAACTATACATTTCCCTTAGGTTTAGAAGCCAGTTACCACATATTATCATTGCATTCCCATATAATTATTTTAATCTTTTAATGTCTATAATTATGTTTCTTTTTCTATTTCTTGTTTAACAGATTTTTGCTCCTCCTTTGCATTTCTTAATTATTCTTATAGGAGTTTCTTTTTTCAATAGGTACAATTTAAACATATTTTTATTCTTCTCTTGTTTTTTTTTTTTTTTTTCTTGAGAGGAGTCTCACTCTGTCACCCAGGCTGGAGTGCAGTGGCATGGTCTCAGCTCATTGCAACCTTCGCCTCTTGGGTTCAAGCGATTCTCCTGCCTCAGCCTCCCGAGTAGCTGGGACTACAGGCGCGTGCCACCACCCCCAGCTAATTTTTTGTATTTTTAGTAGAGACGGGGTTTCACCGTGTTAGCCAGGATGATCTCGTTCTCCTGACCTCGTGATCCACTTGCCTCACCCTCCCAAAGTGCTGGGTTACAGGCGTGAGCCACAGCGCCCAGCCTGTTCTTTTCTTTGTATTTCTACTTTATACATTTTAGCTTTCAAATTTATTCTCTCCCTACTTTCTTGTTTCATTTCAAATTGTTTTTAACTTATTAAGAAGTAAACCATTCCTGTGTCTAAGCGTTCTCATTGTTCAATTCCCACCTATGAGTGAGGACATGCAGTGTTTGGTTTTTTTGTCCTTGCAATAGTTTGCTGAGAATGATGGTTTCCAGCTTCATCTATGTCCCTACAAAGGACATGAACTCATCATTTTTTATGGCTGCATAGTATTCCATGGTGTATATGTGCCACATTTTCTTAATCCAGTCTATCATTGTTGGACATTTTGGGTTGCTTCCAAGTCTTTGCTATTGTGAATAGTGCCGCAATAAGCATACGTGTGCATGTGTCTTTATAGCAGCATGATTTATAATCCTTTGGGTATATACCCAGTAATGGGATGGCTGGGGTGGGGGGAGGGGGGAGGGATAGCATTAGGAGATATACCTAATGTAAATGACGAGTTAATGGGTGAAGCACACCAACATGGCACATGTATACATATGTAACAAACCTGCACGTTGTGCACATGTACCCTAGAACTTGAAGTATAGTTACAAAAAATATTTTTAAAAAAAGTAGACCAAATATTGTCATTTCAGTGCAGATCTTTTCCTCTGGTCATATCCCAGTTTTTGTTATAAGGTCTTCAACTTTTTACTATTTTCTGGATAGCATATTATTTTTGTTTGACTCTCTTATGATCCAGAACTTGATTAAGAAAGTCTTTCTTAATTTCAGGTGAATAATTGTTATTAAATAATTATGAAGTCAGTTATTTATCATTTAATTGCGTTAGTTAATGTAAATTATGAAATATCTGTTTTAAAATATTTTAATATTTTGTTTGTGAGCAAAGGCAGGATCACTTTCATACCCCTCAAAGAAAAAAAATATGCTTGGTTTATAGGTTATAAATATAAATCAAATATCATATATTATACATAAACTCCAGTTTTTGTGTTTTTTTCTTCCTATACATTTAGATCTATCCAGTTCTGTAGGGGGTATAACATTTTCAACAATAATTTATGTCAGATTCTACTTGAATTCATGAGTATTCACTCTTTGTAATTAGCTGCTTTGCTGTATATTGTATACAAGTTTATACCTGTGATATATTTGTTTCAGGCCTTGACATATTATTTCCATTTTATTATACCCTGTGTCTTTTTTCCTAAATTTCAACTGGTCTGATATCAATATTACTACTCCTTCTTTGTCTGTTACTTTGCATTCCCTGATACATTTTGGCTCTTTATTTTCAATTTGTCTTATTTCACAGTTCAATGAAATAATACAGCCAGGCAGAAAAGTACACAGGAAAATATTACAGATGCCTTTACACTAGAATTATTTTAGTAAATATTCAATATTTCTCTACATTTGCACCAAAATTATTTTTACTAATAATTGGAATATTGTAGATTTGAATAAAATCTAAATTCTTTTTATATTCTTTCTTGACTCTATTCCTTCTACATTTTCCTCCCTGGTGATAATTACATAAATAATTATAAAAATTGACATGCCTCCATTTCACCCATGTTTTAATTATTTTGCTACACATCCATAAACATATTATATATATATATACATATATATATATATACAGACACACATATAATTTTTGTTTGTATTTAAATTTTATAAATAAGTAATCATGTACTTTTCTACCATTGGTTTTTCACTCAGTTGTGTTTCTTAAAGAGACACATATTGATACATACATAGTTCTGATAATTTTTTTAAGTACTATATAGTATTCTATTTGAAGAAGACAAGATTGATTTAGTTTTCATTCTTCTAGTGATCAACGTTTAAATTGTTTCCATTTTTAATACAAATAATGTCTCAATTAATATTCTTACAGAAGTTTCTTTGTACATATTTGCAGGAATTTCTTTAGGGTATATATCAAGAGGTGAAATTATTTCATCACAGGATAGGACTATATTCAATTTTATTAGATATCAAAAAATTATTCTGTGAAGAGATTTACCCATTTATACCATTGTAGGAGAGTTGCTTTTCTACATATTTTCACTGCTGCTTGGTGCAGGCTGACGTTTTACACTTTTCAACCTGACCTATGTGAACTGGCCTCTTTTGTGTTTATTTGCCTTTCCCTAATTAGTAGAGAGGTTAAACATCTTTTAATTTATTTATTGATCATTCTGTTTATTTCCAGTGCATATTTTCTGCCCATATTTATACTGTATCATTCATTAACATTTTTCCTGTAGAATTACAGAGTTTATAATTAGACACTGAATATTCATTTTTTTATCATTCATGCAAATATCTTTGTTACATGTTTGTTACACTATTAATGCTTTTTTTCCTCTTTTGGTTAATTTTTGTGTCTGCCTTATATTTCAGACATCCTTTATTACATGGATCATTAAGATATTATTTCACTTTTTTCCTGAGTTTTATACAATTTTTTGTATGTTATTAAACTCTGTAATACATTGTAAAATTTACTTCTATATATTGTGTGAAATAAGAATCTATTTTTGTTATTATTCTGTCAGAGGAGCTATTTGTTCAATCTATTTGACTAGTCCATCTTTACTCCACTGATAATGCTTCTATTATTTTCACACTCATATATATGCCTATTTTTCAGATTTTCCACATTGCTTTGTTGGTTTATTTGCTATTCATGCATCAATAACACATTATTTTATTTACTATATTTTTGAAAAACTTTGTCATTTGGTGTTTGGTAAAATTGTCCATATTATTTTTCCTCCAAAGTTTCTTCTTGGCCTTTTCACAGAATTAAAATTCATCAACTGGAATGTCCAGCTGCCTCTGCTTCTATAACCAGAGATACTATGAGTTGTGGCAAGTTGTAAGTTTTCTTTCCAGGAGGAAGGCTCTCTGTATTGGTCAACTCTACTATAAAGATAAGAATTCTTCTGCCCTTAGGGAGAGAGGATTTAATCCAATTCAGTTTTGTCATGACTCTCTGGGAAAGGAATAGCAAGTGTGCACAAGGTCATTTTCACAGGTTTAGTAAAGGCTTTCTTCTTTTGAGTGCCAAGGTTGCCAGTAATCACTGTGTTGCATCCTTAGCCCAGGGCTGTCTAACACCAGTCTTATTACATTTCAAACTCTGGATAAGAGTATATGTCAACAACTTAAATTTCAGCTTTAGATACTGGCATAGCTTGCTGACATCTTCTAGGACCTGTGAAGTTGCCATAGCCAGACTTTCTCAAGAGAAGGAATAGATAGTTGGATTGGAGTGGAAAGAGGCAGTAAAAAGGATACGTTTAAGCTTTATCTTTCTGGAGTCTTTTATTCCAAATTTTCTATAATGAGAATTTATTATTTTGATCATCTGAAAAATATTAAGTGAATCAATTTTTTAAAAAACTACCATGTCAGCATGACAGAAAAATCTTGTCTTCCTTTTGTAGCCTCTAGTTCACCAGATAAGTTCACTAGCTTGATTATCTGTAACTACTTAGTAAAAACATAACACTTTCAACACTTCATAGAATTAGGAATTTCATCTGTCATGAGAGTTCTTATTTATGCCACAATGGATTTTACTGTTTGGCCCCAAAAATATTTTCTGTAATAAATTTTATAAATAATCTTAGATTATTTCTAAATTCTCTGTAAGTACTAAATCAGTTTATGAGATCTAATGATTATGTACCTCCAGGTTGTTAGCTCTCCGTGCAAGATGTGAGCTTGTATTTAGAAACATCCAATTTATTATTTGTCCTTTATGACTTTAATATTTTATTTCACCACAATATTTATAATCAGTTTGACCTACAGTTCCCAACAATTCAATTTGCTTGTCTCTGAGATCTGTATACATTTTATTTTCAGCACCCAGAGCTTTATACGTGACATGGCTTTTTATCCAGGTTGTCTCTGTTATAATTTATCCTTATTATTAGCAGTGACATAATACTGTGCTTTTTAGTGTTGATGGAAAGTGTAGTTGAGAGATTGTATTTACAAACCCTTCGTAAAGTTTGTTTTACAATCTGTTTTCAGATATGTTACCTCATTTGAACTTTATTCCTACTCTGCAAATAAGTCATTGTTTTCTCCATTGTAAGAGGAAGGAAACTGATGTCCAACATCATACTTGCCGTTGTTAAGTGTAAGACTCAAACTCATATTTTCCAACTTTTATTTCAGAATTGTTTTTTCCCCTATGCTGTGTTCTGATATCCAGAGTATTTAGGTATTTTACTGATTGTAGGGGGCTACCATTGCCAGTGACTATCCTGATGGTGGTAGAGAGTGTGTTTTGTAGTACTTACTGTCTGTGAATATTATCACATAATAATATCTTAATGTAAATTGTCCCTGAAAGTATGACTTTGCCAACATGCATAATCTACAGGTCTTTAAATGTGTCTGTATGTGTGTATGCGCCCCTAACCATGTTAATTCAGTGAATTTTATTACTGCTAAAGATATCTCAGAAACTTTTCCATGGGATGCAAATCTTTTGTCTTTTCTGAACAAGTAACAGATATTTGTTCTCTTACCCTATCCTTTTTGTTCTTATTCAATCTGAAAAGCAATTGAAGATGTGTGAGTTCATACTGGTAAATTGCTGGGGTAGGCGTTTCACATGTGACCCAGTGTTTGTCATCTGAAGCTTAGCTCACACTCCTTGGATACTGTGTTTAAGATTTCACATTAGCATGTTTTTTCTTGGTATTGATGGGGAGAACATTGTGACAACTGTTATTCCATCTCATCTGCATGTCCTATGCAGTGAGTCAAAGTAGCAGGAGACCTCATTATTTGAGTCATCAACAATGAACTGGACAAAGAAATGTACAATCAACTGTGGGCAATAATATGTGCATTATTGGGATTTAAACTGGTTTATCCCATCTGTTCTAATTACTACAAATATGTCATGAATGACAAAAACGCTTTGCAGCTTATTACTTTGCAGCTGATAATGCAATGGAGTAGGTTTTCTTCTATATGGGCTTCATTCACTATTCACAGGAGTGATCTGTTTGTGATGGGGTAAGTGGAGGAACTAGAACAAGCATTATTTCTAAAAAAGTATCTGGGAGCCAATGTATTTGTTTATGTTGTATAGTTCCTTTTGCTGGCCTTGCCCCTTCTCTGGCATTTTGCACTTTTCTCCCAAGTTCTTAAAGTTTAATCTGTTCTATTACCACCCCTGGCCAAAGCTCATCTATACTTCTGTCTCTGTCTTTGGCAAGTAGTTACCATAGCTTTGAAATCCTCTGTCCTTGCTCATATGTATTGTCAGGAACAGAATTTGCTGAAGGCTTAGAAGGCAAATCCTAGTGACCTCTGAAGATTTATGGTTGACTCATTTCCTACAGGTGCCACTCTCTTGATAGTATTATAAATAATGGAGGTAAAAGATTGTATGATTAAAATCCACACAGAATGGACAAATGAATGAGTGAGCAGTATAGGGTAGTAGACTCCTAACCTGGATAAGTAAATAAATAGTCTTGATTGAGAGACTTCTGTTGAGTGCCTGACACTGGTTTATGTGGGAAAACTAAGGATTTGTTGCCACATGACAAGGTAGCAACAGAGTTCAAGTAAGATTTTCTGGCTCCAAAACCCGTGATCTTTTCATTGCAAAATGCTGCAGAAAGTAAAAATTTGTTTTACAATTTTGGTGTTTGCATTTATTACACTCCTGATTGTTAGGAACTTTCTCTGCATGACTCAGACAACTCATTACCATCAGCATTTACCCATGGCCCTAAGGAAGCTAAGCGCTCTAGGTATTTCTGATTTTATCAGAATCTTTTTCAACTTTATTCAACTTTATATTGAAAGAAGTTGTGCCAAAAATATATCTATTGGACTTTTAGTATGTTGTTCTTCACAGTTGTCATTGTGGTTGTCCTACTACCTGCCTTTCAGACAGTTTTTAGCTTTAGGATTCATGTGGCAAGTAGATGTATCACAGTGGCCCATTCTGGTTATACACACATCATTGTGACTACTCAAAAAGGTAAAACAAATGAAGCAATTGTGAATGGTTTTCATCCTCAGGCAGATCCATGGAAAGCTAATTACTGTACATAAAGTTTATAGAATAATAATTTCCTATCTTTTTTATTTTTTAAAAAATTTTTATTTATGTATTTACTTTTTTGAGATGGAATTTTGTTCTTGTTGCCCAGGCTGGAGTGCAATGGCATGATCTAGGCTCACCACAACTTCCGCCTCCCGGGTTCAAGTGATTCTCCTGCCTCAACCTCCCGAGTAGCTGGGATACAGGCATGTGCCACCATGCCTGGCTAATTTTGTATTTTTAGTAGAGACGGGGTTTCTCCATGTTGGTCAGGCTGGTCTCGAACTCCTGACCTCAGGTAATCTGCCTGCCTTGGCCTCCCAAAGTGCCGGGACTACAAGCGTGAGCCACTGCACCCAGCCTAATAATTTCCTTTGTATACTTTGTTCGCAAAGACAGAACATACACAGTAAATCTTGATAAGTAAATCGGATATTGAAAGAGGCAGGCATAAGTATGAAAAGAAGTTCAGTGTTATGCTATCTGTTAAAAGAGTAAATTGAATCTATACATATCAACCAGTCCAGTTGTAAGCTATAAATCATGTGACTAGACCAATGTTAAGACGCGCTAGGACAAAAATCAAATAAGCCAAATGTGTTTCTCATTAAATAAAAGAACCAAGAATTCTGGGTTTGAGTCTTGTTCTGTCTCACTTTTGCTATTTTTCTTGGGCAAGTTCTCCTATCTATGTGAGCCTCAATTTCCTCATCTTTGAAATGGTAATACTAATCCTTCTTGGGGTTGCTATTAAAGTACAATGATATAGCATATACCAAGTACAGAGAATAATATTTGTCCTGTGTCTTTCAGAGCAGCTCTAGGTAATAGGTAATTATTTACATTGCTTCCCAGTTTGAGTAGCTGGGTCGCTGGGTATAAATCCAGTCATTTAGAGGCTATTCTCAGTCAGCAAGACCCTGCAAATAATGGCTGCATCAGACTGTGCTGCAGTGTACCTGAGTCTCCATATACTATTCTTTGCTTGCCTAGCCTAGTCCCTAATTATGAGCTGTTTCATAGCTGCAACACTTGGCTTTTTTTTTTTAAATACAGTAATTGATCCTCAAACCCTCTTCACACACAATGTTTCATTAGTTCCAACCTTGATCTAATAATTACTATGATATCACTGGGAGAAACCTATTGCATCCCTTGTCCAGTGCTAGATCCAGGAACTATTGAGCTGATTCTCAACAGAGATTTTTCTCTTCCCCAAACCACACAAATTAGTGAATAACTTTTGATTTTCTTTCTCTCTTTCTAGTGGTGAGAATGCTGGCTCCATGAAAGAGGTCTGCGAGAGCAGGGACCTTGTTTGCTCTCCAGGGCTTACTGCAACAGACTGGCACATAAGTGTCTAATAAATATTCCGACAGAATAATTGGAAGCTAGGGTGCTTTTTCTGAGTGCATTTAACTTTTATTGTGACAATACGATCATGATAATACCTTATATTTGTCAAGGGCTTTGTAGTTTACAAATCCATTCACGTTCATTATCTCATTTGATCCTCACATTAGCACCATGCAGAGATTATAATTTTATGTTCTTGGATGTACATGTGGAAGCTCAGAAAGGTTAGTAAACAGTGGAGGAGGAGTTGGAACTTAAGTCTTTTGATTACAAGATCTATTTACTCCCCTCTACTCACACAGCTTTTCCTATGATCTGACTCCTTTTTTTGTACATAATTGAATAAATTCACAGGGTGCCTTTGTAATTTTGTCTTAATTAACTTGATGCTTACCACAATTTACCTATAATAGGCTTTGGGAAACTTGGTTTTTAAAATTTCTTAAGGTCTTCATTCCTATCTTGCTCCTGATTACATACATTTGGTAATTTTCCTGCTTTTCCTGTGGCTTCCAGGGAGAATGTATACTACTCTATATTTGATTTCAGTGTATTTATTTTAAACTCATCCATTCACTAGCTCGAAGCAGAGAATTCGAAGGCATGCTCAGATTTTCAGTCTTGTCTCTTCCCCAGGCTGTCACTAGATCCTTGCTGCCACTCTAACCCCTCTTCTCCTGCACTCTATGGATATCACCCTTGGTATCTCTTCCTGTGATTATGTCAATATGGTGGATTCAGAGTTAAGGGTATTCTAGCTAAAAGTCATGTTTAAAGCTCATTGCAACACATCCTACACAATAAATACCCCAAACATTTTCCCCCTTTTTTATTGTTTAGTTTGAATGAAGTGAAATATTTGTTTTAAATCATCCCCTAGAAAAGTTATGTTTACTTCTTCATTGCTGTGGGTATCATGTGAAGCCCGGAATGGCATATATCTTACAAAAGCCATGCTGCTACCACAATAAATTATGAATCCAATTTGGCATTTATTTTCTGTTAATTCCTGATTAGGTCTCAGAATGTTCCCAAGATAGTGCCTCAGAAAACCATTACTTATCTATGCAGTAATCCTACCTATAAGAGTTAACCTAAATATAATACAAGCTACTAATCTATAAATTTATCAAAACTACATGGAATAGAGGAACACATGGACTCTTGTCTCCAGAGTGATCTTTTCAAAACAGAAATGTAATTATGCCTTACTGCTTCTGAAAAAAAACAGTGATTTCCCATTATCTACTGGATGGTGACTAAACTTTAGGAGGACTTAAATCTTAAGTCCTTTCATTGAGTGGTCCCACTGTACTTTATAAACTCATCTCTTCCTCACCCTACTCCTCCATAAGCCCTGTGCTACAGCTACACCAAATACTTCAATGTTTCCTGAACACTGTATTTTATCCTGCATCAAGGTTTTTTGCATGTGATATTTCCTATACCTAGAGTCATCTTTTAGCTTTGTCTGATAAAATTCGACTTGCTTTTCAAGGTTCAATTGAGATATCTTTCCTATGGAATTTCCTTAATTCTCATCTTTATCTAATAGTAGCTCCCTGCTCTTCTAAAGCAACTTTAATCATCCCCTCTGCTATAACACTTGGAATATTGTTGTAATTATTTGTCTACATTTTCTCCAGTAGACTACAGAGTCTCAGTTGTAGGCCCATGCTTTTTCTTCATATATCTTCTGTGCCCAGTTTTTATTTATAGGAGCCTCTCACTAAATGATTGATGAATGAATGGAAGTTGGAATTCTGAGTTTTCTCCTGGGTGCATACACCAAAACCCAAAATATCTGTTTAGTTCAGAGCCACCAGCATGTCAGAGTCTCATAATATGATACCCTAATGTGGTAAAACAGGCTGAAAACTGATTTAAAAAATCATTCTAGTGTGTTTGTTAAAAACGCATTTTCACAATTTAAGTATCCTATCTTAAAATAATGATATTGTTAAAAGGCCAGCATCCAATGTGGGTTGTATTACTATCCTTTAAAGAATTGTCAATTTGACTACCATTTTCTGAATTTATGAGTTTATTCTGACATTGTCAAGAAACTTAAGACAACCGATCTTGGTGATACAGACCCGCAGAGTCACAGTTCAGCTGCTGTTCAGCACAATAATATCTCAGACCTACCCAACAATTTACAGGCTTACCACTGCCCCAAGTCATGGTGCTCATTCATGGTTGTAATGATGTGTTTATGACTTTATGGCCTAATTGGTCCCAAAGGCACTTAAGAAAATAATACAGTATAATGACTCTGTGCTCTTTAGTTGGAGCTGTCTTTTAAGAATATTGAAGTAGAATCTGGAATAAAATGGCCTTCATTCAGTTTTGACATATTCTCACTGTGTGACTTGGGGCTTCAGTTTCCTCATCTGAAAATGGGACATGGGGCCAACAATTTATGTGGTTTATGGTGGGAATAAATAAGATAACATGTGCAAAGCACATATAATAGTTATTATTACTATTATTATCTCAAAATACCTACCAGCCTAAATCCACTATGTTCTTAACCCCTAGAGAGCTATTAGGCCCACTCTAATGTGTCTGAGCATATGACCCTCTCCTTTATTGCCTAGCATGGAGAAGATAGTATTGGTTGAATAAATATCATGGTTTTAGGGCCATAGCCAGAGAGACAATAGACCTTCTGGGCCTTTCCTCCTAGAAGGGACCTAGGAGTCCTTTCATTTCTGGTCTGTCATTGTATCTTGCCTAAGGAAAAAGTAGAAAAATAAAGGACAGGACTTATTACATCATATATTGGATGCATATTATTTCAAGGAACTCTGTGGGCTCATACTTGTATATTTAATCATCACACTATCCATGTAATGTGTTCTCCAAATTTTAGACACAAACAATGAGGCTCAGAGTAAAACAAGTATTAGAAACTTGCTCAAGATCACACTTTGGAAGAAGGAATGTCAGAATTCAAACTCAAGACTGCTGAACTCCTTCAATCAAATCACAATGCCTGAGACATCCTGAACATACTTTGTGTTTCACAGTTTTTTCTTCTTCATTGAATATCTTCCTTTCATATAAAAATCATATTAAGAAAATAATCTTTGCATTTACCTTGCTTTTGTGACCTGGAAGAACCTAAATACGAAAATAAGTGACTTTAAGGTTTTAGCCTCTTGTGACATTTGGCAGCAACAAAAGCTTATTCTTTTACCAACTCAGGTCTCAACAGGATCCTACAGATGTAGCCCCATGGAAAACAATCTTTCATTTAAAGACTTTAAATAATTTGAGTGGAAGAAATATAATAAATGACAATAACATGTCCAAGCCTTTAGAAAATGGAAATGTTGGATTCAAATAGATACTTCAGTAATCAAAATCTGTTGAATAGAGCTTACATTGCTTTTTTGAGGTACCTTAAATATTTTGTGAGCATAGAAGAAAGACTTTATTTAATGAGCAAAGCATAGAATGTATGCAGTTAGGAAAAGAACCACTGAATAAAACAAACTGAATAAAAAAGAAAAAAATAAAGGCGATAATGAAAGTAAAGAAAATGAGAAATAAAAAATAAAAATATACCAGAGAGTTATTAAAAGCAAAAGTTTTTTCTTTTCTTTTCTTTTTTTTTTTTGAGACGGAGTCTCACTCTGTCACCAGGCTGGAGTGCGGCGGCGTGATCTCAGCTCAGTGCAACCTCTACCTGCCGGGTTCCAGCGATTCTCCTGCCTCAGCCTCCCAAGTAGCTGAGACTACAGGTGTGCACCACTACGCCTGGCTAATTTTTGTATCTTTAGTAGAGATGAGGGTTTCACCATATTGCCCAGGCTGGTCTTGAACTCCTGACCTCGTGATCCACCTGCCTGCCTCAGCCTCCCAAAGTGCTGGGATTACAGGTGTGAGCTACCACAACTGGCCTGCAGAAGTTATTTCTTTGAAAATATTTATAATATAAACAAAATCCTGGTAGCACTAATAGGAGAAAGAGACAAGGCACAAATTATCATTATTAGTAGTAACAAGGGGGACTAAAGTACAGATACAACAAATGTTTCTGAAAATAAAATAAATAATGTATGTTAAATTTTGAAAATTTAAGGAAATAGACAAATAACTAGAAAAATATAATTTATCAAAAATGAGTCAAAAAGAAATAAAATATTGTGTAGATACACAACAATTAAATTTTTCAGGTAGTTAAAAATCAGTACTCACCTACACATAGCTATTCAAAACTGATGCGCAGATAAGTATGAGCAAGGTCAGTGAAACAATGAGGAAATGTATATTGATATTTACAAAACATTGCAGAAAATAAAAAGGGGACATATTTCTCAATTTCACTTAATGTAGTTAATATAAACAGCTACGAAA
Source organism: Homo sapiens (assembly GCF_000001405.40). Lineage (NCBI taxonomy): Eukaryota > Metazoa > Chordata > Mammalia > Primates > Hominidae > Homo > Homo sapiens. Next base: position 21,508,540 of record NC_000011.10, read on the forward strand.
CTAGTCAAAGTCAATCGGAAAATTACAGTTCAATATATGTTATTTAAAAACTTATCTGAACAAATATTAGCAAAACAACCTAAAATGATTATTTAAAAAAATATTGTGAACATGTTGCTTTTATCTAAGGAATTCCTAGAATGTCTTAAGAGTAGCTAATGTACCAGTGTAATTCCTTATGTTTAATGATATAAGAACAAAATATGAAGAATCATCTCAAATAGAAAAATATTTCCAAAAAAATCAACTATGTTAAAGAAAAAAAAATGTTAGATATAGGACTTCTACCAAACACCTATATCAAGCATCATATTTAGTTAAATAAAGGCTTAATCTATAACTGTTTTGAAAAACATATACAACAAAAAATGATGAAAATTATTCAACATTAGCAGAAATTACCTTATGTCCCTCAAAGAAAACTGCTGCCTTCCAACAAAAGTGAAAACAGAAGCTACATGATTGGAGAGTATATAAAATATACAAATACATTTTAAAAATCTACATAAATAGTAAAACAAATTAAGTGGGTAAAATTACAAACATAATTACAGAAACAAGAAAATCAATAAATATATAGAAAGATGTTTTACTAGTAATCAGGAATATCTGAATAAAACTACATAGGGTTACTATCTCACACCCACTGTAGTGGCAAAAACTAAAATTTCTGACAATAGCGACTATTGACAAAGCATGGAGCAACAGAAAAAAATGTATACTTTTTCGTTGGGGCATAAATTATAGGCATTTTGAAGAATTATTTTCTAGTTTGGTAGAGTTGACTGTGCACATAATCTCTGACCCAACAGTTCTACTTCTAGGAATATACTTGGGAAACTCTTGTGCATGTATAAAAGAACATATGAGCAGGATTGTTCATAGCTTTGTTGATTGTGATTGCAAATATCAGAAAGCTAAATTTCCATCAAAGGTAGGATAAAATAATAAACAGCACTGGAAATGAACAAATTAGGCTTACTTTTTTTCAAGATGGGTAAATATCAAAATAACAAATGAAATAAGAAAGTTACAAAGTTTTGTGTGCAGCTTGATGCTATTTATATCATTTTAAAAGGTAAAATTACACTATATGTTATTTAGGGATTCATACATAAAGAAATACACAGGAATGATAAAACTACAGTCAAAATACTGGCTAATTCTAGGAAGATGTCATCAGATAGACATGAAAAGACGTCTTTGATTACTTAGTAATTATTTATCTATTTAACTAGATGACAGATATTGTTGCCTATATTATAGTATCCTTTACACTTTTTTGGATTGCTTTAACATTTCATAAAAATGACAAATATATGTGTAGGTGAGCAATAAAGAATTACTAGTATTATCATTGCCCTGATGATGATTAAAATTAATCCCAAACTGCAGAGGATTCCAACTATTACCATTTATATTTTTAATCCTTGAGTTTTATCTGTTAGGAGAGGCAGTAGGTGCATGTACATGGTGATAACCCACGAACTGAAAAGCTCACTGAAATACCTGGGGGCTAAGGCCTAATTAACATCTTCGGCACTTGAGTTGAATGGCAAGACCTCTTCAGGACTGTAGGGTAGGCGGGGAGGACTTTACATGATTCTGTAATGTTGGTGAATGCACGATTGGCCAGCCACATCTTGTTTCCAAGTATAGATCATAATCCATAATGGATGGCTTTTAGAAATCATGTTTATGAATGTGCATAGAGGCAGAGAATAGTGGCTGTATTCAACAAACATCATGAATAATCATGCTGGAGGGGAGCACAGAATCCAAATGCAATTTAGAAGTGCTCTGTGGAATTTGTAGAGCATTTTCTTAAAGCAGAACTGGGCAAATTTTTATTTCTGTTCACTGCTTGAATTCTGTGGAAGCATGAAGGAAAGTTCAGTCTAGTCCTTTTTCCTGGTATCAGTCTTTCCTCTCTCATGCATTCTCCGGTTGGGCTGAAAAATAAACATTTGTTGAGAGCTGAACCTAGATACAATGTGGGGGAACAAATGGTAATGTCTTTGCTCCTACCCAAATCTTCCAAAATGTTATGATCCAGCCTGGCAGTATATGTTTGCACTGTGATATGAATTCCTGTAGCATGAAAAGGTATACCTGTGACTGAGGTCCCTTTTTTCCCAGATTGAGGTTTTGAACTCTATTAAGAGTTCCTTATCCACCACTGACATCTACTCTATATTTACTGTCCTTTGGACCACTCTGTGCATGATCTTCTTCTATAATATGTGACCCATCCTCTTCCTTAGTGGTCACTCATAGTTATCTCTTTTAGCTAAGACCACCTTGGCTATTCTTTATCTCTCCTTTTTAAAAGAATAACTTTTATATGTATGTTATTTCAATGATTAAAATTGAAGTTGTAGTTTTATTTAAGATAATGGAGACAGATTATCAATGTTAAAATCTCAGCTCCTTCAATTTCCAGCTGTATGATTTTGGTCAGGTTCAAACTTCTCTGAGACTGTCTCCTCATCTGTAAAATAAGGCTAATAATAGTAGCTATTCCATCAGGTTGTTGAGAGGATTAAGTAAGCTAATTCTTGTAAAGCACTTAGAAGAGTGCTTGGCAGAGTGTGTGCTAGGTGTTGTGTTATTGTTGTTAATCACTATTATTACTGAGATGTTATCTCCAATATATTCTAGCAAATATATAATGTAATAATACATTTGTAATAATCTCTCTTTACTTCCTGTAATAATCTCATGTTTACTTCCTCTAACCCATCCTAGTTTCCTACAACTTTCTTATTTGTACTTTTCCTCGAGAAAGAGTTACTATTTGGCTTATTTTATTTGCCTCAGCAAGGGGTAAGTAATGCTCCAGAGAAGCGCCCTCCACTAAGCCTGCCATTCTCACCAACGGCAATCTGGAGTGTTATGGAGACATGATGTTGGATGAGAAAGATAAGGTCCCTGGCCTCCTGGGTTTACAGTGCAGTGAAGGAAGAGAGACAATAAAGATATATGCTGGATCATCTCAAATACTGGTTAATGCTAGGAAGAAAAGGAAGCAAGGTAATGGATTAGGGAGGCTGAAAAGATAAAGCTACTTCAAAAATGGTGGTCAAAGAAAATTTTTTCAGACTGTGGCATTTGAACTGCGAGCTAAATAAAAGAAGGATTATATATTAAGAACACAACACAGGTAGATGCAAAGGCTCATGCAAAGGCTCCAACACAGATGATGGATTTGAGAAGGCCAGAATGTCTGGAGTGTAATGAGCTCAGGGAAGAATGGTATGGGATGAGAAAAAGCATGAGGACAGTCTAGATCTTATAGGGAGTCATAATATTGTTCAAAGCTCCTACTAAAATCTAAACACAATAGAACCCACATATGGACAATACGGGACTAAAATACTGTATTGTGTAAGATGCAAGCTGACATCATAACAAAGAGGACATAATTGGAATGAGCCTGCCTACTTGAGTCAGATCCAGGGCCCAGATCCACCCCATTCTTGCTGCCTATTTGGTGCCACCTGGTGGCGATGGTCCTCAAGCCTCAATGGCATGTTGAGAACACCTCTTGTTCCTGTCTTAGCTGGAACATGGCAGCTGTTCCAGAAATACCCTTGTGAGTTGGTACCTCTTTAGCTGAAATGATCCCAGAAGAGTGAGCTAAGAGAATATTGAGCACATGGGGCCCATTGTCTTTCCTGAAGCAGGCCAGCCTCCTGTTTAATGCTGGCCTTGCCTTTTCTTCTCTTTCTATCTCCCCCAAAGATAAACACCTTATCCCACCTCTGTTAGATAATTAGGACAAGACAGAGTATGAGACTAACTGACACTCAGAAGTCACATTATAATGAAATCATGTTATCAGGGAGTATGTCATCCAAGGATTTTATTGCATATTTTATTATTAGGGAGAATGACAATATAGCTTTGATTTTATACTTACAGTGCTTGATATATAGTGATATTATAATATTTTCTTATATTGTAATTATATATGTGCTTGTCTCCCTCAAGGAAAATGTACTACTGAGAGCCAGGAGAGGGTCTAATTCAACTTTGTGCCCCTAGTAAGAAAGGGGGAAATGAAAACCAACGTGTATATTCACCTACTACAAATAGTAGTAGAATAAGTCTTATTTAATAGTCACAAATAGTCTACAAGGCAAGATCGATTATCTTTATTTCAAAGACAAGGGAGACAAGGATGAAGAATGAAAAGCCACATAGGCAGTAAAGAACAGATCTATAAAATGCCATCCCAAATTGTGTGAAAATAAAAGCTACATGACTAGAAAAAAAAAAAGAAATATGCAACAGATATAAACCAACGAAGCCTGTTGACATTCCACCTAACCGAACCTATTACCGCCAATGCTTGAACATGTTTCCTGGCAGGTAGCTAATGCTCAGCAGATATTTGATGGGTTAAAAATGAAAAATACATTTGACCATTTTGGATTTAAAGAGTGGGGTTAATGGCACCTATTTCCCTAATCAAAGCCAGTAGTCAAGGTGATTGGACATCAAGTTTATTCTTAAGCAGCAAGGCCACAGTCAGCTATGGTTTGGGACCCCAGGCAGCCCTACTGAAGTTGCACAGAAGAGGTACTTGTCAATGCCAATCAGTCTATTCCTGCTGTTCAATTAGGTTCTGATTTGTAATTCACTACCCTCCAGCACCATTTTACTCAGTGAATTGTAGTCAACACCACAGGAAAAATTAATGCCTGTGAAATAATACCTGAGTAAGGGGAAGAAAAGCCAAATGCAAACTGTTCTTCTCTTATAAGTGTGTTTATTTTTTTCCAAAAATAATATGGATTTGCTCTTTTGCAAAGAAGTCATTCCTCAGTGAATGTGTGTATGTGTACATCTGTGTGTGTGAGAGAGACACATTGGTGGCTTGATATCAGAAAAAAATACTTTTGCCAGACTATAATAACTATTATTTGTGATTCTATTAACGGAAATATATCTTTTTCAAATTAAAGTATATATATTTACATACAGATGGAAAAGGAGGAACTGCAAAATAGGCCTAGTTTTCTCAAAGACATGCTTGAAACTCTGAGTCAGTCAGAGATTGTTGTTTTGTTAACTAAGCTAAAATAGAATGAAATTAATAATATTTAGGATAATAAAAGTTGTCAAGTATTGAGCATGGACTCTGAAATCTGAAACCAATAATCAACTTCCAGGCATTATCTAATTTAAGTATCATGGAGATATAGCGATTATTTCTCTTATTTTAGTGATGAAGAAACTGAGACTGAAATATAAAATACATGGTTCCATAGCCAATTAAGGAACAGAGCCAGAACTTGAGTTTGGTTCAATTTGACTCAAAATACGTGTCTTAGAGCCTGAGCCCCCCTGGTGAGTATGTTAGAGTGATGATGAGACACCCACCCCTGCCTGGGATTCCAGGCATTGTGCCTAGGACTGAGCATACCAATGCTGGTATTGAAATATTAGCATTTCCAGCTATATTGGTATTTATCTTATCAAAAGCAAAAACATAAAACTTGATTAATCTTTAATTCAAAACAACTCGATTGCAAATGATTGACCTGGCAGTGTCATTTAGTTAGCACAGAAAATGTTACACAATTCAAAGCAAGATTTTCAGAATCTAACATATTCCATCATTTTGCAAATATCAAAATAATACATTAAAGAAAATAGTTTTGTAAAATTAACAAATAACAATTTAACATTGTCAATTTAAATTGATTTAAAATATTTGCCTTATAATTTTTAATTCCAAATTTTGTGTATATTTGGCATATAAAAATGAAGATGTTGGAGTTCCATGCTAAACATAATTATAATGTTAGAGGTGTGCCAGCCAAAGAATTTAGAAATTTTGTTGCCCTTGTCAATATGAGGGCAGATGTCACAGATTCAGAATTCTAAATCTGTCAAGTATGAGTAAAGTGAGCCAGATATGGACTGCTCTGCAGCGGAGAGTCCATGCGCCACCTAAAGGCAGCACCTGCTCCTCATGTTCTGCCAGTTGTACCCATGTGGCAACATGAATTGAAGGTTGCCAGATTAATCTCTTTTTTGTTTTTTTTAGAGATGCCAGGCATCCAGATTCTTAATGTTGGCATCTGATTCAATATTTAAATATAGCTCCCCTGTGCCAAACGAAATCACACAATGTGTGTGGGCTGTTTCTGGCCAGGGGGCAGACTGTTTGGGTCATCTATGCTAAGGCTGTGGGAATACATCTGTCACAGGGGTTTGGACAGTTTTCTTTGTGACAAGAAAGCCCTGCCTTATGGATTGAGAAACTATTCTTTTACAGTGTACAGTCCTGTCCTGTATTATTGAGGACTGGCTTCCAATGTATTTGTTCCTTTGCCAATGTCATTATTGAGAAGCCAGGAGTTGGGTGGGGTAGGTGATACTAATGGTCACAGCGATGGCAATGGGTGATAGAATCCTTCTTAGAGGGGTTTCTTATAGCTTGCAGGTAGGGCGGGTAGGTGGTAAAATTGAGGGTAAAGCAATGAACAAATGGCGAAAGTATCTGAAAATGACTTTCCTATTTCTTGGCACTTTTGTGTTGACACAAAGTACTTAATAATTCCCTTTTACTATTTGCTTTTAATTATATGTAAACATGTGCATGATTTTTACAGTACAGACCTTCATGTGGTCCTCAATAGAAACAATCTGTAGACTTCTCTGACTGTTGTGCTTCTACTTCTTTCTGAAAATCTCAGTCTTTGGCATAAGTCATGGGAAAATGATAGGAGGGGACAGATGGGAGTAGCTTATTGAAAATTACTGAAAGAAAAAAGACATAGGAAAAGTAAAAGTTCAGCAGATGAAGAGGAAGCAGATATCATCAACTAGAATCAAATCCCACTGCAACATGTTTAACTAATTCTCTGTGGGGGGCCTTCCTCTTGCTACCTGCCACTAACTTTCTTCTCCATCCCCCAGTACCTGAATACCTAGCATATTATGTTATAAAGAACATAGAGCTCAGAGGCAGAAGACCCCATCTGGACTTCTCCACTTTGAGCCATTTTCTCTTTGGGCCTCAGTTTCATAATGTTTGAAGGGAGAATTTGAACCTTAAAGTGCCTAATTCACTGTGGAATGTGAGGATCAATAAAGATATTGTATGATAGCACATCCATTACGGTTCCATGCTGCACCTGCCCTAAGGGATAGTTGTTATTGCTAAGCCTCCAAGGCACAGCATTTCACATCAAAAAGACTCTCTTAAGGACTCCATGATCTGACTTTGATTTTGAAGCCAGAACATTGTCTAGAGATTGCAAGGAGGAAGTTGGCAGCTGAACTTTGCTCACTACAAGTTGAGGAGGTAGAGCAAATGAAGCTCTAATGAGCTGAACGAGTAGCTTCATGCAGAGCTGGCCCTGGGTGTCTTCTCAGCAATGCTGTTGCTTCTCAGTATTATTCACACTGCATTTCTCCTGGAGACATACTTGTTTCTACATCTTCCTCCCACAGCAGACTGTGAGATCCCCGAGGGCAGAAGCCATGTGTGGTTACTTATGGTCTCACAGAAGAAGGTGGAAGAAAGGGGCAACTTTGCTTATAGAAGAACAGAGTGTTTGGCATTAGACAGACCTGAACTTGAATCCCAGGTCCATCATGCACCATTCTGTGGCCTTGGGAGGGTGACATATACTCCTAGTGTTCTAATCTATAAAATGGAGAAAGTAAGTTGTACTTATCAGGGTTGCTATGGTGACTAAAACATAGTATCTGAGTACTTAATAGGCATTGAAAAAACTATTCATCCTCTTCCTTATTTATAATTTTAGCATCTAGCAGAATATTTGAGTGGGCATATGTTAGGTGATAGATGCCTGTACACGTGTGTGTATCTTGTGTGTGTGTGTATGTGTAGTTACCCATTGCTTAACAACAGGGATACATTTTAAGAAATGCATCATTAGGCCATTTCGTCCTTGTGCAAACATCAGAGAGTACACTTACACAAATCTAGATGGTCTACCCTACTACACACGTAGGCTATGTGGTACAGCCTATTGCTCCTAAGCTACACACCTATACAGCATGTTACTGTACTGAATACTATAGGCAATTGTAACATGATTGTGAGTATCTGTATATCTAAACATATCTAAAGATAGAAAAGGTACAGTAAAAATATATTATACTCTTATAGGATCACTGTTGTATACATGGTCTGTCAATCACACACACACACACATACACACACACACACACACACAGACACACACACTCTTCTTTTAAATATATCTAGCGATTTGGCATTGGTATTTTTTTTTTTTTGAGACGGAGTCTCGCTCTGTTGCCCAGGCTGAAGTGCAGTGGCATGATCTCGGCCCAGTGCAACCTCCGTCTCCCAGGGTCAAGCAATTCTTCTACCTCAGCCTCCCAGGGCGCCCACCACCACACCAGGCTAATTTTTGTATTTTTAGTAGAGACGGGGTTTCACCATGTTGGCCAGGCTGGTTTCAAACTCCTGACCTCAAGTGATCCACCTGCCTCAGCCCCCAAAGTGCTGGGATTAGAGGCATGAGCTACCGCGCCCAGCCACCATTGTATTCTTTAAACAGCTGTTGAATTGATTCATGGTATATGCTGTTAAGTATTTGTCCTATTACCTAGGAAACCTTAGGCAAATCACCTCTCTCATGGGGACCTCAACTTTTCTACATGTAGAAGAGTGGTTTTGGGCTCAGAATTTGCAACTGAAAGCTCAAGTTCAATGAAAACTATGTTTTATGTGTCCTGCCCTGCACAGCGTTGGTCTAAATGACATTTTCAAACAAATAAATAAAACCAACCTTGTAACCAATTAGACAGACGGTGAATAAACCTTCGACTGGGTATAGTAATGATCTTTTCTGGGATTCCAGCAAGGCATGGTAACATTTTTGGAGCTACATAATAGCTGTTCCCCTTGGGCAGAACATGTACGCTCTCTAGTTTACCAACACCTGGGCTACATCACTCATTTAGATTGCTTGCCTGGATTCTGTAATCTTCGGAATGTATGACCTTGAATATGGTAGCGTATAGACATGTCAATCCTCTGTGCCTCTATGATTCAATGATTTCTAAGCATGTGGGATTTAGACGTTCTTAGTCATAACCAGTATCACTATGGCTAACCCACACCATAGAAAAGAGTTGTTTTTCCATGGGCACTAAAAAGGGATATACAGCAAATGGTCATGGGCAATGACATTATCCTTTAAGTCATTTCTGATTGATCTCCATCACATAATCTACCCTCTCAACAGTCTTTCTTCTCTACATACTAAAGTGGTTTTTCAAGATATATGGTTAGGTTTATTCAGTGAGAAATGATTCAGTCCCTTTGTTTCCACTTGTTACTTGGTCCTGGCTCCAACCTTTTCAAGTCGCAGATGCTTCTTCATGAGACCAGCTCTGACTCTGGATCCATGGTGAGCAGCATGAGTTCTGTAAAGATATTTTTAAGCCAAGTGCATCCAGGATGCTATGGAGCCACAAGCAGACAAAACGGCATAAATGCTCTTTGGGAATCATAAACCCTAGTGCTTCTATCTGTTAAGAGTTCTTGAATTTTCTCATCTTAATTTCTTCCCCAACTCACTGAAGAAAAAAAAAAAAAGGTGCTGATTTTCCCCCTTTCAGAAGCACAATGATAAAACTTTGTGAATTTGACAAAAGCTTTTTTTTTCCAAAATAACTTTTTCATTATGATGGTTACTTGTCTGCCCTTTACACAACATGAAAGAATTTTTCTCTGGGTGTAATCAGATGATGACAGAAATATGGTGAAGCTCTCTAAAGGATTGACTTACTTAAATTCTTCAGTTCTCATTCAGGGCTGAAGCCTCCTTGTTTCATTTGGAGGTGAATTATCTTATTGATCATGTCTGCATAAATACCTCTAATATGAATAATGCAGACTATTGGAATACTCAAAGTAAAAAATGTGGACCTGTCTTTAAAGGGATAGGTTTAACATCATGAAGAATAAATTAAAAATCAAATTGTATTCCTCCTTTTAAGCCGGAAAATAAAGCATCATTCAGAATAGAATTCTTAAGTTCATAAAGCAACTAAGGATTAGATATAATGGCATAAGGGAAGAAGTGAAACGTAGTCCCTTTGCTCCCTGGCCACCACCAGGCTTGTAGTTTGGTGGGAGTGACAGTGTGATCTACTGAGAGGTAGAGTAGCCTCATAAAGTTTTGTATTCAGAGAAAAGCAAGCCTAAAACTTAGAATACCATGTAACTAGATATGTTGCCTTATGGAAATTATTTAATATCTTTCAGACTTGTTTCCTTTAGCTGTAAAATAGAGATAAAAATATTCCATTGGTTGAATTTATTTTGGCTGGAAGTAATAGAAATCTCAAGTAATTGTGACTTAATAATAAAGTCTTTAATTCTCTCTCATGACATGAATTCTGGCAATATGTAGCTCCAGGGTTGGTTCAGCAGCTCAATGACATCAAAGGCCTAGTTTGGTATTTCTGTGATTTAATTGGAATTTTTCCCATAAACTAAAGAAGGCTGTATCTCTCTAGTCCTCACGTTCTCCAGCCAGCTGACTACACAGAATGAACATAGTAGGAATTCTGTCATTTAACCATGAAAGTCAACCCCACTGCCACTCCATCTCCAGCAGACTTCTCCTTACTTCTCATTAGCAAGAACTTGGTCACATGCCCTTATCTAGACAGATCACTGGGAAAAAGGATGAAAATTCCATTATTATTATAGATATGTGGTTCTCAAAGTAGAGTTCTCAGATGATTCTGGCAAGCTTGTTTAAATACAGACTACTGGGTTCTACCCCCAGAATTTCTAATTTAGTATGTTGTGTGGGACCAGATAATTTTCATTTATAATATGTTTCCTGCTGATGTTAATGGTGCTAGTCTGAGGACCACTGTTTGAGAACCACTGATTGAGACCAACAGTGATTTACCCCTTGGGCTAGGAGATAGGCTTCCTTTTGTTTGTTTGTTTGTTTGTTTTGTTTTGTTTTTTGTTTTTTTTTTTAGATTAAGAGGGCAATACTCTTTATGCAAGCAAGTCAAGGTTCTTCTAATTGAAAGTGAATGTGTGGGAGGTGGAAGGTGTATCACTCAGGGTAGAGCAGAAAGACAAAATCTGTATGGTGCCTGCCCCCAGGATGAAGGATGGGGAATGTACAGCCGCTACCACTCTACTGGCTAAAATTGACTGAAACGTACCTGGAAGCCTTCCCCTGGAAGTTGCAAGCCTTCAAATAGACTCCAGAGTCCTAAAATTGTTATATCAGGCAGATTCTGCCAGTGTAATTATAGTCCAGGTTGGGAGAGAGATTCCTGGTGCTGACTCCTCTGCTATTTTCCCAGAATCCTCAGAGGTATCTTTCATACATAGTTCATAAGATGACATTGACACCTTTTTAATTTACCTTCTTGACAACAATAAATACCCATATCAATCGCTTTGGGAAAAACAACAACAACAACAACTTTGATCTGGCACTAATAGGAGAAGAGAGATATGGAAGGTGCCCTTTAGACAGAGGAGCATTCCAAAGGAAAACACACACGCTGTCAAAGTAGCATGATTTCTTCCGCCAATACATCCATCTCACAATATGCCGTAGGACTGACATAAAAAGAGGCCTAAGGGACATCTGTGGATTTTGTCTCACCAGAATTCAGTTCCTATCCTAGTAAGGGCATTCCAATAGTTTCTGAGGAACAACCCCTTCTAAATTCTCAGTTTAAGATATCTCAAGTAGTGCTGATTTTACCTCTTGCTCTAGGGGTGGGCTGGTAACCAGACATGAACCCAGTAACTACTTCAGGACTCATCATGTAACCAAATCAAGATGAATGCGGCTCAAATCCTAGATTTGTGCCAGTACTATTGATAAGAATCTCTCCCTTTGACAGATTTAAAATGATGTTTGCCTAGAACATCTGGAGGCCATTACATGAAGAGGTTCTGGCCTATAGGGGTGGTAATATGATGATGATAAGAGTGGAGATACAGAGGGAGCCTAAATCCTGATAATATTGCTTAGTTGCATGGATCCCATAGAGTCTAGAGCCCCAACACTTGTACATTTTGTGAGCCAATATGTTTCTTTTGGGAGAGGAGAGGTAAGCAGGGTTAAGGTGTCACTTACAACAGAGGGCCCAGTGTCTAAAGGTGCATCAGCACCCGCTTAAGATTCAAGTGCTCAGCCCCGGCCCCTCCCCATGCACCTGCTCCTTACCTCATGCTGACCTAATTTCTATTCTCCCAGATCTGTATTCCCTGACCACTCCTCCAACATTTGTCCTTGACTCCTTCCTTTGGTTTTGATGTGCAGAAACATTTTTTGGTCTCTCATTTGTTTCTAATTTAAAAATAAATGCATCTGGCTATCCTGCCTCAGGGCAAATTTAGAAATATTTCTTTCAGTTCAATAGAGTCCTATGGTTACCCTTATGTTGGTACTAATCCTATCTCACATACCCTATTCTGGGGGTAGGACCAGATGTAGGGTAAAAATCTATGTACCTGACTTTTACTGGTTTCTTACAGATCTAAAGTTATGGCTTTATACTTTTCTCTCTTTTGAATGTAAGTATTACAGCTACACATTTGTTTCTAGGCACTGCTTTAACTGGTTCCCACAGATTGTAGCCTGTTGTTTAATAATATCATTCAGTCCTAAATATTTTATATTTTCCTTGTAGTTTCTTCTTTAATTCATTGGCTTTTGGAACTGGTGTAATTTCCAAATATTTGTACCTTTTCTAAATATCGTATTTTGATTTGATATCTGTTTAATTCTGTTGGGACCAGAAAACACACTCTGTAAGATTTCAAGCTTTTGAATTTTGGGGGGATTGTTTTATGAACAAGGATTTTTTCCATCTTGGTCAACATTCCACACGCACTTGTAAAAACTGTTTATGCTACAGTGATTGGGTATAATGTTCAAGAAATGCCAATATTGTTCATGTCTTCTATATTGGTGATTTTTTTTGGTGTATCAATTGCTGAAATAGAGGTTAAAATCTCTAGATTTGTATTTTTTTCCTTTTGGTTCTTTTATTATCATTTCATGTGTTTTGAAGTTTTGCCATTAAAAATTATATATCAATTGCTGGATCAAATTGTAGTTTTATTTTTAGTTCTAGTGTTTTTCATAGAGGCTGTTCTAATTTACATTCCCATCAACAGTGTATAAGTGTTCCTTTTCTCTGAATCCTTGCCAACATTTGTTAATTTTTGTCTTATTAATAATAGCCATTCTGATTGGTGTAAAATGATATCTTGTGGTTTAATTTGAATTTCTCTGATGATTAATAGCCATGAGCATCTTTTCATATACTTTTGGTCATTCATATGTCTACTTTTGAAAAATGTATATTCATATCTTTTGCCTACTTATTAGTGAGATTGTTTGATTAGTTGTTGGGTTGTTTGTGTTCCTTATAAATTCCGGATATTCGTTTCCTGTCAGATCCATGGCTTGCAAATATTTTCTTCCATTCTGCAGACTGTCTCTTCACTCTGTTGTGCCCAAAGGAAAAAAGCCATTATATCAAAAAGATACCTGCCTGTAGTCCCAGCTGCTGGGGAGGCTGAGGCAGGAGAATGGCATGAACCCGGGAGGCGGAGCTTGCAGTGAGCCAAGATGGTGCCACTGCACTCCAGCCTGGGTGACAGAGAGAGACTCCGTCTCAAAAAAAAAAAAAACAAACAAACCTGCAATCATCTTTTAATTTAAGTACTATTCGCAATAATGACAATAGGGAATCAACCTAACTGTGCATCAACAGGTGATTAGATAAAGAAAATGTGTTAGATATACACAATGGAATGCTATTTAGCCGTAAAAAATGAAGTCATATCTTTTGCAGCAACATAGATGAAACTGGAGGCCATTGTCCTAAGTTAAACAAGTCAGACATAGAAAGACAAATGCCACATGTTCTCACTTGTAAGTGGGAGCTAAATAATGTGTACACATGAACGTACAATGTGAAATGATAGTAAATGGAGACTCTGAAGGTGTGCGGGGTGGGAGGGGAGGTGGATGATGAGAAATTACTTAACTGGGTACATGTACATCCCGTGATGGACACACGAGAAGCCCTGACTTCTCCACTATGTAATATTGCCAGGTAACAAAGTTATACTTGTACCCCATAAATTTATACAAAGAAAATTTTCAAATCTATATATTTGAGTGTTATATCTTCTTGGCCAATTCATTCTTTTTATGAAATACCTTTTTTATCTTTGCACATTTTCTTTATCTTGAATCCTATTTTTTTCTTTTCTTTTTTTTTTTTTTTTTTTTTTTTGAGACGGAGTCTCGCTCTGTCACCCAGGCTGGAGTGCAGTGGCTCGATCTTGGCTCACTTCATGCAAGCTCTGCCTCCCGGGTTCACGCCATTCTCCTACCTCAGGCTCCCGAGTAGCTGGGACTACAGGCGCCCACCACCACGCCCGGCTGATTTTTTTGTATATTTTTAGTAGAAACGGGGTTTCACCATGTTAGCCAGGATGGGCTTGATCTCCTGACCTCGTGATCCGCCCGCCTCGGCATCCCAAAGAGCTGGGATTACAGGTGTGAGCTACTGCACCCGGCTGAATCCTGTTTTTTTCTGAAACCAATATAGCTATTCTAGTTTTCTTATCATTTATGTCTACATGGAATATCTTTCCCCATACTTCTAGTTTAACTTGTTTGTGCTTCTGTATCAAATACATCGTTTGTATCCAGCAAAAATTGGGTATTGCTTTTTACTAGTCTGACAATCTTTGCCTTTAAGTGTTTAATAAATATACATTTATTGTAAATATTGATATGGTTGGGTTTGGGTCTACTATTTTGCATTTTTTTAAATATATATTGTAGATCCAATATTATCCAATGCCTATGAGATTCCCCAGTCTGCTTTTTGGAAGCATGCACTGTTCCTCTTCCTGTGTAAGCACCAGGCTCTATTACCTCTAATACATTTTGGTGGTCTTTCTTCAGCTTTGGATAATTTCATCACACTTATTTTCTGATTAGCACTTTGCTGATTACCTGACTGGTATTCTCTGCAGAACTTCAAAATTACCTCTCTGTTCAGCTATCTCCTCTCCAATACTCTGCTTTATAACCTCTGCTTGCCTTGGTCTTCCTATATTCCCATCTTTGTATCCTCAAACCAGGTAGTTAACTAGGCTCCTCATGGGTTTTCTTCCTTCTACCATGGCCTGGACCTCTCTCAAGGTAGTAAACTAGGATACTTGTAGCACTCTTATCATTTGTTTTATGTCTCTTGGGGATCACTTTCTTAGTTATCTAATTTCCAGTATCTTGAAAACTTTTTTCATATGTGTGTGTGTGTATATATATATGAGAACATATATACATACGTATATGTATATGTATGCATTTGTTCCTGTTTGTTTCAGATGAGACAACAAATTAAATCCCTGCTACTATACCTTGGTTGGTAGCAGAAATCTGTTCACTATTCAACTCAGTATGTTTTTTCTTTACATTTTGAACATATTTTTAATAGTTTCTTCAAAGTCCTATGTATTCCCCCAAGTGTACAAGAGGCTGTATAGTATAATGATTAAATGTATGTATTTGGGAGTTAAGTAGACCTTGGTTTAAATCCCCACTCTGTCACTTTCCAGATGTTTTACTGTGGGTATGTTATTTAAACATGTACACCTCCATTTTCAGTAAAATTAGAGCAATTCAAATGATCTCAGAGGCATTCTGAAGATCAAATGGAGTTGTGAATATAAAGCACTTGTCAGAGAACCTGACACGTAGTAAATTATTAATATATGGAAGTTCAAAAATTCTTCCTATTTAATAGAGAAACTGTAAGAATCGTAGAATATTCTAAAATAGAATGTATGTCAGAATTAAATGGGGTGGTAGAACTGTTAAACACTATAGGAATTCAGAGAAAAGAAAGAGGACTTCTTGGTGGAATTAAGATTTGTGCTTGGATTTTAATTTAAAAACAATCACTTGCAGGGCGGGAAGCCTCAAATTCAATGGAATATGGAATAGGTGGGTATGTAAAGCAACCACTCGAGAGAGTGCAAAGGTTTTATGATGAAGAATTTTGAGAAATAAAGGCAAATTGATAGTCAAAGTGAGGTCAAATTGTTTGTGCTTTGAATGCCTGATAGGAGATTTTTACAATAAGAATCATTTGTAATTACTAGAGGAGCAGGATATTTTTAAAAATCACAGAATCATAGGATTTTCAGTCTTGGAGTGAATAAGATTTAGTTCCATGTTTTTAAAATCTTCAAGTTTCATAGCAGTCAAATTTCAATAGTTTTGTTCATTGGTTATGAGGAATGACAGTGAGGAAGGAGTGCTGGGGAGGAAAATGAATTTGGTACATAGAAACACATGTGTCATGTAAAGCTTTGGGCAGAATAAGTTTGAAATGAAGAGACCTATGAGATTTGCAAATCCATAGGCAATAGTAAATGCGTTTCTGAGTTTGTGTTAGAGGTCAGCTTAGAGATATAGATCAGAGAGTTTCCAGAATAAAGGTGAGAGTTGAAATGTTAACAGATGGGTTCTTTTAGGAAGAATTTGAGCACAGTTTGTTAGAGAAAATACAGAAAGGCTTCAGAGATAAAATTAGAAGGCCATATCCAGGAAGAAATGGATTGTTTTGTGCAGAGTCACTGAAGAAAGTTAGAGAGCTATATTGTCAATACTACTGACTTCACTGTTAATAGCAGGTACCTTTCAGATTAATACACAAAAACTAGTTACTAATAAGGACTTACAAAGAAGAAACAGCAATAATGACATCACCAGATATTTTATGAGACAATCAGTTGACTTTGCGGAGATTGTTCATACCTTATTGGAACTTGTTTGTGAGGCAGACAAAATTTGTATTTTTAAAATTGCCATTTGCCTAATGAAGAACCCGAGGTACAAAGAGGTTCCTTAAACCTTTTAGCAGTCATTCAGCTGGTTAGCAGCAGAAGAAGCTATGAGCCCAAAGCTAAGGTCTCCCATATTCTAGAATATTAAAAGTAGCTGTTTTTGTTTCTTCTCATGCTGCTAATAAAGACATATCTGAGACTGGGTAATTTAGAAAGGAAAGAGGTTTAATTGACTCACAGTTCCACATGGCTGGGGAGGCCTCACAATCATGGCAGAAGGTGAATGAGAAGAAAAGTCAAGTCTCACATGGTGGAGAGAAGAGAGCTTGTGCAGGGGAACTCCCATTTATAAAAACCATCAGATCTCATGAGACTTATTCACTACCACAAGAACAATATGGTAAAACTGACTCCATGATTATTTTATCTCCACCTGGCCCCACCCTTGATACATGGGGATTACTACAATCCAAGGTGAGATTTCTGCCCCTATCATTCTGCCCTGACCCCTCCCAAATCTCATGTTCTCACATTTCAAAACCAATCATGCCTTTCCAACAGTCCCCCAAAGTCTTAACTCATTTCAGCATTAACTCAGAAGTCTAAAGTCCAAAGTCTCATCTGACACAAGGCAAGCCTCTTCCACCTATGAGTCTGTAAAATCCAAAGCAAGTTACTTACCTCCTAGATACAGTGGGAGTACAGGTAGTGGGTAAATACACTAATGTGGGAGAAATGGCCAAAACAAAGAGACTACAGGCCCCACACAAGTCTGAAATCCAATGAGGCAGTAATTAAATCTTAAAGGTCCAAAATAATCTCCTTTGACTCCATGTCTCACATCCAGGTCACACTGATGGAAGAATTGGGTTCCCACAGCCTTGGACAACTCCGCCACTGTGGCTTTGCAGGGTACACCCCTCTCCACTAGCTGCTTTCAAGGGTTGGCATTGAGTGTCTGCAACTTTTGCAGATGTGTGTTGCAAGCTGTCAGTGGATCTACCATTCTGGGGTCTGGAGGATGGTGGCCCTCTTCTCACAGCTAGCTCTACTAGGCAGTACCTCAGTGGGGAGTCTGTATGGGGGCTCCAATCCCACATTTTCCTTTTTTACTGCCCTAGCAGAGGTTCTTCATGAAGGCTCTGCCCCTGTAGCAAATTTCTACCTGGACATCCAGGCATTTCCGTACATCCTCTGAAATCTAGGCGATGGTTCCCAAACCTCAATTCTTGACTTCTGGGCACCCACAGGCTCAACACCACATTGAAGCTGTTAAGGGTTAGAGCTTGCCCCCTCTGAAACCATGGCCTGAGCTATACACTGGCCCCTTTTAGCCTGGGATACAGCAGCTGGGATGCAGGGCACCAAGTCCTGAAGCTGCACACAGCAGAGGGGCCCTGGACTCAGCCCCAAAAACCACTTTTCCCTCCTAGGCCTCCAGGCCTGTGATGGGAGGAGCTGCTGGGAAGGTCTCTGACATGCCCCAGAAACATTTTCTTCATTCTCTTGGTGATTAGCATTTGGCTCATTACTTATGCAAATTTCTGCTGCCTGCTTGAATTTCTTCCCAGAAAATGGGGTCTTCTCTTCTACTGCACCATTAGGCTGCAAATTTTTCAAACTTTTATGCTCTGCTTCCTCTTGAATACTTTGCTGCTTAGAAATTTCTTCCACCAGATACCCTAAATCATCTCTCTCAAGTTCAAAGTTCCACAGATCTCTAGGGCAGGGGCAAAAATGCTGCCAGTCTCTTTGTGTAGCAAAAGTGACCTTTAATCCAGTTCCCAAAAGTTCCTAATCTGCATCTGAGACCACCTCAGCCTGGACTTTATTGTCCATATCACTATCAGCATTTTGGTCAAAGCCCTTTAATCAGTCTCTAGGAAGTTTCAAACTTTCCCGTATCTTCCTGTCTTCTGAGCATCCCGAGTCTCTAGAAAGTTCCAAACTTTCCCACATTTTCCTATCTTCTTTTGAGCCCTCCAAAGTGTTACAACATCTGCCTGTTACCCAGTTCCAAAATCATTTCCACATTTCTGGGCACCTTTACAGCAGCACCCCACTCTCAGTACCAAAATCTGTATTAGTCAGGGTTCTCTAAAGGGACAGAACTAATAGGATAGATGAATATATGAATGGGAGTTTATTAGGAGAATTGACTCACATGATCACAAGCTAAAGTCCCACAATAGGCCATCTGCAAACTGAGGAGCCAAGAAGCCAGTCCAAGTCTCAAAACCTCAAAAGTAGGGAATTTGATAGTGCAGCCTTCAGCCTATGGCTGAAACCCTGAGAGTCCCTGGCAAATCTCTGGTTTAGGTCCAAGAGTCCAAAAGCTGAAGAGCTTGGAGTCTGATATTTGAGGGCAGGAAGCATCCAGCACAGGAGAAAGATGGAGGCCAGAAGATTCAGGCCAGTCTAGTCCTTCCACGTTCCTCTGCCTGCTTTTATCCTAGCTGCTCTGGAAGCTGATTAGATGGTGCTCACCCAGATTGAGGGTGGGTCTGCCTCTCCCAGTCTATTGACTCAAATGTTAATCTCCTTTGGCAACACCCTCACAGACACACCCAGGAACAATACTTTGCATCCTTCAGTCCAATCAAATTGACACTCAATATGAACCATCACACTAATAGAGGCCATAAATGCACAGTCCTTTCATTTTACACAGAAGGAACTGAAGCCTGGAGATTTGGACTGTCTTGGAATGTGGGGATTATAAGTTACAGAACGATAAATATCACTTGCCTAATGAATGTCTACCTGGATTTGTAGTTTTTAGATTGATCTCATTCAATCTTTAAAACAACAGCATTATGGCATAGGTAATTGCTGTGGTTTAGATGTGATTTGTTCCCACCAAAATTCATGCTGATTTTGATCTCCAGTGTGGAGTGTTAGGAGGGGGGCCGAGTAGGAGGTGTTTGGGTCATGGAGGCATAGCCCTCATGCACAGAGTGATGCCCTCCCGTGAGGGTGAATGAGTTCTCTCTGGCAGGAATCGATTAGCTCCCATGGAGTCTGGTTCATCAGTTTCTCTCTCTTGTTTCCTCTCTTGCCATGTGATCTCTTTGCACATACCCACCCCCCCCCCCTTTTTTTTTTTCCACAATGACTTGAAGCAGGCTGAGACCACCACCAAATGCAGCTACCTAATCTTGGACTTTTCAGTCACCAGGATCATGAGCAAAATAAATCTTTTTTCTTCATAAATTACTCAATCTCAGGTATTCTGTTATAGCAACACAGAATGGACTAAGACAGTTATGTTATCATTTAAAAGCCAAAGAAAGTGAAGCTCAAAAAAGATAAATAACTTGCTCAAAGTCAAAGTCATGTAACAGAATCAGAATTCAAACTCAAACATATCTAACTACAAAGCTTTGTCTTGTTTTATGTGTTATCTTGACTCTTGACTTTTAGCAAAAAACTTCTTCCACTCCTTTAGCTGCCTACGTAATCTGTGATTAGTGCTGGGTTTTTTTCCTTGTTTGCTTGTTTCTGTTTTTATTTTTAGATATTGCATCAGTATGAGTTCTAACCTGAGCACAGTCTTTTCCCTGAATATGGAAAAGGGTCTCTCATAATAATTAGGAAATGCTGGCTAGCAATAAAAAGCAACTCCAAGCAGTAATGGCTCAATAAAATAGAAATATATTTCTTACTCACCTAAATAGCCTATGACAGTTTCAGGTCTGTGGAAGGGCCCTGGTCTACATAGCCTTGCAGGAAGCCAGGCAGAAAAATGTTGTACTATTTTCAATACGTGATTTCCAAGGTTTTCCTGGAAATTGGCCTGTAGTGAGCAGGTAGAAATATTCTGGAGGATCATATTAGGCATTTTTATGACCCATATTGAAATTATATCACTTCTAACTCTGCAACTAGAGCTCAGCCACATGACCTTACATATCTTCAAAGGAAGCATGCTCCAGGCACATCCCTAAGAACCCAAGAGAAACAAGAGATAGAAGAACTAGCCTGTTTCTGCCTCAGGGTCTTTGCATGTTATGTTCAGTACAATTCTGGCATTCAGCAAATAGCAGAAAATAAGCAGGTTTGTGTTTGCTGTACTTGTGACAATTTATGTTGCTGATTTTACTTCCTTAAACTTATGTGAAGTTTTTTGGTGACCAAGAGAATCTAAATCTTTATGAGGCATGTATTATAGATTTATAGATTCTATTCCTGAATGCTTAACAAGGTTACACTTGTCTCAAAATCCAAATGATTATTTTTAAGGTTCCAGAAATAATCTCTTAGTCCTAACCAGTTTCCTGATTGCAAGTTGATATTATTATATATATTTTTATTTTCAGAATCAACTTATTCTGTCTTCTGTTTTATAGCAGTAATATTTAGTCCAAAGTTAATATCCAGACTGTGCTTAAGAGTCTTTTTTTGTTTAACAGTCACATGATGTTTGATTTTATCATTCTCAACCTACAGATTAGAAAACAAAGACTTGTGAAATCTAAATAATTATTAGTGCATTATTAAGCAGGAATTTGAAGTCATGTTTGTCTCTAAAGTCTATATTTATAACAACAGTTTATTTTTCTTTTACATTCTATTTGCCCCCTAGACTCTATGTATCTGGAGGGCAGAGACCTTATCTCTCTATGTCTGCATCAGAGGATATAATACAGTGCTTAGTATATGGGGCAAATGTACTAGCACATGGTGGGTGCTCAATAAACTTTTGTTGAATGAATGAAAATATCAAAGTTTTTCTCATGACTCAATATCACCCTAAAAACTCTTAGGAAAGGTATAATCTATCCACAACCTGAGCCACTACTTCAGTGCAAGCTTTAACTATTAGTATGAAATACGAAAGTACCTCTTTGAAAATAAGCTTTGAGAAAACCTTTATTGGTTTTATAAATTGTCAAATTGCAAATCCAATAGGAAAGAGATTAGATGGAGGAAGAGATCCATCCAGCTCAAGAGATGGATTTTACAGGAATTCAAGGATTTGTTTGCAAATTGCTTTCTCTAGGAAATTCACCATATGCCCCAAAAGGATTAAAGGTATTGCTTAGGATACATTTTATGAAAACAAACCTTGGGTATTCGTCTGTTTCTCATTGTAAATGAAAAATTCATGGCACACGTAGGACTTTTCATTGCAACAATTATAGAAATTGTTATAATTATTATAATTATAATCATGATTAAAATTACTCCTAATAACACCATTGCAATTATAACTTTTTTGTTACCTATTTTGCCCACTTAAAATATCTAAAGATTAGAGGTAGAAGCAAAGTATTAAATAGAAACTACATAATGTCTTTTAGAGGAAAATAACATGTAAATATTAAATTTACTTTTTCTTTAGTTTTATGAATTGACATTGTAGTTTGTGACTTGCAAACACCAGGAAATCTTGGGGTATTTTGAAAATCTCCATTATAGCCTTGGTTAATTTTTCCTTTCATTCAATCTACCAGTCATTTATTTTTTCATACATTCATTCCCAGGGACTTGTATTGGGCACTTTCAAATTGCTTGGTACTCCCACTTCCAGGTATCCCTAGCAAGGTAAACCTGCATAAAATGTTGTCTGTTTTCTTGGAAAATTTGCATTTGAGTGATAGACACTAAAAGGAAATCACTGTGATAGGACAAGATAAGTACTAAAATAGATGTGTGTACAGATACTGAGTTACTAGGGGAGGGAGTTGGTGATATTGGTGGTTGTTTGAAACTTTAACTATTAGTATGAAATACAAAACACAAACACACACACACATATACGTATATAGTTCTTCCCTTTGATTATGAGCTCCTGGATTTTTGGAGTCATGTTTCATCCATTTTTGCATTGAACACAACACAAAAATAATCCTTGCACATATTTTTAGCTCAACAGATATTTACAGAATTGAATAAATGTATTATCTTTCTGTAAATAATCCTTTCTTGATTTGTCAACAAGATATGATAGTTGTGACAAAAACTAGTTCTAGCTAGTTTTGAACTGTATTTCACCATTTGTAAGCTGTGTGACCCAGGCCATATGTTAGTTATTGTGTTGTCGACATTTGACTCTGAGGATACAGAAATGAATACTCCATAGTATCTCACTCAACAATCCCCCAGCTTCTCTTGTTTCCTTGTTCACATTTTCAGCTCTGTGCTGGATTAAACTGAGATTTAAACAAGATTTTAGGACTTTCTGTAGGAGGAAAGGTGACTTTTTGTTTGTTTCCTTTGGGATGGTTGACACATTGTGAGTGCAGCCAGCCAGGCTCACAGTAATTTATCAGAATTCCTTGAATGAGAGTTGATTCTGTAGTGAACTTAGAGCTTCTGTCTTGTTTGTTTGCCTGTAGGGAGTGCTGACTGGGAGAAACAAATCTTTGCCTCTGAGGACAAAGGCAGCCACAACCTAGCTTGGGAAGAAACCATCATTTATAATTTGTAAATTCCCCAAAGTGTTGCTGAAAAGCCTCCAAGTGTTTTCTATATTTGGGTCTGTGATGGTTGCTTTATATACTACTGTGACTACCTACACAGAAGAAAGCCAGTGTTAGGAACACAGTGAAAACGTGAGCCCCTCTCAAGTACAATATGGTACATAAAAATGAATTTTCTGGCTTTAATTATAGACCTTGCACAGAGAACAGAAATGTACAGCCTAGGCACCAGCATGTGATGTGAACCTGATTATTTCCAGTGAGTTTCTGGAATCGTCTGTGAAAAGTACAGTTGTCAGGCAAAATGGGCTTCTCCACTACTTTCTCATTTCCCATGCAAGCCAGGGATTCCCTAGTGTCCCTGGGGAAGTTGTAGATGTGTAACTGTCTGATTGTCTTCACTGCTTTTGAAAGACTCCTGTGCTATACAGATAACTTCTGCCCTGCTGAATCATGGAAACTCCTTATCGTTTCATTTTGGGAATAGAAATATCTGTGAATTGAAAAAGTATTTGCACATCATTCAACACTTCTGTTCTTCCTAGAAATGTTCTATTGAATTTAGGGCTGAAGGAGTTACTTTATTTGATCAGATAATTTATCCTCCAAACTCAGGTGTTTTGAGAGTAAAAGGGAAGTAGATATAAACTAGGACTTTTCCAGGCAAACCAGGACATATGATTGCTTTGGTTGAGATGCTTCTATTTGTGTATCTCCTGATTTCCCAAAACGCTAACCATGGCTATTACCTAAAGTATTGTCCACAGCCTGTAGGCAACAGGGTCTGTGTTAATCATGACTGGTTTTTCTGAGAGCTTTGGAAATAAATGTCAGAGGTAGAATTGGTTGCTGCTTTGTTACAGAGAGTTATCCTTCAGCCTAACATAGAGAAGTCATCTCTATAATCAGCCGTCTGTTTATATGTGTGTCTCTTGCCTGGTATTCAAAAAGCAGTGGGCTGATTGTGTTATTTAGAATAAGCCCTTTCCCTCCAGGAGCCACAGCCCTTAGTCATTTCTCTACTTGAAGTTTTAAAGTTTTTAGTGATCCAACATATGTCCCAGAGAACCTGGACCTGTAAAATTTGAGGTATGACAATCTACATGGTGATTGGAAATTTATTTTCTGGGAATTTATAATAAACACACACAGCCTAACTGCAATATCTGAAGATCCTATACAAATATTAGGCCCTAGGGACTGAGGGCATTTAGAAGTCTAAGGGATGATGTATGTGAAAAGATTTAATGGGCTGAACAATACATGCTACAGAAGAAGAAGGTGACCATTGAGTTGGAGTTGCACAGTATGAGGAACTACACCTTTTCTCTCTTTACTTGGCCAGAATGCCTTGAGATGACATTACCCAGTTTCAAACTAAATTAACAGCCCGGTGCACAACATGGGACTTGTCAAGATAATAGAACCAATGGTAGCTGATTGCCCCTGAACTGATGCTTCTTATAGGCCCTGTTAAAAGAAATTGCAAAGTACATTTTGTTCATTATGGGTTAGATTCCAATGTTAATTAAATTTATATTCATATGAGTCCCATATTTCAGATATTTCCAAGACAAGTCAAAGAAGATTCCCAGGCAGCAGTAGCTACATTCTAAGAAATAATTACTTGGAGAAATTCTGTTACAATGAACTGAACCCGGTTTAAAAATTGGCAACTCTGTTTTCTGCAATGGTGTCAATCTCCTTCAGTGCAGAGGCAAGGCTTTGTGCTAGAAAATCTATACATGAACCGGGTATTTGGTGATTCTAAAAAGCCAGAGCCTAGACAAAAACAAACAAATAAACAAAAAAAGCCTAGGAGACTTCCTTTCCTCAAGAATGATTGAAGAATGAGAATCTCTGATGGACTAGCATAATCAATCCATAGTTTTAAAAGAAATAGAACGATAGTTCCCAAACTGTGTTCCCCACAACACTAGTTTTGCAAGATATTAAAGGTATCCCAAGAAAAGGTAATTATTAGCTAAATAAATTTCGGAAACAGTGTGTATTATCAATCTTATCTCAAAGCTTTGCAGGACATATAATTATGACAAGTCTCTGGGGCTGTCATTTAAAAAAATCAGTTTAATAATATTTAATCCAGAGTGTCCTGAACTTATTTGTTCATAAAAATTTTCAAAGGACACACCATAAAATCTGGAATTGCCAATTTAGAAATTTTTAATCCAAAAAAAAAGTCATATACACCCAATACCAAAACTGTGCCAAACACCCTCAACCTAGTTATTCAGAGACAACACAGCTTTTGAGTTAGGATTTTTTTGTGACCATAAGCTCTCATTCATTGTTCAATATGAGAGAAAACATCCAAGAATGAAGCTTTCAATTCATTTGAATTCTGGAAAATATGGGATTTGCTTCTTCCAGTGACTTTCATTGTAGGTGACTAAACAGTTTTAATTGATATGTTGACATGAGCATGTTTTAGGCATTTCCTGAAAGGTTAGTGTCAAAAGAAATTAATATCCTGGTGGGCTTGTGTTTTTCTCTGAGGCAGATATTGATGAATGTTCAGAGGGAATCATTGAGTGCCACAACCATTCCCGCTGCGTTAACCTGCCAGGGTGGTACCACTGTGAGTGCAGAAGCGGTTTCCATGACGATGGGACCTATTCACTGTCCGGGGAGTCCTGTATTGGTAAGCAGCTTTCAGGCATGCCCTCCAACTGCTTGGACCTTTGCAGGAGGTGTGGCTTGCTTTGGTACTCTGTTCAGCTCCCAGTGTTAAAATATGACCATTCATTGGTTAAATGCATCAGTTTTCAAATTTTCTCCCTCTACAATTCAGGGATTAGGCCAGGGATCATGCAAAGTGGGGTGCTAGAATTTTTATATAGAAACTGTGACAGAGGAACAAAACCTGGGTCTATATGTTATGGCTTTGTTCTAAGGAAAACCTTAGTCTTCTTAATTCTTTCTAAGGAAAACCGTGATGACTTGCTGAAATTTTTGACAGTTTGGGAGGCAACTGTAGAGATGAGGAAATGTTAAATAATACTGGATACTGGATTTAGATTAAGAAAGTTTAGTTTGAATCTCATCTCTTATACTGCAAGAGTCACTATAGTCTCTAATCCTTCATCTGTGTATATGTAAAAATGAGGATAACAAGATACATATATTAAGATTAAACAAGAATACCACCTATTTAAAAATTGCAAGATTTGAATTGATGCACATATATGATATAGTTGCATTAACATTATTGTTGCTATTACCGCCACCATCATCTCTTGAAAAGTCTGCTTTATTGGGTCTCTTCTTGTGGTTCTGTTAAATACTGAACACGGGAAATTAGCAGATGGAGTTATTCACCTTCAAGACCTTACAACTTTCATGAAATCCGAACAACTGATCAAAAACATAACTGTTTCCATGAGAACCTTAGCCAATCCAATTCTTTCATGTTGTGTCACCTCAGTTGAATTCTTAATGCTGATTTGGACCAACCTAGGGGCCAAGCATTCTGACCTTGGGCTCCCAAAGTTTAGCTTGCTGAATTAGAAAGTGGGAATTTGATTTTGAATATTTGTTTTCTCTGCTTAGGGTATATTGTTTTTTTTCTAAAGGCTGCTGCTGAGATATAGTCAGTGTTTTTTCAACTTCTCCACTGATGTTGATGTAAAGCAAAGATGAATTACAGAACAATGGCCACGTGGCATGAATTATCCCCCATAGTCTTGACATTATTGTTGAGAGGCATGCAGTATAGTTACTAAAAGTATGGACTTTTGGACCAGATGTTGGCAGTCAAATTCTAGCTCTGCTGCTTCTAAGTCATTTACCATGGGTACATTTTTATCCAGTCTGTATTTCAGCTATCTCATCTGTGAAATTGAAATAATGTTTATATGTTTTTGAGATGAGTGTTGTGATAATTGAGTTAATATCTGTTAAATGTTCAAGAAATGTTAGCTATTATTTTAAATGTCACTGTGTATTCAGCATTCTACCCCATACTCTGTTCATATTTCTTTTCCTTTACATACTGCCAGGTACTTCTGTACATATGCAGCTCATTGTAAATCAATGTTATATGAATAGGAACAGGTCAAATGGCTATTGTTGAGGAATGAAAATGGAATATTAACATATGACATTAAGCATGGTGGCTAAAAGAAAATTTTAATTTTTACAGATAATATTTGACATCATTAAAAGGGGAGACTCTTAGATTTTTTAGTGCACAAAGGACCTTAGAGACCAGCTAGTTAAGCCAATTTTATTTATTATTTTTTCTACTTTTAAGTTCAAGGGATTCATGTGCAGGTTTCTTCCCTGGGTAAACTGCACATTGCTGAGGCTTGGTGTACAGATGATCCTGTCACCAAGGTAGTGAGCATAGTACACAATAGGTAGCCTTCCAAACCATACCCTTCCCCTTTCTTCCCTCCTCAGGCAGTCCTCAGTATCTTTTGTTCCTATCTTTGTGTCTATGTGTATTCAATATAGTTAAACCAATTTTATAACTGTTTGGACCTGCCATGGGACTGCACACTTCTCTGCCTTTATATACGTTGTCCCTCTGGCTGGGATGAAACATGATGATTCACATATGAATTTCATTTTCCTAAATTTAGCTCACGTTTCACCAAGTCCCCATGAAGTATTCTTTGATGCCTTCCAAAGACTTGTCACTCCTTTCTTCTGCTAACTCTAGATCTATCTTTTTCCTTGGTGTATGTTTCAGTAGCTTCACTTGTACAATATATTTGCTCTCTGACTAGACTATTGAGCAGCGAATGGGCTTTTTTCTTCTGTTTCTTCAGTGAGGCCCTTTGGTGGTTGTTGTTTAATAAATGTGAAAATTCAATCATATCATGTGATCAATAAAGACACTCACTCTCAGAAAGGTGACACCTCATTCCCAGCCACATAACTGGTTTGGATACAAGTTGAGGATCAGACCTAGGTCAAGAGAACATGTAGGAATAGTTTCAGTTTATGCCTCTTGTTTCAATGTTACCTGTAGAGCCCTATCACCCTCATAAATGTCTCTGGCACCTGTCCTGGTGCTCATTTCTCTCTAACATGCTGAGTGGCATGTCTGAAGGATGCGGTAAAATTCCTGCACTCTCAAGGAGCGTCTTTCTTCATCTACAACCTGATCCCTGTTTTGCAAAGGAAAATGTCAGTGAACTGGACTCCTTGGAGTTGGAGTCATTGGATTAGTGGCATTTTTAATTTGGGTAGTAGTCTGAATTTCTTTTTATTTCCACACTTTTGGGAAAACATTTGTAAATGATCCTTCATCAGGACAGAAATCTGACCCTCACTTAGTTATTTCTGTGGTAGTTGGGAGTACTCTGTTGGTTCAGAATATTTCTTGGGCAAACAACTATGTAAGTCAGATAATGACACTTTCTTCTTATGGCCTTCTAATGCCTTCCCAATGAGTGTAAAATAAATTTCTAACTTTATATGGCCTTCATGGTTTTAGATGATATTGTTCCTGCCTGCTTCTTGGACTCATTTCCTATATATATAAGGCTTTTTGATCTTTTCATGCCTTGAACATGACAAAAAGCTCATTCCAATTTCAGGGCCTTTGCCTTTACTGTTCTCTCTGTCTGGAGCTCTCAACACCTCTCTTGTTGTATGGCTGCCATGTTATTAGGTCTCAGACAAATGTTGCTTCTTCATGGAGACCCTCCCTGGCTTTTCTCTGAAATAATCCTTCCCTACTCACTTTGTTATAATACTTTTATATCTTTTTAGCATTTGTATTCACATGCACATGTGTGTAATATTCTCTTGCCTCAAACAAGTTGTTTGAGGGCAGAGACCTTGTTTGCCTTTTACTACTGTACTCGCAGCCCCTAAGATAATATAGTCAAAGAGAAGGCATTCAATGCATGTATGTCAAATGATTGAAGGCATGGATGTTCAAAACTGTATCAAATCAGATTTATTTTCTATTTTGTTTGATATAACTAGTTGTGTGGTGTAGATTGTGGTGCATGACATGAGATGTTAAATATCACAAAACCATGAGTCTTTTATTTAAAAAAATGTTTATTGAGAACAACCATCATACCAGCACTGCCTTGAGTCTTCTGGGAATATGGTTATGAACAAGTTAAGATGTCAGTTCTTGAAGGATTAATGACCTGACGTACTCTGGATCTTAATAACATAGCTTAATAGCACTGAAAATGAGCACATCTGAATAAACCCTAAATAATATCAACCACTAATGCTTACATTTAAAAGAAATATCAGCATCTAAAATAACCCTTACAATTTTTTTTAAAAGTGGTTTGTAGCATATACTCAGCTATGTTTTTTTCTTCAGACAATGGCATATGTTATCATCTAAAATGTATCAGTTTAGGCTTTTAGAAGAATAGTCTCATGTCACTCTATGTCACTTTTTGTCAGATGAGGATAATAGCACCTTCACTACTGATTTTATCCATTATTGTAAGCTTGAATAATATTGATATCATAAAGAACAGCATGCTTGCAAGATTTCTTATTTTATGAGAAGAAATGTTTAAGATTTGCCTTTTTCTCTTAAAGTGTAACATATGATTGAAGAAATGGCCAGTCCTAGTATTGCAGAGGCAGATAGAGTCACTATTCTTGAAGAGCTTATCAGAGTTAGTCTCTTCTGTCTCTCTCTCTGTCTCTCTCTTTGTCTGTCTCTCTTTAACTTGTATATCTTTATAATGCCAGGAGAAAATAGTACACAAAAATTTGTAAATTAATATTTGCAGAAGATGATAATGACAGTGATTTGTTGGCACTGTAGGGTACAATGCACTCTGTGTTTTGATGCAGTGGTAGGAGTCAGTGATTCTCAGTTTTAATATAGAAGTTGTGAGCAATTGCTTTTTTGTCTAGGCATAGTTATCTGGGTCATTTAGAAATGAGAAGAACTAATATATAATTAACAATGGCATGTATAAGCAGCAGTACTTTGCATATTTTAAAAATAAGATTCAGACTCCTCGGAATGTCAATCAGTTTCCACAATATTGCTCCCACAAATGAAACTTTATTTTCCTTTGTTCTCTCATATACTTTGCATGGATACTGGAGACTACTCAAATTCTTATTCTGCTCTTCCTAAATCCTGCATTCTCTTTCCTCTACTCCTTTGCTTGTGTGCTTTTCCCTGACTATCCCCATAGCCCCATTTCCATTAGTTAAAATCCTGATGAAGTCTTACTCTGTAAAGCAGGGATTCTCAAAACTGTGTCATGGTAGATTCACTGGAGTAGTGAAACGGCAGAGTTCCCTGACCCCCTTAGTAGGACTTGTGACAAAGATGTGGCTTGTCTGATCACCTGCCATGTGCTCCCAAACTCCTTATGGGAGGGAGAGTATACAGATGTGCAGGAGCTGGGGCAAGCACTTTTGGGCTCTGGCCCCACAATAATATCTAGGGATGGGTGCCTGAAACTCCTAAAGCCCAAGTGGGTGTGTGTTACACTATGTTCTGTTAGCTTTGCTGTGTACAGGCAGTAAATGGCTCATTGTACCCTCTGCCTTTTCACAAGGACAGAGGGCCAGTGTGACGGCTTTCTGTATCTCAAGCTCTTGTCTGGTGTCCAGGAAAAATCATATTACACACGGACTTGAAGGATGGTGAATGTGGGATTTTATTGAGTGGTGGAGGTGGCTCTCAGTGGGATGGATGCGGAGCTGGAAAGGGGATGGACTGGGAAGACGATCTTCCCCTGGAGTTTGACTGTCCAGCAGCCAGACACTCCTCTCTGAGTGTCCCCAGCCAAACTCCTCTAGACATTCAGATGCTCCTTCTCTTCTCTCCTCTGCTGCTCTTCTGTTCGTCTGCTCATCTGCTTGTGGAGCCTGGGGTTTGGGGTTTCTATGGGTACAGGATACCCATAGATAGCCCATAGGGTGTACAGAATCCTGGGTACAGGATACCGATAGGGTGTGGTGGGCCAAAAGGCAACTTTTGGTTGCGAAAACAGGAATGCCTGTTCCCATTTAGGGCCATTTAGGGCCATTTAGCCCATTTAGGGCTCCCTTTGCCAGGGAGCTGCCCTCTTCTACCCAGTATTTCCCTGTCTCCTGTCCATATCAGTAGCTTTTTAAAAATGCCTGTGACGGGACATCACACATCCTGAAGATTCATATTCAGTTGGTCTGGTGTGGGACCTAGATTGACACCATTTTCTAAAATTTGTTTAAGTGTATTTTTTATAAATTCATAATATTTTTGCATATTTATGGGGTATATGTGATATTTTGTTACAACCACAGAATGTGTAATGATCAAGTCAGGGTATTTGAGGTGTCTATCACCTTGAGTATTTATCATTTCTATGTGTTGGGAAAAATACGAGTCCTGTTTTCCAGCTATTTTGAAATATATAGTACATTGTTGTTAATTATAATCACCCTACTCTGCTCTCAAACATTGTAACTTACTCCTTCTATCTAACTGTATGTTTGAACCCATTGACCAACCTCTCTTTAACACTCATTCCCCAACCTGCACACCCTTCCCAGTCGCTGGTATTGATCATTTTCCCTACCTCCATCAAATCAATTTTTTTAGCTCCTACACATGAGTGAGAACATGAAATATTTACCTTTCGGTGCCTGGCTGTATTAGTCTGTTCTCGCACTACTATAAGGAACTTCCTGAGACTGGGTAATTTATAAAGAAAAGAGATTTAACTGGTTCATGGTTCTACAGGCTGTACAGGAAGCATGGCTGGGGAGGCCTCAGGAAACTTACAATCATGGGGGAAGGTAAAGGGGAACCAGACATGTCCTACATGGCTGGAGCTGGAGGAAGAGAGTGAAGGGGGGAGGTACTATGTACTTTTCAACAACCAGATCTCATGAGAACCCACTCACCATCATGAGAACAGCCAGGGGAACATCTACTCCCATGATTGAATCACATCCTACCAGGCCCCTCCTCCAACACTGGAGATTACAATTTGACATGAGCTTTGGGTGGAGACACAAATCCAAACCATATCACTGGCTTATTTCATGAAGTCATTTAAAAAAAGACTACAAGTGATTATTAGAGAGACAATTTGGCCAATGTAGAGAACTACTGACATTCAGTTCTTCTAATAATAAGAATAAAAATTTCTCCCCTCTTATTTGTCTTCATAGCCGTTTATTTGCCATTCTTTTATAGACTTTAGCAGATTAGACTTGTGTTCTTAATTACGTCTTTATCACCTACAGTACAATTTAGGTGTTTTTTGATAGATTTTTATCAATTAATGTTGAATTAAATTGTATTGGTTGTGTTATTTTTACCTATCATATAAAATGTTTCATTCACAAGAAAGCCCATGTTGTTGCTGGAGACACACTCCAAGATGACATACAGCTATTCTTACGGGACTGAATACCTGTTGGCCTTCCATTGTTATCTGCTTTATAGCACTTAGTTGGGTGAAGCAGTTTCCTAGACTCTGGAGCCTGCTCTCAGGCCACTGTAAATGGCACAGTGAGGATTTACTTCTCAGAGTACTGCTGAAACCATGGTCACCATGCAAAGCAATATGAAACAACCAAAAATGTTCCGCTGAAATCCCTTGGGAAAGAAATTTCCATTTTATCTGGTGGATGTGTCAGGAATAATTGAAATGGCCTAAGAATGATTTTGCTTTGACTGCTTCTGCTCAGTGCCTGTTTTTCATAGGAGTGGCGATAAAAAGGGGTAGAACCTGGAGGTGCTCTATCTGTAAAAATGCTCTCAGTGACAAACCTCACTGAAGGGGAGGGGAGCTATGAAGCCTTTGCAGGCAATACTGTGATGTAATGGAGAGGGGTTTTAAGGACATTAAGCCTAGATTCAGTCCGAAATCGGCCTCTTTCTAGCTGAGCAGCATTTAGAAAGATATTTAACCTTTCAAAGCCTTAGTTTTCTTAGTGTGCATTAAGATAATACTTACAATGGAACTTTTTCTAATATGTGTTTTTATATGCAAATTTCCTGACAAGTATTATATGATAGTCAACATTTAACCTCCCTTCACCTCAGTTCCCTCACCTGTCACATGAAAACAATAACAGTAATACTAATAAGAGATAACATTTATTGAGAGTTTTACTTTGTGCCAGACACTGCTCTCAGCAATTTACAAAAGCATCAACCTCATACGGGTTGCTGTGGAGTAATCGTGACAATTAAGTGAGCAAACAAGGGAAAGAAGCATTCAGCACTTAGGTTTTAAGCAGGCAATAGATGTTATTTTCATTAACCGAACAACTACATGATGTGCTAGACACAGAACCAGGAAATTTCATGTATTTTCTAATTTAATTTCACAATGACCATAGGAGGAAAGCCCTCTTACTATCCCCATTGTAAAGGTGAAGAAAATGTGAGCTCGAGGACGAAGAGAACTTGTCCCAAATTCCGCAGCTGATAAATGGCACACAGAAGCCATAATCCAGGTGTGTTTGATCCCAAAGCTTCTGTTCTTAATATGTTCACACTGCACTGCTTTCTGGAAGGGAGGAGAACAGTGATGGGCTCATAGGTAGAGGAGATGTTAGCCAGAGCAGTTGGAGATTGAAAATACAAAAAAAGGGAGCATGAGAGAAAACAGATGAGACCCAGATGGACAGTTACAATATTATCTCTGTGTGATGAGCACTAGGGACTTATTTTATTCACTGGACTCAAGGGATGTGTTCTGGGGCCATCCTTCTGAGCGATGGGCAGGATAACTACGCGACATGTTTTTGACAGTTAATGTGAAAGCACCTCAGCCTTGATAATACTACTACTGGGATATCCACTGATGTCATTACCTTCTTTGCATTTCTGGTGATGTAAATCCAGAGAAGAAAAAGGAAAGAAAGGGTGGGTGATAAAGAGAATGAGAAAATGATCGGCAGATTTTTAAACCAATTTTTTAAATGTACTTATTTATTATGCACTGCCTCTTAAAAGCAATTAGAATAGTATATACAAAGATCACATGTTCAAGAGTTATTTAAAATACAAATATTTGAAAAATAAAGAAATTATATTAACCAATGATAGTTATCAAAGATGTTCATAAATATCCTGGCAGTCAGAGCAAAATGGGAAACATGAGTATATAAATTATTCTAATTTAAAAGGAGGTTTCATTCATAATCGTCAAGAAGTAAAGTCTCAAGTGTGCTGTTTTTTCTATTCCAGGGAAGAGACATGTCAGGGTGGAAAAGCACCTTAGTGGACCAGGGTATTTCAGACTAAGAAAGTTTAAGAGACAAGGCAGAGACACTAATCCCAGAACACTCATGGATTTTCTCTCTATGCTAAACAATAAGACCCACCCTACACATAAGATATTTTTTGGTTAAATAGCATGCCACCTTTCTTTGATAATATTTAGTGTGGTCTCATTACTTCAAAATTGTTGTTTCCAAAGAGCTTTACACACAGTTTTATCAAAGTACTAAATTCTGTATTATTGAAGAGCCTTGCTTAAGGCAGATGCCACTTAACCATGGAACTGTAAGGAATCAATATGAAGTAAATGCAAGCATGATTTTGGGAATCAGAGGGCCTCAGTTGCATGACACAAAATTGCCACATGTCATTAAAAGTTTCAGATGGACAGAGAGACCAAGACCCAGACACCACCTCAGTATGGAATGGATATGGAAAAAGATCAGTATTATCAGGGTGCAGAATGGAGAGGTTAAGAACATTTTGCAACATCTAATAGAAAAGAAAGCTCTTCTGGGTCCCCCAGAAAGGACCTTACAGTGGACACACAGTGGCAGATGATAAATCAGGTGAGAAATGAATCTCATCAGACCCTCTGGAAGCTTGCCTGCTCCTTTTCTAGTCCTGCCATACATAGATAAGCCTGAAGCTATTTAGCATGTGGGCTAAATTGGATACATTTTAGAGACTTCTCTGGGAAGACAAGCGCACCTCCTCCGTTTCGATGATAATCACTTCACAAAGTAACATCAAAATAGAGTGCATTACACTAGACTCGGGCATGAACCCAAGGTTCATTCATTACCCACAGCCTAGCTGGGCTGACAGAGCAAGCCTATAAGTTGTTTTCTATGTGTACTTTCTAGGAGTTTCTAAACATTTCTGGGAGTTAGTCTAACAGAACCTCAGATGAGCAGTAGGGTCTGTCCTGTAAGCCATTATGAACCTGTCTATTATCTTTTCATTCTCAGTCTTTTGAATATCTTCCTAATGGCAACTATGACTAGTCATAAAGAAAAAGAAAAAAACTACAACTTTGGACCATGACATGAAGCAATACAGGCATATGGGGAGCCAGGGGAATTGCAATTCTAGTTCAGGTGAAGTTCACATGGGCAGTAATGATAAGGAGAAAAATTAGAAAACTTACAAAAACCTTCACAAGTATTGGGATGTTATTATAAGTATTATATCCTTAAAAATATCCTACAGTGGTTTTAGCACTAAGCTAGGTGGTAGGTAGGATGCAGAAAATTTATACCATAGGGACTTTTAAATTCCATGTTGAAGACAAAAATAATCAGCTTACATAAAACAACCAACAGCCTTCTGATATAGGTTATACTTTAAAATATGGGGTCAATGCTATAAAATATATAGGTAATTAGGGAAGAAAGTGATTAGAGAATATCAAAGAACAGTCATAACAGAATTCTTGGGGCTGATTCGACCTGAAGGATGGAAGGGTTTAGGTATTTTATAGGTATAATAATAAAAGTAAATATTAATATCTAAGATTAATTACTTCATGTTCTAGGTGCTCTTCTAAGAGCTTGACATTTCTTTACTCACTTTATCCTCAAAACAACTCCACCAGGTAGAAATATTTATGATCTCTATTTAATGGACAAAGAGCCTGTACTTTATATTATGAATGTTCTAAATGTATTTGGTCATATAACCCTTTCCTCTCCTGGGCATCTTATGGATTTGGTTTCTATTATTATAAAACACACTAATTGAAAACTTGAGAATGAATATAAATTCCTATTCTAGGAATTTATAGAAAACCTTATTTGCTCAGTATCATTGAATAATGAGCTGTTTCAGATGAGGTTTTTTTTTTCCGTTCTGTGGCAAAAAATGATTGCATACACTACTTGCTCTATAACTATCAGAATGTTTCTACTATCTTAACTTTGGTGTAAGGATATCCTTCCAATATATGTCTATTTGTGTATTACTTTTTTAAAATGTGGTCACTAAAAATGTGAATTACTCAAAACAACTGTTGATTATTGAGTGACGTTCTAGTGGTTTATTGAGGTATAGCTGGTTGGTCCCTAAGTTAAATGTTCCCAGTCATAATGTTTTTGACAAACATATTTCTTTTTTACACAGATATTTTGTCTTCTTTCCACATTGTCAAGCTAATCTCTATTTTTTAAAATGACATTTACGAGGTTGCTCTCCTTTCCACTCTGATAAACTAAAGAGTTGGTTATGTGATGTCTCAGACGACAGGACCTCAAAGTCCCAGAAGCCTTTGGGGATAAAAAAGGATTGTGAAGCAGGATTTCACAAGTGCTGGATGACAATTTTGTATTCTGTGAATTGGCCTGGTGGGAGTGCTGAGAAAGGAAGACATGGGTTGGGGACTTTGAGACTTTATTGGAGAGCTGGAACTTGAAGAGTAAGAGTTGGGTAATACACAAGGAAAAGATTAATACGTTCCCCTAAAAAGGTGCTTTGTAGTGTGGTTATGGTTTTAGGGTCCTTTCCTCACTGTGAACCTGACATTTTTTGGAAAACAAGCAACAGGAGAAGCTTTTTAGTTTTCTGAACAAGACCTTGAAGTTGATAAGCAAATTGTTCTTCATAAGTTTTAAATGTCTTTTTTCTTTCTTCCTGAATAGCTGGCAGTCTCAACTGAGTGAAAACAGAATGAGAGGGGGCATTTCTGAAAAATAGGTTTTCCTCAGATCCTATTACTTCCTGTGAACTCAGTGCCCCTTGTAGCTTCAGGCAGTAATTTTAGAAGTATGATCCTCAGACCAGCATCATGGGAGTCGCCTGGGAACTTGTTAGAAATGCAAATTCTGTACCACACTCTCTAGACCTTCTGAATCAGCAGCTCTGTGGGTAAGGGCCTAGTGATCTGTGTTTTAATGAGAGCTCTCATTGGTTGATTCTGAAGCTCACTGAATTTTGAAAATACTGCCTTGGGGTTTTCACTGAAAGCCCTCAGAACACTCTGAAACTGTATGCAAGCTTGTGTATACATCTGTGCCTACATCTTCTGGAGGAAATGGAACCATAGTTTTTCCTGGGATCTTGGCCACTAACAATGTGAGAACCACTGTTGAAATACCAGGATCCGGCCTCAATGTTTCCAGTTACCACTCTGACTCTGATTTAACTTATAAGTATTTTCTTCCTGAAGATTTATAATTCAGTCTCAGGGGAGATTCACTGCTTTCCTTTGTCAGTTTCTGAGCACTCCTTGATATTGAATTCCATGTAGTTTCAGCTTCCTGCCTTTTTGAGGCTCAGTGTGAGCAATTGTTTCATTACAGAAACTCCTGGCTTGAATGTGTTAGAGCCAAAGATCATGTCTAAACAGCAATTCAGAGATCATCATTGATATGGTTTGGCCATGTCCCCACCCAAATCTCATTTTGAATTGTAGCTTCAATAATCCCCATGTGTCATGGGAGGGAACCAGTGGGAGGTAACTGAATCATGGGGGAGGGTTTTCCCTGCTACTCTCATAATATAGAATCAGTCTCACAAGATCTGACGGTTTTATAAAGGGCAGTTCCCCTGCACACACTCTATTGCCTGCCGCCATGTAAGAGGTGCCTTTGCTCTTCCTTTGCCTTCATCATGATGGTGAGGCCTCCCCAGCCATGTGGAACTGTGAGTCAATTAAACCTCTTTTCTTTGTAAATTACGCAGTTTCAGGTATTTCTTTATTAGTGGCATGAAAATGGACTAATACAATTATCTACAATTTCTTTGAAATGAATATTGAATAGTTTTTTGTTCTTACCCTGAGATTACTCAAGCTGCTGTGAAATATTTACCTGTGGGTTTATGAGCAGGGAATATTAAACTATAGTATTCAGACCAATTAAAGCAGTGTCAGCATAAAATCACTAGTCATTTGTTAAAGGAACATTCATTGAGAGGGTCTGGTCAGTGTTAGTTCCTGTACTAAGTCTTAGGCATACAGAGAGGAATATGACACAGTCTTTCCAGTCTGGAGTGGGGACAGTGGAAGTGGACAAGGATTTGGGGAGGTTGTATTGTGGACCAGCTACATTATAAATCAGTAAAACATAAAAGACTCTAAGAAAAAAGCAACTAACTTCTCATGGAGTGGGGATATTTGGGGATGGCAATGTATATGGTAATCTTTCACAGAAAATATATTTGCACCAGGTCTATTGAATGAGAAGGATTTTTTCCAGGCGAACTACTCATTAAAGGATCTGTTCCAGGACGTGACAGCAGCCTGATTATAGATGTGGTCATGAAAGGAATCTAATTGCGTTCCAAGGATGGTGAGATTTCCAGTGTAGATGAAGCACGTGCTTCATCCACAAACCCTATATGGGTTTGACTTAGGTGAGGAATAATTAGACCACAGCCTTTCAATAGAGGTGGAGACCAGATTGTGAAGGGTAGTGTGTTCTAAGCTGAGGAGTTGCAAGTTTTGAATTTTGTTTCATAATATCAGTGTTATATAATATTGTTGTGAAAATGTGATCATTTGTAAAGAAGTCACAATTTTTAATATGACACATAATTACGCAAATGTAGTAGTACTTCCCATAAAATTTCAGATACTCTATCATAAGTCTATCAATGTGATTTTCTGCACCTGTTTCTGCTGTTCCTTTTGCTTCAAATGACTTTCTTCTGAAAAAGTGAGGCCCTCAGAATTAGCCAGCTATTGAACATAATCATTATCAAGCAACTACTATGTGTTAAATTTGTCCTAAAATTCTCATAATGAACCTTCAAGTTTGGTATGACTTCCTGCTTTATAGATAGACAAACTGAAGAACAGTGAGGTCTGAATTTTCTCATTGCCACGTAGTGAGTAGCAATTTCTCAGCTGAGAAATTGTGAAAATGACTGCCTAAAACTGTTTGGGGACACATGTAAGTAAGAGTTGGATTCAAATACAAGTTTCTACCGATTCCTAAATATACAATCATGGCGCAACTGAAACTGGATCATTTTCCTGCTAAAAAAAAATCCTCAAGATAATGAGAGTAGCATTATCAAACTATTCATTTAGCTTCTCTTTGAGGAAGAGACCATGGCAGAGCAAACAGTATGGTGCCATTGTAATAAATGGTCCAGGTAGTGGAAATGCAGAGGAGTGAATAAGTGGCATTATGGGGTAAATGGCAAAGAGTCTATCTACTCCAATAAATTGTAATGGTTTTTAGATAGAGGCATGATTTAATCATTTTATCATTGCCTTTTATAAATATTAAGTATCATTAATATTTGGAGAATCAATGTATAGGTTGTCATGTTGGAGATTGTATTAGTTTGTTTTCACACTGCTGATAAAGACATACCCAAGACTGGGGCAATTCCAAAAGACAGAGGTTTAATGGAGAACTCACAGTTCCACATGGCTGGGGAGGCCTCAAAATCACGGTGGAAGGCAGAAGGCACATCTTACTTCTCAATAGGTGAGAGAGAGAATGAGAGAGAAGTGAAAGCGGAAACCCCTTATAAAACCATCAGTTCTTGTGAGACCTATTCACTACCATGAGAACAGTCTGGGGGAAACCATCTCCATGATTCATTTATCTCCCACAACATGTGGGAATTATGGGAGCTACAAGACGAGATTTGGGTAGGGACCCAGAGCCAAACCATATCAGAGATTTACCATCTAGTCTTTGCATAAGGTTACTGTGTTTGTATTCTACAGAATTGGGAGTCAACCATTGGTTATGAGGTGGGACAAGCCTGGCTTTAAGTTAGGATGCCTGCATTTGTGTCCTGACAAAAGAATTCTAGTTGTGTGGCTGGCCCAGGGCAAGTTACTTGACCCTTTGTTACTCTTTCTATACCTCTTACACTGGGGTCCTAGCATTGCTGAAAGCATGCTGCTGCATACAAGATAACACAAAAGCAGGAAAGGAATTTTACTGTACTCCATGGTTTCAGGAAAATATGATTTCTATATAAACAATCCTGACTATATTATTAACTAGAAGACAAAAATAATTTTTAAAATAGAAATATAAAACTTCAAATATATTCTATACTAATACATAACAGGGTTTATGAATATCCAAGATTCCAAGTGAGTGTTCACTCTTTTTGCCATGGAGATAACTTTGGTAGAAATGTTTGAGAAGCAGTGATCATTTAAGTGACTCTCAGTTTGGTTAAGTGGCAATGATGTTGATACAAACATTCTGAGTATTTTGCAAGGACAAATTAGATCATGAGTTTGAAATGGTTTTGAAAATTCTAAAGAGTATAATGTATAAGAGTTTACTAAGGTATTGTTATTATGCATAACAAAAAGATAAATCTCTGTTATATCAAAATGTGTTAATCAATCATAACTCAATAAAAGTACCTAGGGTGGCCAGGATAGCAAACCATCTGCAGGTTCTTGAGGAAGATACATGAAAGATACATGATTCTGTTGTTTGTTTCCTCCTATTGTCTTAACCTTCCAAGAGAACGAATTGTGTCTGTTTTACTTGCTGTCATATTCCCAATTCCTAGAACGGTGTCTGACACAGCAAATCAACATTTGCTGAAAAGTGAATTTATAAAGAGACTCTCAGTGCAGTCATTTTTCTTATTAATGAGTACATTGGCCCCCATCTGTAATTTATCCTAATAAGCTGGGCTCAACCAGGGATGAACTGCCAGAATCTTTTTATTTGTAATCTGGCACCCTGAGTGGCATTAAAGATACCAGCAGTATTAAAGATTTTAAAAACGTAATATGAAAGATTGCCAAAGGTGGACACTAAAGTGTTAAGAACAGATTTTAATCCCTAATAAATTATTGCAATAGGGAAGAGGGCCCAATGTAAACAGAAATGAACTTCAATTTGTGCAGAAATGACTGGGTGTTTTAGAGGGTGAATAAAAGAGTGGAAAAAGAGTGAGGCAGGGGCTTCAACATGAGTCAGGAAAGTGGAATTTACAAAAAGCTGAAAGGGTAGGTTTTTCCCATGAAGCCCATCTGAATTTGTTAAGTGGCACTTAGGGAAGTTAGACTCAACTCCTCCACAGAGACTAGGAGAGGGGTCCTATTTTCAAGTGTTGGCTGAAATAAACAGTAAATTATTTTGGCAGCCTTTACCTTTTCCAGGCAGAAACTTTTGGGGTTTGGAATTCCCATCCTAGTGATGTGACCTTGAGTCATTAGAAAAAATGTTAGTGTTTGAGTTCATTGTAGATTCTGGATATTAGCCCTTTGTCAGATGAGTAGGTTGCAAAAATTTTCTCCCATTTTGTAGGTTGCCTGTTCACTCTGATGGTAGTTTCTTTTGCTGTGCAGAAGCTCTTTATTTTAATTAGGTCCCGTTTGTCAATTTTGGCTTTTGTTGCCATTGCTTTTGGTGTTTTAGACCTGAAGTCCTTGCCCGTGCCTATGTCCTGAATGGTAATACCTAGGTTTTCTTCTAGGGTTTTTATGCTTTTAGGTCTAATGTTTAAGTCTTTAATCCATCTTGAATTCATTTTTGTATAAGGTGTAAGGAAGGGATCCAGTTTCAGCTTTCTACATATGGCTAGCCAGTTTTCCCAGCACCATTTATTAAATAGGGAATCCTTTCCCCATTGCTTGTTTTTCTTAGGTTTGTCAAAGATCAGATAGTTGTAGATATGAGGCATTATTTCTGAGGGCTCTGTTCTGTTCCATTGATCTATATGTCTGTTTTGGTACCAGTACCATGCTGTTTTGGTTACTGTAGCCTTGTAGTGTAGTTTGAAGTCAGGTAGCGTGATGCCTCCAGCTTTGTTCTTTTGGCTTAGGATTGTCTTGGCAATGCAGGCTCTTTTTTGGTTCCATATGAACTTTAAAGTAGTTTTTTCCAATTCTGTGAAGAAAGTCATTGGTAGCTTGATGGGGATGGCATTGAATCTATAAATTACCTTGGGCAGTATGGCCATTTTCACGATGTTGATTCTTCCTACCCATGAGCATGGAATGTTCTTCCATTTGGTTTTATCCTCTTTTATTTCATGGAGCAGTGGTTTGTAGTTCTCCTTGAACAGGTCCTTCACATCCCTTGTAAGTTGGATTCCTAGGTATTTTATTCTCTTTGAAGCAATTGTGAATGGGAGTTCACTCATGATTTGGCTCTCTGTTTGTCTGTTATTGGTGTATAAGAATGCTTGTGATTTTTGCACATTGATTTTGTATCCTGAGACTTTGCTGAAGTTGCTTATCAGCTTAAGGAGATTTTGGACTGAGACCATAGGGTTTTCTACATATACAATCATGTCATCTGCAAACAGGGACAATTTGACTTCCTCTTTTCCTAATTGAATACCCTTTATTTCATTCTCCTGCCTAATTGCCTTGGCCAGAATTTCCAACACTATGTTGAATAGGAATGGTGAGAGAAGGCATCCCTGTCTTGTGCCAGTTTTCAAAGGGAATGCTTCCAGTTTTTGCCCATTCAGTATGATATTGGCTGTAAGGACATGAACAGACACTTCTCAAAAGAAGACATTTATGCAGCCAAAAAACACATGAAAAAATGCTCACCATCACTGGCCATCAGAGAAATGCAAATCAAAACCGCAATGAGATACCATCTCACACCAGTTAGAATGGCAATCATTAAAAAGTCAGCAAACAACAGGTGCTGGAAAGGATGTGGAGAAATAGGAACACTTTTACACTGTTGGTGGGACTGTAAACCAGTTCAACCATTGTGGAAGTCAGTGTGGTGATTCCTCAGGGATCTAGAACTAGAAATACCATTTGACCCAGCCATCCCATTACTGGGTATATACCCAAAGGACCATAAATCATGCTGCTTTAAAGACACATGCACACGTATGTTTATTGCGGCACTATTCACAATAGCAAAGACTTGGAACCAACCCAAATGTCCAACAATGATAGACTGGATTAAGAAAATGTGGCACATATACACCATGGAATACTATGCAGCCATAAAAAATGATGAGTTCATGTCCTTTGTAGGGACATGGATGAAATTGGAAATCATCATTCTCAGTAAACTATCGCAAGAACAAAAAACCAAACACTGCATATTCTCACTCATAGGTGGGAATTGAACAATGAGAACACATGGACACAGGAAGGGGAACATCACTCTCTGGGGACTGTTGTGGGGTGGGGGGAGGGGGGAGGGATAGCATTAGGAGATATACCTAATGCTAAATGACGAGTTAATGGGTACAGCACACCAGCATTGCACATGTATACATATGTAACTAACCTGCACATTGTGCACATGTACCCTAAAACTTAAAGTATAATAATAATAATAAAAAAGTTAATGTTTGTTTGAGTCTTTTAATGAGGGTTGGTGAATGGAGTAGACAAAATCATTTATCAGAGAGTCTGCTCAGAGGAGTCTGACTAGTGTTCAGTCATGGATAGGATCTTTGTTAGTGACCTACTTTGGTTTTCCTTGGAAACCAACTTAGTTTGGCTTATATGATTTTACCTCCCTTAGGGTAAGAAACACAGAAAAAAAAGACAAATTTAAAATAAAGAGAATTTGATCCTCCAAAGTCTAGAGCAGTGGACTCAAGTCTCCTACTCTGTGCTTCCTTTTCCCTTGTCCCCAGAAAAGCCTTACAGATCTTTTCAGAGAATCTTCCTTTCAAATTAGGGGGCAGCCCCAGAGCTATTTTACCGAACCAGTTGTTTGTTTAGCATTTTATAGAAGAAATATGAAGAGAGGATCAAGATTCAAAGGGATAAAATCTTCCAAGAAAAGACACCATGAGATCAAATAAAGCTTCATTAATTAGCTTGTTTTTCTTCTCTGCAGATGCTGCCCTTCTTGGAATGGTGGTTCAAATTACTGTCCTTGATCAATGTCTTAACTCCC
Source organism: Homo sapiens (assembly GCF_000001405.40). NCBI lineage: Eukaryota > Metazoa > Chordata > Mammalia > Primates > Hominidae > Homo > Homo sapiens. The sequence goes on from NC_000011.10 coordinate 21,552,868, forward strand.
CTACTAGGGCATAGTTTTTGGAAAAGCCTTGACTTCCCCTTAGAAGTTTGGAACTACAATACACAGGGCAGTGAAAGGAAATAATAAATAATATGCATGAAAGGACTTGGAATTCTTAGCTCCTGTAATCTGACCCTCCTTTGTTTACATTAAAACCTGGTTTGAGAATTGCTGTATTGACAATGTTTTTAGACCTTTGACTTCTGTGTAAATTGCAGAATGCTTCTTGTAGTGAATGAAATTACTTTGTAACCTCCCTGTGACTAAGACCTTTCCTTGGCACAGAAGAGAGAAGAAATAATTCCTCATCTGAGAACTTGCTTGAGAGAATGATCTGTCAAAATAGAGAGTTAGTTTTGGTTTTCACCTTGGCTGGATTCCCCATGTGTATTTGTCACCGAGGATTACATTGCCAAGGCTTCAGTGCAGACAGGAAAAACATACTTCTTCCTTTGTTGCTTCCTCTCATTGGCACTTGCTTGTAAATACTCATTAAGGGAGAGCAGAAATGTTTCAATAATTATGGAATGTCCAAGAGAACTGTTTAATTCTAAGAAATGCATTTGTTATCCCAAAACTAGTTCTTTCCTTCACCTCTAACCTGCTCTTATTCTGTCACCACTCATATTCTAAAACTTGAATTACAAGCTCAGCCTTACAGAGGTGAAAAGTAATCATATCAAATTGGAAATGGACAAGATCTTAGAAAACATTTTATATAGCTCCTAAATTTTACCAAAGAGAAGCCTGGGGCCATCCAAAAGCAAGGGTTCTTTTTCAACCACAGCTCCACCAAATCTAAACTTAACAAATGTTTATGCATTTCTTATTAGGTGAAAGACACTGTAAAAGCTGCTATGAGAGACATAAAGATAAGACCAGAATCTTACAAATGTGAATGGGTAAGGAAGATAGAAAAGATAGAATGCTTACAGCTAAGCATACAAGAAAACATAAAGCCAACATAGGCAGCATAAAATTAAAATACAGGGAAAGTAATTCTTTTCAGCAAAGGATGAAATTTTGTTAAAGACATTAAACAATATAATGGCTATAACAATACAGTGTGTATAGCTGGGTATTAGTCATTTAGTAGACTGCAGCAATAATACAAACCACCCTCCTACTCATAAGCAGATATGTAAAAACATATAAATCGTGGGTTGTTGACATCAATACTGTAGCCTCTGTGCAGTAAAACTCTGTTTAAACAGCAAGTATTTCAGTATTTATGGATTTTTTATTTATTCTCTCTGCTGGTCAGAACTGTATTGATTTTAAGCAGATTTAATCACTGGTTAAAGAAGTATGACTTGTTCATAGCAGAAAGTAAACCAACTTGATTAATTTAGAAGAAACTTTTCTTCGTCTACAGTAAAACACCTAAATTTGTACATCCTATAAATAAAATGTAATTAGTGACCAAAGCAAGTTCATGGAGTGTAAGAAAATTATGTTTTTCAACATGTTTCACTTAACATCAGATTAAGGCTCAGAGAAAGCTTTTAATGTTAACATTTCTGGGTATGGCTAGCCAATGTACTAATCAAAACCATGTGAATTCATGTGAGAATCAGAATTCACGTGGAAATCCTTGGCAAATCGATGAATGTGTGGGCTGGTTGCATCATAAGAGATCAGGAGTGGTGGTACAGATTTGAGTATATTTGAGTATCTGTCCTGAAGAGATGGGAGAGTGAAATTCATTAAATGAGATTAAATGTATGAGAGAAAAATTATAGAAACAATAGGAACAAGACCAACAATAATAGTGACTAATCATTTTTGAGCAATTATTACATGACAAGCATATCGTTATGTATTTACCCAAATGATTCTATGGAGTATATTTTTATCTACATTTTTCTACATAATGGGACCAAGACTCAGAGATGTTAGGTAAATTTTTAGAGTCGTACAACTAATAAATTGCAGGGATGGACTGGGACAGAGTTGACTCACTTGTCCCTATGGGGCTGGAACTTTCTCAGTTTTAGCACTGAAAGTCAGCTATCTCAGGAACTCCCTCAGTGCCAGGCAAACTGGTATCCGCAGTTTCTGGATTACAAAGGTTAAGCTTTCAATTGGTATGCTATACTTCTTCCACTAAGGAGAAAGAGAAACAAGGACCAGACGTGGAAACTTAGGATATACAAATATTTTTTTAAAATGAGAGACAACTATAAAGTCAATACTTACAGGGCCATATCTGGCTTCTTTGCCCATTGTATCTCCAGCACTTAGCAGTGTATCTGGCATAGAGTAGATGTTAATGGCATAGAGTAGATGTTAAATAAATATGCAGGGAATTCATTTATTCATTGATGAGTACTAGTGACTAGATAATGAAGAGATAATAGGATGAAGAGGGCAATATTATATTCCAGAAGGGTCACAGAGAGAGCTCTTAGACTGAAATAATCAATAACAATATTTGTTATAATACTTTTTAAGCAAGGGTGATGATTTTGCAAACTAGTGGTTATGAGAGACTTCAAGATTTAGCCTTCGAGAAGAGGGTCCCACGGAAGCTTGCACACATTCAGGAGAGAATGAAAATGAGTAAATGCGGATAGTTGCTAATTGTAGATACTAGGAAATAAAATCTGGATCAAGGAAATAGTGAGCCAAAACAGTGTTATATTTTTCCTTTGTCAAAAGAGAGTCTCCTTAATTAAAAGAAAGGGGAAGAGTCATTGCAGAGTAAGAAAATTATACACCAAACAAGGGAACACCATAGGAAAGGGTTTCTTCCTGACTCAGGAAAGGTTTGGGGCTGGAACAGTGAGTGAAGAGTTAATGCTAAAGGGGTATTGAAAATTCTTCCTAAAAGATACATAGCAGCATCTCAAATAGATGAAGCTATCTCTAACTTATCTCTTCCTTTAGTCTTTGTCTTTTCAGGCTGAACATCCTGTGTTTTGCCAAAGTGAGATGAGTTTGAGCTCCTCATCACGCTAATGGATCTCTTCTGATGTGTTCTAACTGTGTCAACCTCATTCTTCATAGTCTGTGTGCTAAAGGGAACACAATATCCAAGTGTGGTATGGCCAGCACATGATAGAGCATGGCTGCCACCGCTTAGCCTGGATTTGAAATTTATTGTGCAGGTTAAAATTTCATTAGCCTTTTATTTTGCAAGTTACATCAGACTTCAGATTCGCTACTTATTTTACTTATTTTGCTAACGTGTAGTGTGTATATTTTCCCCCATAATTTTCTCTCTGCCACTGTAAAAAAAGCAATACTGCTTTAGATATTGGAGAGGGATCTGTTCTCTAGACTGTCTGTCATTAATGAACCCCCAAGCTCTGTTCTCATTTCTGAGCCACTCATAATGATTTCCAGGTAGGAACACACACACACAGCTGTATATTCAAACGCTGGGTAAACTTTTGTTTCTGACACATCACCTGTTTTGAGTTTGAAAATAAGACTAGATGTGCTGTCAAAGTTATTCAAGAAAGAGGAATATGGGGTAATGAAAAAGTTCACTGCTTTGACCTGTTACCAAACTGTTGGTAAAATGTTTACTTTGATTTCTGAAATCAACCTGTAGAAGTATTAGCTCCTGAGGCAAGTACTAATACAGTGGTTATGCTATTAAAAATTTCTGCAGAGCCATTTGGCTTGAAGGGTAGGAAAATTGTTTGCAGCTAGTTTAGGATTGGTTTGATTGCTGCTGTTATAAACATCTCTGAATTCTATTTTCTTACATGCCCAAGTAACCTAAAAACCTCACATCAAAGATGAAAGCAGATTGACTTGGCACAACTAGATTGTTTTAAAGAGCAAAACTGAGTACAATAATAACAGCTTTCAGAAATTGTGAAAATGTTAATGCAAGAAAATTAGTTCTAATGCAAGCTTAGCCATGGAATTTTATTGAAAAAATATTTCATTCGAGCATGAAGCATTTAAATAATGAATTTATAAGAAGAAACACAGAGAGATCACAGCCAGCCATTATTTACAATAAGAAAAACAAGTACATTCTAATGATAATAGATTTGAGTACGAAATACTCAAATACTTCGTGTAATTTTTCTTTCATTGCCTGTTTGTCATTGGGAGGCCTGTCTGATGATTTGGGTAAGTCTCACGGGTGAATAACTTTGTGTTTGCTCAGCAGAGAACAACAGTTGCAATATGTAAATAGGGTGCCTCTTCCCGTTGGCTGCCTTGGGATATGTATAATAGATTAAGTTGGCTTTGTGCAGAGCAAACAGGTCTGTATTACTAAGAATATGAATAATGTTGGTTTCCATAATTGCTAACATCTGGCTTTCCATAAATCTGCTAAATTGCATGGAAACAGAATTAGATTTCTGTGTCATAAGTAAAGCAATTACATGGAACTCTGTAGGCAATATGGTCCTATATTCAACTGTGAAATCTTTTCATTCTGGAGAAGTGAAAGCAAATCCTGGTTTTGCGCCCTGCTTTTATTGTGCACAATAGGTATGTTTATCTTTATGCTCAGCCTTCTTAATTTATGAGAGAAAATCACTACCAATATATTTGCAACTTTGTAAATGCAAAATAACCAAATATTTTAAAAGCATAATATAGCTGGGCATTAGTTGTCAATGTAGATATTTTTTAGAGAAAGCCATAAATTACCAACCCTTTTGTAGCCACTGGTGGTGGATGGGTTGAAGTTATACTTCCAGACAATTTCTGGAGCCATTTGTTAATGCTTCCTCTGCCCTTGTTCTCAAGCATTTGACAGAAAATAAAAGTTTTTTCCTGGGGAAGGGGCAGGGCATTGCCCCTTCTTCAATGTGGTTGCTAATTTGCTGTATTTTTTCTACTTTAAATTAGACCCAAGGGCCTTCACAGATGAGAACTCAACAACAAAATGTGTTCCCTGAAGGGCAGGGTTGTGATTATGCCTTATGCTTGTTGAACACTCTAAAGACCGAGTTTTGGCAAAGTAGGCATTATAATAGTCTCAGTCTGTGGATTTCCTAAGAAAGTTAAATGGAATAAATACATCGAATATCCATATAGTATTCTGTTATACTCAGCACTGGGAAGAGAAAGAAAAATAAAATTTAGTGTCTGCCCTCAATGAGCTCACTCTCTCTGGAGGTAGACAAGTTAAACACGTAACTCCTGAGAGAGGAATGCAGGATAGAATTGTGTATAAGGTACAGAGAAAGCAAAAAATCTGTAGTGACTGTCTTGCCATATAAGAGATGGTGAGGCTTAACCTGAATTTTTAAGACTGCGTAGGAGTGAAAGTAGTACAGGAAGGAAAGTGCTTATCAATTAATTGATTGATACCTCACCTCATTCCCTATAGGACAAGAAAAAGTAGGGAAAGAGAGAGAGTACTCTCATAATAAAAGAAAGCATGTTCTAAGACACAGTTGTTTCATAGGAAACAATATGGCCTCTTTGTGGATCTCCCGTTGCTTTTTAAAAAAAAATCAGTTGACAAATACATTTTATATATATTTATGGTGTACAACATGATGTTTTGAAATAGGAATACATTCTGGAATGGCTAAATAATCAAGCTACATAATATATATATATATATTACCTTATACACTTACTTTTTTGTGACAAAAATATTCTCAATTTTCAAGCATACAATACCTTGTTATTAACTACAGTCATCATGTTTGACAATAGAGCTTCTTGAATTTATTCCTTCTATTTAACTGAAATTTTGTATTCACTGCTTTTGAATGAAAAGGGAGGGGACAAGAGATAACAATTGCAGTATTAGATGGCATTTATATGCTATGCTGGGTTTAAAATTTTTGGAAGACCATACATTGAGTGGGTATAGTGTATATAGAAGATAAATGAGAGAAAAACAAAGTAACATGTCAAAGAATATATAACTGTTACGTGTAAAATGACTAATACATGGTAAGCACTCAACTAAAAAGTAAGAGCTTGGTTTCAAACATTGGTCACCAGACTCCCACATTTAAAACTCCTTTTAGTTGAGAAGAATAAGAGAATTGAAAGAAGATTGAAGAGATAAGAGAGGCTATATGAAAGGAGCACCATATGTTCAAATAGAAATACACTGAGAATGGGATGGGCATGACTAGTAACAGTGAGGAGATATAGTGAGGCTTGATTTTAGTTGACTTACCATACAGGCATCATAATTTGGGATCTTTTCTATAATTTTCAAAGGAGAAATCATTGTTCACTAATGAAATGTCTTGACTAAAGCTAAAATTGGTAAGACAAAGCCAAAAATTAGATCTTGGAAAAAAGTAACTTCTAGAAATATTATTAGAATTTCTTAATGTCATCTGCTTTGTATTGCACCATGTGCAAAGAAACTTGTGCATAGCAGGTAAACCAAAACCAAGTAGACTAGTAGACACTTATTCAATGGCCTCAGACACTAAGTATCAGTACTTCTACAAATGAGTAGAAGTTACTCGGTAGTATATTTCATCTCAATTTAAGGGAGACATTTCCAAAAGAGTTATCCAAAGGTGGAGTCAGGTATTTTGCAAGGTAATGGATTGCCTTTTGGGGAAGGACTTAAGCCAGGGTTGGACAGGTTTGTGTTTGAGATGTTGTTAAGGTCGCTCAAGCTTTAAATGTCAGAATCGGCCGACTGGATTTATGTTTTTATTCCATTGTTGGCTGTCAATAAAGAGCAGGACAATATATTTATGTCTTTCATCAGCATCCATCCATATAGCAATTATTTTTTATGCACGGGCAAATATTCTGCTGGCCATAAGGATAGTAAGACTTTGACTATAAAAGACACCTATCAAGAATTGTTCCCACTTCCTTCAACTTTGGTGGTAGGATCTAGGAGCAATCTGATTGTCTCAAGGTTGCCCAAATTGCCCACTTGTTCCTACTCAGTGGCTAATACATTCACATCTTTTCTAAAAGACTCAGATCTCCATGGTGGTGTGTGCATACTGTTAATGAATTAACAGTGTTTATGGCCTCTGGATGAAATCGTTCTTAAGAATATCCTAAAAGAACTTGCTAACTGCTACTGGATATTTTAGTAATTAGAGTCTGGGAGCTAGCTGTAGATTTGGGTCTCAGATCAGCCACTTACTAGCTCTATGACAGTGGTCATGTTATTTAAGTTATGAACCTCAGCTTCATTATTTGCAGAATAGGAATAAGGACAGATCTCCCACACAGAGCAGAACTGACTTGCAGTGTAAATGAGATAATACATGTGAACAGCTTGGCAGTACCTAGCACAAGGTAAATGGTCGATGATGTTAGTTAATGCTACTGCAAATGATGGTTGTTTGTTCTCTAAGTTCCCTTGGCTAGATTCTAAGCTTCTGTGCTTCCTATATTGCAGACATTGATGAATGTGCCTTAAGAACTCACACCTGTTGGAACGATTCTGCCTGCATCAACCTGGCAGGGGGCTTTGACTGTCTCTGCCCCTCTGGGCCCTCCTGCTCTGGTGACTGTCCTCATGAAGGGGGGCTGAAGCACAATGGCCAGGTGTGGACCTTGAAAGAAGACAGGTGTTCTGTCTGCTCCTGCAAGGTGAGGCTGATGTGGTGCAGCAGAAATTGAAACTGTTCTTTCTCTTCTTCCCTCACTTTTCTACCTCCCCAGCTCTCTCCCTCTTGCTGTTGACTGTAGTTCCTGAACAGGCTTCTCCTGTTCTTATCTACATTACAGCTAATGATGATGCTAAGGGGTAGGGAAGCCTGCTTTGAATTGATTGTGTTCTTAGTGGAAAGTGAGGTATGAGATTGAGAAGGAACTGCAGGGAAGGCGAAGCAGGGTAGAAAAGCCAATGATAGTCCTCCCACTGAAAGCCTACAGTGCTTTTAAGGTTGGTTGGGTGAGAGTTTTAATGAGCCCTCATCCCACGCTTATACAAACTTGCTGATTAAAACTACTCTTTGCCTAAAATAACCACCTGCATGAACTTGCTCACTTTATGACATCATCTAGAAAAGCAAGGCCAACAGACTTGCATCCAGTGCTGAGACAGGTGGATTTTCATTTTGAACAAATGATAATGATAGTATGAGGCCTCTTAGAAATTGATGTCTTCTTTGTTATTCTCAGTGCTGGGCCATTCCTTATATTAAGTTGTTGGAAAGTGAGCTTAATGCTTATGAAAATAAAATTCTGTCATCATTTGGTTTTGCTTTATGCTTTGCAAAATGGGTCTATTAAACTGTTTGATCTCTTTGTGCTTTATTTCTTCTTTTATTGATCTTGCCTATTTATTTTCCTTTGTTATTGCTCTACTGTAGCTCTTGCCTGGTATGTCTATGTCTGTTGGGATGGGACTATTTAATCTTGAGCTTTATGTGCATGGGAACCAAGATAAATTACTTGCTTAGTAGCCTCTTAGCCAAGTCTCCTGATAAATTCCCAGTCTGCTGAAACAGAGCTGAAATGAGCCTTAAGAAATCATCCAGTTCATCCACTTGCCTTCATCTGCCACACATCCACAGACCTGGGGCCACCTAGTTAGGAGGGCCACATTATCAAGTGCTAGATCATTACCCCCAACACCTATTTTTTCCCCTTTCACATAAACCTAGTTTCCCACACTCCAATCTAGGTTTGTTTTCCCTTATTGGAGCACCTGCTATATTTCAGCCACCCTATAATTCAAAAAAGCTGCATCATGTTTACTTCTTACAGCACTACTTTGAAAGACAATGAAACTGAATTTCCATGGGATAAAGTAACTTGCCCTAAATGTTAAAGATATAAATGTCTAAGCTGTGACTTGAACTCCACTTGCTTGGCTCAAAGTTCATAGTTTTTCCATCTTGTCAGATGTCTTGTAACACTCTACGATGATATTTATTGGTATATTTAAAACCAGTTAGGTAACTGGTAATCTAACTTGACTGAGCTCAGACTTTCAACTCAGACTTTTGACTTTCAACTAGATTCCATGTACTTCCTTGTATGTAAGTGACTGGTGAGACATTCCTTCAAGGGGTTTTGAAGTTATTAAGTATAATATTTAACCACATGGTGCTGACTCAAAGGGCAAAAATTTTTAAGAGAAGACAAATCTCATTGTGGGTTAGAATATTTCCATAATTCCTCATGGAAGAGGATGGTAATTAGGTCTCCCATTCAGCCAGCAGAATGGGGGTGAATTCTTTGCTAGGTCATTTCAAGAAACTATTGTGTTATTAAACTTTTGAGGATGATCATTACATATCCTCACATCCTTTTTGGGCTTTCTAGGTCCCCAGTCCCTGGAATAGGCAAAGGACATTAGTGGAGTCTTGATTAGTATGAGAGTAAAATTCTTCTTTCAGTTTTTGTTTTATTTAAGCCATGATGAAGCAGGGAACTTACTAATCATTGAAAATTTCCCAGAGCTTCTTTAATTAACTGTATTAATAATCCAAGCAACGTATATTGATTTCTTCTGTTTTGAATCCTGAAGTGTTTCCAAAGTCTTATGAGAATTAGACTGAAATTTCCACAGGGGATGAGCAATTCTTGTAATCTAATTTTGTTAATATGATGCACCTTCACTGCAAAGCACTGCAATTTCTGAATAAAGTACAGGCAGATTTCTGTACATAAATCTTTTGTTTGTTTGTGTTCTACATGTACTCATTGCCCATTTATAGCACAGTTTCCCAGAGGTTGTGGAGGGGGAAGACAGCCTGGTTTAGGAGCTGAATTAAGCATCCTAAATCAGATTCTGTAAGTCACCATTATAAAATGAACTGTTTGTGGCCCTCCTTGTTTCTATTATTTGAAGTTGAAAATGCTCTGTTTCAATTCAATTTGATAAGAAATACCTCCAATACTTACACATCCAAATGGGTGACTATAATGGCATCATCTTGGAAGCTAAGTAATAAAATCAAGGTTGGGATATAAAGTACTATCTTTTCAATCATATCCTTGATGTTTCAGATTTAAATGCCGTCAAATTATGCAACAGCAGAATTACACAAACCAACAAAAGGTCAAGACTTACTGCTGAAGGAAATAGAGTTAAAATTTTTAAAAGGCTACTTTCCCCTTTGAGAGTCAGTACACCAGCTTAGCTGCTAGTGTTTCATGGTAATTGATAAAAAGGCCTTGAAACATGTCCACAGATGAATAGAGTTCAATGATGAAGCTAGGCTAGCATAAATGGATTTGGGCTTTTGTTTAGATTCTATGTACTTCCTTGGCAGTGACAATGTTTTTGTGCATCTTTAGACACCTAGTTAATTAGGTACAGAAAGATTGCTGCACAGCTTAAAACTTATGTCCCTCCAGCATTATTTAGACCACAGGAACCCAGATGAAAAGTGGTTGTCTCTCTGGGATTGATCCATAAATCTTGGTTACAGCCCAGCGTCTTTTCATAGATACCCATCTGTGGCTCTTCCATTCATAAATTTGTCTAGGACTTTAGGAAGACATCTTTATTTTCAGCCTGTGCTACATGGGAAGGTAGAGACGTCCCCAGCTTATTCGTTTCTAGGAAATGTAGTATTTTAGTGTGAGTAGTTGTGTTTATGTTGCAGATCATGGAGATGAAGATGAAAATGGATACACAAACAACTAACCACTTGTCATATATGGTAGAGCTATGAACAATTTGCTGTGGGAACACAGAAAGGGGAAGCATAGTCTGCCCTCTGTATTTGTTGGTTCCACATTCTTGGATTCAACCAACCCCAGATCAAAAGTATTTAAAAAACAAAGATAATGCAAATTTAAATTAAAAATATAAATATTTCATTTTTACCCTATTAGGTATTATTAGTAATCTAGAGATGATTTAAAGTATATGGGAGGATATGCATAGGTGGTTTGCAATACTATGCAGTTATATGCAAATACTATGCCATTTTATAAGGGACTTGAACATCTGCAGATCCTGGTATCTGTGCAGAGGTCCTTGAACCAATCCCCCAGAGATACTGAGGGACGACTGAATGCTCTACTCTGGGAAGATGCAGAAGTGAATACGGAAAGCCTTTCACAGAGGAGGTGATCTTTGAAGGGGCCCTTAAAGGATGAGGAATTTAATCAAGTAGAGATGTAGGGGAAGGTGAATCCCAAACAAGAGGGAACTGTAAGAACAAAGATGAGGAAGTGTAAGAATATATGTTGTGTTAGAAATATGAAGTGAATCATGAGCTCAAAATATCAGGAACAAAAAGAGTATAAGAAGGGTATAGTCACTGATGAGCCAGGAGATTATGATGAGCCAGGAGATTAAGGCTGAAGACAGAGCCAGGCCACGGGATTTAGACTTCATCCTGTGGGCAGCAAATGATCGTAAGAGATTTTACGTTTGGAATTGGCAGGGCCCAGTCAAGGTCTGATTGACAGCATGATGGATGACCTGAGCAGATAGAAGCTAACTAGAAAGAAATCACTTAGGCTGAGGTAAAGGTTCAGAGGAGTAAAGATGAAAACCTGAAAGAGGGATAGAGAAGTAACATCTAATGGGAGAAAATGCAGAAGTGAAAAATGGGTCCTGATGACTGATGATGCTAGAGACTTAGTGTCTGTGGTAATGTCTTCCCTATTCTCTGGGCAAAAAAAAGCTCCTGAGTAGCATGTTTGAGACATAGCTGCCCATTTTCTCAGGTGAACAGGATTCAGGTGCCATTACATAAGAGTAAGAACCAGGGTCTGCAAGTTGGGCTTGTATACTACTACATCTATACCTACATGTACACTTATACCTATACTATTTTGAGTAGTAACTGGATAATCTAGTGGGAGGAAGAGAGCGAACTATGAAGGCCAGATAGTGTTTCTATGATTTCTTGCAGTTAAAAAATGTGAGTAGCCTTCATCGTGAAAACAAAGTAATACTAAAGACTTGAGCAGTGTTAGTTCTTGAGTTTTTCTGGGGTTTAGAGATGAGTAGGGAAAGGGATACCATAAATAGCCAGTATTTATGGTATAACAGTATTCCATGTTATAATAAAGTCAGGGATGAATTACCGTGGAAAGGAAAGTCAAAGTGAAGAAGACCTTTTTCATGAGATTGTCTGGAATCATGGCCATCTGATCTGGTTTATGTAAACCTATTCCCAGAAACTGAAGATGGTCATGCCAGCGACACTCTCAAGAACTCATGTATCTCTTTCTGGCAAGGAGGAAAGAATCTGATCCACAAGGAGCAGTCAGCATACTGGTTCTGCCTTCCTAAGAATAGGACTTACTCACAGGAAGAAGCCAGGGAACAGTCTGGTCTGTGCCTGGGGCCAGGATAGAAGCAAACTTTCTGAATTCCAGCAAACTGCTCATAAAAATGCTTTGCCTTGCTCTTTGAACCCAACTAGCAGCATTATAAATATTTTCCTGTCTGTGGTGGTTTTGATGGTTGGAGTTAGCTGTGCAAGCTGTAAGATTGTGTTTCTTTTCCTTGGAAAGAGGAACTTATTGGTAGGTTTCATTTGGCACTCAAAACTCTAGGGGTCCTGTAAAGGAACAGGGCGTCTCTTTCTATTTCCCTGACTCTTTCCCCTGTGGTAGTGTTCAAAACCCTGTTTTGACCTTGCAGGAGCTTGAACGTTACACCATGCTACCTCCCCATCTGACTGGGTGATGTTTTTTCTCCATGATTTTGAAGCTTTGCACCAGAATCACCTGCAGGGCTTGTGAAACTTTGATCACTGGCTCTACCCTCAGTATTTTCTGGTTCAGTAGATCTGGGGTGGGGTGCAAGAATTTGCATTTTTCAGTAGTTCCCAGGAGATGGTAATGCTGCTGGTTTGAGGACTGCCACTTTGAAAACTTTTGCCCCAAGAATACTTCTGATATCACTTTATCTAAAATTAGTTTTTCCTATCCCCTAGCCTCCTCACGATACAAAAGGTGCATCACAGTGGAAAATCATTGTTATGAAAGTTCAGGTTAGGGATAAGTTTCTGTTTTGTTATTAGTTTTCTACATGGAAAAGGCATTTGCCTCTCTGGGCTTGGTTTCCTCTTCATTAAAATGAGATAACTGGATAAAATGACTGCTAAATGTGTTTCTACCCCAGGTGTTAGGACTAAGAGACCAGTTTGTGGGCTGTGACCTGAAGGCAAAATTAATACTTTGTAAAAAGATTGGAAATCACAGCTCAATTTGTGTGTGAGAAAGTAGAATAGGTGCGTCTAGATTACCAACCCTAATTTCATAGTCTATATCAGGCATCAGCAAGGTTTTTTTCTTTAAAGAGTCATGTTGTAAATATTTCATGTTTTGTAGACCATAAAGCTTCTGTCCCAAATACTCAATTCTGCCATTGCAGTGTGAAAAAGACCCACAGACAAAATGTAAATGAACAAGGGAACTTGTGTTCCAATAACACTTCATTTACAAAAACAGGCATCAGGTTGAATTTGTACCGTGGGCATCCGTTTTCCAACCCAAAGTTTATATTACTGTTTTACAGAAATAATCTGACCTACGTCCACCTTCTTGATTTAAAAGTTTCAAAACTCTATGGCAGAAAAAAAATGAGTGATATTATGTAATCTGGAGTAAATATATCAGTATTTACTGATATATTGACTGAAATACTGAAATATTACTGAAATACTGACTATTCCATATTAAAATTTGTAATTAATAGCAAAAAACCTATAATATTTTTATGGCATAAGAAAAAATGTATTTTTTTTACCAGATAGGAAACTTTATTTCCCTGCTTTTTAAAATTCAGAAGCAATTTAAATATTAGAATAATTATTAATTGCTTATCATTGAACTTGCAGTATAAAATTGCATCAAAACAGCTTCTGTGGCAGAAGATTGCAAAAATACATCTTTGGCATATAAGTAGGGATTGTTCAAACCACCCAAGTTAGGATAGAGATCAAGCTCTGGAAACAGCCTCAAAGATCTCTGATAAAAGGATTACTTATCATCAGTGAGCTCCATACTCTCCCCAAATTTAGTTTCTAGTGTGATTGTGCTCTGTGAGCTGATGTTTTATAATGGCATTCTCATTGTATTAATGGAGTCACCTGTGACATTTTCATTATTAAAAATGATTTTCTTGACAGTTACCCTGTAATTCAAAGGCAAAGTGAACATTGCCATTGTTCTGAAACACGTTAGAAGCTAAGAGGGGCCTATTTGGCATTTTCACATAATTGATGAGATATGAAATTGCTTTATTTTGCACTAACCCTGGAGGCTATCCATTTATTCTTATTCATTCTTTTAATCAGCACATAGGAAGAAAACTGACATTCTTATTGAGTCTCATAGCCTGTTGTGCAGCGACCTTTTCTGAAAGAATTTATCCTTTTGTTTGATGCCAGCCACAGACACAGACATGCTGGTTCCTAAGGCATGATCCTTCTACACTTGGGAAGAGTGATAGTGTGCCATTGGAAGCTGAGCTGATCAAATGGTTTTGTGTTGTAGCTATCATTACTTTGCTTAGTTTTTGTTGGTTAAAGTAAGTCTTCAGGGAGTCATTTGGGGCCATGGTGACACAAGCAAAATATATTACTGAGTTAAAATAATGGTATATGAGCTGTAAACCAAAGGCCTATTGTTGGGAAATTCCTAGGATCAGGACACTTCCTTGTCCTGACTAGCTGGATTCTCTGATTGAATTCACTTGCTAAAATATAGAGTCTCTTGCTTGCTCTCTATATACACATGTTTGCATACACATGCAAATGTATATGTGTGTGTGTATAATCTTTCATCTCTTGATATTTTTGGAACACTATGATTTCTTGTTATTTGTATAGTAAAAGAGCCAATGCACACGATACATTTTTCAACCTGTTGTTATATATGTAGCTGGCATGTCTCCTTTCCATTCTCCTTAAAGAATATAAAGCTTTTAAGGTTTCCACTTTAGCTGACACAAAACATCTCAGCAAGTCCTGTCTGATTATTCAGCGTTGTTGTGGATAAAGTAGATAAAGACCCTGAGGGCAAGTCCATCAAGTTTTCAGATGTCACTAAGCTGTGAAGGACGGTGAGCTATAGTAAATGACATAAATAACATTTGCAAAGCATTGTGACAGGAAGAAGAGATGAAATAGATCTAACAATATGAAATGCAACAGAGATAAACATCAAGTTGTATACTTGCTGCCCCTAAACAGCCAACTGCCCAAGATGAGATAAGGCTTAATGAGGTTTTAGTCTTCATTAAGCTCAATATTAGCCAACACTATGGCATAGTCAAAGAAGTAAATACAGTCATGCATCACTTAATGACAGGGATACATTCTAAGAAATGAGTCATTAGGCTTTTTCATCACTGTATCAACATCATAGAGTATATTTAAACAAACCTAGATGGAATAGCTTGCTACACACCTAGGCTATTTGGTATAGTCTATTGCTTCTAGGCTATAAACCTGGACAGCATGATACTATATTTAGTATTGTAGGCAATTGTAACACAGTGGTGAGTATTTGTATATCCAAACGTAGAAAAGGTACAATAACAATACATATAAAAGACAAAAAATGGTATACCTGTATAGAACACTTACCATGAATGGAGCTTACGGGACTAGCAGTTATGGTAGGTGAGTCAGTGAGTGAATGTTGGGTGCATGTGAAGGCCTAGGATATTACTGTGCACTTCTGTACCTTTATGAACCTTGTATACTTAGGCTACACTAAATTTTGAAAAAGATTTTTTTTCTTCAATAAATTAACCTTAGCTTATTGTAACTTTTTACTTTATAAACTTTTTAATTTTTGTAACTTTTTGACTCTTGTGTAATAACACTTAGTTTAAAACACAAACACATTGTACAGCAGTACAAAATACTTTCTTTATATTCTTATTCTATAAGCTTTTTCTAATTTTTTAAAACTTATTAAACATTTTTTTCAAACCGGCACACAAAAACACACCTTAACCTAGGTCTCCACAGGGTCAGGATTATCAATATCACTGTCTTTCACCTCCATATTTTCCTCCATGTCTTGTCCCACTTGAAGGTCTTCAGGGACAATAACACGCACAGAGCTATCATCTCTTATGATAACAATGCCTTCTTCTGGAATACCTCCTGAGGACTTGCCTGAGGCTGTTTTAGTTATCTCTTTTTTTTTTTTATAAGTAGGAAGAATACATTCTAAAATAATGATTAAAAAAGATAGTATACTAAATACATAAACCAGTAACCTAGCCATTTATTATCATTATCAAGCAGTATGTACTATAAATGACTGTAGGTGTATATTTTTATACAACTGGCAGCTCAGTAGGCTTGTTTATACAGGCATCATTACAAACACATGCATGAGTAATACAGTGCATTACATAATGGCTGCGATGTCACTAGGTGACAGGAATTTTTCAGCTTCATTAAAATTATATAAGACCACCTTTTGTATGTGTAGTATGTCAGTGACCAAAATTTCATTGTGTGGCACATGACTTTATTGAAAAAAAAGCCTGCATTAAAGAAACTACAACACTTAAAACAAGGTGAGCATTAAATTCAATTCACTCTTTCTTCAAAGACCATTGCTGAATAATTCTATTTAGTTCTCTCTCAGCTACCTCATTTGAGAAATAGAGAGATACATTCGCATTCCACAAATTATCAGGATTAAATGTGATCATGCATGTAAATGCCTCTGCACAATGCATGACACAAGATAAGTATTAAATACATGGTAGAATATGATGATGATGATGATGATGATGATGATGATGATGATATATACTTAAAACCATTGAAAGAGAAGGCAACTATGACAGTGAAAGGATTATAAATGATGGGGACTGGTCAAGAAGTTAGAGGTGTTTACCCAGAGATGAAACATCTCAGTGAGTACATAAGAGCTGTCTTCTAAAAACTGAAGAATTGAAACATGACAAAGTGTTTGGAGTTCTGTTATTACTGAAGGTATGGATTCGGGTCAATGGATAGAAGTAATGAGAAGTCTGATTTTTTACATTATAACATGTACAGAGATGCACACTGAATTCTCTCCATAGTGATGAATCCAAGACTGAGAGCCTCAAGCACTTCAGCAGTTGAATATGACCTCAACTGTAGGTCAGGAGGCTTGGTTATATGTTCTTTAAGGTAACTTGCAGCCCTGAGACTCTTTGGTTTTTTAAAATATTCAGCAAATTAGTTATTAGCATGAATGGTGATGACAGACAGGTCTTACCTTAAATTTTCAGCAATGAAGAACATTGTTTAAGAAATTACTGTAAGCAACAGACATAAAAAAAAGACATGCTGCAAAATGTTTACTCTTACTGCTTAAGTGCTGCTGACTTTCAATTTTTTATAGCTATGAATCCTCAAAGACAATACTTCAAAAATTGTACTGTGCTTACAATATGGGGAACTGCCATAAGGTGGAAAGAGGCACCTTATTATACACCCCTGTAGTACACAACTTTAAGGCGATCTTGCCAAAGAATATTTTGAGACCATAACAATTGGTGGTGCTGCTTGGAGAACCACTACCTAACTATGTCATCTTGGATAAGTGGTTTAGCCTCTCTGGGTCTACGTTAATTTTCTGTATAAAGGGCATAATCAGACTTCCTTTCACGGTTGGGACAGGGATATAGTTAGATGAATGTATTTGAATATGTTAAGTGGTAGCATGGAAATACAGGAGCATGATTTTCCACTCAAATGACTTATTGATCATATATGCATTTTTAGCTGCTTACTTATAATTCTTACTTAGAAATACGATTTTTAAGAACCCCTTTGAAAAAGATTTTCAAAAAACATGTTGACTTTTTGTTAAACTTAAAAATGTTCCTATTTTTATTTTTTCTGCTCTGCAAGCAAAATCAGGGAAAGAAAGGGTGTGTTTGTGTGAACACACATGTGTGCTTCAGTTTTGAACAGAATGAGAGGTGGCCAGGGGGTGACCAAACATCCAAGAAGTTCATTTCTCTTAGTGTAGCTGTCCATCATGTCCTAAATGATGAAACCTCCTTAACTTCATTTCTAAACAGGATGGCAAGATATTCTGCCGACGGACAGCTTGTGATTGCCAGAATCCAAGTGCTGACCTATTCTGTTGCCCAGAATGTGACACCAGAGTCACAAGTCAATGTTTAGACCAAAATGGTCACAAGCTGTATCGAAGTGGAGACAATTGGACCCATAGCTGTCAGCAGTGTCGGTGTCTGGTATGTTGGCTTCCTTTATAAGGTGTTGAGCCTTTACTCTGAAAGAGGTTACAAATTCAGTTGTCTGTGGGACCTAGTTCCCAGTTTTTCATAATACTATACAGGGAGCTCTGTGGGGCCTGTGGCTAAGGGTCATGTTCTCTTCCTAAAGATATTCAGGTTGTATTTGAAATACTGTACAAAGTAAAAAGCACATATTTATGGGACAGATTTGACCCAAACAATGACAGTTTACAGCTATTACTAAAAAGAAATCAAGATCAAGAAAAATCTCTGCAAGAAAGGAAGCTTTCAAAACCTTGACTAGTGCTTGTAGTCCTGACAGAGCTAAATCTCTCATTTCTGTGCCATAACCCTTAAAGATTTCAATATAAGAGGTAACAAAACATAGTAGAAATATCAGAGATTTAATCATAGAGACCTAGAATCTAAATGTGGTCCTCCCACATACTAGCTTAAAATGATTACCTTGGGCAAGTCCTAGCATTTTACTGACTATTCTGGCCCTCAAGTGGACACAGGTATGTGAGTACCTCTGAGGGAAAGAATGGGCTGTTACAAAGATTACAAGATATGTAAGAAGGACAAATACAGTACTTGGCTTAGAGAAGGTACTTAGTGTATGGTAGTAACTATTGTTAATACTTCCTACCTTGAAAAATCTTTTCAGATACTACATGTTTAAAAAGGAAAAAATGAAGGTTGTTATAAATATTAATATAGGGCTACTAATGGTATAATTAGATTTGAGAAAGTCCAGAGAAAAGGCTTAATTTCTTGACCTGGTTCTTTCAGTTTCAAATTATATCACAAAGATTTCTAGCAGTGGGAAGACTTCTAGGACACATTGTCATGGAATGTGATGTCCCATATGTAAAGTCACAACTATGGAACATTCTGAGTTGATTGGTAATGGAAACTATTAGCTGTGTGTCCGTAATTTAACATTTGCTGACATGAATGATTCTCATTTTATGGGTACTGTATGAAAACAAGTATTCAGATAAATTATGCTCTAAATTTCCATCAGATTTTTTTAAATCTTCAGGTGAATGTGCAGATAATCTTAACAGAATATGTCTTTCTTAATCACTCCTATGACTGAGAAGCATGACTCAGATAAATAAAAATTGTAGTCATTTTTTAAAACTCCCACCCAAGGACAAAAAAAGTCAATACAACTGTAGAATTAGTTTCCCTATGAGACTGGCAAATTGCATTTCTTTTCCAAGAAGCTAATCATCAGGCATCCAGAAGAATTAGTATTAATTTGATGCATGAAATTTTCATAGATAGAATTTCAAAAGTGTATCCTCTTCCATCCTAGCCCCTAAGATGAATATTTCTCAGGAAAATTGAAGCTGTTAAACACATAACTTATGAATTACTTGAGAATACTGTGGGTCATACTTAATAAATATTCAAGACTTTTCATGTGCCAAACTTTGTATGACGTAACAGTGAGCAAGATAAACATGGCCTATACCTACACAAAGCCCACAGTCTTATGGAGATGACTGAACAATTAAATAAGTTGCCATATATTGTAAGGTATTATGCCATAGATTATAATTCATGATAGCAGAGGAAGAGGATGCATAGTGAAATAGTTTTATTGTGGGCAGCTCAATGAAGCCACAGATGCCAGATGCTGAGACACACAAAAGCTCCATTTGAACTGCAATCTAGAAAGTTCAGTGGTCACATGTTATATTCAAAACCATTCTGAAATGGTTATCTTGACATTGCCCAATCTTAACTTTAAATTTGATTGAAATATTACAGTGCTTCAGGTTCTGCTTTTGAACTTAAGAGAAATTAATTGCTCTTTATATACTAGACAGTACCTTATAATTTATTTATTAGCCTTTATTGACCAAAACTGTGCTAAACATGATGGAGAGAAAGTAACAAGCAGAAAGTCTGAAAGCTCAAAACTTAATGTGGAATTGTGCTAATTATGATATAAGTATCATGTTAAAATAATTATAGGCTGTGCTTGGCACACAAAGAAGCTCACCTAGCTCTTTCTATGTCCTGCAGTATAGATGATCAGCAAAAGCATTCTGAAAGAAGTGAGACCTGTAGTAGGTCTTCAAGGAGGAAGTGTACTTTATCCTCAATGGTGTCAACTAGAAATATTCAGTGATGAGAATTACTGTGCTCTCTTTCCCCTTCTATGACTTTGGGAATAAAATTATGCATAGGAACAATAATGAGACATTTTTTGCTTTTCCTCTACAGGAAGGAGAGGTAGATTGCTGGCCACTCACTTGCCCCAACTTGAGCTGTGAGTATACAGCTATCTTAGAAGGGGAATGTTGTCCCCGCTGTGTCAGTGACCCCTGCCTAGCTGATAACATCACCTATGACATCAGAAAAACTTGCCTGGACAGCTATGGTGTTTCACGGCTTAGTGGCTCAGTGTGGACGATGGCTGGATCTCCCTGCACAACCTGTAAATGCAAGGTAATTGGATGTTCTGCGGATATTGAAGCCTTGAACAATTGCCAGAGAACACTTGCAGGAGGTCCACTCCTGATGTTTCTGAATACACAGGTTCAATGGACATGGTGGAAACTCTGGCATACATTTACTTCTCATAGGAATTTAATATGTATGAATATTATCATAGCTGCACCCTGTAAAAAGGCAAATTCCAAATGAGCATGAAATAAAAGAATTGCTCCTGCCTTTGAACTACATAATTTTGACAAGTGATTCTTGGCTTAATTATGACTAACTTAGGCTCTTTTGACATGCATATTAAATAAAAAGAAAAGAAAGAAAGGGAAAGAACAAGGAAGGGAAGTAGAAAGAAAAGAAGGAAGGAAGGGAGGGAGGGAAAGAGGGAGGAAGGAAGGAAACCAGTCAACTTCCTTTCATCCTGGAAAAGTTTCTAAGTTCTTTTATTAAACTGTCAATGTTAGGGGAAAAAAGTCCTCTCAAGTTGTTTTGCTTTGTTTAATTATCAGAGTGCCTAAGGTGGGGACCTGCAGCTCTTGCTACAGCATTTCATTAACAGTGATTATTTCCCTGTCTTTTTGGAGGGGTTTTCATGAGACATCCTCATGTGTCATTAAGACTAAAAAACTGACCATTCTCTCCCTTCAAAGCTCATGAAGAGCTGGAGTGGTAGCTGATTTGGAACAATCATTAGTTAGTGTCAAATATCTGCCAAAATATCTGTTTAAGATTCCCATGATTAAACATGTTAAAACTAGGAGCCTACTTGGTCCCATCAAACCCTGGCTCAGCTTCAAGCATCAGTGGAAGCTTCCCAACTTGCCTCTTTATGCTGTTATAAATGTAGATTTTTTTTTTCTGGGAAAGTATCATCTTAAGATGTAGCCCCAGTAGAAAAAGGATACTATCAGACCTCATATAGAAAAAGGTCCATGGTCCCATCTGTACCTTCAGTCCCAGAGAACTAAATGACCAGGACACAGGGAGACCTCTGTTACTTATTTGATAATTATGTGGAATTATAAAGGTATATTTACATTAGTACATAAAATTTTTAATGAATTTATAAGTATTTATATACCTAACTATGCACTATCCCCTTCATAGTCACCATGAGAGATTTTATGCAAACCTTACTGGACCCCATCTTGGACTTGCCTGAAGATTGTTGGGGGTACTTTCAAATAGCTTCTTAAATGACAAATTGCTATCTTTTAGGGATTTATTTTTGGAAAGAATCTCGCTTGGAATAAGTACAGCAAACAGGTCATGTGAAAAGTTGGAAATCCCAGGGAGGCCTCCCAAGCAGGGATTGAGTGCAGGTGATGTGTGAAATTGAACTGCTAGCAGAATCCCAGTGAGCAGTACCCTGGAGGGTCTGTCAGTCCTTCCTTTCTTTCTACTCTTTCTCTAGTTTTTTTCCTAGCATTTTTTTCTAGTCATTTTTTATAGCCTTCTTGAAGTTTGTCTCAAAATGCTGAAAGTTGTTTTGAGTATAAAAATTGCAGACTGCTAATTTATATTCCATGTCTCAACTGGCTAACACATGTTTCTTTGATGTACAGAATGGAAGAGTCTGTTGTTCTGTGGATTTTGAGTGTCTTCAAAATAATTGAAGTATTTACAGTGGACTCAACGCAGAAGAATGGACGAAATGACCATCCAACGTGATTAAGGATAGGAATCGGTAGTTTGGTTTTTTTGTTTGTTTTGTTTTTTTAACCACAGATAATTGCCAAAGTTTCCACCTGAGGACGGTGTTTGGAGGTTGCCTTTTGGACCTACCACTTTGCTCATTCTTGCTAACCTAGTCTAGGTGACCTACAGTGCCGTGCATTTAAGTCAATGGTTGTTAAAAGAAGTTTCCCGTGTTGTAAATCATGTTTCCCTTATCAGATCATTTGCAAATACATTTAAATGATCTCATGGTAAATGTTGATGTATTTTTTGGTTTATTTTGTGTACTAACATAATAGAGAGAGACTCAGCTCCTTTTATTTATTTTGTTGATTTATGGATCAAATTCTAAAATAAAGTTGCCTGTTGTGACTTTTGTCCCATCTACTGCATACTTAGTGCTGAGATCCCTGTAAAATGTTTTGATGAAAATATGTATGTAGAGTCCAGTCGCATTATACATACATTTCATAGTGCTGAACCTTCTTAAATGCCTACTCATTCAGCTTAAACAGGCTGAAGCCAAGTATGACAAAGAGGGGAAGGGCCAAAAACATAATCAAAGAATAATTTTAAAGAGAATTCTTGTCTCTCTTGCAAAAATAAAAAAATAAAAATACAAAAAATTTAACCTGCAATTTAGAAGCAGCAATGTTTAAAGCTTTTCTTGGCTTTGAAAGCAAAATTACCTTTGTGTCAGATTTATGTAGTACTTGATCCTTTATAAAGCATCCCAGTTAGTTACTAATAAAGTTATAATCATAGTACATGTCAGAAGTATTGTCCCTATATTACAGAAGTGTGAATTAAGGAGTTCCAGTCAACTAATTTGTTGATTTACAGTGTGTTGGGATTGGTAATCAAGTCTCCTAATTCCTGTTCCGTGCTTTTTTCTACTAAACTACATTGCCTCTCATATACATGAAGGAGACACCTTTAAGATAATCTATTTGTATGCTCAGAAGTTATTTTGGAACAGTGAATGTTTCCACTTGAGCCAATACCATATTTTTAAGAATTGGCAGTTATTAAGTTTTACAAAATGAATAAATGCTCAAATGACATTATATCTGAGCTGAGAATTCAAGCTTGGTTATAGTTTCAGGTAAATCACATCTCAGTGGTTTGTGATACCCACAGCTCTTGAATTCATCATTACTCTGAATTAAGTTGGTTTTTGGATTCTCATTCACTCCACAACTTAAAAAAAGACCTGACTAGTTAAGTCAGTCATGCTAAAAAAATTTAAATATCAAATTTTAGCCAAATTATTAATTTAAAATTACATGCTTAGACAACTATTATTCATTGGTATTTGTCCAGTGGAAATGATACCCAATTTTTTTTGTGAAGATGAAGTTCATTACATAAAATCAATTTTATGTATTGAATTATGATAACAGCAGTTTAAATACTACATTTGACAAAGACTAATATGGTAAATTGGAACACATCTCTGTTTTAATTCCCTAAATGAAACCTTGAAGAGAATTTTAATAATATTTTTTGAAAAATTTACAACAATTAAAAAAAATCTTTTCAATTTTTGTTGGAAAAAAACAAAGACATTTACAAGAATTATTTGTGACTGAATATGTCAGGGATTGGTGAACTATGACCTCGTGTTAAATCTCATTATTAATAGCATAAAAGCATTGTGATTCAGTGGAATATGAGGAAAGATGAAAGTTCCACACATTAACTAGACACATATCTAATGAACACAATTTTGCCTCATTTGTTACAGCCAGGTTGCATATGAATATATGTGTGTATATATATGTTATATATAACATTGTATATTTGTTATATATACTACATATGAATCTATATTCATGCATCCTACAATACATTTATATTTAAATCTACTCATACATAACATATATATGTAAATACACACACACACACACACACACACACACACACACACACATATACACTCATTCCCAGAACTTCCCCAATTCTGAACTTTATAGATCTGTGCTTATGTACTGATATGAACTTTTAAAATACATTTTCTTTGAATTGTGGTTACAAACATATGGCTGCAGGCTATAGGTTAGATTATATACTAATTGGGTACAGTCTTCATCTACCAGTATTTAGCATAGTGCCTTCCATATAGTGGGTTTTCAATTAAGTCTTTCAAATATTGAATTCATAATTTTTCATAGTATCAAAAATTTATGATATTGGAAACCCACTCTAGTGGTTTTCAAATATTCTTAAGCATGAGACTCATTTTAAAAATCAGAATGTATTCAGTCCTTCAATGTGGAAATTGGCTAAAAGCAGAGTTTTTCTGATTGGTGTGGGTGTTGGAACTGGAATACCTTCACACACTCCACCACAGCTCACAACTTTCAACGGCGCACAGCTGGAAAGCCACTGACCTATTTCTTCACCTTAACTTCTACAAAAAAGGAAATCAGCACTCAGAGTGGTTAAGTGACTTGCCCAGAGTTAACAACTAATTAGTCATAGATGACCTATAACTACCACCCAACCCACACCTTTTTTCCCTGTGCCATTCTGCTAAGAATTCCAAATGTGTTTCCACATTTCAATCCCAAGTGAGCTTTTTAAACTCCTTTTGAATGGATGACATTAAAAGACAATCTTGGATGAGGTGTAGTATTTGTTATTGTCTTTGTTCTATGTCCCATCTGACTGTGACTTTGCTTTATTAAAATTCTGGTAACGGGTTATGTGAAACATTTGTATTTAAAGACCATATAGCATATCTAAACCCATAATAGCAATGAGCCATCTACCCAATCACCCAACTTTATGCTTTATAGGAAAATAACTGAGGGAAAATAAAAACATTTTCCAAAGGCAACTATTTCTTTTCTTAGGATTAGAAAACACACACACACACACTCCTCAGAATACAATAGAATCTGGCATTAAGAGGTAATATGTATAGCCTGTTTTATGATTTTGTTGTTCATTCACCCTTTACTATTTATTAATTCAGTGGTAGTGTGGCAGGCTCTGCAAATTCAGAGATGAATAAGACAAAAATTACTCTTTATGGCTTTTGCAGCCTCGTATGTAAAAGACTGACAATAAGCTAGAAAATAATTGAGAAATATAACTACTATATTAATAATAGGAAAAAAATTGTGAAGTGATAAATTGGGGAGGAACTGGATAATCTCACTAGATATAGGGTGAGGTGACCAAGGAAGAGCTTTCTAAGGGGGTAATAGGCAAGCTGCGACCAGGAGAATGGGAAAGAGCCATACATACAAAGTGCTATGGAAATACTTTTCCAGGCAAGAGAAATAAGTGCATAAGGACTGCAAGGTGGAAAGAAGTATGGTGTGTTGAAGGTCATCAGTGGAGCCAGAAGCCAGTAAGTGAAGGGACAAATGATACAAGGCTGAAGAGGAAGGCTGGAGCAGATGTTGCAGCCCATAGTCCTAATATAGCCAGTCCCATGTTCATTCTGAGATCAATGGGAACCTATTAAACAATTATACATTTATTTACCCACTCTTTCAGGGACTTACATGTTTATACAATCTGCTTTTTAGCTTTGAATTAATTCATATTTAATTACTATTCAGTAAACATTACAGAATTCCTGTTACGTACCTAGCAAGAATATAAGAAGAAAAATACATCATCTTTTCCATTAGAAATTTAATATCTAGATTGAGTTATCATAAAGCAATAAAAAGATGACATAATATGCCCATAAATAAATTCAAAGAATGCTTACCAAAAAATAGAGCCTTTACACTTATTTGCTGCCTCTTCAGTACCCTCATTTGATTTCTTAGTTCTTGCCCTTTGCAATCATAATCAGTTGTCTAGTTCAATACTGTGATGTCATCCTATACTATAGTTTCAAACTGGGATAAGGAAACAGAGAGGAAGAAGAGAATCTGTTTCATTAGTCTAGAGACAGTAACAACTACCCCCACTATTACAACAGCACTAGAATGTAGTAGTCAGCTCTCCAAGTTGGGGTCCACCATATAATGCAAAGCTTTTGGGTGGAAATAATTTAGGTTACCAGAAAAAAAAAGATATTTATATAATTTCCAGCAACCTTTCAATACATGGAGTTATTAATTTTTTAAAAAATAAAAGGTTTATTTTTGAGGCAGCAAATCAATATTTTAGGAACTGAGAAGCCAAATATCAGAAACATTTAAACACATGGAAATTAACATTTATCTAGATTAAATGGCAGTTGATATGCCAATCTCATATGATAAAAAAATGCACAACGTTAAGAGGGACATTTACATACTTTTATAATATTTTAGCACTGTTGTTTCAATAATGTAATGAGCAAAATGAATTTAAGTGTGGGAAATGGTAATGTTTCTTTTAAATGCAAAATCAAATCACCTTCAATAATATTGGAAAAAGAACTGATTCCTTGTGTACAAGGCATTCCTAGGGATTTTTTTTTTTTACCTAATTTCATATATGACATTTGAAAATGACTTATTTAATGAATAGGCAACTAAACTAGAAATCAGAGTTACAGAGGCTTTGAACAGATTTTAACATACCAAATTATAGGGGACAATGCGATTTAAAGAAGTCCCTAATGGAGGGAGTGATGAAAACTGCAACATCAATAAGAATGCATACCTCAAAGGTCTCCATTGATTGTTAGCTGATTATTGCCAGTTGAGAATGTGGACTCAGTATTCCTGCACTTTCTAATTTTTCAAAAAAAGGCATAAATTTGAATTTTAATGTGTGATATGAGTTTTACATTTTTCATCCAGGTTTGAAAGAATAAATTCATACCATACAAAACACATCTATGGATTGATATGACCCATGGGATCAATTTGTCACAGACCTGGTTTAGGGCCACTGGAAAGTCTAGAAGATACCTAATACTCCAAATTTTATAGGTCAATAGATCAATTGCTCTGCTCCTTATCCTAACTGCACTCTTCCCCCATTTTTCATTCACTGTAATTATATGGCACTTACTGGTACCTAATCCCCAGAATTTATTCAGTGTTTTGTGTTTTCAGCAAAGTATGAATGTGGGTATTTCTAGTAATTAGTTCATTTCTACCAGAAGGAGAACACTTGCTTCTCAAGTGAGTGGAACATCAGCATCCTACCTTACTGTTAGAAGGCATCATCAGCCACCATAAATATTTCCATTTCTGAAACAAATGATATGTTTGTAGGATGTACTCATTCAAAAGGTTTAAGATTGAAATGTCTTATTTGTTACCTGAACTGTGCATTGTCCAGACAACAACTATGGATTAATTGTCATAGGTGTACTGATGATGATTAAATTTTATGGCAGTTTGTTGAAAGAACATGACAGTTGGACCCAAGATCTTCCCCGCTCCAGCCTCACTCTGATTCACAACCAGACAAAGCAAAGGAGACCGGGGAAGTCCAGGTAGACAGAGTCAATGGAAAGCATAAGGAGCTGCTGGCAGGCTCTTGGGGCATCACCTGGAGAGGTAAAGAAAGAAAAGCCCAGAATACCCTCTTCATAACAATAACAGAGCATCTTGGTAGCTGCAGTCCAACTGAGAAAGGAGTGCTCATCATTCATTTTTGTTATTCAGCATATAAGAAAAGATGCAGAGAATAAATACAGGTACAGCAGACCTAAAAAAATTTGTGATTAAAGAGAGTGAAAACAGACTCCCTATGTAATGTGGAGAGCATCAAAATTAAGAGTAGCTTGTGTTTCCTGTGGCTGCTGTTAACATATTATAATACACCTGGTGTCTTAAAACAAGAGATTTATTCTCTCACAGTTCTGGAGTCTGGAAGTCTGAAATCAAGGTGTCAGCAGGGCTATGATCCCTCCAAGAGGCTCTAGGGAAAAATACTTCCTTACATCTTTCAGCTTCAGATGGCTCCAGGTAATCCTTGGCTTGTGGCCCCATTACTCTGATTTCTGCCACTGTGGTCACATTGTCTGCTTCTCTTCTCTGTGTGTCTCCTATAAGGACAATTGCTATGGGATTTGGGGCCCACTAAATAATCCAATATTACCTCCTCATTTCAATATGCTTAACTTAATTATATCTGTAAAGACACTTTTTCCAAATAAGGTAACATTCACAGGTTCTGGGGATTTGGACACGGACTTATAAATTTATGTCAGGGGGCATCATTTAGCTGACAAAACATTGATTGATCAAGAAAGCCTAAAAAATCTTAATTTAATGCGATTATGTAATAAAGAGTTCTAATTCTTCTTTTCTCTACAATATAAGCCTTACTTATACACTGGACTAGATACATGTCTATATAATTCTCATTCTCATATAGAAAAGATGCCCTGATATTCAAAGTGTACAAAACACACATATACAATAACTTCTAAATACTGAATTTTTCTCTAGAAAAAAAATTGAATTGAAGGTCTCAAAGGATTAAAACCCTGGATGGAGTTAGGAGGGAATTATAAAAAATTAAGAAGCGAATACCACTTCATTTCAAACAAGGTGTTTTTTACTTCAGAAGGCTGAGGCTGGAGGATCTCTTGAGACCAGGAGGTGGAGACCAGCCTGGGCAACATAGTGAGAACTTGTCTTTACCAAAGAATGAATGAATGAATGAATGAATGAATAAATAAATAACCGGTGGTGGTGGTGCACACCTATGCTCCAGCTACTCTGAAGGCTAAGGTGGGAAGATCTCTGGGGCTAGGAATTGGAGGTTACAGTGAGCAGTGATTGTGCCACCACACTCCAGCCTGAGTGACAGAACAAGACTCTGTCTTAAACACATATACACACAGCAAAAAAAAACAAAAAACAAAAAACAAAAAAACAGATTCTGACTACACAACAGAAAAATAGTCAATCAAATATTTATCTGGAATTTCAATGAGACCCATACAACTTTATGAATTCTACTTTGAAAGTCGATTTCAAGCTGGCCTCATACTTAACAGTATTCCAAACAAAGCTTGAGATGGATGCTCTTTTAGCATTATGTATATGTTGCAAATATCTCCCTTTGCCTACCAAGATAAGAATAAATTTCCCTAGCATACCTGATGGTATTATACCATATCAGTTGTCATCTCTTAATTGTACAATTAGATTTATTACTATAGTTTATCATTTAGATTTACTCATGACTCCCTTCATTTCATGCAAAAAGAGTTGCAAATAATTCATCTCTGGGCATTTTGAAGAAATGTGGTAATTTTGTATTCAGGAAACAGACCCTAGGCTAACAACTACATTTCAATTAATTATCAAATCAATGTTTAATGGGCAACTCACCCCGGTTCTGTGTTCTAAGAGCTGAGGGGAAAAAGCTAATATAGAACTACTCTACTACTTGACAGAAATTGTACTTAACATTACACAAATGTTGCATCAATCCATGCCTACAGCAATTCTAAAAGTTGGAGACAATAGTCCACATTTTACTGATGAGGAAATGGGCAAATGACCTTGCCTTATACAGCTGCGGGCAGAGGTTTTGCGATTCTGAAGCTAAAGCTATATGGAATAGCCAGAAAAGATTTCAAGAGGAAGACTTGAGGTTGCCTTAAAATACTACAAACAAGAAGACTTTCCTTGAAATAAGAAGGCAGAGAAATGGAAGAACTAGGCTAAAGAAGAGAGTATGCATGGTGAATAAGGTAGCATGAGTGAAGATTAGAGCAGGTCTTTTTGTCAAGATAAGTGGTCTGGACTGGGTTGCAGAAGATCTGAGATACATTCTGGTTCTTGAGGGACCACCATTTTTACTATAATTCTAGATAGGACTTTGCTATGTTGCATTTGATGAAATAGTATGTGCCTGGCACATGCATGGCTAGAAGGATTCTCTTAGTTCATGATTCAACAGCTGTTAATTTTCACTTTCACATTCTGGATAAGATGGGTAATTATATTCAGCTGTCTGAAGCCATCCTGCTACTGCTTTCTCACAGACTTGTGACTCTTCCTTTGTTCTCAGGAACAGGGTTGCACTGTGAGCTGTGAAATGCATCCAGCTGTCCAGTGCCTGGCAGAAGCTTGTTCATCATCTGCCTCCCTACTCTGGATCTAGATGGTTCAATTACACTGCTTTTCAATGGAGAGATTTATCTTTCTAGTCGCTTTACATAGCAGTCTTAGAAAATATGAGAAATCACTCCGACTCCATAATGGACATAACTACTAAAAATGTCCACAGTTTAGAGCATGAAAAAATTATATATTATAAAAAAGACAAAATTTAGGAGTGAATCTACAGAACTAGGATAAAGAAAAAGGGCCTTACTGGCCTTTGTGAACAGCCCACGTAATGTGAAATAGCAAAAGTGAGGAACAGACAGTATGCAGTGGCTTCAAGCTAGTAAAACAAACCCCTGTATTTAGCTCAAGCTTTGGAGCACAACACCAAAAGATGGTTGGATTTATGGAGACTGTCCTGAGAACTTCCTGTCTAAGCACCTGCGCATTTCTTTTTCAATGAACTTTCTTCAATGTGAAGAAACCAACTGCCTATGGATCATGCTTATTTCTTCAATGACTTACTAACTTATCTTTATGCTAGATATTGAATGCTTATTTTACTGAGCATTTCTTTTTGACAATGTTATTTAAGAGCACCAAGGTACAGAAAACAATTTTCCAGGCATTTGGAGGAATGACATTCTTTCCATATGAAAGGATACAATACACAGCATTGCACTGATTTAATACAACACATTTCCATTAAAAAAAAAAAGCAACTCTGAAGGCTAGGGATTCATGTTGCTAATTTTTAGGACAAAGACTCTATAAGCTACTTTGAAAGATCTCTGTGAAGCAGCATATGAACAGTGACTGATTGTGGTATCAATGCAATTGGAAGCAGACTCGCTCAACAGTCCTGGAGATCTAGGAGCATCGTCAGGGGCAGTCAGCAGGTCTGTAGGAGGTTGGGGGTCCTCAATCTCAGAAATGAATAAATGACATTGGTTGTGATTTGACTGTTGGTGCTGAGTTAACTGTTTTGCACAGTTTTAATGTAATAGGTGTGTAATAGGAGAGTTTGGAGCATGGGATGAGGTCACAGGATATTATTTTGATGCCACAGTGTGGCATATGAATAAAGCCACTTGTACCATATGAATAAAGTCACATGTACCATAGAGGCTGGAGAATACAGTGGCAAGGGGAAGAAGAATGAGAACAAACTTAAAGTGGAAAGAGCACAAGTCTTGGAGCCAGACAGACCTGGGTTTGAATCTCAGTTACATTACCTCTTAGTTGGGTCAACTGTGAACAAGTTACTAACCTGCTAGAGTGTCAAAATTTTTGTTTATTAAAACAAGCAGTAAAAACTATGTATCTTGAGGGGCTTTTACAAAATTAAGAGATACTTTATGAAATGAGAATAGTAGGCACTGGCGACTCCAATGGAGGGAAGGAGAGAGGCAAGGGCTGAAAAGCTTCCCATTGGGCACTATGTTCACTATCTGAGTAACCAGATCAATAGAAGCCCCAAACCTCAGCACTATGCAATACATCTTTATCAAAAACCTGCACATGTACCATTTTTTAAAATGGAATTTTTTTAAAAAGAGATACTTTATTAAGTACATAAGCCTTACAGATGCTAAATGAATGGGTTATTATTAGGAGTCTTTTTTGATGTTTTTACCTCTTAAGATGCTCTACTCCCTCTTGTCTCATTTCCTAAAGCAGCTACATAAGTAGCTGGCAAAGGATTGGGCTCTGCTCTTCTTCAGAATCCAAAATATCTTAATATCTTAGCTGTATTGATGAGCCATCAAACAAACACATATCTTATGCTTTTGTTTCCCTCCAAGGAGATGAATGAGCAACATATGAGGGCACTTAGGGTGTGGCAGGTAGTTTTAAAAAGATAAAAGAACTTCTAACAAGCTGGGTAAATTATGTAATTGTTCAGCACTTGAATTCTGCTGTCAGGCTGTATAGGCAAGTGGAATGATGATAAAAAGTTATGTTATAGGTACGTAGTTGCATGCAAGTAGGTAATTATTATCTACTGGCTAAAAGACTGAAATTCAGTGGCAAATACAAGTCAGGTAATTTGAAGTCATTTGCTCTAATAAATAAAATATTAGGTGGCTAAAAAGGCTGGGTATTGTTTCCCTTGGAAAACCTGCAAGAGAAGAAACACTTTACCATAAAATGTACATGCAGAATACCCTATTCCTCTGCAGAGTTAAGAAATGGAGGGAATGTCTGGATAAACAATATATTTGGTGGCATTATTAAAATAATAAAAGGCAAATAACTTGATTTAAAAATGGGCAGAGGACCTGAACAGACATTTCTCCAAAGAATACATAAAAATGGCCAACAGATATATGTAAAAGTGATCAATATCACTAATCATAGGTAAATACAAATTAAAACCACTCTGAAATATCACCTCACACCCATCTGAATGACTATTACATACAAGATAAGAGTTAACAAATGTTGGCAAGGGAGTGGAGAAAACAGAAAGTTAGTATATGGTTGGTAGGAATGTAGACTAGCACAGAATTATGGAAAATAGTATGCAGTTACTTAAAGAAATTAAAAATAGAACTACTAAATGACTCAGCAGTCCTACTTCTGGATTTATATCCAAAGGATATAAAAATCATTATTTTGTAAAGGTATCTGCACTTCCATGCTCACAGCAGCATTTTCACAATAGTCAAGATATGAAAACAACCTAAGTGCCCATCAATAGATGAATGAATAAAGAAAATATAATATATATTTAGGTATTATATATATATTATATAATAAAATATTATTCAGCCTTAAAAAAAGCAGATCTTGCCATTTGCCACAACATGAGTGGACCTAGAGGACATTGTGTTAAGTGAAATAAACTAGATATAGAAGAAATATATTGCATGATCTCACTTATATGTGGAATGTGTTTTAAAGAAGATCGAATACACACAAATCATAAAACAGTGGTTACGAAGTGGGGGTGGGCATGAAATGGGGAGATGTAAGTCAAAGGAAACAAACAGATATGTAGAGTGAACAGGTCTAGAGATCTAATGTGCAACATGAGAACTATGGTTAAAAAATTGTATTACATTAGAAATTTTTGTTAGATAAGTAGATTTTAGCTGCTCTTGTCACCAAAAAACTGTGTGAGATGATGGATTTGTTAATCTGCTTCAATATAGTAACCATTTTGCAATCTATATGTATTCTATAACATCATGTTGTAAACCTCCACTATACACAATAAAATTCACTTAAAAAAAGAGAGGGAGACAAAACGAACTTTTCAAACCATAGAGAAGACTTGGAGTAGAGTGGCTCACATGTCCCCTTCTTGCATGGCTTCCCCAAATCTACAACTGGTCCCAGCCATGTGAGCTGTCAAGTGGTCTTTTTTGTAGTTGCCCAGTCAAGACAAATCAATCAGTATTTACTCACTGCCCATGACTGAACTATATCTCATAGAAATACTAAAAAAAAAACAAATCCGGGTGTTCAGAATGAAATCTTACTAAAAAAGATCCCTGTGAGTGACTGAAACAGGTGGGCCATCTCTTCTTCACCCGGATACTAACACTTACTGTCTTATGCCGAAGAATAGACAAATGATTCTTCTGCCTATTCCCAGGGAAGGGAAACATCAAGAATCCAATTAGATAAAGTATAGACATTATAATTTGATTTTTAGGGAGAGGAAGGAACTAACATAACATTAAAACAGCAGGTATGAGATGCTGCAATTATCTTTTCCAGATACAATTATCTAGATGATTTATACCAAAACCAATGTAGAATAAAAACAAAAACAATTGCTTAAATTATATATATTATAAGAAAAAAATTCTAGAATGAATCTCTCAGGTTAAATTATATAGCATACATGTTGAACTGGTTTCAGGACAAAAGTATTTCTTATGCACCCACTGTGTGTCAGTCAGGGAAGAGAATACCAAATACCAAATACCACATGTTCTCACTTGTAAGTGGGAGCTAAATGATGAGAATGCATGGACACATAGAGGGGAACATACACAGGGGCCTTTCAGAGAAGGGAGGGGATCAGAAAAAATAACGAATGGGTATTAGTCTTCATACCTAGGTGATCAAATAATCTGTACCACAAATCCCCATGACACAAGTTTACTTGTGTAACAAATCTGCAATTATACCCCTAAACTTAAAAGTTAAAAAATGAGAATGAAATAATACTAGTCCTTGTCCTTGAGGAGCTTAACATTTATAAGGGGTTATAGACTATGAATTTTAGGATAATGTGTTAAAATTTGTGATAGAGTTCACTATAAGATGCTAAGAAAGTAAAAAGGAAAAGCACGTGACCCACACTTTGAAGGGAAAAGTTGTTAGAGAAAGCCTCAGGAGGCCTAAATTGAGATGGAAATATTTAAAGGAAGGCTGTGGTAAATAGTGTTCCAGAAAATGAGAAAAGCTTAAGAAATTCATGGAGGAGTGATACGGTATGATGCCTGTAGGTAATTTCATACTGATATCCTGGTGAAATAAGAGCTAGGGGAAAATAGTAAGAAGTAGTTTAATGAGGGAGTTGGGGCCAAGTTTTAAAGGGTCCTGTAGGGCAAAGCATGAAACAATGAAATAATGAGCAGAGAAAATATTTTGATAATCCAATTCTGAAGTTAAACATAGGAAAAAAATATTTCAGCATTGACAACTCCTGATCCTTTAGCACCTGCCACAGAGGTTTTAGAAACTCTGCAATTTTGTGTTAGGTCTTCTGGAATAAAGGAACCAAGACATCTACAGAGCGGCGAGTCAAATATACTTGGAGAAATAGCAGCATTATTGGGGGTGGGGCAGGGGTGGCACAGAGAACAGGTGATCCCAGAAAAAACATTGACCAAGAACTTCTCTGATTACAATCCTTACGATACATTTTTCCTACATTGGCTTCTATCCTCCTGTTCTTGCTACTTTTGGTTTTGAAAGCTATTAAGGCTGCAATAGAATGGTGTCAGTGAATTTAGAGGGTGTATCTTTAAGGGAGTGGAATAACTGGAAAAAAGAGCAAAAGTTTAAATATCCAAAAAAAGTGTGAGTAGATTGGGTGCATATAATCCTCTTTCCAGTCTCCCTCTGAGGATTAAGAAAAAGAGTGAATTGTATGAAATAATTGGACTCTTAACATAGTCTCTGTGGACAGGGAATTCATCCATTTATTTCACCTTTAATGTGTAAGTTTTAGGCATTCGTTTATTCATTCATTCTTTTCTGCACTGTTCTATTCATTCATATAATTATTTAATTTACTCATCCATATCTTCATCTATCAGTTCAGTAGAAGTTCCTTACTTTAGAAGATAACTTTTAAGTCTGTAAACAGCTTAAATAACCCTAGAATGGTCAAGAAAATTCTAAGTATTACCAAGACACTAAAGAAGTAGAGGGGTTATTAGAACACTTGTTACTTTCTGTGACCTAGGCATTACTGATAATTTCCTTTATGATAGTTATAATTTCCTTAATGTGCAGAATAAGCATATGACAATGTTACTATTTTAAATACCATTCTTCTAATGAGGAAACTGAAGCAGAGAGTTTAACTATTGATAATTTCCCTAGGGTTGCAGAGTTCTTAAGAGGCAGGGCTGGGATTTGACCCTGCTGGTGAGTTAACCTCCAACTCCCCAACTGAGCTAATCATGCATTTACTGTTTGTACTAGAATATAATTTTTAAATTATGGGGTTTTTTTTTTCTGTTCACCTGTTTGTTTACTAAGTTACTCAACTACACTTCTGCCTTTTATTCTCATCACTGAATGTTTGGGGTTGGGTCTAGTGAGAAAAAACAGAACAATGTTAGATATAATCAAGCAGAGGGAATTTAATACAAGGGATTAGTACCACACGTGTTGGAAGAGCTCTGATGCTAAACAGAAGGAGCTAATCCAGAGATAAGCTGCAGCTGGAAGTCTTGAGAGGAATGACAAGGAGGTAGTGCTATCAAAGCACAGAAACCAGAGTCATGGCCAAGGCTGAAGCAGGGTGGGAGCTCGAGCCACAGGGGAAGCACAACCATTATTAAGAACATTGCTCAAGGCAGAGGGACAATAATTTCTACCCTCCCTCTACTTTTCAATCTTCTACTAACTTCTCCCTTTATTTCAACCTTCCTAGGAGCCAGGAGAAAAAGCATTCTTGGAAAATTCAAGGACTGGTTTTACAAATAGCTCATAGGCCAGTTTGCCCCAGAAGCTCATTCTCTATTTGATTGATCTGCAATTCCATTTTCTATTCTTAGACTGATTTGTAATTAAACTGCAGATATTGCCCACAACTCCTAAAAATCAAACATCTATTTTAGGAGATCTGATTGGCAACAGAATACAGATATGCATACTCTTGAAAGAGATAGGATCACCTGTCCCTTGGATAACAGCTGGTAACATGTGGCATTGATGTAAGTTAAAAAAAAGAGAAAAGGGAAATGGTAGCTGTTAAGGTCTGAATGTTTGTTTCCCCATAAAATTCATATGTTGAAGCCCTAACCCCCAAGGTGATGGGATTAGGGGATGGGGCCTTTTGAGAGGTCAGTAGGCCAAGAGAGCAGAGACCTCATAAATTGGATAGCGTCCTATAGTCCTTATAAAATACGCTCAAGAGAGCTTGTTTGCCCCTTCCACCAAATGAGAACACAACAAGAAGGTGCCACCCATGAACCAGGAACTCACTGGACACTGAGTTGGCCAGTGCCCTGATTTTGGACTTCCCAGATTCCACATCTGTGAGAAATGTCTGTGGTTGATAAGCCACTGAGTTTATGATATTTTCTTATAGAAGCTCTAATGGACAAAGTACCTTTGTTAGAACTTAATGACCTAAGGAAGTTAAATCTCACTTTTAATACCACAGTTAGATACTCTGTGTCCATAAGGTCTTTATGTATTTTCCCTCAATAACTTCTAAATTAGACTCCCCCGAAGCATCATTATTTATTGTAGAATTGATTTGTTTTATCTTATTGAAAAAAAGACAATCCATGCAACATTTCAGTTAAGCATATATTTAGTAAGAAAACTATGGCACACAGTAAGAGTGAGAAGTGTCTGTTATTGGATGATTGATGATTTATTTACATATTTAGACACAGGGTTTGCTACCACTTCAACAATTTCTGCCGTATTTCAAAGACCCCAGAATGTCTAAGATAATATTCCCATAAAGGGAACCCATCTTATCCCTGAAAAAAAAAATAGTATTTGGCTACTTTTACACTTTTGATTGTCACCTTTGGTGTTGCCACGAATTGCCTCAATTCAAAAAATCTGCATGAAGTAGACTTCCTACCCAATTTCCTCATTAGCATTGCATTACCCTGGACCATGACCTGATGTTGTCCTTTCTCATTTTACTTTCAGGACCTTTCAATTCTAGTTGTGTTCATCTAAACTGTTATAGATCAGCCTTTCTTTAATGGCTCTGAGTTCACTAGGGTCTTCTCCAGTGCAGCTGGTCATAAGCTTCTCTGAAGGATATCACACTTATTTAAGAATATAGGCTATCTCTGAAGACAACTTTGAGCTCAAGCCTCAGCAGTAATTTGTTCCAGTAAATCCTTCTGACACCTTTAGCATGACATCTTTTTCCCTTTCATTCAAAATTTGCTGAGCAATTGCTGCATCTCTACATTTCCTTTTGCCTGTCTAGAAAGCTTGAGGACATTTGACATAATTGAATAATGGAATGACAAAAATCTTACATGGCAAATTGGATTAATTTCTAAACTTTCTTTTCTCCCTCAGTTTCCTCAGACTGGTTTTCTTTCTATAAAAACCCATAGTTTCTGTCATTGTAAAAGTCTTGCTTGAAAGAAATACCTTATATCAGTGAAACTATGTTATAGGTATCTGTAATAATTGGACATATCTCTTCTGTGCCTTATTTTAGAAGCAACAGAGATAACAAAGAAATTAAGAAAATAGAGATTTTTTAAAAAGTTATATTATTATAGATAGAGCGATGTAGAGAATGCGACTTGGGCGTGCAGCAACAGTGGACTTCATAAAATAGATCTCCAGAATTAAATAGATTTATCCACCTAGCATTGGACAATAGCAGCTCTCCTCCTACAAAAGTAGTGCCTGCCACTGTGAAATGTAACACATAGAGGAGGAGGGTAAGAGGCACATCCTCTGTGGGAAGACCAATGTCAAAATTCAAGGAGGAGAGAAGGAGCTGAGTTCTGCAAGCACCCAGCTTTTTTTCTGTATTGGCTAATAATAAGTAATTTATTCTTTCTTGGGAGGTAGCAGGTAAATGGGAAGAAATAATTCAGGTTCCTCCACCAAAAAATAAAAAGCAAAAATAAAAATAACATGCCTGTGGTCCTAGCTACCCAGGAGGCTGAGGTGGGAGCATCCCTTGAGCCCATGAGTTCAAGGGTACAGTGAATATGATTGCACCACTGTGCTCCAGTCTGAATGACAGAGCCAGGCCAGGAAAAAAAAAAAAAAAAAGAGTAGAGACACGTGTTCTCTATCAGTCACCTCCTGTTCAATTTACAACTTAATCTTTCCTGTTGTTCTCCCTTTCTTTCCTTTTGGTTTTACACTTTTTTCCCCTAATTTTGTTTAATTCAGACAGCAACTATTGATTGAATACCTGCTTTAAGCAGGTTTCTTCAGGGGTCCTCTTATTTTCCAGTTCTTGTTCCATTCTTATCCATCCTCTAGGCCTACCAGTGGCCTACATGGGCACTGCTGAATTTATTGGAAGAAAACAATGACAGTAAGGGTCCTACATATACATTTGCTGAGTTCTCTTTTGAGCATTATATTTAAATAATTGGTTTAATAATTTAACCCATATTTATTGGGCACTGTAGTAATATGTGATATTCTTCTAAGTGCTAAGGATAGCACAGTAAGCAAGACCAGTTCTTACCTCTAGATGGTTACCTTTCAGGAAAATTAACAAAATAAACAAATAGATATATAATGTAATCTCAGGTATAAATAAGTGCATTCAGGAAAATAACACAGAGTAAAGGGAGATGAGAGAGGAGATGTATCTTTGGATGGGATGGTAAGGGATGATCTTTCTAAGGTGACCATCTTTAAGGAGAGGCCAGAGTGAAGTGAGGTAGTCAGTCATGCAAATGTGTGAGGGAAGAACATTTAAATTAGATGCAGCAACAAGCACAAAAGGCTTAGGTTAGACAAAAAAATGACCTAAATGAAGGGCGTTTTTAAAACATCATTCCCCAAAACATCTAACCCAAAACCTCACATTGCATATTTTTTTAAGAACACACAAGGTATTTATGAAAATAGACCATAGTCTGATATGTAAATCGAGTGACAACAGGTTTTGAAAAGATTAGATGCATACATGGTATATCATCTGAACACCATGTAATTAAATTAAAAATCAACTTATAAAGCAGTCCTGTGTGTTGGTAAATTATCTAGGCCAGGCGCAGTGGTTCATGCCTGTAATTCCAGCACTCTGGGAGGCCAAGGTGGGCGGATCACAAGGTCCGGAGATTGAGACCATCCTGGCCAACTTGGTGAAACCCCGTCTCTACTAAAAATATACAAATCAGCTGGGCATGGTGGCACGTGCCTGTAATCCCAGCTACTCAGGAGTCTGAGGCAGGAGAATGGCTTGAACCTGGGAAGCGGAGATTGCAGTGAGCCAACATCGTGCCACTGCACTCCAGCCTGGCAACAGAGCGAGACTCCGTCTTAAAAAAAAAAAAAAAAAAAAAAAAAAAAAAAAAAAAAAAAAAAAAGAGAGAGAGAGAGAGAGAGATATTTCTAAATAGCACATAGGTTAAAATATTATTTAAAAAATCTGAACTTAAAGAAAAAACTGCATCTTAAGATTTGTGGGATGTAGCAATTGTAGTAGAGAAAAAATTGTAACCACACTTTTATACATTAAAAGGAAAAATACTAAATTTAACAAGTGATATGGATTGGCTGTGTCTCCATCTCACCTTGAATTGTAATAATCCCCATGTGTCAAGGGTGGGGCAAGGTGGAGCTAATCGAATCATGGGGGTGGTTTCCCCATACTGTTCTCATGGTAGTGAATAAGTCTCATGAGATCTGATGGTTTTATAAATGGGAGTACCCTTGCACAAGCTTTCTCTTGCCTGCTGCCACGTAAAACATGCCTTTGTTCCTCCTGCACTTTCCACGATGATTATGAGGCCTCCCCAGAAATGTGAAACTGTGAGTCCATTAAACCTCTTTTTCTTTATAAATTACCCAGGCTTGGGTATGTCTACTGGCAGCATGAAAACAGATTATTAATTACAGTAAATTGGTACCAGGTAGTGGAGTGCTGCTTGTAAAGATACCTGAAAATGTGGAAGCAAATTTGGAACTGGGTAAAAGGCAGACACTGGAACAGTTTGGAGGTCTCTGAAGAAGACAGAAAAATGTGGAAAATTTGTGGAAGTTCCTAGAGACTTGGAGGTCTCAGAAGACAGGAAGATGTGAAAAAGTTTGGAACTTTCTAGAGACTTGTTGAATGGGTTTAACCAAAATGCTGGTAGTGATATGAACAATAAAATCCAGGCTGAGGTGGTCTCAGGTGGAGATGAGGAACTTGTTGGGAACTGGAGTAAAGGTCACTCTTGCTGTGCAAAGAGGCTGGTGGCGTTTTGCCCCTGGCCTAGAGATCTGTGGAACTTTGAACTTGAGAGAGATGATTTGGGGTATCTGGTGGAAGAAATTTCTAAGTGGCAAAGCATTCAAGAGGTGACAGAGTGTAAAAGTTTGAAAAATTTGCAGATAGACAGTGCAGTAGAAAAGAAAACCCATTTTCTAGGGAAGAATATTCAAGCCAGCTACAGAAATTGGCATAAGTAATGAGGAGCCAAATGCTAATCACCAAGACAATGGGGAAAATGTTTCCAGGGCATGTCAGGGACCTTGCCAGCAGCTGCTCCCATCATAGGCCTGGAGGCCTAGAGGGGAAAAATGGGTTTCTGGGCTGGATCCAGGTACCCCCTGCTGTGTGCAACCTTTGGATTTGGTGCCCTGCATCCCAGATGCTCCAGCCATGGCTAAAATGGGCCAAAGTACAGCTCAGGTCATTGCTTCAGAAAGTATAAGCCTCAAGCCTTGGACATTTACATGTTTACATGTGGTGTTGGGACTGTGGGTGCACAGAAGTCAAGAATTGAGGTTTGAGAACCTCCACCTAGATTTCAGAGGATGTATGAAAACTCCTGGATGTCCAGGCAAAAGTCTGCTGCAGGGGCACAGCCCTCATGGAGAACTTTGCTAGGGTGGTGCAGAAGGGAAATGTGGGGTTGGAGTCCCCACACAGAGTCCCTACTAGGGAACTGCCTGGTGGAGTTGTGAGAAGAGGGCCACCATCCTCCAGACTCCAGAATGGCAGATCCACCAACAGCTTGCACCATGTGCCCGGAAAAGCTGCAAAGACTTGACACCAGCCTGGGAAAGCAGCCAGGAGGGGGGTTGTACCCTGCAAAGCCACAGGGGCAGAGCTTCCCAAAACCATAGGAACCCACCTTTCACATCAGCATGACCTGGATGTGAGACTTGGAGTCAAAGGAGATCATTTTGGAACTTTATAGTTTAATGACTGCCCTATTGGATTTCAGAATTTCATGGGGCCGGTAGCCCCTTCATTTTGGCAAATTTCTCCCATTTTGAATGGGTATATTTACCCAATGCCTATATCCCCATTGTATCTAGGAAGTAACTAACTTGCTTTTGATTTTAAAGGCTCATAAGGGGAAGTGATTTGCCTGGTCTCAGATGAGACTTTGAACTGTGGACTTTTGAGTTAATGCTGAAATGAGTTAAGATTTTGGGGGACTGTTGAGAAGGCATGATTGGTTTTGAAATGTGAGGACATGAGATTTGGGAACAGTCAAGGGCAGAACGATATGGTTTAGCTGTGTCCCCACCCAAATCTCAACTTGAATTGTAATAATCCCTGTGTGTCAAGGGAGGGGCCAGGTAGAGATAATTGAATCATGGGGACAGTTCCTCCATATTGTTCCTGTGGTAATGAATAAGTCTCATGATATCTGATGGTTTTATAAATGGGAGTTCCCTTGCATAGCTCTCTCTTGTCTGCTGCCATGTAAGACATGCCTTTGTTCCTCCTTCATTTTCTGCCATGATTGTGAGGCCTCACCAGCCATGTGAAACTGTGAGTCCATCAAACCACTTTTTCTTTATAAATTACCCAGTCTTGGGTATGTCTTTATTGGCAGCATGAAAACAAACTAGTACAACAAGGTAAGACCCCATCTCGAGAAGTTAGAAACAATATCGAAGCAAACTTGTGAAAATCAGAAGGAAGGAAATAATAATCAAAATGTTGAAAACAAGCAAACAAAAATAAAATAAACATTTACTTGAAAGGATCAGTGCAGTGAACAGCTATTTTAAAAGGCTAATGAAATCGTTAAATCTCTGATTAGATTGACTATGGTAGGGACAGGGAAGAGTTGAAAAGGCACATGTAGTTGTCATCAGAAAAGAAAAAGAAATGACATCAGAAAAGATGGTACAGTAAGAAAAGTCTATTACAAAGTCCTATAAACTATTAAATTAAAAATTTAGATAAAATGAGCCTACATTAAAAATATTATGTAAGTATTTTATATTTTCTTAAAATGTAGAATTCATGTTAAAATTATTTCTAAAACTAAAACTAACTCTAAGCCTACTTGGTTTCATTAGGAAACTCTCCAAAGCATTCAAGAGAGAAATAATTTTAATCATATATAAATTCTTTAAAAAATAATCCCAGAAAGTGTGTGAGACTAGTATAGTGACATTGAAACCCAATATTGACATTATAAAAATTTAAAGGGACATGCTCACTCATAAACAATTGTAAACATAACATTAGCAAACAGAATCCAGAAATGTGAAAATAATAATAGATCATATCTAAGATTAATTTCTCAACAGTGAAACACATTTGACTGCAACAGATATATTGATATAAATAATTATATTTACAGATTAAAGGAGAAAAACTTAGGTACAGAAAGAGCATTTGATAAATCCAGCATCCCTTTATAATAAAAACCCTCAGTAAAATAGACATAGTAGTGACTTAGCTCAAAGTAATAAAAGCCATCTGTTAAAAAACCACAGCCAACATTATATTGAATGCAGAAAAGTTGAAAGCATTCTCCCTGATAACTGGAACAAGCAAGGATGCCCACTTTCACCACTTCTATTCAACATAGTACTGGAAGTCCTGGCCAGAGCAATCAGACAAGAGAAAGAAATAAATGGCATCCAAACTGGAAAAGAGGAAGTCAAACTGTCACTGTTCACTGATGATATGATCGTATACCTAGAAAATCCTAAACACTCATCCATATAGCTCCTAGATCTGAAAAATGAATTCAGTAAAGTCTCAGTATACAAAATCAAGGTACAAAAATCAGTATCACTGCTATACACCAACAATGACCAAGCTGTGAAAAAAATCAAGAACTCAATCCCTTTGACAACAGCTGCAAAAACAAAAGAAAAAAACTTAGGAATATACTTAACCAAAAATGTGAAAGATCTCTACAAGAAAAACTACAAAACACTGTTAAGATAAACCACAGATGACACAAACAAATGGAAACACATCTCATGCTCATGGATGGGAAGAATCAATATTGTGAAAATGGCGACACTGCCAAAAGCAACCTACATTTTCAATGCAATTCCCATCAAAATACCACCATGATTTTTCCACAGAACTAGAAAAAGCAATCATAAAATTCATATGGAATCAAAAAGAGCCTACATACCCAAAGAAATACTAAAGCAAAAGTAACAAATCTGGAGGCATCACATTACATGACTTGGTATTATACTACAAGGCTATAGTTACCAAAACAGCATGGCACTAGTATAAAAATAGGCACGTAGACCAAGGGAACAGAATAGAGAACCCAGACCTAAAGCCAAATACTTACAGCCAACTTGGACAAAGGACACAAAAACATAAACTGGGGAAAGGACACATTATTCAATAAATTGTGCTGGGATAACTGGCAAGTTAGATATAGAAGGATGAAACTGGATCCTCGTATCTCACCCTATACAAAAATCAAGTCAAGATGGATAAAAGACTTAAAAGCTAAGCCCTGGGACCACAAAAATCCTAGAAGATAACATCTGAAAAACTCTTCTAGACATTGGCTGAAGCAAAGAATTCATAACTAAGACCCCCAAAGCAAATGCAACAAAAACAAAAATTAAAAAATGAGACCTAACTAAACTAAGAAGTTTTTGCACAGCAAAAAAAATAATCAACAGACAACTCACAGAATAGCAGAAAATATTTGCAAACTATGCATCCAACAAAGGACTAATATCCAGAATCTACAAGGAACGCAAATAAGTCAGCAAGATAAAAACGAATAATCCCATCAAAAAGTGGACTAAGGACATGAATAGAAAATTCTCAAAAGAAGATATACAAATAGCCAACAAACATAGGAAAAAATTGCTCAATATCACTAATTACCAGGGAGATAGTTAAAACCACAATGAGATTACTAACTTACTCCTGCAAGAATGACTATAATTAAAATATCAAAAATCAACAGATGTTGGTGTGGATGTGGCAAG
The DNA here is from genome assembly GCF_000001405.40 of Homo sapiens. Taxonomy (NCBI): domain Eukaryota; kingdom Metazoa; phylum Chordata; class Mammalia; order Primates; family Hominidae; genus Homo; species Homo sapiens. The sequence continues at coordinate 21,597,649 of NC_000011.10, forward strand.
AAGCGAACGCTTTTACATTGCCATTGCTGGTGGGAATGTAAATTAGTACAACTACTATGGAAAATAGTATAGAGATTCCTTAAAGAACTAAAAATAGAACTACTATTCAATCTAGCAATCCCACTACAGGGTATCCACCCAAAGGCAAAGAAGTCACTATATGAAAAAGACACATGCATGGGCATGTTTATAGCAGCACAATTTGCAAATAGCAAAGATATGAAACCAACCTAAGTGCACATCAACCAGTAAGTGGATAAAGAAATTGTGGTGTATTATAAACCATGGACTACTATTCAGCCATAAAAAGAAACAAAATAATGTTTTATACAGCAACTTGGATGGAGTTAGAGGCCATTATTCTAAGTGAAGTAACTCCGGAATGGAAAACCAAATATCATAGTTTCTCATTCATGAGTGGTAGCTAAGCTATGAGGATGCAAAGGCATAAGAATGATATAATGGACTTTGGGGACTTGGAGGAGAAGGCTGGGAGAGGGACGAGGAATAAAAAGCTACATATTGGGTACAGTGTACACTGCTTGGGTCAGGGATGCACCAAAAATCTCAGAAATCACCACAAAACAACTTATCTATGTAACTATAAACCACCTGTACCTCAAAAACTGTTGAAATAAAAATAAAAAATAAAGAAAATTAAAAAATAAAGGAGAAAAACTATCTTAATAGAGGCAGAAAAATTGCTTGAAAACAGTAAAGATTCCTTCACATTAAAAGAAAGCATGAAACTAAGAATAAAAGGGAATTTCACTAATCTGATAAAGATTTTTGGTAAAAGAAGTACAGCAGACATAATATTAAAAGGTGAAATATTGGAATTTGTTTCCCTTTGGGACCAAGAACATGGCAATGATATCTACGATTATCACTTCTATTTAGTTTTTTTTTTTATACTTTAAGTTTTAGGGTACATGTGCACAATGTGCAGGTTAGTTACATATGTATACATGTGCCATGCTGGTGTGCTGCACCCATTAAATTGTCATTTAGCATTAGGTATATCTCCTAATGCTATCCCTCCCCTCTCCCCCCACCCCACAACAGTCCCCAGAGTGTGATGTTCCCCTTCCTGTGTCCATGTGTTCTCATTGTTCAATTCCCACCTATGAGTGAGAACATGTGGTGTTTGGTTTTTTGTCTTTGCGATGGTTTACTGAGAATGATGATTTCCAGTTTCATCCATGTCCCTACAAAGGACATGAACTCATCATTTTTTATGGTTGCATAGTATTCCATGGTGTATATGTGCCACATTTTCTTAATCCAGTCTATCATTGTTGGACATTTGGGTTGGTTCTAAGCCTTTGCTATTGTGAATAGTGCCACAACAAACATACATGTGCATGTGTCTTTATAGCAGCATGATTTATAGTCCTTCGGGTATATGCCCAGTAATGGGATGGCTGGGTCAAATGGTATTTCTAGTTCTAGATCCCTGAGGAATCACCACGCTGACTTCCACAATGGTTGAACTAGTTGACAGTCCCACCAACAGTGTAAAAGTGTTCCTATTTCTCCACATCCTCTCCAGCACCTGTTTCCTGACTTTTTAATGATTGCCATTCTAACTGGTGTGAGATGGTATCTCATTGTGGTTTTGAGTTGCATTTCTCTGATGGCCAGTGATGGTGAGCATTTTTTCATGTTTTTTTAATCTAAAGTCTTAGACTCAAACTAGGGAGAAAATAACATTAAAGTATAAGAATTAGAAAAAACATACATAAAATTATCAAAATTTTTGATATGATTGTATTCATACAAAATCCAAAAGGATCTGAAGATAAACTGTTAGAAGATATAAATCATTAAGATGATATTAAAGTATAAGAATTAGAAAAAAAGTACACAAAATTATTATCAGGCCAAGCATAGTGGCTCATGGCTATAATCCCAGCACTTTGGGAGACTGAGGTAGATGGATCCCTTGATGCCAGGAGTTCGACACCAGACTGGTCAACATGGTGAAACCCCATCTCTACTAAAAATACAAAAATTATCCAGGCATGGTGGTACACTTCTGTAATCCCAGCTACTCAGGAGGCTGAGGTAGGAGAATCGCTTGAACCTGGGAGGTGGAGGTTGCAGTGAGTTGAGATCACACCACTGCACTCCAGCTTGGGTGACAGAGTGAGACTCTGTCTCAAAGAAATAAAAAATAAATAAATAAATTATAATTTTAGTTAATATGATTGTGGTCATGGAAAATCCTAAAGAACCTGTAAATTATTGAAAGAGATAAATCATTAAATAAATTGTTACTTTTTTGGAAATAATGTCACCCAGGCTGAAATGCAGTGGCCTAATCATGGCTCACTGAAGCCTCAAGTAGTCCTCCCACCTAAGCCTCCCTGTAGCTGGGACTGCAGATGCACACCATTGCACCTGGCGAATTTTTGTAGAGAAGGGGTTTTGCTATGTTGCCCAGGCTGGTCTTGAACTCCTGGGCTCAAGTAATTTGCCCACTTCAGTCTTCCAAAGCACTGGGATGACAGGTGTGAGCCGCCACGCCCAGCCAAGTTGTTATAAATTATTAGAAGATTAGTGAAATTATTGATTGAGAGTTATTCACAGTTGCTGAATATTAAATCAAAATAAAAAATAAATTTTAATCCTACTGTCCAGCCACAAATACATAATAAATAAATAAAAACAACTTATTGCACCATCAAAACTTATGAATTAGCTAGTAATAAGGACAACAAAAGTTGTGAAAATTTTCCAGGGGTAATAATACAATTTTACTGAAAAAAGACCCAAAGTTAGAGATATACTACGTTCACAGATATAAAGAGCCAGTATTTTAATGTTATTGTTTTTGCCCAAATTAGTATAAGACATCTATGTTATCCCATTCAGACTCTGCAAATATTTTAGTATATTGGCAAGATAATTCTAATTTTTTGAGTATGATTCAAAAAATAAAGTATACGGCTCAAGAATATAATAATTATAGCTAATGAAAATAATAAAGTGAGAGACTTGCTTTCTCAGATGCCATTATTATAAAGCAATAGTAATAAAGACAATGTGATGCTGATAAATAAGCTAATAGAAAATAGCAAGCCCAGAAATTGACACACTTATAGATGGATCCAAATTTTCACAAAGATGACATTACATAGAAATGGCAGACATGAACTCTCAACATACAGTGTTGAAGAAATTGGAATTTGTATGGAAAAAAAGACAAAATTGATCTACCACCATACATCATAAACAAAGGTAAATTCCAGATAGATCAAAAAGCAAATGTGACTATATGAGAATATCTTAATATCTTAGGAGACAAGCTATAAAAACACCACCCATAGAAAAAGAAATGAATACACATGGCCATATTACAAATAAAATTTTCCTCATTGTAAGACATGATAACAATGTGAAAAGACAGGTAGCAATACTTATAATCAGCAAAAGGGCCTGTACTCAAAATTCATAGACATTTTATAATCCATTAAGAAAAGGAAACCCAAAAGAAAAAGTAAGAACGTTGAACAGGGATTTTACTTATGATGAAAGTCAATGACCTTTACACATATAAAAGGGGACTCAACATGATTAGTAATCAGAAAATTTCAGATTAAAGCCACATAAAGTGATAACTTTGCCCCACCAGATTGGCAAAACTTTACGACCTGACAAATACCAAGAGATGTTTGAGGTTATAGAAACAATCATACACTCCAGCTGGGAGTCTAAATTTTTACAACTTCATAAAAATTCATTTGGCATTATCTTGTGGTATTCACAATCTATATACTCAATGATCAAGACATTTTAGTATTAGATATTTATGCTAGAGAAATGTGTGCTTATGTAGACCAAAGTACCTGTACAGGAATATTAATAGCAGCATTGCTGGAAATGCAATGACGGTCCATCAAGACTAGAGTGGATAAAAATCAATGTAATATGGTTTTATAAAGTGAAATTCTACACATCAACAAAAATGAATGAATGCAGCTGCACACAACATAGTTATGCTTAAGAACATAAATTTGAACAAAAGACTTAAAATGAAACATACAGAATTATTCTATCTACATAAAGTTCAAAATACGCAAAACTGAAATTACTGTGTGTGTACTGAGATAAAATTATCTTTAAAATCAATATGCATATATGAATGCATATATACATATATAAAATCAATATGGATATATAAATTTAATATATATATAGGTATATTAAAAAACAGGGTCTCACTCTGTTGCACAGGCTGAAGTGCAGTGCCTGCTTTAACGGCTCACTGCAGCCTTGACCTTCCTGGGCTAAGGTGATTCTCCTACATTAGCCTCCCAAGTAGCTGGGACTATGGGCACACACCACTATGCCTGGCTAATTTTTGTATTTTTTGTAGAGACGAGGTCTCCCTATGTTGCCCAGGCTGGTCTCAAACTCCTGGGCTCAAGTGATCCATCTGCCTCAGTCTCCCAAAGTGCTGAGATTACAGGAATTAGCCACCATGCCTGACCCTAATATGCTTATAAATTGAGGGAGGTGATTGTGTTCAGGAAGGGTACTCAGGGGGACATTAGGGTCTCTAGGATAATTGTGTCATTCTAATCTTGATTTGGTAGTGGTTATTAAAGATTCATTCTATAATCATTCAACTATACATTTTTATGCTATGATCTCAGCGTATATTTTTATTGTAAATAAAGATTATGTTTTATCCTCCCCCAAAATAAATGACAGCTTTGGAGTAATTTATATGTAAATTAAATGTATGCATTACTGTAGTAAAAAAGTAGTTAAAATCTCATCAGGGACAAAATTGAAAGAAAAAATATTTGGTTCTGATTGAGTATAATAAATACTGTAAGATAGGTCTATTCATTGTTCTGCAAAGTCACACAGAAGTGACCAACTATATCTTACTCTCCCTGAGGCAGGAATCTAAGTATCAAATAGCTTTCTCTTTCTCACATTCCCTATATACCGAGTGCTTCTCTGACCCTTTAATGTAACAAGGTAGAAGAGCACCTAGTATCTAAATATTATTAGTTTTAGAATAAATATTGCAACTTCTTGATTTCCAAGACAAAAGCCTTGGGCCAGTTATAAATCAGGAAATATTAAGATGGACACATGGTCATACAAACTTAGGTTTTGTCCTTTTTTTTCCTGCTCCATACCTAACCAGGAATAGATTCCATGAGCTGGAAATAGAAAAGCAACTGGATAAGAGGCAAGTGCTAGTTGGTCTGTCTGTATTCCAAAGATAGCCTGCGAATCTTAGTAAAAAGAGTACTTGTGCCTCCCTGGTCATGTCTGGAACTCTGGCAGTCAGAAGCTTTTCCAATGTCTCTTGTGTCACACTAATGTGAAAGCAATAGAGCAGAGATGGCTGCAAGGGCTGATAAAGACAGGGTGAAGGTTTGCTCTGTTCTGGAACCACCTGCAGTCCCAAAGCAACACAAAATAGCAGCCAATTCTTCCCGTGCCTATGGAAGGGAGCACAGAAGTTAGCAGAAAGAGGAAACCCGCAGGCCAGAAAGAGAACCTGAAATAAAATATGGAACTTTAAAAGAAATAACAAAGGTTGGCCCATTCTGTGCCTCTGTATCTTTATCTTTGTGCATTGCCTGCTTAAAGGGAACACACTTGAAACAAAATAAGGGCAAATAAAAATCTCAAAAGATCCTAGCATAAAACAGAAATAGATAAGATTGGAATAGACATCATCCTTCAACATTTGTGTTCGCCTCTCCAGAACTTACTATACAATGCTGGGAGAAAAGGGGGAAGATCGGGCTTGGGGAGAGAGAGTGACAAAATTTAAAATGTAAATTAAGAAAATAGAATTTTAGTGAATCTACTTGGAAGTTAATATATGACATTTTCTATATCAGGTGCAATGGAGGCTTGGAATTAACAATTAAACTGACATTTAAAACAAAGAGTTATACTGCATACACTTGAGCTTGGGGCCATTGAATTTTTAACCTGCAACATGTCCACAATTTCCATCTCACTTTTCAGGATTTTGCAGTGGATCTCAATGTTTGCTCTGAAAGCAATGTTTTTTAAAGGCTGTGATGAAATATCTAACTCAGGTTTCCCAGATAGAGCCAATGTTTACTTGAGCAATCTTAATTCAAGAAAAGCTGTGCAAGATGGACTCTGTAATTTAACAATTTAGACAAAGTCTTTCACTTGGTTGATATATTTACAACATCTTGCTATTTTGGTTTCTCCCATTGCAAAGAAATTCCCTAGCACTTAACCATTTAAATGTTAGAGAAAGGTAATTAAGGAATAATTTTCCTGTGGTGATGCCTGTGGTCTTGTCAAATGAATCAGCTGCTAGCATGGCAGTAAAGGTTGTATCCAAACTGAGCATGGTTTACAATAATGGAAGCAGCTGGTTTACTGAGTTAGGGAATGAGAACTGATTATTGATTTGCTATCCTTGTAACGACATCAGTGGAGAGTGATAATGGACTGTACCACTTTGAACAGAGTAAATAGCCATTTTTATATTACTTGCTTTCTTGCAAATTGGCTACTAGCAGTGAGAGTAAAATATATGGCTGTCTCATATCTCGAAGCACTAAACAAATTGCACTAGAGGAACGCTGTGAAGCATGGTAGAACATTTGCTGATATTTACAACTTGAGCTCAGGCTACAAACTCCACATTAAAAAGTTCTCAATTCTCTCCGTTTATTTTCCACAGTCATTTGGGTATTGCGTCCCCAATTTTTAGCTGCTGCAGTTATTTTGGAATAATGCATAATTGTTTTTTACCTCACAACATTGAAGAACACTCTGGGGTTCTTATCAATTTGTCATTTCAGTGAAAAAATATAAGCTATTTTCTGGGCTTGTATTTCTTGAAAAAGGAAAATTATCCATAGAAAAATAATAGAAGGAAATATCAAGATACAAGAATGTTACTTTAAAATGGTTCTTGAATAAAGACAGTGCTGATTTTGGAGCAAAACTTCAATTTTCGCTTTGTCTCTCTTCTTTAATTATGATTTTCCTCCCACTCCTTCCTTTCATAGAGTTGACATTCTGTCAGGAGAAGCTACCTAGATGTACTCATGTCTGAGTCACTCCTCCAACAGCATTTTTCTTTCTTCCTTCGGGAGGTGCTCTGAGTCTGCATACATTTTGCCGTTGATTCTATTTATAAAATGGATTATTTTGTGTGATCTGGACTATACAATCCACTTGTGCCAAGATAAACAGGTGTCTCCATGGCTGGGCATCCACAACTGAAACAGCTAGGAAGGTTATTTTGGATTTTGGAAATATTTTAGCCTCTCACCAGGAGAGTGGATAGTTTACTCCCCAGTTGTGGTAGCTGTATGTTCAGAACAGAGTTCCTAAACACAGTCATACCAACCTGGAGGTCCACTTTGTGTCTTCATGTAGATAATCCATGTCGTTGAAAACAGTAAAGAGATGCCCTTCCTTTCTCCTTGATTCCTCTTGAATACCACTGGATAAATGATTAAAGGTAAAATATGAAGAGAAGAATCCAAGGGCTTTATGCAGGGATTTATGAAGGACAAATTTTCTTGCTCTGATTTACTGGCGGTAGCTTCCTGAATTCTTCCATGGAAAATATTCTGAAGATACATCTAGGTTCAGTGGGAAAGCAGTGCCATGTTGAACACTGATATCTGCATTGGCATGGAATATGGAATAGTACGTATCACATGGTTCCCACTCATGACACATGAATTTCTTGCATTTGTTTGAAGTGTCATAGCTATTGGAGCATTTTCAAATGTTGTATATCATCTAATCAGCATTTGAATATAAATCAGATGCTTTCTTTTTTTTTTTTTAAACACTGGACCACAAGAAGGAGGCTTAAGACATATTACCAAAGTGATACAGACATTGCTTAGTAGTTTAGAGATTGCTTATATTCCTTGCAATTCAATATATGCTAGTACAATCAGGCTTTTAATTTGTTCATAAACTTACTATGAATGTTTTGCTTACAGAGGGCCAAATCCTTCAGGAAAACTTGAAATAGAGAAATGCACTGCACATTCAGGTTTATTCTAATGTTTAGTTTCAACAAAGTCCTCTTTCTCTCTCTCGGGAGTCTTATTTTATAGCATTCATTTTTATTTGGAGATCAAGAGCTATTCCTATGAAACTTTTTACTTTATTTTGAATTCTAAATAAAGCTTGTTTATGATGAAAAATGCTTTTAATTAATGTTTATTTTATTACTTTGCCCCATCATGCAAATATTATTGTAAATGTCTTCAGCCAGAAACAGTATTCAGCCATACTTGTACAATGAAACCAAAACTATTTCATAATAAATACATATCTGAATAGGTACACTGGTTTTATAAATGAATATGTTTCTTTTTATAGCTCAGTGGTCTCAGTTGGAGGTGATTTCATTCCTTAGGGAATATTTGCCAATATCTGAAGACATTTTTAGTTTATACACTAGCACCTGGGGGACTGCCACTGCCCCTTAATGGGCAGAGGACAAGAACGGCCTCTAAAAACACAGGACAACACTGACAACAAAGAATTATTCAAGATTGAGAGAACTGCTGTAACTCTTGGTATAAAGACTCATCTTGTAAGTTATAGTGCTACACATTTTGACTGATTTTCTGCTTAATAACCTAATTGAGGAGCACAAGAGTCTGAAACAGCCATATATCACTTATGAAATTTATCATTATAAATTTAGGTGTTCAATAATCATTATAGCGAATATTTATTAAAATAGACTAAAATGTGACAAATAAACCCTTAAGAGATTTTCAGGATGAAATAATAGAATATGTTTTCTGATCACAGTGAAATGAAACTAGAAATTAATGAGAAAGAAAAAAGTTTCAAAACTTTAAAATTAAAGCAAAAATACTTTTAAATTGCCCAAGAAATAACAAAATGGAAGAAAATAATAAAGAATTGTAAAATATTTTTAAAGAAACGATCAAAATATGACATATCATCATGAACCTATATTGCCAGGATATCCCTGATGAACATCGACGCAAAAATCCTCAGTAAAATACTGGCAAAACGAATCCAGCAGCATATCAAAAAGCTTATCCACCATGATCAAGTGGGCTTCATCCCTGAGAAGCAAGGCCGGTTCAACATATGCAAATCAAAAAATGTAATCCATCATATAAACAGAACCAAAGACAAAAACTACATGATTATCTCAATAAATGCAGGCCTTGGACAAAATTCAACAGCACTTCATGCTAAAAACTCTCAATAAATTAGGTATTAATGGGACATATCTCAAAATAATAAGAGCTATTTATGACAAACCCACAGCCAATATCATACTGATTGGGCAAAAAGTGGAAGCATTCCCTTTGAAAACTGGGACAAGACAGGGATGCCCTCTCTTACCACTCCTATTCAACATAGTATTGGAAGTTCTGGCCAGGGCAATCAGGCAGGAGAAAGAAATAAAGGATATTCAATTAGGAAAAGAGGAAGTCAAATTGTCCCTGTTTGCAGATGACATGATTGTATATTTAGAAAACCCCATCATCTCAGCCCAAAATCTCCTTAAGTTGATAAGCAACTTCAGCAAAGTCTCAGGATACAAAATCAATGTGCAAAAATCACAAGCATTCTTATACACCAGTAACAGACAGAGAGCCAAATCATGAGTGAACTCCCATTCACAATTGCTTCAAAGAAAATAAAATACCTGGGAATCCAACTTACAAGGGATGTGAAGGACCTCTTCAAGGAGAATTACAAACCACTGCTCAATGAAATAAAAGAGGACACGAACAAATGGAAGAACATTCCATGCTCATGGGTAGGAAGAATCAATATCATGAAAATGGCCATACTGCCCAAGGTAATTTATAGATTCAATGCCATCCCCATCAAGCTACCAATGACTTTCTTCACAGAATTGGAAAAAACTACTTTAAAGTTCATATGGAACCAAAAAAGAGCCCACATTGCCAAGACAATCCTAAGCCAAAAGAACAAAGCTGGAGGCATCATGCTACCTGACTTCAAACTATACTACAAGACTACAGTAACCAAAACAGCACAGTACCGGTCCCAAAACAGAGATATAGACCAATGGAACACAACAGAGCCCTCAGAAATAATACCACACATCTATAACCATCTGATCTTTGACAAACCTGACAAAAACAAGAAATGGGGAAAGGATTCCCTATTTAATCAATGGTGCTGGGAAAACTGGCTAGCCATAGGTAGAAAGCTGAAACTGGATCCCTTCCTTATACCTTACACAAAAATTAATTCAAGATGGATTAAAGACTTAAATGTTAGACCTAAAACCATAAAAACCCTAGAAGAAAACCTAGGCATACCATTCAGGACATAGGCATGGGCAAGGACTTCATTTATGCCTAAAACACCAAAGCAATGGCAACAAAAGTCAAAATTGAGAAATTGGATCTAATTAAACTAAAAGAGCTTCTGCACAGCAAAGGAAACTACCGTCAGAGTGAACAGGTAACCTACAGAATGGGAGAAAATTTTTGCAATCTACTCATCTGACAAAGGGCTAGTATCGAGAATTTACAAAGAACTTAAACAAATTTACAAGAAAAAAATCAAACCACCCCATCAAAAAGTGGGCAAAGGATATGAACAGACACTTCTCAAAAGAAGACATTTATGCAGCCAACAGACACATGAAAAAATGCTCACCATCACTGGCCATCAGAGAAATGCAAATCAAAACCACAATGAGATACCATCTCACACCAGTTAGAACGGTGATCATTAAAAAGTCAGGAAACAACAGGTGCTACAGAGGATGTGGAGAAATAGGAACACTTACACTGTTGTGGGACTGTAAACTAGTTCAACCATTGTGGAAGTCAGTGTGGTGATTCCTCAAGGATCTAGAACTAGAAATACCATTTGACCCAGCCATCCCATTACTGGGTATATACCCAAAGGATTATAGATCATGCTGCTATAAAGACACACGCATGTATGTCTATTGCAGCACTACTCACAATGGCAAAGACTTGGAAGCAACCCAAATGTCCATCAATGATAGACTGGATTAAGAAAATGTGGCACATATACACCATGGAATACTATGCAGCCATAAAAAAGGATGAGTTCGTGTCCTTTGTAGGGACATGGATGAAGCTGGAAACCATCATTCTCAGCAAACAATCTCAAGGACAGAAAACCAACCACCACATGTTCTCACTCATAGGTGGGAATTGAACAGTGAGAATACTGGACACGGGGTGGGGAACATCACACACTGGGGCCTGTCTTGGGGTGGGGGGAGTGGGGAGGGATAGCATTAGGAGATATACCCAATGTAAATGACGAGTTAATGGGTGCAGCACACCAACATGGCACATTTATACATATGTAACAAACCTGCACGTTGTGCACCTGTACACTAGAACTTAAAGTATACTAAAACATAAAAATAAAAAAATTATTTATCTAAGTTAAAACTTAGACAAAAGTCTTAAAATGTTACATATGAAATTCTGGAATATGTAAAAGGACTTATACATAATGACTAAGACTCGTTTATTCCCAGAATGTAAGATTAGTGTAACATTTTAAAATAGCACAATTTACTATATTAATAGCAAAAGAAATGGGAAAAAGTATATTGTCATCTCAGTCTACTCAGAAGAAACTTTGAACATAAAATTCAATACACTTTCATAACTAAAAACAGACAAACAAACCAACAAACGAAAAAAACCAACTCTCAGGAAGCTTGAACTAAATGGGAAGTTCTTTAATCTGATTAAAAATACGTATTTTAAAAACCTACAGCAGGGCCGGGTGCGGTGGCTCACGCCTGTAATCCTAGCACTTTGGAAGGCCGAGGCAGGCGGATTGCCAGAGCTCAGGAATTCGGGACCAGCCTGGGCAACACAGTGAAACCCCATCTCTGCTAAAATAGACAACACAAAAAATTAGCCAGGCATGGCAGCAAGCGCTTGTAGTCCCAGCTACTCAGGAGGCTGAGGCAGGAGAATTGCTAGAACCCGGGATGCCGAGGTTGCAGTGAGCTGAGATAGTGCCACTTCACTCCAGCCTGGGCAACAGAGTGAGGAGTGAGACTCTGTCTCTAAAAAAACTGCAGTTAATATCACACTTAACGGAGAAATAGTATACACTTTCCTCTTGAATTTGGGAATAAGTCAGTGGTGTCCATTTTTGTAACTTAATCATTTCCAATGTACTGGAGTGCACAGGGCAATGTGTATTATTTTGTTTCTTTGTTTTTTTGGAGTGATGCTCTCTCTTTCTCTAAAGGTAGTTTTTAGTTACTATTCGGGCAGGCTCTGTGGAGTAAGTGAAAAAAATGACGTATAAATGTGTCCTGTCTTTTCAAATTCAATGAGTTCTAAAAATTTCTAAAAATCATTTATAAATGAGTTGAATGTGAATACGTTTCTTCTCCTTAGCATTAGCGAATTTCCTATCTCTCTACCCTAGTATGGGGAATAAAAGGGTATATATGTATTGGCTTAAAAATACTTATCTAGATTTCTAATGCTTTATGAATGTATTTCTGGAAAGTTATTTTAATTAAAGAGACCCAATATTTCTTTGTGTTATATACCTGCTCAGAAAATAGAGAAACGTTGAAGTATTAATTTGCAAATGTGTATAGAAGTAGCAAATGACCTCGGCAGTGGTGAGACATCAGCCTTGTCCCATCAGTTCCATCAATCCAGCCATTGACCTAAGAATGCACAAACTAAAGGAAAAAAGTCTCTTGGTCTCTTGATCCAGCCATTGACCTAAGAATGCACAAACTAAAGAAAAAAAGTCTCTTGGTCAAGAACCATTAAAAATTTCATTCCTCATGTTGGAATTTTTCCTTTATTTTACCTAATTTTTGTGAGACATGTAAGACACTTGGTATTAATAATAATATTGCCTTATATGGGTGAAAACTAAGACCCTGAAAAATTAAGGAAATTGAGGAATCTCACAAGCAACTGGTACTTAATGAATACCATGCAGCCTAGGCCTTAGGAATACAGACTTAGAACCTGAATTCTGTTTTAAGTACTTTGCTTGATGATGCGCAGTTGTGAACTTACCTGAGCCAATTGTCTTTTCCTCACCAGAAAGCTTTGTAGAGATGCTGATTATTTTTAGTCTAGCTACACTTTTTTCTAAAGACTCAGATACAGTCCCTCTCTCTTAAATATATGTGTTGATATTATGTGATCATGACCACAGCTGAGATAACTGGATGACAAGCAATTCCAAAAATGGATGTCTGAAGAAGGAGCTGAGGGACACCTGACCACAGTGTTACACCAAAGGGAGGTGGGAAAGTGTTGCACCCCAGCGCAATAAGAGGATGCTTTGTTTATAGATCATTTACAAATGACAATAAAATTGACTAAAAGTACTTTTCATTATCACAATATACCAGACATCCTAAACAAATTCAAAGTCAGTGATAAAATATTCCTTTCCTCCAGAGAAAACTGTTTCCACCAAATCTCCCATTCCTACCTTTGGTACACCACTGCCCAATAGTCACATACATATTTACATTTCTTGTTGGTATCTTTTGGATTGTGTGTATTAACAGTACATAGGCAACATATGAAGCATATTCAAACAGAGATACTTATGGTCACTACCCTTACTGTCTGATGCCAAACTCTATTTCTTTTTTTTTTTTTTCCGAGCCAGAGTCTCGCACTGTCGCTCAGGCTGGAGTGCAATGGCGCTATCTCAGCTCACTGCAATCTCCGCCTCCCAGGTTCAACCAATTCTCCTGCGTCAGCCTCCCGAGTAGTTGGGATTACAGGCACACACCACCATGTCCGGCTAATTTTTGTATTTTTAGTAGAGACGGGGTTTCACTAAGTTGGCCAGGCTGGTCTTGAACTCCTGACCTTGTGATCTGCCTACCTTGGCCCCACAAAGTGCTGGGGTTGCAGACGTGAGCCACCACACCCGGCCCAAACTCTATTTCTTTTACCACTGTTCTATAAGAATAAGCCTCTCTGCTTCAAGAGCTTTCTGGTTCCAGCTCTGCATTGCCATATTTTAACCAGTTTTCTTTTGTATGTTTTTGTAATTAAGCAACCCTATATGTATATACTGTTGTAAAGCTTAAATGAGGCCCTATAGAAAGTGCTTTGAATAATCCTTTGCTTGTGAGCTCTGAACACCTTGTAGCTATCGATGTAATGATGTTTTTGATGACAATATTTTTCACCTTCAGGAAGCTTAGCAAAAGGGAAAAGGCATGGGTCAGGGGTTCTGGATTCAATTTAGTTTTGCCATTGAATAGATCTGCTCTAGTCATAATCTGTGAATTTCATGGTTTTTTTTAATCTATAGATGATGATAATCATCTATTCTCTGACTACGTCTCAGGATTTCTGTGAAGATCAAATAAAATCATATATCTGAAGGTTTTTTTTTTTTTAATAGTTAAGATATTTAGAAAACACAAGAAGCTGTGTCTCCTGGTCCGTGGGTTTGAGCTCTGTCGGTTATCGCACACTGCTTTTGAGAGCAGTTTGGTTTCCTGTTTTCCACAGTTAAGTCTCTAACTGTAAAATCTCCAAAATACAGGGAGATTTTGAAGGAGACACAAGAAAAATGTGTGCAAAACATAATCTACAAACAGAAATGAAGCTTTGTTATTGTATCACTTCATGTTTAGTGGTTTCCTTTTGAAAACATTGAAAAAGTAAGCTTGTTACGTCCACCTACCCCCACTCTGTCTATGTCCACCCCTATCCTGATGAAAGCTTTGGGCTGGGCTTACCTTTGCAAATCCTCGGAAAGCTTGCTGCTGTCTTGGCACCTTGTGCAGAGGGAGATTTCAGGGTGGTTATCTTTTGAGTTCCCCAATCCTTTAAAGAAGCTGTATTTCTAATCTGTGGCATGAAGACCTTTTGCTTATCCCGTTAGATTAAATCACAGGCCTCCTTATCAGTGCAGAGTGGAGAGAAGCCTTGCAAATTGAATATAGACTTTACCTGTGAGCAGCATGGAAAATCAGCTGAAACTAGTGCATCATTGCAAGTAACAGGCATTGTTGGTCCAGGTGTTTCTCCAACCACAGCTCACACCTGCATTCAGAATGCAATTGTGCCTCCTCTAAATTAAGAATTTAGCAACATATCAGGTTGAAATAACTAATAGAGGAAAATCACTTATAGTGAAAGTTCTGTTGTGGTTCAAAAAAAATAACAAAGAAAATAGGTAAACTACTGAGTCATCTCACACGTAGCCAAGGACTTTTATCTGGTCTGCTGGGGTTTTTTCCTTAAAAAGTTGTTGAGGTCTGAAGAAAAATAATACCCAAGACAAGTATCCACACTGTGTGTGATATCTCTTAACAATTTGTATGCCCATGCTCACCTCACCATTCAGGGTAGGTAGCATGATGTTGTAAACAAAACAAAACTGTGAGATTCTTTGGTCAGTCGAACTTGAATTCCTGGCTCCACACGTCTTTTCTGGGTAAACCTAAGGGTAAACTAACTTAGGCTTTTCTTTTGGAAAACATTGCCTATTTTTGAGTTTCTTTAAAGATAAAAAACATATGTAAAATAACAGGCTTATATTCTGATAAAGAGTAAGGGCCCTGTATATGTTTGCCTCCTCTCTTTTATTTCCACTTAGGAAGCTGTATATAGAGATACCAATTTTGTAAATCAGTAATTGGCTTGTACTTTATAATGCCACAGGGACCTCTGAGAAATTTCTTACGGACACTGTTGCATCTGATCCTCTGGCCCCTCAAGACAAAGTCAATCTAGGTTTAGAACAGTTAGAGCTCTTATAGCTGTATCCATGTGTGCCGATATTAAATGTCGACCAAAGACAGAGCACGTTGTGCTAATTGTAATACATGCACCTATAAGCATGCAAATTGGCTTTGGTCAGAACTGAAATTCCCAGCAGCCCCCAGGCCTCCTGTAAGGAAACATGTATTATCAGATTTTCTTCAAAGGTAAAGAAGAGTCAGTTGTTAGGTGCCTGAGTTAATTACATAAAAATACCACCTGAGGCTTAATCAAATATTTTCTGATTAGCAGTCAGTACAACAGCTCTAATCTAATAAACTGACAATCAGCGGTAATGGGAGCTGCTAGACAGGAGGGAAGACCCTTCTTTGGTGTTAGGGCCACTCTGTGACCAGTCATTGCTCAGGCTTTCTTTGTCTGGATGACCTGGTTTCCATAGTGCTGGGAGAAAGCTCAGCATAAGTAGAAATGCCTTTGAAAAAGATATGAATTGTTGGGGTGGGTCAATCCATAACTCTGAAGTCTCTGGGGCTTGGGAGGCTTAAAAGGACAGTAGTCAAGTAATGTGGGGTGAGATATCTAGACTCTTAGCTTCGGCAGTGAAGGACCACAGTGGACATCTCTCATCTGCTGCACTGATTTGTCCTGCACTGCACTCCTGGGGCAGTTAATACATTTCTGTCATTCAGCACCTTCTGTACTCTGCTTTGTGATTGTGGAACTTAGACTCTGAAAACCACATTTCTGCAGGAGAGATACTGCAAAGCTGAAGGAAGAATAGATTTGCTCCTGTCTGTTTTATTTCCTACAGGGTTTCTTTCTGCTTTCTGTTCTTGTGGTCATCACCCCATCAATGCTTCTTCACCTGCGCAGCAGCAGTTGTTTCTCATAGGAGCCACTGAGACCAGTTTGTGGTATTTCCAACACTCACAGAAATCACCTTAGTGATCCTTTTCAAAAATGTCCATACCAGATATCTGGACTTCCATCCTCAGAGGTCACGGTTTCAGGCCCACAGAGCCCCTCTTGAAATCACTCTTCTCCAAGCACCAGTCATGCAATAGAGCCTCCTCAGAGTTCTGAGTTTCAGCTCCAAGTGGTCCCTCTTCCAGGCTTTACAAAGTGCAACCTTTGGCCTTTGTTGCCCAGTCCAATCAGGATAGCTTCTTCTGGTAATTGTTGCCTTAAAATTAACTTTTAACGTTAGTCATCTGGTTAACGTTATAACTAGTTAACAATTCTTTGTAGTAAATCATTTTCATTAAAATTGCTGGTGTGATTTCTATCTCCCCTCACAGCTATAGAAATTGGTACCAAAAAACAGATAATGCAAGACCAGACTTGCAGATTTGTTTGGGAATATCTTTGAATTTGAATGTAGAGCTGAGCCTTTGCCAATGGAAAATGGGTGCCAGTAATGCATGGCATGCAGTGGCATCACAATTAACAAAACTGTCACCTGAGCTAAATGGTGATGATATACTTACTTAATATTTCTGTCTTCTGATGGGACTCTAAATAATGGGTTCATATTTTGAGTCTCTTGGAGAGAAAACCGTAACTGCCTGTGGCTTTCCTTGGCTAGTAGGATAAAATAAAAACTTATTCCCATGGCTTTTACTTCTCTATAACATCTGGTCCCCTTCCAATGTCATCTACCCATCTGTCCTTGTTTGCAAACCTCCAATCTTCCTCCCAGACCACCTGGAAGAAAACTCTGACCCATCTAATGGCCTTTGACGTAATGGTTCCATCCAGTTGGAATGCTCTTTACCCAGATTTTGTACGGCTGGCTTCTGTCCATTATTCAGGATGTAGGTCAAATGCTGCCTTAGCAAAAAGTCATTCCCTGACCAAAAAATTACCACGTCTATCTGGGAAAGTTGGTCATTACCTTGACACTTGAATATCACTCATATTAACTAAGAAAATAAATAGAATAACGTTAATTGTATTTCCAGTGAGTTATATTCAAGGGAGGATACAGTTGTATATCATTGTTTAAGTAATCAAAACTCTACTACTTAGTTCCACATGTGTCCTTTAACTTTATTTTTTGCAAATAGAAAATACTTCTTAAGGGGGAAAGGAAATTAATAGATAGTTATTATAAGATGAGCCATGATTATAAGATCATTACCAACTTAACATATATCTACTGATTTTTGCCCTGGCCATTTTTCCAAAATGGAATTGCGCTCATTGGGGATGTTAATTGCATATAAAAATGTGTAAAAGTAGCATAGGTTATAACTATAAAAGAATTGTACAATTTCAAAAGTGAATTGAAAAAGTATACATAATTAATAAACACATAAAATGTATGGAAAATGAGACATTTGGACAGGCAAAGTTGAAATGGGCATTAAAATGGTAAATCGTTAACAGAAAACACAGGGAACTAACTACTCCTCTTTGTTACAGGACAAATATGAAAACATAGATAAGCTTGCGGATGTCATTTTAATATTAATAGAAGAAATTTGCCCACTCCTGGATAAGATAGAGGATGAAATTTTAAGTTAGAGTGTCTCCTTGCTTCATAGTTCTGGAAGCTTCTGACACCCTCTGGAAGCTCTCAGCATTCTCCAGAAGTACTTGGCAGCCTTTATAAATGTTCATCACACACCAAATATCACAATGGTTGAGAGCACTTGGAATCTTGCAATAGGCACAGCTGGGGAAAGCTGGGAGCAACAAAAGCAGGGAGAAACGAGGAAAGGTTGGCAATTAGAAAAGGAAAACACAGCTTTCTTGGCAGGTACTAGTCAGATGATACACGGTAAGAGATTCCCTCCTCATTCGCTAAACTCAACTGCCCAGCCAGGCAACCTTTGATTCTGCCAAAAAGCCAGAATGGAATTCAGGGTGAGAAATTTGTTCCTCAATTCTGGAAGATTTTTAGGACATAAGACTGTGGCTTGCTTTTCCCATGACTCCTTATATTCAACTAGGCATATCTCAGAGACATGTTATATAAACACAGATGTTAAAACTTCCTGGAATACGATGTTATTTTGTTTACCTTGAGAGTGTAGACTTTTTCAGTGATCCGTGTTAACATACTGTCAGAACACAGAAAATGCTGGCCTAAGTGCTCCACCAGCCACTCCCCACTACCATGTACATACACACTTGCTATGCTTTATAATTAAATTATCTAAAGCAACTCAGTGCTCTCCATCCATATTGGCTACTTTGCTTGGAAACCTGATGATAAGCCAGTTATTTCATCACATTAATATGAAACAGATTTAAACCAAAGTCTTCATTCCAGATAGTCTGATTAAATTGGATTAGGATCAGATTAAAAAATTAGCTTCTGAGAGAAAACTCCCCTGAGCAAAAGGAAACAGCAGATATGTTAAGCATTCATAAAATAGAAAAGATTTATATCTCTACTAGGCTTATTTCTTGCTTATAATATTCCATCCTATTAAAAATGGAAAATAGATTTTCTAATGTAGAAACATCCATGGAACGGCACAAAGGAAAGATAAGGGTCAAAAAAATTTTGAAGTAGACTATCTTGGGTCACATGTTTTCTCTTTTTTCTGCAATGCTGGTGTAGTTGAGCTTTCAAAGCAACTAGAGACTTGAAAATTTAGAGACACCTAAGTCATCCAAGTTTCTTTCTGAGGTCAAAGGATAGCTATTATTCATATGAAAAGAAGAATGTCAAATCAGATAGTTTAACTCATAATGCCCAAAATAGAACCTTCTATTTAGATTAATATGCCTTTAGTTCATTTATCAATTTGTTTGAATTAAAATCAAGCAATAGCCCACCTTGTTCTCAAAGGACTTAAGATAGGTAAAATAGTGCAAGCAGTTTAGTGGATGCAGGAACTTTCAAATAGAAAAATGAAATGAAACAAGGAAATGGAAGATGAAAAATTATGGTGGGATCAAAAATGAATTTAATACAGTAATAGTTTACTCTTCACTTGCATTAGATGGATAGCAAAGTTGGCTCCAAGCTTTCTAGCAAGTAGTGGTCATAAAGAAACATTATTATTCACATGGCTCACAGTGGCCAAAATAGAATATGAACCAGTTAGGCCAGTAAAGCAACTTTTACCTGATATCAAAGAGGACATAATTTCTCCCATGAGGTTTTTATTTTTTTATTATTTTTTTTAGGTTTGGAGGTAGATGTGAAGGTTTGTTACATAGATAAACATTGTCATGGGGGTTTGTTGTACGTATTATTACATCATCCAGGTATTAAGCTCAGTACCCAACAGTTATCTTTTCCAAATACAAAAGGAATGTCTATTCTAATCACAGGATAAGTTTCAAAGGATTGTTTCACGTAATGCTTCTCACTATAGGCTATCAGCTATCATGCTAGTTATAAACACATTAAAACACATAGTTCTAATCCAAGAGAAATTGCGGTTGAATGACATGATGCAGCCAAAGAATAAGACTGTGAGGATTCATCTCAGAACAGAGGTAGATAATACATGATTTAGACCAGTGGTTATTGCTCTGAATGAACATTAGAAAGATTTGAGGTGTTTTTAAAAATACTGATGAGCACACAGGATCCCATACAAGTTAAATCATAACCTCTATGGGTGAATCCCACACAAAAAAGATGTTTTTAAAAGCTTTTCAGATGAGTTTAATGTGTTTCTGTCAATGATTGAAGAGAATGGATGAACTGCATAGCATTTTATCAACACATCATAAATTGTGCTTTTTGTCACATTTTGGAAACTGAGCCATAGTAGGTCTGAAATGCACTTATGAAAAAACATTGGAAGATAAATAAGTGGGAGGTTGTATTGCAAGATAAATAAAAAGCCATGTGCTATGGCAACTAATACTGCTGAGGGTACGATTAATGTTCTCATCTAAAACTGATGATCATGGCAAGGCTATGCCTGCCAAGACAGACGTAGATCTTCTGTACAGAAGAAGCATCTATGGACAAAACTAAATTTTCTCTTTGGGAATGAATAGTAGTAAAACCTAATGGATGAAAAGCTGCTGATTTCTTTCACATTGGAAAAGCACTTTTATGTCCAAATCCAGCACTCTCTGAAACGTCTATTCATTCTTCGAATTTCAAACCTCCAAAATTTGCTCTACAGGATAAACACCACTAAGGACACTAAAGAAAGAGAAAACATATCCCCCTTGATTCCATGTCCTCTTCCAGCTACCCTCCTTTATTCCACTTCCCAGTTCTGTAGAACTTCATAAGATTTATTTATCATAAGATTCATATTATTTATCTCTACTGCCTCACTTCTCATTCTCTATTCATCATAACCTAGTTAGGTTTTAGTATCCAATATCACACCAAAGAGGTCTGGGAAAGTCACTGTGGTAGCCAGCAGCCTGCACAATGGTCCTTCATGATCCCTACATCCTGCTATTGTGTATCCCCATGTTCTCTTCTGTACTGTACTAAGTTTGTTCTGTGTGATTAACAGCACATGGTGGAAGTGATGGCATGCCGCTTCTGAGATTGGATTATAAAGACTGCAGTTTCCATTTTCGGCACTTGTGTTCTCTCTTTCTCTCTTGGATTTTCTCATTCTGAGATACCACACTGAGAGAACATTCAGACAGCCCATGGAAAGCTACTCATATAGTGAGGAACTGAAGATTCAGGTCCACAGGCAGCAAGGAACAAAGGCTTGCCAATAGCCATGCAAGTGAGCATCATATGAGACCCTCCTTGGAGAAACTTCACAAGGCTACAGCTCCAGCCAATAACTAAATTGCAACGTAATGACAGACCCTGAGTCAGAAGCACCCAACTGAACCGCTCCCAAGTGTCTGACCCTCAGAAACTATGCAAAATAATAAATGCTTCTTGTTTTAGACAAGTCGATTTTAAGGTACTTTGTAGGCAGCAATAAATAACTAATGTGATCAGCAACATCTTCAATCTTGCCAAATGCAACAATCATTTGTCTTCAGCAGTATTTGAGATAGTAGATCATACCTTACTTGAAATGCTTCCATGGTCTTAGATTTCAGGACACCACAACAAATCTCTTAGTTTTCCTTCATTCTCATTGATCTGTTCTTATTCTTCATTGCTGCCACCTCCTGCTCTCCTCGCTCTATAAAAGTCAGAGTGCCTAAGCTGTTAATTTGCAAACCCCTTCTTAATCTACCCTCTATTCATAGTTTATATCCAGAACTATGGTTTAATATAATCGTAAGGCCATTGACTTTTGAATACGTAGCTCCAGTCTTAGTCTCACTGGACTAGGTCCTATATCTAACCACTACCACAAAGTCTCCTATGGGCATCTAAGGCTCAAAGTCAATATGCTTAAAGTAAAGCTGTTTCTCCCCTCATGCCTATATCTCAATTAGAACTTTCCATCTCAGTAAACAGCACCAACATTGGCCCAATTGGGAGAGATCTTTGATTCTCTTTCTGTCTTCTTTGGCTATTCAGAGGGCTAATTGACTCTTTGAGCATGACAGCATGTGCGTAACTGAAGAAGTTGTTAGACAAGAAGAATTTTAGGTCTCACACCAGACCTACTTAACAAGAATTTGCATTTTAACAAAATTCCTAGTTGATTCATATACAAAATTATGCATGGGAAGCACTGACCTAGAGGACAAAATTCCATAGACAGTAAGCATTTGTGTTTTGAAGATCAGCATCCCCTCAAGCTGCTCTTTAAAATAGGGTTTGTTTGTTTAATAACTTTTCAAAACACTGTGTAAAGCATAATTTAGATTTTCAAATTTTCCTACAATAAAAATGTATTGAAATCTGTTTAATAGAGTTTTTTTTTTCCCCCAAACCAGCTAATTCATAGGACCATGAAGTTGAGTTTCTCTTTCTTAGCGCCTCTCCACCCTACCTGGCATTTCTCTCCTAGTTAGCATTTATTAACATCTATTGGGAATTCCATTCCATTTCACTGAGAAACACAGTGCCTGATAATTTCTCAATCATTATTGTTTGGTATCAGCCTTATAATTCATTTGTTCAGTCACCCATTTATTTAACAAACGTTTACTACTCTACATAGAACCTACCCTGTGCAAGACAGCCTCCTATGTATGAGAGATAAAGCAAGGTGAGTCAAAGCTCTTCCTACTTTGGAACTTTTTCTCTGAAGGCTGCAGTGTCCAGTATGATCATGACTTGGTGGAGCCACCCTCAGCCATGTGAAACTGGGGTTTAATTACATATCCCATCATTGATGATTCTGCAAACCTCAGAAAATAGTGGATAGAAATAACCTGGGTGGCATCAGTAACTAATGCTCTTATCTCACTTCTATGTGGGGAAGTCGGGCTCTGAGATGACAACACCCCATCTTCTTTCTCATGTAGACTGTCTAGGCACCTTGTGGCTGTCTGTATCTTCTTTTCCTTCTGAATTCTGTGGCTGATCCTGATATTTCACATTAAATGGGAATAAAACATTAATGGGTCAGGAGTCTCACAAAGTTTAGTTTTTCCCTCTAAACCGCATGCCTGCCATGGGATGGTTGTTTATGTTGAATAATACATTTTGAAGCCCTCTTGGTTGCAAAATGTTTTCCCACTTATTTTCACTTGGTTGTGTATGATTATTCAAGATTTAACTTCAGCATCTTCTCTTTTAGTAAGACTATTTTGAATCCCTACCATGGACTTCTGCTATGTTCGTGTAGCATCCTGTGTACCCTAATTACATTCACTTATCACATTAAATTAAAATTGCCTATATGTCTTTTTATCTCTTTGATTAGACCTTAATTCTCTCAAAGGTAGAAGTCCTCATTTATTCACCATAGCAATGCCCTCTAGTTCACTACTTAGCTCATAGTAGGCATTCATTAAGTATTTAATAACCTAAGCCAAGTAGCATATTTGTAAGCTGAAATACTATTTTTTGTTGTTGCTGTAGATAAATTTGAACCGCGGGATTCAAATAGCATAATTTCTGGATCTCCGAATAGTTATTGAAGGTCAGTGGGGGTCATGACCTATAGGTGCCAGACAAATAAGGTAAAGGAGCTGGCTTAAGGCACAGAAGAGTGTTACAGAGGGTGGTAAAATAGGTCTAATGTTGTCACATCTTATGCCTTAAAACGAAAAGTTTCATAATGTGTACATATACCAAAATATCATGTTGTACACAACAAATACATACATTTTTTCTGTCAACTTTATCTCAATAAAGCTGGGGGGAAAGTCCATAAATATGTTTTATAATGTAAAGTTAAGCCATTTTTTAATGCTTTATAAAATACTGTGTAGAATAAACAAGCTGGTGAGACCTTTCAGTGGATTTTTTTTTGAAGGTACCCTTTTTTTATACTGCAATTTTTCTTTATATCAAATATAAATATTCATGGTAGGAAAATTAAAAATCTGCAAAGCCCAAATAAAGATATAAAAGCACCCATAATACTTACCACCTAGACCTATATACACCTGCATATTATAGTATATATATATATATATATATATATATACATACATACACAGACACATTCGACAATACATAATGTAAAACAAATTTCAGTTTTAGATAGTTCTGTTTTCCTTTAAAAATTCAGACATGAGTCTGGGCACAGTGGCTTACACCTGTAATTCCAGCATTTTGGGAGGCCAAAGCAGGAACATCATTTGAGGTCAGGAGTTTGAAACCAGCCTGGCCAACTTGGTGAAACTTCATCTCCACTAAAAATACAAAAAATTAGCCGGGCATGGTGGTGGGTGCCTGTAATCCCAGCTACTTGGGAGGCTGAGGCGGGAGAATCGATTGAACCTGGAAGGCGGAGGTTTCAGTTAGCCCAGATCAGGCCACTGCACTCCAGCCTGGGAGACAGAACGAGGCTCCGTCCTGAAAGAAAGAAAAAAAAAAAATCAGACATGAAAAGCAACTTTTATGTGTCTTTAAGTATTTATATGTTTATTCAACTAATATTTAGTGATTATCTTGAATGTACCAGGAGCATAATAAAACATACCATTATTTAATTAATCATTTATTGTTGGACACATAAATTATTCCAGTGCTTTGCCATTATCAATGCAGATGTGATGAACATTTCTTTGCACAAAATGTTATGAAAGGCTTAATTTTCACACACTGTATCACTCTTTGTTTAGATACATACGGTTTTTGAAAAGGGAAAAATAAACCTGAGTGGAATCTTAAGTTACAAAATTTTGCCATCTACCTAAAAAAAATCTGACAATTATTTTAGAAAAATTCCATAGGGTCATTTTATATAAAATCCACATTGAAGCACAATCCTCTATGTTTTTTAACTAAGCAGAATAATGACCGATGAAAAAGTTTCCTTCTAATTAGAACTCCAGGAACATTCTGATATAAATGCAGTCCAGAGCCTGAAGTTTGGAAGTCTGCCACCTGATTTTCCACTGCATAAGGTCTTTTAAGCATAAGACACTTAAAAAGCTCACATCCCTGCTGCAATTTAGAGGATTGTTCCAATGAAGGGGAGGAGAAGAAACTTTATTAACTAGCTACTATTTGGCAGGCACAGTGGCTGATACCTACCAGGTATTCAATAAATATTTTCTAAAGAACTGTTGTTTTACAAGCTCTCTAATCTTGGAAGACTAATTAATCTCTTGTTATCTCAGTTTCCTTGTGTTTAATAATTACTACCTGTAAATTCCTATAAAAGCCCTGTGGAGTTTTGACATATCTTACATTACATATGAGAAAACGGAATCTGATATTTGCTAAAGATCTTCTCAGTCTCACCCACTAAACACTGTAGTGGCTGAACTTGCACTTGGATCACATAATCAAGTCTAAAAATAGCTCCCATCTCTTAACATTGCCTGATGGATCCAGTTCATTCTTGTGCTAGTGGAGCTGTCCAACATTCAGCAAGACAAGAGGACACAGAATACTGCACAATTTGCATCAAATGTCACTAATGGCTGAGGATGCCGGTGGACGTTGGGCCAGTTAGAGTAATCACTAATTTACTGATACCTTCAGAGTCTCTAGTCCAAATCCACCCTCACCTAATGCTTGAATTCACCAAAAATAGCTCATCGTGTAGCTGTACAATCTGTGCTTCAAAACATGTTAGAGCAGATCCCAAGGTAGCCCCTTCTATCTTTTGCCTTTTCTAATCTCAGAATTGCCTGTTGGAATTAATTAAATCAAGATCATGTCACATAAAGGTAAAAAAGAATATAAAATCCACTCCCATTTTAAAGAATTAATATAGCTGAGGTTTTCTACTAGATTTTTAAACTGCATTATTTTATTTAATTATCTTAAACCTATGGGATAAATTCTCATAAAAATGTGACTTAACAATGAATGTCTTAAGGTCATAGAAATATGACATAGTTAAATTGGTAGTGTACATGAGATCTGTATTATTCTGAAGCTGAACTTTTGAAATATAAAGCAAGAATTGTATAAACTTCAAGTGTCCACTCATTTGTGCCAGGGTCACTGCAGTGCACTGCACAATTCCAGAGAGCACTATTCATTTGCATGCATTGTACAGGGAACCTGATTGGTTATGAAATTAATTCAGTGCATTTCAACTTGCATTAAAAAATTCTAGGTAGAAAATATCAAATATCAAATGCATTACACGTAGTAGTATAAGTTGTTTTCTATAAAATTTGGTGTATGTAGAGAGGGTATGGTTGGAAACAACATCACATAAATGCTGAGAACACAAACTTTGGAGCCAGATTAAATGGCTTCTAATGCTGCATCTGCCATTAGCCATCTGCTTGTGCTTTTGTAACTTACTTTACTTCTCCGTGGCTCAAACCTGTTCATTATCTGTAAATTAGA
Organism: Homo sapiens; assembly: GCF_000001405.40. NCBI lineage: Eukaryota > Metazoa > Chordata > Mammalia > Primates > Hominidae > Homo > Homo sapiens. Next base: position 21,624,193 of record NC_000011.10, read on the forward strand.
GTTAATAATAGTGACAAACCACATGAAGTTATCGAGAAAATTTAAGGAGTTAATGTATACAAAGCACTTAGTATGGTGCCTGACACATAAATACTCATACGTTTTTCTACATATAAGTTACCGTTATCATTGCTATTTTTCATTTTTTCTGCTACTACTACTACTAGCATTATAATTATGTGTGCCTATTGGATTTAAGATAACTTTCTTACTATAAGTCATAGACAAAAATTTGAAGGCCACTGCCCTTGACTGTTCTGCCTGCCTTCTAAGTAGGTCTTACTGAATTTGCAAATAGCTGATGACTTTTTGATAACACATTATTAATTTTAACTCTATTCTTGTAGACCCAGAGAGATTAAGTAATCACACTCTAGTAGCCCAGCTATTGGGGAAGAGGAGGTGTAAGCAGTACTCGGGTAATCAAGTCTATTCCTAATAGTCCAATGGGAACTCCTGAGATTTTGCAAAAATGTAGAGAATGTAACCAACTGTGGCACTGGACATGAGATGGGATGATTGAGACTTTGAGTATGTCTTATCTACCCTCATCAGAAGATAATCCACAGTTTTCATAATAGTGTTATGTGTTTCCTTTGGAATTAGTGACATTAAATGAATCTGGCAAAATTGTCCTTTTCTCTCAGAAATCAGAGGATCTCCCCAGGCTAGTATCAGACTTTGGGAACTCAACCTAATGTAAATCAGTTGATAAAAACTAGCTTTGAAATATGGAGTTTTGAGCTGGATTCCCAGCTCAAATATTTACAAGTTGTGTGACTGTGGGTAGGGCATGTGGGTCACGCATTTTGTTGGATTCCTAATTTTTTGTCTCTGTAAGAATGTGTCACACAATTTCCTATATTATCATTCTTTAAAAGAAGTTGTGAGGCTCAAATAAGATAACATATTCTAAAATATTTAGTGTCTTTGATTCTGTGGCTTTGTGACAGTATGGATTGAAATATCACACTAAAATCTTGAATTCCGTTTAATGTTTCCTCATATAGACCCTATCTGTTCATATTCAGTTCTTTTAGCTTTCATTGATTTCTTTCTTGTATTTTATGTTCCAGCTATACACATCAAGATAAAAGGATATTTTATAATAAATAAAATCAACAAAGGTACAAAACACATATTTTAGTTCTATAAAATGTCATGTTTTCGTGTTGCACTTTACACACCCACTTTTCTCCCTGCCCAGAAAACTAACCATCTTCTCACTATGCCACCCTACCTCCCTCTTCTCTCAGCTTTAAGCAGATATTACTTTATCCTGGAGGCATTTTTATCCCCCAAGTCCATTTTGTATCCCACTGCAGAGTCCCTATTTTTCCTTGCCAGATGGCTTATTTGCTTTGGTTATAATTGACTCTTTCCTCGTCTTGTATCACTCTGGTAATGTCTAATTTGTCACTGATAAATTCACAGTATTTTTCAGTGTCTGGACAATTATAGTTACTCGATAAATTTATGTTTATTTAAAAAAATTTGTTTACATTTATCCCTTCAAATAAAATACTTTCTCATCTTGACTAGTAGGGGCTGTAAACCAGGAACAAATTGTTGTGCAATCAGGTGTATTGTGGTGGTAAATTAGAACAAGGCAAACTGAGAGTAACAATCATGCCTTTACTCACATCTACAGCATAGGCAAGAGGCAAAAGAAAAAGAACACTTGCTCCTCAAAACACTTTTTCCCTACAGAACAACACTGAGAGGGGGTCAGATGACATGGAGCACAGACTGGTGTGGGACGCGGATGGTCTCACTGTTGAGGAGCACCAAAAAAGCTCTTGTCTTTTCACGAACCTAGAATCGCGGTAGAGGGAAGATGGGGAAGGGGTAGGAGTGAAAAAGTACTGAGTCGGAGTGAGAAAAGTGTCTCAGAAAGGGCCTCTGATGAGGAGCGCTGCAAAAGGAAGGGCCCAGGCTAGAGTGTGAATGTGCAAATGAACACAGCTGGCTTGGAGAGATGAGTCCTTAACCACAACTTCCTCCAGAAAGCTGCAATCATTGGCTGTGTACCAACTCTAGGGTGAGGAGGCAGCTTCCTCCCATGAGGCCTGCCAAGGCAAAGCTTTGTATTGTTTATGGTGAGGACTGAAGGACCTTCATCTCTATACTGTGATACTTTAGAGATGGTCCAAGTGAGATGCATGGGCTACCCCTTTATAGACTCACATGAGCTGAACATTAGGGTATTGACCCGTTGGCTCAAGGGATCTATCCATGGGCAGTATTTTTCACCTCGGCCAGGGTCTGGCAAATAGGATAGCTTTCCCATGCTGTTTTGACATTTTCTGATGACAATGACAGTCTATGGATGTAGGTCCAGTCTAGGACAGTGTCTATATTTCCATGTCCCATCCTCTTGTGTATCCAGGAGGCAACTGTTTTCAAATCTACTTGCTCAACCATGGAAAACAATTCAGTCTCTAAGCTTTACTGACACACACAATCTCCTCAGTGGTTATATTCCCGTTAGCATAGGAACCTTCATATTGAGCATCCACATATGTAACAATAAGCCTATTAGGAGTAGAGCCCATTTTCATCCAAATGTCTTATCCCCACAGAGAGGTTTATTATTTTTTTTTCCAATCCATTAGCCACAGACTATGAGTCAGGTAGGTTCATGGTTTTCCACATGCCCCAGCAAAATGGCCCTAATGACAGCTATTTCTATCAGGGCTTAGAGGTGAAGGTAAACAAGAATGCACATAGATAATACATCTGAACCAATAAACCATTCAGCAAAGGGGACCACAATGGAGGTTTACAGGGGCCCAAAGAAACTCATGAATAGCTGAGCCTGGGCAAGGGTCCTGGTGGTGGTGATCTCAGATCCAACACCCAAGAACACTTTTCTTCTCATCCTAGTGCCAGGGGATGTGGCAATTACAGTAAACTTGAGCACCAGCATCCCAAAAACTAAAGAAGTGCATTCTCCTCCACCTCCCCATTGAACTCTGACCCTGGCACAGGGCATGTGGTTTCCCATCTGGGGAAAGAGGGACCTCAGCCTAACCCCTAGTCTTGTTTATTTGTGGAGGCTGAGAGGTCCATTTCAAGGTTGGCAGACTCTCTGACTTATCTCCAGGCTCATTTGGTGGAACAAAAGGACTAGAACTTGTGTCAATCACAGAGGCCATCACCATGCAGACTCTGACATGGCTGCCCATTGGAACTCCCACACCTATGGCCCAGTATCTGAACATTAATTTTCTGGAATGGGGGAATGAAGAACTAGGAGGACCAGCAGGCTTGAGGCAGAGAGCTGTTTGTCACATGAGACTCCCAGGGTACTTCAGGGTGGGCTGGTTTGGGTGCAGCCCCAGCTTCCACAAGGGGTGGTGGCACCCAGGAGCCCGTGGCTGGACAGTGGAAATTTCCTGCCCAAAACTAGCACTGCTGGCACTATGGTGGAACTGGAGTTTGGGTGGGGAGAGCCCAGTTGTCTCTCTTACATTTCTCTCTCTCTCTCTCTCTCCCCTCTCTCTGCTGGTCAATCTTTGAGGAGAAATGCACTGGGAGCCTCAAGGGGAGCATCCTCTCCATCATACCATGGAGCTTGAGTGAGCACACCAAGGGTCCTTCCAGTTGCTGGACAACACAGAGATTGTGCTACCCTGGTCACTGCCACTGCTGCTGCTGCTCAAATTCTGCTGTCTTGATAATGGCTGCTATCAAGGCATTCTGAGGAGGGGATATGTACAAACATAACACACAAGGTGCCACTTTCTTTCACTAAATTTAATAAAATATCTCCGTAGGTGAACTAACCACATTTCCAAGGTCTCTGGGGCACTAAGCAAAGCAATTCTAAAGCTCTCTTTTATTTATTTATCTATTTTTCACTGAAGGCATGAGTCTTGACAACCTTCTGAGCTGCAGGGCATTGTTATCAGCACCAGGCACTGGCTTAGAGTTAACAATAGTTACTGTACACAACTTAGCGTAACAGTTTCTGGTCTCTGTCTGAGAACCATGAGCAGTGATGATCGATCTGCTTTCCTAGTTTTCTTAGAGCTCTTTTGCTGGATTTCTAATTTGACTCGCTGAAGGACCACTGGTTCCCTCTGAACTGAAAAGTGTCTGTAAACAATTTGCTAGCACTCCCCAAGACCCACTGGCATGGCTGGCATGGTGGCCATGGAATCCACTAGCACTCCCAAGACCCTTTGGTGAAATGTTTTGTGGAATACTGTGGCATTTTTCTCTTTCAAAATGACATGAAACTGGGCATAGTAGCACACTCCTGTAGTCCCAGCTACTCAGGAGGCTGAGGTAGGAGGATTGCTTGAGCCCAGGAGTTTGAGGCTGCAGTGACCCATGATCACACCTGTGAATAACGACTGCACTCCAGCCTGGGTGACATAGGAAGATCCTGTCTCTTAAGAAACAAAGACATGGCGGTGAATTACCATCTTGCTTACTGTGCTAATTTGTCACGGTGTAAACGTGGTCAATTAGGACAAGAATCCAACAGAATGTAACAATTAAGCTTTATTTACTTACTGTGAATAAAGGCAGAAGACAAAGAAAAACTTACTGACTCTTCAGCATTCAATTTTTCCCCATGAAAAGGAACTGAGTAATGGTCAGAGGACATGAAGTGTGTGGGGGGCTGGAAGGGACTCATCTCACTGCCAAGGGCACCAAACAAAAGGCTTCTGTTTTTCTAGAGACTCAGGAGGCCCGGGGAAGGACAGGATAAAGGTCTAGGAGCAGGACTGAGTCAGAGTGAAGAAAAATGTCTAGGTCAAGGCCCCTGATATGGTGATCTTGGTGGAGATGCCTTAGAAGCACTATAGCCAAGACCCCTAGTGAGGAGACCTCAAAATGAAGGCACCTGGCTTAGAAATGTAGCAATTTATACCAGCAGAACTGGCCTGGGGGCCTGAGAAACTCCCTTCAGAAAGCTGCAATGCACTGACTGTGTGGTATGGAGTTTGGTGTGGGGAGGGCAGCTTCCCCTCATGAGGCCTGCCAGGCAAAGTCTTTGTGATCGCCTGTGGTCAGCCCTGAAGGATGGCACATAAGATTCTGGCCTAGAGCTGGGCTCCTCACAGATAATATGAATAGGTCTAGAAGAATGCTGAGGCAAGGATGAAGATGCAAGGGAGAATTAATCTTTGCACACAGATCCAAGGCCAAAGAAAAGTGAGGTTTAATCCCTACCTGGTAAGTAATTTCCTCTGTTCAACATCAACATCAGTGTATAATTACTATGAACCTAATTTTTCTCTTTTATTCCTGTGAAAGGAAAACTTCTATTTTCTCTCTATGACTATTCTCAATACTTCACTTCTGACACCGGGTTTTTCCCACACTGAGGGATACTCCACTTCTTGAAGACAGAGAGTGTCCCGCAATTTAAATCAATTCTGACTGACACTAGCTACCTGACAAGAACATTGGATCACACAGGTGAAGGGCTCAATCCCACAAAGCTGCTTCTACTTCAGATGCCAGTTCCAAGTGCAGGTTGCCATCTGTACTTCTGACTGATGGGCTATAAATCAGAGGTTCCCATGACCTTCTTCTCAGGTTTGATCATTGGCTAGAATTGCTCACAGAAATGAAGGAAACACTTTTCTCATATTTATTTACCTGATTTTTATAAAAGAATATAGCTCAGGAACAGCAAGATGGAACAGGCAAAGTATATGGGACAAGGTGCAGAGTTTCCATGCCCTCTCCAGGCTCGTCACTCTTCCAGCATCTCCACACGTTTACCATCAACTCAGAAGCTCTCCAAACCCTGCCATTTGGGGTTTCTAAAGAGGCTTTATAATGTAGACATGATTGATAAATCAGTACCCAGTAATAACCAAGTCAATGTCCCATCCCTCTTGCTTCCTTGGTAGGAGGAGATTGGGGGATAATAGTTCCAACTCTCTAATCACATTGTTGGTTTCCCTGGCAACCAGCCCACATTTTACGGTTGTCTAGGGACTTTCCAATAGTCAACACATTAACATTAATTCTAATGTCATTGGAAATGGCTTGTTATAAATAACAAAAGATGCTCATGCTCCTTTCACTTTTGTTGTGTTATCACATTGGAAATTTCAAGGATTTTAGAAGCTCTGTGGACAAGGAAGTTTGGATAGCCAAGAAGGGCTAATTTCCAAGATGAGGACCAAGGGAGCCCCAAGGAGGCCCTGACCAAACTGAAAGATCCAATGGCAAGTGAGACATATGTGTACCAGGAAGCCCGGGCAAGGCTATTGCAGTTGTCTTTTACAGCCTCTTGGGCCATTCCCATCACTGGCTCCTGAAGAGTGTGGCTCCTGACTCCTTACCCACTTCGCTCTTCTATCAGAAACGTGAAATTATGCACTTGTAGGATGTCACGCCAAGTGTCACTGAGAAGCTGACAATCTCCTTTTTTCTTTTTACAGTGATGCCCAGATCCTATACTAGACATCCTAGAAGAAGAACATGTGTCAGTGATTACGAATTCAGCAGAAAAAGGGGGATGGCCAAGAAGAGAGGAAGAGTAAAAGATGTATTTTACGATTTACTGAGATATGAGATCTGGCATTTTAGTTTTTAATTTTAAAATCTCTGTGTAATGTGTTATATACAAGTAAGTTGTTTTTCCTTCCTTAGATTTCTCCTAACTCATTTGTCACTGGTCTCAGCATCCCAGGAGGATAGAAATAACTTTATTTCTGCTGCCTCAGGTTTTCTTCCTATAAATAGTTGGAGAAAAATGGAGAAAGTAGTGTTTTCTTTTCTTTATGAAGTGATCACAGGATTTGTAGCCTTATAACCAAAGAACTAAGTGACAAGAAGTTGGGGAATACAAAACATCTGCAACTAAATGAAGGTTCTCAGAGGGGATTTCAAAATGAGTGCAACTGAGAAGATAAGAGTTGACAGAAAAAATATCAGTTCTTGACTTGGTACTGCTCTGATCATCTTTCTCATCAATTATTTACAGAAGGAAGTTCTACATTAAAATTAATCATGACATTCTGAGTTGCTCCTTTACATTAATAATGAAACAACTGCACCAAATGCAAACAGATACTGATAATAGAATATGAAATAATGCTTAACACACAAAGAGAAAGGGACTACTTAAGTGAAACACCAAGAGGCTAATTATTATACCATTGTGAGGGTTATGATCCATGACCCAAACTGGCAGATTTTGCCTGCCGAAAAATGTTGCTGTCTGTTTCATCTGCAGTTGCCACATTTACAGCCACATACAGAGCTGCCCCAGTTTTTGAGACCAAGAAGTGTGAGGGTGATTTGAACCACAGTGAGTAGTCTAATTACAAGATTGGGAGGACACATGGCCAAGATATCATGGTCTGGAATCCCAGCATGGGGAATATAAGCTCTCATATAGAATGTTTCACTCTTCTTCCTTTTTTTGCCACCCAGGATGAGCATTATACACCATTCTGTGTCTCCCATACAAAGTCATCATTGGTCATCTCTCAGCATGGCCGAGGCCGGCCCATACTTTTCCTGCCCAGCTGTCTCTTCCTGCAGAGTGGCTGTCAGGCAGCAAGGAACAAGGGGAGTCTAGGACCCAGGAATGTGGTGGAGGCTCCAGACTATTCCTCTCATATGGTTAGGCTGTGACTCTCGGGAGTAATTTAATGCAACATTTTCCAAAATGTGTGTTTCAGGGTAATATTAGATGTTGTGTAAATGCTTTTCACAGTCCAGTAGTCCTATAAGTTTGGAAAATTCTGGGTTATTTAAGATTAAAGAAGTCTTACAATGGTAGAATTCCTCAGAGCCTGTCATGCATTGACATGTATTATACTTCAGTACTCTCAGAAAATCAGCTGGTTTCTTGGCCAGTGCCTATATCCAGGTCATTTGGAATGATTTCTGGACTGTTGTGCTGAGAAGCTGCTTCAAAACAGGTCATTAGAGGCAGGAAGAAATAGAGAGTGTATCTTTCCGGATTCCTCCCATCTGCTGTCTCCCGTTGATCAAAATACTTATCCCAGCGAGTTGTTTGTCCTGCATTCCAGCCAGATGGTAAGTGGCAGCCAGATCCTATACCCTGTGGTATAGTATGATGGCTCTACTGGAGTTGCTACTCTGCAGCTGTTGGCTAAGGATGACTGAAGAGCATGGCCAGTGTGCAGCTTTCACTACTGACGCACAACGGCAGCCACGATGCCCAACCAAGACCTGAGCGAGAGAAACATGAGGAGAGGCCAGATAATTGCAGAAAGTGGTGTCCTGTTTGACTCCCTTTTCCTCTGTGATATATGCTACATGCCTGGTATAAAACAAAACCATTGACAAGAGGACTGCAAGGGGACACCAAAAAGTTGGAAAAGATATGGAATACATGCTCTGGCTCTCAAGAAGCCTTAGGTCGGAGGGTAATATTGGATACAAGAAATTACTAGTGAAGGCTCTAAGAAAATAAATACTAGCAAAGAAGATTTAAATCAATTTCTGGGTTATGTGTTCTAGGAGTGCAGAGTGAAGGGCAATTGTATAGGAATTTAGAAAAAGAGGAGATATAGGATGGCTTTATGCTGAAGACCTTGAATTAAATGTAAGGTCAGATTGGCTGGGAGGTGGGGTTCTAAAAGAAAAAGAATGTGTTTGATGAAATCTAAAACTAAGAGTGGATTTAATTTAGAATGACTTTCATTAAGAAAACTACTCAATAAAAGTTTGCTTTTTCTGACCCAAAAAGTTTACTTTATTTTTTTGCTTGCATCCTTATACATCCTACACATATCACTGTATATATATATATATATATATAAATATTTTAACATTAGTTAATAGGTTAAAAACTGAACTCATCATAGTTACCCTCTTTTTGTTTTTACCCATTTTCCCTACAGTCTTCCCTATTTCAATCAATGACAATCCAATGCTTAGAAGTTGTTTAGACCAAAGCATTTAAATTCTTCCTCAATTCTCTCACTCTCCACATTAATTTCATCTGTAATCTAACCAAACCTTTTAATCTCATGATAGTGATGCTTTTAAGCCACCACCAGAATTACTGCAACAGCCTCCTAACTGGTCTCTCTGTTTTCATCCTGGTTTATTTATAGTCTGTTTGTCACACAGCAGCCAGAATGAGACTGTTAAAACATAAGTCAGACATTTTTATCCTGAAAATTCTTCAGTGGGTCACCATTTCACTCAGAGTAGCAGCCAAACCCCCAATAATGGTCTTTAAGGCTGTAGATATTCTGGACCCCAGTCATGGCTCAGGTGTTTTCTCCTATTATTCCTCCACTCTAAACCCTGTTTATTCTGCTCCAGCCACACTGAACTCCTGCTATTCCTAGAATGCTTCAGGCACATTTCTACTCAAGTTCCTTCCATAGATTTATCCCACTGCCTGGAATGCTTCTCCTCAGATCAGCATGACCTGTCTCCTCACCTCCTTTAATTCTCCTTAAGTCTCAACACTTCAAGGTGGCCTTCCTTGACTATTTAAAAACTGTGTCTTTATTTCCCTTCCCTGCCTTATCCTTCCTTCTCCCTAGCATTTGTCACCTTCTGTATATTATTTACTTACGTATTTTATTTTTTGTCTGTCCCCAAGTTAGAATGTAAACTCCATGAAGGCAGGGTCGTTGGGCTGTTTGCTCACTGCTCAATATTTAATGCTTAGAAAAGTGATGATATATAGCAGCAACTCTATAAATTCTAAATGAATGATGAATTAAATGAAATTTGGTTGCCAGCATATCTGTCTACAATTACATGTGCTTCCAACACAGATATATTTTATTTTATTCTTTTAAACAGCACTGAGCACAGGGCCTCACTCTCAGTGGGACCTTTATAATATTTTGGGCATAAATGAAGGAGAGAATGCTGTGTTGACCTGAAGAAGTTGCTGTATTTTCTTTGGAGAAGATTGGTCTCGAAGGAGGTTAATGAGATAAGATGGAAGAAGCAAACATTTGTTGAAGACTTGCTGTCTTAATTGTGCAGGTCTCAAAAATAATCACTTGAGCTAGGAATTATTTGTGTCCAGGTAAAACATGAGACAGCTCAGTCTCAGAGGGTTCAGGGAATTGTCTGCAGTCACACAGCCAGAGCTGTGACAGTGGCAAAGCCCTTACCCTTTCTCCTAGGTCGCAGATGCGGCTGTGAACTGATGCTTATTCTAAGTCAGCTATCGCTTTGAACAAAATATTCCCAAAGATAAAATATCTTTGCATTTGCTTTTGAACCTTTCTTTGTGGATTTTCTTGCCCTTTCTTTGTGGATTTTATCTCTCCAGTGAAGGAAGTCAATTGTGTATTCAGCCAAATTTTAAATTTCGCTAGATAAAGGTTTAATTCTCTTAAAACTCTCAGTTATTACTAAGTCTTTTCTGCTTCTCTGGTGATTTTACCTCCATTACCATCAAGAATCCTTCCACAATTATTTACATATTTAGCTATTTATGATTAAAGTAAATCATCATCTTTATTTAATTTGGAAAGGCTTGTGGGATCCGGTAGCAAACCAGATGTGTGCAATTAAGTTGATACTGCATGAGATCCCAATCAGCAGCATGTGGGCTTCAGGCCTGCTCATTAATGTTTCTCTTTGCTTTCTACAACTTGATGTCTGGAAGTCACTTTCTGGGAAACCTGACCCGGCAAAATGAAGTTTTTTTTTTTTTTTTTTTTTTCTTTTTTCAACTTCGACTGATCTTTGAAGTTTTATCAGTTCACCTAGTCAGGAATGGAACAGTTCTGAATTAGAGATCACGTTACTTGAGTTTTATTTTAAAATTTTACATATATATAGATGTATATATAATTTGAACATAAATTTTAATACATAATTTTAAAATAAATTTTAGTATATATGTGTGTGTGTCTATATATATATATATCCATCTCCAGCATACCCCAACTTCAATAACCACAGCCAAAAAAGGAAGCCCTGAGCAAGCAAGTCTATAAGCCTGAGAATTACATCACCCCTCAATGCAATGCAGGTGAAGTGTTAGACAGAATGACCCTTGATCATGCTCAAGGCAGTTATGCAAAAGAGAGGCATGAAAAAGGTAGAGGTTCTTTTAATGACACAGGAAACAGCTGAGATCTAACTGGATCATCTCCCTGGAAAAAAAATAATTGGAATTAAATAACCATCTGCACCATAGCTGATTGAAGAAAAGGAGTAAAATTCAATTTATTTTTACAAGATTACCATGGAAGCAGAAGCATTGTGAAGAACCACCTTTATTAATAAATTGAATAGAGACCACCCAATGATATAATTATCTCTCCTTTCATAGACTTAGCCGAGGTAAAACAAAGGTGCTTAATTTTATGACTGGTGTCTTACTTTCTCCATGACATTGACATTTTACTATAAAATGCTGAAAGTGGTTAGTCAAAGCACCAGTCAGTTGGTCATCTCACAGTATGAATCATCTTAGGGAGGCTGGAAGATTAACCAGAGTGAAGACAGTAGAAAAAGTGAAGCTTCCCCAAAATTTTGAAGGAAAGTTGAGAAATTGAGAGGGGAGATTAATAGCAAGCACTGTGTCTAAAAGGCAGATTGGGATTGTAAAAAAAAAGGACTATGAAACAAAACAACAACAAAAAAAGAGATAGATTAAAAATAGCAAATGTAGGAATAGATTAAAAAATAGCAAAAGTAACAAAACAAAAAGCAATTTTTTCATGTTAGTCATTGTGTTAAATACTTATATTAGTATGTGTTAATCCTCTGAGGAAATATTTGAGGAACATATATATTAGGGTTTACTAATTTATAGCTGAGGAAATCAGGAATTAGAGAAGCTAGATAAATTGCTAAAATGTCATACAGTTCTTACGTAGCAAAACCAGGCTTCCTGTCTAGATTTATTTCATAAGAAAGCACATATTTTCTACTATCTGTCAAGCCAGGAGACCCTAAGAAATTTCCAACAACACTGCTTAAATATGATTTATTTTAATTTTTAATGAGTGTATTAAAATTAGGAAGGATAGTTTGGCTTAAGATACACAATTAGAGACCACAGATATAAAGATATTAATAAATGGGGCATCCCAAAAGTCAAAGACTGTGAATCTTTATCCCAGCTCTGTGACAAGCTTGTGTTATCTGGGGCATATTATTTCCTGTTTTAGGCCTCAGTCTCCCCATATTTATTATAATGGGATTGAATTTGCCTAACTACAAGGACCCTTTCTGGATACATATTCCGTAATTCTTCCATGTACTTCCAAGTCTCCCAAATCTAGTTCCCAGGTTATTTGAGATTAAAAGGTCACAAGTGATCCAGGTAGTTTGACTTGTGTCATATATGCACTAGGAGTTATTAAATTCTTAATATATATGGCACTGTTCTTAAAAGTTTAATTCTTTTCAACAAAACCATGAATTGAGTTTAATTATTATCCTCAGATTACAAGTAAGGAAACTGAAAACTTAAAGGCTGAGTAAATTTCCCAGTGTTAGATAACTATTAGTTATAAACTCCAGGATTCTAATCTAGATGTTTTAGTCAAAGAGTTTGTGCTTTTAATTATTTTCCTTCTCTGTCTTTGTCATCACCAGATGGCTATACCCCATATCTATCTGCAGAGCAGTTTCTCATTCTAAAGAATCCTAAAACATAGGCCATGGGGCTGGGGTGCAATTTAGTTAATTATCTTAGAAAAAGTCCCCTCTAAATCATTCTTGAGGACTAGCTTTATGAAGTGACTTGAGTTTCATTTGTATAAACTGAATCAGCTTAGACCATATGCCAAAGATAATGATATGATATGATATGATATGATAATTTTCCATCTATAATTTTCTTCAGTGTCACAATGTGTATTATAAGTTTACTCTTATGAATACAGATGCAAAAGCCCTCAAAAAATGCCAGAAAATTGAACCTAGCAATATATAAAAAGGATTATACACCATGATCATGTGAGTTCTGTCTTAGGAATGCAAGGTTGATGTAATATCACAAAATAAATCAGTGTAACATACCACGTCGGTAGAATAAAGGACAAGAACTATGTGGTCATCTCAAAAGATACAGAATAAGTATCTGACAAAATTTAGCCTAATAAAAACACTTAACAATCTTGGAACAGAAAAAAAAAAATTCCCCAATCTGATAAAAGGTATCTACAAGAAAACCAGAGCTAACAACATACTTAATAGTAAAAGGTTGCTGTTTCCCTGAGATCAGGAACAAGATAAGGATATCTACTCACCATTTCTATTACATTGTATTATAGGTTCAAGCCAGGGAAGATAAGCAATAAAATGGAATAAAAAGCATCAAGGTTAGAAAGAAATTAATAAAACTATCTGTATTTTAAAATGGCAAATATTGTATACAGAAAATTATTAAACTTCACTGAAAAAAGTAGAATAAATGAGTTCAGCAAGATTGCAGGATAAAAGTTAAATATACAAAATCATTTACACTTTTATACATTGGCAAACAGCAGCAGACCAGAATTGAAATTAAGAAATGAAATTCCATTTAGAATTGTGTTAAAAAGAATAAAATACTTAGAAATAAGATTAACAAAAAAAGTGTGGACATTGTTGAAGAAATGAAGGAAGACCTAAAGAAATGGAAAGACACCCTCTGTACATGGATTAGAAGACTCAGTCTTGTTAAGACAGCAATACTCCCTAAAACTGATCTAAAGGTTCAATTTAATTCCTGTCAAAGTCCCAGATGACTTCTTTACAAGAATTGACAAGCTGATCCTGAAATTAATAGGGGAATTCCAGGGACCCAGAATAGCCAAACAATCTTGGAAAAGAAGAAACAAAGATGTAGCACTACACTTTCTGTTTTCAAAACTTACTACAAAACTACAGTAATCAAGACAGTGTGGCACTGGCAGAGAATTCAGAACCAAAAAATAAACTCTAACATTTACAATCAATTGATTTTCCTTTCATTTCCTTGCCTTCCCTTTCTCTCTTTCTTTCCTCCTCCTTTCTCTCCTTTCTTTCTTCCTCTCTCTTCTTCCTTCCTTTTCTTCTTTCTTCTTCTTCTTTTTTTTATTTTTTCCTTTTTTTTATACAGGACTTACTCTGTTGTCCAGGCTGGAGTGCAGTGCCATGATCATAGCTAACTGCAGCCTTGATCTCCTCAGCTCAAGTGATCCTGCCTCAGACTCTCAAATAGCTGAGACTACAGTTGTGCATCACCACACCTGGATAATTTTTTTAAAAATTTATTAGTAGAGATGAGGCCTCGCTATGTTGGCCAGGCTAGTTTTAAATGCTTCAGCTCAAGTGATCCTCTCACCTCAGCCTCCCAAAATGGTGAGATTATATGCATGAGCCACAGTGCCTGAACTCAATTTATTTTTAATAAAGGTGCCAAGAAAATTTAATGAGAAAAGAACATTTGTTTCAACAAAAGATGCTGGGACAATGCCTATTTGCAAAAGAATGAACTTAAATCTATATACCACAACACATACAGAAATTAACTAAAAATGAATCAAATGCCTAATTTTAATATCTAAAACTATGCAACTCTTAGAAAACATCATAGATTAAATCTTTGTGACTCTAGAGTAAGCAAAGATTTCTTGATATGACCAAAAACACAAGCAACAAAAGGATTAGATAAACTTGACAGTGCTAAATTAAAAGCTTCTATGCCTTAAAGGACACCATTAATAAAGGAAAAAAACAATTCACAGAATGGATGAAATTGGTTGTCATGTATTTTATAAGGGTTTGGATCTAGAATATATAAAGAACTATTATACTTCAATAATCAAAAGACAACCCAATTAAAAATGAACAAAGGGCTTGGATAGATATTTCTCCAAAGAAGATATACAAGTGGCCAATATATGCATAAAAATATGTGCATAAAATTATGCTCAACAGGATCACTTGAGGCCAGCAGCTCAAGTCCAGCATGGCCAACATGGTGAAACCTGGCCTCTATTAAAAATTCAAAAATTAGCCAGGCTTGGTGGCGGGCACCTGTAATCCCAGCTACTCAAGGGGCTGAGGCAGGAGAATTGCTTGAACCGAGGAGGCGGAGGTTGCAGTGAGCTGAGGTTGCACCACTGTACTCCAGCCTCGGTGACAGAGCAAGACTCTATCTCAAAAAAAAAAAAAAAAATGCTCAACATCATTAGCCATCAGGGAAATATAAATCCAAACTGTGAGATGCGACTTCCCACTCACTGGCAGAGCCGTAATAAAAAAGACAGATAATAACATGTGTTGGTGAGAACATGAAGGAACTGAAATCCTCAAACATTGTTGGTGGAGTGTAAAATGAAGCAGCTTCTTTGGAAAACTTCTGGGAGTTCCTCAAGTGGTTAAACATAGAGCTACTGTATGGCCAGTGAATCCTCTCATATAAATATACACAAGATAAACGAAGGTACATGTTCATACAAAAACCTGGCACAAATGTTTATGGCAGCATTATTCATAAAGACCAAAATCTGAAAACAACTCAATTGTGTCAATTGATGAATGGATAAATAACATATAATTCCATACAATGGAATTTTACTCAGCAATAAAAAAGAAATGAAGCACTGATGCATGCTACAACATGGATAAACTAAAAAGAATAGGCCAAGTGAAAAAAAACAGTCACAAAGGACTATCTATTTTATTGATTTCATTTCTATGAAATTTCCAGAATAGGCAAATCTATAAAGATAGAAAGTAGACTATGTATTGTTTATGTTTGCTGGGATGAAGGAATTCATGGGTGACGGCTAATGACTGCAGGGTTCTTCTTGAGCTAATGAAATGTTCTAAATTGATTGTGATGATGGATGAACAATTCTTGTGAATATACTAAAAGGCACTGAAGTGTTTCCTTTAAATGGATGAATTGTATGATAAGTGAATTATATGTCAATGCAATTATTTTTAAAATGTAAGTTTAGCCAATTTGAAACAAATAGTAATACTATGCAGATTTCGTCATTATTGGTTTGCTTTACATTTTAAGACCAATTGTCCCTCAGAAATAATACCACTTCTTAATTTCTCAGCCTCCAAAGCATGGGACTATACCTGCATTTCCATATCTTAAGGGTGAATCCTGTTGTTCTCAAATAATTCAGAACAAAAAGAGAGGACATTAACAGAATATGAGTGGAAGGAGTGAAAAAAAAGTTTCATGGAAAAATTAGCTATTTTTAGAAATAAAATCTCTGAATTAGAAGGTTTTAAAAAAATACATTATTTTTCCTATTTATTCTCTCCTGACTCATTATCAGAAGGTGTTAATTTATATCCCTGTCACCAGTGGACTATTTAGTGGCTCATGTTTACCTCTTAAAATGTTCCATTCTGTTTTTAACTAGTCTGTGAGAAAGCTCTTCCTTATATTAAGTAGAAATCTCTTTCTCAATATGTTGAAACTTGAGTGCCTCAGTTTTTCATCCCTTAAGGCCAACAGATGAATCGTATTTCTCCTTTCATGACTACCCTTCACTGATTTGCAAGTATCTATCATGCCCAGAAGCAAAGAGGTAAGATGGAATAAGCACAAGAATATAATCCAGAAAGGCTGTATCTGGGGCCTTGGGCAAATTACTTAACATCTGAGTTTCACTTTCACATCTGCAATTTGACAAAAATAACATCTACCTTGCAGAATTCTAAATGAAATTTGTTGGGTAGCTTCTTTTTTTAAAAAAGTGCCTAGTGGAAGATAGGTGTTCTAAAACATTAGTTCCCTCCTCTTCACTATCATTTGCTTCTCCTTGTATCCAATAAACTTTCCAGCTAGTCCAATGATCTGTAATGTAACATGATTTTAAATAAAATGTGCAAACAATGCATGATCTATAAGTTTAGACCCAACTAAGAAATAAGCAGAGGAGATTTCTCTGACCTCATAGAGATTTAGGAAGCCTGATTTGCTTGGAATTCACAATATTTGTCTCCCACATAAGCTGAACATATACCCTTCCCTCCTCTGGCTATATGTAAGAAATTCTCATTTTGCAAAAAAACTAAAACTCACTCATGTGCCTCAGGAACAGAGACAACTTCTCTCTGAATTCCTTTCAACCCTACAGAGAACTTGTGTTTTGAATTTGTTTTCTTGATTGTTCTTGCTTCTATTTTGTCATGGACATGAATTTATTCTAGATACATAATAGTGCTAATGAGCTTGGATATAATTCAGGATATTCAGGCATGATAGTATTAAATTTTTAGGGATAGGAAGAAAATAATCTTTTAAAGCAGGTTCAGTGAATATGACCATTGTGCTCAGTACTTTCCTCACAACAATCCTAAGCATTTACTATTATTATCTGCATCTTAAATATAAAAAAAAAGAGGGTCTGAGAAGTAGAGAGGCTCTAATAAATTATGCCATTCTATCTCCAGAGGTTTCCTCTCGATTGCATGCTGCAGTAGCAGACGTGGGTAGCAATTATTCCAACTTTATGTAACAATTAAGATTGGGCTCAGGAAAACTCCTAAACATGATTGTTATGGTTTGATTGCCTTTACAGGAAAGAAAAATAAAATAAATAAATGAGTGCTTGTTTAGCCAATCAGGAAATCTAAGTCGTAATTCTGGCCATGCCACTAAATGACTGTGGGATCCTGATCAAGTCACTACTTTTGTAAAATAATACTAACAGTTATATAGAAAGCATTCACTATGTAGGATTTTAAGTGAAACATATTTTTTTTTAAAAAAACCTTCAAATATTCTATATCTTTCCACCTCTATCTCTACCTATATTTTTTTGTAATGGGTGACATTGAAAAACCATACATCTGCATAATTTATCTGATATGGTTTGGCTGTGTCCCCACTCATATCTCATCTTGAATTGCAGCTCCCATAATTCTTATGTGCTGGGGGAGAGACCTGGTGGGAGCTAAGTGAATCATGATGGCAGGTCTTTTCCATGCTGTTCTTGTGATAATGAGTAAGTCTCATGGGATCTGATGGTTTTATAGGGGAGTTCCCCTACAGAAGCTCTCTTGCCAGCTACTGTGTAAGATGTGTCCTCGCTCCTTCTTTGCCTTTTGCCATCATTGCGAGGCCTCTCAGACATGTGGAATTATGAGTCAATTATACCACCTTTCCTTTATAAATTACCGAGTCCCAGATATGTCTTTATTAGCAGTGTGAGAATGGACTAATACAATAAATTGGTACCAGTAGAGTGTGGCTGCTGTAAAGATACCTGAAAATATGGAAGCGACTTTGGAACTCAGTAACAGGCAGAGGTTGGACCAATTTGGAGGGCTCAGAAGAAGATAGAAAGATGTGGGAAAGTTTGGAACTTCCTAGAGACTTGTTGAATGACTTTGACCAAAATGCTGATAGCGATATGGATAATAAAGTCCAAACTGAGGTGGTCTCAGATGGAGATGAGATGAGGAACTTGTTGGAAACTGTAGGAAAGGTGACTCTTGCTATGTTTTAGCAAACAGACTGGTGCATTTTGCCCCTGCCCTAGAGATTTGTGGAATATTGAACTTGAAAGAGATGAGTTAGGGAATCTGGCAAAAGAAATTTCTAAGCAGCAAAGTATTCAAGAGGTAACTCGGGTACTGTTAAGAGTATTTAGTTTTATGTATTCACAAAGATATGGTTTGGAATGGGAACTTGTGTTTAAAAGGGGAGCAAAGCATAAAAGTTCAGAAACTTTGCAGACTGACAATGCATTAGAAAAGAAAAACCCATTTTCTGAGAAGAAATTCAAGCCCACTGTAGAAATTTGCATAAGTAACGAGGAGCCAAATGTTAATTGCCAAGACAATGGGGAAAATTTCTCCAGGACATGTCATAGGTCTTCACAGCAGCCCCTCCCATCACAAGCCAGGTGGCCTAGGAGGAAAAAACAGTTTTGTGGGCCAGGCCCAGGGAGTTGCTGCTTTGTACCAACTTGGGACTTGGTTTCCTGCATTCCAGCTGTGGCTAAAAGGGCCAACATAGAGTTCAGGCCATTGCTTCAGAGAGTGCAAACCCCAAGCCTTGGTGGCTTACAAATGGCATTGGGCCTGTGGGTACACAGAAGTCAAGAACTGAGATTTGGGAACATCAGCCCAAATTTCAGAGGATGTATGAAAATGCCTGGATGTCCAGGCAGAGGTGTGCTGCAGGGCTGAGTCCTCATGGAGAACCTGTGCTAGGGCAGTGAGGAAGGAAAATGTGGGTGCAAGCCCCCACACAGAGTCCCCACTGGGGCACTGCCTAGTGGAGCTGTGAGAAGAGGGCCATCGTCCTCCAGACCCAAAAATGGTAGATCCACCAACAGCTTGCACCGTGCACCTGGAAAAGCCACAGACACTTAATGTCAGCCCATGAAAGCAGCCAGGAGGGAGGTTGTGCCTTGCAAAGCCACAGGTGTGGAGGTGCCCAAGACCATGAGAACCCACCTTTTGCATCAGTGTGCCCTGCATGTGAGACACAGAGTCAAGGGAGATCATTTTGGAGCTTTAAGATTTGACTGCCCTGCTAGATTTTGGACTTTCATGGGGCCTGTTCCCCCCTTGCTTTGGCCAATTTCTCCCATTTGGAAAGGGTTTATTTACCCAATGTCTGCACCCCCATTGTATCTAGAAAATAACTAACTTGCTTTTGATTTTTCAGTCTCATAGGCAGAAAGGACTTGCCTTGTCTTAGATGAAACTTTGGACTGTGGACTTTTGAGTTAATGCTGAAATGTGTTAAGACTTTGGGGGACTGTTGGGAAGGCATGGGTGGTTTTGAAATGTGAGGAAATGAGATTTGGGAGGGGCCAGGGGCAGAATGATATGATTCAGCTGTATACCCCACCCAAATCTCATCTTGAATTGTAGCTCCTATAATTCCCACATGTCACTGGATGGACCCAGTGGGAGGTAATTGAATCATGGGGGTGGGTCTTTCCCATGCTGCTCTTGTGGTAGTGAATAAGTCTTACAAGATCTGCTGGTTTCATAAAGTAGAGTT
The DNA here is from genome assembly GCF_000001405.40 of Homo sapiens. NCBI lineage: Eukaryota > Metazoa > Chordata > Mammalia > Primates > Hominidae > Homo > Homo sapiens. The sequence continues at coordinate 21,644,099 of NC_000011.10, forward strand.
CCTCTACTCAAGCTTTCTTGCCTGCCACCATGTAAGATGTGTTCTTGCTCCTCCTTTGCTTCCTCCATCATTGTGAGGCCTCTCAGCCATGTGGAAGTATGAGTCAATTCAACCGCCTTTCCTTTATAAATTACCCAGTCACTGGTATGTCTTTATTAGCAGCTTGAGAACAGACTAATACACTAGCCTTTCTTCTATTCAGGATTAATTTGTCCAAGACTGATCTCAGGCAGCCTTCCTGGAGAAACAGAAGTTAGCCTCCTACAGAGTTCCTAGGAAACCTGCCACACATCCATAGTGTGCAAAGTGTGGTCCTGGACCCCTGGGTGTCTCAAATCTTCTCAAGGGGTCTGCACCATCAGTATTACTTTCATAATAATGTTCATATGTTATTTGTCTTGTTTACTTTCATCCTCTTACAAGTACACAGTGGAATTTTCCAGATACTGCATGGCAAGTGATATCACAACAGATGGAATACAGAAGCAGATATGAGAATCTGGGTCTTCCAATAAGTCAGACATTAAAGATATTTGAAAAAATGTAAAACAATGCCACTAATTTTTGCTAATTTTTTTAGTTTTGGAAAATATATTTTAATAAAAATGTTTGATATTGTTTATGTTAACATGTAAAGGTTTTATAATTTCTTAAATGAATTAATAAATATTTAAAAAGTATTTAATTTTTTCTGGTATAATAATAAATTTATTTTTATGATTTTTAATAACTTTTAAGAATTTCAAGGGGTCCAGTTACCAAAAAATTTGAGAACCACTGGTCTAAGACAATTAATCCAGATATAGTGCTGAAATGGTCATTCAGGGCTGGGAGTCAATGGGTTAGTGCCTTCTGAAACCACAAACCTTGGGCTACAGCTCTTGCTTATGTCAGAGAAGGGATTGATACTTAATCCAGTCTCACTACATCTATATATGTTGACCCAATATGCAATGAACAGCATAAAAACCCTTTTATCTGCTACTGCTCCTATGTCACTGAATTTCCAACAATAAAACTATTCTGGACAGAGTGTTTACTCTCTAGTCACTCACACATACTCACTCAGCATGATTGATTTAAAATCTCTGTTAAACAAACATGCATTCAAACATAAAATCAATGAAAGTTTCTGAAAAGTAGGTGAACTGAAAATGTGAACACATATCTCCACTATTTCTATTACAGAATTTTAGATATTTCTGATTTTATATATGAGCCAAGAGGAAGAATCATTGGCTCTATGAAGGTGTAAGATTCCAAGCCCCTTTGACAATGTTGTCACTACCCATGGCCCTGGGATGGGTACTGTTATGTTGGGAAGAGCAAGAATGGGAGGGTTGCTTGGAAAATATGATACTTTGTTGTATGTCAGCCTTTAATTTGTTAATTCCTGCTAATACCCATGACCTTACAGAATTCACAGATTTGCCAGCTCTGGTTTGGCTACGTGACTTGTTTACTGCAATGGGACAATAGCAAATAGGATGCAAGCAGCGGTTTAGCAAATAAGATGCAAGCAGATGTCTGACATTTTTACACTTAGGCTTTTCCTCTTTTGCTGCCTTTTGAGCTTCATGCCACCATGTAAACAAGTATGGGCTAGCTGGTGAGATGATGAGAGTCATGTGATCTGTGACCCAGTTACACCCATCATCTCTGCTGAGAGCAAGTCAACTGGCAGATGTGTGAGTGGGGACGTTTGGAACCAGCCAGCTTCTATCTATCCCATAAGTTGACCAGTCACATGAGCAAGCCCAGATTCAGTCCTTGGCCACACCAGATGTGCCTAGGAGAATTAAAAGTCAAATAACTGGCTGTAGTTGTATGCTTCTAAGTTTTGAATTCACTGATTATACAGATGTAAATATTTGATACTGAAATTCACTGTAATTTTAATACTTACTAAAATCCTTGTGAAACTTCAATACAAGTTTAGTTTGTCACTTTACCTTTTTTCTATCAAGGAAGCAAAAAAAACAGTAAAATGTTTCTCAAGCTTTCTCTCTTAATTTGTGTTACCCTAGAACCTTAGAAGCTGGTGGTAAGGATGTGTTGGGGGGGAAGGTTGTGGGAAGGCTGGGTAAGTAAAGATAGAGAGTTTGGAATAGGTGAGTTTGATTAATTATAACAACGTTCACTCTGAGCTTCAGTTTTCTTCAACAAATAGGTTGAAGGACTGAAACTTTCATTTTGGTTCTTTCAGAAAGTTAGAAAGAAACTCTTTGCTACCGTACAATAAATAATAATGAATTCATCAAATGAACATTTCCTAATAATATAGAGATAAAGGGCTTTTGGGGGATATCAAACTGGAAGCAGAAGCTAAAGTATTAAAAAGCAAAACGCAACTGTTAGGAGCAAGTTGGTGGCAGATTCAGGCCAGAGATTAAGCTAGAAGAACCACAAATCCACTTAATTAAGTCCTTCTTAGGAGCATTTGACAAGGGTCAGGAGCAGCTGGCAGCTGTATGCAGATGTTCAAAGTGATGCACATAATTAGTGTCAGTTACCTTACCCCAGGCCTGATAGAAGCCTCTCAGAAACAAGAGGTTTCTCTCTGTGCTTCTGTGCTTAGGCTTAGTTGTAGAGAATCAGAACCAAATCTTAGCTTCACAACTTACTGGATGTATGACCCTTTCCAAGACATGATTTATAAAATGGGGTAGTAAAATAATATTTTTGTAAATTGTGAGAATGACATGAACCATTTCTCCATTACCACCCACTTTTTGTCACATTACAACCTATGTACGTAAAGACAATGTAACTTCTTTGAGGGCCACACTGTGACTTTCGTATGCTGTACGTGCTTTTGCCTTTGTTACCCCCTTCTTCTATAAACACATATTGAAAATTATATTTTATAACTTCATTGGTATAAAGACAAATGTAATCTTTGACCTTACAGGTTAATGTTTCTCTTATTATTAAAAATAAACTTTTTTGTGAGACTCAATGTCCTCTAGGTCCCAAGCACTCTGTCCATGATGCCTAGTGAACATATCAGCCCTGACTTCTTCGTTTTCTGCAGCTGATCTAATGGTCCTTCTCATCAGCCCTGCCCACCTGCAAACACACATATACAGGCTGCTGAGGAGCAGTGAGAATACTTGAACTTTAAACCTACCAATGATCTCATTTGACAGAAGAGTCTCTTTTTCATAAATACTCTATCAATGACAAAATTTTTCTCAAATGAGCTCTTCCCCACCCTTACTCTCTCTGACATCTTGAGATATTTCTTGAGAAATTCTATTATTATTGTTGCGTTTTTCTAAAGCCAGAAGATGATGGCAGTCTTTGTCCATTCTCTCTTCTAGGATAAGCACTCCTTGGATGCTCCACCATCTCTCCTTCATGGCCCACCTCCCCTCAGGATTCACTGGCAATTCAGACCCTTGAAGTTTGCCAGTGACTCTCATTTGGTTTCTAACTTGAAGGGCACAACTGGTAGCTCTCAGCATTGGCTCATTTCACTCTCACTGTGGCCACCAAGAAGGAAGGTTGTCCCACCCAGGCCCTCAGCTGTCTTTGACTTCCACCATGAGGCGTACAGGAATGTTGAAATCACATCTATGTGGGCTATGGCTTGAATGATTGTGTCCCTTCCAAAATCCATGATGAAACTTAATCCCTAATGCATCAGTATTAAAAGCTGGGGCCTTTGGAGGTGACTAATCCCTAAGAGCTTCACCGTCATGGTTGTGATTAGTGCCCGATAAAAGGCCTGAAGGGAACCAGCTAGGTCCCTTGTTCACTCTTCCATCTTCTTTGCCATGTGAGGGACACAGCATTCAAAGCACCATTTTGGAAATGGAGACAGGGCCTTCACCAGATGTTGAACTTGCTGGTGGCTTGATCTTCGATTTGTCAGTCTCCAGAACTGTGAAAAATAATTTATATTATTTATATATTACATAGTCTCAAATTTTGTTATATCAGCACAAATACACTAAGATAATGCCCTTTGAGTTGCCCTTGCAACTCAAAAGGTGTGCTTCCAGATTCACTCACATCATGTAGGAACTTGTGTGAAATGTAGAAATTGAAGCTCCCTACCTAGAACAACTGAATCAGAACTTGCATTTTAACAAGAGGCTAAGGTGATCTGTATACACATTAAAGTCTGAGAAGCCACACATTAAAATTTATGCCATATGGGAGCAAATAAAAAGTATTAATATTGTTTCTTTCTGTGTCTAATGACTTTGTATTTATTCTGAAGCAGTTGCCCCCAAATATTCAAAAGAAAAAAATTATCAACCTTCGGAGTCCCAAAGAGGAAAGAAGGTAGAAGCCTCTCTACTCCAAATTTCTCCACATAGCACCACATCGGAATTTGGTGCTGCAGATAGGGCTTTAGTATACCCACCTCACTAGCTGCTGCCTTAGCCTCCTGTCATAAGTTTCCCCAGATTCTGCCGGCACCCCTAGAATTGGTACCTATTTCTGGGTATTGGCTTTAATTGTCCAAATATAGCTTTCTATCTCAGTTTTTTTCTTCAGCTTGGTTCTTTTACAAATACTAGTTCAACACAAGTCTGCTCAGGTCCACTATTCACATGATCTTGGTCTAGTTTGCCAATATTAAATAAAAGGAAATAAAGACAAAAGGAGAACTATATTCCTTATAAAACAGACTACTAAAATAGCTGAACTGTTAAACATATTTGAGATCTGGCTCTTTGGAGACAATATTCAAATATATATACTTCTGGCAAATCTAAAAAAGAAAAGAAAAAATAATACACAAATAAAAATAAATCACTGATAGGGGAATGAAGCTATAAAAAGGAGGTAAAATTATTTAATCTGTGCATTATGACTGAATGAATCTCAACTAAGTGATATTTTTCCCATTAATCTATTCATATAAATTAACAAAATAGGGTCAAGTTGAAAACTGAATCTTTGAATACTCATGCACAATATTTCGAAGGTTATCGAAGAATTATTTCTAAAAGCCTTTTGGGGTAAGATGTTTTTATTTTGCAGTCTTTCAGACTTGTGATAGCCAATTTCCATGCTATATAAATCTATTTTTTCCAGAAAATATGAGAGATGTAAAGCCACTCAATTCACTTCATGAAGCAAGTATAAATAATTTCAAAACATTATAAAGATGGCACATAAAAGAAAACTGTGGATCAAAGAGACTTATGAGTATTCAGAATAAAATGCTAGTGGATCAAATCCAACAGTGCATCAAGAGAATAATTTACCAAAAAAAAGTAGGATTAACCACTGAATTGCAAATATGACTTATTATTTTGGAATCTAAATCATGAAAATAGGTCAAGCAATAAATATCCCAATTGATTATTAAAAAATAATTTGGTAAGTTTTAACTCTTGCTCTGATTTTTTAAAAGTTAAAAGTATAAAAACTACTCTAAAATATTTTATTTATAACATCTGTTTGAAAAAGCTCACATCAAAGTTAAATAAGATATATTCAAGGCATACTCACTAAAAAGACTAAAACAAGCACCATTTTTAATAATAAAATATTCTATAGGTAACTATTCATAATGTTGTATACATAAGGTACAAAGAATCATAAACACTGTGCACACAATACAGAATAAGAAAAAGAAAACTATTTACATTGAATATCCTTTTCTGATTTGATTTCCCTTTTTGATCACCCTTTCTTATCAAGTTATGAGATGCTATTCTGGGTTTTGTATTTATTATTACTTTGAGAAATCACTGAACTATGTGCTGGTTAGTTTTGTATGTGTTCTAGCTTTATATAAATTATATCATACTGTATATATTATTTGCAATGCACTTTTTAACTCAATATTATCATGGGAGTCTCTCATACTGATACTTGTAGCTGATTATCTTTCATTTTCAATATTTGTTTACTATTATATTGTTTGTATCATCCACAATATATATCCCTTCTGCAGATGGATATTTGAGGTTATTTGCTTCTGATGTATGTTTGATAGCTTTACTACAAACAATTTTGTGTAAACTTCTTGGTACACATACTTGGTACAGCAAGTATTTCTGACTAGACCCAATGCTGTCCAATAAAATTTTCTGACATGATGAAATGTTCTGTCAATCAGCACTGTCTAAGAAAAGTTAGAGCAATTATATATTATCATTATATGCATATCTGGATGATTTTTCTCTGTCTTTTAATTCTAAGACTGTAATTAGATTTGTATTAAGTCTTCTCATTCGAGTTCCCATGTCTTAACCCCTAATTCATAGACAGCATTTTGACTATTTTTTTGTCTTGCCTTTTCTGTGTTTTTTTTCTATTTCTTGCTATGTATTGTTTTAATGACTTTTCTTTATTTATTTTTCTTTCCTGTCTTCCTACTATCTCTGCTTTTGTTTTAAGAAGTTATCTTTGAAATTTTACTTATACTTGATTTTACAGCCTAAAATTAATATCTTTTCTATACATCTAAGCATTAAATGATGTAAGAGTATTTTAACTCTGATTACCCTATTCCAGCTTTACATTTTTTTCATTTGGTATTTTTGTATTCAATTTAGTGTTTTAATATGCCTTCACAAATTGGCATTAATTTTGTTGAACTGAGGTAAACTAATGAAAGAAATACAGTTGTATTCTTAATTTTGCATATGGTTTGTAGTGTAGTATGGTTCTATTGTTTGATAGACCTAAGAGAAAAATCTCTTTTTATTCATCTTTACTTATCTTTGAACCTCAATATAGCTGAATATACTTGTGCAAACAAATAAAATTCCTTGAAACTTATTTCAACGGATCCCTCGGAATTCAGAAAAAAAATGTTCTATTAGGAATTGTAATGCATATTCTCAGCTAATTAATTTAAGAGAACTTCAGAATGATAATTCTGTAGAAAATAAAAGCACATTTTGATTGGCCCTGTCTACAAAACTATCTGGGCCTTTATTAAATCAATTTACTTTCCATAATAATGTGGTTATTTGTAAAGTTTCAATTAAAAAAATCTATCTTCATTTTCACCAAGATCTAATTGGATAATCCAATTTAATAGCCATGACCATGCCAGAAATGTCACATGGGAGAGTAAATTGCATTTAATTAGATTGGACAACCCTGTTATTCCTGAATGAGGACTGAGCTTCTGTGAAAAGAATGCTTACAAAGCCCATTCAGAAAACTGGTCCAGTCTCTATCCTGTGCTTTGGAGTTATAGTTAGTAAAGAATGTCAGTTCTGATAGACCAAAAATTTTGGTAAATCTCAGGAACATCTAAAAAACGTGTATCCATTCAGTTATAGATTTTGTACTTGAAAGCTGATAGAGGCAAATTAGATGATGATGATTATTATTATTTTGCTTTTTAGCCTCAATATTTTGATAAACAGATGGGGCACTTTTATTCTAGTTAGATAAAAATGATAAAAACACATGACCTAATGGTTTTACAAAGCCTTGACATAGAAGTTTACTCTCTTCTTTAGTGCTGTTAATTATGCAACGAGGGGTTATGTATTAATCATCACTTCTAGTTGCCTCTGTGTAAATAAAGTGCAATTAATAGAAGAAAGCATGAAGTTAATGATAAGCAGGACATTGTGAGACAAATTTATTTGGTCAAATCTGCACCTTAGGTGTGCTGATTAACCATGGGAGTGGGGCCAGGTTGGGGATGAGTTGGGGTGAGGAGAGGTGTGAAACCAAAAAGTGAACTCACTTTTTTTCCACTGAGCACAGACTAGGCTAGTCTGAGTGAGGCACAATACTTTCCCTGGACTTTCCACCAAACACCATAACCATAATGGGAAAAGGGAGAGTCTTCACAATGGCACTTGCCCCGGGATGTTCTTGAATTTTTTCTTATTCTTGTGTGCACATGTTTTTTATGTCTTCAGCATCTGGCCATGATTAGTAATATCCTGGACTTAACCAGCTGTTTAACACTCCATGATAATCTGAGATTTATAAAATAGGTAAGAAAAAACAGACTTATTTCCTCTTTTCTACTTATGAGCTTTTTTTATGGAGTGAAGGATATATATCTATGGAACTGAGACAGAAAAAATTACAAGCACTTACATAGTGATCACTGTGCCAGGCACTGTTCAAAACATTTTACATAAATTCTGTCATTTGTGACAAAATGGATAAACCTGGAGGGAATTATGCTATGTGAAATTAGCCAGCCACAGAAAGATAAATATTTCCTCATCTTACATATATATGGAATCTAAAAGTCTAACTCATAGCAGTAGAAAGTAGGATAGTGGTTGCCAGGATCTGGGGAAAGAGGAGGTTGAGGATGCATTGGTCAAAGGGTATACAAAGTTTCAGTTAGAATAAATTCTGGAGATTTATTATACAGTATGGTGACTGTAGTTAATAATAATGTATTCTATATTTGAAATTCGTTAAAAGATTATATCATAAACATTCTCACCACACACACACACACACACACACACTCTCACACAGAAATGAATGACTATGTGAGGTGATACGTTCGATATGTTAAATAGGTTTATTGTGGTAATCACAATGTATACATATATCAAAATATCACGTTGTACATCGTAACAATATACTATTTTAATTTGTCAATTATGCCAAATAAACCTGGGGGAAAAAAGAATAAATAGCATCAGCTTTTTTTTCAAGCAAAAGTTTTTCAAAAAAATAATTTACATATATCTGATTCCTCAACAACCCTGTAAGATTTCAGAGGCAAATTTAATCTAGAATTAATAAAATTGAAATATCAAAATCAGAGACCTATTTTCATAGTTGTAATTTTGTATTCATTTTCTTAAAAGATACCTTCCAAATTTTTTAAGCTTTAGGCCCTCAACACCCATATGTACCCTTCAGGGTAAGAAAACCCACAGAGAATTTAAATATCTTGCCTGAGTTCATACAGCTTGTAAAGGTAACAGAGCAGAGATTCAATCCTGGGTGGTTTGAATCCAGAGAACACACTCTTTAACTTCTGTGTTGTGTGCTCTAGTAAAGCTATGAAGGAAAGCCTGCATGTTCATGCCTGGGGCTCCGACGTCATTCTGCTTGAAGTCATTTACCTTATTTATATTGAGGTAAGAGCTAAATTTGAAAAAATTTCTATGTCATTTAAATTTACTGCCAATTAAATTTTAATACTAAACATCTACATGATTATTAGTAAAGTGCATGAGGAAATACTATCATTTCTCCATGTTTCAGTTGAGAAATCTTTATCATGTTAAATAGTTTTCTGAAAATGATAAAAATTATATATCTAGGAAATAGAGAATCTGTGATTTAGGTGTATCTGACTCCAAAGTTCATGTACTTACTCAATATTGTCTAAATCTGAGATCTCAGAATTTGATTTGCTCTTAATGTTTTTATTTTACATTTACTTGCCACTTACTGAAAATATTAGAAACCATATATATTTTTTAATTGTTGTAACAACCTTTTAAGGTAGTTGTGACTATCCTTTCAGGAGAGTTAGTTGAGATCTAGAGGAGTTCAGTAACTTTGTTTTTCCAGAGCTAGTAAGTGAATCTTGTAAATAAGTCTCGATTCCCAAAGAAACTTGAATCTGAAGTCTAGATTTTCTACCCTGTTGCAGGGAACTGGTATCAGTGACACTTCATGATCCATTCAGAGAGACAAGACTGATTTCTCCCCAAAGCTATCTCTTGCATGCCAAATCAGGACTTCCTGCCCTTGAAAACTCACCTAATTCTGTGAACTTTGGATTCAAAAGACATTTGACATTTTCTAAAAAACAGAAAAATTCACCCCTAAACTTTAGAAATTTACTCAAAGATTTGAGGACCTACATCTAAACCAGGGTTACAAAAACATTTTGAGCATTCGCAGTAAATGTGAAGGTTCAGCGTGTACAAATATTAAGTCATGACACACGCATTAACAATTACATTGCTGTCTAAATTTACCTTGTGTAAGTATTTGCATCTCCATGGGACTATTCTATTGAGTAATATGTCACCAGAAAGAACAGAAGGATTTTTCTTTGTCGTTAAGTGTGGCTTGAATTGATTTTTCTAAATGGCTCCGAAGTGTGTGCTTTCATTCTATAATCCGTTCTAAGTGTTTTAAAATAAAAGAACTATCAAATTACTTGGCAGAAGGAGGCCTATTGATGCCCAGAAAGGCCAATTTATATTCAGTTGGTGCCCTGGCAAGCAGGATGATTGATATCATTCAGATTTGAGACCTGGAGTGATAAAGAGTTACACATGGCCAAGCACTACACTTCAGGGCTCACAGCCCCCTGGTGAGTTATTGTTTCATTTTGCCCCTGGTTCCTGTAGACTGAAAACTTCGTTTTCATAAATTAATCAGTGATGGCATTTTGCATTTCTGATTTGTTGCCTTTCTCAAAAGGGCTTTACTTGCAGTTTATAATGCTGAGTGGCACAGTTTCAAGCTGCCCAAAGAGATATGAAACAAATGGATAATCAAATGGCGTTTTGTTTGTTAGCATGGCAAATACATATAGGATTCTCAAAAAGCTTCACTGCAAAGATATTTTAAAATATTTTTATTAAATGTTAAGTAGATATGAAATAATATTTAAAAAAAATATATATGGATATTCTAGAAAGTAACAACAAAATACCCATATACCAGCCACATATTTTAAGGAAAAAAAATCCACAGAAACAAAAACATTTATCTTGAAATTTCCTGTCTGCTCCTCCCATGTTTTGTCCTATTTTCTCTCCCATCAGAAGTAATCGGTATACTCAGTTTTGTGTTTAAACAACGTATTGTTTACTTTAAATGTTTTTGTATCATGTGTAAATGAAATAATACTATGTGGATTTTTAGTGATTTATGTATTTTCCTCTATAGCATATTTGTAATATTTATCCATGTTGATACTTATAGCTATAATTTATTTATTTTCATTACTGTGTATGATTCTGTTACATAAACGTGCCACAATTTATTTATCATTTCCAGTCAACGGACATTTGGATTGTTCCTATTTCTCTACAGTTTTGTTGTGAATAATCTTACTATATATAAACTTCTACATGGATCTCTATATATGAGTTTACCTATCAATGTAGGTAGAGATATTGATAGATTATTAGTTATATTTATATATTTGTGTAAAATATATTAATATATTATCGGTTATATATGTGGAATTGTGGAATCATACAGTATTTACATCTTTAACTTTTCTAGATATTGCCAAATTATTTTTAAAGTGTGCACTATTTCAAGTTTTCTACACTGTTACTGATGCTTGATATTGTCAGATATTGATATTTTGCACATCTAGAGTATGTAAAAGGGAATAATACTGCGGCTTTAATTTGCATTTGCCTGATTACTTATGAAGAGGAGTACACCTTTGCATGTTATTTATTTGAGTTTCCACTTTATTGAAGTGCCTGCTATTTAACTATTTTTCTACTAAGTTGTTCATGTTATTCTTATTAGTTTAACATGACAATGACAAAATTCTTTCTATTTTTCACTTATCTGCTTATGTTTTGTGTGGTATTATATTTGACAGAGGCTTTTTGTCATAAATAAATTTTTCAGTAATTTCTTTATGCTTTGTTCTTTATCATGTATATAAAATATTTCCCATAAAATTTCTTTGATACTGACTTCTAAAATGGAATACTTTTGCCTTTCAGATTTAATTTTTTATCTGCTTAGAAATGATTTTGTATGTCATATGAAGTATGGGTCCAATTTCATTTTCTAGTTCATATGCACAATCATTTGACCTAGCATCATTCATTATAAATGCATATTTCTTCCCTTACCTCCAGGGCCATCTATGCCATTCATTCATTCAGCTAATATTTACTGAGTGGCTAATATGTAGCTGGCACCATGAAACGGGCTAGGGATCTGGAGGAAACAAACTAGATTAAAATTTCTACTCTAATAGATCATTCATTCACTTTAGTTGCGGGAGAAAGATAACACCAAAAAAATACAAACAAAATTTAAATGTCAAATGGGGATCAGAAAACAAAAAGAGAAGCAGAATATGAAATGTGGGGTTGGGGTGGCATTTTTAAAAACAGTATTATTATGAAAAGCCTTACCAAGAAGGTACCTACCATTAGAGCAAAAATTTGAAGCAAGTTAATTATTATTATGTTCATTATGTGAATATCTGGGAAAAAAATTCAGCTAGAGGGAAGAGTAACAGCAAAATCGCTGAGTCAGAAATGTGCCTGAGGTGTTGAGAAGGCTAGCCTATCCGGAGAGGGTGAACAAACAGCAGATAGAAGGTGAGTTCAGAAACAGCAGATAGAAGGTGAGTTCGGGAATATGGGGCCGAACATATTGGACAGAAGGCATCCAAAGTATGACATAATATGAATTACATTTTCAAAGGATCACTCTATTGATCAATTTGTGTCAATCACGTATGTTATAATTTAGCAGTAAATAATCACGAAGTCTCTGTGGCCTAAAACCATGAAGGTTATTTTTCCCGATGTTACACATTCATTGCAAGTCAGCTGGGGACTCTGCTCCACATTCTCTTTCCTTCATAATCCAGTGACAGAGTAGATACCGTTGGGAATGCTACTTGTTCCCATGACAGGCAGAAAATAGAAAGACTGGTCAAACCTGTGCCAGCCATTAGAGCTTCCATCCATCTAGAAGTGATCATATCTCTTCCATTCACATTCCGTTGGTCAACATAAATGAATGGCTATGTAGGCTTCGACGGGGCGGGATGAACAATCCCACCATATGCTGGAGGGAGAACTGAAAGTATTGAGTAGATAGCGTTAATATCTACGCTACTCAGTCTCTCTGGGTGCAGTGTGGGGAACACAGCATAGGTGGGCGGGGCAGAGGCAGGGAATACAGTGAGTGAAAAAGATGGTGAAAGTCAGTGAGGGAGGTAGCAGAGGACATGGGGAGAATTGTGTGAATTCTGGAAAAATTCTGTAGGAACCTCAACAGCTGTCTGCCATGGATGTGATGTGAGGCATGAAAGAACAAGAGGAGGCAAGGATGACTCTGAGGATTTTGGCCTCAGCAGCTGGATGGTCAGGTGCCACTTACTATGATGGACAATGTTTCAGGACACACAAACCTTTTTGATGTTGTTTTGTTTTTGCTATTGTGGAGAAATTATAGTTTGAGATTTGGACTCTTTCAGTCCTTCTAATGTCTTTGTAAGCACTTCTGTTAAATTTCCTCTTTTTAAACGTCTAGGGAGGTTTGGTCTTAATGACTGGTCCCTGATTGATACTTAGGGCATAAGTATTGGGGAGTGGAGGTGGAATTGTCTTCCCAGGAGCACCCAAAATTCTATGGCCTCATTTTCGGTCCAACCAATGGAGAGGTGGAGGCCTGAGGACTGTTACGCTCAGAGCACCTGGGTTTCTTAAGCCCTTAAGGCAAGCAAATCTACGGCTGCGGCTTGATGGCTGCAAATTACAAATCAAGTTTCCATGCATGGCGGATCTGCTATCAGACTTTATTGGTAGTGTTTTATGGCTTATCTTAGTGCAGCCATATTGTCATAATTACTAATGTTTTATAGGTTGTGATATTTGGAAGAATAACTTTCTGAACCATAACCTTTTCCTTCTTTTTCAGAAGTCTTTTGGTTCTTCCTGGCCTTTTAATTTTTTACTTACATTTTAGGATTGCCTGGAAAGTTAAACAAATAAGCAAACAAGAACAAATATCTTGGAATTTTTATTGGGATATATGGAATCAATTCGGGAGAATTGTACATTCAAAATTTTGAGATTTACATTTTAACAACATAATAAAGCTCTCCAATTATTTAGGTCTTCTTTGAAGTCTTTAAAAATTTATGGTGGAACCCTGGTAAACATTTTACACATCTTTTGTTAGGCTTATTCCTAAAATGCTTACATATTTATTGTTAATATAAATTGTATCTTTTTGGAAAGTATATTTTTCTATCTGCATGTTGCAATTACGAGGAAATGAAATTGCTATTTGTCTTTATTTTACAATTTTTATTATGTTTTATTTGTGTTTCTTACAAACAACGTGTAGTTAGATTTTGGAAAGTAACATAACTAGTTAATTTACATTCATTGTAATTATTGATATGGTTGAATTTATTTTTTATCTTACTTTCTGCTTTCTATTTGTCCCATCTTTACTATTTCCTCTTTTTTCTTCTTTTCTTTTGAAGTCTTCTTATTCCTTTTCTTTTCCAATCTACTTATTGGAAACTATACAAACTGTTTTTTTAAATTTTAGGAGTTACTCTGATATCTTTAATATACATACTTCACTTACAAAAACCTCCTGTTAATCTGAAGTTTTTCTTTCTTTTGAATAAAACAGAATACTCCAAAATATTTTAAGTCTTTTCCTCTCCTCCCTAGCTATATAGTCTTTTGTTATATATTTTAGTTTTATTTCTTTTTCTACATGCATAACAACACTATCATTGTTTCATATTATTGTTATACCTATAGACTTATCCAGTTATCAGGTTTTTTGTTCATGATTTCTTTTCACAACTTTGACTTTCCATCCGGAATCAAATTACTTTTGCTTGATGAAGTCTGCGGTAGAATGAAGATGGCTGCAAATTCTTTCATATTCATTCTATGGAGAAGTAAATTTTATTTTTCTTTTTGAATGTGTGCTGGTCTGTGCATGGCTCTGTTCAGTAGAGTATGGTAGAAGTGACATTCCAGTTCTGAGCAGTTAATAAAACTGGAGGCTCTGTCATGGTCTCTGAGCACTGGGCTTATGTGAGGACATATTCCGACCCTGCCAGAAAGACCACATGGAAAGAGTCGAGGACCACATGGAGTGAGGTATGGTCTGGATGAGCTCAGCTTTCCAGTTCTACCTTCACTCAAAAAAAAAAATCAAGAATGTGAGAGAAGTCATCTGGACCATAAAGATCGAAGACTATTGCTAACCCACAAACTTCCTGTTCCTAACCCACAACAACTATGTGCTATAATCAAATGGTGGTTGTTTCTCAAATCACTATGTTTTGGGATAGTTTATTATGAAGCAAGAGTTAAATGAAAACTAAAAATGCAGAATTCATAGAAGTAGAGAGTAAGTGGTTTCTAGGGACTCGAGGGTGGGGAAATGGAGAGATGTTGGTCAAAGGGTAAAAATATTCAATAATAAGATGAATACGTTCTGGAGATCTAATGTACAGCATAGTGGCTATAGTTAATAATACTGTACTGTTTACTTGAAACTTAATAAGAGCAGATTTTAAGTGTCCTCACCACAAAGACAAAAATGCTAACTGGGTGGTGATAGATGTGTTAATTAACTTGATTGTGGTTATCATTATATAATGTATATCAAATGATTATATTGTACACCTTAAATATATCGATTTTTATTTGTCAATTAAATATTTTAAAATATTATGTGACATCCACATCCACTCTTACTATTGGGAAATCAGCTCTCAGTCTATTTGAAAGTGATCTTTTTGTTTTGCTTTATTTTTATTTTTATTTTATTTTATTTTATTTATTTATTTTATTTTTTTATGGTCCACAAAATGAAAAATATTTATTATCTGGTGTTTTTTATTTTATTTTATTTTATTTTATTTTTTTTAATTATTATTACTATTATTATTATTATTATTTTAATTATACTTTAAGTTTTAGGGTACATGTGCACATTGTGCAGGTTAGTTACATATGTATACATGTGCCATGCTGGTGCGCTGCACCCACTAACTCGTCATCTAGCATTAGGTATATCTCCCAATGCTATCCCTCCCCGCTCCACCCTCCCCACCCCAATCCCCAGAGTGTGATATTCCCCTTCCTGTGTCCATGTGATCTCATTGTTCAATTCCCACCTATGAGTGAGAATATGCGGTGTTTGGTTTTTTGTTCTTGCGATAGTTTACTGAGAATGATGGTTTTTTGTTTTTTAACCTCTGGCTGTTTTTTAAAATCTATTCTTTTTTTCTTGGGTTTTCTGAATTTTCACTAGATGCACACTAGCTTTTCTTTTCCTTCTTCCTTTGTTTAATCTTAGTCATAGTCTGTTTGGGCTGCTGTAAGAAAATACCACAAATGGAGTGAGTTATAAACAAGAAACCTTTTCACAGTTCTGAAGACTGGGAAGTTCAAAATAAGGTGCCATTGTCTAGTGAATGCCTTCTTCCTAGTTCATAGACAATCATCTTTTTGTTGTGTCCTTAAAGGGTGGAAGAGGCAGAGGTCTCTTCTGGGCCTCTTTTATGAGGGCAATAATTTAAATTTATTTTTAATACTTTGTATTAAATCTTATTTTGAAATAATTATAGATTTAAAGAAAAGTCGAGAAAGTACCAGAGAGTTCTCATATATCCCTTACCCAGCTTCCCCTAATATTAACATTTTACATATTAAGAGAACAATTACTGAAACCAAAAAATTAACATTGATAAACGAGTATTAACAGAACTACAGTCTTTACTCAAATCTTTGAAACTAGTTTACCTTTAATTTCCCTTTGATGTTTTAGCATCCCATCTAAGATTCCCATTGCATTTAGTTTTTATGTATTGAAATCTGCGACAGCTTGTCAGTCTTTCCTGGTCTTTCATGACCTGACACTTCTGAGGAGTAATAGTCAGCTATTTTGTAGAATATTATCAACGTGTAGGTTTTCTCATGATTAGATTCAGTTTTTACATTTTTGGCACAATCTAAAGAAGTAGTGTTGTGATCTTCTCAGTGCTTATCAGGGGTACATGATATTGATATATCTTATTATTGGTGATAGTAATTTAACATTTGTTTAGGATGATGTCTGCCTACATGGTTCTTTTTAAATTTGCACCATAACTGAATTTTAGTCCTTTAGGCATGTGAAGCATTTGTTTTATATTCTGTCTGTTAATTATAATATTTGTAATATTTGAAGGTACCATTGTACCCTAGGATATCATTGCTTGATTTGAGATAACTTGAGCGAAGATGGGACTCTAGGGAAAGCTACATGTCCTCTACTTTATTGAACAGTGGGAAGGTAATGGGATTTTCAGCCAGATTAATGAGAACACAAATGAACCATTTATTAGCTATGAGTATTGGTAACTTGCTGTGTCTGAACATCGGTTTCACTGTCTGTGAAATGGGAATAAGCATTATCTGACTTGGAGAAAGTTAAAAGAGATTACAAAATAAAATCTTTCGCTTATATATTTGGAACATACATGTAGATAATATTCACTTGATATAGCCAATTGGCAATATAAGGTAATTATCATTAGGAACAGATCTTTAAAGTCACTTATAAAGAAAATAAATATTAAGGGTCCTCACACAGAGTAATGCAGGCACCTAAGCTGTTATATGAAGGAAAACTTCTGTGAGTGATTAAGTGGATGTGGAGAAAAGGCAACTCTTATACACTATTGGTAGGAAAGTAAATTAGTTCAACCTCTATGGTAACAGTATGGAGATTTCTCAAAGAACGAAAAATAGAACTGCCATTCCACCCAGAAATCCCACCTCTGGATATCTACCCAAAGGAAAAGAAATCTTTATGTAAAATAGTGCTGCACTTGTATACTTATTACAGTACTGTTCACAATAGCAAAGTCATGAAACCAACCTCATCAACAATTGATTGAATAAATAAAATATGGTATATGTACACCATGGAATACTATGCAGCAATAAAAAATAAAATCATGTCCTTTGCAGCACTGATTGAGCTGGAGGCCATTAATCTAGGTGAAATATTTCAGAAATGGAACATCAAATACTGTAGGTTTTCACCTATAGGTAAGACCTAAACAATGGGTACACATGGACATAAAGATGGACATAATAAACACTGGGGACTTCAAAAGTGGGAAGAATAGGAGAGAGGTGAAGATAAAAATATTTCCTCTTAGGTATAATGTTTGCTATTTGGGTGAGTGGTACACTAGAAGCCCAATCCCATCATTATGCAATATACCCATGTAATAAACCTACACATATGCCTTCTGAATCTATAATAAAATTTTTTAAAGTTCCAGCTTATAAAGAAATACTCAACAGTCCAAGAAGCATATTCAAATTCATTGCTTTATTTGAATTTTACAACAAGATGTGGTAGGTAGATTAGGTATTGCTCCCATGATGCAGATAATAATACTGAGTCAGAAAGTTGTTACATAACTTATCTAAGGTCTCTTATCAAGGATAGACAGCATAGAGGATTTGAAAACATATTCCTTGAGTCTTAGGCCAATGCTTCTGCACCAAAAATATGACTTCTACCATCCAAAGCCCATTAATTTGCATATCAACATTCTCCCCTTAACACATCTGGATGCCCAGCAACATTCCAGGGCACTTCAGCATCTCTCTATCCTCTACCAGGCCTATACTCCAAGAAAATTTTTCAATTCCAATTGCTTTTCTTTATAAATCAATATCCTCTTCCAAAGAGGTATTATTCAATAGCATTCGCTAATACAAGACCAACTATTTCCTGATTAAGTGTTAACATTTTTCATTTTTGTAATAAAATATTACATATATACTTTTATAATTTGAATATAATTATTTATGCATATTATTTCTATAAATTATCTCATTGGAAATAAAGACAATGTTTAGTGTTCTCCTAAAAAAGACTTAGATGCTTTTATCTAGAAAAAGGGGCAAATGAAGTAGGTGTCTTCCGATAAGTTCAACTTCCAATTGGCACTTCTTTTTTTTTTTTTTTTTTTTTTTTTTTTAAAGACAGAGTCTCGCTCCCTCTGTTACTCAGGCTGGAGTGCAGTGGTTCGACCTCGGCTCACTGCAATTTCTGCCTCCTGGTTTCAAGTGATTATCCTGCCTCAGCCTCCTGAGTAGCTGGGACTACAGGCGCGTGCCACCACATCTGGCTAATATTTTGTATTTTTTTTTTTTTTAGTAGAGATGAGGTTTCACCATGTTAGCCAGGATGGTCTCAATCTCCTGACCTCATGATCTGCCTGCCTTGGCCTCCCAAAGTGCTGAGATTACAGGAGTGAGCCACTGCGCCCAGCCGACACTTCTTAAATCTGAATACATGTTCTACCTTAATATGTGTTTTAGCTCCAGAGTGCCTTAGAAGGACTATGCAGGAGTGAAGATCTCCTGTATCAGTAAAGTTAGAGGAACACTCCTTGAACACTAAAGAAAATTTCTTAACTCTTCTATTTAAAATGCTATGATATCATTTTACTCAGTAGAACACAGTTAACACAACGATAATCACAGCTTTCATTCAACACATTACATATATTTACATATACATGCATTTGTTATTCTCTCAAGTATCTTACATATAACTTATTTACACCACACAAAAACTCTATAAGACGTATACATTTATAACCTCATTTTATGGTTGGAGAAATGGAAGTGCAAGGAAGCAACAAAAATTCCCTGAAGTTGCATAGCTTATAAGCAGCCTGGATTTGAACCTAGCCAGTTTGGTTATGACGCTCTATACTATTGAGCAGAGCCAAAAACAAAGACAAAAACAAACAAACAAAAAAACCCAACACTGAAAGTAGTTTTCAAGCTGAAAACTCCATCCCCTACAGATCAACTCCATTCTCCTAATGACAAGGAGACATCACTGAGGTCTGCATGGTTTCCTTCTCAGAAAGTTGTGCTGCAAAAATGTCACTTTAATAGGACAATCCAGTTTCCTTGTATTTTATTTTTTTACATTGAAAATTCTAGTTTATCATCTATGTTTTAAAACTTTAAATCTGGAATATTTATAGATTCACAGAAGGATATAAAAATAATGTACAGGGAGTTCCTATGCACTTGTCAGTCAATGTCCTCCAGTGGCAGCATTTTGTATAACTATACTACAATATCAAACCAGAAAATTAACATTGGTGTAATCCATTGCCTTTATTCAGATTTTACAAGTTTTATATGCACTCATTTATTTATGTGTGTGTGTGTGTGTGTGTGTGTCTATATTCTATGCATTTTCATCAGAGATGTAGATTCATGTAATCATCACAATCACAATCGGGACATAAAACTGTTCCATCACCACAAGCCTCTCTCATTTGACCCCTTTAAATTCACATGTAACATCCTCATCTTCATCCTCATCTATATTTAACAATAAACATTTAGACAATGCCTATGCACCTATACCCAGTCGTTGCCCAAAAGAAAAAGCTTTAAAAAATAAGGAAATTACAAAAATGGCAGTTAAGATTATGCAAAAGCACTTGCTTATACTGAGATTTCTTGATTTGGGAGAATTTGGGGTTGTGTTTAGATCTAGAGTGGCCCAGGTTCTTGCTTGAAAGACTTAATTCTAAGCCCAAAAGATAGCAAAGTGGTGGTGGTGGGGAGGAGTTCCTCTTCACCATTGGAATAGGGTGCAATGAGCAATTAACTGTTCTTTTTTCAACTGAATTGAAGAAAATGTGGGAAATTGTCCTAACTCTACCATTATTGATCTTATGACTGATATTTAACCCCTGAGGCCTCAGTATCCTCCTTTACTGAGTGGCAATAATAGATATAAGATCAATTGATAAGTGTTACAAGCCAATATTAGAATAATTGATTGTTCAAGGGATTATATCCTCCTGTTTTATATCCTCCCATTAGCAGTACCTACCCAAAATCCTTTTAGGAAACATCTACATTACTGCCGACTTGAAAACAAACTGCCCAGTTGGGACACTGTGAGGGATGACAGAATTTGTATTCCCGAGACACAAAGCTGTGAAATGCCTGACAAAGAAGAATAGTTAGTGTCAGATATGCTTGATATGTCCGAGAACACTGAAGGACACTTTCCCCTGGCTCAGTTATTCATCAGTAAATGGAGGTCACAGAGAGCAAAATGACTTTCGTTTCTTCCAACTGGTCACACATAAGCAGAGCTCTAAAACCTTGAGTTTTAGGTTCCCAATTCTGAGAAAAACCCACAGAAAATATAAAGTACAGTAGACCACAACATGGGGATGTCTCATTAACTCTCTAATAGTATTATAAATACAGAGGCACTTCTAGTGGAATAGAAAGAAACCTCAACCAAGGAAGCAGATGACATCCATTCTAGACAAAGCCTTGTCATGTCAATATGAGGCCTTGGGAAATCACTTGAGTTTTTTGAATTTTAGTTTGCTTTTCTGGAAGACAGTGTAATGTACACCTACTTAACTATGTTGTTGAGATGGGTAGAATAAAACAAAAAACACAGGTAAAAATCCTTTGTGGATTGCCATGTGTTATACCTGTGTGTTTGTGTGTGATACACTTTCACACACACGTGAGTTGCCAAGTGGTGTGTATATATATTTATGGTAAATATATGATGTATGTGTTTGTGTGTGTGTTTATGTATACATATCTATATACATATCTATAACTAGTGTGTGTGTGTATACATGTGAATTTTCCTGTAGTGTATATGAGAATACCTATATACATAAATTAGATATTATCACAATTACTATTGCTATTTTTCAAGATAAATGAAACATATGTGGAATTGTTCTACTCTTCACAGCTCAGAAACCAAAAAGCAATTATCAGCTGAGAACTGGTGTGCTGTGACAACTCAAGATACATGGTGATGACAAAAGCTGCTTTTCCTAGGAGAGTGTGCAGGACATAAGAACTAATAGCAGTTTAGAGCCAGAAGAGAGCTTCGGATCTTGAAACTTCAAATCTCAACTCCCTGATTTAAAACATGATTAAATCACAGCCCAGGGAATGTTACCTATCCAAATTAGCAATGGGTACCAGATTGTGATAAATGAGGAACAAGAGAAAGATTAATGGCAGCATCAAATGTGGTAGATCAATTCTGATAGACAAAGAAGACATCAAAGAAGTATCATTTGTACAAGGCTTTAAAAGATGGGTAAAAACAGGTGGAGGTTTGAAGGAGACTCCATTCAGGGAACTAAGGCCTGAAGTCAAGAGCTAACAGAGTGTGCCCATAAAATCTTATTTTAGTGAAACACAGGATATTCTGTGTGAACACTGTGCTTTCTAGGAGAAAGAGTTTGGCTATTTGAAAACCATGAATATGTCGAAGAGTTGACATTTCTAGGAGAAAACAGAAACACAGATCATCAAATTCTTGGCAATGGAAACGCCCAACTCATTTAGGTGAAGACAGTGGCCCCCAAACTTTGGCTGTACCTTAGACTCATGTGGGGATTAAAAAAAATGGTGATACATGGCCACCACTCTCAGACATTCTGATTTAGTTGGTATGGGGTAGAACCTGGGAATGAAGATTTTTTTAAAGTGCCCTAGATATACATCAGTGTAGTGTGGGAAATTAAAAAATAAAAAAATTAATTAGAGTTTTCTAAATGTTTCCACTTTGTAGTGAAGTTGAGGACCACTGAATAGAGCAATAAATTAAGGCACAGCAATTTTACCTCTCTTAGGAAACTAACTAGTTACCTAGTTACTCAAGAGAGGTAGTTACCTAGCTAGCTGGCTAGTTACCTAAGAGAGGTAACATTACCAAAGACAGATAGTTTCCTAAGAGAGGTGACATTAACCTCTCCCTGAATTAACACCTCGGCATGGAGCAATCAATTAGTTATTTAAGCAAATCAGGGAAGGATGGGAAACTAGACAGTCAAATTTTGAGTGTGCTCAAGCAAACAAACACCTTTGAAAATCAGAGAGAAAGATTTTTTCCTACTGTGTGATTTTTATACGCAGTCTCATAGCAAGATTCAAATTGTCATTGTTACATGACATTTTAAGTAAACTGCAATTATTGTATTCATTATCAAGTTTTAAAAAGATAAGTAAATAAATTGACACTGAACTATATCCAGCATTTACCAAGGGCACTAACTAAAATGTGATATAAAACTTACAGTATTTAAAGTCTATTAATTTGGTCTATGAACAATAAATGCTTATTAAGTACCAACTATGTGCCAAGTGTTATTTGAGCTACTGAGAGATATAATAATAAACAAAATTTTTAAAAATACCATGACCTGTGGAGCTTAGTGTCTAATGGAGGAAACAGAAAATAAAAAAATAATAATATATAATGCAATATCTGGTGGTGATACAAGTATGAAGGTAAAATAAAGCAGAATTGGTAGAGAGTGATGGGGTTGAGCTTTTTAAAATTTGACTGTCAGGAGGTATCTATGAAGAAATAGTATTAATCAGAAACCTAAATTAGATGAAACGTTAGCCAGAAAATTGTAGTGAGAAAAAAACATCCAGGAAGATGGGCTATTAGGAACAATGACTTTGAGAAGAAGATCATGCTCAGTGTGTTCGAAATATCAAACAGGCCAGGGTGTTGTAGCCAGTGATGAGTGTTAGCTGATGAGGAATATGAGGTCAATATGGGGCCTGCCCTCCCTTGCTTGCTTGCTTCCTTCCTTCCTTCCTTCTTTCCTTCCTTCCATTTTCCTTCCCTCTCCCATTCTCTGAAGATCTAGTGGAGCAGGAAAACCAGATGATATTGGAGAGAAGAAAATTTTAGGAGCACACGCTTCCAATCCACAATGTTTTCTCTATAGTCCAGAAAGTACTTTCATATGCACAATCACTTTTGCTCCAACTTCACAGTGAGAATAGATTTAGGCCATTCATTTACCAGATGAGTAAACACACTTGGGGACTTTAAGCATCTTATTCAAAGGAACACAAGTGGTATAGCTATAAAATGAATTCTGTCTTATGACTGAAGTTCAGCTTTTTCTTTCTAGACATCATTCACATCATAAAGTAGATAAAATACAAAGATCATCCCCGAAGTGGCCTGCTCCATCTTTCTTTGTACATTTTACTCTACCTAATATGGAGAAACCTGATACCAAACCCTCTTGAAGAAAAGAGTTGTTTTCAGAAAAATTATGAGGCTCTTTAATGCATGAGTTTTACACAATGACCCATGTGAGGAGTTTCTGTGTAAATATTTTGAATATATTTTTATTTTTAATCAATGCAATAATATAAATATTTTCTAGGTAACAAAATATGCTTGGGATATCAAGCATCAGTATTAAAGGAAAGTAGCTTACTGAGTAATTAGATCTTTGTTCCAATTCCGAATGAAGTCTTATTAGTTACTAAAATAATACCAAAGAGTGTTTTTGCAACACTTGAGTTAAAGTTGAAAAAAAAAATCAGAAATACCAGTCGTGTAGAAGGTAATTTTCGATTATAATAGCTCATTAGTGTGAACTATGCCAGTCCAATTATGTGTCTAGAAAATGAACATTACTTTCTCCACTGAAGAAATAAAATCATTTTAAGAGTGAAGATAGATAAAAAGGCCCCAATTAGGTCTCAATTTGGACGGGAAAAGTTAGTACATCTAGACTCTGTTGAGTTATTAGGGCTTGAGCCTTTGAAATAAAATAAAAAGTGACCCCAATATTCATAAACCAGTTCTTTCTTTTAATTAAAAAACATTTTTTTTAACGACAATAAGCAATAGATGAAAATCTGAAAGAGATGTCATCGTTTAAGAGCAGGATGAAATCCTTTGGCTCTTCTCACAGGATTGTGTGTTAGTAAAGAGTTCAGTCATACATGAACTGGAGACAACGCAAGAAGAACATAAACTTTCAAGATAAACAGACCTAAGTTCAAATATTTTCTCATTCATTTCTAGCTGTGTGCTCTGCAGCATATTAATTTTAACCTCAGAGTCAATTTGTAGTAGACATGTATCTTCCCAGAGACTTTTGAACATGCTCTGTATATTTTAGTACTTTTAATACACGATGTATCCTCACGTTCCAAGGGTGAATTAAAAGAAAAGCAAAATTATATTCCCTGGGTTACCTGTAAACTAGGATGCAAGCATGTGAGCATAAGGTACAATCATCCAGGATTTGTTGTAGACAATATGATTTCATATTTAGAAAACTCAAAACAATCTATAAACAAATAAATGTATTTAGCGAAGTTATTAGATACAAGACTTATATAAAGTAATTCTATTTCTATATATAACAGTAATAAACATAGTGAAACTTTTATTTATTTTTTTTAATTTTCTTTTTTTTTATTATTATACTTTAAGTTTTAGGGTACATGTGCACAATGTGCAGGTTAGTTACATATGTATACATGTGCCATGCTGGTGCGCTGCACCCACTAACTCGTCATCTAGCATTAGGTATATCTCCCAATGCTATCCCTCCCCACCCCCACAACCCCACAACAGTCCCCAGAGTGTGATGTTCCCCTTCCTGTGTCCATGTGATCTCATTGTTCAATTCCCACCTATGAGTGAGAATATGCGGTGTTTGGTTTTTAGTTCTTGCCATAGTTCACTGAGAATGATGATTTCCAATTTCATCCATGTCCCTACAAAGGACATGAACTCATCATTTTTTATGGCTGCATAGTATTCCATGGTGTATATGTGCCACATTTTCTTAATCCAGTCTATCATTGTTGGACATTTGGGTTGGTTCCAAGTCTTTGCTATTGTGAATAGTGCCGCAATAAACATACGTGTGCATGTGTCTTTATAGCAGCATGATTTATAGTCGTTTGGGTATATACCCAGTAATGGGATGGCTGGGTCAAATGGTATTTCTAGTTCTAGATCCCTGAGGAATCGCCACACTGACTTCCACAATGGTTGAACTAGTTTACAGTCCCACCAACAGGGTAAAAGTGTTCCTATTTCTCCACATCCTCTCCAGCACCTGTTGTTTCCTGACTTTTTAATGATTGCCATTCTAACTGGTGTGAGATGGTATCTCATTGTGGTTTTGATTTGCATTTCTCTGATGGCCAGTGATGATGAGCATTTTTTCACGTGTTTTTTGGCTGCATAAATGTCTTCTTTTGAGAAGTGTCTGTTCATGTCCTTTGCCCACTTTTTGATGGGGTTGTTTTTTTTTCTTGTAAATTTGTTTGAGTTCATTGTAGATTCTGGATATTAGCCCTTTGTCAGATGAGGAGGTTGTGAAAATTTTCTCCCATTTTGTAGGTTGCCTGTTCACTCTGATGGTAGTTTCTTTTGCTGTGCAGAAGCTCTTTAGTTTAATTAGATCCCATTTGTCAATTTTGGCTTTTGTTGCCATTGCTTTTGGTGTTTTACACATGAAGTCCTTGCCCATGCCTATGTCCTGAATGGTAATGCCTAGGTTTTCTTCTAGGGTTTTTATGGCTTTAGGTCTAACGTTTAAGTCTTTAATCCATCTTGAATTGATTTTTGTACAAGGTGTAAGGGAGGGATCCAGTTTCAGCTTTCTACATATGGCTAGCCAGTTTTCCCAGCACCATTTATTAAATAGGGAATCCTTTCCCCATTGCTTGTTTTTCTCAGGTTTGTCAAAGATCAGATAGATGTAGATATGTGGTGTTATTTCTGAGGGCTCTGTTCTGTTCCATTGATCTATATCTCTGTTTTGGTACCAGTACCATGCTGTTTTGGTTACTGTAGCCTTGTAGTATAGTTTGAAGTCTGGTAGTGTGATGCCTCCGGCTTTGTTCTTTTGGCTTAGGATTGACTCGGTGATGTGGGCTCTTTTTTGGTTCCATATGAACTTTAAAGTAGTTTTTTCCAATTCTGTGAAGAAAGGCATTGGTAGCTTGATGGGGATGGCACTGAATCTGTAAATTACCTTGGGCAGTATGGCCATTTTCACGATATTGATTCTTCCTACCCATGAGCATGGAATGTTCTTCCATTTGTTTGTATCCTCTTTTATTTCCTTGAGCAGTGGTTTGTAGTTCTCCTTGAAGAGGTCCTTCACGTCCCTTGTAAGTTGGATTCCTAGGTATTTTATTCTCTTTGAAGCAATTGTGAATGGGATTTCACTCATGATTTGATCTCTGTTTGTCTGTTGTTGGTGTATAAGAATGCTTGTGATTTTTGTACATTGATTTTGTATCCTGAGACTTTGCTGAAGTTGCTTATCAGCTAAAGGAGATTTTGGGCTGAGACAATGGGGTTTTCTAGATATACAATCATGTCGTCTGCAAACAGGGACAATTTGACTTCCTCTTTTCTTAATTGAATACCCTTTATTTCCTTCTCCTGCCTAATTGCCCTGGCCAGAACTTCCAACACTATGTTGAATAGGAGTGGTGGGAGAGGGCATCCCTGTCTTGTGCCAGTTTTCAAAGGGAATGCTTCCAGTTTTTGCCCATTCAGTATGATATTGGCTGTGGGTTTGTCATAGATAGCTCTTATTATTTTGAAATACGTCCCATCAATACCTAATTTATTGAGAGTTCTTAGCTTGAAAGGTTGTTGAATTTTGTCAAAGGCCTTTTCTGCATCTATTGAGATAATCATGTGGTTTTTGTCCTTGGCTCTGTTTATATGCTGGATTACATTTATTAATTTGCGTATATTGAACCAGCCTTTCATCCCAGGGATGAAGCCCACTTGATCATGGTGGATAAATTTCTGATGTGCTGCTGCATTCGTTTTGCCAGTATTTTATTGAGGATTTTTGCATCAATGTTCATCAAGGATATTGGTCTAAAATTCTCTTTTTTGGTTGTGTCTCTGCCAGGCTTTGGTATCAGAATGATGCTGGCCTCATAAAATGAGTTAGGGAGGATTCCCTCTTTTTCTATTGATTGGAATAATTTCAGAAGGAATGGTACCAGTTCCTCCTTGTACCTCTGGTAGAATTTGGCTGTGAATCCATCTGGTCCTGGACTCTTTTTGGTTGGTAAGCTATTGATTATTGCCACAATTTCAGATCCTGTTATTGGTCTATTCAGAGACTCAACTTCTTCCTGGTTTAGTCTTGGGAGAGTGTATGTGTGGAGGAATGTATCCATTTCTTCTAGATTTTCTAGTTTATTTGCGTAGAGGTGTTTTTAGTATTCTCTGATGGTAGTTTGTATTTCTGTGGGATCGGTGGTGACATCCCCTTTATCATTTTTTATTGTGTCTATTTGATTCTTCTCTCTTTTTTTCTTTATTAGTCTTGCTAGCAGTCTATCTATTTTGTTGATCCTTTCAAAAAACCAGCTCCTGGATTCATTAATTTTTTGAAGGGTTTTTTGTGTCTCTATTTCCTTCAGTTCTGTGCTGATTTTAATTATTTCTTGCCTTCTGCTAGATTTTGAATGTGTTTGGTCTTGCTTTTCTAGTTCTTTTAATTGTGATGTTAGGGTGTCAATTTTGGATCTTTCCTGCTTTCTCTTGTGGGCATTTAGTGCTATAAATTTCCCTCTACACACTGCTTTGAATGTGTCCCAGAGATTCTGGTATGTTGTGTCTTTGTTCTCATTGGTTTCAAAGAACATCTTTATTTCTGCCTTGATTTTGTTATGTACCCAGTAGTCATTCAGGAGCAGGTTGTTCAGTTTCCATGTAGTTGAGCGGTTTTGAGTGAGATTCTTAATCCTGAGTTCTGGTTTGATTGCACTGTGGTCTGAGAGATAGTTTGTTATAATTTCTGTTCTTTTACATTTGCTGAGGAGATCTTTACTTCCAAGTATGTGGTCAATTCTGGAATAGGCGTGGTGTGGTGCTGAAAAAAATGTATATTCTGTTGATTTGGGGTGGAGAGCTCTGTAGATGTCTATTAGATCCGCTTGGTGCAGAGCTGAGTTCAATTCCTGGGTATCCTTGTTGACTTTCTGTCTCGTTGATCTGTCTAATGTTGACAGTGGGGTGTTAAAGTCTCCCATTATTAATGTGTGGGAGTCTAAGTCTCTTTGTAGGTCACTCAGGACTTGCTTTATGAATCTGGGTGCTCCTGTATTAGGTGCATATATATTTAGGATAGTTAGCTCTTCTTGTTGAATTGATCCCTTTACCATTATGTAATGGCCTTCTTTGTCTCTTTTGATCTTTGTTGGTTTAAAGTCTGTTTTATCAGAGACTAGGATTGCAACCCCTGCCTTTTTTTGTTTTCATTTGCTTGGTAGATCTTCCTCCATCCTTTTATTGTGAGCCTATGTGTGTCTCTGCACATGAGATGGGTTTCCTGAATACAGCACACTGATGGGTCTTGACTCTTTATCCAATTTGCCAGTCTGTGTCTTTTAATTGGAGCATTTAGTCCATTTACATTTAAAGTCAATATGTTATGTGTGAATTTGATCCTGTCATTATGATGTTAGCTGGTTATTTTGCTCGTTAGTTGATGCAGTTTCTTCCTAGTCTCGATGGTCTTTACATTTTGGCATGATTTGCAGTGGCTGGTACCGGTTGTTCCTTTCCATGTTTAGTGCTTCCTTCAGGAGCTCTTTTAGGGCAGGCCTGGTGGTGACAAAATCTCTCAGCATTTGCTTGTCTGTAAAGTATTTTATTTCTCCTTCACTTATGAAGCTTAGTTTGGCTGGATATGAAATTCTGGATTGAAAATTCTTTTCTTTACGAATGTTGAATAGTGGCCCTCACTCTCTTCTGGCTTGTAGGGTTTCTGCCAAGAGATCCGCTGTTAGTCTGATGGGCTTCCCTTTGAGGGTAACCCGACCTTTCTCTCTGGCTGCCCTTAACATTTTTTCCTTCATTTCAACTTTGGTGAATCTGACAATTATGTGTCTTGGAGTTGCTCTTCTCGAGGAGTATCTTTGTGGCGTTCTCTGTATTTCCTGAATCTGAACGTTGGCCTGCCTTGCTAGATTGGGGAAGTTCTCCTGGATAATATCCTGCAGAGTGTTTTCCAACTTGGTTCTTTTCTCCCCATCACTTTCAGGTACACCAATCAGACGTAGATTTGGTCTTTTCACATAGTCCCATATTTCTTGGAGGCTTTGCTCATTTCTTTTTATTCTTATTTCTCTAAACTTCCCTTCTCGCTTCATTTCATTCATTTCATCTTCCATTGCTGATACCCTTTCTTCCAGTTGATCGCATTGGCTCCTGAGGCTTCTGCATTCTTCAAGTAGTTCTCGAGCCTTGGCTTTCAGCTCCATCAGGTCCTTTAAGCACTTCTCTGTATTGGTTATTCTAGTTATACATTCTTCTAAATTTTTTTCAAAGTTTTCAACTTCTTTGCCTTTGGTTTGAACGTCCTCTCATAGCTCAGAGTAATTTGATCTTCTGAAGCCTTCTTCTCTCAGCTCGTCAAAGTCATTCTCCATCCAGCTTTGTTCCATTGCTGGTGAGGAACTGCGTTCCTTTGGAGGAGGAGAGGCGCTCTGCTTTTTAGAGTTTCCAGTTTTTCTGTTCTGTTTTTTCCCCATCTTTGTGGTTTTACTTTTGGTCTTTGATGATGGTGATGTACAGATGGGTTTTTGGTGTGGATGTCCTTTCTGTTTGTTACTTTTCCTTCTAACAGACAGGACCCTCAGCTGCATGTCTGTTGGAGTACCCGGCGGTGTGAGGTGTCAGTGTGCCCCTGCTGGGGGGTGCCTCCCAGTTAGGCTGCTCGGGGGTCAGGAATCAGGGACCCACTTGAGGAGGCAGTCTGCCGGTTCTCAGATCTCCAGCTGCATGCTGGGAGAACCACTGCTCTCTTCAAAGCTGTCAGACAGGGACATTTAAGTCTGCAGAGGTTACTGCTGTCTTTTTGTTTGTCTGTGCCCTGCCCCCAGAGGTGGAGTCTACAGAGGCAGGCAGGCCTCCTTGAGCTCTGGTGGGCTCCACCCAGTTGGAGCTTCCTGGCTGCTTTGTTTACCTAAGCAAGCCTGGGCAATGGCGGGCGCCCCTCCCCTAGCCTCGCTGCCACCTTGCAGTTTGATCTCAGACTGCTGTGCTAGCAATCAGCGAGACTCCGTGGGCGTAGGTCCCCTCGAGCCAGGTGCGGGATATAATCTCGTGGTGCGCCGTTTTTTAAGCCCGTCGGAAAAGTGCAGTATTCGGGTGGGAGTGACCCGATTTTCCAGGTGCCATCTGTCACCCCTTTCTTTGACTAGGAAAGGGAACTCCCTGACCCCTTTGTGTTTCCCGAGTGAGGCAATGCCTCGCCCTGCTTCGGCTCGCACACGGTGCGTGCACCCACTGACCTGCGCCCACTGTCTGGCACTCCCTAGTGAGATGAACCCGGTACCTCAGATGGAAATGCAGAAATCACCCATCTTCTGCGTCACTCGCGCTGGGAGCTGCAGACGGGAGCTGTTCCTATTTGGCCATCTTGGCTCCTCCCCTCAAGGTTTTAAATTTCTCTCTCCCTTCTTTTCTAATCAATGTCGTGGAATAAGTGGGAATGGGCTGCTTACTTTCTGGGACAGGACATTAAAATTCTGTCTAGAGCCTATGCCATTGCCCTGGCAAGCTGTAGGTGCTGCACACGCCAGAGTTTGGCATATGGTCCCATTTTCTTTGGCATACCCATAAGTTGCTGCCACCACACTCCTATTGGCAGCCTGTAAAAAGCTGCCACCAGCCTTGAATCGAAACTTTTAAAAAGAAGCTTTTTAAGAACATAAAGAGACATCAGATACCTTGAAAAGTTCTGACTCAGGATTTTTATTTAGAGATGAACTACAGGAGGAAATCGGTTGGTTACAGACCAACACGAAAAAATATCAGAGGAAGTTTAGTTCTACATCGGTTTGAGGAGGTGGCAGCTTCCTCATCCTGCAGTATCATTCTTGAAAAGTTAGACTTGAGTGTTTTTCACCAACTCTTTTAATAATTTTATGAACTAATAATGCCCATTAATATATTTATTTTTCCTCAACCTAGAAAAATTGATTCTATTACTTGCTACTAAAAACTATAGCAATTTCAGTATTAAAACATTTAGTAGAGTAGTTCATGATGCCCAGACAGGCTTCATCAATGTTATTTCTCTTGCCTCTATCATTGGAGGAAACCGAGTTTGTAAAAATTTACTTTTGTTTTCCATCTGCATACATGAAAACCTTTCTCTGCCATTTTTCAGTCAATTTGTGGACTGTTCTTTTGAACCCATAGATAAAGCTAGTCTAAGAAAAGTCTGTGGAAGTGTTCACGTTTTTAACTTGTTTTATCAGTGGTTCCTGGAAACAGCAAGAGCTTTGGAAAAAAAAATGAATTACATGTAAGAGGATGGAGACATCCTTGGGAAAATGATTAAGTATCTATTAGAGCATAGGAGAAAGACCATTCAGATGAGAGGCCACCTCTTATAGTCCATGTAGACTTAGGATATGATGGGAATGAGAGGAGATTCCTCAGATTCAGAGCATGCCCATGAGTACACCAACAAGGCCAGTCAAGTGTGTACTGCCTTTTCTCAGATCTACAAGTCATAATGTAGTATTCTAAGTAGGAGTTGGCAGAGTTGAAGCACAACTTTCAAAATAATTTGTGACTTAACTTTAGCAACTAGATAGGATAAAGCCTATGAGTGAACTGAATTCTATCTTTTTCCAGTATTATGCTTCTGCTCTTCTAAACCTATTTTACTTGCACTGATTTCTAAATTATGTTTAATATCTATATGATTTATTTAAAATTCTAAATTGAAATGGCATTTAAAAACAATGAAAGGAACTTCCATTAATACACATTTTAGCAAAGTTTGCCAAATTTATAAACATCACTAGTCTACATTCCAAGCAAGATAAATAATATTTCTATCTTCCCAGAAAGTTCTTGCATGTCACTTTTCTGTAAGTCTATCCTCCTCTACCCAAAGAAGTAGCCACTATTCTGATTTCCAGAAACAAAAATAGACCCTATTCTAAAACTTTACATGGATGTAACCATGCAGCAAGTATTCTTCTGTGTGTGGCTTGTTTTGCTCAATACAATGTTTTTGAGGTATATTAATGTTTTTATATGTATGATAAAATAGGTACCCTAGTTTTTCCCTTTTAATGCTAGCAATATCCTATTGGGAAAATGTACTATGTTTGTTTCCTTATTCTGTTGATGTATATTTGGGTTTCCAATTTCTGATTCCACTTACCGTGTTTCTTTTGATGATAGATCAAATTTTTCTGCTTCTTTGTATATATTATCATTATTATATTATGGGCATTATTTTTATTAAATAATTGTGAAGATTGGAGTATGACATTTTGTTTTGTTTTATTTCAAAGAGACTGTAAGCCTGTGATTTGTGATAGTTAGGGTGAGGGTCTGTTCATTCTGGTTTTTCTTAGAACTGAGTCAAGCTGGGCTGGGTCACAGTTTTAATCACCTGGAGGACACCTGCCATTAGCAAGGATTAAATAAGCTTCAGTTTCAGATAGTTTTGGTGCTTTTAAAATTCAGTTCTGGCAGGGAATCTGAATCTAAGCACTATAAACATATGCCGAAGCACCTGGTTTCTTTCTGATTTCCTTAACCCTTTTCACAGCCACTTCTCCAACAAAATTTTGTTAAGATGTGTTTGTTTGTTGAGGGAAGAATTGTTGAGCTAAGTGATTAATTTTTGTGTTTGGGTATTTTCCAGGGACTGGTCCATCCCAATAGCCCACTCTGTAATCTCATGCTCAGTCTCTTTATCTTGGCAGGTTCACTCATCTGCCAATCTGAACCCACCCAGGAATTCACTACTACCAGTATGAATGCTGAAGGACTTCCAGCATACCAAAGAGAAGCTTATTTCTCATGGGAATTTAGTTCATCAAACTTCTTTGCATCTACCACTCTTCACTAACCCCATACAAAAATATTTTCTATTTTGTTGTACTTTTCTCTTTTTTCTGCCTTATGTTATACAGATCTCCAGAACTTATTTATTTTGCATAACTGAAACTTTTTACCCTGGGTTAACATCTCCTGATTTCATCTTCCTCCAGCCTGTGGCAACCACCATTCTACCCTTTGCTTCTATGTGTTTGATTATTGTACTCTTTACTTATAAGTAAGATCAGGTGGTATTTGTGTTTTTGTGTCTAGCTTATTTCACTTAATATAATGTCTTACAGTTTCATCCGTGTTGTTGTAACTGGCAAAATTTCCTTTAAAAAATCTGAATAATATTCCATTGTATGTATATACCATATTTTCTTTATTTGTTCTTCAATAGACATTTAGTCATTTGTTGTTTCCATATCTTGACTAGTGAATAATGTTACAATGAACACAGGAGTGCAGATATGTTTTAAGATCCATCCTTCAATTCCTTTGGATATATACCGAGAAGAGGGATTGCTGGATCAAATCATAATTCAATCTTTAATTTTTAAAGGAAACTCCATATAGTACTTTGCATATAGTAGTTGCACTAATTTATTTCCACCAACAGTGTGCAAGAGTTCTCTTTTTTCCGTATCTTCTCCAATATTTGTCCTTTATTAAAATAATAGCCAACCTAACAGATGTGAAGTGATATCTCACTGTGGATATGATATGTATTTATCTGATAATTAATGATGTTGAGCACTTTTTAATATACCCTTTGGCCATTTGTATGTTTTTTAGAAGAAATGTCTATTTAGTTACTTTGCCTTTTTTTAACCTGGTTGTTTTTCTATTTTGCTTGTTTTTTGCTATTGAGTTGTTTCAGTTTCTTTTACGTTTTGGATATCAACTCCTTATCAGATTATGGTCTGCAAATATTATCTCCCATTTCATACGTTTACCTTTCGTTTTATTAATTGTTTAATGCTTGTTAAACAAAACAATATGTGTGTGGAAGCTTTTTAATTTGATGCAATCTTATTTGTCTATTTTTGGGTTCTTGCCCATACTTTTGGTATCATACCTGAAAAATTATTGCCCAATTCAGTGACTAAAAGCTCATTCCCTATGTTTTTTTCTAAGAGTTTCTTTGTTTCAGATTTTATATTTTTAAGTCTTTAATTCATTTTGAGTTGATTCTTGTATGTGGTGTGACAGTAAGTTTCAATTCCATATTTTTTTGCATGTAAATATCCAACTTTCCCAACATCATTCATTATTTTTACTTTTAGAGATGAAGTCTCACTCTGTCATCTAAGCTGAAGTACAGTGGTGCAATCATAGCTCACTGCTATCTTGAACTCCTGGACTTCAATGATCCTCCTGCCTCAGCCTCCCAAGTAGCTGGGATTACAGGTATAAGCCATAGTGCCTGGCTCTCAACACCATTTTTGAAAGAGACAGGTTTTTCCACTATTTTGTATTCTTGACATACTTCTTGAAAATCAGTTGACCTTATATGCACACATAGGTTTATTTCCAGACCCACTATTCCATTAGTCTATATGTCTGGTTCATTTTGTTTTATTGCATTGTATTTTATTTTATACCAGTACCATACCAGTTTAATTACTGCAGCTTTATAATATGTTTTAAAATCGGGTGTGTGACACCTCTAGCTTTGTTCTTGCTCGAAATTGCCTTGGCCATTTGGGGCATTTTTATAGTTCCAAGTGAATTTAATATTTTTTCCTATTTTTGTAAAAAATACTATTAAAGTTAAATCTACAGATTGTCAAATCTACAGGAAGGATAGACATTTTAACAACATTTATTCTTTCAATCCATGAACTTGGGATGGTCTTCCATTTATTTATGTCTTTTAAATTTTTTTGGTCAATGTTTTATAGTTTCCAGTGTACAAATCTTTCTACCTCCTTAGTTAAGTTTATCCTTAAGTATTTTATTATTTTTGATGCTATTACACTATTACAAATTGAATTGTTTTCTTATTTTCTTTTTGGACAGGTAATTGTTAGTGTACAGAAATAAAGTGATTTTGTATTTGGATTTTGTACTGTATGACTTTACTGAGTTCAGCTCTTAGTTCTAACAGGTTTTGCTTTTGTTTAGTTTTTTGTGTGGAATATGTTGATTTTTCTAAAGTATGTCATCTGCTACCAAAGATAGTTTTACCTCTTCCTTTCTAATTTGGATGCCTTTTTTTTCTTGCCTAAATTATTTAGCTATGACCTCTAGCACTATGTTGACTATGAAAGGTGAGAGTGGGCACTCTTGCCTTGTTCAAGATCTTAGAGGAAAAGCTTTCAGCTTTAAATCATTGAATATGATGCTAGCTGTGTGGGTTTTTTTTTTTTTTTTTACAAATGAACTTTACTGTGTTGAGGTAATTTCCTCTATAATTTGTTGAGAGTTTTATCATAAAAGAGTGCTGATGTTGTTAAATGCTTTTTCTGCATTAATTGAAGTGAACATGTAATTTTTATCATTCATTCAGTTAACGAGGTTTATTACATTGACTAATCCGCATATGTTGAAACATCCTTGCATCCCAGGGATAAATCTTACTTGGTCATGGTGTATGATGCTTTTAATGAGCTATTGTATTTGGTTTGCTAATATTTTGTTGATGATGTTAATCAGGGACACTGGCTTGTAGTTTATTTTTCTACATTGTTTTTGTCTGGCTTTAATATAAAGGCAATTCTAGCCTCATAGAATGAATTGGCAAGTATTCCCTTTGCAAGGCTTTTTTGGTTGACACAGGAGTGAAGGTCTTCTTTGGTTTTCTATATCCTAAATGGAAGCAGATGTTTTATTCATATACTTATTTAAATATGTCCATATTATTTGTATTCATTTTAGTAACTGCATTGCTTTTTAATAGGGAAGACAAAAAACTATGAAGAAAAAAAGAAGA
Organism: Homo sapiens; assembly: GCF_000001405.40. Taxonomy (NCBI): domain Eukaryota; kingdom Metazoa; phylum Chordata; class Mammalia; order Primates; family Hominidae; genus Homo; species Homo sapiens. The sequence goes on from NC_000011.10 coordinate 21,680,424, forward strand.
AAGGAAGAAGGGTAAAGAAGAGGAGAAAGGAAGGAAATGTCAGCTCAGTAAGAGCAGGGATTTTTGTCCATTTTGTTCATTGCTTTATCCAAGTCTCTACAACTGAACTGGTATATAAAAAGTACTCAATAAGCAGTTGCTTAATAAATGTATGAGTAAAGAAATGAATAAATAGTAAATTAGGCCTGAATAGTTGATACTTTTCAGGTCTAAAATGAAACAATTAATGGGAATATATTATGGAGGAGCACTTCTAAACTTGTTCATGAATGACTACAACTTTTACCACTCCCATCGGCCCCTGTCCCTCCAAAGTTAAAAGCAAATTAAAGAATACGCTTGGTTAGATGTGTAATCTCAGTTTAGGTAGAACTATTCTAATTCTGGTTGTATTCACTAGTTGCATAATCATTTGAATAATAATTGCCCCCATGTAGATTTTTAGAGAGATTGGGATAAGAACAGAAATCAGCTTGTCCCTGGGAATGGCTACTATTCATAATTGAATAGAACTGCATCTTGTAGTTTAATGCTCAACAACATCTGATGGCAGAATAGCATGTCTGCTTTGGAAAAAGGTATTAGACACTCTGCCTGAAGTCTTCCCACTTATACTGTGACACCTATAAAGGTTACAAGCACGCTCACAGCATACCATTCTACTCAATAATCTCTGAGATTTCTTGACATTTTTAGCTAAAACTCATCAGGCTGGATGACGTTAACAAGACTTCTATGTTAATCTCTCTGATAATGCAATGTTAATTCTCAAATGTTTCCAACAAATTATTAGGGCTGTCGTACTAAACAACTTCTTTTATATTGTATAGCTTATATGGGTATGTTTGATAATGCTGTTTAAGCTGCTAATTCCAACATATTTTTATACTTCTTACACAAAAACACTCAATTTCATATCTGATTCTATATTGTTTGTTTATCCCAAACTCCTACTCTTGTACTTATACATAAAGCTAAACACGTTAGCTTTATATCTCAATGTAAAAGTAGAATAATTGGATGATCATAAATATAATCATTTATTGAGGCCTAGAATGTATACTCCATACAGAATTTTTCTCTCTTGCTGACTACTATATCTCCAACAACTAAGAATGTATGACATATTACACACACTCAGAAAAGATGTGTGGAATTTATCAATAAAACTATTTGAACCAGTTACTGAAATATGTTTTTTTCTTTCATACTACAACTCTATGACCTAAATGCATTTACACAAACTTTATGGATGAGGTAATTGAAAAGACTGAATAACTTATCCAGTGTCATAGAGCTAAGAAGCCCAAAAACAAAGATGTAATCTATGTCTCTCTGAATCTCATACGTAAACTTTTTTTTCTTTCCCTCTTCCCAAGATACAAACTCTTGCTTTATATTTTGTTTTCTCCCTATTTCAAACAACTCTTTTTGATACTCAATTAATCTATCTCAACAGTAATGACTATTCTACATGGATCATTTATTTCAGAAATCTTCTACAACATTTAGAATCAGCAAACATTACTCAACACTATGATATTATTTCATTGTGACATATAATTGCATTTATTTCTTTAAGAGATCATAAGCTCTCTTTTTATGGAGACATTCTCTTTCTATGGAAATTCTCAAAGTTCTTAGGTAACTAAGTACCTATAAAAGAATCAGAATATAAAGCAGACATGGCCTGTTGCTTGTTGGTATAAAGTTTAATGGGAGGACTGCCATCTTCATTTATTTATGTGTTGTCTTATCACTACTATTCTTCTCTAAAAGCCTAGTAGAGTACTTATTTACAAGACAGATCTTCTGGCACACAAAGCTTAAAACATTTCCTATATGGCCCTTTACAGAAAGTTTGCCAATCCCTGGTATAATAGAAAATCTTAACCTTGGGGTCAAAAAGATATGATTTCAAATTTTCCCACTTATAAGAGAGACCTATAATCATAGACAATTAACCAAATCTGAAGTCTTACAGGACTCTTTAAAACTGAGTAAGTGTATCCAAAGCACTTGTTAGGCTAGACATGTTGGCACACATCTGTAGTTCCAGCTAATCAGAAGGCTGAGGAGGAGAGGATTTCTTAAACCCAGGAGTTAGAGGCTGCAGTAAGCTATGAGGATGTCACTACATTCCAGCCTGGATAATAGAGCAAGATCCTGTCTCTAAATAAATAAATAAAGCACTTGTTAAGTAATAGAAACTCAGAAAGATCATGCTGCTACTGCAGCTATCTTACTACTGCTGATATAATTCTGATTCATTGTTTACTAGTTACCAGGATTGAGCTAAGTGCTTTAGATGCACAATTTCATTTAGTTTACCCAAAGGCCTTGTGTTAGCTTTTTTTTTCTTTAGATGGAGTCTCGCTCTGTTGCCCAGGCTGGAGTGCAGTGGCACGATTGTGACTCACTGCAAACTCCTCCCTGGTTCAAGCAATTCTCCTGCCTCAGCCTCCTGAGTAGCTGGGGTTACAGGTGCCTGCCACCATGCCCAGCTAATTTTTTTGTATTTTTAGTAGAGACGGGGTTTCACCATGTTGGCCAGACTGGTCTCGAACTCCTGACCTCAGCCAATCCACCCGCCTTGGCCTCCCAAAGTGCTGGGATTACAAGTGTGAGCCACCACGCCCAGCCGATATTTTTTTTTAAATGTTCCATCTATGTTAGAAAAACAAACAAAATTCTCTGTGATCCCAAAACAAGTGAAAGAGCAAGGATTCAAAGGCAGGTAATCTAGGAGGCAAGATGGCAGTTGTGCAAAAGCATTGCTTTTTAATACACTCAAATCTTCTCACAAAAACAGAGCTATTAGTGTAGCCAAAGATAAAATGCATGGAAAATATCTTTGGCAGCACAAGATACTGAGGGCTGAGTTTTCTAGAAGCGTATATTGAGATGGAATCGTGTGCAAGTTGTTCACTAGGAATCCATAACTGTGAAAGGAAAGTGCCGGAATTAGCATTGAGCAAAGGGAGAAGTTATAAACTGCAATACAAGCCAGACAAAGCTTGGTCATCCCAACGTGGAGTCCTGGAATAAATCCTGCCTTTCAGAGTTGACTCATGGTAAGTAGTTACAGCAGTCACTAGATGTAGGCTGCTACAGGAAAGGTGTGATTTGGGGGTGCATCACTCTCTGAAGCTAAAGAGGAGGAGCTGAGAGCTGAAGACTCTGTGTTGACCATAGTTCCTGAGGCTGGCAGCAGGTCCTTGTTTAAAGAGAGATCTGGGTTACATCCTGCATCTCTCCCACAATCCACACTTTGTACTGCTCAGATCTGTTTTTCCACATGTATTTGGGGAGTTAGCTCCTCCAGGATTCCCATGAGCCTCTCTTATTGAGGGGAAACTGAGAAGAGGTAGGTTAGTAGAACAAACCAAGAAACTGCACTTGGTCTTGAGACCACAACTGATACCTTCATCTTTTCCACCGCCAACTAGTCTGAATGTACCTCACTCTCAACTACTAGCTCTATTAGCTATGATCACTTATTGCTATTCCTAAGTGGCCTGAGCCCCTGGTCATCATGCCTTTCTCAGCCTGGGGCTCCTGTGACAGTGCATTTATAATAAAAACTGGACAAAGGAACATAAGAGACAAACAAGTAGACCATCTGCATTCCTCACAAATTCACTCTTATCTCCATTGTGTAACAGTATCCCAAACTTCTGAAAATCGAAGCCAATAACACTTGCCCAAACAGTGACTATTCTTGTCTGCTTGTCCATGAACACAAGGGGGTACAGTGTGTAGGCAGAAGCCATAGCTAATAATTCAACAGGACACTGGTGCCTCAGGACTCATTTGGAAATCAAGGCCTCTAACCCTGGAGATCCTACAGTTGCAGGGATGAATTCAATGTCACTGGTAAACAAAGCAAAGCAAACAAATATACAAAGAAATTAAATGAAAACAATATCAGTCTCTTTTTGAGAAGTTATATACTCATCACTATGTTGTCATTCCTCTACCTGCAGCTCCTATTTCTGTTTAACTTATGATGAATTTTAACTAAAGAAGTTGCAGTATTAGTCACCTATTGTTACATGTAGAAAGGAACTTTAAATATACATGGAAATGATATATACAAAGAGATTTTAATAACATAGGAAAGGTATATGTTTCCAGTACAAAAAGTCAAATATAAAGTTGTGGACAATATGACATTTTTTTCTACAGCCTCTTTTCCAATCATAGTTCTAATTAATTAAACATAATACTTACACTTGGAAGAAATATTGTACCAAGAATGCTTACAGTCAGAGATGAGCTCATTCCAGACATGAAAAATTGCTAAATGTAGTATCAATAAAAATAATGAAGAAATCCACTGGAGACTAGTCCATGATTCCTCTCCCAAGGTAGAGTGTTTCTAAGATGTATATAGTAAGCAGCCATGGCACATCTTCAATGACATCACTTAAATAGAGAGGTGTGAACTCAAGTTGAAAGTAGACTTTGGTATTGCTGTATCTCATCCATCTCTTAGATTTCACGTTGCTTGTCTTATTCTTACTGGGATATTGCCAGTGGCATGAAGGAGCACTTGCCTTTGCTTTTGGTACAAAGAGCCACTCTAAGCAGAGTAGGGGCCAGTGTTAAGGTCCTGTTTGAAAATTATTCATGCTATTCTACTTCTGAAGTTGTTGGTTCTCCACATTAATAATTGACTAAATGTCCCTTTTGACCTGAATCCAGCAGGTGAAAGATTTTAGCAGACTTATATACAAGAAACAATTCAGCTTCTAGTTCACTGTAAGCTACTATAAGGCAAACAGAGATTTGTAACTATATACAGAAGGGAAAAAATTACAGAAACATAAAAAGAGTCTACAGTTCAAATAATTTTCTCTAAACTTGCAAAGAAGTAGTGTTACACTGAAATAGACATATATCATAAAATTTAAAAATAGAAACATTTAAAAAGATATTTAGAAAATATCTGCTGCATTTTCAGAAGACATTGCTAATGGCATAAGCAGCCTTTTAGCTAGGTATAGAATTGTGGAGTCACACATATTTTGCTGTGTAGCTTTAAAAGTGGAACTTCTTCATCTTCAGACTATGTTGCATTGAAAAAATGTGAGATTCATCTAACATTAACCTATTTTTCTTTGGATATTTGGGGGATTCTTTATCTTTAAAGTGTAAATATTTAACCAGGCTGTATCAAGAAACATACTTTACTCTTTTTGTTTATTATTTTTAAAAACAATATAAATCTTTACTTTTAGACAGAAGACACTTCCACAGTGAAATAAAGTGTTTAATTTTTTTATCAAACTATCAATCTCATAGTTAATAATGGCACCCTAGAGAGTCTCTCAGTAAAATCACACAGAACAACAATCTTATGGATCTAATTAAACTAAAGAGCTTCTGCACAGCAAAAGAAACTACCATCAGAGTGAACAGGAAACCTACAGAATGGGAGAAAATTTTTGCAATCTACTCATCTGACAAAGGGCTAATATCCAGAATCTACAATGAACTCAAACAAATTCACAAGAAAAAACAACCCCATCAAAAAGTGGGCAAAGGATATGAACAGACACTTCTCAAAAGGAGACATTTATGCAGCCAAAAGACACATGAAAAAATGCTCATCATCACTGGCCATCAGAGAAATGCAAATCAAAACCACAATGAGATACCATCTCACACCAGTTAGAATGGCGATCATTAAAAAGTCAGGAAACAACAGGTGCTGGAGAGGATGTAGAGAAATAGGAACACTTTTACACTGTTGGCGGGACTGTAAACTAGTCCAACCATTGTGGAAGTCAGATTCCTCAGGGATCTAGAACTAGAAATACCATTTGACCCAGCCATCCCATTACTGGGTATATACCCAAAGGATTATAAATCATGCTGCTATAAAGACACATGCACACGTATGTTTATTGCGGCACTATTCACAATAGCAAAGACTTGGAACCAACCCAAATATCCAACAATGATAGACTGGATTAAGAAAACATGGCACAAATACACCATGGAATACTATGGAGCCATAAAAAATGATGATTTCATGTCCTTTGTAGGGACATGGATGAAGCTGGAAACCATCATTCTCAGCAAACTATCACAAGGACAAAAAACCAAACACCGCATGTTCTCACTCATAGGTGGGAACTGAACAATGAGAACACATGGACACAGGAAGGGGAACATCACACACCGGGGCCTGTTGTGGGGTGGGGGGAGGGGGGAGGGATAGCATTTGGAGATATACCTAATGTTAAATGTCGAGTTACTGGGTGCAGCACACCAACATGGCACATGTATACATATGTAACTAACCTGCATGTTGTGCACATGTACCCTAAAACTGAAAGTATAATAAAAAAAAGACAATCACAAACAAACAAACAAACAAACAAAAAGACGGTTATATGCTTTAAAAAGTCAAGTAAGGTATGAAACAAGTAGCAGACAAAATTATCTTTTTTTCTCAAATAACTTTTCTAAAATAACAGCATTAGCCTTGTAGATTTAATTGCCTTCTTATAAAACTTAATAAAACCAATATGAGGACAAATAGTAAGATTTTCAATATCATGACTGAAACAGAATCTACATTTAAAAATCAGGAACAAAACCAAAAAGTCTTTATTACACACTAGCAGTAGAGAAATAAAAGAAATAATGATAATCATAAAAATAGCACAGAAAAATCCAAATAATAACAGCAATATAAATTATGTAAGAATTGTATGTTGAAAACTACAGCTACTTATTAAAAGGTATAATGATAGACTTATACAAAGAGAAAGCAATCATCCTAGGAAAGAATCAAGTATTACAACATTTCAAATTAATGTCAAGCTAATTTTTAAGTTTATTTATACTTAATTAATAAAAACTATACCTATGGAAAACTATAAGGTTGAAATATTTTCTTATGCAAAAATCAATTTAACTCAATTTGAATTGTTTTGTGGGCATTAAAAAACTTTTAATTTTTCTTGGGTGATTAAGCATGATAAACCACTTTTGGCATTTTTAAAAATAAAAATTATTAATAAATTCTTGCCTCACTAGATTTTAAAACATATTAATAGGTAAATAATCAAAAGTGTAATACTGCTAGTAGAATAGTGAGCAAATCAATTAGTGATGAATAAAAAAACTCTCTAACTCCCTCTCTCTATATATATTTAATAAATTACTTGTAATGCACAAAAAACTGGTAAAGTATTCTGAAAAAAAGAAAAATATTGCACTCTTCCAAGAAAATAATAGAATAAAAAAATTCAAGTAGTTTAAAGCAGCAGTTCTCAAATTGTGGTTATTTGAAACGTGGAGGTCTCTAAAACTCTTTTGAGGAGTCAATGAGATTAAAAAAATATTACAATGATAAAGATTGTTGTAGAATTTTTCCCACTAAGTTGACATTTGTGCTGATGGTGCAAAAACAATAGCAGGCAAAAAGGCTGGTATGCTACACTAGTATTCATTGTGATCATTACTGCCATATGCCATCAGGAAAATAAAACCAGCTTTACCTAAGAATGTCCTTGACAAAACCATAAAAATTGTTAATTTTCTTTGATATTGACCTTTTAATAAAACTTTCTAATATCCTGTGTGACAAAATGGAAAATATGCAAAAAATGCTCTGTCCCATGTAGAAGTATAATGTTGATTTTGAAGAAAATTGTATATCTGAGTTGGAGGTGGAACTAGCTGCTTTTTTCACAAAACACCATTTTTACTTCTAAGAAAAAATGGCAGACAAACTATGGCTAATGAATAAATTGAGCCTGTCACATCAAGGAAAACAACTGGCCATGTGTTTTGCCAATTAAAAAATCTGAGCTTTCAAGCAAAAATTAGAATTTTGGAAAACTTGTTATCTACCAACATAAGCCTGATAGTGCCCAGACACCTAAAGATTTTTCTGAGATCCATGATAATTTAGTGATTGTGATCTTTTAATATTGTGTAATTAATGGTGTCAAAACTTGGAAGATCTGGATAGTTCAGTGATCAATATTTTTCCAAATAAGTAATGCATTATGTTTCCAAATCATGCGTGAGTGAATAATTCATTAAAAGTGCAAGAAAAACTAATAGCTTTTAATGTAACAATATGGAAAGTTAATTGATATGGCTTCAGATCCTGGCCGGGTGCGGTTGCTCATGTCTGTAATCCCAGCACTTTGGGAGGCCGAGACAGGCAGATCATGAGGTCAGGAGTTTGAGACCAGCCTGGCCAACATGGTGAAACCCTGTCTCTACTAAAAATACAAAAATTAGACAGGCATGGTGGCACATGCCTGTAATCCCAGCTACTCGGGAGGCTGAGGCAGGAGAATAGCTTGAACCTGGGAGGTGGAGATTGAAGTGAGCCAAGATCACGCCACTGCACTCCAGCCTAGGTGACAGGGCAGAGCGAGACTCCATCTCAAAAAAAAAAAAAAAAAGAAAAAAGAAAAAGAAAAACTGACTTGCCGAGTTTTGCTGTAGCATCAAGAAAAATATCCAACATTTTCTGAAAAGGCCATACGAATACTGCGCACTTTTCCAACTACGTATCTTTGTGAAACCAGATATGTTTCACTGACTTTGATCAAAACAAGCTATCATGACAAATTGAATGCAGAAACAGTATGAAAATCCAGCTGTTTTCTATTAAGTTAGATATTGAAGAGATTTGCAAAAAGGTAAAGTAATATTCCCTGTCTCAAAAATTGTTTTTGTTTTAAAAATGTAGCTATTTTTCCTTACAAATACATTAATTATGTTAATGTAGTAAGTTATTATTATTTAGCAATACTTTTAAAACAGTTTAACAACAAAATTATTTTAAAAGTATTGCCAAAATGTAATTGTAAAATGTCTCACCTTTAATTTCTAATATAATATACATGGCAAGGTATAACTCATATAAACATAGGCTCTCTGAAGTCCTCAATAACTTTTAAAGGGCAAAATGATCCTAGTGACAAAACATTTGAAATTCAGTACTTCAAAATTTTCATTTAAAAAAATCATTAAACATTTGAAAAAATAAAAAATGATTTAGGTTTTTTTTTTCCATATGGAGAATTCTGCATGCAGACAAGCAATGGAAGAACTACCAAAGAAAAAAAAATGAGTCTTTCAAAACACAAAAGTGAAATGTCCATGAATAAGAAAATATCTTTAAAAGTTTGAGTCTCACTAAAAAACAAATCATAAGAGATACTATTTGCCAAAATTTAAGATTAATATTTAATAGAAAAAGATCCTGTATATATCAAACAAAAAAAATCACAACATGAAAACATGTAAAGGATAGCTCAGAGAAGTAGAAATAAGATAAAAGGAACACACGCACACACACACACAATCATATTCTCCCACTCTCACAATCTTGCTTTTGATTTAATAAATGCCACATAGATAAGAAACATTTGCTTTTTGCCTAACAAATTAGCTATTTTTTTTAAAAAAATGACAACATTCATTTCTGGTAAAAAAAAATATAGCTTAAAACATGCTGTCAGATGCTATTTGTGAGACTATAAAATGGTGGAATGTTTATGAAATATAATTTGGCAAACATGAAAAATCATGACAAAATTCCTACTCTTTGACCCAGTAATTCCACTTCCAAATGATTATCATAAAGTATTCCCAAATTGGGGAAAAATATATAGTTATAAGAATGTTTATTATAGTATTATAAACAATAGACAAATCTCATAACAAACTATACTAATAATAGAATATAAAAATTAATGTACTTGTACATTAAAATATTATGTACCTATTAAAATTATGTTATAAACAGTTTTATTGATGTAGAAAAATATGTGCTATAATGGTATGTGAATAAGGAGAACATGATATTGAATAAATAATATCATCTTAGTTATATGTAGGGTACTGACAATGGGAAGGCATTTATCTCCTTCTGCATAAGAGGCAAATCTTTTCTTCTTTTCCTTTTCTCCTACTTCTCTCACCATATATCAATTTTCAATTGTGCTAGCACAGAGATGCAGACAGTGATTGGACTACACTTGTTAGTTGGGTGTTATCCTAGTGTGAGACTCTGTTGCTTTAAATATTTGGGGCATTGTAATGCTGCATTAATATTATTAAAATCTCATCAGTTTCTTAACAATATGTGAAAACAAATGTATACAAACAGGAACAGGCAGACAAGATATAATGGAAGTGTTGTATATTGTCTATGAATGGTGGGACTATGAATTAATTTTTAAATATAATGCATACAAATGGTTGAAAATATAAATGATTGTATTTTCAACCATTTGTATGCATTATATTTAAAAAATAAGGAAAAAACAATATACACCCTTAAAATAACAAAATCTATGGCCCTACCCTCAGCCCAATGAGCAAAAGCTGGGTGAAGAGTGTAGACTTCCAACTTTGCTAACATATCATGAAATGCCACCTTCCCACTGCTAGGATGGTCTCAGGGAAGTCCAGTGGGAATGTACTTTCATCCCTGATGGTCAACAAGGAGGACACCTTTGTCCTATAATATTAGTGGAAACAGTGTGGGGAGCCTGGACTTCCATACCCTCTCTGGACCGCTGGGGTGGTGTAAGAAGGTATAATGGAAAATCAAAATTTTCAGCAATGCTTGGTGGTAACAAGGTCACTCCCACTGTGTTATCAGAAGATGAGATTTGAGAAGGAGTAATGAGGCACTTCTACCTCTCACAGCCAGGGTGATATCAGCAAAGGCATAGTGGTGAGCTGGAGCTCCCATCCCTGCCCACTAGTACTGAGAAGCTCCAACTCTCCTTAGGTGTTCATAAAGGCCAGGTGAAGAACTTGTACTTTAACCCCACCTGGCAGTAACAAAGTGGTACTTTATTCCTATGGTGAAGCAGGGCAAAAGAGACCAGCTAAAGCAGAATGTTTAAATAATATACAAAGCCTCATAATATAATACCCCAATGCCCATGTTTTAATTTAAAAAATTTCTTATACCAAGAACCAGAAAAATCTCAATCTGAATGAAAAAAGATAAACAATAGATGCCAACACAAAGGTGTTAGAATTGTCTGACAAATATTTTAAATATACCATCATAAAATATATTTTAATAAGCTTTACAAATATGTTTGAAGCAAGTAAAAAGAAACAAAAGACAAACAGAAAACCTTAGCGAAGAAATAGAAAGTCTCAATAAGTGTATAGAAAACATATTTTTTTAAAAATTATGAAATACTAGAACTGAAAAATATAACTACCAAAATAAAAAATTCAATGGATGGGCTCAATAGCAGTAGACAGAAGACAGGGAAAATAATAAGTAAATTTAAAAACAGAGTAAAAATTAGCCAATCTGAGCATACAAAGAAAAGAGAAAAAATAAAAATAAAAAACTAAACTAAAACAATGTAAAAAAGGCTCAGACACTAAAAAACTGACATAAATCCAAATTAGATAAGCCAAAGAAACCTACACCAGGATACAGTAAGACAAACTTCTGAAAACTAAACACAAAGAAAATATTTTGAAATCAGTGATAGAATAATGAAATCTTATGTGGAAAAAGCAAACATAATCACAGTTGTGGAGCTTGTCTAAAACAATAACAAGAATGAAATTTATAACACCAAAGGCTTACATTAGAAAAAGAGAAAAGGCTCAAACGAATAATCCGAATTTCTACCTATAGAACCTGGAAATAAAGAACAAATAAACCTAAAGCGGGCAGACAGAAAAAAAGAATAATAAGAGCAGAATTCAATGAAATTTAAAACAAAAACATAGAGAAAATAAGTGAAATGAGAAGCTGTTAATTTGAAAATATCAATAAAATTGGCAAACCTCTAGCAAGACTGGTAAAAGAAAAAGAGAGAAGATACAATTTACCAATATCAGGATTGAAATAGGTGATATTACTATGGGCCTTGCCCAGATCTAAAAGGTGACAAGAATAAAAAAGAATAAAAAGTACGTTTGAAAACTTGGATGAAACTGATCAAACCTTGGAAATCACAAATTGCCCATCACTGAACTGAAATGACAGAGTTTTCTCTTGTTGTTTTTGTTAATTATCTCTAGCCTTGAGCTGAAATTTACTGTTTTCTTGAATGAACAATGTAGGCCCCAAGCCAATGTCTTCTACAATATTTATTTATTTTAATTGTTTTGATTATTATACTTTAAGTTCTGGGGTACATGTGCAGAACATGAAGGTTTGTTACATAGGTATACACGTGCCATGGTGGTTTGCTGCACCCATCAACCTGTCATCTAAATTAGGTATTTCTCCTAATGCTATCCATCCCCTAGCCCCCCACCCCCGACAGGCCCTGGTGAGTGATGTTCCCCTTCCTGTGTCCATGTATTCTCATTGTTCAGCTCCCACTTATGAGTGAGAACATGTGATGTTTTGTTTTCTGTTCTTGTGTTAGTTTGCTGAGAATGATGGTTTCCAGCTTCATCCATATCCCTGCAAAGGACATGAACTCGTCCTTTTTATGGCTGCATAGTATACTAAGGTGTATATGTGCCACATTTTCTTTATCCAGCCTGTCATTGCATTTGGGTTGGTTCCAAGTCTTTGCTATTGTGAAGAGTGCCACAATAAACGTAAGTTTGCATGTGTCTTTATAGTAGAATGATTTATAATCCTTTGGGTATATACCCAGTAATGGGATTTCTGGGTCAAATGGTATTTCTGGTTCTAGATCCTTGAGGAATTGCCACACTGTCTTTCACAATTGTTGAACTAATTTACACTCCCATCAACAGTATAAAAGCATTCCTATTTCTCCACATCCTCTCCAGCATCTGTTGTTTCTTGACTTTTTAATGATCGCCATTCTGACTGGCTTGAGATGGTATCTCATTGCGGTTTTGACTTCCACTTCTCTAATGACCAGTAATGATGAGCTTTTTTGATATGTTTGTTGGCTCCATAAATGTATTCTTTTGAGAAGAGTCTGATCATATCATTCATCCATTTTTTGATGGGGTTGTTGGTTTTTTTCTTGTAAATTTGTTTAAGTTCTCTGTAGATTCTGGATATTAGCCTTTTGTCAGATGGATAGATTGCAAAAATTTTCTCCCATTCTGTAGGTTGCCTTTTCACACTGATGATAGTTTCTTTTGCTGTGCAGAAGCTCTTTAGTTTATTTAGAGCCCATTGGTCAATTTTGGCTTTTGTTCCCATTGCTTTTTATGTTTTAGTCATGAAGTCTTTGCCCATGCTCATGTCCTGAACAGTATTGCCTAGGTTTTCTTCCAGGGTTTTTCAGGTCTTACATTTAACCCTTTAATCCATCTTGAGTTGATTTTTGTATAAGATGTATGGAAGTGGTCCAGTTTCAGTTTTCTGCATATGGCTAGCCACTTTTCCCAACACCATTTATTAAATAGGGGATCCTTTCCCCATTCCTTGTTTTTGTCAGGTTTGTCAAAAATCAGGTGGTTTTAGATGTGTGGTGTTATTGCTGAGACCTCTGTTCTGTTCCATTGATCTATATATCTGTTTTGATACCAGTACTATGCTATTTTGGTTACTGTAGCCTTGTAGTGTAATTTGAAGTCAGGTAGTGTGATGCCTCCAGCTTTGTTATTTTGATTAGGATTGTGGGCCCTTTTTTGTTTCCATATGAAATTTAAAGTAGGGTTTTCTAATTCTGTGAAGAGAGTCAATGGTAGCTTGATAGGGACATCACTGAATCTATAAATTACTTTGGGCAGTATGGCCATTTTCACCATATTGATTCTTCCTATCCATGAGCATGGAATGTTTTTTCGTTTGGTTGTGGCCTTTCTTATTTCCCTGAGCAGTGGTTTGTAGTTCTCCTTGAGGAGGTCCTTCACATCCCTTTTAAGTTGTATTCCTAGGTATTTTATTATCTTTGTAGCAATTGTGAATGGGAGTTCACTCATGATTTGGCTTTCTGTTTGTCTGTTATTGCTATATAGGAATGCTTGTGATTTTTGCACATTGATTTTGTATCCTGAGACTATGCTGAAGTTGCTTATCAGCTGAAGGAGATTTTGGGCTGAGTCAATGGGGTTTTCTAAATCAACAAACATGTCATCTGCAAACAGAGACAATTTGACTTCCTCCTTTCCTAACTGAATACCCTTTATTTATTTCTTTTGCCTGATCACCCTGGCCAGAACTTTCAATACTATGTTGAATAGGAGCAGTGAGAGAGGGCGTCCTTGTCTTGTGCCAGTTTTCAAAGAGAATGCTTCCATCTTTTGCCCATTCAGTATGATACTGGCTGTGGGTCTGTCATAAATAGCTCTTATTATTTTGAAATGCATTCCATCAATGCCTAGTTTATTGAGAGTTTTTAGCATGAAGGGGTGTTGAATTTTGTTGAAGGCCTTTTCTGCATCTGCTGAGATAATCATGTGGTTTTTGTCATTTGTTCTGTTTATGTGATGGATTACATTTATTGATTTTCATATGTTAAGCCAGCCTTGCATCCTAGGGATGAAGCCGACTTGATAGTGGTGGATAAGATTTTGATGTGCTGCTGGATTCAGTTTGCCAGTATTTTATTGAGGCTTTTCACATCGGGGTTCATCAGGGATACTGGCCTGAAATTTTCTTTTTTTACTGTGTCTCTGCCATGTTTTGGTATCAGGATGATGCAGGCCTCATAAAATGAATTGGAAGGATTCTTTCTTTCTCCATTGTTTAGAATAGTTTCAGAAGGAATGGTAACAGTTCCTCTTTGTAGCTCTGGTAGAATTCAGCCTTGAATTCATCTGGTCCTGGACTTTTTTGGTTGGTAGGCTATTAATTGCTGCCCTGGCTCAATTTATGAACTTGTTATTGGTCTATTCAGGGATTCAACTTCTTCCTGGTTTAGCCTTGGGAGGGTGTATGTGTCCAGGAATTTATCCATTTCTTCTAGAGTTTTCTAGTTTATTTGTGTAGAGGTGTTCATAGAATTCTCCGATTATAGTTTGTATTTCTGTGGGATGGGTGGTGCTATCCCCTTTATCACTTTTTATTGCATCTATTTGATTCTTCTCTCTTTTCTTCTTTATTAGTCTGGCTAGTGGTCTATGTATTTTGTTGATCTTTTAAAAAAAAAACAGCTCCTGGATTCATTGATTTTTTGAAGGGTTTTTCGTATCTCTATTTCCTTGAGTTCTGCTCTGATCTTAGTTATTTCTTGCCTTCTGCTAGCTTTTGAATTTGTTTGCTCTTGCTTCTGTAGTTCTTTATATTGTGATGTTAGCGTGTTGATTTTATATCTTTCCTGCTTTCTCTTGTGGGAATTTGGTGCTATAAATCTCCCTCTCCACGCTGCTTTAAATGTGTCCCAGAGATTCTGGTATGTTGTGTCTTTCTTTTCATTGGTTTCAAGGAACATCTTTATTTCTGCCTTCATTTTGTTATTTACCCAGTAGTCATTCAGGACCAGGTTGTTCAGTTTCCATGTACTTGTGAGGTTTTGAATGAGTTTCTTAATCCTGAGTTCTAATTTGATTGCACTGTAGTCTGAGAGACAGTTTGCTATGATTTCCGTTCTTTAGCATTGGCTGAGGAGTGTTTTACTTCCAATTATGTGGTCAATTTTAGAATAAGTGCAATGTAGTACTGAGAAGAATGCATATTCTGTTGATTTAGGGTAGAGAGTTCTGTAGATGTCTATTAGGTCTGCTTGGTCCAGAGCTGAGTATGACCTGAAGGAACTGAAAAACACAGCACGAGAACTTTGTGAAGCATACACAAGTATCAATAGCTGAATCAATCGAGTGGAAGAAAGGATATCAGAGATTGAAGATCAACTTAATGAAATAAAGTGTGAAGACAAGATTAGAGAAAAAAGAATGAAAAGGAATGAACAAAGCTTCCAAGAAATCTAGGACTATGTGAAAAGACCAAATCTATGTTTGATTGGTATACCTGATAGTGACGGGGAGAATGGAACCAAGTTGGAAACACACTTCAGGATATTATCCAGGAGAACTTCCCCAACCTAGCAAGGTAGGCCAACATTCAAATTCAGGAAATACAGATACCGGAAATACACATACCACAAATACAATCCTTGAGAAGAGCAACCCCAAGGCACATAATCATCAGATTCACCAAGGTTGAAATGAGGGAAAAAATGTTAAGGGTAGCCAGAGAGAAAGGTTGGGTTACCCACAAAGGGAAGCCCATCAGACTAACAGCGGATTTCTCTGCAAAATCCCTACAAGCCAGAAGAGAGTCAGTGCCAATATTAAACATTCTTAAAGAAAAGAATTTTCAACCCAGAATTTCATATCCAGCCAAACTAAGATTCATAAGTGAAGGAGAAATAAAATTCTTTACAGACAAGCAAATGCTGAGAGATTTTGTAACCATCAGGCCTGCCTTACAAGAGCTCCTGGAGGAAGCACTAATCATGGAAAGCAACAACTGGTACCAGCCATGCAAAAACATACCAAATTGTAAAGACCATTGACACTACAAAGAAACTGCATCAACTAACAGGCAAAATAACCACCTAGCATCATAACGACAGGATCCAATTCACACATAACAATATTAACCTTAAATGTAAATGGGCTAAATGCCCCAAATAAAAGGCAGACTGGCAAATTGGATAAAGTGTCAAGACCTATCGGTGTGCTGTATTCAGGAGACCCATCTCACGTGCAAAGACATGCATAGGCTCAAAATAAAGGGATGGAGGAATATTTACCAAGCAAATGAAAAGCAAAAAAAAAAAAAACAGGGGTTGCAATCTTAGTCTCTGATAAAACAAACTTTAAACCGACAAAGATCAAAAGATATAAAGAAGGGCTTTACATGATGGTAAAGGGATCAATGCAAGAAGAAGAGCTAACTATCCTAAATATATATACACCCAATACAGGAGCACCCACATTCATAAAACAAGTTCTTAGAGACCTACAAAGAGACTTAGACTCCCACACAATAATAGTGGGAGACTTTAATACCCCACTGTCAATATTAGACAAATCAATGAGCAGAAAATATAGACAGTTTTCTTTTTTTAAAAAAGAGAACTCTCCAGGCCCAGATGGTTACACTTACAAACTTTATAAAGGAGGAAATCATGCCACTCCATCCCAGCCTGGGCAACAGAGTGAGACCATGTCTCAAAAAAAAAAAAAGGAAAACACAAATTTTACACTCTTTTCCAGTTCTATCTTATGAAGCTATTATTAGCCCAACACCAAAACAGCGGCAGTACAACAAAACAAAATGAAAGAAAAATATATAACAATATTCCTCTCAAATATAGATTCAAAAATTATAAATATTAGCAGGCCAGGCATGGTGGCTCACGCCTATAATCCCAGCACTTTGGGAGGCTGAGGCAGGAGGATCACGAAGTCAGGAGATCGAGATCATCCTGGCTAACACAGTCGACACCCCGTCTCTACTAAAAATATAAAAAAAAATTAGCCAGGCGTAGTGGCAGGTGCCTGCAGTCCCAGCTACTCCGGAGGCTGGGGCAGGAGAATGGCGGGAACCCGGGAGGCGGAGCTTAAAGTGAGCTGAGATCGCGCCACTGCACTCCAGCCTGGGCAACAGAGTTAGACTCCGTCTCAAAAAAAAAATTATATATATATATATATATATATATATATATACACACACACACACACACATATATATACACACACATATATATATACACACACACATATATATACACACACATATATATATACACACATATATATATACACATATATATATTAGCAAACAGGATTTATCAATATATAAAGAAAATATATATTATGATGGAGTAGTGTTTATTACAGAGATACAAGTGTGGTAACATTTGAAAATCAATCAGTGTAATCCACCATATTAATAGGCATGATTATATCAATCAATGCAGTAAAAGCATTAGATAAAACTCAATGCATATTCATGATTTAAAAAAAAATCCCTGGAAACTAGAAACAGGGAAATTCTTCAACGTGATAATGAGTAGCTAAAGCTAAAATTGTACTAAATGGCAAAAGACTGAATAATTTCTCTCTAATATCTGGAAAAGGCAAGGATGTCCACTCCAACCACTGTTATTCTGCAAAGTGCTGAAACTTCTAACCACTTTAAAAGGGTAAGAACAGAGAGGGGAAAAGGTATTCATTTTAAAAAGGAGGAAATAAATTGTTCTTATTTGCAGATGACAGGATTGTCGACATATAAAATCCCAAGGAATCTCCAAAATTCCCCAAGATCCATGATACAAGATAAAATCAATTGCATTTCTATATACTGGCAATGAACATGTGCACACAAAAACTAAAAATACAGTTGCTAAAAATCAGAGAGAGAAATACTTAGATGTAAAACTAACAAATCATATGTAGGACTTTGATGCTGAAAACTGCTAAATGCTGATGAGAGAAATCAAATGAGTTCTAAAAAAAATTTAGGTGTAGACCATGTTCATGGATTTGAAGACTCAACATAGTATAGATGTGAAATCACCCCTAACTGATATACAGATGTAGTTCAAATCCTATTGAAATCCCAGAAAGTCTGTTGTGACTATGAATATTACTTTAAAATTTATATGAAAATTAAATAAACTAGAATAGCTGCATTAATTTTGAAAAAAGAATAAAGTAGAAGAAATCAGCCTAAGCGATTTCAAGAACTATTATATAGCTATAATAATCAAGACTGTGTGTTCAGCCTTGACCTAAGTCATACATACTGTAAAACTTAAAGAAAAAAAAACACAAAGGCAGAAGAAAATTGTCAGGAACTTAGGTTATGCAAGGATTAATAAGACTTGAGACCAAAATTGCAATCCATAATAGAAAAAAATGGACAAATTTGACTCTAGAAATATTAAAAAGATTTGCTATATGAAAGACCCAATTTTAAAATACAAACTACATAGTTGAGGAGAAAATATTCCTAAATCACATACTTGACAATGAATTAGAATCTTGAATATATATACTACTCAAGGCTCAACTATAGAAAAAGCAAACAAATCATAAAAAACAGGCAAGCAACTCAATTGAAGAGTTCATAGATTTATAGGTGGAAACACACACACACACACACACACACACACACACACAGACACACACACCATTTATCTAAATTAGCCATTAGACAAATGTAAAGTAAAACAATAATAAGATATCACTACATACATATCAGAATGATGAAAAAGTTTTTAGAATAGTGAAAACACCAAGTGCTGGTGATGATGCAGAGAAACTGGATAACTCATATATTCCTGATGGAAATGTAAAAATGATACAATCACTATGTGAAAAACAGTTTGACAATTTCTTAAAAAACTAAATACATAACTTCTATACAATCCAGTGATTATGATTATGGGCACTTATCCAGATAAATGTAATCTTATGTAAATAAAACGTGTACAATTGTTCATAGCAGATTTATTCATCATAGCCCCAAACTGAAAACAATCCAGATGTTGTTCACAGATGAGTGGTTAAAAAAAAAAAAAAAAAAAAAAAAAAAACCACACCTGGTATCTATACCATGCAATACTACATAGCAATTTAGGGCAGTGAAACTATTCTAAATGATACTCTAATGGTGGATAAATGTCAAAATATATTTATCACAATACATAGAATGTAAAACACCAAGCGTGAACCCTAATGTAAACCATGGACTTTGGGCAATAATTTGTCAATTTAGATTCCTAGATTGTAACAGATAAAACCCTCTCATATGGGAGGCAGTTCCTATGAGAGAAGGAGTACGTGGGAAATCTCTGTGCCATCTGCTCAATTATTCTGTAAACCTAAAACTGCTTTTAAAAATAAAGTATATTAAAATTAACTAAAAGTATTAAAAAAAAGTAATGATCAAATGCATGATAAAATGTTAAAAAATGTATGAGCAGAATTTCTTTTAACAATAAAGGAAAAGATTAAGAAAATATGCCTAAATATGTACAATGGCTTCTTTGAATTTATGATTGTATGAATTTTTTTGTCCTTCCTTACAAGTTTATGTACTTTCTGAATTTTCTGAAATGAGTCTGTGCACTCAAAAAGATACAAGATGCTATTTATTAAGTAGTTTATGTCATGCACTATTGTACGTGCTTTATAAGCAGTATGAGGCTGATATAAGTTCATATTCATAAAGTGCATAAACACCTTTTAGTACATAATAGGCATACAAGTGTTTGTTAAATAAAATAATAGGGTCATGTCACTTAATTTTCACAAAACCTTTATAAGGTAGGAAATATTAACATCATTTAAATGAGAAAATTAAGAAAATAGAAGGCTTAGTTAACTTCTCAAAGCTTACACTGCTAATACATACTAATATCAGGATTCAAATCCAGGCAGTTATCTTTAATTCTGTATTCTTCACCACCACAAATTTAATTGATCTAAGTTGTGCCCTCCAATTCACTCCTGGTGGTTGTATCTGAACTGATTGTCTAGTTCCACAACATTTTATGTTTGCTTTAGCATAATTTATTCTCTTTCTTGGAGGAATGGGATTAAAAGTATTTGCATTTTTCTCACCAGTGTAGGCACATATGATGGGATCTAGAGTTCAACAAAAAGTTAACACTCTGAAGTAAGCAAAACATAAACACACCCTTCCACAATCAAGCTGCTGCCTTCTTTAAAGAAACAGGACAATGAAGGAGAGACTGAAAAAGTTGTACTGCAGTCTTTTACAGCTCAGCTTTATGTTAATATAAGGGTCCTTGCCTTTGGAATTTAATCTCATTACATTTTTTAGTTTGCAAAATTAAGTAACTAAAAACTTTACTATTCATCAGAAAGTATTAACACCCTTCTATTATTATTTAAAGACCCTAACTTTTACTGTTTAAATGCTATTAGCCCAAGAATCTGTTACTTACTGCTATGGTTTGAATGTATTCCCAAAATTAATGTGTTGGAAACTCAATCCCCAGTGCAACAGTGTTAGGAGGCGAGGCTTAATAGGAGGTGCTTAAGAATGAATTAATTAGGGTATAAAAGGGACTTGAGAGCATGTATTCTTTCTCTTCTGTTCGTTTACTGCGTGACTACACAGAGTTTGACACCTTTCATCCCTTCTGCCTTCCACCATGTGAGGACACAGCAAGATCAAGGCATCTTGATAAGATGCTAGTGACTTGATCTTGGACTTTCAGTCCCCAGAACTGTGAGAAGAAAAAAAAATCCTATTCTTTATAAATTAACCAGCCCATGATATTCTGTTACAGCAGCACAAAATGGACCAACACTTTAGTGTTAATTTCTACTCTTTTTACTCTTAATTACTGTAGACAAATGAATCTATATCCCTATTAATGCAAAGTATATTATAACGTATTTTACAACCTAGAATAAATTAATACTTATTAGAGTAATAAATCTGATTTCATTTTCCTCTAACACATTGCAAAGAAACATATTTAAGATTATGACCAAATATATTTTAGTATTTCTATATAGGGATATCAGAACAAACTAATCAGAAGTATTGTAAAAATTTTAAAATAAGTAGAGACCTGACATTTCAGTCAATAAGAGGTTATAATAGCCATAGCCTTATAGCAGGAATAGATACAATTGCCAGTATTCACTGAGGTACTACATGCCCTGACAATCAAAGCAGCATGTAAGTTGAGAAAACACAATTCTTTTGAACAGCAGAGGGACAATAGATCAAACCCTTAGTATTCATAAGAAGCAGTGGTAAAAAACGTATTTATTACTTAACGTATTTCTTCCTTTAATTTGTTTCCTGTTATTTGTATTTTCTAACACCTTCATTGAGGTATAATTGACATAAAATAAACTGTAAATATTTAAAGTGTCCAATTTGATGTTTTTTATATATATGTGTGTATCTTCATAAAATCATCAATATGGTCAAGATAACAAATATATCCATCACTGCACCCCACCCCCATCCCTCCAACAGACCCACCCATGGCTCTTCCTGCCCCTTCCCCCATCTTCAGACAAATACTGATCTTTCTATCACTATAGACTACATTGCATTTTCTAGAGCTTTATAAAAATGAAATTATACAATACATATTATTTTTGCTGAGCTTTTCTACTCAGCACAATTATTTTGAGATTTGTATTGTGTATCAATAGTTTATTTTTATCACTCAGTAATAATCCTTTAAATAGATTTATCAGGATTATTATTCTCATTCACCAGTTAGAGGACATTTGATTGTTTCCACTGTTTGATGATTACAAATAAAGTTGCTATGGATATTTATGTATATGTTGATCTCTTATAGGTAAATACCTAAAAGTGGAATGGCTAAGTCATATGTCTGTTTAACCTTTTAAGAAATTGTCATGCCGGGTATGGTAGCTCACGCCTATAATCCCAGCACTTTGGGAGGCTGAGGCGGGCGGATCACGAGGTCAGGAGATCGAGACCATCCTGGCTAACACAGTCAAACCCTGTCTCTACTAAAAATACAAAAAAATTAGCCGGGCATGGTGGTGGGCACCTGTAGTCCCAGCTACTCGGGAGGCTGAGGCAGGAGAATAATGTGAACCCGAGAGGCGGAGCTTGCAGTAAGCCAAGATTGTGCCACTGTGCTCCAGCCTGGGTGACAGAGCGAGACTCTGTCTCCAAAAAAAAAAAAAAAAAAAAAAAGAAATTATCAAATAGGTTTTCAAATTTTTGTGAGATATATTAACACCAGTATTGTATGAGAATTCTAATTGTTCTACAGCCTAGTCAGTACATGGTATGGTCAATTTTTTTAGTTTCAGACAATCCAGTAGTTGTATAATGGCATTTCATTGTGTTTCTGTTTTGCATTATATGACTTGATGATGACGGACCTCTTGTCATGTGCTTGTTTGCTATCAATATATCTTTGAAGAAGTGTCTGTGCAAATTTTGACCATTGTTCATTGGATCATTTTTTATTTCTTAATTTTAGAAATTTTTTTATATATATTCTGAATACCAAGCCTTTATCAAGTAAGTGATTCTCAAGTAAATTCTCTGATCATTGTCTGATCTTATCATTTTCTTAAGAGAATATCTTGAAGAACAGACGTTCTCAATTGTGAATTTTATTATGTGTAACTAATGCCTTTAATAACTGAAAATGGAGTGAGTTGATTCAATGATATGAAAAATAAAATATCTTGGAAATGAAAACATTATCCTTTACCTTTGTCTTATTCTGCATCCTACCCCCATGTTCTTATTCAAATATTTGTTCTTCTATCTTATTGTTTATGTCACTTACAGGCATTGTCTTACCCATTTTGCTTTTGAAGATTGAATTTCTTTCTCATTATCCTTGACAGGCCCTGAAAATATTCTTTTTTAATCTTAGCAATGACCATATTCTGCAACCAAATCACTATATTGTAGGCTGCCTTTCTATGTATTGCTACATGCACCTACTTATCTTGCCTCTTTAAAACCTACTGATTTCTGGGCTTTTCTGATGCTGACTCCAGACCTAGATATGGTCTAAATTCCCCCTTTCCCTTTCCTTTTCCTTTCCCTTTTCCTTTTCCTCTTCCTCTTCCTCTTTCTCTTCCTTCCTTCCTCCCTTCCTTCTTTTTTGCCTTTCCTTTCTTCAGTAGTTTTCTGAGTATCTATGAAGGACAAGAAATTGTGATAAACACTAGGAATACGAGAGCGGAATACTGTATATGTAATCCCTACCTTCATTAGAGGAAGTTGAGATAAAATTTTTAAAATAACAAAATAATCTGAGTTATCTGGGAATTACAATTTGCTAAGGTGATACATAGCAAGAACATAATATGTAGCTCAGGTGAGATGGGAAATTGTCCCTGAGGGACAAGTGCAGCAAGAGTTAGGCTCATTGACACTATTTTCATCATTATGTGAGGCTATACCCCTCTCCTTATGTTTGTCCTTACCCTAGGGCTGAATCCTTTTATCATATTCTGGACTGTGATCTCTAGTAGCCCCACAGATTTCTGAACTGCCCATGAGTTCTTCCATATGACAAGGACTTTCTGTATCAGAATGTCTTACCAGTACTTAACTTTATGTAACACATAGTTCCCTGAATAAGGGTCCTAAATTAATTCCACAGGTTTTACTCTCCTACTGCAGTTTTAATTTAGTATAAAAATAGCTAGAGGTGAGAGAACACATTTAATTAAATATTGTATGCAGCTGATGAATGTATACAAAAGCATCACCTAAGGGGTATAGATTTTTATAATGAGCTTTTTTCTTTGACTTTCTTTGACTTCCAACCCTATTTGAACTTCTACTCTGAAAGGCTAGAATGCTCTTATCTTGCACTTTCAATTTTACTATAGGCTTTTTGGAAGAGCTGAATTGGTCCTGCTTGCTGTTTGCACAGCAGGGTCCATCCTCATGATGCCTCGAATCTCACTGTTATCCTGAACTGCCAGAACAATTCTTGACTATCTTAATGAGACTCAGCACCCGAGTCCTGATGCCAAAGTGAAGCTTTTGCTAAAGAGTTCAAGCAGCATCTAGTGAAGAACTTATTCTGTGCCACATTGTCAGTAAAAAAATAAATATTTCCCATAACCCAAGCAATGACCTTGAATTTACTAAGGGAATTAACTAAAATGCAGTAGACTCAGCTATGTTTTCA
Source organism: Homo sapiens (assembly GCF_000001405.40). Taxonomy (NCBI): domain Eukaryota; kingdom Metazoa; phylum Chordata; class Mammalia; order Primates; family Hominidae; genus Homo; species Homo sapiens. Next base: position 21,704,984 of record NC_000011.10, read on the forward strand.
TTGACTACCAGGGACAAATTAGGTATTGCATGGGGTGAGAGATGGTTTTATGATACCCTTTATTCCTTTAGGGGACAAATATTCTCACTTTATCCCAACCTCAATAAATAACTGACTCTCAGACAGTAAATACTAAACTTCTTCACATACACAGTATTGTCCTAGAATATAGACGAGTTAATTTTAGGAAGCCTGAACATATTTCTATTGTCACCATTTTATTCTACCCACATCATCAGGCCCTCTACATGCATTTGTGGCTTATCAAAGCTATGTACATTGAGGCTTTACTGTGTTGTTTCATAGTTTATATTGTCCCTGACTTGCTACAGGAAGGTGGACCGGCTATAATTTTTACTGATAGGCTTCAGCACTATAACCTAAACTTTATTGCAGTGCTCAAAGCAGTACAGTCTCAAATTTGTATTTCAAAGTATGAGGCACTATAAATTTAATATAGAGAAACTCTGGTGGGAATAACAGGCCTGTCCTACAGAATTAAGCTTCTTAAAAATGGTGAAAGAGATTGGTAGAGAGCCATTTGAACTGAGTCTCCTTTTTCCTGGTGGGGTTTTAGACAGAGTTTCCTGAAACTCCATATATGCAAATTCCCAATGGGAGGACAATTGCTAATGGAATAGTCATTAAAAATTAATTCTTTCTGAATGATAACAGAAGGAATTAAACCAGAAGCCCCCCTCCTTTTTCTCTCTTTGTGAATAACAATTTTTATTTACTATTCCAAATGACATACTTACATTCTAATTCTAGCCAACTTAAGCTGAAAAAGAGTTTATTGAAAGGCATGAGATAACACAAAGAACACATGAGAAGACTAGAAAATGAGTTTGGAAAATGGGGCAGCAGCTGAAACAGCTAAAGTCAGGCCACTGAATCAGTGGATAGAACTCATACTGGAGTCATCACCACTGATTTCACTGTAATTCCATGGGATGCCAGCTGTAGGAGTATCCTTACCTCGTTTTTATTGGCAATCTCAGGAAGGAACATCTGACTGATTACCTAAACTTAGGTCACATGACCTTGCTTACAGGACTTCCTGGCCTTCCATCAACTTCCACAGTAGGGAGAGGCCCAGAATTCTACCTCTTCAAATTTCACCTGATGTTAATAGATGATTGGATATTAGATATGCAAAAAAAATTAACGAGAGAGATAAACAAATGCAGCTACAGTGGCAAAGCCAGGATGTAGAACCAGGCAGTCTGGCTTAGAACCAACATTTATAAGCATAAAATCACGTTGCCATCTTGGTAGTTAGTTCTCCCTGAGACAATTAAAATGATAATTGGAAAACTGCTTGCTGGAGTTCAAGCATTAAGTAAGCACGAATAACTAGACTGTTGGTTTCTAAATATGAACCCATTGTATCAGAGCTCAAAAACAATATTCAGATTCTAAAGTTCCAATTTAATAGTCTATGATTTTGTAGATTTGAACTGTTAATCAGATCTGTATTTTTTCTTAAAAATAGACCTCTTTTCAGTTCATTCTGATAGTATATTTACATTTGGAAATGATAGGACTAGATGACTCCTAGCTTTTTGCAACCCTAAGTATCTGTGTTCCTAATTCCTTCATTGCCCTCTAACTCATTGTGTGTCTCTTCTCTCAAAAGCAGCAGGCTGAGGGAAGTCAGGACTGAAAGGGAAAATTAGTGTGATTTCTTCCATTTTACTTGTATCATCTATATGGTCTAGGCTTTCACAGTTATTTTTTGTCTTTATCTTTCTTTATGTGCCAATATAAAGGTCTAAATTACTAGCTGAATAAGTTCACTGGTTTACTACTTTAGAGTTTGAAACAAAATAAAACAAAACAAGATTTTTTCCACAAAGTAAGAAGAGAAAAGAGGAAAAGTGATGTGTGCGTCCACAGATAAAAAGTCTAATAATCACAGGTGGAAATCCACTATAAATAAGAGTCTGGAATGAGACAAGCCAAAGTACCAGCACTTAACTACTGTGGAGTCTTGACAGTTTTCCAGGATACATTTGATGTCTAACTATCCCTACCTATTTGTCACAGGATAAAGTTTCTTTTTTTAGAGAGATTCTGTCGATGTAGTGTGAACTGCATTGAACTGGACTCCTAGAATGCTACAGTTGAACATTTTATTTGACAGAATTATTCTCCTAAAAGTAAGCAAATAAGAGGAGGAAATATTGAAACTTTTCTTCATGGAAATAGAAACAAGGGGCCAAATTGAAAGGATCAATTTGTTTATTCTTCCTAATGATTTTGTGGTTTATTATAAAGCTGACCTCAAGTTTATCTCATCCAACTTGACCAAGGTTGCATAATTACTGAGTTACATAGATGTGTTACAGAGTTTGAATTTCTTTCAAAGTCCATGCTCTTTCTACAACACTAGTGATTCAGTGGTTGAATAAGTATCTGAATTTTCCCGAGAGCTTGTTAAAAAAGAGATTATTGGGCCCCACCCCCAGAGTTTCTGATTCAGAAGGTCTGGAGTGAAGCCCACGATTTTGCATTTCTAACAAGTTCTTAAGTAATGCTGTCCCAGGGACCACACTTTGAGAATCACTGTGTATGCAATTTGAAAAGATTTAAGAACTGAAACCAAGTGTTGCTGCAGCTAAAAGGGTTGCATAAACAATTTAGACTAGACATTGCAAACTGATAACATCAGACATGTTGGTTTCACACTAGTTTACAATTTTTTATTTAGTTGCCAATTTTTAAATCCAGGTATTTCAGTAAGTCTTTTCTATTTTGGAAAAAGATCATAAGATCTGATATGGCAAAAATTAATTAAAGCTGAGTATTAGCTCCCCTTTTTAGATAGCTTGTGAACCTTCCTGCCATTTGAAATAGTAATTTTACCTGCTTTGCCTTACAATTAATAATAATATAGGTGCTATTTATTGAGTTATTAAGCTCAATTATTAAGCAATTTTTGCTATTTGCCAGTGTTCTAAGTGTTTTACCTATACTGTTTAATCATCATAATCATCATAATCTGCTGAGAAGTGTGTGTGTATGTGTGTTTATATGTGTGTATATATAAAAATATATTTATATTTTTACAGTTATATATTATATATATTTATATATATATTTTATATATTTTTATATATTTAAATATATATATTTATATATATATAAAAACAGAAAGTTATGTTGAGGGAATGAATAAAACAATTAAACCATCTTAAACCACCTTAAACCATCATGGCTTGGCACAACAGAAATTTATATCTATAGCTTGTGCTTACAAGCTGTATATACTACTGGGCAAATGACAAAACCAACAATAGCTAAGCTTTGTTCTGAGTACTTCACATATATCAACTCATTTAACATTCACACTGTGAGGTAGTATAAATATTTCCATTTTATAGAAGTGAAAACTAAGGTGGAAAGAAATTAAGTCACTTGACCAAGCTCATATAGGTAGTAAGTATCAAAGCAAGTAGGCATTTGAATACAGACCACCTAACTCTGAAGCCCATACTCTTAATCTTTGTGTTTCGCTGTTGTACTCTCTGTAAACATTTATCTTTGTCTCTCTGATCTAGACCAAAGACTCCTTTTTACAGACAAGGAAATTAAGAAGCTTATAGGCAGAATAACTTCCATGAAGTTGCAGAATCAGTTAACAATAAAAGTCCTGTTCCTATTCATGAGTCCTGACTCCAGCAAAGACCCCCAGTGGGATTTTTGGTTTACTATCATTGTAATACAAATGACAAAGAGGTTAAATACATATTAATAAGATTCCACTCGTTTTTATCTAAAGGTGATTTCAAATGCCTGCTGGTTGTTCTCCTTGGTTGCACATGGGAGGGTCTCGCTGAGCGCTTTTAAAAAACATGACGCTCTGGCCCTACCTGAGGCCAATTAAATCAGAGTCTTTGCAGGGTGGGCCATGATTTTCTTTCAAGCATTCCAGGTGATTTTAATGTGCAGCCAGAATTGAGAAATGCTGGATTACACTGCTGGGGTATGCAGATTGAATGCAATGGCTGGTAATTAGACACTTATGTTATCTTCTTTTGGATATTGTATAGGTTCATATAAAGACATCTGCTTTCATGTTCAATGTCAACTGCACCCCTATAACCCAGTGCAATAATTGCTTGTTACTGATGTGTGTCCATGAATAATGGAAGAATCTCGCTTAGCTCTCATTCGCAATTAACTCCTGTGACTGAAGGCACTTGGGCTCCTCCTACATGAAATAAACAGACTTAATCGGTTGAATGGTACAGGCTTTTTTGGTTAATGTCTATGTTTATTACTCTCGCCCCTTGTTGCCATCTAATCTGACATTCCTTCTGCTGCTTACATGTGATTGACCTGTGTAGCAACACTGCAGAAAGTGTCATTTGCTCTGCTCCTCACAACAACAATTGTGTGATTGGTCATCGTCAGTTCAATAGGGAGAAAAAAAATTAGGAAATTTGGCACACACAAATTCAGCCAGACTCATAATTTCAAGTTCCAGGTCAAATAATAGGCTTATAGAAGTAAAATAATGAGAATTATCCAAGCAATATTTTGGCAGCAAAGCAATATTAATTTGAATAAACATTTATAGAGCACATTTGTTCTCTTCTGTAATATTTATCACACTTTATCATGGTTATCCTGTTAAGGTCTGCCTTTCCTGTGAGAATTTAGGCTTTGAAAGTACAAGAGCATTGTCTGTCTTTTTCATGATCATATCCCCAAGATCTAGCATATTGCAGGGACTAAATAAACATTTTCTTAACTTATAAATAATGAAATGAATAAAAATTTGAGCTACGTACTGAGGACAGAGAGAAAAATAAGACACTATTTCTGCTATTGAAGAGCCTATAAGAAAAGATACACAAACACATTAAAAAATTACAATTCAGTATGATATGGGCTATTATCAAGTTAGGTATAAAGAAGGAAAGAATTCTTGTATGTTAACAATCTATAGATCAAATCCGCCTCCAGAGTAGGAACAGCCAGAAAAGTTAAAATTCTATGAATGTACTTTGTTTTCTATATTTAAATTTGGGACAGTGTAAATAATTTACATAATTCTGAAACAAAATTTTTAAAACCTGATCTCTAAAATTCAAAAGGATAATGAACAAATGAACCTGTGTGTCAAATTGATAGCATAGCAACACAGAGTAATGACTGATAATTATTATTATTATTATTATTATTTGAGACGGAGTTTTGCTCTTGTTGCCCAGGACTGATAATTATTTAAAAACTCGGCAATTTAAATGTACATTTTTAGTTGTATATACTGGGGATGGTCTTCTATTGTCTTACCTACTTACTCTGTGTGGTTTTTTATTGTGAATTGGTTCCCAATTTTCTTACGCTTTCCTGTATCCATGCCCTTAGATAGTCAACTCCCATCCTGACTCTGGGCTTGGTATGTGACTTGCTGCATTAGTTTCCTAGGACTGTTGTAAGAGGGTACCACAAACTGAGTGGTTTAAACACCAGAAATTTATTATTGCACTATTCTGGAGCCTAGAATTTTGAGATCAAGATGTCAGCAGGGCCGTGCTCTCTCTAAAGGGGCTTAGGGAAGAATCTCTTCCAGGCCTGGCTCACAGCTTCAGGTAGTTCCTTGATTCATGGCAGCATTACTATAATTTTAACATAGTATTCTCTCTGTATGCACATATGTCTTCAAATTTCCCCTTTCCATTAGGATGCTAATCATATTGGATTAAGGGCCTACCCTATTCCAGTATGACCTCATCTTAATTAATTATATCTTCAATGACCTTACTTCCAAATAAAGTCACATTCTGAAGTACTCAGGCATTAGAACTTCAGCATATGAATTTTGGTGAGGGGGCATAATTCAACCCACAAAACTTGCTTTAACCAATGAGATAATAGCAACTGTGGTGAAGCAGAGGATTTAGAAGTGCATGGACTTTGGTGTTTGTGTTCTCTTGCTGCCTTTAGAAATCTGCCACCACCACCATGTGAACAAGCTTGGACTAGTCTGCTGGATAATAAGAGACACATGGCCTATTGCTTCCATGACAAATTGACAGTCAGCCAACTTCCATAAGCAGAGAAACTTAGCTGGTTGGCAGCTGACCTTAGCGAGAGAGTCTAATATAAACTAGCTAAGTCCAATTCAAATTGTAGTGTGAGTTAAATACACCTATTTTTTAAGCCATGAAGTTTTGGGGTGTTTTATTATACAGCAATAGATAGCTTATTGTGTGTTAGGAAGAGCAGTGGAGAGGGCCTAGTTTCCAATTCTAAATTTTTTCTAAATAGCTTTGGTATGAATAACTGGCTGGTAGCAACATAAAAACTTGGTATGGTAAATTCAGTGACCACTTAGATTTGTCTTCTTCCTTTTCACTATTTCCAAGGGAGCTTCCAGGAACAAACAAAGGGATTTAAAAATAAAAATCAAAAAGTTTCTCAACATATTGCCTGGCTCTATTACTTAGAAAGGAGGAAAATAAAAACCACTTTTCTAAAAGTTACTCATTTATGCCTATATCCTTTAAAGCCATCATATGAGAAATTATCAATTGTCTATTTATTCCTTAATCAGCAAATCCTTAATTCAGTAACTTACCATCTATATATTATCATCCATATTTTGGATATGCTAGTTACATTTTAGATATCAATGTCTTTTTACTATAAATATTTTATTACATAGATTCATAATCCCAGAGCCGAAAGAACTCTAAATGTCACTTGTTCTAATCTCTTACCAGTGTAGGAATACCGTCTGTATCATTCCCAGCAAGCAATCTTTCCTCCTATGCCTGCACACATCTTATGAAGAAAGGCTCATTGCCTACCTTATAAAGAAGTCCATTTGATTTTAGATTAGTGTTTCTTGTTAGAAAGTACTTTCTTCACTTGACCTGAAATCTGCCTCCACATTGCACAGCCTCACTGCCTGACCTCTTAAGATTCTATTCTCCCACCTATTTTGCTACCAATTTAAGAACTGGTATATGTTTCCTTTTCATACGACAGACCTTCAAATATTGAATGGCAGCAATCACACTCCTCTTTGGTCTTTCCCTAACTGCAATGATAAATATTCTAACATATACAGACATAATAATTTAGGATATACCTGCTCTAAGAAGAAAAGTTACAATAAATACAGAAATTTTACCAGTATTCTTAGTAATTTTCCAGATCAAACTGAGAGACCATAAAAAAGAATGGCTTGGGAAAAACAGAACTAACTACAGAAAGAAATATAATGAATTAATGTGAAATAATACTGCTCTTATTGTGCCTTTTGGGGGCAAATATTACTAAGGGGCTCAGGGGAAGTGATAATTAAATTCCACTGAAAGTCTTTAGCAAGCATTGTGCCTTAAAAATTATCAGCAAATCTAGAAAGGTTTTTGTTGCCCCCAATTCCAAGCCCAAACAAAACTTCAATTAGTTCTCAAAGGTGAACCTATTTGAAAAGCTGTTGGAGATGGTTGGTGACATGACTTTTGTTCCACGAGGGCTTTTGTTGGCCAGTCTGCACCATGTTCCTCCAACTATATCTCTCTAGAGTGCAGATTGGTAGAAGATACTGATTGCATCTTCAAATGAAGAGTATATTAATCATTGTTTTCCTTGGTCTCTCACTTGACTTAAATTTCTTCTGAGGAGTGCTTCTGTCTTGGAAATTGCTGAAAAATGTGGCCACTTTTTCAGAGAATCAACAAAGTTTAGTTAATGGTGTTCTTATCTCCAGAATCCAAGTAAACGTTGGAAGAATGTGAATTTAAAAAATAAGACCGGCCTGGCGTGGTGGTTCACATCTGTAATCCCAGCACTTTGGGAGGCCGAGGCAGGTGGATCACAAGGTCAAGAGATCAAGACCATCCTGGCCAACATGGTGAAACCCAGTCTCTACTAAAAATACAAAAATTAGCTGGGTGTGGTGGTGCATGCCTGTAGTTGCAGCTACTTGGGATGCTGAGGTGGGAGAATTGCTTGAACCTATGAGGCGGAGGTTGCAGTGAGCTGAGATAGCACCACTGCACTCCAGCCTGGCGACAGAGTGAGACGCTGTAAAACAAACAAACAAACAAAAAAAACACACAAAAGTAGTAAGGTCACAGTGCTTCAAACAAGCAAATGTGTTCAAATCCTGGCTCCCCTAGTTACTAGTAACATAATTTTGAACAAGTTATTTAATTGTTTTAAGTTTGTTTTTTCTTAAAAAATATCTTGATAAAATGTTATTTTAAATAAAATTTATAATAAGATGTTGATAATACCACACAGTCTCTTGTGAGATGTGAATCAAAGAATGTTTCATTCTTTGAGCATGCACACCCAATACTTATTATCAGTCATTAAGTTATGAGACAAAAATTCTCAATATTGAAAGTACAGAACTCCTCATTAGGCCATCAGAAAAGTAGTTATTCTTAACTGATAAATAAAGTTGCATCAGAGGCATGTATTATATAGCTCAAAAATGGAAAGAAGGGAAGAAAACTTGTTAAAGCTTAAGGTACAAATCTTTCCCAAAGAGTTCTTATCATTTGTCACATGATCAGAATTTGATTCCTCATTCTCCTCCTAACAGCTGTGGGCTTAAATAAACCTAGCTCTCAATCTCTTTATCTATAGAATGAAAGACTTCATCTGGATACTGTGAAATAGTTCTTTTAACATTCTATGCAAATTAAAGCTTGTTCCCCCAGATTATCTTTTATTATTCCCAAATAAGTGTCCTGGCATATATACCGTCATTGTTTTGAGGATGTAAACTTTGTCTCACACAGCACTTTTATTATGTTATATATTATGTCTCTCTCCCACTGCATACAGTATCAGCATCAAGGCTAAAAAAAATCCAAGTGTTTTGTAAGCCAGTGAAGATTCAAATTGATTATGCTGAGGAAGAAGACTTAACCATATATTAAATTCTTCATCCTTCAGACTCCTACATGTTACTCAATATATAACTAAAGTGGCACATCTTTATTGAAGATTTCCTCTATCCCTCACCCTCACCACTATAGGAGCCTCTATAGAAGAATAGGTTGCTCAGCTTTCTGTGTGTCTGTAAATGTTTCAACTTTAGCAAAATATAGTTTGTTACTGAGTTATTTATTTATGTGTCTGTTTCTTTTTCTAGATTTTGAGATATTTAAAACAAAATGCATGTAACCTGGGACTCAAGATATGTATTAAGTGAAACGAGCAAATAACAATAAGGACAATGATGATGATAGGGTTAATTTTTCTTGAACATTTCTACATATTAGGAATTTTCTCTAAGCTCTCTATATGTATTAGTTTACTTTATGGACACAATGAGCCTATGAGATAGACACTATTATTGTCACCATTTTATATATGAGAAAACAGAGGCACAGAGTTGTTATTAAACAGCTTGCTAGGCACTAAGACTCAGTCAGGGATGGAAATCAGACACTTTGTTCTCAGTGAACAGTTGATTAAACACATTTTATGTTCTCTCCCCTGAATAAGGAAATGAAGAATTATGAAAGAATGAGTTGGGAAGGCTGGGCATGGTGGCTCACGCCTATAATCCCAACACTTTGGAAGGCTGAGGGGGGCGCAGATCACATGAAGCCAGGAGGTCAAGAACAGCCCAACCAGCAGGGAGAAACCCCGTCTCTACTAAAAATACAAAAATTAGTCAGGCATAGTGGTACACGCCTATAATCCCAGCTACTCTTTGGGAAACTGGGGCTCGAGAATGACTTGAATCCAGGAGGCAGAGGTTGCAGTGAGTCCAGATCGTGCCACTGCACTCCAGCCTGGGTGAACGAGTGAGACTTTGTCTCAAAATAAATAAATAAATAAATAACTTGGGCCAAAACACCCATGCAGCACACACATACACACTTAATTATTACCACACTGATCCTATCCGATCCTATCTTAGCACTGAAATCTCCAACTCTATGGGGTCATTATTTGCCTCAATTAGTAACCCTAATGGCCCCTAAAATTTGCACATCACAAACCCTGTGATATGGTTTAGACCTGTGTCACCACCAAATTTCATGTCAAATTGTAATCCCCCATATTGTAGGTGGGCCTGTGTGTTAGTTCATTTTCACGCTGCTGATAGAGAAATACCTGAAACTGGGAACAAAAAGAAGTTTAATTGGACCTACAGTTCCACATGACTGGAGAGGCCTCAGAATCATGGCAGGAGGTGAAATGCACTTCTTACATGGTGGCAGCAAGAGAAGAATGAAGAAGATTTAAAAGTGGAAACTCCTGATAAAACCATCAGATGTTGTGAGACTTATTCGTTACCACAAGAACAATATGGGGGAAACTGCCCTCATGATTCAAATTATCTCCCATCATGTCCCTCCCACAACAGGTGGGAATTATGGGAACATAATTCAAGATGAGATTTGGATGGGGACACAGAGCCAAACCATATCAGCCTGGTGGGAAGTGATTTGATCATGGGGACAGATTTCTCATGAATGGTTTGGTACCATCCTCTCTTGGTACTAACCTCATGATAGTGAGTGAGTCTCACAAGATCTGGTTGTTTAAAAGTTTGTGGTGCCTCCCCCCTTACTCTCCTGCTCCTGCTCCAGTCATGTGAGATGGTTTGCTCCTCTTTCATCTTCCACCATGATTGCAAGTTTCATGAGGCCTCCTCAGAAGCTAAGCAGAGGCCAGCATCATGCTTCCTGCATAGACTTGGAACTGTGAACTGATTAAACCTCTTTTTTTATTTATTTTTTATTTTTTTTATTATACTTTAAGTTCTAGGGTACATGTGCACTTGCAGGTTTGTTACATATGTATACATGTGCCATGTTGGTGTGCTGCACCCATTAACTCGTCATTTACATTAGGTATATCTTCTAATGCTATCCCTCCCTGCTCCTCCCACCCCACACCAGGCCCTGGTGTGTGAAGTTCCCCTTCCTGTGTCCAGGTGTTCTCATTGTTCAATTCCCACCTATGAGTGAGAACATGAGGTGTTTGGTCAGGGATCTAGAACTAGAAATACCATTTGACCCAGCAATCCCATTGCTGAGTATATACCCAAAGGAATATAAATCATGCTGCTGTGAAGACATGCACTCGTATGTTTATTATGGCACTATTCACAATAGCAAAGACTTGGAACCAATCCAAATGTTCAACAATGATAGACTGGATTAAGAAAATGTGGCACATATACACCATGGAATACTATGCAGCCATAAAAAAGATGAGTTCATGTCCTTTGTAGGGACATGGATGAAGCTGGAAACCATCATTCTCAGCAAACTATCGCAAGTGCAAAAAACCTCTTTTCTTTGTAAATGACACAGTCTCAGGTATTTCTTTACAGCAAAGTAAGAACAGACTAATATACCATGGAACCTGAGAATATGTTATTTTGCATGACAAAAGGGTTATTTAAGATACTGAGGTGGAAAGATTATTCTCCACTAGCCAGGTAGGTCCAATTGATTCACAGGGTCCTTTTAAGTAAAAGTAGGCAGGAGAGTCAGAGAGAGATTTGAAGATGCTACAGAGCTGCCTCTGAACATGAAGCCAGGTAATATGAACCAAGGAACCAAGTAGTCTCTAAAGCTGGGAAAAGAAAGAAAATGAATTTTTTTTTCTAGAGCTTCAAAGGAAAGCAGCCATTTTTGACACCTTGATTTAAGACTAGTGAAACCCAGTTCAGACGTCTGTCTTCCAGAACTGTGAGAGAATACATTTATTTTGTTTTAGGTCAGTAAGCCTACAGTTTGTGGAAATTTGTTCAAACAGCAATTGAAAAATAATATGCCAGATATAGCAGCCTCTGATAGCATGTGTAGGGTCAGCCTCAAAGCAGTTTGGTTTGATATGGTAACAGATAATTGGGAAAGTAGAAAGTGAAGTCTTGCTATAAGGGAATAGAAAATAGAGACACATTGTGATGGATGAACGGGAAAATAAATAGTCTTGGGTTTCTTTCTGGAGTCAATGGCTGTCTATATTTGTGTTTCTAAGTCTCTGAGTCTGTATGTTGTTTTGGGGGAGTCATTTGGAAGGTGTGACACTACTTCAGAGGCAAACATTGCTGAAAATTAATGGGAGATAGCTGAGAACACACATAACATGGTTGGGACTAAGGAACTGACTCAAGTGGGTTAGGTAGTGAGCAGTTCTAATATGCAGGGCCTAAAAGGAAGTGATGACCTCTGATAAAATTCACTTAGGTGGTATTGAGCAGGCTGACTAAGTATATACAGCACTCTGACAGAAGTCTCAGCTCTGGTAATACCTTAAGATATGATAAGATAAACCTTCTGTTGGAGCGATTCTCATTGCGTGAAGGAAACATAAATAAATTACCTTCATAATGGATGTATGTATGTGCATGTTTTATGTGTGTGTATATGTATGTGCATATTTTTATGGATGTCCAGTCAGTGACAAAGAAAAAAAATTATCCAATAGCTGGTGATAGAGAAGTTGGTTAACATTTATAGGAAAGTTAATCAATTTCGGTTTCTATACCTTATTACAAAATATAAATTTTGAATGGATTAAAGCATTAAATACATGAAAATAATGCACATGATCTTTTCAACAACTATTGAGCTTCTGAATATGGGCACTAGCAAAGACTTCCTAAGCTTTAAAGCCACAGAATAGGTGACAAAAGAAAAGACTAACATTTATGTACATGGAGGTTAAAGCTTTTCCCAGAAAAAAATAAACAAAAAGAAGACAATAAGTTAGGAATAAAAAATACATGAAGTATGACAGTCCATTTCCACTGTAGAGAAGACTCACAAAAGGAATAGAGTTGAAAGTCTCTAATAGATACATATACAAAGGACCTGAACAATTCATAAAAGAGGAAATAAAAGTACATTACAAATAAATGAAAAAATACTCCATCTCATAGTAATCAAAGAAATTTAAATTAAATGAGATAATATTTTTGCCTATCAAATTAACAAGTATTTAACAAACCCTGTAATACCCATAATAGCTTTCCTAAACTGCTAATATGGTGTAAAATGAAACCATGCTTGTTAATATAGAGTCTAAATTTGAAATTTTTTCTAAATAAATAGTTGTGCTATAAATGACTGTAGAAAATTCTCTATCAGAATATTATTTATAATATCAAAACATTTAGAAACAACCTGAATGTTCACAAATATAGGGAATGTTTTAAACATTTTGGTAATCAATAAAATATCCAACCATTTAAAAAATTAATTTACAAAGTGTGTTATCAATTAATTACAAAATAAAGCATTCAGAGTTGTATCCCCGTTGTGATTTTAAAATATTATATAGTGATTTTAAAACCGGAAAGCTACATCAAAATATTAACATGGACAGATTTCCATAAATTCTTGCCTGTGTTTTCTTTTTCTTTGTGGTCTCATGTTTATTTAGTAGGCATGCACTGTTTGTATAATAAAAATAAATACAAATTAAATATGTGTTCAGTTCTATTTAAAAAGAGGAACTTCTTGTAAGCTTGGATATGTAATGGAAAAAAGATTTGATTTCATTAAGAAAAGACAGGCTAAAAAAATGCAGAGAATCACAGCTTACATTTAATGGAAACATAAACAATACAAATAAGTTTCAAGCAAATATTTACTGAGAAGTAGAATCTTATTGTTATTTTGTTGTTTTTTAGGATTTGAATGGTATTTTCTTAAAAGGTCTGGTTTCTTTTACACACACCAGCAGAATTCTGTTAAGCCTCTCTCTCTCTCGTTTTGTTTTTGCTTATTCCAATGATGTGCAAAACATCCAGAAGGGAATAAGCAGCTTCTTGATTGCCTGTCTTGAAAATTCAAAACTATAAATTGATAATGAATGCCACATTACTGAATAGAACCTGAATGCTTGATTAAGTCTCTATAAGACTCCCAACAAACTGGAAATTGTACAGAGGCATAGTATTTACACGCACCTTGATTTTCATTTACCTGTGGCATTTTATGTATTATATCAATTTCATCTGAAGTTATTGTCTTTGCTAAAATAATTGCAGATGATTTTTACAAAGAGTTAGTAGATCTAGAAAGCTGTAGAATGAGAGCTATTTCAGCAACTACCTGTTGTCTGATTCTGAAGTGATTGCATTATTCAGAACAAAACCATTTCCATTTATATTTTGTACAGATGCTGCCTATGGTTGAACTTGCTTCTCATGGCTTTTCTTGTTTTTTTGTTTTTTGTTCCTTTTTTGAGATTGAGCCTTGCTCTGTCACCCAGGCTGGAGTGCAGTGGCATAATCTCTGCTCACTGCAGTCTCTGCCTCCCCGGTTCCAGAGGTTCTCCTGTCTCAGCCTCCTGGGCAGCTGGGATTACAGGCACACACCATCATGCCCAGCTAATTTTTGTAATTTAGTAGAGATGGAGTTTCACCATGCTGGCCAGGCTGGTCTCGAACTCCTGACCTCAGGTGATGTGCCTGCCTTGGCCTCCCAAAGTGCTGGGATTACAGGCGTGAGCCACCACGCCTGGCAAGGCCTTTCCAAATATGAGGCATATACATAGTTTGCAGTTGTTCTTCTTGGGCTTCAGGCAGGGCCAGAAATAGGGCACTATTTTGGGAAAGGTTAGCCTCATTGGCGAAGCGCCTGAGAGCTTTTTCATGCTAGAGTTGGTGCTAACAACCTAGTCAAATCCACTTGCTCACTTTTATGTCTCCATTTGCTCATCTGTGAATTGCAACAGGTGTCATTAATTTTACAAAACAGCTCTATCTAAGGGCCATAAACCACCCACTCTACCCCCTGCATAATCGTCCATCCCACTGAGCTCATCATGTTTCTGAAAGCAACAGTCCTTTATAATACATCCTTTGCTCATGAACAATCACTTGGCAGAATGGGCTATTATAATGGGCACAACATATTCAATGAGATTGTCACCATCTGTTCTACCTTCCAATTACCAAAGCAAATGGAAATAAAAAGGCAATGCCATTGGAAACCCGAGATAATATTTTCCATTTATTATGTCTTTTGGTTGACATGGGTTTTAAAAATTCCCTTTGGAACACGTAGGAAGAAGCACACTTTCTATCTGTGAGACACAATCAGAAGATTGGGACCCAGCACTGAGAGAAAATTTATCTGTGAGACACAATCAGAAGATTGGGATCCAGCACTGAGAGAAAATTACTCTCTGGAAGATGCACATGAGCACATTCAGCATCCTCATCTCTACTATGTAGTGGAGATTTCTGCTCAGCCTTGAAAAATTCACATCATCTTAGGCATGAAGTGATTAAGCAGAAACTCCCTGAGCTATTATTGCATGGGGAACAGTTAATGAAGTTGTACAAACAGGTATTGTGCATCAATATTTCCATGTTTCTGTCCAATAGGCAATGGGTTTGCATGAAGACTTGAAGCAAAAAGTGAATATTCACTTTGAAGTTGTGTGCCTGTGTGTGTGTGCACACACACATGCAGAGGAAACTGAGGTGAGAGATCATGGAATGTGAAGGTAATTCTAATCATGAAAGAGAATTAAGGCATTGAAGTCAGCATGGGTTTAAAATACTCAAATTGAAGAAACAGTGCTGTAACAGCACACAGTCGTTCTGTGAATTAACAGGAAATAACTAAAAACAAATGACCATACTAGAGGTTCTAATGCATAAGCAGACATCATAAAAGGAACTAGGTACCAGGGTATCCAAATGAATGGGACACAAAACATTATTTTATATTGGTCAGACTTGTATCATTTGCTACGAGTGTTAATAACCCACTTTTCTATGTGATAAATAACTGGAATTTTGGGTAGGAACACATAAAGTTGGCTTAAGTTTCTTGTCTGAGGCTCTGTCCCATAAACAGTGATTCTAAGTACACATGATTCTAAATAGAATATGATTCTAAGTATATATGATTCTAAATAGAATGTCTCCACTTTCAGGAAATGCTTTTGTGTTCCTGCCAAAGTCACATGCCAAGGAAACCTTTTAGTTATCTATGTAATCTGCATACTTGACTATTATATTTGAGATACTATGGCTTAGGATAGACAAAACCAGAAAATTTTAGGCCTATGTTTAGTGTTAATTTGTTTTGTTGATCACTTTTCTGTCATTATACATAGAGATTATGCATTTTCTTCCTGGTCAGCCTGTCCATAAAGAATTGGCATTAACCGAGTTGTCGACACCCACATGACTTAGCCAGGTGTGTGACATGTTTAGCAGTGTAACAATAGGACTGCTTCCAGCTTCGGAGTGCTTGCTAGCTTTAATCTGCTTATGAAATGAATACATACCTATCTGTCTTGCCATTTTTTTCATATCTCTGTGGAGGAACCAAGTGTGTGTATGTTTTTGGTAAGGTTATGGTTAAAATTTGAGGGCCAAAACATAGGCTCTTAGTCATTACTAGATGATCCTATTACCAGATTGTGTATAACTGAAACTGTTTCCCTCAGCATAGCTAGTAGGATGGAGCCCTGTTGCCAAGTATTAAAAATACTAAATGCTAGCCATCCTGACCCCTTTTATTGCTAATAGTAATGACTTATTTTAATTTTTTTCTGCCTGAATGTCATTAGTAGGCATGAATTTGGTACTTGCACTCATTAATTTATACAATTATTTAGTAACATGCATTTAAAAATAGCCTTGAGGTATAATTGAGTTATGATAAACTGTACATATTTAAAACATAAAATTTTCTAATTTTGACTTATTTATATTTCTGTGAAACTGTTACCACAATCAGGATAGAAAATAGTCATCACTCCCAACATTTTCTTGTTCTTTTTAGTAATCCCTCCCTCTTGCTCCTCCTGCTTCCTTAGCAAACAACCATTGATCTACTTTGTGCTACTATAGATTAGCTTGTATTTTCCAGAGTTATGTATGAATGGAATCATATAGTGTGCACTTATCTGACTATCTTTATTCAGCATAATTATTTTGAGATCCATCCATGCATGTGTCAATAGCTTGGGCATTCTTATTTCTGAGTAGTGTATTGTATGGACATAGCACAATTCGTTCATCCATTCCCCTGTTGATGAATATTTGGATGGTTTCCAGGTTGGACTATTATGAAGAATGCTGCTATGAACATTCATGTGTAAGTAGGATGTCCATTTTAATTTTATATACTTTATAATTTGTATCAGGAATGCAGACTAAATCAGCATTTTTCTGACATCTAGAATGAACATACAAGTCTTTGTCTTTCCTATAATTATTAAAATCTTGTTAGAGATGACAAGAAAGCAGAAACTTATCTCATTTATTTGCTAACTTTTCCTTAAAGTTTTTTTTTTTACACAAAAACAAATACAGTGTTGTTTAACCAATAAACCCAAAACTTATTAGAGGAGCCACTAAGCTTAGTTTCTGATTCAATCCTGTAAAATAACATACAGAAGGACACAGCTTGAACAGAATGTTTTTAGTAAATGACCCCACTTCTTCAATTTTGAGATTTATGTTTTACCATATTTCAGCCTTTCGAAGAGGTGGATGAATCTTTCAGTTGATATACAAATTTAATGTACAGTTTTTATATTTTCCTTCTTAAATGCCCATCAAATGATAAATGAATAAACAAAATGGTATATCTACACAATGGCGATAATGTTTGAATGTGCACCCTCTCCAAATCTCATGTTGAAATATGACCCTTAGTGTTGGAGGTGTGGCCTAGTGGGAGATGTTGGTCCATGGGGCTGGATCCCTCATGAATGGCTTAGCACCATCCTCTTGGTGATGAGTATGTTCTGCAAGAGTTGGTTGTTTAAAGGGAGTCTGGGACCTCTTCCTCTGCCTCTTGCTCCCTCTCTTGCCATGTGGTATGTCAGCTCTCATTTTGCTTTCCAACATGAGTGTAAGTTTCTGAAGGCCTCAGAAGCAGATGCTGACACCATGCTGCTTGTACAGCCTACAGGACTGTGAGGCAAATAAATGTCTTTTCTTTATAAATCACCCAGTCTCAGGTTTTTTTATAGCAACGAAATCTTACTAATACAAATGGAATATTCTTCATCAATAAAAAAGAATGAAATGCCAATACATGGTACAACATGGATAATCCTTGAAAACACTATACTAAGTGAAAGAAGCTAGCCACAGAAGCCATGTTTTTTACGATTTCATTTATATGAAATATCCAGGGTTGGCAAATCAATAGAAACAGAAAGTAGATTAGTGGTTTCCAGGAGCTGAGGAGTTAGGAAAATGGGGAGTGACTGCTTAATGGATGTGAGATTTCTTTCTGGGGAAATGAAGAAGTTCTGGAACCAGACAGTGGTGATGGTTACACAATATTTTGAATGTACATAATGCCACTGAATTAAAAACTTTAAATGGTTAAAATAATAAATTTTATATGATATGTATTTTATCACAATAAAAAAATGAGGTAGAAGTGATTTTAAAAAGTGTATTATTAATGGTGTGATATGCAATTGATGAGAATTTAAAACCAGCAAATGATGTGACTTACCATTGTGTGAGTGGCAGGCTGTTGCCTTAGGATCCCTAAAACAAAAGTATGTATGTGCACATATGTAATGTGTAGTCTACCTAACTCCTGAGCACATTATAGTTAAACTCAAATCCTTCAAACACTAAAAAAAAGTTAGCTCTGTCACAATTGTTCAATATTTTAACTAAAAAAATAAAACTATATACACAAGTCAGAGTGGCAGAGTTATTCTCTTACAGTACAAGACGAATTTATTGGAGCCAGTCCAAGTAGTTCAAAACTCAGGATAAGCAATTTGTTGCTCTGTGTAAAAGTTTAACCTCTCTAAATTGACATTAGGCTCATGTTATTTACCTCACAATATTGAAGGAGTCTGTATTTATAAAGTGCCAAGCATAATGCCTGAGGCATAATGACTGCTTAACAAATGTAATGTTTTGCCTCTTCAACAAGCCTGCCACCCTCCTGTGATACATAATCTTTAATTGCACATGACAACATAAAATACAAATATCTCTCTTACATTGAGGAAATTAACACATGACTTAGAGTGGGGATGTCCTGCTGGATTTCCAGAGTAGCAATTTGTCAGGTATATTGCATGTTCACTATTTGTGGCCATTCTACAATAATTATTTATTGTAGTGAGAAAACACTGAAGACCTACTACAAATAAATGAGGAAGGAAAAGTACTTTGATTAAAATGTCTATGGTAAAATAGAGATGCCTAAGAAATCTAATTAAAATCTCAACCAAAATTAAAACTTGGTGCACAAATAGGATCTGGATGCCCCACCTTACAACAAATATTGTTTCATTTGGGAGTTAACTGGTGTGTAATTTAGGTAATAAAGGATACAATGTAGAGTCATTTGGAGACGGTCACTATCCTCTGTCTCGAGTAGAGTACTCGAATCCAATTCCATTTATTAGCTGTGGTTTGTATCCCCAGGTGAGTAAAGGACTTTATATTTTTATTAGAGAGCTTTTAGAAGAAAGCCTTTAGTGCCCAATCTCCCCACACAGTGAGCACACAAGGCATATGTTTCAGATTTCATATAAGCAAACTTCATTTTCTCTGTTGTTCTCTATAGAAATCAAGTTGCACTTTTTCCAAAGGAAAGTGTAGGACACAGTGAAAACTACTGTAAATGGTGGCCATGATAAAACCAGTCCTCCGTTGGATGGGCTCTACATTAAAACAAAGCCTAAATTTAGGAATGCAAATATGTATGCAAAGGATACACCAATGCATGGCTTATAAGAAGGGTTCAGCTCATGGATTCCTACTCTTGAGTTTTTGTTGCAAAGTGTCAGGCTCTTGGGGATGGGGTAAGAGTCACAACATGTTCTTTCTACAAGAGCTTTAAGCTGGATTTCAGACTCTAATCCTTTGTCCAGAAGTAAATACATCTTTTCTTTTCATTAATGTGTAAAGGCAAGTAATATACTCTCACACATGAGACACTGGGCTTTAAATAATAAACTCTAAATTCCCTAAATTTAGAGATCATAAAATACACCATTGTGAGCATCCTACACAAGGTATCATTAAGTGTAGTCAGTGAGAAAGCACTTAATGAGCACTGAGAAAATCACTTCATATAAATTATCTTATTTAATCCTCTTAGCAACTCCTCACTGTAGATGTTATTATCTCCCTTTATGGACGAAAGAACTGAGGTTCAAAGACTTCCCCAAGGCCTCACACTACAGCAGTTTTGGAGCTAGCACTCAAATTCAGAATCATTTAATTCTAAATTACAGCTATAACAGGCAGACAGATATCTTTTGCTTCTTCAAATTTTAGATAACATCATTAATTGGAGCTCTTATTATTTGCTACACAGAAGTTTGAATGAAAAATAAGCTTCACTGAAAAAAAATTATCTTCATCACAGTGTTTTTTCCAGCATTGGAGATGTGTGTGTGTGTGTGTGTGTGTATGTGTGTGTGTCTGTGTGTGTGTGTACTTGTTCCAGCCAGCTTTATTGAAGTATAATTGACAAAAATTATATATATGCAAAGTGATTTTACATAAGTATACATTGTGAAACATTTACCACAATCAAGTTAATGAACACACCCCTCACCTGATATAGTTTCCAGTGTGTGTGTGTGTGTGTGTTTGTGTGTTTGTGTGTGTGTGTGTGTATTTGGTGAGGACACTTAAGATCTATTCTTTTAGCAAATTTCACATATTCTTAACTATAAACTACAGTATTCTTAACCATAGTTGTCATGCTGTACCTTAGATCCCCAGAACTTATACATCCTATATTACAATGGAAAATTTATATTCTTTGACAAACATCTCCCCATTTCCCTCACCCCAGCTCTTGGCAACCACTATTCCACTCTCTGCTTCTATAAGTTCCATTTTTTAAGATTTCACATATAAGTGAGATCCTACAATATTTGTCTTTCTGCAATTGGCTTACTTCACTTAGTGTAATGTCTTCCGGTTTCATCTGTGATGTCCAAAATTACAGGATTTATTTTCTTCTTTATGGCTGAATAATATTCAATATATATGTGTACACACACACACACACACACACACACACACACACCCCTTTTTCTGTATCCATTCATCCATTGACGAACACAGGTTGTTCTCATCTTTTGTCTATTGTGAATAATGCTGCAATGAACATGGGAGAACAGACATCTCTTCAAGATACTGATTTAATTTCTTTTGGATATAAACCTGAAATAGGATTGTCCAATTGTGGACAGTTCTAGTTTTAATTTCTTGTGGAACCTCCATACTATTTTCCATAATGGCTGTACAAATTTGCATTCTCACTATCAGTATGCAAGGTTTCCCTTCTTTTCATATCACCCCTGGCACTTGTTATCGCTTTTTTTTTTGGAAACAGAGTCTTGCTCTGTCTCCCAGGCTAGAGTGATCTTGGCTCACTGCAATCTCCACCTCCTGGGTTCAAGCAATTTTTTTTTTGTATTTTTAATAGAGACTGGAGTTTCACCATATTGGCCAGGCTGGTCTCGAACTCCTGACCTTGTGATCTTCCTGCCTCAGTCTCCCAAAGTGCTGGGATTACAGGCGTGAGCCACCGCACTCGGCCCTTATCCCTTGTCTTTCTGAGAGTAGCCTTGTTAACAGGTGTGAGGTTATATCTCATTGAGGTATTGACCTGCATTTCTCTGATGATTAGTGATGTTAGACACCTTTTCTTACATCTGTTGACCATTTGTATGTCTTCCTTGGAAACATGTGTATTCAGGTTCTTTGACCAATTTATTATTGTGTTGTTAGGTTTTTTGCTGTTGAATTACATGAGTTCTTTGTATATTTTGAATATTAGCCCCTTATCAGATATCTGGTTTGAAAATATTTTCTATCACTCTGTAGGTTGCCTTTGTATTTTATTGATTATTTCCTTTTCTGTGCAAAAACATTTTAAATTGATGTAGTCTCATTCTTTTTTATTTTTTCTTTTCTTGCCTATGCTTCTGGTGTCATATCCAAAAAATTATTGCCAACACTAATGTCAAAGAATCTTACCCCTATGTTTTCTTCTAGGAGGGTTATAATTTCAGATCTTACATTTAAGTCTGTAAGCCATTTCTAGTTATTTTATTTTATTTTTTTTGTACAGAGTGTAAGATAGAGTCTGCTATAATTTGGATGTGTGTTCCCTTCAAATGTCCTATTGAAATTTGATCTCCACTGTTGGAAGTGAGGCCTAATGGAAGGTGTTTGGGTAATGGGGGTGGATTCTCCATGAATAGATTAATGCCCTCCCTGGGAGGAGGGGGACTCAGTTCTTGCTTTATTAGTTCCCATGGAAATTCTCTACAGAGCTGAGTTGTTAAAAAGAGTCTAGCACCTTCCCTCACTCTCTGGCTTCTTTTCTCGCCATGTGATCTCTACACAAGCCAGCTCCTCTTCACCTTCTGCCATGAGTGGAACCACCCAAAGTCCCTTACCAGACGCTAAGCAGATGCTGGCACCATGCCTCTTGTGCAGCCTACAGAACTGTGAGCCAAATAAACCTATTTTCTTTATAAATTTTCCAGCCTCAGGTATTCTTTTATGGCAACACATAATGGACTAAGATAGAATCTGGTTTTATTATTTTGCATGTGAATATTCAGTTTTCCCAAGAGTATGTATTAAAGAGAATATTCTTTCCCAATTGTGTATTCTGGAAAATTTCATCAGTGATTAGTTTACTATATATGTGTGGGTTTATTTCTAGGTTCTCTGGTCCGTTCTGTTGGACTATGTGTCTGTCTGTTTCATGCCACTATTATGCTGTTCTATAGCTTTGTAAATAAAGTTGGAAAATAGCTTTGTTGTTTCTCAGGATGGCCTTTCTATTCAGAGTCTTTTGTGGTTCTATATGAATTTTAGAAATGATTTTTCTTTTTCTGTGTAAAATGTCACTGGGATTTTGATAGGGATTGCATTGAATTTGTAGACAGCTTTGGATAGTATGGACATTTTAACAATATTAATTTTTCAAATTCATGAATACAGAATGTCTTTCCATTTATTTGTATCTTCTTCAGTTTCTTTCATTAATGTATTATGGGTTTTAATATACAGATCTTTCATGTCCTTGGTTAAATTTATTCCTAAGAATTTTTGATGCTATTGTAGATTACATCATTTTTTAATTAAATTTTCAAATAGCGTTTTAGTATATAAAATATAATTGGCTTTTGTATATTGAATTATTTCTGCACTTTACTGATTTTGTCTACTATTTCTAACAGTTTTTAAGCCAATAATAACTTTGATTGCATATAAAAATCTACACTTTTACTTCTCACACCATTTTGTGTTTTTGATGTCACAATTTGATTTTTATAGTGTGTATCCATTAACAAATTATTGTAGATACAGTTATGTTTAGTACTTTTGTCTTCTGATTTTTAAATTAGAGTTTAAAATAATTTATGTACCACTATTACAGTATGAAAGTATTCTGAATTTGACTACATGTTTACCTTTAGCAGTAAGTTTTATATTTTCATGTTGTTACTTAGTGTCCTTTGATTTTAATTTGAATAACTCTCTTTAGTATTTCTTGTAAGGTTGGTCAAGTGATGATGAACTCCCTCAGCTTTTCTTTTTAAATTTAGGAATGTCTTCACCTCTCCATTTCTGAATAACAGCTTTGCTGAGTAGAGTATCTTTGGTTAGAATAGTTTCCTTTTCTTCTAGCACTTTGAATATCTCATTCTACTTCTTTTTGGTCTGCACAGTTTCTATTGACAAATTCACTGATTGCCTTATGCAAGTTTCCTTGTATGTAATAAATCTCTTTTCTCTTGCTGCTTTTAATATTGTTTCTTATACCTTTGAAAATTTGATTATAATATACCTCAGAGTACCTCCTTTGGGTTAATCTTACTTGAGATACTTTGTGCTTTATGAATCTTGATGTCCATATTCCTCCCTAGATTTGTCACATTTTTTGTCTTCATTTCTTTAAGTAAGCTTTATTACTCATACTCTCTGTCGTCTCTTTTTGAAATTCTAATAATTCATACATTTTTTTGCTTAATGGTGTCCCATAGCTCCCTTATGCTTTCTTCTCTCTTTTCATGCTTTTTTTTTAGTTTTGCTCCTCTGATTGGCTAATTTCAAATGACCTGTCTTTGGGTTAACTGATTCGTCTGCATGACTGACTCTTCTGTTGAATCTCTCTGTTACATTATTTAGTTCTATTATTGTATTCTTCAGCTCTAGGATTTCTATTTTAGTTATTTTGTATGGTTCCTATATCTTCACTAAACATGTCATTTCATTCATACATTGTTTCCTGATTTTGTTTAGTTGTCTAACACATTGTTTTCTGATTTTGTTTAGTTTTCTGTGTTCGCTTGCATTTCATTGAGCTACTTTAAAATAATTTTTTTTATTATTTTGCAGGCAATTTGTAGATCTCCATTTCATTGGGTTTAGTTACTGGAGCTTTACCAGTTTCCTCTGGTAGTATCATTTGTTTTGTTCTTCATGATCCATGTATTGATGTCTGTGCATTTTAAAAAACAAATTCCCCTTACAACCTTTACAGACTGGATCTTTATCTGCCAAATCCAGTCTGTAAGAGATTTTTACCTGGCAAAGCCAGTCTGGGGACCTCTTCAGGTCCCCAGGGTAATGGGATTGCCTCTGGATCACAGTCTACTAGGAACGGAGCTAGGTGGCTGCTATTGAGTTTGCAGTGGTGTCAATAGTTGGCAGGCCTGTAACTATGAAATCAAGAAGGTGTTGATCCCATCTGGTACCCGGGCAGATTGGACTGCCTCCAGGACCTTGGTTAGTAGGGCTAATGGTGGGACAAGGATCTGCTTAAGGGCCCACAATTGGATCTGCAGAGGGTGAGCCTATCACCATGTGCATGGATGGGTGAGGATCCCTCTATTTTCCCTGGGTAAGCACCTGCTGGGTCACTGGGTGGGTCCCTGAGCAGGAAGGACTGACTTTAGGCCACAGATGAGAGGGGCTAAAGCTGGGTCACAAGATGCTTTACGGTCCACAGTGGAGATAGAAGTTAGCAGGCCTGTCACTGAAGACAAAGGTGAGCAGATATCTTCTTAGAACACTTGGCAGATGATTCTCGTGGAAAAATCAAGGCCAAATGGTGCGGTGGCAAAGTCCACAGGTAGAGGAGACCATTTCTGGACCTATAGCCAGAACTATGACTGGTGAGCTCACCACCTAGGTGCAGATCTGCTCTCTCAAAACAGCCCTTTTTGATCTTGGGATTTGCTGGGTTTTGCAGTCTCCTACTTGGATCTTAAACCTCCCACAAAGGCACTTTTACTGATGGATGGCTGTCAAATTATTATTGCTACTGGGGGATATGAGTGGAGGATCGCTTATTTTGCCATCTTTTTGACATTACACTCCTTAATAATGCTATTTAAAATTGTTAGTTGTACCCTATCCACTCCACACCTAGCTCTACTTTTTTCTATAATTATCACACTGTTCAATATAATATGTAATTAATTTATTTATTATGATTATTGTTTGCCTTTATGAGGACACTGGCTAGAATATACCACCTTCCAAGGTAAGGAATATTTGCCTCTCTTTTTAAAGTGATGTGTCTCCAGTTCCTAGCACATAACAGGTGCTTATTGATATTTGTTGAAAAAATAGTCAGTGAATAGCATAAGGCAAGATAATGGAAATTCTTAAATTTGAAAAATGGTTTTGGATCATTATAGATTTAGTTCTTTGGAATTAGGCTAGGATTTATCACCGTTTTCTATGTGATCACTGGCTAAGTTCAGCATAATTAAAGTTACTAATGTTTATATATAATGCTTACTATGAACCAGGTACTATTGTAATAACCCTGTGAGATAGGTATCATTATTATCTTTATTTTCCAGGGGGAAGAAATGAAAGCACAATGAGATTAGTTAACGTGCTTAAAGTCATAGCACTAGTAAGTATTGGTCCTATGATTCAATGACCAGGCTCTTGACTCCTGACTTCACAGCATTGACATGAGCATTGAATAGGATGTATAAAGAATCTAGAAGACTTTGTTTTGGATATGAAAAGTATTCCATATTGATTCTTTCCTAAACGTTCTATGCTTCTATGCTGCATCTACTCTAGTCCTATGATTTCTTATTAATTCTATCTATCTTTCATCTATCTATCCATCTGTTTTTGACATTAAGGCTTATGTACTAAGCAATTAACACATAGTGCCAACACTAAAGAGGTTTTTATGTTGATAATCTAATAAATCTAGTAGTAGCACAATTGACTGTTTTTTGCAGTTCTTGGGTCAGCTTCCAAGCCTAGCTGTGGTGGCCATGAGGGGATGAAATGAGATTCAGGAGCTTATTTGAGTGATTATAGGAAATCACCTAACCAGGCTCATAATCTAATGATTCAATCATCTCAACTCTGGGAATTTGAGTTATGTTCCTTAGGCCAGTAACCAGAATAAAAAGTATGAAAATTTCAAACAGTGGAAAGATTTCTGTGAGTAAGGAAATTTCTTTGAACTAGACTGATGAAAACATTAAGAGGTCCATGAAGCTACTCCTTTGAGACAGAGTATAGAGAATAAAATGGCATGTGCAGAGATTAATCTCTGCACTAACCATGTGCAAAGTTTTAAAAATCAATGATTTGTGCAGCATTGGGGTTTAAAGAAGAGATGGTAACATATGGTATGGGAATAGTGATTCTTCTAGATCCTTCTACCATACCTGTTAGCTGTGGTTATGGTAAGCCTCAGAGATTTTTCCCACTGATGCCAGATGAGGCCACATAACTTTCTGTGTGTAATGATAGCCACTGGACATTCTGTGGAAGTTCATGTGTAAGTTGTATCCATTCTTAAATTAGAATAAAGTTGTTGACAGTGCCTACCATATGTTGCATGCTGATAAAAATTATGTAGTTTATGCTGTGATGATATAATCGAGAGCAGTGGTTCCCAACCTTTTTGGCACCAGGGACCAGCTTTGTGGAAGACAATTTTTCCATGGATGGGGGTGTGGGGGATGGTTTTGGGATGAAAGTGTTCTATCTCAGATCATCAGGCACTAGATTCTCCTAAAGAGTTCTAGCACAGGGGTGCTAGAGTCCTGTTATGTTTTTAAATTTTGTGCTCTGTTCCTCATAAGCTCCATAGAATATAAAGGCTCTTTTCTGTGGTGCTTGGTGCCTGGGACTCCTGGATATTCCTCTGTGTTGGAAGCTAAGTTCTTCCCAAAGGGATGCTTTTCTTGATCTGCACTGGGATCAGAATCATGCATAACTAAGGGCCCCTCTTCTATAAGTTTTTCACTTCATTGGGTCTCAAATCTAATAAATTTGGCATAAAACCTACAGTGTATCTACAATTATGGCCTATTCAATGATGATTAATATTCATAACTGACCATGGGCTCTGGGAATAGATAGCCTGAATACTATTACTATCAGTATATTAAAATGAGTATATTATTTCTATTATTTTTATGCCATTAGATTCATCTTTCCATATTTTAGGGGAGAATTAAATCAGTTAATATATATATAAAGTGCTTAGAATAGAGCATGGCACATAGGAACAGCCTGAGTCATATCTAAGTGTTGGCCATTATACTGTGTAAACTTGGACATGTTATCTAATTTCTCAAAGCTTCAGTTTGCTTAGCTGTTAAATGGTAACAATAACATATGCATTTGAATTATTGGTAAGGATTAAATTACATATTTGATGAAAAATGCTTTGTACCACTCCAGTCACAAGGTAATTTATTAATATATTATATGTTTGTTCACTACCATAATGATAGATTTTGTGATGATAATGTGATTGCGATTATATAAGGGAACTGAATAAACAAAACCTGAAACTCTACCTGCTTTTCCATTAAAAATGCAAAAGTTGGTTGGGGATTTGGGAAATCAATGAAACATTATTACGGCTTGTGTCTCTATGGGATGATCTTGGATGTGTATGCAATCAGATTCTCATTTTATAAAGAACAGTATGTGGCTCCAAAATCACCTAAGATTCTTCCATATTTTTTGAAGTTGTTCAAGGATGTTGATAGAAACATGGCAACTCAGTAAAGGAGGATGGGGCCTTTAAGCTAAATCCTCTGTATCTAGAAATGTGAGAAAGTAGAAGAAATCTCTCAGGTACCGAAGAACTCAGCAAGGGAAAAAAGACGTGTTAATATCATAGATGATGCCTGAGATGGTCCTAGAGTATCCCTGTGTCACTGGATGAAGCTCTGACCTAACAACTTTTCACTTTTCTCCTGGATTGTTCAGAATTTTACCTTTCCAAATTTTAATAGCACAATTATATTTTGAAAACTATACTTGATTATGTGCTCTTAATTTTTGCTAGTTTTATAATCTTTCTAGATATTAAATCTCATACATATAACTTCATTTTAAAATTGAGGAACATCACACACTGGGGCCTGTCATGGGGTGGGGGGAGAGAGGAGGGATAGCATTAGGAGATATACCTAATGTAAATGACGAATTAATGGGTGCAGCGCACCAACATGGCACATGTATACATATGTAACAAACCTGTACATTGTGCACATGTACCCTAGAACTTAAAGTAATAAAAACCATTATTTATTCCTATATATGTTTACAATATAGTACTTTAAAAAATAAACAATATTTTCAACCTTGACAAAAAATTTATCCAACGGACACTATCACTGATGCCAATAAACCAGTTCTCTCATCTTTGCAGATAAAGTGTCTAGTTGGGTTAATGTTCTTATTTCCTCATTATTGAAAGTAACTTGTAAGAACCTCATGAAGATCTGTGCAGATAGTACAGATGCATAACAAAGAGATGATGATTTTTGATTTCACTTTTATAAGGGGTTTCTCCTTCCTACTACACACACACACACACACACACACACACACACACACTAGGACTTTTAGAAAATATCTATGAAGCAACAGCCATGCCATGATTGTTGGAATAATAAAGAAAAATAAATCAATCTCCCAAAAAGTAATCATTTTGGAAGAAAAAGAAAAGAAGACATTTTGTTAAATAATAGTACCACCATCTCTTGTAACCTTAATTGAATGATTCAACTAAGCTGGAATCTGTTTTATTTTATTACATGACCTTAGATGATGCATTTGGCCTCTTTGTAACTTTGGCTGTAGAAGAGTGACAATAATCTTGGCTTCCTTATTTGAAGGTATATTACAGATTTAATGAGTTAATTTGTATAATATATTTAAACCAGTTAAAAGACTCTAGATTAATATAAAACTGTTACTACTATATTCTTTCTTTTTTTTCACCGTCTGTGAAGCAGAGATATATACTTATTCTACCTATATAATGATTTGCTTGGGAAAGTTTACTAATACTAGTTTTAAATTTTAGCAGAATGTATAGGTTACTATGCATATAAATAGGTGTTTCTGTGTAATTAAAAATGCCTAAAAATAAAAATTATTTAATCCAATAACAAAAACATTGTTAAATTAAGGAGAGACATCTCTTTTCCTGAAATAGTGGATTAAAAATATGTCGCACTCATACCAAAGACGTGATTACTTCCACTTACCTTCTGGAGATTTTTCCTTTCAGCAGAACCATGTTTTTCTTAACTATGCACTTAGTCTCAGTTGAGTTAGTCACTATCAGCTTCAGCAGTGTATTCTGTGTATTCACTCTCACACTTGTGTTAGACTATTCTTGGGAGATGATGCCTTTGTGCCTTCTGAACTTCTGAGTTTTTCTTACCTGAAACCCATAAAGAGTGTCTTATTTCAGATGGCTGTGTTTTGTTTGACCTTAGACCTTTCTCTAAGATTTTCTTCCAGTGGTCTTATTTGAATCTCATATTTTATCCTAAACACCATATGGCTCCAAATAAACAAAATAAACTGAGCCTCTTCTATGTTCTTTGAAGTTACCCAGGATGCTGATAGAGCAACGGTAGCTTACAAAAGGAAGATGGGTCTTTTAAGCTAAATACTGTGTATCCAGAACTATGGGAAAACAGAAGCAAGGTCTTGACGGTTAAAGAATTTAAAGCCCTGCCTTGCTCTTCTTCATCCACCATTTAAAAGCTTCAGTGATACCTCTAAACCAAAATCCTACAGCTGAGACCTTACAACACGTTAGAAAAAGGATTGTAAAACATGCTGCTATAAAGACACATGCACACGTATGTTTATTGCGGCACTATTCACAATAGCAAAGACTTGGAACCAACCCAAATGTCCAACAATGATAGACTGGATTAAGAAAATATGGCATATAAACACCATGGAATACTATGCAGCCATAAAAAATGATGAGTTCATGTCCTTTGTAGGGACATGAGAAAGCTGGAAACCATCATTCTCAGCAAACTATCGCAAGGACAAAAAACCAAACACCGAATGTTCTCACTTATAGGTGGGAATTGAACAATGAGAACACATGGACACAGGAAGGGGAACATCACACACCAGGGCCTGTTGTGGGGTGGGGGGAGGTGGGAGGGATAGCATTTGGAGATATACCTAATGTTAAATAACGAGTTACTGGGTGCAGCACACCAACATGGCACATATATACATATGTAACAAACCTGCACGTTGTGCACACGTACCCTAAAACTTAAAGTATAATAAAAAAAAAAAAAGAAAAACCTGTCTTCACGGTCTTTCAAATAACTCATATCCTATTACTTAGTACTGTTCTTTGCCCAGCTTCTGAGCTCCCATGTTTTCTCAGATTCCTGGTTTTTGACTATTATATAAGTTAAGATTGTTATTACCTTGAATACTATCATTTGCTAATGAGCCTTTCTAGTTAGTAGCAATATCTTACTATTGCCAGTAACTGCCTCATCCTAGTGCGCACCAAACCAGGCCAAATGCAGTAAGTTCCTTAACCACAACTGAAGAGAGGTCGGTATGATTAAGTGCCAGTGTAAAACATCAGTTTAAGCATCAGTGAAAGCATCAGTAATTTTTGTTTTTCCTATCTAACCTTACCTTTCCAAGTACTAATCATGAACCCTCCAGTGTATTTCTGGCGTCCTCTTCCAATAAGCCACTTCTTAGGCCAAGCATTGCTCTACATGCTTTGCATGTATTTGATCCTCATAAAATTCTGATAGTATAGATATTACATTATCCTCTTTTTATCCATAAGGAAACTAGAGTGCATGTGGTTTAAGAAATAATGCTCAAGATTTCAGAGTTACAATGTGGTCTAGTCAGAGATATGGATCAAGCACCTTGATTCCATGATTGAAAGGCAACTAACTCTTAAAGGAGCAAAAAGAATGGGTTCCACTGTAAATGTAGTAACTCTATGCTTGTGCTCATAGAGTAGATTCTTGACATCCACCATTTAGGTAATTAAGATATCACCTCACTTGAAAGCAAAGAAGCAAGCATCTTTTTAAACCCATTTTGTTAGAGTTCTCTCTGTTTAGTTTATTTTGAAAGGAGACTCTTTAAATACAATTAGGGTCAACTCTCCTGGATTTTGAGCTTGAATAGTACGGGATTTCTAACCATTGCCTCTCTACTCTTTCTTGGTAATATAATTACAAATCTGACATTTTCCCCCTAAAACTCAGTGTTTTTTATCATAATGACTATCTTCTGCACTCTAAGTTAAAAAAAATACATAATGGAGAGTCCTTATCTCAAGGAGAGAGTCTGAACACATTCTTGTTGAAGAATAGTTATAACCCATTTTGAATAGCAGTGTAGATAAGATAAAGGCAAATAATGCATATGTTCCACTACTGGCATTTTTAATATTTAATTGTTGGACTCTGGAAACATACACATCAGGACATAATTATTCTTGTGAGAGTTACTGGGAATTCTGGAATGGCTAGGGCCACAACACTAGAAATAAACAAATTCCTTGAGGAAAAAATTTCTAAAGCCTTTCTCTCCGGTTCACTGCAGGGTATGGTAAGTCAATTCTCTGCCCTTATCTTTTTTGATATATTTTTAACAGAGTTGATTACTCTTTCCTTTTTGATTAAAACTCTTCATTTGAATGTAATGCAAAACACTTCCTTAATTATTCTCCAAAAACAATGATAACCCATCCACACTCTTTGTTTATTCCTCATTATCTCCCTATTCACAAAACACAAAATGATGTATCACTCAGGCTTAGGGCCTCTCCTTTGTTTGCACCCACACCCTTGGAAATCTCAGTTAGTTACGAAAGCTGAGGATCCCCAAATTCTTATCTCTGACATGAGTTTCTTCTCTGAACTCCAGGCTCATATATTCAATCATCTATTCAAAATCACCACTTTGACCACACAGACTTAATATGTCCAAAACCAAACTTCAACTTTCCCATATAGAGTGTGTTTTTCCAACATCTTCTCCATTTCTGTATAGAAGCTCCATTTTTTTTTTTAGTTGCTTAGGTCAAAAATTTTAGATTATTATTTTTTTAAAATCTCAACTTCTATTTCTAATCTCAGCACATCCTGTTGGCTCTATGGTCAAAATATTTCCAAATGTGAATATTCTTTCCATTCTGCTGCTCCCACTCTAATTCAGGCAACCATTTTCTGTTACCTGGATTATAGCAATCACCTTCTAAATAATTGCACTTATTCCATTCTTTGCTTCATTTACTTATTTTTTTTTTGAGACAGGGTCCCACTCTGTCACCCAGGCTGGAGTGCAGTGTGCAGTCATGGTGCACTGCAGTCTTGACCTCCTGAGATCAAATGATCCACCCACCTCAGCCTCCCAAGTAGCTGCAACTATAGGCGTGTACTAGCATGCTCAGCTACATTTTTACATTTTGTGGAGACAGGGTATCACTATGCTGTCCTTGCTGGTTTTGAACTCTGAGCTCAAGCGATTCTCCCACATAAGCCCCCCAAAGTTTTGTGTTTACAGGCATGAGCCACTGCACCCAGCCCATTCTTTGCTTTATCTGGCAGCCAGAGTAACTGTTATGACATTAAATTCCAATCTTCATGCTACACATTTACTTAAAAATCTTCCATGACTTTGCCTGTAAGTTATGAAATCTGAAGCTGAAAGGGTGTTTTCTAAGATCTATGCAATCTATTCCCCACCCTATATTACCTCTCTGATCTCATCTTCTATATTCTAAGTTTTACTCACTCTGTTCCAGTCACACTAGCCCCCTCTGACATTTTCCCAACCTGGTGCCCTTTCTAATTGTTTTTTTCTTTTCCCTAAAATACACTCTCTCAAGATATCCTCCTTTCCTCTTTGCTTAAATACCATCTTCTTAGTGAAGTTTCTCTGACATACTTTCTCTCTGGCACGCCTCCATTTTTATCCACAGTACCAACCATAATCTAACAGATTTATAATCGGAGATTCACCTTATTTTCTTTATTTATTGCCTCCTTACTCTCATGAAAATGTAATCTGATTGAAGGAAGAGATTCAGTCTCTTATTTACTAATAAATTCTCATCACCTAGAACATTGTTCATATAATAGATACTCAATATGCATTTGCTGGATGAATGAATAAATGAATGATGGTGATGGCAGTAGAGAGAACTGCAAGACAATTTGGAAAGATATTATGGCATTGAGATCTTCCTTGAAGCCAATTTGAGAAAAATCCTACCATACAACAGGTTAATAAAAGAATTAACAAACTATAAAGACCTTTATTTTCTTTATATTACTAGGGTCATAAGAGGCTCTAAGGATGGGAGAAGAATATCAGCACTGGTAATGTCCTCATTTGTAATTTTCAATGCTATCACTTACAAGGTCAAATATAGTAGTTGGAGTGATTCCACTGAATGATACAATTAAAAATGCCAACTTGTTCTTCCCTTCCCAGCCAATTTGAACTTTTCAAAATACAAAGTTGATCATATCCCTTTTATGTCCAGCAATTAAAGTTTTTGATGGTATAGTAGTCTGCATGGGCTGCTATAATAAAATACCATAGACCTGATGGCTTAAACAACAGACATTTATTTCTCCCAATTCTTGAGGCTGGAAAGTCCAAGATCAACATGCCAATCAGTTCAGTTCTTGGTGATAATCTTCTTCCTGGTTTGCAGATAGCTGCCTTCTTGCTATATCCAATACAGAAGGAGAGCAATCTCTCTCTCTCTCTTCTTTTTCTTATAAAGCATATAAACTCATCATTAGGGTCTATATTTGTTCACTCTTGCATTGCTACAAAGAAATACCTGAGACTGGGTAATTTAAAAAGAAAAGAGATTTGATTGGCTCATGGTTCCACAGGCTATATAGGAAGCATGGTGCTGGCATCTGTTTTGTTTCTGGGGAGGCCTCAGGACACTCACATTCATGGCAGAAGGTAAAGGGGGAGCAGACACTTCACATGGTTGGAGCAGGAGCAAGAAATACAGTGAAAGGGGAGGTGCTACAGGCTCTTAAACAACCAGATTTCATTATGAGAACAGCATTAAGGGAATGGTAATAAACCACTTATAAGAAACACTTCCACCATTCAATCACCTCCCACCAGGCCCCAGCTCCAACACTGGGGATTATAATTCAACATAAAATTTGGTAGAGACAGAGATCCAAACCATATCATTCCATCCTTGGCCCCTCCCAAATCTCATGTCCTTTTCACATTGCAAAACAGTATCATGTCTTTCCAATAATCCCTCCAAAGCTTAAATCATTTCAGCATTAATTGAAAAGTCTGAAGTCAAAAATCTCATCTGAGATAAGGCTAGTCTTTTCCACCTATGAGCATGAAAATTAAAAGCATTGAGTGCTTGCAGCTTTTCCAGGTGCATAGTGCAAGTTGTCAATAGATTTACCATTCTGGGGTCTGGAGGACAGTGGCCTCTTCTCACAGCTCCACTAGGCAGTTCCCCAATGGGGACTCTGTGTGGGGGCTCCAACCCCACTGTATTAGTCTATTTTCACACTGTTATAAATAACTAACTGAGACTGGGTAATTTATGAAGAAAAGAGGATTAATCGACTTACAGTTCTGAAGGCTGTACGGGAAGTATGGCTGGGAGACCTCAGGAAACTTACAATCATGGTGGAAGTGTGAAGGGGAAGATAGCATGTATTTACATGGTGGCAGGAGAGAGAGAGAGGGACGCAAAGGGGGAAGGGGGAAGTGCCACACGCTTTTGAACTATCAGATATTATGAGAACTCACTCACTATTATGAGAACAGTAAAGGAGAAATCTGCCCCCATGATCCAATCACTTCACACCAGGTTCCTCTTCTAACCTTGGTAATTACAATGTAACATGAGATTTGGGTGGGGACACAGAGCCAAACAACATCGCATACATTTCTCCTCACAACTATCCTGGTAGAGGTTCTGAGGGCTCTGCCCCTGCAGCAGGCTTCTGTCTGGGCACCCAGGCTTTTCCATAAACCCTCTGAAATCTAGGCTGAAACTCCCAAGTTTCACTTCTTATACTCTGTGCACTCACAAGCTTAACACCATGTGGAAGCTGCCGAAGCTTACCACTTGCACCCTCTGGAGCAGCAACCCAAGCTGTACCTGGGAACTTTTGAGCCATGGCTGGAGCTAGAGCATCTGGGATGCAAGGAGCCATGTCCTGAAGCTGCACAGGACCTTGAAGCCCTGGGCCTGGCCCTGGCCCAAGAATCCATTCTTCCCCACTAGGCCTCTTGGCCTGTAATGGGAGGGGCTACCACGAATGTCTCTGAAATGCCTTCAAGGTTTTTTCCCAATTTTTTTACTATCAGCACTTCCCTATCCTTTAGTTATGCAAATTTGTCTAGCAAGTGGATGCTCAGCAGCTGGCTTGAGTTCTCCTGAAAATGGGCTTTTCCTTTCTACCACATGACCGTGCTGCAAATTTTTCAAACTTTTATACCCTGCTTCCCCTTTAAATATAAGTTCCAACTTCAGATAATTTCTTTGCTCATGCATATGGACATAGGTTGTTAGAAGCAGCCAGGCCAAATCTTTAATGCTTTGCTGCTTAGAAATTTGGCGAGGTGCAGTGGTTCATGCCCGTAATCCCAGCACTTTGGGAGGCCAAGGCAGGTGGATCACGAGGTCAGGAGATTGAGATCATCCTGGCCAACATGGTGAAACCCTGTCTCTACTAAAAATACAAAAATTAGCTGGGCATGGTGGCATGCACCTGTAGTCCCAGTTACTCAGGAGGCTGAGGCAGGAGAATTGCTTGAACCTGGGAGGCAGATGTTGCAGTGAGCCAAGATCATGCCACTGCACTCTAGCCCGGCAACAGAGTGAGACTCTGTCCCAAAAAAAAAAAAAAAAGATAAAATATAAAAAGGAATTTCTTCCAACAGGTAGCCTAATTCATCATTCTCCAGTTGAAAGTTCCAGAGATTGCTATGGCATGGGCTCAATGATGCCAAGTTCTTTGCTAAGGCATAACAAAAGTGAACTTTGCTGCAGTTTCCAGTAAGTGTCTCATTTCCATTTGAGACTTAGTCAGCTTGGCCTTTGCTGTCAATATTACTATTAGCATTTTGGTCACAACCATTCAACCAGGCTCTATGAAGTTCCAGACTTTCCCTCATCTTCCTTTCTTCTTTTGAGCTGTCCAAACTCTTTCTACCTCTGTCCATTACCTAGTTCTAAAATTTCTTCCACATTTTCATGTATCTTTACAGCAATGCCCCACTGCTCGATACCGATTTTCTGCATTATAATAGTTTATTCTCACATTGCTATAAAGAAATACCTGAGCCTGGATAATTTATAAAGAAAATTAGTTTAATTGGTTCATGGATCTGCAGGCTGTAAAGGAAGCATGATGCTAGCATCTGCTCAGCTTCTGGGGAGGCCTCAGGAAATTTACAATCACTGCAGAAGGTGAAAAAGGAGCAGACACTTTACATGCCCAGATCAGGAGTAAGAGAGATCAATGGGGGAGGTGCTATAAGCTTTTAAAAAACCAAAGCTAATGAGAACTCACTCACAATTATTAGAAGAGTACCAAGGAAATGGTGTTAAGCCATTCATGAGAAATCCACCTCCATGATCCAATCACCAGGCACTGCCTCCAAAGTGAAGACTACAAGTCAACATGAAATTTAACGGGAACACAGATCTAAACCATATCAGGGTCTCACATTCATGACCACATCTAACTCTACCTCCTAAAGGCCCCAAGTACCATCACAATAAGGGGTAGGGCTTCAGTAAATGATCTGAGGATACACAGTTCAGTCCATAGGAGGTGGTTTCTCATTGCTTTTATGTTAAACCCTGGTTTTTAACAAGAGGCATGTATTTTGTACTCTGAATTCCTTTAGGCCCTTTACATTCTCTGTTTCTTTTTGCATCACTTTACCCTCTGCCTTCTTGTTCTAGCCATATTTTCCTTTTGCTAGTACACATATATGCTCCCTTCTACTATGTCCTCTCGGCTTGACATAAACAACTCTGCAACTCCCTCCATCAAAGCAGCTCCTATTCATTGTACTGAATTTGGCGTCCAATCATCACTTCCTCATGGGAAAATTTCTTCATCTGCTGGCCAAATCCCCTTTGCTTTTGTTAACACACCATTTCTTGGATCCCAGTTGTAATTTGGAAGTAATCATTTGGCAAATAAATTTCTCCTTCACTAGACTTTCAGCTTAATGGAGGTAGAAAATAGATTTGTTATTGCTAACTATATCTCCACCAGCAGCAGAATACATGGTCCATGCTAGTGTTTACAAATTTGTTGAAGGAGTGACGATAATAATACTCACATGCCTGTAACTACATATGAAACTCTTGTTGTCCAGAGTCTAGAGGTTAATTAGCAAGCTGATTTTGCATCTCAATAATTGGAGTGTCATATTCTTCCTAAACCTGACTTTTCCTTTTGTCTTCTTATATTTTAGGTGTTTTTAGAGGAGAATTTGTGTGATTTTGAAAATGTAGCTTATCCTATATGAGTCTAATACTTAATATATATTAAAATTCTACCTCATGAACTTCAGTAAATGCATGAAAACTAGATAATGTATGTGGTTTAAAATAAAAACAATACTAATTCACTAATTTTAGCTCCTGTATTTGAGAGCTTTCTTTGCACCAAACACTGTACTAAGTAGTTTATATAAATTATCTTATTTCATTCTTCTGAAAAGAATGGCTTTATTTATTTTATTTGTTTATTTTGCTTTTCCTATGTGCCAGGGCTTGCCTAAATTATTTCCACTGGTATTTTCATCTCTGACAAGCAGATATTACCATTCTGACTTTGCTAATGAGGGACACGAGGATTTTGAGGGTTAGAAAAAATTTTAAGTTGACACAAGCTTATCAGTTATGAGATTGCTGGTGAAAGACACTTGTGCATTTCTATAATACTTTGTAAACAGTGAAAAATAATAAAATTAAATTGAATAAGTGATGTTCAATATTATTCAACTTGAATACTTGTAAAGCTCAAAGTGACTCTAGGGGGTCATGCAATCTAAAGTCATAGTCCCATTTTACAAATCTTTGAAATGAAATTAACTGAGCTGCCCTACTGCACCATGAATACATTTAAGGCAGGAGATATTTCTTTTTTATTGGTAGTACACATATATTGTTCTACCTAATATGTTGCTCAATAACATTTATGGAATTGAGTTGTTCAAGTTATCAATCAAGACAGAGCCAAGATTAAACCAAATCTGACCTGTAATACAGGAATCATCCTATTAAATATGTTGCTAATAAATGACTAAGCTCATTTAAGAGCTTGCTTTATTAAATGGCATCATTATTTATAATAACAATAGGATTAGAACATTTCCTGGGTGATATTATCATCACTACCATTATTGTAAGGGAATCTGCAGATTCTCTTTTGGGGTTTATTGCCAGTAATCTTATTTCTGTTATTTTTTTACTGACGGATGCATCCTAGCATCAAGGATCCAGGTTTCCTTTTCAGGTTTTAAAGGCAAAAAAGAGGAGATGCAGTTATAAATCACTTCAAGGGATGATTTAGATTTTTTTATGGCGGCAGGTTGCTACCAGTCATGAAATCCCGAATGTAAAATGCCACTACAGCCATCAAAATAAATTGATATGGGTTGGTGAGTGGAGGTGGTTGATAAAACCCCACCATGTAATTAGTTGGAAAGAGATTAAAATGTTTACACAGAGGGAAAGTTGCAAATAAAATTTCTGTGGAAAAGTTGAAGTGATTGAATTATTTTAAACATGAAAAGGGAAGGGTAGGGGGCAGCTTAATTAATCTTCAAGAAATGGCTTTGCTTTAGGACCATGGATAGTGGTGTCCAGTGCTTGTCAGTTCTGCCAATGACAGAAAGCTATGAAATATAAGACGTAGCAAGACAGACTAAGGTATGATTAAAAAAATAGGTTTCTAAAGTTTATAAAGCTCACTACCTGAACTTGAACAAGAGACACTGTTAAATATTTTCCTCTGGACAACGTTAAAGAAAGATATCCTCCTATGTCTGTAATGATAAAAGCACGGTCTTTTCCAAAGAAAGAGCTCAACTCACCTCCATAACCTAACAACATTCCTTCTAGATCTAAGATTAGACCTTTTATATGTTTAAAGCCTTGATGACATTTTCAGTTTATCAGTTCAATCAAATAAATAATATATCTATTAAAAGACCACTTTACTTAAGAAATCCCAGTACGATCATCATAAGTATTGAGTTTGGACTATTATAAATTCAGATCTGGTTTTATGTCAGAAGAAAAATTGGATGACTTGACTGTCATATGACAATGGCATTAGGATATCTGGATTCTGGATTCAGGACCAAGTGGTCATTGTAGTTTTCAGGTTACTAAGAAATTGCATCAGCCTAAAATATTTACATACTGTTCTGCTATGATCCCTAAAATTTCTATCACTAGCCTTCCATTAATTTTAATTAAGAAATTATTCTTATGAATGTAAACATATGAATGTCTTTCATATAGTTAGTCTATTAGAGAATTTTCAAACTTATCTATCACTCGGGACAATGAAAGAATGGGACACTGTCCAAATCAATCTTGATGTACTCAAAGCAGACAGATCAATAGCATGTAACATTGATGTGAACAAACTGAGAGGAAGTGAACTCAGAGAAGCCAAAAGTAGAATGAAGGTATCAAGCGTGGTGCTGGAGAGGTTTTGTGCCAGCTTGTGAGAACTAATTGTTAAATTTTCAGAAGTTTTTTTTTTTTTTTTTTTTTTTTTTTGAGATGGAGTCTCGCTCTGTTGCCCAGGCTGGAGTGCAGTGGCGCAATCTTGGCTCACTGCAACCTCCACCTCCCAGGTTCATGCCATTCTCCTGCCTCAGCCTCCCGAGTAGCTGGGACTACAGGTGCCCGCCACCATGCCCGGCTAATTTTTTTGTATTTTTAGTAGAGACAGGGTTTCACTGTGTTAGCCAGGATGGTCTCGATCTCCTGACCTCATGATCCGCCCCGCTCGGCCTCTCAAAGTGCTGGGATTACAGGCGTGAGCCACCGTGCCCAGCATAAATTTTCAGAAGTTTTGAAAGCAAATTTGTAAGCATGGCCATTATTAAAAATTAAATTATATAACACAAAAATTGCATTAAAAACAAAGTTCATAAATACTCAGAATTTATCACTTCCTAAGCATTTATAGCATCTTAGTATCTATACTCCTTTATTTATACGGAAATAATATATAAATAATGCATCCCTTTGTATCTCCATGTTTAGTAATAGTATGTTGATAGCTTGAACTTAGCCATGGTAAGCATATTTTAACTATGGAAATGGGTAAGTGCTACAAATCAGGGTGCTCTTTTTTTATTTTCCCTATAGAGTTTGTTGTTAAACACTCACCAGCACATCACTGATTCATTTTCAATGGTTTTAAAGGTAATTATCTTTCTACAGGAGTAAAAATATTTAGCTGCTAGACACAGAGAAAGTCAAATCTTCCAGGCTGAATTTGTTAATTCCAAAACATTCTCAAATCTCCTAACACCAAAGTTGTAAACATTTTTGACAAAAAATTTAAAGCAGTTTATAATTTTTGCTGTTCAACAAGACTTTGCCCTATTGTTAACAACTTATCTTTCGCCTTCCACAAAAATGTTGTCTCATGAGCTAAACAGAAAAATGTATTTTTTTGCACGTTTTTCCCCATATTTTCAGTAGTTCCTTCAATTGAGGCTTGCTATGAGTTGCACAGATCCACTTACTTGATCATATTTTCTTTAGATAGAGTATTAACTCTTCAGCACAGAAACATGGGAAGTCACCACAGTTCAGAAGCATCTACAGCTAGGTTTGAATTTTGGCCCTGTCACTAACAAGATGAGTTAACCATTGATGACTAAATTTGACTCTCAAACACTCAGATTACTCCATTTTAAACTAGAGCTAGTATAACCTACATGGCAGTGTAAGCATAAATATTTCATGAGATGATGTATTTAAAAGTGAAAGCACAAGAGGGCATGGCTTACAAAAGGTGTTAACAACATGTGATCCCTTTCACTATTCTTTTCTTTCTTTATCTTCTCCACTATGATACAGAATATTTTCAGGGCTAGGATTATCCCAAGGGCAGGAAAACCATAAATTTTCCCAAACCAACCCACTGGAAAAGGATATATGAATTTCAAAGTTTTGTTTGCCGACTCATGAGCTAAAAGTTACCTTTGATTTCACAAGGCCCCACAGACAGCTGGAAGAAATGTTTTTGGAGAAGATTCTCTGGGGTATTCTTTTTATAGTTGAAAGACACTTTTGAATGCGATATGGTTTTTCCACAGTAGCTTGAGGCCTTGAACAGGGAGAAAGAAAGGGAAAAGTGAGTTCAAGTCTCTATGACCTATTCTTTCAGAATTAGCAGATTTTAAGTATTTTGAATATATTCCTTTAAAGGATAATATCATGTCAGTAAGGCACAGTGATATTTTTTCCTACTATCATGATCTTGCCTCAGGCTTTAAATTAGTGAGGTGGGATCCATCCTGAGAGTTGCTGGGAAAGCAAAAGATTCATTCTCATTAAACCCAGAATGTGAATATTTCTCTTCTCTCCTCTTTCCTCTGCACTTCACTGAAGCATATATTATCTTCTTTCACGAGACAAGAGAGGAAAGGAGATCACACTGAATCAGCTAAGAGTTTTCCATGAGGTTCTCATAACCTTTGGGGTTTACAAGCACATATATTATTTGTTCTCCCCAGTTATTCAAATCAGCTATTCTTTGGAAGAGTGGATGATGATGTGAAGAGTCTGATAATGTTGTCTATAAAAGAAAAAGAAAAAAAGTAAAGAAATGAGGGAGGTTGGTAAAATTGAAAATAAATAAAGAAAAACAGAGAGAAAGGGACAACAAGGAGAAAGAAAATAATAGCACAGTTAATAACCAGTCCTTTATACTGTTTAAATGATAAATTGATTATGCATTATCTAAAATGTACTTATACAGTACTCCAGAGTTATGATCTCTTTCATTAAAAAGAAGGACAGAGATAGAGAGTAAGAAGTAGAGAGAGAGAGAGAAAGTGAAGTGTCTCAACACCCATCCAGTTATCTAAGTCAGAACTTTGGGAGTCATGACAGACTATATTCTCTCTCTTTTCTGCTGCTAATAATAAATCACTAAGACTTGTTCATTCTATTTCCTAAATACTCAAATCTACCCTTCAGCACACACACAAACTGCTAACCCTCATCATTGTTTTATTTTAGGCAGACATCACATTTGCCTGTTTCACTGAAATAGATTCCCTACAACAAGTCTCTTCCTTCTTAAAAACTCTCTCATCCACTACCTGAGTGATCTTATTAGAATGTAACTCTGATCATAGCTCTCCTGTTGAAAACTTTTTCCCTAAAGAAGAGATTTCAAACTTCTTATCATGGTATATAAAGATGCTTTTGATCTGGACTTCTGCTTCCACTCTGGCCTTCTTCCTTCTCTCCTAAGATATGTTGTTGAATGAATAAATCAATGAATATTTTCATCTTAACGTATCAATCTATTTTTAGTTTCCAAACTCTTCTATATTCTCTCATACTTCCAAGAATTTGAAAGCACTGTTTTCTCTGCTTATAAGATCCTTTCTTATTCCCTTCCTTATCTGTTTACTCTTTTCATTTGTACAGGCAGCTGAAGAATTACCTTTTTGATCATTCCTTTCTTAGCCAACCCTAAATTATGCATTTACTTGCTTGTCTGCATTACTAGACCATCTGCTATTTTAACACAGAAAGTTTCTTATGTGTGACTTTTTAACTTTTAACATGAAAGTGTACGCCTAGCAAATAATATATTTTAATTATTAAAGGATTCAAAGTAACATGTTTAAAGTGAATAAATAAATAAAATATAAGGTAATGTTATCATTGGTATTTCAATTTACTTTCGTACATCATCCTTTATTCCTATTCAATCTATCTGCGCTTAACAAATGTTTTGATTTTTATTCAAAATAAAAAATACAGTGAATAGCAATAGATCTTTTTATCTTATGAATATTCTCCATATTGATATAAGTACTAATCTCAATTTCTTGAAATAGGAAAACAATTAGAGCAAAATGCAATATAATATTGGAAAGGAAAAAAATAGAGAAGGACATGGACAATAACTGTTTCTTAAACTAGCAACAGCTAAAGTTATCAGATTTGATCATTATGTGCTAGAAAGACCTAACAAAATGCAGAACAGCGATTATAAAGACCCAAACCAGGAAATAACTAGGAACTGAACTGAACTCAAAAGCAATTTGACAAAAAACTGAAAGGCTAGTTTGGCTGAAATCTACTGAGTTTCTCACTGATATTTAAATACATTTATCTGATAATAAAACTCAGAAGAAATCATACCCCCATGATCAAATGCTTTACAAAGAAAACCAGGGATTTCAACTTCTCCCCAAATAATGTCTTTTTTTTTTTGCTTTGTCTCTCAAACTCCAAAACATTTAAAAATATTTAAATGTGGAATATATAGGATTTCACTAATTCTCAACAATCATAATTTTCATTCTATTTGCTCTACACAGGTAAGTGCATGAACCTACAGGTAAGCAATCTTTCACGCTAGATGATAAACATTTTCTGATACTGGGTCTTCAGAACCACACTGGATGTGGTGAAGTGAAGCATAGTTGGTGAGTGAAAACTGATTAGAAACATTCTTGCAAGATGCAAAATTATATTCACAGTAGCTTAATCAAAAAAGGAAATTCATTGGATACAGAGGGATTACATAAAAAGCAATAGTAGAAAATGTATAGTCTGTATTCAGAATGAAAGGAATCATGAAAATAGGTTATAAACTCGGATTACTCTCTCCATCTCTCTGTGGCCATGGGGTCTCTGATTTCTGCACCTCTGACGTCTGTGTTATTTCTTCTTTCTCTTTGCAGACCAGCTTTCTCTATATCTGATTGAACAAAGGCTGATCTATGTGATCCACCAATTCC
Organism: Homo sapiens; assembly: GCF_000001405.40. Lineage (NCBI taxonomy): Eukaryota > Metazoa > Chordata > Mammalia > Primates > Hominidae > Homo > Homo sapiens. The sequence continues at coordinate 21,749,301 of NC_000011.10, forward strand.
AGCATTCATTGTGGACTAACTAGAGTTTTGCTTTGTTTTGTTTTACATTTTAAGTTCAGGGGTAAAAGTGCAGGTTTGTTACAAAGGTAAACTTGTGTCATGGGGCTTTGCTTATGTTCTAATTTCATATTCATAGGGAAGAAAATCTGACTGTTCCATTTCGCGTTAGGTTGGACTTGACAGATATAGCGAATAAATATATGTGTATCCTATGCAAAATTTGGGATATATTTAGTAAAAAAATTATACATTCTTTACCTGAAATTCAAATTTAACTGGGTGTCCTGTATTGTTTCTGTCCACGCTAAGTTAGGTGTTTTCTACTGGTCCTATCAGTTGTTGTCAGTGTGGGTGGGAACACAGCGAATGGAGCAAAGGATGGTGTTATACTTCACTAGGTAATTGGGTTATCAACTTTTCTCAGGAAGAGTGATGTGAGCTTAATATGCACATAGAGTAATCTATAAACAAGAGAGAATAATTTGGTTCTCATAGAAGATAAGAGGCCAGAATGTATTACCATTCAGATAACAGGTAGAAGTTTAGCCAGTTGACTCAGAGATAATTAAAATAATTTCAGTAAAGTGAAGTTTTTAAATGACATATATTTTTTAAATAATTTACAAGATTATTTAAAAAGACGAAATGTCATCAACATGATTGATTTAAATTTCATTTCAAAAACACAACCTGTCTACTTACTAGCATTTTAAAATTACATATTTATTCTTTTAATTCAGATAAACATTCTAAGAAATGCCATTGTTATTTCTGCTTTGTAGTTGAAGATGTTGAAGCTTAAAGAGGCTAATTATCTATCTAAGTTAACACAGCTAGAAAGCAACAGAAGCAGAATTTAAAGTCAGGGCTGCCTGAAACCAGAACCTTTCCATTGAACTGTGTTGCTTCCAAATGTCGTTGTTTTATAATCCTAACATCAGCATTATTCCAAGCTGCTACTAACAATTGCTATAGCTCTTCTGTTGGAATCTTAAATCAGCAGCCTCAATTTATGTGATGAAAGACTGAGGGACCACTTCCATATGAAGCAAAAGCAAGAGTGCTTGGCTCCGACCCAGTATTTTCCCCAGAATTGCTTTCCTTATCCCCGTCTATTTTCTAACCCTAAATGAGTGTAGCACTGGTTGAGGTACATTCCACACTCTTGAGAATAACAAATAACGTATAACCTATGCATATTCATGAGTAGAATTGTAGTTATGCATGAATGCTCTACATTAGTGCCTAATATCAACATCTACTTATTTTTCTGTTGTTTAAAATAAAGGATGGGCATGGAGGGGTGTTAGTTAGTTCAGTCACTAATCAAAGATAATTACACCATTGCAATTCCAAACGTTTATCTGGGCTTCTGTGAGGCAAGCATGAAATGAACATTTAATGTACTGGTTTAAGGCAGGCCCTATGAAATGGGTAACAAGGGTGATGATAGAAACTCTTTGCAAAATTAAAGCACCAGAGATAGTCCATCTGGAAAGCATAGACAAATTTAATTCAGTGCTTGGCAAGATGTTTTACAGTTAGTGAGGGCTAAATACATATTTTCAGATGGATAAATAAATTAATGAATTAATTATTGTGAGTAAAAGGTAAATCCCTCTAACATTAAAATATTTGAATGGCATGGAGGCAAGGTTACAATCTTTTCCATGAATCTTAAAACCTGTATTGCCTACCAGTAGGGCATTTTTTTTATATATACATTAGGTACTCAAACTACACTGTCAATGGAGAAATGATAAACCAAATTATGGCTCTTAACTGTGGCATAAAATGAAGTCATTGCTGATCCTAAGACTAGTCATAACTTTTCAGCAATAATTTTTAGGCATTTTTCTAGGCATTGATGATACAAAGGTGAAAAATACAATGACAGTTCTTGTCCACATGAAGCTTAGGTTTAGTGTGAGGAGACAGACCTTAACAGAAAAATTGAATGAAGATATGTTTAACATAAAACTAAGATATTAACAAATGTAGGAAAGTTACGTGGTACAATGAAAGTACAAATTTGGAAGGTTTTAGTTGATCAGAAGTTTTGAGAATGCCCCCCCGCCCCCAGCTCTGGGGAAGTGTGGTCTGTCGAGGAAATAATTCACTAGGTAAAGGGAGTAGAGACTTTTCCAGTCATAATACTCTCTGGAAGGGCAGACCATCACCTACCCTAGGAACTGAAAAAAAGTTTAGTGCACCTATAACAGAAAATGAGAGAATGAAAGAGGTGAGACTGTAAAAGTAGGCAAGGTCCAGACCATGCAAATTCTTACAGATGATGTTATGCAGGCTGGGTCTTATCCCAATAGCCAATAAAAGTTTTGGGAAAGTCAGTGTTAGATGGTAGAAGTCCATCAATGAGAATCAATGAGAAGAAACGCAATTAAGATTTGCATTTTTTTAAAGATCCCTCTGGTTGCAAATGGTAAATGGACAGGGGCCATGAGAATGAATATGGCTAGACAGATTAGGAGTCTGTTGGAATATCCCTCATGGGAAGGCACATTACCTAAGACCAAAATCAAGATTGGGAGTGTATGAGTGTATGTGTAAGAGCTAAAACTGAGGGAAATGGCAAACAATTTGATGTGAGAGATTAGGGTGAAGGGAGTATCAAATGTGATTTTCTAAGTCTCTGGCTTATGAAACTAGATATCTAGCATGGGAGAAATGGCCAGCTGGCTCCCCACCAACAATTTTTACTTTATCTTTCTATAATATAAAATTATTTCTAAGAAATTCCAACCCCATGCATCAAGTTTTTGCCAAGAAATATAGACAAAAGTGATGTGTGTTACGTGCTGTTGAAGTGGTTAAGAAGCAAGCATGCTTTCCTCATAGTCTCTGTCTATATTCCATGTGAGAGCCAAAAGTTGTCTATGCTTGCTATTTCCAAATTGTCAACACTGCAACCCACATACTTCAACTCATTTCAAATGGTAATTTTTTCCTAATGATGAATAATTGATACTGCAAATATTCAGAAAATGTTAAGAGGAGACAGGCTCCCAAGAAGGGTGAAAATGGAAAGAAAAAAGATAGGCTGTATTTTAACAGGAGATACTAAGGAAATACTGGGTTTCAAAGTAACTAAGTTGAAATTTGTGACAGCAAGAAATAGAAGAGTGTCCGGAATTGGTGGGTTCGTGGTCTCACTGACTTCAAGAATGAAGCCTCGGACCCTCGCGGTGAGTGTTACCGTTCTTAAAGGCGGCGTGTCCGGAGTTTGTTCCTTCTGATGTTCAGATGTGTTCAGTTTCTTCCTTCTGGTGGGTTCGTGGTCTCGCTGGCTCAGGAGTGAAGCCGCAGACCTTCAGGGTGAGTGTTACAGCTCTCAAGGCGGGGCGTCTGGAGTTGTTTGTTCCTTCCGGTGGGCTCCTGGTCTCGCTGGCTTCCGGAGTGAAGCTGCAGACCTTCCCGGTGAGTGTTACAGCTCATAAAGGCAGTGTGGACCCAAAGAGTGAGCAGTAGCAAGATTTATTGCAAAGAGCAAAAGAACAAAGCTACCACAGTGTGTAAGAGGACCGAGCGGGTTGCCACTGCTGGCTCGGGCAGCCTGCTTTTATTCTCTTATCTGGCCCCACCCACATCCTGTTGATTGGTAGAGCCGAGTGGTCTATTTTGACAGGGCGTTGATTGGTGCCTTTACAATCCCTGAGCTAGACACAAAGGTTATCCACGTCCCCACCAGAGGAGCTACATACAGAGTGTGGACATAAAGGTTCCCCACGGCCCCACCAGACTCAGCAGCCCAGCTGGCTTCACCCAATGGATCCCGCACGGGGGCTGCAGGTGGAGCTGCCTGCCAGTCCCGCGCCGTGCGACCACACCCCTCAGCCCTTGGGTGGTCCATGGGACTGGGCGCCGTGGAGCAGGGGGCGGTGCTCGTCGGGGAGGCTCGGGCAGCACAAGAGCCCACGGCGTGTGGGGAGGTTCAGGCATGGCGGGCTGCAGGTCCCGAGCCCTGCCCTGCGGGAAGGCAGCCAAGGCCCGGCGAGAAATTGAGCACAGCAGCTGCTGGCCCAGGCGTTAAACCCCTCACTGCCCGGGGCCGGCAGGGGCTCCCTGCCGCTCTGAGTGCGGGGCCCGCCAAGCCCACGCCCACCCGGAACTCCAGCTGCCCCGCAAGCGCCGCGCGCAGCCCGGGTTCCCGCCCGCAGCCCGGGTTCCCGCCCGCGCCTTTCCCTCCACACCTCCTCGCAAGCTGAGGGAGCCGGCTCCGGCTTTGGCCAGCCCAGAAAGGGGTTCCCAGAGTGCAGCGGCGGGCTGAAGGGCTCCTCAAGTGCCGCCAAAGTGGGAGCCCAGGCAGAGGAGGCGCCGAGAGCGAGCGAGGGCTGTGAGGACTGAGAGCACGCTGTCATCTTTCAGAAGGAGGTCTTATCTGATGACTTTTATTTTCTCCATGAAGCCGGTAAGGACATCTGCTGAGGTTAGCAACTTGGGAAAGGTAAAGGTTTGAGAAGAAATAATTCAAAAAAGTTATTTCAATGAGGAAAAAAACTAGGCTGGCCAGTTTCACCAGGAGTGTTGAAGGTGTGTTTGCTATTGGTGATCATGGAAATATAATGATAATAAGGTGCAATGTTAAGCAGATTTTTCTAGTATCACTTACATACAGACACAGAAAAAGTGGATAGTGGGTTCACAGACAGGGGATGGAATTTTAAAGGGATACAAGAGAGATTTTAAGTTATCGGCAAGACTCTTGCTAAAAAGCCGAACTCCGAGTGTTAAGCTGACTTAAACAACTTCCATTTTAGCCTTGTACAAAATTGAAAGGCCAGTAACAAATTCCATTTTTGTTGACAAGATTTGTGAAATCAAAACTTTGTACTCCTTTTGTTAGGCATAAGTTTCATTGATTGATAAATCTGTGGGTCCTGCATCTGCATGAATAACCTCTGATTTTGCCCTGTGCCCATATGGAACTACGACTTACCACCTCCTTGTATTTTTTTCCCTTTCAGTTTTTAATTTAAGTTTGGGGGTACATTTGCAGGTTTATTACGTGGGTGAATTGTGTGTCATTGGAGTTTGGTATACAAATTATTTTGTTACCTAGGTGGTAAGCATAGTACCTGATAGGTAGTTTTTTTATCTTCAGTCTCCTCTGATGCCCCACCCTCAAGTAGGCCCCAGCGTCTCTCGTTTTTTTGTTTGTTTCTGTGTACTCAATGTTTAGCTCCCACTTATAAGTGAGAACATGCAGTGTTTGATTATCTGTTCCTGTGTTAATTCCTTAGAATAAATGCCCTCCAACTCCATGTTGCTGCAAAGACATGATTTCATTCTTTTTTTAATGGCTGCATAGTGTTCCATGGTGTATATCCACTGCATTTTCTTTATCCAGTGCATCATTGATGGGCATCTAGATTGATTCCATGTTTTTGGTATTGTAAATAGTGCTTCAGTGAATATATGAGTACATGTGTCTTTGGGTATATATTCAGTAATGGGATAGCTGGGTCAAATGGCAGTTCTGTTTTAAGTTCTTTGAGAAATCTCCAAACTGCTTTCCACAGTGGCTGAACTAATTTACATTCCCACCAGCAGTGTATCAACATTCCCTTTTCTCCAGAATCTTGCCAGCATATGTTATTTTTTGACTTTTTAATAACAGTCATTCTGACTGTTGTGAGATCTCATTGTGGTTTTGATTTGCATTTCTCTAATGATTAGTGACATTGAGCACTTTTTTCTATGCTTGCTGGCCATGTGTATGTCTTCTTTTGAGAAGCATCTGTTCATGTCCTTTGTGCATTTTTAATGGAGTTGTTTGTTTTCTGCTTGTTGGTTGTTCAATTTCCTTATAGATTTTGGATATTAAACTCTTGTTGAATGCACAGTTCACAGATATCTTCTCCCATTCTGTAGGTTATCTGTTCAGTCTGTTGATAGTTTCTGTTTCTGTGGAGAAGCTCCTTAGTTTAATTAGGTCCCACTTGTCAATTTTTGTTTTTGTTGCAGTTGCTTTTGGAGTCTTCATCATGAAATCTTTGCTTGGGCTTATGTTCAAAATGATATTTTCTAGGTCTTCTTCCAGGGTTTTTATAGTTTTAGGTCTTACATTTAAGTCTTTAATTTATTGTAAGTTGATTTTTGTATATGGTGAAAGGTAAGCATCCAGTTTCAATCTTCTGCATATGGCTAGCCAGTTATCCCAACACACTTTATTGAATAAAGAGTTCTTCCCCCATTACTTATTATTGTTGACTTTGTTGAAGATCAAGTGGTTGTACATGTGCAGCTTTATTTCTGGGTTCTGTAATCTGTTTTTTGGTCTATGTGCCTGTATTTGTATCAGTATCATGTGGTTTTTGTTACTGTAGCCTTGTAGTCTAGTTTGATGTCAGATAGTGTGATGCCTCTGGCTTTGTTCTTTTTGCTTAGGATTGCTTTGGCTATCCATCTCTTTTTTGATTCCATATTAATTTTAGAAGAGTTTTCTTTAATTGTGAAAAACAACATTGGTAGTTTGATACAAACAGCATTCAAACTGTAAATTGCTTTGGGCAGTATGGGCATTTTAATAATATTGAGTCTATCCAAGAATATGAAATGTTTTTTCCACTTGTTTGTGTCATCTCTGATTTCTTTTACTAGTGTTTTGTAATGCTTGTTGTAAATATCTTTTACCTCCCTAGTTAGTTGTATTCCTAGGTTTGTGTGTGTGTGGCTATTGTGAATGCAATCGCATGTTTTATTTGACTCTTAGCTTGGACATTATTGGTATGTAGAAATAATACTGATTTTTGTGCATTGATTTAGCATCCTGAAACCTTGCTGAAGTTTATCAGATCTAGGAGCCTTTGAGTAGAGACTATGGTGTTTTCTAGGTATAGAATCATATCATCTGCAAAGAGAGATAGTTTAATGATCTGTTTCTATCTGGATGCCTTTTGTTTCTTTCTCTTGCTTGATTGCTTTGGCTAGGACTTCCAGAACAATGTTGAATAGGAGTGGTGAGAGTGGGTATCCTTGTGTTGTTCTGGTTCTCAAGCGGAATGCTTTCAGCTTTTGTTTTTTCAGTTTGATGTTGGATGTGAGTTTTTCATAGATGGTTCTTATTTTGGGAATGTTCCTTGTATGCCACATTTCTTGAAGATTTTTAACATGAAAGAATATTGAATTTTATTGAAAGACTTTTCTGTATCTATTGAGATAATTATGTGTTTTTTTTAATTGTGCTTATATCATAAATCACACTTGTTGGTCTGTGTATGTTGTACTAACCTTGCATTCCAGGAATAAAGCTTACTTGATCATTGTATTAGTCGGTTCTCATATTGCTAATAAAGACATACCTGAGACTGCATAATTTATAAAGAAAAAGGCGTTTAATGGACTCACAGTTCCACATGGCTGGGGAGGTCTCACAATCATGGCAGAAGGTGAAGGAGGAGCAAAGGCATGTCCTACATGGTGGCAGGAAAGAGAGTGTGTGCAGGGGAACTGCCTTTTATAAAACTATTTGATCTCATGAGACTTACTATCATGGGAACAGAACTGGAAAAGCCCATCCCCATGATTCAATTACCTCCCATTTGGTCCCTCCCGTGACATGTGGGGATTATGGAAGCTACAATTCAAAATAAGATTTGGGTGGAGACACAGCCAAACCATATCAATCAGGTGAATTAGCTTTTTGATGTGCTGCTCAATTTGATTTACTAGTATTTTGCTGAGGATTTTTGCATCAATGTTCATCAGGGATATTGGTCAGAATTGCTTTATGGTCGAGCATGTAGTTAATATTGGAGTATGTACCCTGTGTGGATGAGAAGAATGTATATTTTGTTGTTGTTGGGTGGAGCGCTCTACAGATGTGTGTTAGGTCCACTTGGCCATGTGTCAAGTTTAGGTCTCGAATATCTTTGTTAGTCTTCTTCCTCAATAATCTGTCTAATATCCTGGCTAATACAGTGAAGCCCCATCTCTACTAAAAATACAAAAAATTAGCTGGGTGTGGCGGTGGGCACCTGTAGTCCCAGCTACTCGGGAAGCTGAGGCAGGAGAATGGCGTGAACCCAGGAGGTGGAGCTTGCAGTGAGCTGAGATTGCGCCACTGCACTCCTGGGCAACAGAGAGAGACTGTGTCTCAAAAAAAAAAAAATAAAAATAAAAAAATCTGTCTAATATAGCCAATAGGGTATTGATGTCTCCCACTATTATTGTGTGATTATCTAAATTTCTTTGTAAGTCTCTAAGAACTTGATTTATGAATCTGGGTGCTCTAGTGATGGATGCAAATATATTTTCTTATTGAATTGAACCCTTTATCATTATATAATGCCCTTCTTTGTTCTTTTTGATTATTGTTGCTTTAAGGTCTGTTTTGTCTGAAATAAGAATAGCAATTCCCACTATTTTTTGTTTTCCATTTGCTTCACAGATCTTTCTTTATCCCTGTACTCTGAGCCCATGGTGCATCACTGCATGTGAGATAGATCTCTTAAAGACAGCCTAAAGCTGGATCTTGTGTCTTTATCCAACTTGCCACCCTGCACCTTTTATGTGATGGCATTTATGCTGTTTGCATTCAAGATTAATATTGATTTGTGTGAGGCTAGGCATGATGGCTCATGTCTGTAATCCTAGCACTTTAGGAGGCCAATGTAGGTGGATCACTTCAGGCCATGAGTTCAAGGCCAGCCTGGCCAACATGGCAAAACCCCATTTCTACCCAAAACACAAAAATTAGTCAGGCATAGTGGCGCATGCCTGTGATCCCAGCTACTCAGGAGGCTGAGGCATGAGAAACATTTGAGCACAGGAGGTGGAGGTTGCAGTGAGCCAAAATTGCACCACTGCAATCTAGCCTGTGCAACCCTGAGACCCTGTCTAGATAGGTAGATACATAGATACTAATTTAATCCTGTCATTATGTTGTTCACCAGTTATTATCTAGACTTGATTGTGTAGTTGCTTTAAAGTGTCAATAATTTATATACTTAAGTGTGTTTTTGTGGTAGCCAGTAACTGTCTTTCATTTCCATGTTTTGCACTCCCATAAGGTCCTCTCATAAAGCAGGTCTGGTAACAAATTCCTTTAGCATTGGCTTGTCTGAAAAGGATTTTATTTCTCCTATGTATATAAAGCTTAGTTTGGCTACATATAAAATTCTTGGTTGGAATTTCTTTATTTAAGAATGCTGAATAGAGGCCCCCAGTCTTTTCTGGATTGTACAATTTGGCTGCTGAAAGGTGTGCTGTCAGTCCGATGGAGTTGTCTTTGTATATGACCTGCCCCTTATCTCTAGTGGCCTTTACTATATATATTTTTTACATTAATGTCAGAAAATCTGATGGCTATGATTTGGGATTGTCATCTTTTCTAGCGTCTCACAGGAGTTCTCTGCATTTCTTGAATTTTAATGTCAACCTCTCTAGTGAGGTTGGGTGGAGACTATCCTCAAGCATGTTTTCCAAGTTGCCCTCTCTCTCTCCCTCTCTTTCATGGATGCCAATAAGTCATAGGTATGGTCACTTGACATAATTTTGTATTTCTGTGAGGTTTTGTATATTTTTAAATATTCTTTATCTTTTTTTTTTGACTGAGTTCATTTGAAAAACCAGTCTTCAAGCTCTGAGATTCTTTCCTCAGCTATGTCTATTCTGCTGTTAATACTTCCAGTTGTTTCTTGCAGTGAGTTTTTCAGCTCTATCAACTCTACTTTTTTTTTTTTTTTCTTAAAATGTCTAGTTTGTCTTTCAGCTCTTGAATCATTTTAGTTGATTCCTTAGATTCCTTGGATTGGGTTTAAACTTTCTCTGAATCTCAATGATCTCCATTGGCATCAAGATTTTGAATTCTATGTCTGTCATTTCAGACATTTCAGCCTGATTAAGAGTCATTGTTGAGTATCTAGTGTTGCCATTTGGAGGCAAGAAGACACTCGGGCATTTAGAGTTGCCAGAGTTTTTATGCTGTTTCTTTTGCATTCTGTGTGGGTTGTTGTTCCATTAATCCTTGAAGTTGCTGTCCTTTGGATAGGACTTTTTGCCTTTGTATTCTTCAATGCTCTTGAGTGTTTGGCTGTGGTATAAGTTAGGTTTAGTTGACTGGCTTTTTTTCTGGATGATTTCAAGGGTCAAGGCTCAGCTTAGCACTTCTGGGCTGTGTACTTTATCACTGGGTGGCTGGGACTAAGCTCACAGCTTTGTCCTCTGGCCCTTCAAGGTTAGGCAGCTGCTACACTGGAGAACCCAAGGTGTTCCTAGTCCACTGGCAACAATGTTTTGACGGGGAGTGCCAGAAAACTTGCTTCAGTGGGCCAGTGGTATTATGGTCCACAGTCACTCACATGTACCTGTGGCACCAGGGCAGCTGGATCCTCATCTGTGTGTGCTTGCTGGCAGAGGTGGGTTGGTGGTAGGGTAGTGGCATGGTGGGGTCTGCAGCATGTGTGCATGCCAGCTAAGTAATAAAATGAGGCTGTGGGTAGGTGGACACTGGCAGAGGCCCCTCTGCAAAAGGTTTTGATGGTTAAATGAGGGCTGCTGATGAAAGAGCTATGGTAGTGTCTGCTGAGATGGACCCTAGTTGGGCATATGAAGCTGTGCTGCAAGCAGATGTGGCCAGGCAGAAACTCTGTAAGAGGCTGGCAGATAAGAGTACACTTGGGTCAGACATATTGGAGACTGGGTAATTTATGAAGAGAAATGGTTTAATTGACTCACAGTTCAGAATGGATGGGAAGGCCTTAGGAAACTTACAATTGTGCTGAAAGGGGAAGTAAATGTGTCCTTCTTCACATGGCAGCAGTAAGGAGAAGTGCAGAACGAAGAGGGGAAAGCACCGCTTATAAAACATAAGCACCCCTTACAAAATCAGCTCTTGTGAGAACTCACTCACTATCATGAGAACAGCATAGAGGTAACCACCCCTATGATTCAATTACCTCCCACAGTGTCCCTCCCACAACACATGGGGATTATGGGAACTACAGTTCAAGATGAGATTTGGAGGGGGATACACCCAAATCATATTCTGCCCCTGGTCCCTCACAAATCTCATATCCTCACAATTCAAAACACGATCATGCCCTTCCAACAGTCCCCCAAAGTATTATCTTCTTTCAGCATTAACTCAAAAGTCCAAGTCCAAAGTCCCATCTGAGACAAGGCAAGTCCTTTCTGCCTTTGAGCCTGTAAAATCAAAAGCAAGTTAGTTACTTCCTAGATACAATGGATGTGCAGGCATTGGCTAAATACACCCATTCTAACTGGGAGAAATTGGCCAAAATGAAGGGGCTACAGGCTTTATGCAAATTTGAAATCCAATAGGGCAGCTATTAAACTTTAAACATCCACAATTATCTCCTTTGACTCCATGGCTGACATCCAGGGCATGCTGTTGCAAGAGGTGGTTCTCCCATGGCCTTGGGCTATTCTGCCTCTGTGGCTTTGAAGGGTACAGCTCCTCTCCCAGCTGCCTTCATTGTTGATGTTAAGTGTCTGTGGCTTTTCCAGGTGCACGGGGCAAGCTGTTGGTGGATCTGTTACTCTGGGGTCTGGAGGACAGTGGCCTTCTTGTCACAGCCCCATTAGGCAGTGCCCCATGGGGACTCTGTGTGGGGACTCCAACACCACATTTTCTTTCCACACTGCCCTAGCAGAGGTTCTCCATGAGGGCCCAACTCCTGTAGCAACCTTCTTCCTGAACAACTGTACATCCTCTGAAATCTACATGGAGGTTCCCAATCCTCAATTCTTGACTTTTGTGCACCTGCAAGCCCAATACCATGTGGAAGCTGCCAAGACTTGAGGCTTGCACCTTCTGAAGCCCTGGCCTGAGCTGTACCTTGGTGCCTTTTAGCCATGGCTGGAGCAGCTGGGATGCAGGGCACCAAGTCCCTAGTCTGCACATGCAGAGGCGCCCTGGACCTGGCCCAAGAAACCATTTTTTCCTCCTAGGCCTCTGGGCCTGTGATGGGAGGAACTGCCACAAAGGTCTCACATATGCCCTGGAGACATTTTCCCCATTGTCTTAGTAAGTAACATTTGGCTTCTTATTACTTACGCAAATTTCTGCAGCAGGCTCGAATGCTTTCCTAGAAAAGGGGTTTTTCTTTTCTTTTCTTTTTTCTTTCTTTCTTTTTTTTTTTTTTTTTTTTTTTTAGATGGAGTCTTGCTCTGTCACCCAGACTGGAGTGCAATGGTGCGATCTCAGCCCACTGCAACCTCCGCCTCCCAGGTTCAAGTGATTCTCCTGCTTCAGCCTCCTGAGTAGCTGAGATTACAGGCATGTGTTACCATGCTCAGCTAATTTTTGTGTTTTTATTAGAGATGGGATTTCACCTGACTGAACTCAAGTGATCGATCTGCCTTGGCTTCCCAAAGTGCTGGGATTACAGGCATGAGCCGCTGTACCTGACCTAGAATACCTGATACTGGATAACTTATAATGAACAAAAATTTATTGGCTCGTGGTTCTGGAGGCTGAGAATTCTAAGACTGGGGGACTGGCATCCTGTAAGAGCCTTCTTGCTGTGTCATCCTATGGTGAAAGGCAGAATGGCTAGAGAGGGAGAAATAGAAATAAAGTGAGAGGAAGAAAAAGACAAGGAGAAGGGGCAAGGGGTTACAAAGTTTTCCTTTCTTGTGATAATATCATTCTTGTGATGAGAGTATTAATCTATTCATGACAGCAGAACCCTAATGGCCTAATCACTTCTTAAATGTCTCACTTTTTAATCCTGTTACATTGGGGATCATGTTTGTAAGACATGAACTTTGGAGGACATCTTCAAACAATACCAGAGGGAATGTAGCCCTACCAACTCATCAACTTCAGACTTCTGGCCTCCAGAACTGTGAGAAAATAAATCTCTCTTGTTTTAAATCATCATTTTTGTGATAATCTGTTGCAGCAGCCCTAGGAACCTGATGCACATATTTAAGGACAAAATTTAATGTGACATTCAGGTTTTTATCTTCTGCCTCATTTACTGGTCTTTTCAGGGAAGGAGAGTAAATTCTGAATGTATAATTGGGAGTAGTATGTAGGCATCAATGGCATCACCTCTTCCTCTTCCCTTTTTCTATGGAAATTAGCTGTCACCAGGAGCCCTGTCTCTTCGTCTGCTCCTCTATGTTAAAAGTTGTCGAGTAGGGATGGGTGTGGCTGCATCATTTTTCCAGCACATCCTGTGACTAGGCATGTAGATATGTTTAATCATTAAGTCTAATATTATGAAGCCAATTGTTGCCACTCATACACCTAAGCCACAATCTCCTATTTCTAATTTATTAGTAATTAAAACGATATTTTTTTCTACATTGTTATCTCAGGGTTTATTTACATTTTAGTTAACCAAAATATTTCCATAACCCCTTCACCTCCATTGAGTCACCCAAGATGATTGAGAAGAAAAGAAAATACAAATTTGTATTAGTGGAAGAATATTTTATAGATTCACAGGACTCCCCCCACCACCAAAAAAAAGAATGATGTCTATATTCTTTTATTATTATTATTATTTTTAGACAGGGTCTCACTTTGTCACTGAGGCTGCAGTGCAGTGGCACCGTCTTTGCTCACTGTAACCTCCGTCTCCCGGGTTCAAGTGATTCTCCCACCTCAGCCTCCCAAGTAGCTGAGATTACAGGTGCATGCCACCATGCCCAGCTAATTTTTGTATTTTTTGGTAGAGACAGCATTTCACCATGTTAGCCAGGCTGGTCTCGGACTCCTGACCTCAGATTATCTACCCCCCATTGGCCTCCCAAAGTGTTGAGAGTACAGGCGTGAGCCACCACACCTGGCCATGTTTGAATTCTTAATGCAATTATATATCTAATTAAAGATAATATAGGTACATATTAAACATTTGGATAGAAAAGTATTTCTCAACCTAGAATCCAAATGCCCAGCCAAAATATCCTTTAACTATAAAGGTAGAAAAGGTCACTTTTGTAGCAGGGAAATAGAGCAATTGAGGTGTTTTTTTTCCTAGCTGAGCCACTATTTTATCTGATAATTTTGGCACCATGCAATATTGCATTGAAAGTGTTTTACAGAATCATTGGAAGATATAAAGGTATTTGTCAAGAGGTATAAGCAAGTTAAAAGTTATTAATGCCAAAAAATAATCAATGACATTAAAAAAATGGAAATTGGTTTATGAGCAAAAGTATTTATAGTCATAATACTTAAACACTATATTTAATAATTATGGTATAATCATATTGAAAAGGATAAAGAAGAAGAGTGAAAAGTATAAGAAAGGTAAAAGATTTTTACCTTTTATTTCATAGTACTGTGTCAATCAATACATTTAAATATTTAAAAGATGAGTGTGTGTGTGTGTGCATGCGCTCACAATTTTAAAGGTATATAAGAGAAGAAATGGATGGGAGGTAAATTTCCAAAGGTGATAGTAGGAGAATGAGAGGAACAGCTATATTTTTTATAAGCTTATGTTTATTTAACTTTTTAAACTATCCGCATGGATTCTTTTAAGAAACATAAAAGTTGATTTAAAATGGATAAAAATAAAAGTCCATAAATTTAGCATATAAACTTGATTTATTCACATATAGTCATAAAATAAATCTACAAACTATATAGTGAAAACAAAATAAATCTCACCCTGTAGTTATATATTGATTTACATTTGTGTGCAATTTGGTGATGAGAAACAAACAGGCATAAAATAAAAATTGGAGCCTTGGGCTTTAATATAAGAGTGAAAATTAAATATACACATAAATAAAAATATAAAGTAAAAATAGAAAGTTGAACTAAAGTACTAGGCAGCTATAAAATGAAAGCAGGAAAATGTAAGTAAAGTTTTGGGTGCTTATATTTTTGGGGCAGGAGGAAAAAGTATTGATGAACTTTACACTTTTAAAATATATCATAATAAATGTATATATGTAGCAATTAGTGAATTTATTAGAGTTATGTATATTTTAAAAGCCTTGTGTATCTGAGGCACTTTATAGTTGTGAATAGAACAAAGATATTTCTCATGAACATTATCATCTATACAAACACGTTTTAAGTTCACATGGAACATTTTCAAAATTTATCACGTATTAGAGTCTAGTAGTGACACATGTATCATGTATTAGAGCCTAGAGACTTCCTAAAAGGAAGTCTCAAGACAAACTAAAAAATCAATATTATTATTAACTAAGTGCTGTGACCAAAAAAATGCTATTCAAGTGAAAATCAATTCAAAAAAACATATTTAGAAATGTAAAGAAAAATGTCACATACACTAAGTAATTCATAGTCCCCAAAATATAATGAAAATTATAAAAAATTTAGATCATTGAAACAGTAAATACATTCTGTACAAAAATTTTGGAATGCAACCAAAGCAATATTTATAAGAAAAGCATATAATCTTAAATTCACATATTACAAAACAAGTTGCGCCGGGTGCGGTGGCTCACTCCTGTAATCCCAGCACTTTGGGAGGCTGAGGTGGGTGGATCACGAGGTCAGGAGATCAAGACTATCCTAGCTAACACGGGGAAACCCCGTCTCTAGTAAAAATACAAAAAAATTAGCCGGGCGTGGTGGCCGGCGCCTGTAGTCCCAGCTACTCGGGAGGCTGAGGCAGGAGAATGGCACGAACCCGGGAGGCGGAGCTTGCAGTGAGCCGAGATCGCACTACTGCACTCCAGCCTGGGCGACAGAGCGAGACTCCGTCTCAAAATAAATAAATAAATAAATAAATAAAAGTAAACAAGTCGCTAATCTTTTAAACTAAAAAGGTACAAGAACAGCACATTAAGTTTAAATAAATAGAAGAAAAAGATAATGAACAGAAAGTTGAATTTAAAAAACAGGCAAAAGCACAGCAGAAGACAATACAATCAAACATTATAATTAGTTCTTTAGAAAAATGCTAAATGAAATAACTAAAATGGACAAAAATAAATTTATAAATCAACAATATTAAGAATGAAAAGAAAGATAAATTTAATTTCTTTAGCTAATTTCAGAGATTGTTGTATAGATTATATGAGATTAATTCAAGTAAAGCATCAAATCATAACTATTATTATGGCATCTAGTAGTGAATTAATTGGTAACTATTAATATTTCCCCTACTGTGCTCACATTATATATTGTCCATTTTGCATTTGAAATAGTTAATTACATTTTATCTCTTTCTACATCTACCTGTTCCACTATATAGGGAGCTCTTTAAAGGCAAGGCAGAGGCTCTATTATTTTTAATTTTTCTAAATGTAAAAATAAATAGTCAATATTTGTTGTATTAATTACTAAATGAATAAAACAATTAGTCAATCATCCCATCCATCCATCCATCCATCCGTTTATCCACTAAGTGGAAAATCTTGGATCCTTTGGCTTTGCTATGCAGATTAGTAGAAACATGGGTACAAGAATGTTTTTGAGGATTTAAGTAAAAACTTATTTGATAAAAACGTCTAGATTTTTTCAAAAACAGTCTTGGGATGAGGCTTAAAACCTTTTAAAGTGTTTAAGCCAAGTTTTATTAATTTGAATTATCTGTCTTAGAGAATATATATATACACACACATATACATATATTTATATAAGATTTATATACATAATTTCACATGTAACTTTATATATAATTATACACATATATACACACACCCATAGACATGCAATTGTTCCACAGTATGTATGAGGGACTGGTTCCAGGATCCCTGTAAATACCAAAATTTCAGGATGCGCAATCACTTATGTAAAATGATGTAACATTTGCATATAGGGTATATTTGCATATACAATATACAGTCATCTGTAGATTTCTTATAATACCTAATACAATGTAAATGCTGTGTAAATAGTTGTTATGCCATATTTTTAAGTTTATATTGTTTTTTATGGTTACATTATTATTTTAAAAATATTCTTGATATGTGGTCGGTTGAATCCACAGATTCCAAACATGAGGACGTGGAGAGCTGACTGTATTTATATAATATATTCATATATAAACATATATAAAATATGATATGTATTTAAAGAGAATATACATACAACTTTTTTGTTATTAGGCTCTGCCTACATCAGAAGATTTGAAGCAATTAACACAACACAGATATTGTCTGGTGCCATTAAAAAGAATTATGTTGTGATGAGGTTATTTTTCTACGTGTAATGAGAACAAGTTGAGTTTTAATAAAAGTGTATCTTTAAGCTTCCGGGTAACCAACGCAAAAGGGTAACATATTTCTCCGTGTCTGATAGTGAGAAGTTCCTCTCTTAATCTGTTGATAAACTCATTGGTAGCATTAAAATAAAAGAGTTCCTTCATACATTTTATGGTAAGAGATATTGAATAATAATTTGAAAAATGTCTCCACTAGCAAGGTTACAAAAGGAGACTAGAGAATGATTTTAAATAACTTTTTTGCTTCAAGTTATATAAACTATTTGACTAAAAAGATGACTAGTCAGTAAGTCCTGCTTTAGGACTAGACTAGAAAGATGCACAATTTAGCACATTAATTTTTAATACATAAACGCTAAAATATTTGAAATCTTTGTAGAATAATTTGATAATCTCCTTCCAATATTAACAATTGTACCTGGGTTTTCTAGGTTACTAGGAAACCTCCTATTTAGCACTTTCTACACAAAATAGCCCTCCTTTCTATTCCCAGCCTGAATTAGGTATACCTCTCCTATGGCCACAAGTCTCTTATAGCACCTGTCACTTTGGGTCTAAGTAATTTGGGCATATAATTATCTTCCTCTTAATTGAGAAACCTTTATGACAGGAAACATCTATTAGCCATATTTATGTTCTCAAGCAGCATAGTTGGCCCTCAGCAGATGTTCTATGTATAAATTGATGGAACCATGAAATAATTAATTAATGAGCTGGCTTCTTGACCTTGTCTTCACAAACAGGTTAAAAAAAAGATTTGCATCTTCCAAATCATACCTTACTTAGAAATGAGAATTTCCAAATGAATGGCTGTTAGTTTCCTTTCTAAGCATGAAAATTTAATTCATTCTTGTTAAATGCACACTCTCAAGCAGGATTGTTGGCATCTCTCTATTTTCACCCTGGTAAAGGAAGTCGGAAGGACTACTCTGACAAAAGCAGCACTAAACTATAGAGTAATTACCATAAGTTACTGCAACTTCGGGATTTGGAAATTAATGGTGTTGGGGAGAAGGTTAAATATGCATTGCTCCCATTAGTGCAGGATTGGATTTTATTGCCATTTTCTACCCTTCTTTCAAGAATGCCTGTCATTCCAGAGCGAGACTCCGTCTCAAAAAAAAAAAAAAAAAAAAAAAAAAAGAATGCCTGTCATTCATGGGCATCATAATTAAAGTCCACTGCAAATAAGGAGAGTTGAAAAAGGAGTTTCAGACATTAGAGCAGCATCCTCTGCATATGACTCCTTATAACATTTAGTTATTTTTCTATGGCAGTGCTTTTTAAATATTATATATATATTATATATATATATATATTTTTTTCTGTTGCATCAGATTCTGTTGCATTTGAGCTTTCAATATGACCCTGAAAGGTGAGGGAAACAATCAATTACTTTTGACATTTCAAACCAATAATAAATTTACTGGATAAAATCCCAAAACTTGGAACCCTACTGTAAACTTTTTCTAAATTGAAATGTGGTATAACTGATTTCTGCTGTAATCAAAGTAAAGCCCAGAAGAGGAGCTTCTAATAGTCCTGATGTCTGTGGAATTGAATTTTAAAGCCTCTCTTCTATACTGTAAAGCCAATATTTCAAATAAGAGCTGGGAAAATGGAACTCTGCATCCTTAGCACATATTTAGCTCTTTTTGGGCCCTACCTTCATTGTTCACTCCCTGTATTGTTTAATTCCTGAACATGTCTCTCTTACCCACTCAAATGTTAGCTTTTTTCAGGGAAGCAGCTAAGCTTGTTTCACATTCATGCATATTTTTGAGGCCCTGGCTTATTAACTGCATAAGAGATTCATTATGTTCTAATTCAAAATGTACAATGTGCACAAAAATGCTCAGTTGTGGCACATTTGAACCTATTCATGTCTTTAAACATGAAGTTCAAGATAGAACATCTGCAGTTCTTTGTCTTAGGCTTTGCATTAATTTTCTATTGCTGTGTAACATATTATTAAAATCTTAGTGGCTTAAAACAATACAAAATTACTATCTCACATTTTCTGCAAATTAAGTCTGCAATGGTTTCACTAGCATCTCTGCTCAGGACCTGCATGGCTGAAATCAGCTGCTGGCTAGGGCTACTATTTTGTTTGAGGATCAGGTTCCCCTTCCGATTTTATTTAGGTTCTTGGCAGAATTCTTACCTCCAGTCAGGGGTTATTCTTAGTTTCTAGAGGCTGCTGCCATTCCTTGCCATGTGGCTGTCCCCACAACATGACAGTTACTCCTTCAAAGCCAGCGAGAGAATATCTCTGCTGCTTTGAATCTCTGATCTTCTCTGTTTCTGACCCGAGACCCAGATTTAAAGGGCTCATGTGATTAGGTCAGGCTTGTCTGGATAATCTTCCTTTCAGTTAACTCAACTGACTGGGAAACTTGATTATATCGGAAAAATCCCTTTGCCATATAAAGTGAAATAATAATGGGAGGGCTAATTAATCATACTCACAGGTCCCATCGACAGTCATTGGGAGGGGATTATATAAGGGTGAGGATCATCATGGGTCATCTTAGAATTCTGCCTACCACAAATTTACAAATTAAATTGTTGAGTTTGTAATTTAATATCTGAAATATTAAAATATATATATTTGTATTTAAATATATATATGTGTATGTGTGTTTCTGTGTATGTGAGTGTGCACGTGTATATATATGCAATAAACATTTCTGGATAGAACCTTCTAGGTCAATCAAAATTTATCTGAAAAAGGCACAATGCAATATGAACACATAACACTGTAAAATTACAATTTTACAGTTTCTCAATTAAGAAACTTCTAACTTCCACATACTGGCCTACCCTGGGGAATTTGAGAGCAAATACGGGCTTTTTCTTCAGCTCTTCCTGAAGCTGGGTAGTGTTACTCAATGGAAAATCTGTGCTCCATTCACTGCTGGACATTCTTGGGTCTTATTATTAGCATTTTACAGTGACCACGGGTAATTCATGTGACTTTTATGGCGACATGAAACACAGTGTGAAAATTAACTGCAGCTTCTTTCCAGTGTGGAATCTTCCCTGACTACTTCTGTGGGTAATTTCATGAGAGCATCCTTTTTAGCAACAAATCTAGTTTTCTATAACAATCTATCAGTGACCTGAGCTCCTCAACATATTAGACCCAACAATTTCTTTGTACTGATGCTTCATGGTCAGAAATGCAAACCAAATCTTAATTCAATTCATACTTTAAAAAACAGCTAAAAGAATAATAACTTCATTTTTCTTGAGCAATTACTCTCTTGCAGGTTATGTGATAACCATTTTACACACAATATATCCTTTTTAAGATGAAAAAGCTGAGGAAGAAATAAGTTTCATTATTTGCCATCACACAGTTAAAAAGAATCAGAGTCTAAGTCGGAGGCTCTCTGAAACCAAACCTCTTTTCTAGGGCCATTGGTTACCACTTCCTGTGATTTTCCATCTTGGCGAATAGCAAAATACCTACCCTATTCTTTTCCATTTTCATTCCTCAAGCTCTCAGGTATGCAATTAGGTTAATTTCTGGTTAACTGAGTAAATTAAAGTTGGGGGTATTGATTTACACCCCAGCCAGATTTTTTATTCAGGAATATTATTGGGGTTTTTTTTTGGCAAGTTAAACATATTAAAGCTTACGGTTAATATTTTTAAGCATAAATATATTTAAATACTCAAACATGAAATTAGCTTTTGTTTTGTCATAGCCATTGAAAATGTATGGTATTTACTTTTCTTTTTTTTGTGTGTGTGTGTGTTTATTCACCATCATAAACATTCCTAGCATGTATAAACACTACTCTGTTTGATATTGTGCTGACTTTTACATAAATTATCTCATGTAAGCCTCATAAAAATTTTCAAAACAAATATTATGAACCTCACTTTATTGGTTAATAAACTGAGTCTCAGGTTAAATAACATAGAAAGTCATATCACTAGTACTAGAGCTGGAAGTGAACTTTTTCTACTTCTTTCAAATACATCAGGTAATCTTCCCTGGCATACATTAGTGATCTAAAGGGAAGGGACCATGTTTTATAACTTTTCATTTTTTTTTGAGTGCTTAGCATGGTGTCCTATAAACCCTAGGTTACCTTGAAATGTTAGTTGAAATTCAAAGGCTAAAACGATGTTCTTTCATAGAAATTAATCTTAAGGAGAAAGGAAACTAGCAAAGACTACAGAATATTCATATTATTAATGTCCACAAGGTGTATCTTAAAGTTGGGAAATTTATCCCAGCAAAGATTGTAAATATTATTTTAATAGCACCAACTATTGGTATTGTTTTTGAAGAATAATAATAAAAACTTGCATTTGGAAAACTTCCTAGTTTATGACATACTTTTACCTTCTACCGTTGTCTTCAATCAATGAATGATTTTCATTAATAAACTTATAAATGCACCCCCAAGATATTATGCCAATGAACAGGAAGGAATAATTGCCTTAAACTGGAAAAGTTTAAAATAAATTCTTAGTTTAAAAAAAATCAGCCAGCAACAGGATATACTTCATCTGGCTGTAGCATTTTGTAAAGAATGGACTTGTAAGTCCTCCTACTTAGCTAAGAAGGCTTTTCTAGGTGTAGTGAGCTGTTTCAAGCAAGCCATTTCAATAATGCAAGAGTGTAAACTACTTTAGAATTACACTGTAAACAGAATTTTCAATCTTGTATTGCAATTATACATTAAATGCAGAATCAGCTTAGAATATAGAAATCCCCAAAACTGTTGACAGGAATAAAAAAGGGACTTGATTCTGTAAACAAGGGCACAATTTCCCAGCAGCTGGCTTGGGTTGCCCAGCAGCCACTCAATTAAGTTTTTGCTGCATAGGCAAGTTCCACAGACGTTTATTGTGAGCAACACATTCATGGAAAAAACTGGGCACTGAATACCTACATTAGTCATCTCTTTTTTTCCTCATTCTTAAAATTGCCTCAATGCAGAATAATGAAGCATGGGAGCCAGGCATGACAATGTGGCCAAAATCATGGATATTAGAATTGATTTGTCTGGGTTCAAATAGGAGACATGGCCCCTAAAGGAACATGGGCAATTAACATTTTAATGGTAACTTAGCCTTCCCATCTATACATTGGGGATAATGTTTCTATCTACCTCTTAGGCTTATTGTAAATTCTAAAAGATACAGTACATGGAAAAATATTATCTCAGAGCTTGAAAGTGTAACTCCTAAAAAAAGTATATATTTTTTCTTTTTTATTGACACATAATAGTTGCACATGTTTGTAGGAGAAACAGTAATATTTCTATACATGCACACAATGGATAATGATAAAATCAGGGTAATTAGAGTATCCATCAACTGAAATATTTATCATTTCTTTTTGTCATAAACATTCAAAATCCTGTTTTCTAGCTATTGAAAATATATAATAAATTATTATGAACCATATTTACTCTACAGTACTATGTCACTAGAACTTATTATTTCTATTTAACTGTAATTCCATGCCCATCAACCAATCTCTCCCTATCTTTTCTTCCCCGCTACCTCACAGCCTCTAATAACCAGAATTCTATTCTCTACTTCTATGAACTCATTTTTTTTTTAGCTTCCACATATGAGTGAAAGTGGATGGTATTTGTCTTTCCATACCTGACTTATTTCACTTAACATCATGTCCTCCAGGCTCATCCATGTTGCTGTGAATGACAGGGCTTCATATTTTAATGGCTCAATAGTATTCTATTGTGTACATATACCACATTTTCTATATCCATTCACCTGGCTGTGGACATTTAGGTTGATTGTATATCTAGGCTATTGTGACTAGTGCTGCAATAAACACTGGAGTGCAGGCGTCTCTTCAATATACTGATTTCCTTTGTATAAATATCCAGTAGCGAAATGGCTGGATCATGTAGTTCTATTTGATGTTTTTAGAGAAATCTCCATACTGCTTTCCATAGAGGCTGTACTAATTTACATTCTCACCTACAATGTATAAGAATCTCGTTTTGTCTGCATCCTAGCAAGGACTTGTTATTTTTTATCTCTTATAATAGCCATCATAATGAGGATGAGATGATATATCATGGTGATTTTGATTTGCATTTCTCTGATGATTTGTGATGTTCAACATTGTTTCTCATATACTTCTTGGTCACCTATATGACTTCTTTTGGCTTTGTCCACTTTTTGATCAGATTATCTATAATTAATGTTGAGTTATTTGAGTTTCTTATATATTCTGAATATTAGTCCTTTGTCAGACGAATAGTTTGGAAATATTTTCTCCCATTCTACAAGTTGTCTTCCCTCTGTTGATGTTTCATTTTCTGGGCAGAAGCTTTGTAGTTTGATATATTTCTATTTGTCTATTTTTGTAATTTTCACTTGTGCTTTTTAAATCTTACTCATCAAATCTTTGCCTAGACAAATGTCCTGAAACATTTTCCCTATGTTTCCTCCTAGTAGTTTTATCGTTTCAGGTCAAACATTAAAGGCTTTAAACCATTTTTAGTTTATTTCATATACAATGAGAGATGGAGGTCTAATTTTATTCTTCTACATATGAATGTCCTGTTTGCCCAGCACCATTTGTTGAAGAGAGTGTTCTTTCCCCAATGTGTGTTCTTGTCATCTTTGTTGAAAATCAGTTGGCTGTAAATACATGGATTTATTTATGGGTTGTTTGTTTGTTTTTGAGATGGAGTCTTGCTCTGTCACCCAGGCTGAAGTGCAATGGCACAATCTTGGCTCACTGCAACCTCCGCCTCTTGGGTTCAAGCGATTCTCCTGCCTCAGCCTCCCAAGTAGCTGGGATTACAGGTGCCCACCCCCGCGCCTGGCTAATTTTTGGATTTTTAGTAGAGACAGTGTTTCACCATGTTGGCTAGGCTGGTTTCAAATGCCTGATCTTAGGTGATCCGCCCACCCTGGCCTCCCAAAATGCTGGGATTACAGCTGTGAGCCACTGCGCCTGGCCTATTTATGGGTTCCATATGCCATTGCATTGATTCATGCATCTCTTTTTATACTAATACCATGCTGTTTTGGTTATTATAGCTTTGTATTATTTTTGAAGTCAGCAAGTGTGATGCCTCAAGCTTTGTTCTTTTTGTCCAGTATTGCTTTAGCTACTCAGGGTCTTTTGTGGTTTATCGTGAAGTTTAGGATTCTTTTTCCATTTCTGTGAATAATGTAATTGGTACTTTGATTCTCTAGATTGGGTAGCATGGTCATTTTAACAATATTAATTTTTTTCAATCTAGGAGCCTCAAATGTCTGTTCATATTTTGTGGCCTCTGTAATTTTTTTTTATCAGTGTTTTGTAGTTTTCATTGTAGAGATCTTTAACTTCCTTTGTAAATTTATTTCTAGATGTTTTTTAGTAGCAATTATAAATGGGATTGTTTCTTTGATTTCTTTTTCAGCTAGTTTATTATTACTGTATAGAAATGCTATTGAGTTTTGTATATTGATTTTGTATACTGCAATCTTAATGAAATTTATCAGTTCTAAGAGGTTTTTGATGGAGTCTTTAGGTTTTTCTTTATGTAAGATTATGTCATCTACAAAAAGGAAAAACATGATGTTCTCTTTTTCTATTTGGATGCCTTTATTTCTTTATCTTGCCTAATTGCTCTAACTAGGACTTCCAGTACTTTGAAGAATAAGTGTGGAGAAAGTGGACATTCTTTTCTTGTTTCAGTTCTTAGAGGAAAGGCTTTTAATTTTTCCCTGTTCAGTGTAAGATTAGTGGTTAGTTTGTTCGTTTTTTTTCCTCACTTGCCTCTTTTCCAAGGTGGTGACTATATAAAGGTTACCTCTCCAGTATATGTTCACAGTCACAAAGGGAGGCCTACGAGGGAATGCTGTGGTTTACTCTAATATGGAGAGGTGTAATCTCGTCCCTGGAGAACTCCTGTTGGTGTTTGCCCAGGAATGACTAATTCCCTATTTTTGGAGTTGACAACCACTGCCAAAACTCCTGGCATGGACCCTGCTCTGTGGCCAACTCATGCTGCTCCAATTCCTCTGATAAGTTCCACTGGCAGCCCTCTTAGCAGCTCTATACCCTGCTGGCAGGGCACACAGGACTCCTGGGGCTACTGCACATGGCATGTTGACCATGGCCAAAGAGGGAGTAGCCCTGAGTACTTATTTCTAGACCCTTTCCTCTGCCCTTGCTCCTCTGCTGCTCCTAAGCCTTGCTGCATGTGGTCAGGAGCAGCATACTAGATATTATTAGATTTTCCCGTTTCTTTCAAGGAGTTTTATCACTCCAATTTCCACTTTCATCAATACCTAAAGTGTTGGAAATTGTGGGTTCCTTTTAGGGACTCATGTAATATTCTCTCCATGGATTCATCCCCTGTAAAACATCCTTCTACTTTAGCAATGAGGAGCTTCTACTTGCTTTTCCTACCTGGGAGGAACTTTCTTTAGTTAATGCTCTGTCACCACTACATAATGGTTCAATGAAAAAAAAATATGGTTCAAATTATCCAGAACTAGATTTATATTTTAAAGGGATGCTTTAAAATTAATAAAATTCTTATCACTATAAAATGGGGTGTTCATTACTAATGTCTTATAACAGACTTCTTTGACCATCCAAAGCACCCACAATTACATTCATTTTAGCATTTATCACATTGTTTTATAACTGTGTACTTATCTATCTCCCCCTCTAAACTACCTGCTCTTCAGGGCATAGACAGATTCATTAATGCATGAACAGATGAACTTGAGCAGGAGGAAAGGGACCAGGCCTGAACCACTTGATCAAAGTAAAGATGAAAAAACACTTATGAATCAGTAAAACATGTATGAGCCAATAAGACGGTTTCCATTTTGTTCCCAGAAATGTTTACTATGTTTATGCCCATAGAAACCTCAGCAAATTCCGGACTTAAGAAATAAATTTTTATGGCCTGTTGTAACACTTTATTTTTTGTGTTTCTTAGAAGCCTAAAAAGGAAACCAGTATACTTAAATATATTAGTAAAATATTTGTATCGTTAAAATATTTGTAGTTTTACACATAATTGGGAAAAGGTAGCATGGTGTGACATGGGAAATTCTTGACTAAGAGATACATATTCTGTATTCTAGTCGTGCCATAGTTCCTCAATAGCTGCATGATGCTGGTCAAGTCATGTAAAGCTTAGTCCTCAGTTCCATGGCCTGTACACATTAAAACACTCACTATTAAGTTGCTACAACATTTAATTTGTGTAAGCTTCATATTCAGAAGATGTAAAGTCAGATGAGAAAAACACTACTTGAAAAAAATGTTATAAGAACTAAATGAGGCTATATTTAGAAAAATATGTTGTGCAGTGATAAGAATATAATAAAATATAAGATTTATATTTAAGATATATTAGGCACTTATTATGAGCTTACAAGAATTTCCTATGTATTAACTTACTTAATTCTCACAACAACTTTAACAGAAATCCACATAGTAGTTGTTATTATACTAACCTGACCCTCTATTGGCAGTATCAGATAAAGCTTTTCAGTTCTCTCAGCATCTAGTCTGTGTCTTGAATCATCATGTTTGCTCCATCTCACCTGCCACCAGGGCTAATTCTGTCCATGCTCACATGGTTCTGCTTCCTGAAGCTGATCAGCTATGTGCTCTAACAGACTTTGGATTCAGTTGAAGGGCCATATCACAAGGTATAGGACCTTGCACCCAAGGTGGTTACCAAATGGGTGAAGTGATGTAAACCAGAAGTGCAAAGGACATAGCTTCCTCTGGGGGGAAATGTTGATCACTGTGCATCAGAGGATAGGAGAAAGTAATTAGTCTTTTTTTTCTTCTCCCTTCAATAACAGTTCTGTCTATTCACACTTTCTGGAAACACACTAGGAACCTAAGCCAGTGTACTGACTCTGTCAACTAAGTGTATTGCCCTCACTCAAATAATGATACAATAACCAGTGTAACAATACATTGCTTCTCATCCTTCTCTGCCTTATTTCCCCTTTCCTTCACTTTTAATGTCCCAGGATTGCATGTCCCAAATCAGCATTGGCATCTAAATATTGCAACAGGCTCTGCTTTCCTGGGAATCAGGGTTAAGATAAATTCCTCCCTGACTATGATACTGATGAGAAACATAGTAATGACAGCCTCTTATATTTGTAGAATGCAATGCAGTTGTAGAGCTCTTCATCACTTTATTTTTCTCATGAGTATCATTCTACTCCAGTTAACAAAAGCTATTGTAAACAGAGCACTATAATCTCAAACTTTACATAACATTTCTTTAAAAAATATTTCCATACTGAAGTATTATTTATGTACAATAAAATAAATGCTCAAATCATAATTGTTGAAGATTGTTTAAACAATCTTAATTGTTTGATGATCTTTAACAAATAAAATTTCCTGAACTGTCATCACCCAAGTCAAGATACAGAACATATTTATCATCCCAAAAAGTGTCATGATGACTCTTTCTAGTCAATCATTTCACTTCCAGAGGCAACCACTCTTCTGATTTATATAACCATATACTAATTTTGTCAGTCCTTGAATTTTATATAATTAAATTATAGCATTTTATATCTGGCTTCTTTCTCTTAGAATAATATTTTGAAGATTCGGCTATGCCCTTTTGGGTTTCAGTATTCCATTACTTTTTAATGCTGAGTGGTATTCCATCTAATGATTGTACTGTAATTTGTTTACCTAGTTATTTGTTTACTTTGAATGACATTTCTTGTTCACATCATTTTTTTATTAACTAATAGCCAACTGATAATCTGAGCATGAGGACAATTTGTCTCTATCGATAGTATATACAGAGTAACTCTCTGTATCTGGATCAAAAGTGATAATTAATAATGGACTCTAGAAAATAAGCCTCTTACAACTAAATTTGCAGATGTGTGCTCTGCAAAACATAAAGTTCTAAGAACTGATTTTTTATAACAAAAGTTTTTGTAATCAAATAAAATGTGAAAACTCTGTAACTCTCTCACAAACATACTAGCTTCTTACAAGCTCTGAGATTTCCTGCAGTTAAAGAACCTTGTTTATTGTTTTGAACCCAGATTTCCAAAGTTTATTAACCTTAGAACTCCCCCTATTTGGAGTTTTCTTATTTATTTTAAAATCGTTGGTCTACATACATTTTTTTAGCTATCTATCTATCCATCCATCTGCATCTGTCTACATATGTACACACATACACCAATGCATAACATTGTACTACTACTAACACACATGTACATACATGTTTTTTAATGGTATGCACCTAACTGGATTATTGAGGCAGTTATCAGATTAATTTAATGAACAGTATTCTAACCCAAGTCTAATGCTCTATAAGAACAAATTCTCCTGTACTTAAGGAATAAAAACTCATGAAATATGCAGATCATATAAAATCCCCAACTGTTGGTATGAGGCACAGAGAAAGGTAGAGAGTTTTCCCAAAGCTACATTAAAGTTCATGGAAGAGCGTTAAAATTTTTTCCAATGATCCTCTCTAGTTTGCCTCTTTATATATATTAAACATTTTTGAAAATAAATATACACATGGAGATGAGGGATCACAGAAAGTGGGGCAAGCTGCATGCCCACTGGGGAGTGATGTGGTATGTATGTGTGTGAGGGCTGAAATGAGGGTAAAGGTGGATGGAGGAAGGGGATGATAGAGAGCAACTGAATGTCCGTGAGAAAGAGTGTAGAAAGGGCAGAGTGGGGGTGTATGGAAGGCCAATGTCATATCCTCTCCATAGAACAGGACTGTGTGTGCTATGACTATGGATTCTTGGTAAAGGTATCTTAGACTTTTCAGTTCAAACAAATTATACAACTGAGACTCTCATGAGAATGTTTCCTTTTAGATTTTTGTATGAAGACATTTGACACAGGTCAATAGTAAGATTCCTCTACAAGAACGTGTGAAAAATTATGACTCATAATTAAAATGTAGAATGAATGTATAATGCCAAAGATCCAAGATAAGCAAAAACATCATAAGAGATGGAAAGAAAACTAAGCTCTTCACCCAAGGGATTAACTTCTCTATAGAGAAATGTGCCCATTAGGAAGCAGCTCATCAGTCAGGAAGTGCAGAAAGGAGGAGCTAGAGATTCTAGTCCAGTCAGTTTCTATCCTCCCAGTGCGAAGGAGAGTCCTCATACAAATCCTCAATATCCCAGTCCCTGTGGCCAAGTGATTTATGCTGTGTAGATTTTCTCATTGAGACATCAGAGACTATGTCTGGTGATACTCAACACACTCACAACCACTGAGTGACCTGACATATTTCCATGTTCAGCAAGCAAATTTAGGTCGTAATTTGGCTTCCCAAGAAGATTTGCTTAGTGGGAGAGTGAACTGGTCATATTGATGCAAATGTACTCATCCTTTTGACAGTTATACTTCTCATTGTAAATCAATAAGATAGGCTCTGCTTTTTACATCACTCATCCTAAGTTTGATTTGTGAGAATTCAAAAGAGCACTTCTTAATATGCTAACCAGTTATATGCTTAATATGCTAACCAGTCTTTGAGCTGGTGAGGCTGAAGGCCAGCCTGTAGACCATGTCAAATTCTCTAAGACAAAGACAGCCAGCTGGCTTTTCCCTTGAAACCCTCAACTCTTCTGTGTTTTTAGCTTCAAATCTTTACCAATCCTATCCAGAAATGAAACATATGCCTAAAGCAAACTAAAGATTGCATTCAATGAAAAAATTCCTTTAGTAGGTGGGTTTTTCCCAAGCCCAGGAAAATACTAAATATAGTAATTATTAAAGAATACTGGAAAAACAATTGAATTTTTCCTGTCTTCAAACCTTCAGTTACATTTACTAAGATGTCAAGTTAGCTTTTTATTTCTGTGGCATATTATGTAGAGGGGAGTTTAGGTGCAAAAATTTATATTTTCAATGATGTGCACTAATGATTTTAGGAAATTGCCATATTGTTATTGCCCTGTTTTAATAAACATTGTATCTAAGGTATTCTCTGTGCTTCAACGCAGGTAAGATAAGCTAATTTATTCTAATACCTATCTTCTTGACACTGAGTAAATTCTTCCTAATGCACTAATTATGACTCCAGATAGACCAATGATTATTTCATATATGCTAATTAGGAATCACTTTATTCAGTCAGCCATACACATCAGTAAACAAGTGTAATGAATTCCCCAGGGAGGTGATAAAAAGACAATGATTTGCTTTTCACTACAGCTTGGAGAATTTACCCTACAATCAAGGAGTAATTAGAGAAGAAAATGAAGAGTTAGAAAACATATTTGCAGGTGTGAGCACTTGGCAAAGCATGTTTCTTTGCAAAGATGAAATTGAAATGGATATCTTCGTTACTAAACATATATGGAGAAATACGTTAGTTATTATGCTCTCCTTTCATAAGTAAGCAAAAAAAGATACAATCAAATGTAATCATCTCATTTAAATGCTAGATTTACACAAGGGCAAAAAATGAAATCAACTCAGTATGTTCCTAATTATTTATTATTTTATTGTAGGGTTTTACCCCCTCAATATCAAGCTTATTTTGCAATAGACCTCTCATTCTAACTTTGAGTTCATTGTTGAGTGATTAAAATAAGGAACAGAGGTGGTGGTTAGGAGACGCAGAGTCGTTAAACTAACTGATTTAACTGCTATCTGTATTGGACTTTGCATTTTCCATCCTAATTTTTGCTTCCAAAGACATTTTCAAAAACTGTCATGTTGAGGGAAGAGGTATGGCTTTACAATACATCATTTGTTATCTATCTATTTTTTCTTATCAAGTCAGATGTCACAAGTACAAGCTGTATTCTTCCAGTATAGCTTTTAGACTTAGTTTGACTCTATTTAATTTGCTTGCTTGCCAATTATTGTTACGTGGCGCCAGTAAATACAATCTTATAACTAATAATGATCCATGTTAGTTATGGTAAAATTCTCAGAGGTTCTATAGTTCACATTAGGGGTTGAAAGAAGAACATTTTAATTATTTGGAAAGCAGTCAAACAACAAATCAAACATTAACAGACTAAAAGCTTCTTTATAAAATTATAATTTAGCTTCTGGGCTTTAATAATAACTTGTTTTTCTGACCATGGAAAGACTTTAGAAAAAGTAAGCAAGCCATTCTATTAGTCGTAATTCAGGAATAAAATCTTGAACTCATGAACAACAGCCTGAAATAAGGGAGAAAGGTCCCAGCTTATTAAAATTAATGTCAATCAGTTTAGACAGGAAATCAATAATTGTCCACTTAACATTGTCCATTCTGCCATAATAGTGAGAAATAAGCTTCATATCTATTTTAGTTCCACTGAAACTTTACTAGGAATTTATTGTGGATGGGTAAGTTTAGTCATTTTGGAAAACACCTTGGAATAATTTGCCAAAATAATCATAGGCTTCATGCATTTAGCTGTGTTTCCTCTGTTAGTCTAACTTGGACTGATCATCAGAGGAAACCATGAAAAAAGATTTTGAAAGAAGAATGTGCAAGAACGTAAACATTGGTAGCATCTTTTGAAATCTTAAAAATCATCTTTTTTATTTAAATATGTTTGCTAATAAATAATGGGTTTATGACACTATAATAACACGTGTTTCAAAAGCAGAGATTATCTCAAAAGTATCATAATTCTAGTTCTAAAAAAGGAGCACATTTAGGCATAGGGCAATCATTTACTATCTTCATTTAATAAAGTTATGAAAATAGAAGTTATAGTAGCTCATGGATGATGAATTGAATGGTTATGACAAATGATGGGTTCCATAGAGAGGTAAGACTATTGTATGGTTCACTTCCTTCTAAATACTAAGTCCTAATTTTCAGATATATGTCCCACAAAAACCATTAGAGGAAACCATCTGGAAACTAAAACTCTCATTTACTCTTGAAAGGTTTACAGACATATGAGACGTTTTTTTAAAAAGAGGAAGAAAGTGAGAGAGCGATGATATGTTTATTGTGCACTGAGTATTAGTGGAAAGGAAATATTAGGATAGGTGTTGGAAAGGACAGGGAGCATCTAGCTAAAATATCTTACTTTATAAGAGAAAAGACAGATTTCCCCAAGAGCATTAGCTAATCAAAGGCAAAGCAGGAATTTGGAGGAATATTTTGGGGTTTCTAATTTAGCGTTCATTCCACTGTATCCAGCAATCTTATTTTTTCTAGCCCCAAAAGGGAAATTTTAATTTTAGTTTTCCTTTAATCATTTTTGAAATAAAATAAATTAATAAAATAGGGAAGCATTTAATTCTAGGTGATATCATGTTTTGCATTACGCTGAAATAATTGCTGACTTTAGGTGTGTAGGTATTTCTTCTCTCAGATTACTTATGTCATAATAACAAATATCGTAACATATCTCCATGAAACAAAATGCACTTAAATTCAATGATATTCTGTCACAACCACTCTTAAGAAATTACTCCATGAAGCTTTTAGCTTTAATCATTCAAGAACTCTACTAGAAAGAAATAATTAACGACCCCGTTGCAAGGTGTTAAGACACTGTCAAAAATGTTAAGCTCTGATTAATTGCTTTTTTATTTGAGTAGACATGAGATGCTCTTATGCTTTCCCAGCATGTAAAATGTCTCCTCAGAAGTAAAATAAAGCCATCATAAAAATAAACACGTTCTTATATGTCCAAGGCCTTTTAAAAATAAACACATAAGAGATGCTAAATACTGAAAGATGGCTGTCACCTAAGAAGAGGGTGGAGGCCATTCCTATATCAAAGTGGTAGTGGGTAGTGTCAAAGCATTCAAGTGGTGATTTAAAATGTAGCCACTTGAATCGTATTACAAACCCATACTATTTACGTTTGACTCTTGGCTCTCTACTTATGATCTGGATGATTCTGTGGAAGGTATCCAAATTACCCTGTGTTACCGGTGGCATATCCATGTGGGTGTGCAGCAACTTCAGTTCTTGCCTCCTCAGAAGACAGAATTCGACTGAGGGGTATAAGGCAGAGAAAGACACCAAGACACTAAAGCAAGTTTCAGAGCAGGAGCAGTTTATTTTAAAAGGCTTTCGAACAGGAAAGAAAGGAAAGTTCACTTAAGAGATCCAAGTGGGCTCCTGAAGATCAAAGAGAGCCTTTGACCTTGATCCTAGGGCTTTATAGGCTTGGGTCTTTCCCATGATTCTTCCCTTAGCTTGGGCTTCCCGCATGCGCAGTGCCCTCCTTACCCTTGGGAAGTGAGCACGCGCAGTGCGTTTAGGAAGTTGTACGCATACCCAACTGAAGCTTTCTTCCCTTCTCCAGTGGAGTGCACCTGGTAGGTCGTTTTTTGCCATTTCATCTCTTAACACACATTCCCAGAAAGTTTATTCTCGCTGGCATCTGCAATTCAATTAGTTCTTTAGTGTTGATAGCTGTGGATTTGATAGCTGTGGATGGTCAGGAGATTGTCTTCTCCCTGGCGCCCAGGCACTGGCTGCCAAATTATTATTTTTAGAGAGCAGTGTGATAATCGTCAAACCATCACCTGATACTCCTAGTGAGTAGGGGGAGAAGAGGCCTCTCCTGCCCCACTCATGCCAATCTAACTACCTGTAACATTTGCACAGGTGAAATAATCTCTCTCTACTTAACTTGTCCCATCTGTATAATGTGACTAATAATGGCATCAGTTACTATTAGGGCTTCTGTGAGAGCTAAATATGCTTGCTAAAAAATGAAAGAATAGCATAAAGCAAGCAATCAATAAATTTGACATATGCTGCAATGACAATTATAAACTCCCTTTCCTCTCTGATCCATTCCTATGTAGATTACCTAGAGAGGTCTGATCTTAGCAACAGATGAATGGGACATTGGCCAAAACCAATTTTCATATTTTAAAAGTCAATTATGGATTGTTTTATGTAAAAATATAGCAAGGCATTTGATTAAATTGGAAGTGAAGGTTTTAATCCGTTTTCTAGTCACATTTGCACCCTTAAATTCCATGTTTCTGAGACACTTTAAACCATTGACAAATTAAAAATATTACAATAAAAGACACAATTCTAACTCAAATATAAAATGCCTTGGCTAAAATATCTATTCCAGAGTTAAAACTATTGGCTAGCTTTGGGCTTAAATAGAAAAATCACAATTCATGATGCATCTTGAATTAAATAGAATATAGTTTAAATTTGGCAACAATTTAATTCTATTGGCAAATATTTCCTGTATCATTATACTCATTTAACAGCGACTCCAAAGCATAGGTGGAGATTAGTGTTTTCAGCCAACTAACGAAGCATTTATTGACCTGCTGCTGAGTACTGATTAATATCCTAGGAGCTAAGGTGTATCTTTAAGTTTCTCATTTACTTCTATTTTTTAAAATATACTGTCTGAAATAGAAAATTAGTAAGTCATATAAATTCAATTGAACAAACATTTATAATACCTAGCACTATGCTAGATGGGTAAGGGGAAAGTAAGATGATTGAAATAGGATGTCTTTCCTTAAAAATAATACAAATTTGCCGGGGAGATATTTATAATCATAATAATTGATAGATGTTACATGTTGTAGTAAGTACTTTATATGTGTTGTCTCGATTCATTTTCACAACCACCCTATAGCTAGGTACTAACCTAACTCATAGTAAGAAAATTGTATCTTAAAGAGGTTGAGGGACTTTCTCAAGGTTACATGATAAAGGCTGGGAGAGGTTAATCACTCATTTGCATCACCACGGGTGGAGCCTCATTGTTCTACCTCTGCGTAGGCCTCTGAAATCTCCAACAAAAATAGCTCTAGGCTTCTGCAACTAGACACAATATTCCTTCAGGAGCTTCACACATTCTCTCCTTCCTTACAAATTTTAGTATATATAGCCAGGCACAGTGGCTACTCCAGAGCCTGAAGAGCAGGCTTTCGAGGCCAGCCTAGGGAAGATAGCAAGATCCATCTGTATAAAAAAAAAGAAAAGAAAAGAAAATTAGCTGGGCATGGTGGTGTGTGCCTGTAGTCCTAG
The DNA here is from genome assembly GCF_000001405.40 of Homo sapiens. Classification (NCBI taxonomy): domain Eukaryota; kingdom Metazoa; phylum Chordata; class Mammalia; order Primates; family Hominidae; genus Homo; species Homo sapiens. The sequence goes on from NC_000011.10 coordinate 21,784,423, forward strand.
CTACGATGGAGGCTGAGGCAAGAGGATAGCTTAAGCCCAAGAGTTCAAGAGTTCAAGTTTAAGAGTTCAAGTTCACTGTACTTGAACTCTTGAACTCTTGGCCTTAACCTATCCTCTTGCCTCAGTGATCATGCCACTGCACTCCACCTTGGGTGACAGAGTGAGACACTGTTTCTGGAAAAAAAAAAATCAAATCCATTATATTTTAATAAAAATATTCTATGAATAATAGCTCTACTTTCTAAATAAAAATAATTGATAAAAAGATATAATTTTTAAACACCATCTAAATTTATATCATTTTGAGAGGTTATTTGTCTATCTTCTAAGTTTTTAAAAAACTAACAGATACAATTGTATGAATTTATATGTAACACTAGATGTTTTGTAGTATATATACATTGTGAAATGACTAAATGTAGCTGTTATAATTAACATTTGTATTGCCTCACATAGTTATCATTTTTGTGATAAAAAAACTTAGTATCCACTCGACATTTTTTAATTTTTAGTTTTTAATTTTTATGGGTACATAGTAGTTGTACATGAGATGTTTTGATGCAGGCATGCAATACATAATAATCACATTATGGACAATGAGGTATTCATCCCCTCAAGCATTTATCCTTTATGCTACAAATAATTCAACTTTACACTTTTAGTTATTTTAAAATGTACAATTAAATTATTATTGACTCTAATCATTCCATTCTCCTATCAAATAGTGGACTTTATCACTCTTTCTAATTTTTTGTTGTACCCATAACCATTTCCACCTTTCACCCCACATGGACTACCCTTCCAAACCTCTGTTAACCATCCTTCTACTCTTTATTTCCATAAATTCAGCTGTTTTGATTTTTAGATTCCACAAATAAGTGAGAACATGCAATAGTTGTCTTTCTGTGCCTGGTCTATTTCAGTTGACAGAATGATCTTTAGTTCCATCTATGTTGCAAATGACAGGATCTCGTTTGTCTTTATGGTTGAATAGTACTCCTTTGTGTACATGTACCACACTTTCTTTATTCATTCATCTGTTGGATGGACTTTAGGTTGTTTCCAAATATTGGCCATCATCAACAGTGCTGCAACAAACGTGGGAGTACAGATATATCTTCTATATACTGATTTCCTTTCTTTTGAGCGTATACACAGCAGTAGGATTGCTGGATCATGTGGTAGCTCTATATTTAGTTTTTTGAAGAACTTCCTAACAGTTCTTTGTAGCTTGTACTAATTTACATTTCCAGCAACAGTGTACAAGGGTTCCCTTTTCTCCACATCCTCAGCAGCATTTTTTATGGTCTGGCTTTTGGATAGAAGCCATTTTAACTAGGGGGAGGTGATAGCTCATTGTAGTTTTGATTTGCATTTATCTGAAGATCAGTGATGTTGAGCACCTTTTCGTATTCCTGTTTGCCATTTGTATGTCTTCTTTTGAGAAATGTCTAATCAAATATTTTACCTATTTTTAATTGGATTTTTTTTTCATTTAGAGTTGTTTGAGCTCCTTGTGTATTCTGGTTATTAATACCTTGTCAGATGGGTAGATTGCAAATATTTTCTTCCATTTTGTGGGTTGTCTCTTCACTTTGTGTATTATACCCTCTTCTGTGCAGAAGCTTTTTAACTTGATGTGATTCCATTTGTCCACTTTTGTTTGGTTGCCTGTGCTTGTAGAGTATTACTTAAAAAATGCTTGTCCAGACCAATGTCCTAGAGAGTCTCCCAAAGTTTTATTATAGTAGTTTTATAGTTTGAGGTCTTAAATTTAAGTCATTAATCTATTTTGATTTTATTGTTGTATATGGTGAGAGATAGACATCTAGTTTCATTTTTCTGCATACGGATCTCCAGTTTTCCCAATGCCATTTGTTACAGAGACTGCCTTTTTTTCCAGTGTATAAACTTGGCACCTTTGTCAAAAATGAGTTCACTGTAGGTGTGTTGATTTGTTTCTTGGTTCTCTATTCTGTTCCATTGGTCTATGTGTCTGTTTTTATGCCAGTACCATTCTGTTTTAGTCACTATATCTCTGAGGTGTAACTTGAAGTCAGGTAATGTGATTTCTCCAGTTTTGTTCTTTTTGCCTAGGATAGCTTTGGCTATTCTGGGTCATTTGTGGTTCTATATGAATTTTATGGCTTTTTTTTCTATTTCTGTGAGAACTATCATCAGTATTTTGGTAGAGATTGCACTGAATCTGTAGATTTCTTTGGGTAGTATGAACATTTTAACAATAATGATTCTTCCAATCCATGAACATTGAGTATCTTTTTTATTTTTGGTGTCCTCTTCAACTTATTTCATTAACGTTTTATGGTGTAATTATAGAGATATTTTACTTCTTTGGTCAATTTAATTCCTAAGTATCAAATTTTATTGACGGCTATTGTAAATGGGATTACTTTTTAAAAATTTCTTTTTCAGATTGTTAAATGTTAACATTTAGAAATGCTATGGATTTTTGTATATTCGTTTTGTATCTTGAAACTTTACTGAATTTGTTTGTCAGTTCAAATAGCTTTTTTAGGTGGAGTCTCTAGGTTTTTCCAAATATGAAATCATATTATCTGTAAACTAGGCTAATTTGACTTCTTCATTCCAGTTTGGAAGCCCTTTACTTCTTTCTCTTGTCTGATTGCTCCGAGCATCCTTGTGGTGTTCCAGACCTTAGAGGAACATTTTTAGTTTTTCCCCATTGAGTATATTAACAGACATGGTGTCTCAACGCTTGTAATCCCAGCACTTTGGGAGGCTGAGGCAGGCGGATCACAAGGTCAGGAATTTGAGACCAGCCTGACCAACATGGTGAAACCCCATCTGTACTAAAAATACAAACATTAACCAGGCGTGCTGGTACACACCTGTAATCCCAGCTACTCAGGAGGCTGAGACAGGAGAATCGCTTGAACTCGGGAAACAGAGGTTGCAGTGAGCTGAGACCACACCACTGCACTCCAGCCTGGGCAACAGAGTGAGAATCTGTCTCAAAAACAAAGCAAAACAGTGGGTCCACTGTATATGGCTTTTAGTATGTTGAGGTATGTTACTTCCATACCCAGTTTTTTGAGGGTTTTCATCATGAAGGGATGCTGAATTTTATCAAATGATTTTTCAACATTAGTTGAGATGATCCTATAGATTTTGTTCTTCATTCTGTTCAGTATGATGTATCACATTGATTTAACTACAAATGTTGACTTGCATCCCAAGGATAAATTCCACTTGGTCAGAATGAATGATCTTTTGTCATGTCGTTGAATTTGGTTTGCTAATATTTTCTTGAGGATTTTTGCATTGATGTTCATGAGAGATATTAGCCTATAGTTTTCTTTTTTTGGTGGGTGTTTGTCTGGTTTTGACATCAAGGTAGTACTGACCTCATAGAATGAGTGTGAAAGTTCGCCCTTCTCCTCTATTTTTTGAAATAGCTTCAGTGGGATTGGTATTAATTCTTTAAATGTTTAGTAGAATTTAGCAGTAAAGCCATTGGATTCTGGGCTTTTCTTCACTTTGGGACTTTTTATTATGGCTTCTATCTTGCCACTTGTTATTGGTCTGTTCAGGTTTTTAATTTCTTCATGGATCAATCTTGGTAGATAGTATGTGTCTTGGCATTTGTTTATTTCTCCTAGATTTTTCAGTTTATTGGGCATGTGGTTTCTCATAGTAGTCACTAACAATCCTTTGAATTTCTGCAGTATCAGTTGTAATGGCTCCTTTTTCATCTCTGATTTTCTTTGTTTGGGTTTTATGTCTTTCTTTTTAGTTAATGTTGCTAAAGTTTTGTCAATTTCGTTTAACTTTTCAAAAAACTGAGTTTTTGTTTCCTTTATCTTTTGTATTGTTTCCTTCATTTCAATTTTATTTATTTCTGTTCTGATCTTGATTATTTATTTTCTACCAGTAATTTGGAGTTTGGTTCACTCTCGCTTTTCTCATTCTTTAAGATGTATCGTTAGATTGTTTATTGTTTTTCTTCTTTTTTGATGTAGGCACTTGTATCCATAAACTTCCCTCTTAGTACTACACTTGCTGTATCCCACAGGTTTTGGTATGTTGTGTATCATGTGATTTGTTCCAAGAAATTTTTCAATTTCCTTCTTAATTTCTGCATTGACCCAGTGGTCATTCAAGAGCATATGGTTTAATTTCCATATATTTGTATCACTGGTCATTCAGGAGCATATCGTTTAATTTCCATGTATTTGTATCATTTCCAAATTTCTTCTTGTTATATTGATTAATAGCTTTATTCTGTTGTGGTCAGAGAAGATGTTTAATATTATTTCAATTTTTGAATATTTTAAGACTTTCTTTGTGACCTAACATATGGTCTATTTTTGATAATAATCGACACGTTGAGGAGAAGAATGTGTATTGTGTAGCCATTGAATAAAATGTTCTATAAATATCTATCATATCAATTTGGTCTATAGTGCATATTAAGTCAAATGTTTGTTGATTTTCTGTCTGAAAGATCTATCCAATGCTGAATATGAGATGCTGAAGTCTTCAGCTATTATTGTACTAAGGTCTGATATGGTTTGACTCTGTCCTCAACCAAATCTCATGTTGAATTTTAATCCCCAGTGTTGGGTTAGGGACCTGGTGGGAGGTGATTGGATCATGGGGACAGATTTTACCTTTGATGTTCTTGTGATAGTGAGTGAGTTCTTATGAGATCTGATTGTTTGAAAGTATGCAGCACTTCCCTCATCACTCTCTCTCTCTTCTGCCACCATGTGAAAACGTACCTGCTTCCCCTTCACCTTCTGCCATGATTGTAATTTTCCTGAGGCCTTCCCAGCCATGCCTCCTGTACAGCCTGTGAAACGGTGGATCAATTAAAACTTTTTTCTTCATAAATTACCCAATATCAGGTAGTTATTCACAGCAGTGTAAGAATGGACTAATACAGGGTGCATCTCTCTTTTTAACTCTAATAATATTCGCTTTATATGTCAGAGTGTTCCACTGTTGGGGCATATATATTTAAAATTGTATCCTCTTGCTGAATTGACCCCTTTATCATAATATAGTGACCTTCTTTGTCTCATCTTATGGTTTTTGTCTTGATATCTATATTGTCTGATGTAAGTATAGCTGCTTTTGCTCTTTTTTGGTTTCCATTGGCATAGAATATCTTTTTCCATCCCTTTATTTTTATTCTATATGTGTCTCTATCGGTTAAGGATGTTTCCTGTAGGGAACAGATTAATAGGTCTTTCTTTTTCTTCAGTAAGCCATTCTATGTCTTTTGATTGGAGAATTTAGTCCATTTACATTCAATATAATTATTGATAAGTAAGAACTTACTCCTTCCAATTTTTTGTTTTCTGGTTGCTTTGTAGTCCTTTCTTTCTGTCTCTTCCCTTACTTTTCTCCTTGCTCTCTCGCTTCCTTGCTTTCTTTCCTATCTTCCTTTTAGTGAAGGTGTTTTCCTCTGGTGATATGATTTATTTTCTTGCTTTTTTTGTGTGTATCTGTTATGTTTTGAGGTTACCATGAGGGTTGCAAATACTATCGTATAACCCATTATTTTAAGCCAATAACAACTTACAACTGTTTCCATAAACAAAAAAGCGGAAAGAAAACTAATAAAGACTCTCTGCCTTAACTTTATCTTCTACTTTTAAACTTGCTGTTGTTTTTGTTTATATCTTCCTATATTGTCTATGTCTTAAAAAGTTGTCGTAGTTATTATTTTTGATTGCTTTATCTTTTAGTCTTTCTACTTATGATAAGAGTAATCTACATACCACGGTCAAAGTGTCACAGTATTCTGTGATTTCATGTGTACTTACCACCTGTGTGTTTGAAGGATATTTTTGCTGGATACATTATTGTAGGATAAAAGTATTTTTTCCTCAGCACTTTAAATATGTAATGCCACTCTCACCTGGCCTTTAAGGTTTCCACTGAAAAGTTTGTTGCCAGACATATTAGAGGTCTTTGTATGTAATTTGTGTTTTTTCTCTTACTGCATTTGGGATCCTTTGTTTGTTCTTGATCTCTGAGAGTTTGATTACTACATGCCTTGAGGTAGTTTTCATTGTGTTAAATCTACTTTATGTTTTATAATTGTCTTGCACTTGCACTATAAGATTGCTGATATCTTTCCTTAGGTTTGGGAAGTTCTATGTTATTATCCCTCTGAGTAATCTTTCTACCCTTGTTTCTTTCTCTACCTCCTCTTTAAGACCAATAAGTCTTAGATTTGCCCCTTTAAAGCTATTTTCTAAATCCTGCAGATGTGCTTTTTATTTTATTCTTCTTTCTTTAGTCACCTTTGACTGTGTGTTTGCAAATAGCCTGTCTTCATGCTTACCAATCTGTTCTTCTCCTTTATCAATTCTGCTATTAAAAGATTCTGATGCATTCTTTCCAGGATGTCAATTGCGTTTTTCTTTTATTATTATTATTATTATTATTATTATTATTATTATTATTATTACACTTTAAGTTCTATGGTACATATGCACAATGTGCAGGTTTCTTACATAGGTATACGTGTGCCATGTTGGTTTGCTGCACCCATCAACTTGTCATTTACATTAGTTATTTCTCCTAATGGTATCCCTCCCCCAGCTCCCCACCCCCTGGCAGGCCCCAGTGTGTGATGTTCCCTGCCCTGTGTCCAAGTGTTCTCATTGTTCAGTTCCCACCTAAGAGTGAGAACATGTGGTGTTTGGTTTTCTGTCCTTGCGATAGTTTGCTGAGAATGATGGTTTCCAGCTTCATCCATGTCCCTACAAAGGACATGAACTCGTCCTTTTTATGGCTGCATAGTACTCCATGGTGTATATGTACCACATTTTCTTAATCCAGTCTATCATTGATGGACACTTGGGATGGTTCCAAGTCTTTGCTATTGTGAATAGTACCACAATAAACATATGTGTGCATGTGTCTTTATAGCAGCATGATTTATAATCCTGTGGGTATATACCCAGTAATGGGATGGCTGGGTCAAATGGTGTTTCTAGTTCTAGATCCTTAGGAATTGCCACACTGTCTTCCACAATGGTTGAACTAATTTACACTCTCACCAGCAGTGTAAAAGCATTCCTATTTCTCCACATCCTCTCCAGCATCTGTTGTTTCCTGATTTTTTAATGATCACCATTCTAACTGGCATGAGATGGTATCTCATTGTGGTTTTGGTTTGCATTTCTCTGATGACCAGTGATGATGAGCATTTTTTCATGTGTCTGTTGGATGCATAAATGTCTTCTTTTGAGAAGTGTCTGTTCATATCCTTTGCCCACTTTTTGATGGGGTTGTTTGTTTTATTCTTGTAAATTTGTTTAAGTTCTTTGTAGATTCTGGATATTAGTCCTTCGCAGATGGGTAGATTGCAAAAATTTTCTCCCATTCTGTAGGTTGCCTGTTCACTCTGATGGTAGTTTCTTTTGCTGTGCAGAAGCTCTTTAGTTTAATTAGATTCCATTTGTCTATTTTGGCTTTTGTTGCCATTGCTTTTGGTGGTTTAGTCATGAAGCCCTTGTCCATGCCTATGTCCTGAATGATATTGCCTAGGTTTTCTTCTGGGGTTTTTAAGGTTTTGGTCTAACATTTAAGTCATTAATTCATCTTGAATTAATTTTTGTATAAGTTGTAAGGAAGGGATCCAGTTTCAGCTTTCTACATATGGCTAGCCAGTTTTCCCAGCACCACTTATTAAATAGGGAATCCTTTCCCAATTCCTTGTATTTGTCAGGTTTGTCAAATATCAGATGGTTGCAGATGTATGGTGTTATTTCTGAGGCCTCTGTTCTGTTCCATTGGTCTATACATCTGTTTCAGTACCAGTAACATGCTCTTTGGATTACTGTAGCCTGTAGTATAGTTTGAAGTCAGGTAGCGTGATGCCTCCAGCTTTGTTCTTTTTGCTTAGGATTGGCTTGGCAATATGGGCTCCTTTTTGGTTCCATATGAACTTTAAGGTAGTTTTTTCCAATTCTGTGAAGAAAGTCATTGGTAGCTTGATGGGGATGGCCTTGAATCTATAAATTACCGTGGGCAGTATGGCCATTTTCACGATATTGATTCTTCCTATCCATGAGCATGGAATATTCTTCCATTTGTTTGTGTCCTCTTTTATTTTGTTAAGCAGTGGTTTGTAGTTCTCCTTGAAGAGGTCCTTCACATCCCTTGTAAGTTGGTTTCCTAGGTATTTTATTCTCTTTGTAGCAATTGTGAATGGGAGTTCACTCATGATTTGGCTCTGTTTGTCTGTTATTGGTGTATTGTCTGTTTTTGGTGTATAGGAATGCTTGTGTTTTTTGCACGTTGTTTATATCCTGAGACTTTGCTGAAGTTGCTTATCAGCTTAAGGAAATTTGGGGCTGAGACGATGTGGTTTACTAAATATACAATCATGTCATCTGCAAACAGGGACAATTTGACTTCCTCTTTTCCTAATTGAATACCCTTTATTTCTTTCTCTTGCCTGAATGCCCTGGCCAGAACTTCCAACACTGTTGAATAGGAGTGGTGAGAGAGGGCATCCTTGTCTTGTGCCGGTTTTCAAAGAAAATGCTTCCAGTTTTTGCCCATTCAGTATGATATTGGCTGTGGGTTTGTCATAAATAGCTCTTATTATTTTGAGACATGTTCCATCAATACCTAATTTATTGAGAGTTTTTAGTATGAAGAGAGGTGTTGAATTTTGTCAAAGGCCTTTTCTGCATCTATTGAGATAATCATGTGGTTTATGTGATTAATTACGTTTATTGATTTGCGTATGTTGAACCAGCCTTGCATCCCAGGGATGAAGCCAACTTGATAGTGATGGATAAGCTTTTTGATGTGCTGCTGGATTTGGTTTGCCAGTATTTTATTGAGGATTTTCACATCGATCTTCATCAGAGATATTGGTCTAAAATTGTCTTTTTTTGTTGTCTCTGCCAGACTTTGGTATCAGGATGATGGTGGACTCATAGAATGAGTTAGGGAGGATTCCCTCTTTTTCTATTCATTGGAATAATTTCAGAAGGAATGGTACCAGCTCCTCTTTGTACCTCTGGTAGAATTTGGCTGTGAATCCGTCTGGTCCTGGATATTTTTTGGTTGGTAGGCTATTAATTATTCCTCAATTTCAGAGCCTGTTATTGGTCTATTCAGAGATTCACCTTCTTCCTGGTTTAGTCTTGGGAGGGTGTGTGTGTCCAGGAATTTATCCGTTTCTTCTAGATTCTCTAGTTTATTTGTGTAGAGTTGTTTATCGTATTCTCTGATGGTAGTTAGTATTTCTGTGGCATCATTGTGATATCCCCTTTATCATTTTTTATTGTGTCTATTTGATTCTTCTGTCTTTTCTTCTTTATTAGTCTTGCTAGCAGTCTATCCATTTTGTTGATCTTTTCATAAAATCATCTCCTGAATTCATTGATTTTTTAAGGGTTTTTTGTGTCTCTGTCTTCTTCAGTTCTGCCCTGATCTTAATTATTTCTTGCCTTCTGCTAGCTTTTGAGTTTGTTTGCTCTTGCTTCTCTAGTTCTTTTAATTGTGATGTTAGGGTGTCAATTTTAGATCTTGCCTGCTTTCTCTTGTGGGCATTTAGTGCTATAAATTTCCCTCTACACACTGCTTTAAATGTAGCCTCCACAGCTGGGAATGTGCTGAGTCTCGTCTAAAGCCAACAAGTCTCAGTGTCTCACCCAAGGCACTCAAGAATGCACCTGAGTGTTGCTGTGGGTTATTCAGGACCCAAGGACTTTTCAGTTAGCAAGTGATGACTACTGCCAGAACTGGGTCCTTCTCTTCAAGGCAGCACATTCCTTGCTGGCCCATCATGTGTCTACAATATTCATGAGCTAGGGCCTGGAAAGGAGAATGCGCAACTCTGCCTCATGCTCTATTATGTTGTGGCTGAGCTAGTATCCAACATGCAAGACAAAGTCCTCTCCTCTCTTCCATCTACTTTTCTCAAGTGAAAGGAAGGGATCCTTTTTGGAGCCATGAATTGTGCACCCTGAGTTAGGGTAGGGGCGGTGCTAGCACTCCCTTAGCTGCTCCAGGTAGTATCTCAGTAGTTCACCTGTTCCCCCAATTCCACTGGCTCTGGGCCAAATTCATCACCATGACTCACCAGAAGTTGCAGTCTTTGTGTCCTAGAGTGTCTTTTAAGTTTATTGTGGCCCTAGAGCACTTTAGCCAGAGGTAGCGGGACTTTTAGGATCTCAAATTGTGACCACTGGGATCAGAGATACCCCTCTGACTTGGGCAGATGGGTTTAAATACTCCTACTGTGGGCAAATGTTAGCTGAGTTTTGTCTGTTTTCCCTACAGGGCAGCACTGAGTTCAATGCCTCACAGTTTTTGCCTCTTCCTCTCCCCAAAGCACAGAAACTCTCTCTGTACCACGTACCTGCTGCCAGAAGCTGGGAAGGAGTGGTGCTGGTGATTCAAAACTGATTTTCCTGCCTCTTCGATGCCTCTTTTAGTGACATACAGTTAAGACCAGGCACTGTGAGTACTCAGCTGATTTTTGGTCTTTATGAAGGTGCTTTGTTATGTGTGTAGATAGTTGTTAAATTGGTGTCCTTGCTGGGGGAAGATCAGTGTAGCCTTTTTTCCGGCCATCTTGTTCCACCCTTTGGTCTACTCTTTTGGCATTTTTTAAGAATACAGTACATTGTTTTTAACCATAGTCATCATATTGCACAATAGATCTCTTGAACTTATTGTTCCTAATTAACTGAAATTTTGTATACTTTACCAACATCACCCCATCCCCTTCCCCCAGCTCTTAGTAAGCCCCATCTACTCTCTACCTATATTGGATCAGCTTTTTTAGATTCCACATAAGTGTGAGATCATCCAGTATTTGTCTTTCTGTACCTGACATATTTCCCAACAAATAATGTCCTTTAGGTTCCACATGTTATCACATATGGGGGGAATTCCTTCTCTTTTAGCAGAATAATATTTTATTGTACATACATGCTACATTTTCTTTATTCATTCATCCATTGATAGCTACTTAAGTTGATTTCATATACTGAGTACTGTGATTAATGCTGCAGTAAAAATGGTAATGCAGATCTCTTTTTAAAATAATGATTCATTTCCTTTGGATTCAAATATAGTAGTGAGATCACAGATTCACATTATTGTTCTATTTTTAATTTGGTGAGGAGTCTCCATACTGTTTTCCGTAATAGCTGTACTAATTTGCATTTCCACCAAAAGTGTGAAGAATTACTTTTTTTCCACATCCTTGTCTACACTTACTCTCTTTTGTTATTTTTTAAGCATGAAAGCCCTCCTAACAGGTGTGATGTAATATTCTACAGGTTTAATTTTAATTTTGCTGATAATTAGTTATGTTGAGCACCTTTTGCTACAGTTAGTGGCCATTTGTGTTTTCTTTGGAGAAGAGTTCATTAATTTTATTCATTCCATTTGCTCATTTTAAAAACTGAATTATTTCCTTTTTTGTCTCCTGTACTGTGAGAGTCCCTGATGTTGGATATTAACCCTTTATCAGATCAATGGTTTAAAAAGATTTCATTCCATTTCATAGGTTGTCTTTTCACTCTGTTGATTTTTTTTTTCTTTTTTTTTTGTGCGGGAGCTTTCTATTTGATGTAGTCCCACTTGTCTATTTTTGTATTTATTGCCATTGCTTTTGGTATCATATCCAAAAGATTATTGCCAGGCCAATGCCACAGACTTTTTCCCCTATTTTTTCCTTGTAGTAGTTTTATACTTTCAGGTTTTACATTTAATTTTATGATCCATTTTTAGTTGATTTTTGTATATGGTGTGAGATTATGTCTGTTTTTATTCTTCTACATCTAGATATACAGTTTTTCCAACTCCATTTATTGAAAAGACTCTTCTTTCTCCATTTTGTAATCCTGGCACCTTTGTTTCAAACCAGTTGGCTATAAATTTATGGATTTATTCCTGGGCTATCCCTTCTGTTTTCTTGGTCTGTGTTTCAGTTTTGAAGCCAGTATTTGATGATATTCTGGTTATGATAGCTTTGTAGTATATTTTGAAGTCAGGTAGTGTGATGCATCCAGATTATTCTTTTTGCTCAAGATTACTTTACCTATTCAAGGTCTTTGTGGTTCCATAAGAATTTTAGAATGTATTTTTATATTTCTGTGAAGAATGTCATTGGCAATTTGATGTAATTGCATTAAATCTGTAGATCACTTTGTGTAATATGGAAATTTTAACAATACTAGTTTTTTTTCAATTTCTGAACATGAAATGTCTTCTCATTCGTGTCTTCAATTTCTTTCATCATAGTTTTATAGTTTTCAAGATAAATATTTTTCACCTTCTCAGTTAAATTTATTCCTAGTTTTTTTGTAGCTATTGTTAAGGAGATAGTTTTCTTGAATTAGTTTTCAGATAGTTTGCTGTTAGTGTATTAAAACACTGCTGATTTTTTGTGTGTTGATATTGTAGCCTATAACTTTACTGGATTCTTTATTAGTTCTAACAGGTTTTTCTGGTGTGTGTGTGTGGAGTCCCCAGGATTTTCTATATATAAGATCACATCATCAGTAAACAGAAACAATTCTACCTCTTTTTTTTTTCTATTAGAATGTCTCTTATTTCTTTCTCTTGATTAATTGCTCTGGGTAGAACTTTCAGTATTATGTTGAAAAGAATTGGTAAGAGTGGGTATCCTTATATCATTTCTGACCTTAAGGAAAAGCTTTCAACTTTTGAGTGTTGAGAATTTTCACTATGGATTTGTTATATATGGCCTTTATTGTGTTTAGTAACATTTCCTCTGTACCTAATCTGTTGAGAGTTTTATTGTGGAAGAATGCTGAATTTTGTCGAATGATTTTTCTGTATTTACTGAAATGATGATATGGGTTTTGTAGTTCATTATGTTAATGTGATGTATTGTATTTATTATTTTGTATATTTTGAACCACCCTTGCATTCTTGGAATGGATTCCACTTGATCACTGTGAATGATATTTTTAATGTGTTGTTAAATTTGGTTTGCTAGTATTTAGTTGAAAAATTTTGCACTGATGTTCATCAGGGTGTTGTCTTATAGTTTTCCTTATTTATAGTATCCTTTTCTGGCTTTCACATTAGGGTGAGACTGGTCTTATAAAATGCCTTTGGAAGTATTCTCTCTCCTTCAATTTTTTTTGAAATAATTTGAAAATAATTAGCAAAAGTTTTTTTTTTTTTTAAATGTTTGGTAGAATTCAGCAGTAACGCCATCAGGTTCTGGGCTTTTTTTTAATGAGATATATTTTATTACCATTTCAATGTACTTATTCATTATTGTTCTGTGCAGACTTTCTATTTCATCATAATTTAATCTTGGTAGGTTGTATATGTCAATAAATATATCAGTTTCTTCTGGATTATCTGTATTGTTGCTATATACTTTTTTGTAATAGTCTTTTAAGATCCTCTGTATTTTTGTTGTATAAGTTGTAATGTATTCTTGATAATTTCTGATTTTTTATGTCTTCTCTCCTTTCCTTATTTAGTCTAGCTTTCAGTTTGTTGATTTTATCTTTTTATAAAAACAACTCTCTGTATTTCCATTGCTATTATAATCTCTATTTTATTAATTTCTGTTCTAATTTTTATGATTTCCTTCCTTCCATTAAGTTTGGGCTTAGCTTATTCTTGTTCTTTCTAGTTCCTTGAGGTGCAACATTAGGTTGTTTATTTGAGATGTTTCATTTTTTTGGATGTGTTTATTGCTATAAAGTTCCTTTTTAGAAGATTCGTATGTTTCCATTTTCATTTGCCTCAAGAGTTTTTTAACTTCCCTTTTAATCTCTTTATTGAGTCAGTGGTTGTTCAGTAGTTTACTGTTCATTTTCCATGTATTTGTCAAATTTCTAAAGTGTCTTTTGTTATTATTTCTAGTTTGATACCATTGTGGTCAGAAAAGATACTTGATAAAATTTCAGCCTCATTAAATTTGTTAAGACTTGCTTTGTGGCCTAACGTCTGATCTCTCCTGGAGAATGTTCCATGAAGAATTGAGAAGAATGTGTAATCTGCAGCTGCTAGATGGAATGTTAGGTCCATTCAGTCTCGAGTGTAGTTTGTTTGATGTTTCTTTGCTGATGTTCTCTCTGGATGGTATATCCATTAATGAAAATGGGTTTTTGAAGTCCTCTACTATTATCTCTTCCTTCAGTTCTATTAACATTTGCTTTATATTTGTAGTTGCTCCAATGTAGGCTTATCTCATTTAGAAAATGCCAACATGCTTTCATTGGCCTACAAAGCCCACACAACCTAGTTTTATGCTGACTCTCTGGACTTATTCTTTCCTAGATTTTCCCTTATTCACTCTGCTCTATCCACATGGGATTTCTTTCTGGTCCTTGAATGCCATATTGCATGCTCAGGAGTCTGAACATATTTTATAAGCAATGTGAAACAAAATTTTTGCTTCACATCATTTCTTCAAGCAGGGCAATCCTTGTTTTCTTGGAGTCTGCTCAATCCTGAGAAGTTGAGGCAACATCTAAAATTTGACATAGTGGTTCCAATAATTTAAAACTTTATATTTCCTTCAAAGAACATTTTTATCATTCAGTGGATTTCAGTATCAGTTAGAGTCACTGAGCTGAGTTTTGGGTAGTTAAAGTTACAATGAGATAATTTTATTGAATACTGTACACCAAAAATATAAAAGTGTTTGAAGAGTAGTACAGAGAATGAAGGCTGCAGGAATTAACTTAAAAAACAAGTGAATATGTGCTAGACAGGTCAGAAAAGGTTTCGGGGAAAGATAATATTTTTAGTCATGTCTCGAAGAGTAAGCAGCAGCTGGATAAGTGAAAATAATCAGAGGGATAGTTCAAGATGCAGGATTCCTGAAGAGGGCAAAAAGACAAGGTTTAAGAGCAGAGCATCAAGAGGATCAAATTGGCTATAAAAATGAGCTTACATTAGAAAGTAAAGTGCATGAGATATTTATTCTCGGGTTTTCTAAATTTAACGAGCTTAATCCTTCTACAATCTGAAGGGTTGGTAAATTCTAATCTACAAGATTCCATGAGAATATTGTGTTGATTTGTGTGTATTTACAGCATCTTAGCTTGATTATATTTTTTATAGTAGAATATATTTATCTTCAAGATATGCAAATATTGGATTTCGATGGTATTTTTTTTTTCTCCTTAAGTGACAAAACATTCACAGTCACGTTGCTTAGTTTAAAAATCAAGCAAGTCTTTAAGTAGTACTTTTCCTTCAAGGTATCTGATTTGATTTGAAGCATAAATCAAATCGTATCTGATTATTATTTGATTTGTGGGCAGTCCATTGTAGGATAAGGAGCCAGCCAGCAGAGAAATACATGCAAAGCTCAGCTTCTTCCTTAATGCCATCAAAATATTCACTTTCCTCCAATTCATTCTTCCTGGCGACGAAAAAAAAAAAAAAAGGAACAAGCATGCTCATTATGTCAGTGACCCAGTTTCAGTATCTTTCTTCTCCATTTCTTTGCACTATTCCAAATCCTGTTTCCATAGTCGGTCTTTTCGCATTTTTCATTTGGAATGACCGCCTTTTGTGCTTCTGAGATGTTGCAAGTGAGTACAAATCAAGGAGAAAATAGGTTATCCAGGCACAAGTTTTATTTATGCTTTGACTCTAGTGTCATTGTCTTCATTGTTTTACGTGCATAGTTGTATTTTCCAAAAGATAAAATGTCACTATCTCAGGTTTTTATTAGTATACTGAAATTGATTTCAAGAAGCAAACTTGGCACAATTATTTAATTTTAGGCAACTTTTGTTAAAAAAAAAGAATGGTTTTACTTCAGAGCCATTTAAATTATATAGATTTACTTTTTTATTTAAGCATGGAAACAGAAGTTCACTATCAAACTTAGAGACAAAAGTTGGCTTTTATAAATTTTGAGATTAAAATTTAATTCTCTAGCCAAGGACAGTATCAATTAGTAGAGAAAAATTCTACCTAATAGAATATAGTTTAAATTACTTAACTGTGTAATTTCTAATTTCCTATTCCCAGATATTATTGGGTTCCTTTTTTTTAAATTATACTTTAAGTTTTAGGGTACATCACACACCGGGGCCTATTGTGTTCCTTTATAACTGTAGCAGGCAGTTACAAAAATTAACATTTGAAGATAATTGGTTATTTTTAGTATATTTGAAAAATGATCCTGCATATTACCTGATTTTTAAGTAAAAATATTTATGTTCATATTTTTGTCTGTTAATTGCTTCAAAAATTTATATCTTTATTGTCATTCAAAATCCATTTTACTCAGTTTTCATGAAGCCGTTCTTTTTTCAAAGTATTACTGAGATTTTGAAATTTGATGTTTTATTTTAGGCTAGATTATCTCCTAACTTTAAAACTTTGGATGAATAATTATAAAGCAGCAAATTGGTGTTGCAAAGAGAAGACATGAAAAGCAGAGTTTAGTAGATATTTTCTATGATTCACTCTTGAGAGAGATAACAGAAACTGAAGTGAAGTATCCTTGATCTTGGAACTCCATTCCTCCCCTGCTGAGTGAGAGGAGTCTCAGACTGTGGAAAATAAATGGCTGACAGAACAAGATCATAGAGTTTTCCTATATTCTGTAAGTTACTGACAAAAAGCAGGTTGAGTTAAAACTAAGTCCATGTAACCCAGCATGTTGAGAAAGATCTTTGAGAAAGAGTCCTCAGATTGTTCTTCAGCTTTGAGAGACTGAATGGATCAGACAAGGATAACCAAAACCTAGACCTTGTTGCTTTAGAGGAGTCAGGAATCAGCAAAATAATTTTGAAACATAATAAACATACTTTTTATTGCTTTGTCTTTGTCATTGGTAAAAAGGCACTCAGTTATAAAACTCTATGGTAAGCCATCTCTCCAAGCTAACACAAAAGCACAAACAACAGTCAATATCTCTTTGAAAATGATTTTAAGCTAGTTGTTGAAATATTTAATAATTGCATGGATAACATACTAAAAAGGGGGAAGACATTTAATTCTGAAAATCAGGTTCTCTCTCAACAAAAAGATTTCTGAAGGAGAGAGGGAGAGAGAGAGAGTCTGAAAATGTAGGGGTACCAAAAATTCAGTATTCCAATATACTGGTCAGCCATTTTCTGTTTCCATTTTGAAGAAATGTTTAATTTTTTTTGCTAATTTTTTCTTTTGACATCCATAGTTACATGCTCAGTCACAGAGCTTTTTATAGAAAAATGTATGATGTAAAGGCACAGGAGGCATGACTGTATTTCTTATCTGTGCTAATATAGCCAAGATGGTCTCAGCTGAGCATTTAGCGGGAAATTGGCTTGGAGTCTACTGAGACGTTCCTCTACTACTCAGGTGATATTTATAAAAATTTATAAGAATTTGGGGATGGTAGTTTGGAAGATTTTTAGTGATGGCAACTCCAGGCTTTTTCTTGTTGTTGCTTTGTTGTTGTTGTTGTTGTTGTAGAGAGAGCAGGGGCAGGGGTGGTAATTTGGTATACAGATACCAGGGAGAGATAAGAAACCACTGTGGTCCTGACACAAGCAAAGTTAAAAGGAAACACTAGGGCATCTGGCAGCTTTGCAGAGGGAAAGCAGTAATTTTAATAAAGGCATCAGTAGAACTGGCAGCACTGATAAAGAGCTCCAATCTAAGGGTTTGTGGGACTAGCCCTTGATGAGATGGCCAAAGTAGAAAAATATGAAATAATATGAAAATATTTTCTTACATAGTACACCACAAAATAATTGTAATGCACAGGCTGGTGAGATTTAGGGAAAATTAAGTTACACGATAACTAGCCATGTAGTCTTGGAAGTGACATTTTATCCATGTCAATTTCAATTACCTTCTTAAAAATTAGGTTGCCTAGGATCAAGAAATAGCAAATATATGGCTTGTCTGATATCTCTCTCCTGTCCTGGATTATTTATGGACACAGTTAATGGATCCCAGCACTCTCTCATGCAAACCTTTGGTTTGGTTTCAGAAATATGTATACAGCCATGCACATCATAATGACATTTTGGTCAATGATGGACTGCATATATGGTGGCTTTGTAGGTTATAATATATTTTTACTGTACCTTTTCTATGTTTAGATAGACAAATACTTACCATTGTGTTACAATTGCCTACAGTATTCAGTACACTAACATTGTACAGGTTTGTAACCTAAAAGCAATAGGGTCTACCATATAGCCTAGGTGTGTAATAGGCTATTCCATCTAGGTTTATGTAAGTACACTCTTATGATATTCATACAATGACAAAATTTCTTAATGACACATTTCTTGGAGCATATCCCCATCGTTAAGTGAAGCATTACTGTATATTTAATCTCTACATTTGAACTGTGCAAAAACAACCAATTAATCCAGGCTAACATGCAAGGATTATTTGTATACTAGAGGATCTCTGTATTAGTTCATTTTCATGCTTAAAAGACATCCCCAAAACTGGGAAAAAAATGTTTAATTGGACTTACAGTTCCACATGGCCACATGAGGCTTCAGAATCATGGCAGGAGGCAAAAGCCTCCTCTTACATGGTGGCATCAAGAAAAAATGAAGAAGAAGCAAAAGCAGAAAACCCTGATAAACCCATCATATCTCATGAGACTTATTCACTATTATGAGTGATAGTAATAGGAAAGACCAGCCCCCATGATTCAATTCCCTTCCCTTGGGTCACTCCCACAACACGTGGGAATTCTGGGAGATACAATTCAAGTTGAGATTTGGGTGGAGACACAGCCAAACCATATCATTCCACCCCTGGCCCCTTCAAATTTCATGGCCTCACATTTCAAGACCAATCATGCCTTCCCAACAGTCCCACAAAATCATAATTCATTTCAGCATTAACCGAAAGTTTACAGTCGAAAGTCTCATCTGAGACCAAGCAAGTTCCTTCTGCCTATGAACCTGTAAAATTAAAAGCAAGCTAGTTACTTCCTAGATACAATGGGGGTACAGGTATTGGATAAATACAACCATTCCAAATGGGAGAAATTGTCCAAAACAGAGGAGTTACAGGGCCCAGGCAAGTCCAAAATCCAGCGAGGCAGTCAAATTTTAAAACTCCAAAAATGATCTCTTTTGAGTCCAGGTCTCACATTCAGGTCATGCTGATGCAAAAGGTGGGTTCCCATGGTCTTGGGCAGCTCTGCCCCTGTGGCTTTGCAGGGTACAGTTTCCTCTAGGCTGCTTTCTTGGACTGGCACTAAGTGTCTGCGGCTTTTCCAGGCACATGGTGCAAGCTGTCAGTGGATCTACAATTCTGGCGTCTAGAAGACAGTGGCCCTCTTCCTACAGCTTCACAAGGTAGTGCGCCAGTTGGGACTCTTTGTGGGGGCACCAACCTCACATTTTCCTTCTGTACTGCCCTAGCAGAGGTTCTCCATGAGGGCCCCACTCCTGCAGCAAACTTTTGGCTGGGCATCCAGGCATTTCCATACATCTTCTGAAATCTAGGTGGAAGTTCCCAAACCTTAATTCTTGACTTCTGTGCACTCACAGGCTCAACACCACGTGGAAACTGCCAAGTCTTGGGGATTCCAACCTCTGAAGCCACAGCCCAAGCTGTATGTTGGCCTCTTTCAGCCACAGCTGGAGCAGCTGGGACACAGAACACCAAGTCCCTAGGCTGCACGCAGCATGGAGACCCTGGGCTAGACCCAGGAAACCAGGTTTTTCTCCTGATCCTCCAAGCCTATGATGGGAGGGGCAGCCATGAAGGTCTCTGACATGGCCTGGAGAAATTTTCTCCATTGTCTTGGGGATTAACATTAGGCTCCTTGCTACTTATGCAAAATTTCTGCAGCCAGCTTGAATTTCCCCCTAGAAAATGGGTTTTTCTTTTTTTATCACATAGTCAGGTGGCAAATTTTCCAAACTTTTATGCTCTGCCACCCTTATAAAAGTGAATGCATTTAATAGTGCCCAAGTCACCTCTTGAATGCTTTCCTGCTTAGAAATTTCTTCTGCCAGATACCCTAAATCATCTCTCTCAAGTTCAAAGTTCCACAAATCTCTAGGGTAGGGGCAAAATGCCACCACTCTCTTCGCTAAAACATAAGAAGAGAGAGTCACCTTTGCTCCAGTTCCGCAACAAGTTCCTCATCTCCATCTAAGACCACCTTGGCCTGGATTTTATTGCCCATATCACTGTTAGGATTTTGGACAATGCCATTCAACAAGTCTCTAGGAAGTTCCAAACTTTCCCACATTTTCCTGTATTCTTCTGAGCCCTTCAACTGTTCCAATCTCTGCCTGTTACCCAATTCCAAAGTTGCTTTCACATTTTTTGGGTATCTTTTCAGCAACACCCCACTCCTGGTACCAATTTACTGTATTAGTTTGTTTTCACACTGCTGATAAAAACATACCCAAAACTGGAAATAAAACAAGGTTTAATTGGACTTGCAGTTCCACGTGGCTGTGGAGGCCTCAGAATCATGGCAGGAGGTGAAAGCCTCTCTGACATGGTAGCAGCAAGAGGAAATGAGGAAGAAGCATAAGCAGAAACCCCTGATAAACCTGTCAGATCTCATGAGACTTATTTACTATTATGAGAATAGCACAAGAAAGAATAGCCCCCTTGGTTCAATTACCTATCCTTGGGTCCCTCCCTGAACACATGGGAATTTTGGGAGATACAATTCAAGTTGAGATTTGGGTGGAGACACAGCCAAACCATATCAGTCTCCAAAATAATACTTTTCAGCTTTAAAGCTCTATTGTTTTACCCTTGTTACTTAAGTCACATGTTATAAAAATAGCCTAGATTCTCTTTGAATGACTAGATGGGGATATATGAAGATTAATTATATACTGTTGCTGAAACCCAATAAAACAAAGCAAACATACATCAAGAAAAGAAAGTACTAATATGCTTCTTAATAAATCCTCCCATTCACTCAAATAATAACTACTATTCATTGAAGTCTTACTATATATATATATATATATATATATATATATATATATATAAAAATAAATAAAATGTGCTAATTTATGAACAATATGTAATTTATAATCTTTAACTACAAGATGAAACATCATTATTATTTACACTTGACAATCAATTTAAAAGAGGTTTAGGGGTGGATGCTGTGGCTATAAATTCTAAAAATTCTAACACTTTGGGAGGCTAAGGCAGGAGGATCACTTGAGTCTAGGAGTTCGAGACCAGCCTGGGCAACATAGTGAAAACCCCTGCTCTAAAGCAAACAAAAAAGTATAGCCTGGCATGGTGGAGCACACCTGTGGTCCCAGCAACTCAGGAGTTTAATCACATGAGCCCAGGAGATCAAGGCTGCAGTGAGCTGTGATCGCATCACTGCTGCTGCCCTCCAGCCTGGGCAAAGCAAGACTCTGTCTCAAAAAGAAATAAATATAAAAAATAAAAATAAAAAGAGTTTTAGAAATGGTAAGATGCTTGGCTAAGTTTACATGCATAATAAATTGTGTGTCTGGTCTTCACATTTAGAATTCACTAAAAGTGGTTGAGACCTTTAGAATTTGTCTATAATTTTCACATATGAAAAAAATCTTTAAATAGAAAACACGTAGTGCATATGGCTAGAATCTTATCAAGCTTTGTAAATATTGAGAAACACTTTTCTCTGTAATGATTAAATCTAAAATAGGACTTTATTAACTTTAAAACATTCTCAAGCTGTCATGAAGCAAAAATAACAACAAAGAAAACTGTTTGTATCTGTTCCCTCCCCTGGCTCAGCCACACTAGCAACTCAGAAAGTCAGCCAATTGTCAAAGGTACTCAGGTAATATACAACCTGAGTTCTCTGTATTTACCAGTGCTAGGTGACTACGGTGGCTTATCAGTTATCCAGCAAATTCACCTAGAACATAGGAAAATAAAGGAATCTCTGCAAAATATTTTTGATAAGTAATACAGGTGTCCTCACTTCATTCATCCACTAAAATTTTCACCTATAATGAACTTCCTCTCAGTTTTACTGCCAGTAGAATTGGCAACAGTGACATAGAGCTCTCTCAAAGAATTGAGTATAAATGAAAATAAATGTGAATGGCTTAGGCTGAGGAAGCCTTAGAAAGATTCAGAGTGTCACAACCTTCAACAAGGCATAGGAGTAGCAAAACAACAACAACAAAAAGTATTTATGGTACCCACCCAGAAATGATGGAGAGAGCCCCCTGAAGGAGCCTTGAAATAATTTGTCAGATACAAAAGAATGTCAGGAGGAACAGGTGTGATCCAATGCCCAAGAATACAAAGAAATCTTAGACTACCACGGATCTTAACAGGTGTCAATGTGGTAAGGACATCAAAGGCTGGTGGTTTCTATCATCTAAACACTTTTGAATGATATGTCAGCCCTGTCCTACATCCAGAATGTAGATATTGCCCTGAAGTAAAATTATTTCTCTCACCTTATATGAAATAAATAATTTTGCCATATATTAAATTAAATTGTATCACACATGCAGAAAAACCTTAGTTTCTTTGCATCATTTTATAAAATGAAATTTTTATCCATTGCATAAAAAGGATAAAAAACACACATATAAACAACCATAAATAAAAGGTATAGGGCAAAGAGAGTTTGATGGGTGTACTAGTCTGTTCTCATGAAGCTATGAAGAAATACCCCAGATTGGGAAATTTATAAAGGAAGGAAATTTAATTGACTCAGAGTTCCACATGGCTGGGGAGGCCCCAGGAAACTTACAATCTTGGTGGAAGGCACCACTTCACGGGGCAACAGGGGAGAGAATGAGTGCTGAGTGAAGGGGGAAGCCCCTTATAAAACCACTAGCTCTTGTGAGAACTCACTCATTATTTCAAGAACATCATGGGGAAAACTGTCCCTGTGATTCAGTTATCTCCACCTAGTCCCACCCTTGACATGTGGGGATTATTACAATTCAAGGTGAGATTTTGGTGGGGACACAGAGCTAAACTATATCAATGGGTGTACAAATAAAGTTCTAAATATGGAACTGAGAATAGGAGAGAACTTTCTTATAGTTTGAAAAATAGGTTTGAATTATGGAAAATGTATGTCAAGGAAAGTTATTTTTGCTAGGGTGGCACCCATTGCTCCTCTTTCTGCTAACAGCACCTTTAATTTCCTTTGTCACCACTGAGTTTCAGCATATGTTGAAACCTCTCTCATGCCACAGGAGTGAATATTTAACCCAGGCCTGATAAAACAGGATGTTTTTTCTGTAAAAATGAATATATAATACAAACAGCATAAAACTTTTGAAGTACACAGTTCATTGGTCTTCGGCCTAGATACATAGTTGTGCTACTATCATCAATATCTAATTTTCAGAAGAATGTTATTGCCCGCAAAAGAAACTTTGTACCTATTAGCAGTCATTCCTCATTCCTAATCACCATCAGCCTTTGGCAATCACTAATTGACTGTCCATCTCTTTGTATTTTCCTGTCTGGACATTTCATACAAATGGAATCATACAATATGTACCCTTTTATGTCTATCTTCTTTTACTTGGTATACTTTTTCCAATGTTTATTCATGTTGCACTATGTGTCAGTACTTCATTTATTTTTATGGCTAAATAATGTACCACATTTTGTTCATCTGCTTACCATTTGGCAGACTTTTGAGTTGTTTCTACCTTTGGGCCCCAAAGGTGGAAACATTCATGTACAAGTTTTTGTAGTAATATATAATTTCAATTATCTGGTGTACATACTATGAATGGAATCACTGTGTTATGTGCTAACCCTGTGTTTACCTTTATGTTTAACATGTAAAATAATAAAAACTATCTGGAGGGCCTTGAAGTAGATTTAACCTCATCCTTTTCTTTCCAGTGGCTTCCAGGCTGCTGGGTTTCTCCATGATTGTAGGTGGTTGGATTTCTATGTTGCTGTGGAGCTCAGATGAGAAGAATTAAAATAGCGATAGTTAAAACCCCCCAAATCTCACTGTTCTTATCAACATTGAGAATTTTCCTTGAATAAACACTCCCTAGATATCTGCAAACTTTTGGTTAATCATCAGAGTTCTGAAAAAGACTGAAAATTTCTGCCAGTGTTCTCATGGATTTTTGAAGATGAGATGTTTGGAGGTTGTTACTCTGACATTTATTACTGATATCACTTTCTCCCTAGTTTTTGCAATGATCAGTTCTTGCAGGCAAATGACTTAAGCTAGTCCTAAGAAAATGATTTTACTTTTGTACATGCAGAAGACTTGGGGTATGCATATAGTAGTTATTTAAGGTGCATTGTCAATATTCTCTAGCCCTTCTGATTTTACTGTATGTCTGGCAACTTCCAGTTACAGATGTTTGCATATGGTTGCCTCTGAAAGACTTTCTCTAAAGTAATATATGTCTGCTCTAACCTCAGGTACATCAGTCTGAATATGCTTGCTATAAACAATAATCGATGGTAGTTGGAGTACAAATATTCAATCTTCCTGGTTTAAGGTGGTACAAATTTGGGATATCTGTTGCACCAAATCACCCTACAAAGTCAAGCTTTAGTTGCCCACATTGATAGTTGATGTTATAATGTACATTATTGGCTTCTTAAAAAAATTTTCCCTGTCTTACATTCCACTGGCATTTCCTGTACCTCTAAAGTAAAGTACTTGGACTTGAATTTTTGTCTCAAAGTCTGCTTCTGTAACTCAGACTTAGGGAGGATTTCAGTCTGGAACCAAATGCAAACATGTTCTACAATAAGCATTCTTCCCTGAGAAGAAGCCATTTGGAGATAAGATTTGGGAGATCGGAGCTGAATTCTGGTGACAACATTTATACCCTTTAGAAACCCTGACTCTATGTTTTTCTGTGGTCATTCAGTTACATGAGAAAAAAAAAAGCCATTTTTTCTTTTAAGTAAGTTTCAGTTGGGGTTTCTATTGCTTGCCTCTGAAAAAATTCTGAATAATAAAATACAACATTGCTGACTATAGACAAAAAACAAACAAACAAACAAACAAACAAAAAACAAACAAAAAAACCCCAGCATGATAACAGTCTTCAATAAAGAAAGCAGTGTGAAACCCAGTAAAGTAATATACAGCACTTTGGCAGAGACCCAGTGGTCTCTTACCAGGAGAGATCAGTCAAAAGATATTTATAAAGTTTGGGATCTAACCTCCAGTAATTTAAATCAAGTCTTTTAGGGTAGGTACCAAAATTGAACTGAAAAATGAAACAATGTAATTGTTCAGTATTGGTGCACACAGCACAGTGAAGCAAATCTTAATAAGTAAATTGTTTGTCTGAGAAGCAAGCTATTTGCCCAGTTGAGCAACCATTATCCTATGAGAAACATTTGCTCAGATGAGCACACTACTTATTCAGATACACTGATATGCAGGAATATCATGAAGCAATCAGCTAAGTTGTTTATTGGCTTAACATTTTCTTGGAATAGTTAAGTCTTGTTGACACAGGTATGCTCAGCTTTCAATCCTCAGCATTAAGCTATATGATGCAGGTGGTCTTACTTCCTGGTAAAGATGAGCTGGATTTGTCTTTATGGAGGAAGGGTCAGTGTTTTTATGGAATAAGGACATTCTAAGCAAGAGAGAGAAAAAAAACCATGAAGGTGATGAAGAATGTATATAAAATATTAAAAATAAATAAATTATTTGTTCTTTGCTGGATTTGAGTGAATAGAGAATTAGCTAAGAAAGGGAGTTTAGGTTACATAGCACAGAACTAGGAATCAGAGCTCTGTTCTCTCAACAAGGAGGTGCCTTCAAAGCTTTTAAATATCTAACCTTTGGGAAATGTTTGTGGTTTCCATGGGTTTTTATTTAATTGTTGTTAGTTTGTTTTTTGGTTAGTTTTGATAGAAAATCTGTTTTGAAGTGGTCATACAATATAATATCAATTGAGAAACTGTTTCTCCAAATTTATATTTTAGGATATGAATATGTTTGATATTTTAATACGAAGAACCATGCTTTGAAGTTGATTGACAATGAGAGTCAAATGAGAGCAGAAGAGCGAGACTTTGTGCATCTTCACTTCCATCTCTGCATACATTATGGGGGTAGAGAAGAGGCATTATCTATTCATTTTGGAGGCAAGAAAGGGACAGTCCAAAATATGACTTAATATTAGTCAAGTAACACTGCTAAGATTCATGGCAAAGAGCTCTTATAGTGATCAATATTCTATTTTTTTTCAGATTCTAAGAAGTCCCAGGAAGAACACAATAGCAATTTAATGTTCTTAGACAAATCATGAGTTTCATATTTAGGCCAATCTAGATTCTAATCCTGACTCCGATATTTAAAAGGCATATGACTTTGGACAAGTTAGTTAACCCCGTTTTCTCTCTGCTCCCTTAAGATGATGCTACCTTGTGAATGTGTTGTGAACATTAAATAAGGGAGAAAAGCAGGTATAAGGAAAATGGCTGTGCTTCAGTCAAGAATAGGCTGAGGTAAACATCCGGTGCAGCATGACACAGCAGGATGGGAGTGCAGGCACAGAATCCCATACATTATATAACCACAGTTACGTAACCATGTTATGGGTGGGCTCATCACCTGGCTCTGAGCCATTATTGTCCGTGAGTCACATAACTGAATTGCACTGCTGACTTAGAGAAAGAGAGCCACCGGCCGCCTTGCAGGTGGACAGAGGGGAGCCAAGAAGAGGCCAGTGCACCAAGGAGTGCAGCTGCAGGCATGGGGGTGGGCAGGAGGCACAGAGCCGGTGCTGAGGGGCTGCAGTCAGAGCAGGAGGTTGAGAAAAAGGCTTATGGAGAGAGAAAGAAGAAAGCAATATCCCGTCTACCTACAGTCCCTTGAGTGTTCTTTCAACTACCTGCCACCTATCCACCAGCTCCCCTTGGACCCCAGCTTGGGTGGGAACCTGACACTTGGCATACTAAGCAGCATTCTGAGGTGAGTGAGCCCTCAGTCTCCAATAATCCCTGGTCGGCTATGTGTCCGTGCTCCTTGGATGGGCCCCGGTGGAAACATGGGCGGTGGTGGATGAGTCCCCCATGAGCATGGAGAAAGCACTGAAGCATCTGGAAGCACAGTGCACCAAGAAAGAGTGAGTCTTTGCCGGCAAAGTTAGGTGGGCATTTTTGCTGTGCTAAGGGAAGTGCATGCTCAGTCCCTGCAGGATGCAGTGCAGGTAGGAAACTCCCACTTAGTCTGATACTAAGGAGGAAAAACCCCCTCTGTGGGCTTGCCCCTTGGTCCACCAGAAAATAGAGCATGAACAGCTACTTGAGACCCAAAGGTAGGCCTTCTTATAGTGTCTACACCCCCCGCTGAGTTGCATAGGCAAACAATGTTGGCAGCATTCAGGGAAACCCCTACCCACCTGGGAAGTGCTGTTAACTTTGTGGAGGCAATGGTCCCCGGAGCAGCAATTCCAGTAAATGCCCACGATGGGGCAGGATGATGCTGCTCAACCCAGTCCTGCCTGGGTGCTCCAGCTAAAGGATTACTTGCAGATGGGTGGAGGAATACAGCCGTTTGTGTTTGATTAGGGAATTGGCTGAGGTGCCCAGCTTGGTGGGACACTGGATGACCAGAGGCCACATATGAATTTGGCAATCCACTGGTCCCCTACCAGGGTACAGTGGGTGCTGGCACTGGTAGATACTAGCACAGATTATAGCCTTGCCTATGGGAACTGGGATAAGTTTCCGGGCAAGGCTGCATACATATATGGGTATGAAGGCTGGTCAGTGAGTGTAACCTGTATCTTTGCACGTTGGCATCAATTGCTTGGCTCCCCACTTATACACTGTGTTTGTGTCTCCCATACCTGAATTACATTTTGGGAGTGGAATTATAATTATTATTATTAATTTTTATTTTTTATTTTTTGAGACGGAGTCTCGCTCTATCGCCCAGGCTGGAGTGCAGTGGCGCAATCCCGGCTCACTGCAAGCTCCGCCTCCCGGGTTCGCGCCATTCTCCTGCCTCAGCCTCCGGAGTAGCTGGGACTACAGGCGCCCGCCACCGCGCCCGGCTAACTTTTTGTATTTTTAGTAGAGACGGCGTTTCACCGTGTTGGTCAGGATGGTCTTGATCTCCTGACCTCGTGATCCGCCCGCCTCGGCCTCCCAAAGTGCTGGGATTACAGGCGTGAGTCACCGCGCCCGCCGGGAATGGATATTTTGCACTACTTGGCAGCTATGCCATCTATCATGGGTTTGATGGATTACTTGGCAATGTAATAGGGACAGTACCGCTATGTGGTGGACTTGACTTATGCATTGTTCTCAATTGACATTGCTCTAGAGAGCAAGGAACAGTTTGCATTCACATGGGAAGGGCGACAATGAACTTTTACAATGTTGCTGCAGGACTATGTGCATAGACCCACCATATGCCATGGTCTCGTTGCCACAGATTTAGCCACCTGGAAATGTCCAAAGGAGGTCCACCTGTTCCATTATGTTGATGATATTATGTTAATGTCTGATTCTCTTGCAGAGTTAGAAGCAGCAACACCCCTCTTGTGACAACACCCCTCTTGTGCCCACACGTGGTTGGGCAACCATAAATCCAGGGTCCAAGGACCTGGATTGCCTGCCAAATTCTTAAGAGTCATATCCCTGGCCCACCACAGTTGGGCAGCTGCAGACCTCTGTGGGCCTCCTGGGGTATTGCCGGGTGTTTGTGCCCTATTTGGCTCAAATAATAAAACCGTTGTATCGGTTGACAGAAAAGGGGGCTACTTGGGACAATGAAGCTGAGACAACATTTCTGGCATCCAAAGGGGCTATTCAGCAAGCACAGACCCTACAAATCATTGACCAGGAGCACCCATTTGAACTTGATGTGCATGTGACAACAGGTGGGTTTGGATGGGGCCCATAGCAGTACATGGAGCACTTTAGAACAGAAGTAGGCTTTTAATCCCAACTTGGAAAGGGAGCTGAGCTCCAGTACACATTAATAGAAAAGCAGTTAGCAGCTTCATATGCTGCCCTTCAGGCTCATGAGAGTGTAATGGGACAGGCTATGGTCATCATGTAGACAACTTACCCAATAGCGAGGTGGGTATGTTCATGGGTAACAACCCCCAGGAATGGGATGGCACAGTCATCCACTTTAGCAAATTGGGGTGCCTACTTAGAACAGAGGAGTACTCTGAGTATGAGACTCTTAATAGAATTACAAGAAGTCTTGGGACCTGTAGTCCTGATTCAAGATAAGGCCATGGGTCAGCCTGAGGCACCCTTAGACCCTGAGCCATAACTGTTTAAAGAGGGCCACTCCCCGCCCCCATCCATGATGGGGCATGATATATGGATGGGTCCAGCCAGGGTACTACTTCTACCTGGACCACTGTTGTGGTCCAGCCTTATATTGATAGCATATGGTTTGATACTGGGTGTGAACAAAGTAGCCAATGGGCTGAACTCAGAGCAGTGTGGATGGTGATCACCAAGGAGGTGACACCTATGGTAATCTGCACCAATAGTTGGGCAGTTTTTTGAGGCTTAACCTTGTGGTTAAATACCTGGAAGATACAGAATTGGCTAGTTGGTCACTGGCCCATTTGGGGCCAAGACATGTGGCAAGACCTAAGGGAGGAAGGATGACCTCCTCCAACCAGGTATGGGGATGAATGGAACCTGTCGTTGTCTGCCCCAACACCCCTAAAGGAAGGGGAACAAAAACCTGGCTTTGGCCATGGACCCTCCAAGCCCCCCACTGCAGATGGCTGGCTATTGTAGCCCCCTGATGGGAGAGTCTACGGTATGATTTATAAGTCACTTCTTGGGTATTTAATACATGGCCTCCATGATTGACCATTCCTTGGGGGACTGGCCTGGGGGTTCTGCCCCGTGAGTGCATCTCCCTACTAGAAGACCTCCCTTGGCCTAGCAGATAAAGTGTGAGGAAAATGGCTGTACTTCAGTCAAGAATAGGTTGAGGTAAACATCTGATGCAAGATGACACAGCAGGATTGGAGTGCAGGCACACAGTCTCATGCATTATATAACCACAGTTATGTAACCATGTTATGGGTGAGCTTATCACCTGGCTCTGAGCCACTATTGTCTGTAAGTAACATAACTGAACTGCGCTGCTGACTCTAAGAGACAGAGCTCCTGACTGCCTTGCAAGTGGACAATGGGGAGCCAGGAAGTGGCGAGCACACCAGGGAGTGCAGCTGCAGGCATGGGGGTGGCAGAAGCCATGGAGCCAGCACTGAGAGGGGCTGGGGCTGAAGATGGTGGCCGAGACAAAAGCTGATGGAGAGAGAGAGAGTAAAGCCATATCTATCTACCTATGGTCCCTCAAGTGTTCTTTCAGCTACCCGCCACCTTCCAACCCCTCCAGTTGAACCCCAGCTTGGGTTGGAACCTGACAGCAGGGGTTAACAGTTTGGTCCAAAATTGAAAAGCATTAAATATTAACATATCTTTTTAGCCTTTAGCTTACATAGAGTTTTATGAAAATATGCACAAAGAAGGGGGAATTATGACTCTGGGCCAAATTTGTAATTGAAACAGTGGCTGAATTTCAAGCCTTCTAATAAGCCCTGGCTTCTCATGCTCATGTATTTGTTTCACCTGCAATTTTCCCTGAGACTCTTCAGTCATATTAACATCACAAGGAAAGTTAAAGTTTTAAAGCTGGTTCTCTCGAGGACATCTATCTTTTGATCTCCCAGAGAGATCAGAGCTTTAATCTGAAAAGGAATGATTATGATTGGACATTTGACTATTGTGCAGAGAAAGCCCTCCAGGGAAACACACCAGAAGTAACTATTGCTTTATGGGTAAGCATGAGGAGTGTCATGGCTAAACTGGAGGTGACAGGCAGGGAATCAAGAGTTAGGAGACAGGCTCTGCTTATTCCTGTAGACATTCAACCATGTCACAACTTTATGCTCAACTTCTTTATCTATGAATGGGAGACTTTGCAAGGCCGTTACCAGTATTCTATGAAACAATGTGGGTGAAGTGTTTTAAAATTTCTAAAAATACATATGAATATGAATGTCAATAGATTTTTATATTGATTTTCTTCAGATACAGAGATGCAAGATAAAAGCAATTAAAATATGAGGCAGCAGCAGCCAAGTTGTTATGTGATCTCAGGTTATTGCAGAGTCCTTCCTACCACAGGAAGTAGGAAACTAGCAAAAGATTAGCAATAGTGCCACTGAAAAATCTTTCAGGAATTTGTAAGTTCTCAATGCATGAGACTGCAGCAACGGACAGCACTAAGTGGGAAAAAATGTCCTTTTGATACCTTTTTCTCATATTCTGCACAATGTTTAAACACAAACTTGAAAATTTGTTCTTAATCCTGCATTCTTTAGGAAGATATTCTATTCTATTATTAAACAAGTCTTCACTGAGCACCCACTGTGTGCCAAGATGTTGATTTCCACGTAAGGAGAGCCACTTATGTGCCAGGGATCATGTTAAACACTTTAAATAATTATCTTATTCAATTTTTATAACAATTTATAAGGTTCATGTTGATATGCCCTCTTTAATATATCAATAAATAGACTCAGAAAGATAATGTAACTAATATAATGTAGATATGAGGTAGATTTGGGCAGAATTGAGGTTTAAATCCAGTTCTGCACCATTCCAGAGGCTGTGCTCTCAAACACAATGCCCTATTGACAGTTGAGTCTTTGGAAGTCTTTACTCTTCTTCAACTGATTTAATTAAATTTCACAAATGTCTGTAAAAGAGACACAAAATGAAATTTAATTTATGTCAATTTTCAGAATAAATTTGCCTCATCTAGCAATTTATGGGTCAGGATAATAATGAAAATACTGTGAATAAACATTTGAATGTTCTCATGCAGGAGGATTTTAAGCAATTTTATTTCATATTTAGTCCTAAACAATAGAAATTTAAACTTTGCTTTACATCCCCAACTTTTGGATTCAGACGTCAGATATTCACAGTGTTTTATTTGTCTTTCAAGACAGGAAAACAGAGATTCTTTATCTTGTAGTATACATGTATTTGTTGTAGTCCAGCTTATTCCATTGAAATACTATAAAATATGTCTCCAATTAATTTATTTTTCATTCTAATTTTTATTTTAGGTTTAAGGGGTATATGTGCAGGTTGGTTACATGGGTAAATTGTGTGTCATGGGGATTTAGTGTCACCTAGGTAATCAGCATAATACCTAATAAGTAGTCTTTTCAATCCTCACCCTCCTCAAATCCTCCACCTTCAAACAGGTCTCAGTGTCTCTTGTTCCCTTCTTTGTGTCCATGTGTATTCAGTGTTTTGCTTCCACTTATAAGAGAGAACACATGGTATTTGGTTCTCTGTTCTTGCATTAATTCACTTAGGATTATGGCCTCCAGCTCCATCTAGGCTGTTGTAAAAGCCATTATCTCATTTTTTATAGCGCATAGTATTCTATGATAAACAGATACCACCTTTTCTTTCTCCAGTCTGACATCAATGGGCAACTATGTTAATTCCATGTCTTTGCTATTGTGAATAGTACTGTGATGTATATACACATGCATGTGTCTTTATGGCAAAATGATTTATATTCTTTTGGGTATATACCCAATAATAGAATTGTTGGGTTGAATGGTGAGTATTTTTTAAGTTTTTTGAGGAATAGCCACACTGCCTTTTACAATTGCTGAACTAACTTAAATTCCCCCCAGCAGTGTAATGGACACGGGTATCACTTTTATCCACAATCTCACCACAATCTGTTATTTTTTGACTTTTTAATAATAGCCATTCTGACTGGTATGGGATGGTATCTTGTTATGATTTTGATTCACATGTCTCTGATGATCAGTGATATTGAGCATTTTTTCATATGTTTGTTGGCTACATATATGTCTTCTTTGGAGAAGTGTCTGTTCACGTCCTTTGACCATTTTTTAAATTTTTTTTTCTTGTTGATTTGTTTGAGTTTGCTATAGTTTCTGGATATTAGACCTTTGTCGAATTCATAGTTTGCAAATATTTTCTCCGATTCTATAAGTTGTTTGTTTACTCTGTTGCTAGTTTCTTTTATTATGCAGAGCTCTTTAGTTTAACTAGGTCCCATTTGTCAATTTTTGTTTTTGTTGCAGTTGCTTTCAGAGTTTTGTCATGAAGCCTTTGCCTGGGCCAGTGTTCAGAATGGTATTTCCTAGAATTTTTTTTCTAGTCTTTATAGTTTTAGGTTTTACAGTTAAGTCTTTAATTCATTTTGAGTTGATTTTTGTGTATAGTGAAAGGGGTCTATTTTGAATCTTCTGCATATGTCTAGCCAGTTATCCAAGTAACATTTATTGAATAGGGATATCATTCAGAGTTACCAAATAAATGCCGTAAGTCACATATGATGGAATGCCTGTGAACGCCAGAAAGTAGTTGCAAGTGTGAGAGTAAAAGAGAAAGAGATAAAAATAAGTAAAATCTATTTTCAAAACTTTCTCAACAGCAATACCGATGCACTCAAATGCAGAAATGAAAACCCATAAACTGAAAATATTCAAGTCCAGAAACTGCAATGTGCAGTGTCATCAGAAGGCTTCATTTTGTGTCCAGCCCCACACAGAAGGGAAACCACAAATCACTTCAAATATGAATAACTATAAATCATAAACTTGGTTCCTTACAATTCTTCAAGATGAGTATTGCATGGGAAAAGATTTTGTATCTTGGACCAAAAAAATAGTTTTGGAGGCTTACAAATGTTTCCCAGTGATATCAACATATCACACAAGCAGGTAGCCAAATCCCAATCTTGACTTTCCATTTATCTGACATTATTTCTGTCACAGGAGAGGATCTGAGATGGTATAGAAGTGTTTGTATCCCAGCAGCAGGTGGAAGCCAGGGGATGTCTACCAAAGTTGTAAATGCATGTATTCTGTGGTGTAGCTGAGAGATAGCTGCCTCACAGAGTATGCCATGGAAAATTCTAAGGATGATGAGGCCAGACCACTCTGCATGGATCCACAGCAGGTACGCAATGGAATGAATGTGGCTGGCTGCCATTATTAAGAGGCTTTTTTTTTTTTTTTTTTTTTGCAATTGGAGCTAGGCTTTTTACTAGTACTAAAGGTGCAGAAGTGCAACTACAGAAGTTTATGCATCATATATCTATAGTAAGAGAGAAACATAACTCAATATGTTTAATTATGATGGTCAGTTTTTTCACTAGTTTATGACCACAGACACCATAGGCCATTTTTAGTCTATAAAATTAGGCAATTTGTAGGATTTTCTGGTAACAGAGCTAATACACCCGTTCTAGAGGATAATTTAGCAATACATACCAAAAGCCTTAAAATGTGCATATCCTTTGTGTAGGCAATTTCAATCATAGAAATTAGTTTTAAGAAGGATTTGTTCAACTATCTAGCTAAAGAA
Source organism: Homo sapiens (assembly GCF_000001405.40). NCBI lineage: Eukaryota > Metazoa > Chordata > Mammalia > Primates > Hominidae > Homo > Homo sapiens. Next base: position 21,818,752 of record NC_000011.10, read on the forward strand.
TGGTTACTCATGACAACATTAGTCATAAGAGTAAAAATTAGAACCGATCTAGTTCCTGTATACAGAAATGGTTAATAAATTGCCATATATCAATAACTGAAATGCTATTCAGTTATTTTAATGGTCACTGTCACTGTGCATTATGATTCTTAGAAATTTGAGAGTCACAGACCATTGTAAAAATAGGATAAACATTATGGGCATTCTCCTCTTCTAAAATGTACATGGACTTACCTAAAATCATGTCCAGAGATAAGAACAAAATGCGAAAATGTTCATGATTTCCCAAGTGCATTTAGGAATCTGAAGTTAAAAATTTTACATTAGTGACTATTGAATTATAAAACATTCACAATATATTAGCCGAAAAAAGTCAGAATATGTATCTTATATACAGAATTATTCCATCTTATATTTATATGACATCTGCATCAGTGGAAAGAAACTATATCTTGAAGTTCACTTTTGTCTTTTTAGAAGTTTGCTGAACCGGGCCAGGCATAGTGGCTCATGCCTGTAATCCCAGCACTTTTGGAGGGTGAGGCAGGTGGATCACCTGAGGTTAGGAGTTTGAGACCAGCCTGGTCAACATGGTGAAATCCCATTTCTACTAAACATACAAAAAAATTAGCCAGGCATGGCAGTGGGCACCTATAATCCCAGCTACTTGTGAGGTTGAGGCAGAATTGCTTGAACCCAGGAGGTGGAGCTTGCAGTGAGCCAAGATCGCGCCACTGCACTCCAGCCTGGGCGACAGAGCAAGACTCCATCTCAAAAAAAAAAAAAAAAAAAAAAGTTTGCTGAAACAAAAAATACTCAATTGCCAATATTAAAGAGAATTTATAACTTTTAAGCAAAGGTCACATATTTCAACAAAAATATTTTATACATAAAGTAATGATAGGTCTTAATTTGGCAGTTTTCTGTGTTTCTGTGTAAGCCTTTTGTGCAGGTGGTAGGGGGCATGACTGAAAGTATTACAGTTAGCTGCAATTATTATAATAGAAACCAATTCTAGCTAATTTAAGCAAAATGACCGTTTATCAAAAGGACAGACACAAGCTAGATGACAACTTCTAGAATGGTGAAGACCCACATGAATTTCTCTGCAGTGAACCAACTATAATGTAAAACATCCAACTAGTTAATCTTTGGAAATTTTCATAAGGACGTAAAACAAATGGATAAACATTTATTCAAGAAAATCTGTTGAATTTCATCAGAATTCTGTGGCACTTGAGTTACGACTCACTCTTCCTATCTTAATTCACCATGGTGTAAATTTCAGTCCAGGTAGATGAGGCCAAAAAACAGGGCTCCTTCTGTCCCCAACACCTGCATTTCATTTAAGGACTATAGCATTTCCCTGGGAGAGGCGATTTGCCATATTTCCTTATCTTTCCAAGCTTCATGTTGGAGAGGCTAAAATCAAACTTTCTGCAGCTGGGAGGTCAAGAACACTCCTTTTCCACACAGTCCTGAAAAAATTAGAGCAATAAGCCAGTAATTAGTTAGCCTAATAGCTGAGTGTTATACCAACAGAAGCACACAGATTAAAAAAGAGATCAAAAATAGAGGTAACAAGAACCCTGCTAACACCACTGTAATCTCACAAACACTAGACACATGCCCCACACTCTACTTTTTGAGGAGTGAAGATAAAGTCTACACATTGTGGGAGATAATAGGCTTTATCCAAATAGCCTAACCAAAGAACTAAACAAATAGATAAGCCAATAACAATAAGCCCTGGATGTGGTCAGTAGGAAGTTAGCAAAATACATTATCTAAAATGGGCATATTAAATAAAAATTATGATGATAAATGAACAGGCAATAGAAACTGCCTGTCAGAGGGGTCAGATGTAAAACTTAGCAGACAGAAACTTCCAAGAAGCCATTATAATCATGCTCAAAGAAATAAAGTTATAAAAGTAAACCATAATTACACAAGAAAAGACAAAAATTCCAAACATAGAATGTAAAGTGATAAATGTCATAGAAGGTCTGAATAAAAATTCTATATTTGAAAAGTAAAATCATAAAAGAGAAACTCACTGGAGGGTCCCAACAATAGATTTGAATAGTTTAATAGAGATTATGTTATCCTCAGAAAAGAGGGAGAAAAAAAGATGTGAGAAAAATGAATATAATCCCAAAGAAATATAGGCAAATATTAAGCAGAAAAAACCTATGTATAATTGAAATACTAGAAAAAGAGAGGGAGAAAAGAACAAAATAAATATTCAAAGAAATAATACCTTAAAATGTCCCAAGTTTGATGAAATTATAAAGCTAACATCAAAGAAGTTCAAGAAACTTTACCTAAAATAAGCCAAAAGGATTGGGTCAGGCATGGTGGCTCATTTCTGTAATCCCACCACTTTGGGAGGCAGGGACAGGAGGATTGCTTGAGGCCAGGAGTTAGAGACCAGCCTGGGCAACATAACAAAAACCCACCTGTATAAAAAATAAAACATTAAAAAAATTAGCCAGACACAGGTACATGTTTGTGGTCCTAGCTACTCTGGAGGCTGAGGAGGGAGGATCACTTGAGCCCAGGGGTTCAGGATTACAGTCACCTACGATTATACCACTGTACTCCAGCCTGAGCAGGGTGAAAGAGCAGGATCCCATCTCAAAAAGAGATTCAATCTAGACACTTTTCAGTAAAAATATCGAGAGGAAGAGAGAAAAAATCTTGAGAGTACCAAGAGAAAAAATAACATATCAGATAAAAAGAAACCCCGATAGTATTTATAGTTAATTTCTCATCAGAAATAACAGATACCAGAAGGCACTGGGGTGACATATTCAAAGTGCTGAAAAATACACTTTTAAGCAAGAATGTTATATTAAGCAAAAGCAAAACAAGGTTTTAAAATTAAGGCAAATAAAAACATCCCCAGATAAAGAAACACTGAAAGAAGTTGTTGCTCACAAATCCACCTTACAAAAAATACTAAAGAGGCCAGGTGTGGTGGCTCTCTCTTGTAATCCCAGCACTTTGGGAGGCCGAGGCAGGTGGATCACGAGGTCAGGAGTTCGAGACCAGCCTGACCAACATGGTGAAACCCTGTCTCTACTAAAAATACAAAAATTAGCCAGGCACAGTGGTGCACACCTGTAATCCCAGCAACTCAGGAGGCTGAGGTAGGAGTGACCTGAGATCATGCCACTGCACTCCAGCTTGGGTGACAGAGCAAGACTCTGTCTCAAAAAAAAAAAAAAAAAAAAAGGGAAAAGAAATACTGCAGAAAGTTCTTCAGAAAGCAAATGATCCTAAAAAGAAATGTTCAAATCCATGCGTGTGCACACATATGCAATGAAGAGTACTGGTAAAGGTAATTATGTAGACAATTAGACTGTGTAATTACATTTCATCTCCTTTCATCTCTTAATTTCTTTAATTATCAATTATATAAAGTAATGTGTATATAATTTTACTGTTGAGCCTGTGACATATAGAAATGTAAAATATTTGGCAATAAAAGCAAAAGGAGGTGGGTGAGAGCAAAGCTATATTGGAAAAAGGAAATGACACCAGAGAGTAACTAGAATTCACAGGAACAAGTAAAGAAAACCAGATATGGTAAATAAGAAAGTTATTATTACAAACTCTACAATTATATGCTTGATGTTATTTCTTCTCTCAGCTTTATAAAAAATTAAAATTATATAAAATAATAATTTTTACAACAGAGTGTTGGATGTGTAACACATACTGATGTAGCATGTATATCAATAATGTTACATAAAGGAGGAAGAAGAAATAGACCTATATAGTAACAATGTTTTGTATTTCATTGGAATTAAATTAGTAAAAATTTGTAGAGGATTAGGGTAAGATAAGATATATATGGTAACCCCCAAAGGAAACACTAAAAATTTTTAATAAATAAAAATTTATAAAAGGAATAAAAATATTGTACAAGAAAATATTCACTTATCCTAAAAGAAAACCATGAAGAAGGAATAGAAGAACAAAGAAGACATGAACAAAATAGAAAATAAAACCAAAAGAGAAGATCATGTTCTAACTTATGAGAAATTATCCTAAATGCAAATGAATTAAACACTTCAATCAAAAGGCAATGGGATGCAGTGAAAGTAGCCATGCTTACAGGGAAATGTATAACTATGTTGGATATATTTAATGAGTAGAAAGATAACACATAGAAAACTTAACCTTTAATGTTGACACTGAACACCAAAAAAAAAAAAAAAAAGCACATTAATGCTAGAGCAAGCACGTGGAAAGAAATAATAAGGATTAAGGAGAAATTAGTGAAACATGGAATAGTAAAACAAAAGAGAAAATCAACAAAACTAAACATTAGTTCTTTGACTGTATCAATGAAATTGATGAAATGTAAGCTAACCTAACCAAGACAATAAAGGTAGAAGACTAAGTCAGAAAGGAAAGAGGGCACTAATGACTTTCGAGAAGTAAAAGGGATCATAAGGGAATATATATGACAAACCATTGTATACCCACAAACTAGATAGAAGAAATGGACAAGTTCCTAAGAAGACAAAACAACGACAACTTATTTAAGAAGAAATGGAAAATGTAAATAGGCCTATAACTAATAAATCAAGAGACTCAATTGGTACTTTAAACATTTCCCAGAAAATAAAAAAAGTACAGGCTTGTTGTATAAGGCCAGTATTATCCTAAACCAGATAAAGATATCATAAGAAAAATAGCAGACTAAATCCAGGGAACATGTAAATAGAATGATGTACCATGATAAAGTGGGATTTACCCCAGGAACACAAGTTTGTTTTAACATCTGAAAATCAATGTAATACACTGTATCAAAATACAAAAACTGCATGAGTATCTCAATAAATACAGAAAAACATTTGACAAAATCCAACACATTTTTAATAAAAAATACTTAGTGATCTAGGAATTGAAAGAAACTTCCTCAACCTCATAAAAGGCATCTACAAAAATCTAGGACTAAGATCATAGTTAATGGGGAATGACTGAGTGATCATAAAAAATACAAAGATATTGACTCTTGCTATTTCTTTCTAACATTGTAATGGAAGTTCTAGGCAAAATAATTAAGCAAGAAAAGGAAATAAAAGGTAGTTTATGTCTTAACAAGAAATAAATTAAACTATTTTCAGATGACATTATCTTATATTTAGAAATTTCAAAGGAAACTAGTAAAAAATAGAATAAATGAGTTTAACAAGGTTGCAGAACAAAATATTGATATACAAAAATCAATTATCTGTATATATATTAGCAGTGAACAATCTGCAATGATTCTGTGTACAATAGCATTAAAAATAATATAACACTTAAAAATATATTTAACAAAGCCAGTGAAAAAATTATATGCTGTGAACTATAAAACATTGTTGAAAGAAATTAAGGAAAAACTAGAGAAGTGGAACAAACCTTGTTTCTGGATCAGAAGACGTAGTTATTATTAAGATAGCAACACTCCCCAAGTTAATCTACAGATTCAAAACAAACATTATCAAAATTTCAGCTGAATTTTTTTTGAAGAATTTGACAAACTAATACTAAAATTTATATGAAAATGGAAGGGATTAAGAACAGCCAAAACAATCTTGAGAAAGGAAAACAAGGTTTAGGGACTCACACATCCTCGTTTTAAAACACTGCAGCTTGAATTGCCACCATTTTAATCAGTAGAAAAGTGAAGGACCTGCTGCCTTTATTGTTGTTGCAAGAAAAAACTTCCTCTTATGTCAGTAGCTCTAGGATGAACTATGATGATTAGCTAAGCTTAGGAACACCTTTCTAAACATGTTGGTCAAAAATCTGGGAAAGTGAGGAGAGTGTCTCCAGCCAAATAATCGCAGGCAAGATCAGCCTTTAGTTAGTACTTACAAGGTAAGGAATCCCTCAAATATAGAAAAAAATGTGCTGATACTGGGCAATCAAAACATGAAAAATGTCCACCCTGATATGAATATGGATGTGGGTACTCTAATTTAAAACAAACTGTGAAGGCCCCTACATATATATTTATTAAAAAGTTCTACAAGTTTTTAATACCAAAATCTTAAGCAGCTGAGACATTTTCTTCTTTTTCTGTCAATCAGTATTTTCTAAATATTTTAAACAATGAAATAATATTTATTTTTAATAGAAAAATTATTTTATTTTAATTATTTTTAAAAATGATAACCCAAATAGTTTTCAGTCACTGCTTTATTTTTTATAACTTTTAATTCCTCTAAGTATTCATAGGAACACCCAACTTGAATACTATAGCAATTCCTTCACAAGCATGTTTTTTAATTTTAATTAAATTGATGATATATGCATGGCACATTGAAAATAAAAACGATGCTTTTCACTTGTACCTTTTGGAAAGCTGCACATATCATCATCATATCTGTCATTAATGATTCAGTCATATACTCATAAATCTTCCATGAACAGTGTAGTCTATTTCTAATGAAAGCTTTCAGTTTAGAATAAGAAGCATTCGACTGAGGCATTTTCAAAGTTTTCTTTCATTCAAATTGCTGAGGAAGCTTTAAGTGCCCTGCTGTCCAAATGACTTAGTGAAATTAATGATCCAGATTCAAAGTTAAAGCGTCTGTATTCTTTCTGGAAACTAAATCAGAACACCAGAAACTGGGAGAAAGCATGCCAGGGAGTTGCACTAATAAGCCTGTGATACCAGTGCTTTTCTAAGGCACCAATAAATCAACATTATTTCAAATTCCCTTGGTTCCCTAAAAAGAGCAATTATGCTAGTCAATATAGTAGGGTTGGGCCTGGAATCTGAATCATATGCCAAGTGTGGTAGAAATGTTTTTATTGAAGCTCTCAGGCAACAGTTTAAATAGTTTTTCAAATGAGATATGATTTTGGGATAAAGTTAAAAACACAGAAAGTGCAGTTTAATAAGCTGGACTGTTCATAGCCGGACAGTTACTAGGTGTCTGACCTTAGAAACCATTACAGAAAGAAAATATTACATGAAAACAGGATGCATTAAAACAATGAGACTATATTCCACCCAAACCAGAAAGATAAATACATTGTATATATCTATAACTTTACTCCACAGGCAATTGGAGGGATGAATGCACATAATTTAATAAATATAATTAACTTTTAAGAGGGCTCTTTCTCTGGGTTATTTATGTATTTATTAATTAATACAGCAAATATTTACTGACCACCTACCATGTGCCTGGCATTCTAGTGATGTTTGTATGCACGTGGCAGCAGAATGAGGAATAATGAGGTGGAGGTTGTACATAAAGCCAAGTAGCTCATATTATTGAGGGGTGTGTGTGTGTGTGTGTGTGTAGAGTAGCTCAAAAGATGCATATGAAAATATCATACACACACACAGACACACATACATAGAAACACACACAGATACACACACACATGCATACACACACACACACACACACACACACACACACACTTACCAAAACATAAGGGGTTCTATCATCCTTATTTAGAATTTTGGGAGTCCAGAGAGAGTCTGATTCAATTTCTGCACTTATTTTAATGTAACATACTAAAACTTCTAGTAGGCCTTTTAGCTATATGGTCACTAAGGTATTTTTTAACTTGAAAATTTTAAAATTATTCTATATATCAGTTATATCAATAAATTTGAATAGGCTGAAGTCACCTATTAAAAAGAAAATTATTTTCAAAATTGTCTAGCAAAGAAATACCCAACTATAATCTGTATACCAGAGACATGTCTAAAGAATAATACAAAAAGGCTAACAAAACCGTGGAAAATATATATACTAGGCAAATAGAAACAATAAAGTAGACATTATTTTGCTGATTTCAAAGTGTAATTTGCATTAAGAAGTATCAAATTCAACAAAGGACGCTTTTACTAATGCTAAAGCCAATAATTTAGAATAATTATATAAGTTATATACACAAAATGATAGTAATTATCTTCATAAAGAAAAAATTACAGGAAATACATGAATACATAGATAAAAATACACTAATATAAGAACAATTTTAAATTCCACTTTCTGTACAAGACATATCAGTGGCCAAAAAAGCAAGTAAGAATACAGAGGACCTGATCAACCTAATCAGTAAGGACAACCTTATGGCTACATATTGAAGTATACATCCTGATAATAGCAAACACACATTCATCTTAAGAATATTGGAACTGTCACAAAATATAATCATATGTGGGGAATTTAAGAAAACTAGTAAGTTCTATAAAGTAGAAATATTATAACAGCATACACTAGTATCACAATAGAATAAAACTAGGAACTGTTAAAATAAAATTAAAATGAAGACCAAGCCTGAAAAATTCCTGGCAAACAAAACCAAATAGACCTTAAAAATAGCCTGAACCTTGCTTAAACTGCAAGCGTAAGTGGAACTTTCCATGGGACATTTCTGATAAATGCTTATGTTAGACAGAAACAAAGTCCTGCTAATGATGAGCAGCCAGCTAACATGTGGTTATGTGACTAGAGACTTTTCAATAAGGTAAACCAAAAAAGGGCAATTTGTAACTACAACCAACCATTGACCCTGTAAATACTTGTCTATGTCACCTTGTCATTGGAACACTAAACCTCTTTCAGCTTGGCATTTCCTGATTCAAGAATTGCTTACTTAAACTCTTTAAAATTGTATTATGCCTAAGAGTTTTCTTTTACAGTTTGGTGGCAGAAGTGAGATATGAAGGCAATCACCAGTGACTCCTGGGAGTATCATGGAGCCAGGTGAAAGGTCCACACGGAGCTCATTGTGCCCACTGCTTTCTTCCTGCAACCGGAGTTCCTGAATAAGTGTCTTTCTTATTCTGTGCTCCACATTTTACATCCTGAGCTTTCTGAGTTTGAGTAAATTTGTTCCAATTTGGTGTGGAGATTGGACTGAGTATTCAACAGGAACTAAACTGGTTCCAGTTGGAGGCATTGGGTAGGTAAAAGCTTAGAAGGACTGAGTGTGATGGGTTTATAAGCATTAAGGAGTCAGGGACTTCTCTATTTGGAATGCTAGCTAATTTTATGTTCAAAAATTATGGACTCAAAGCCTGCACCTTTCTAGAGACATGGTTGTACCTACCTTGCCGGAGATGATTTAGAGTTGCAGTGGAGAAGTTTTATTTGAGATAAAAGTATTCATTTATTGAATCTATTGGCAAGGAAGCAACCTTGAACACCCCAGTATCAATGGGATGCATTTTGTAATGGATATAGAGTCTTCTAAAAGACTTACTGATTACAAAATTGACTCTCTAAAAAGACCCTTTACTAAAGGGAAATAAGGCATCTAAAACTTAAACAACAAATTGAGGGTGAAAATAAATAAAATTATATGGTAACTGATGTATCTATGAGCATTTTTCTCCCTTTATCCTCCTCTACCTTCTCTAAAGGTTATTTTGAACCTTTAACCCATTTATTCAACTATCTTCTTGCCCTGAACTTACTAACTCTTTTGCTCAACTATCCTTTTGCCCCGAGAATAACGAGAAAAAGACAGTTAGCTTAATGTCTTATAAGGCTAGATCTTCAGAACAGCCAGATCTGGCTCTTGTAACTACTTTTACTCTTTGGTCAAAAACTAAACTCAGAGCTATAACAAAAGATATTTCAAATATTAGAGAAAATCCATTAAAGAATTACTGAGGAATTTAGAATCTTCATAGGGGCCTATAACCTGGTGATCCCTGATTTGAATCAGTTTATGCACATGATATTATAACCTGGGGAAGAAAATAAATAGGTAACTACAGGGAGATGGGATAAGCCTCAGGAAAGTGCTGATGACCTTTCAAGAGACACTTCTAGAAATGGCTCTTAAGTTGCCTGAAAAACTTATAGAAGATATTCCCATTGTCTTCCCAGAAAAGATTGACTGGTACATTATTAAATCATATAAATAGAAAAAAGAGATACATTTCTTTCTGATTTCAGGGCTAAATTGGAAGTCTTAGTTGTTAAACACTCTGGTCTTAAAATATAGCAGCATGTATTTCCTGGTGGAACTGAAATGGTTCTTAATGGCCCTATTCATTAATTGGCTTTGACCAGAGCTGCATGACCTGATAAAAACAAAATAAAAAAAAAAAACAACAACCCATAAGATTGAATGGGAAGTCACTGATATGACTGAAGCAGTCCCCATAGCTGAATATTTTGAGAGCACTTTAGAACAAGAAAAGAATCAAATGCTGAAATAAAACAGTGAAAAGATTGTTTCTGCATTAGATGAAATTCCCGAGAGCTTGACTCTTGAAACAATAATCAACACGGATGGGGCTACAAGAGATTTTCCACTAAGTTATTCTCATAATATCCTTAAATAAACATAGGGAAACTAAGATCTCAATCAACAGGGAACTATGTATAGTGTTGGTGGATGCCAAAGCCACCTTATCCACTTTAAACCCCAGCCTACTAAATCAACAAATCTCTTGGAGTAAAGAAAATATTTATGTGGTAGTGTTTTCAAATTAAGGTCAGAGAATTCCTGTGTCTAAATTAGTCCAAATGACTCTTAGGCCATTCTCAGAAAGGCATGCCTTCCTACTATGTAATATCATTCCAGTAAATTTACTGGGATGAGCTATGCTTTCCTAATTGAGAGGACGCATAACATTCTCTTCAGAAGGATAATTATTCCTAGAGTTTCCTGGCCCTCCTGAACCTCAATTGTTCTGTTCCCTACAAACAGGAGTTTATAATGTTGAACCCAAAACTTACGGGAAAACCAGATCTCTCTGAAGTACCCAAATATATGTGGGCTTCTTCTTCAGCTGACATAGAAAAAATTAAATGTGCTAAACATATGAAAGTTCAAATAGACTATTCTAAGCTATTGCCTAAATTGCCCCAATACCTGCTAAAGTCAGAGGCAATTTAAGGACTTTCACCTATTGTGGAAGATTAGTAAAACAAGGACTTACAATTCCTTCTGTTATTCCCTGTAAGACTTCAATTTTACTAGTTAAAAAATCGAATGGGGCCCGGCGCGGTGGCTCACACCTGTAATCCCAGCACTTTGGGAGGCCGAGGAGGGTGGATCATGAGGTCAGGAGATCAAGACCATCCTGGCTAACACGGTGAAACCCCGTCTCTACTAAAAATACAAAAAATTAGCTGGACGTGGTGGTGGGCGCCTGTAGTCCCAGCTACTCGGGAGAGTGAGGCAGGAGAATGGTGTGAACCCGAGAGGTGGAGCTTGCAGTGAGCCGAGATCGCGCCACTGCGCTCCAGCCTGGGTGACAGAGCAAGACTCCGTCTCAAAACAAAACAAAACAAAACAAAACAAAACAAAACAAAACAAAATCGAATGGATGGGGTTAGAGATCTGTTCAAGGCATATATACAATAAATAAAATTAGGGTATGCATATTTTCTGTGGTTGCAGATCCTAACACTTTGTTATCTAATGTGCCTACACATTCTAAGTCGTTCACGGTGATACAACTCTGCTCCGTCTTCTTTAGTATTCCAGTTGTTAGGAGAGCCAACACTTGTTAGCCTTTACCTGGAAAAATCAGCAATGTACCTGAACTGTAATGCCACAGGGGTTCACTGAAACCCCATCTTATTTCTTTCAGGCATTACACTAAGACTTGTCAATTGTAAAATTTTCTAGAAATTCCACTCTAATTCAATTTGTTCATGATCTACTGTTATCTTCTTTTATCAAGATTCAATTTATCTTTTACAGCAGTTAGCTTACAAGGGTCATATGGCCTTTATGGAAAAACTTCAGTTCTCTTCATAAAAGGTCCACTACTGAAGACATAGTTTGACAACAGAATGAATTTCCCTTTTACCTGAAAAAGTGAAGATAATTGAAGGGTTTCTTAGTCTGACAACTCAAAGACAATTAAAAGGTTTTGAGCTTTGCAACAACCTGTAACATTAGGGCTCCCAAGTAATAAATAATTTTTCCTTGTTTGTTCACAAATGTGATCATCAAGCCTTGGAAGTCCTTAACTCAGGAACAATGACATTAACCTATTGGTTATTATGTCCTACAGATAGATGCAGTGGCCAGAGCATATCCAATTTGTCTAAAAGCAGTGGCCACAGCAACTAGATTGTTAGAAACCTAATCTCACTTAGTATTAGAGAATGAGCTTTACCTACAAGTTCCACATGCAGTCAAAAACTTATTAAATTGCAATTACACCTAACATTTTTCCTCAAGTAGACTAACAATATATGAAATCCATCTCTTTTTATCTTCTAATCTCCATCTCAAATATTATATTCTGTTTAACCCTACCACTGTGCTGCCTTTGATTGAAGATGGAGAAGACTATAAGTGTGACATTATAACTATTGACTCTTCACATTGACTTACAGGAAACTACTAGGTAATCCTGAATTAATACTTTATGTTGATGGATCTTATGCAAAAATTATAGAAGGGAAATATGAAGAAGGATATGCTGTAACTAATTAACATGAACTAATAGAAAAGGAAACACTCTCACAATTTTATTTAGCACAACTTGCAGAATTATATGCTCTTACTAGGCTTGTTGTAGATAAATCGATTAATATGTATGCAGATATTACATATGCCTTTGGAGTTGTCTGTGATTTTGGAATAGTACAGAAACAGAGAATTTCTCACTTCCAGTGGAACCCCACCAAAAATGGGGTTCAATAGGATAAACTTCTTTCAGCTATTCTGCTACATTCATAGGTTGCTATTATTGACATTGATGCTTATACTTGTAAGACAACCTGAATATGAAAGAAATGCATTAGTAGGCTTTCATATCAGGTCAGAGAGCACTAAAATTATTAAAATATTTAATTTTCATGAACTTCATAAAACGTATCCCAATCAGATCACTTATGATAATTTGTTCAATAAAAAATGCTGTGCACCTGAATTGGAACAACAAAAATAGCATATAAAGTGATGCAAATTTAAATGTTAAATGGGACCTACTGAAGGCCTAGACAGTCATTTCATGCTTCCTGAGTTCCTAAAATTGCTACTGTTAAAGGTTCTTTACTCCACAACCCATCACGAAGTAGACAAAACGGTTCAAATTATGAAAAAGAACTTATGGGGTGATTGTTCTAAAGCAGTCAAAATGGTTTATAACCAATGTCTGACTGGTTAAACTCATAATACTAAAAAAAACCCTGAAGGTTTCCAGTGGCATATTTCTACCATATGCTGGACAATTTGAACATCTGCAGATGGATTTCATTCAATTGCCAACTTCAATTGGATATCAATATATTCTTGTGATTAAGAGCCTTTTTTTAAAGAGGGATTGAGGCTTTTCCTTGCAGAAAGAATGATGTCACAACAGTAGCAAAACTATTAAAATATTTGTTTCCTTTGTGGGGCATCCCTAAATAAATTTCTGGCAATAGGGCATACCATTTTACTGGACAGATTATCAAAAAATTAAATGAGATTTTACAAACCCAATGACACTAACATTGCCTTCATCATCCTCAGTTTTCTGGAAAGATTGAAAGAGCAAATGGTATCTTAAAAGTAAAATCTTAAAACTAAAATTAGCTAAGCTAACAGAGTTGACTGAATTACCTAAGCCAAAAGTTTTACCACTGACCTTAGTGGCAATTAGATCAATTCCTATGGGTACAACAAACTGACTCCTTATAAAATAATTAATGAAATACCTATGCCATTTATAATGGAACACCATGTTTTTCCTGCACTTGTTAAATCTGACTCAATACTGCAAGACCTTGATGCATTATTCCAAAGTATATTTTCACCAAATGAAAGATGGTTTCTGTGACCCATTTAGCAATGGTGATCAGGCCTTTCATTATCTAGAATCTGGAGATTGGGTCTTTTTGGATATAACACCACAGAAAAACTGCCTTTGAGCATCACTGGAAGATACTATATTTGGTTCTTTTTACCACACACACTGCAGCAAAATCTCAGGGTCTTGAGCCTTGGGTCAATGTCTCTCAAATAAAGAGAATTCCCTTAGACTTTTGTACTTGTTAAATACAGATGACTTAAAATTAAGGCTATGCAAAGGAGAGCCTTCCCTAGAAGCAAATGACATCATGAAGTAGACAGCTTTACCAATATGGGGAACAAGAGTCCATTTGACTCCACTCCATTGACTAAAACTTGTTTCTATTTTACATTAACAAAAAATGTTCAAACTCTTATTTTTTAGGAAATTTTACTATTTATACTGCATATCTTCTATAGTCTACTGTTGAAAATATAGCTACTTTCATTAGTGAAAGCAATTGCTGGCTATGTAGTCATCTAGATGAATGGGCACAACCACCATGAATACTAGAACATGCACCAGTACACACTTGGGTGATCAATTTAGGAAGCTGGATTTATAAAAAGTTTGGTATCCTTACTTTGGCAGGCATATTTATGCTCAAATGACTTGGCACTGGCAAAAAGCAATAGAAACAAGGGATACCCTATAGCTATTGATTTTATTACTGGTAATTTATCTTCAGGCATAGAAAACCTTAATGGAACTGGACCTAATCTAGGCTATATTACACACTCCTTCTGTAATGAAACACTTTGATTTTACATAAATAATGAAGACTAGACTTTTATATATAATGACACAGATATAAAATCAGAACATGACAATGATACCCTCAACCATGTTATCAGACAACTCCTCAAAACTAGACATGGGTTTATTGGAAACTCTAAAGGCAAATGGAATGCTTCTTTAGTTCCACTATCTAAAATAAATGATAGTCTTATTTATTGGATATATCAATATCTAAAGCATATTTGAGGAGGAAATCAATAATTCTTAGTTGGTTATGGCATACATGGGTTACTTTATCAAATTCATAAAATGTTTTTTGTTTCTACTCCTATCTAAACCATACAAGTTTAGCCTAGCAATATGTAGATGCAGATATGACAACAAATAACCATGACATTTATATCACCTCCAACTGGTGGGTGATAGGATCCACTTTGATCCTTTTCCTTTAATAGTACTGGATTATTCGTTGTGTGTGGCAACAACATATATAAAAGTTTTCTACATAAATAATCTGAATGCTGTGGTTTGGGCTATCTCCTACTTAAAATGACCAGATATGACTTTTTAAATGCAAGTCAAACTAATTTAGTGTCATTCATATGTAAAGCGACCCCTACAAATGAGCCTCTTATGATCTTCCAAACCCAATTATACAAAGGGGTTCCAGATTTCATTATTTTGTAAGAATTATTTTTTTCTCAGTTGGCAGTCTCTAAATTGAAAACATGCTTATTAATATTCCAGCAAGTATCATTTGAAAAAAGTTCAAATGATACTTTGAATTATCCTAAAATAGTACAATCTGGCATAAATAATTTGGCCTCAATAGTACTCCAAAATAGTAGTTGTATTGATATTTTAACGGCTTGAGAGGAATTTTTGCCCTAATTGTGAAAAGTGTTATTTCTATGTTAACAAATCAGACATGCCTTCAATTTAAAAGATCTTAAATACAAGTACATTTTTTTTTAATCAGATAAGCACTGCCTCCTGCAATTATTTATTCAGTTGGTTAAATCTTGGCTTCTGGTAATCTTTGCTCAGAGGAATTTTTCAATCCTTGGCTATTGTTCTCTTTATAGTTATTATGTTTACCTCTTACTCCATGTGTTGTATTCTTTCGAGGGTTTTAAATGCTTTCCAGCCGTTCCTTTCATGTCAGATGATTTCCATCATGGTCAGACAAGGAAACCAATACTGACTATGGAATTGCTGATGGTGGTTATATGACGCTAAACCCTAGTGAACCTATTGATAATAACAACATCTACTTGACTCTTTGTTCCAGCAATTACATCAATAGTGGTAACTGAGATTAATGTTATGCTATTTGGTCACATTCTTAGCTTGCTGAGAGAATGACCAAAAGAGGGGAATTGTTAATGCAAAGTTAAAATAGGTACTAGGCCTGTAAATTCCTGAGCAAAACCAACTGGGCTTTAAAAATAGCCTTAACCGGTTGATGCAGTGGCTCTCATCTGTAATTTCCGCACTTTAGGAAGCCAACTCAGGAGGATTGCTTGAGTCCAGGGGCTTGACATCAGTCTGGGCAACATAGTGAGATCCCATCTCTCCCTCAAAATTGGAAATATTAGCTGGGCATAGTGGTGTACATGATCACAGATCACGCCTGTCTCAAACACCTGGGCTCAAGGTATCCTCCCATCTTGGCACCTCCCTTGGGCCCAGATTTCTTGGGCCCAGGTGTTTGAGGCTGCCATGATCTATGATCACACCACTGTACTCCAAACTGGGCAACAGAACCAGACCCTGTTTCAGAAACAATAAAAACAATGAAAATAGCCCTAACCTTGCTTAAATTGCAAACATATGGAAAATTTAACTAGGGTCATTTCTGACAAATGCTTATGTTATACAACCTCAGCCATTGATAAGCAGTCAGTTAACATTTGGTTATTTAGGCACTTTCCAACCATGCTATGGTTTGAATGTTCTAAAACTCATGTTTAAATTTAATGTTAGAGGTGGAACCTTTGGGAGGTGATTGGATACTGAGGACTTTGCCCTCAAGAATGTATTAATGCCATTATTGTGGGAGTGAGTTAGTTATTGAGACAGTGAGTTCCTGATAAAAGAATAAAGCTTGGTCCTCATTTTCTCTCTGTCTTGCACACTCCCAATGTGATGCCTTCCTCCATGGGATGAAATCCTCACCAGATGCCAGCATCATGCTCTTGGATTTTCCAGCCTCCAGAACCATGAGCCAATACATCTATTTTCTTGATAAATTACTCAGTTTGTTGTATTCTGCTATAGCAGCAGAAAATGGACTAAAAAGATAAACCAAAAAAGGGAATTTTGTAACTGCAACAATCAAATAATTTATTTGCTTCTGTACTCACCTTCTAATTCATAACTACCTGCTTCTGAAAATTTGCCTTTGGAACGCTAAACCTCTTTCAGTTTGGTGTTTCCAAATTCATGAATTGCTTCTTACTCAAATATACTCTTTAAAATATTATTGTGCTCAGATTTTTATTTTGTAGAACTAATAACAATATAAAGAAATTCAGGCCCTTTAACCTGAAAATGAAAAAAATCATATAATAAATGACTTGTGAGTGAAAAAGAAAATTAAAATTATAGAGTTTCTAAAAATTAATAAGAAAATATAATAAATCAGAATCAATGGGACATATTTAAATAAGAATCAATGGAAAATTAAAATATACACAAATAAATGAATTCATAACCATAAAAGACGGAAAACAATGGGATTAAGTTTCTATCTAAAATGCTAAGAAAATGGTGCATTCAAAGCAAGTGTAAGAAACAAAATGATTAAATTAAAAGCAAATGTCTTGAAGAGCATAGAAATATATGTAGAGCATAGAAAAAACAAATAGATGGACTGCTAGTCAACTTAATCGAGGGAAAAAGGAAACATAAATATAAAATAAGATATGACAAAGGGAAAATAACCATTGAAACAGAATACATTCAAAAATGTTTTAAGAGACTACGTTATAGATTGCTGTGACCACAGTAGAGATGGAAAGCTTAACTATGTCAATTTCCATTGAAGAAAACAGAGAATGGTATTTTAAAAAAACATATAAATACAAATCCTAGATCAGAGTTCTACCAAATGTCCAAAGACCAAAGATAGCCCCAGTGATATGTATAACTTTCTCCAGAGCCTAGAAAATGAAGGAACTTTTGAAATTTCTCTTTAACAGTAATACCTAAACCTGATAAAGGTTGAAGACAGGAAGGAAATTACAGACTGATATCACTTATGCAAAACTAGAATAAAACCTTTTTAACAGAAGCCAATGTCACAAGAAGAAAATAATACCCAATGATCAAGTGAGATTTATGAGAAGAATGCAATATTTGTTCACTATTAGCAAATGTATTAATATGATATAACATATTAATAGATCTAAGCAAAACGCAATACATGATTATCTTCATAGACGCTAAAAAATCCTTTGACAAACACAATATCCACTTGTAATTGAAAAATACCCAGAATATTGGAATTGGCTATTTTACAGACATTGGATGTTATTTTGAATACAATGGGAAGTTAACGAAGAATGTTTAAGCAAAAGCAGTAACATGAGCTAATTTGTTTTCAAAAATACCACTCTGGTTCCTGTGCAGCAAATAAAAGACAAGAGGGCCAAGAGCAGAAACAGGGAGTCCAGGAGTAGCTACTTCAGTAAATTTCTGGTCTTGACCTGAGAGAATCCACATTGCAAGGAAAGAAGAAACAAAGAACCCTTCAGGAAACAGCCTTAGAAGAGGCCTAACCTATTTTCAGGTCATGGGTTGCAATGAAAAGCCACCACAAATTCTGGGGAAGTTAGTTAAACTTTGTGACCTATTTTATACATAGTTTCTTTTATACAGAAGTAATTATTGTGTGAGTTTTTATCATAGATTTATCAGACATTTCAACTCATATCTTTTCTAGGAGAAAATTCTAACAGTTGTGTTTGTTAAATTTAAACAAATAATTCTTTTTATTCAATTGCTATTATTTTTAAGTGTTAATGTATCCAGCCATAATAGCATTTTATTGATCTACATTTTTAATTACACATTCCATCACTGAAAGTTAATCTGATAATGATTATCCATTGAGTAAACATTGAATGGTAATTAGAAGGCTAGAGATGCTCTTGGGTAGTGACAGGGAAAAGTGATCATTCTCTCCATTAGAAATAGCATAATTACCGCACAAGACTAAGGAAAATGCATAGAATTCATTAATGAGTACATATCAGGCCTTGTTTGTGTTTCTATGAGAAACCCTAAGCTTATGCCTAGAACTTGACATTCAAGTGAATCTGGAAGAAAATGTTTGACCAACTGGGCATAGGTGCCGGTCTAGGTAAGCCTAGAAAAAAATGGCTCCTACTTACTGTTAAGTCAGAAATTATTTTTATTAGACATTATTTTCCTTCTCCCCTTTTTTACTGGAATTATTATGTCATCTGGATTTGTTATTTGTCTGTTTTTAAGCTCATTGTGTGTATGTTTCACACACACACACACACACACACACACACACACACACACACACTAATGCAAATGGCTCTGTGCCCTGCTTCAAGGGAACATTTCCGCCTATGATTGAAATTCTACTCCTCTTTCTTCAGAAGAAACAGCAAAACCCATTATCTTGTTTTCTTCGCTGTTACACAAGTGAAATCTATTTTACCCAAAGATCTAATTCATGTTGCTTTTTCACTTAAAATTCTTCAAAAATCCTCAGCAGTTACAGAATAAAGTCCACACGTTTTAACATTGCTTCCATAATCCTGAAGCTACTTTACCTTCTGAACTTCTTCCCTGTGATCTTTCCCAACTCAGTATTTTGGGACACATTTTCCCTTTTACTGGCATATTCTTCTCTTACTTCCTTGTTTGATGTTCTTCTATCCATTCATCAAAACACAGCTCAAATGTGATTGCCTTTGCCTAGAATTCCCTAGCATAGACATTTCTTATTTTGTTTATATGTAGCACATATCTTCATTAGAGTGCTTAAAATATTATTATTGTTTATAGCTTTGTCTCTAACCAATTAGTGAGCTCTTGGTGTTAGGAATTGATTCTTCATTTTAAATTTTTTAATGTTTTTATTTATTCAACAAATATTTATTAAATGCCTACTGTTTGGCAAGTCATGAAGTGATATAAAGTGAAGAAGACGGAAAGAAGCAACTTTAAATGGAGACAGCAGGGCAATTTCCCCTAAGAAGATGATACTTGAAACAAAATTGAAAAATGAGGAGGTGCCAACTAGTGAGGCTCTGCCAGAGATAAAAGCAAGTGGAGACAGGTTTAATACAGACATAAGATTGGCATGTCTGGGAACAGAAACAGACCCTTGAGACTGGAGAGGGAGGGATGGAGAAATGATAGAATGAACCAAACTCCTCTCTGTTTTCACAGATGGCGTACTGAGCCTGGAAAACAGAAAGATTTCTCCAAAGTAACTTCCTGAATAAACGTTGTGTTTAAAAGAAATGTTAATTAACCAAGTTGTTTAGAATGATATAATTTAATAACTGAAGAGATGTTTAGAATCCATCAAATCTTACCTTTTATCACAGATGGGAAAAATAATAATAGCCAGTCCCTGAGACCAATTTTCTAAGATATATTTATCACATGAAATCATTTCAGAGAAAATAAGCAAGAAATGAACAAGGTTTTTAATGGCAATTCTACTGAATGTTTAAAAAAACAACATTTCTCATAGTTGTTTCTTGTGCTGATCTTTAAAAACCAAACACCGCATGTTCTCACTCATAGGTGGGAACTGAACAATGAGAACACATGGACACAGGAAGGGGAACATCACACACTGGGGACTGTTGTGGGGTGGGGGGGGGGAGGGGGGAGGGATAGCATTAGGGGATATACCTAATGCTAAATGATGAGTTAATGGGTGCAGCACACCAACATGGCACATGTATACATATGTAACAAACCTGCACGTTGTGCACATGTACCCTAAAACTTTAAGTATAATAATAAAAAATCAGGGCATATTGAATTATTATTCAGTGGGTACATTAAGAACAGAGACTTCAACACTGTGCAATATATGCATGCACTTGTACCCCATAAACATATAAAGGTAAATAAATTTTTAAAAACAAAAAATGAATAAGTTATTATTCAGTGATAGACAACCAATTTAATAAAGTCTAAATATATCAGTTTCTGATTATGTGACTTGATATAAGGACATGTCTTCAAAGATTTAGAAGAGTAGTTTTCAAACCATACAGGCTCTAATACTCAGGAAAGCTACTGAGGGGATCCCAAAGGGCTGAGGGCCCAGCTGGCTGGCTAGTGAAATCACCTTGGATTCTACCTGCACCTAAATAAGATCAATTCTTTTTTTATCCATTTATATATCAAATTTCTGCACAATAATTATTTTAAAGAGAGTTATGCTACTAAGAATAATAGAAATCTGTTGATCTAAAGAAATATTTAGTTGTTACCTGAAGCACAATGTTTCTTTAAGTCACTTTTATATCTACTACTTTTTATATATACTTTTTATATACACTGCTTTTCCTGAGCACAGTGTAAAAGGCCAGGGCAAGCACATACTCACCTCACAAGCCTTATATCTGCACTTTTCCCATCAGTCTTCCTCACATGTGATTCCAACCTGTTACTGACTTTCTTGATACGACCTTAATATTCAGTGTCTCATGTCTCTCTTGCCTTGCTCTTTGGACTTTACATTCTTTACTGTTTTCCCAGCTCTAACCGCAGACCTTGACCCCTCTCCACAGCCCTTCTTCTTTTCTGTAAAGCAAATATATTGCTTTGGGTCACCTCTTCTAAACACTTCTATTGTTTCAATTTAGTAGTGCAACCCTCCTAACCCTGGCAGGACTCCTTGTGATAGTGCTTCCACCAAGCCCAGCTCACATCCTCAGTGAGAACGGCCATTAAGAGATACTGTGCAACAAGGGGCATGTTCTAAAATACCAGTTTCCTATTTAACCCTACTGACAACCTACTTTCGTTCTTTTTTTTTATTTTTTTAATTATACTTTAAGTTCTAGGGTACATGTGCACAACGTGCAGGTTTGTTACATATGTATACATGTGCCATGTTGGTGTGCTGCACCCATTAACTCGTCATTTACATTAGGTATATCTCTTTTCTACTTGATTCCTCCCTTTCTCTTTCTTTCCTCATTTCTTATATGACACAACTGACTACACTCTGTGGTAGTGGAAATAACACAATAAATTAGTGATAGAAATCATGAGTTCTGTGACTAATTGTAGGATAGTGAACATATACCAAATATATCACAGAGGCTCTGTACACATCTCTATTTTATGCTTCCAGAAAAATGACATCACATAGGTGAAAACAACTTAGAAAGTACAAATCGCCACACAGATGTTAATTATTAATATGATTGTGTTTTCAGCTATAGATTTTATTTCAAATGATTTCCCTTTATAGGTGCATTTTATAGCTGTTTACAGCCCTTTCTCCCTGTGAAGACACAGGTTGAATATCTATCTTCCTTTTGAATTATGGAACAATCCCCCTATGTCCGTATTCCATTCTTCAATTACCACCTCTACTTATCCTGCTGCAGAATTAGATAAAAGGTTCACCAAGCCAATTTCTGTATTTGTATAACAGTTCAAGTGTTTTAACAGTATTAATTAGATAAATTCAATCACATGCCAAAACTCAGTGTGTACATAGTACTTTCTAATAGGATAGCCACTTCAGGAAAAATATTGGAGAGGCTCTACTGTAATCTATGTTTAGAGTCATATCATTGTTATCATTCTCCTTTATCTGCAAGTATGACTCACTCAGAAAATGCTTCTTTAATTTTGCCTTTGTTTGCTAGCCCATGTTTTGAATGAACGTATTTTGCCAAACTACTTCAGTTATGGGTAAAATACTTTATTTAGAATGCCACTACGTGTAAGAATAATAGCAATAGTGACACAAAACAATGAAAGTTACATTTATTTGGGGACTGCTATATGAAACATTCAATTGGATGCCAATTTTACAGACAGGGAAACTGAAACTCAAAGAAGTTAAGCCACAGCAAAGTTTAGAGAGCTGGTTAGTGTTAACTGTATATGAAAACAAACTTTCCATATCAATATAAAATAAATACTGGGCCGGGCGCAGTGGCTCATGCCTGTAATCCCAGCAATTTGGGAGGCTGAGGAGGGCGGATCACAAGGTCAAGAAACTGAGGTCCCCCATGTTGGCCAACGTGGTGAAACCCTGTCTCTATTAAAAATTAAAAAATTAGCTGGGCCTGGTGGCATGCACCTGTAATCCCAGCTACTCAGGAGGCTGAGGGAGGAGAATTGCTTGAACCTGGGAGGCGGAAGTTGCAGTGAGCCAAGATCATGCCACTGCACTCCAGCCTGGCAACAGAGTGAGACTCCGCCTCAAAAATAAATAAATAAATAAATAAATAAATAAATAAATAAATAATACTCATCATAAAATAGCACACAATATTAGAGAGTGGTTATAACCTACCACAAAAGATAGTCTTTGAGATAACAAAGTGGAAGAGCTTCGGGATAAATCCAGCTTTAGGCTTACAAGAATCTAGATGGTTCTCTTTAAGAAAAGTAATACAAAATTAAAAATAAAAGTAGAAATTTATTTAGAATAAGAAAAGAAACATTAAGAAATCACAGAACACAAAGATCATAGAAACATAAGAGTATTTTATATTATTTAGCCGCTTAACATACCTTTATAATACTTTTTTTCATTTATTATTTGACTCTATACTCGTTGATTGAATCTTGATATAACAGATTTATAATATTATTATCTACGGAGAGACTACAAAGATAGTTTAGACTTTCTTTAAGTATTGTTAACCAAAAACAACTTTTGATAATAGTTTACAATTATTTTTGGTTCATGATTTTCATCATGTAAATGTTTGGAAATTTTGCTTTTGAAATGATCAATCAGGTTTTCTTTTTACACATGAGTTGACTTATTTTAAAACATGTCAAGTTTTCTCTTACTATGCTGGGTTTTAAATATTCTTGTACTTGTTGACCTTCATTAACAAGATTTTCTTAATATCTTTATGTCATATTCCTAGGTGAGTTAGCAGAGGAGGTGGCAAAAATATACCTGGAAACTGTTGCTACACTGGGCAGATTTATAATAACTAAATTTAGTGATAACTATGCCCAGAACTGACTGTGAACCACATAATACATCACCATGAAACCCAAGTAAATGGATCCCCAAGTCAACTTCTACTTCTCTGTATCCCAAAATTGCTCATAGCTGTTCCAATGCCACCTACCTCAAGGGAAAGGATAATAAAGGGAAGGTTAAAATGGAACGAGACAGCAGTGTTAACCTCTTACATTAAAATATTTCTATTTTGAATATTTTGTGAAAACATATAATCTGCCTTATATCACAAAAGCCACTAGGGCCTTGGAAGGGGTAAGTGAGAGGCCTAATGTTTACGTTTCTTTCATGTCATAGTAAATCCACTTCTGAGGAGAAGAATGAAAGCCAAGGCAGATATGAAAGAGCCATGGACTGCTGACCTTTGAACCCTGAGAGGAGTGCAGAGCTCACTCATATTCTAATGAAGTATTTTTCTACCCTTATTATGATTCTGACTCACTATACTTCTTATCAAAATTACATGATGAGGAATTGTATGTTTGAATAGCAGTCAAATGAGAAGAGACTTTATCATTTAGCAAATCTATCTGCCCAATTTCGTAGCTTGAGACAATGCAAAAATGTCAACCCATGATCTCTATCCCATTTTCTTTTGATTATCTCTACAGCTTGTAAAAATCTCTGTACTTTTTTTCCAGTTTAATTCTATCTAGGTTATATTATACATTGATTTAGTTGAATAAAATCTATTACATAATAATGCTTGGTGATTATTACTTTTATAAACCCAATTTTAGTCAGTTCAGTGTCATCCCAAAGGCACTGTTACATGAAATGGATTAAATTTTCTCCCCTTTCTTTCATCTTGTCCCAGTTAAAGTAGGAATAAGATGATGTTGAAAAAATGATTGACTCTGTGTAGTTGGAAGAATTCTAACATGACTCCTGTGATTCCTGCACTCTTGTATGCATGCAATGAATAATCCCCTACCCCTTGATTATAGGCAGAACCTATGAATATGAAGGGATATCACTCCCAAGATTAGGCTACATTATGTGGCAAATTGGAAGGGATTTGATGGACACCTTTTAAGATTCCTATTCTGTTAACTTTAAACTAATGAAAAGAGGGATTAGCTGAGTGGGCATGACCTAATCAGGTGAGTTCTTTAAAGGAGGATTTAGAGGTCAGAGAAAGAAGCAGTCAGCATGGTTGAAACCATCAAAGACTCTCTTTCTTGCTGGCCTTGAAAGAAGCAATATGCTTTGTGGTGGAGAAAGCCACATTGTCGGGGAATGGTGGGCAGTCCTAGAAGCCAAAGACTTCAATTCTGCAAACACAAGAAATTAAGTTCCACCACAAACAAATGAATATATGAAACAATCCTGCAATCCAGGTGATATCACAGCCTCTGTTGACACCTTGATTTCAGCCTGATGAAACTCTGAATAGAGGATCTCTGCCCTGACACCTGATCCATAGAAACTGTGAGGTAATAAACTTTGTCATAATTTGTTACACAGCAATAGGAAACTGATACGGTCTCATTTAACCTAAAGGACAACAAGGTAAGCCTTATACTAGAAAATTTAATTCAACAAAACTAATGAAAACATATTCCCCAAAATTTATTAAGTTTATGTCTGGGCTCAGTATCTTTCCATCTGTGAAATGGGAATTTAGGAGAAGAATATTATGCTTCAGCAGTCTTCCAGACTTTTGGCTTTCATAGACAAGAAAAATTTCAGAAAATTATTTTGAGACCAATTGAAAATTTTCAACTTTTTATTTTACTAAGTATATAACTATTCATTATTAGTAAGCTAGTATGGAAAATAAATAATGTTGTAACATAAATTGTGATAGTTAATTGTATGTGTCAATTTGGCTAGGCAGCTCTACCCAGTTATTCATTCAAATACTAGTTGATATGGTTTGGCTGTGTCGCCACCCAATTCTCATCTTGAATCCCCATGTGTTATAGGAGGGACCTGGTGGGAGGTAACTGGATCATGGGAGCAGGTCTTTCCCATGGTGTTCTCATGGTGGGTGGGTCTCATGAGATCTGATGGCATTATAAAGGGGAGTTTCCCTGCACAATCTCTTTTTGTTTGCCTGCTGCCATCCATGTAAGATGTGACTTGCTCCTCCTTGCCTTCCACCATGATTATGAGGCTTCCCCAGCCATGTGGAACTGTAAGTCCATATTAAACCTCTTTTTTGGAAAATTGTCCAGTCTTGAGTATGTCTTTATCAGCAGTGTGTGAACAGACTAATACACTAGCCTAGGTGTTGCTGTGGAGGTTTTTTGTAAATGTGATTAATGTTCATAACCAGTTGCCTCTGAGAAAAGATTACCCTAGATAATCTGAATGGGTCTGAATTAATCAGAGGAAAGGCCTTGAGACCAAGTTGAGGTTTGCCTGAGCAAGAAGAAATTCCACCTGTAGATAGCAACTTCAGGCCATCCCAGAGCATTCCAGCCTGCCCTGCAGATTTCAGACTTGCCTTGACCATCTCCACAAACTTGTAAATCAATACCTTATCTTTTAATATATACCTCCCTCCCATTGGTTCCATGTGTTTGGTTGAACCGTGACTGATAACACAAATATAAAACAATAAACCAGTAATAAATTCAAATAGGATGATTCACTACACCACAATTATTTTTATTCAATACTTCATGAGTTGACATTGGGATGAGACTAGACTCAGCATTAAATTTCATAACATTACTTTGTACTTTATTCTTTTCGATTCAAAAATCCGTATGCATCAGAAAAAATAAACAACTAATATCCTCTGCTTTCTCTAGCAAGCAAATAGGTTAACTGTTTATGAAAACTTTTATGATTACTTCAGGGTTCTATAATACAAAGAATAGAAAGTAATGCATACAGGAGAAAAGAAAGGAAGGAAGAAAAGCAAAATCCAGATGCCTGATTCCTTTACCTTCTGAATTGACCTTAACAACACTTAAGAAGGCTGCATCAAGTATGTATTTTATCTTGTCAGTCACAGTCATATCGAACTCTATTCTTGGTTTAAACATAAAAGAGCAAGATTCACAATGATTGGAATAAGTTTTCTTTGGCAAAGCTCTACAGAATTGCTATTAGAATTGCAATAAGCAATACTATTATCCACTTTCAGGAAGTATCTGTCCTGCTGATTGCCCAAATTGCACACATTACACACACAAGCTGGGGTTGAATTTTGCCAAATCTGCATTACAAAAGTAGCCTTATTCAGAGGAAATTCAGTATTTTCTTAATGATTACATTAGTTCTTGATAAGTACTTTATAGAGTACTCAAGAAGGGACTATTGTTTAAAAGCATAATGTTTTATGGACACCTTTGTATTGCCAGAACACTTTTGTTGAAGACTTGGTAAGCTAGATTTCCTGGTCAGTACCTTGGCAATGGTTTTAGAGCTACATGAGAGTTCTTAAACTGCACTAAAATCCTTCAGGCCATGCAAGCTCAGTTCTGCTCAAATAACATTGATTGGACATCTTACAGTTCAGAGATGCAACTTGTAACAACTAATTGCACTAAAAGTGCAATTATATAGGACCGGGAAGTTATGAACTCTTGAGAATCCTGGGGTAACAATAACAACAAGTCAATGTTCATTCACTGAAACTTGAAAATTATTTTTATATATCTGAAGTAAAGAGAAACTATAGTTTATTAGTTTGTTCTCATGCTGCTGATAAAGACATACCCAAAACTAGGAACAAAGAGAGATTTAATTGGACTTACAGTTTTGCATGGCTGGGGATGCCTCAGAATCATGACAGGAGGTGAAAGGCACTTGTTAAATGGCAGCAGCAAGAGAAAATAAGAAAAAAACTAAAGCAGAAACCCCTGATAAACCCAGCATATCTCATGAGACTTATTCAGTATCACGAGAATAGCATGGGAAAGACAGGCCCATATGATTCCATTACCTCCCACTGAGTCCCTCCCAGAACATGGAATTCTGGGAGATAAAATTCAAGTTGAGATTTGGGTGGGGACACAGCCAAACCATATTATATAGGAAACTTTATCAAGATTTTTTCAAAATTGTTTTTGACCAAGTTTAACATAGATCACAGATAGCCTACCTTAACAATGTTCAATGAGAGGGAGGAATTTTAATGTATATTCCATACAGAATTTTGTTTATATGCATATATATGTATTTTATATATATAGTGTATATATGATATATTAACATATAGTATATCTAATATATACACTATATATTAACATAGAGTATATAGATATATTTTTATATATATGATATATATGCCATTAAAAGACACAATTACTTTTGCACCAAATATAGGCTTAAAACAACAGAGATTTTTTCTCTCACAGTTCTGGAGGTAAGAATTCCAAAATCAAGGTGGTGATAACATCATACTCTATCTGAAGGCTCTAGGGGAAAATTTGTTTCATGCCTTTCTCTTAGTTTCTGGTATTGAGGCAAACATTAGCACTCGTTTGTTTGTAGATACATCACTCCAGCTTCTGCCTCTTTCATCACATGGTGTCTTTTCTCTTTGTGTCTGTCTCTGTATCTCTTCTGTTTTTCTTATGAGGAAAGTAGCCACACAGAATTAAGAACCTACTCTATTGTGACCCAAGCTTAACCTGTATTTTAATTACAACCAAATAAGCTCACATTCATAAATACTGGAGACTAGAACTTTAATATATGTTGGGAGTATATGATTCAACCAATAACAAGGAGCATAGGTGATGTTGCATAGAATCACATTATTTATTATATTTACAGAAAATAGCACCCTCAGACATCTTATCACCATCTTGATTTTCCAGAATCCAAACTAACATATAACTTTAGATCTGAATTTGTGAAATTACTGACTTTTAAAATGTAAAATGGGTATGTAAATTTTTTCAATGGGTATAAAGCCCTGTCCAGGGCCATAAGAAACTCTAGTTAAGAAGGATAGAGAAAATCCGCTGAGTTTCCTAAAACGTTGTCCTAAACTAACGGGAGAAACAAAAGGAAGGTCTCTAAGCACATGTGCTGCCATAAAAAAAAAAAAAAAAAACTTACAGGAATTAACAGTTTTAAGATATTGGAAAATAGCCCAGGATGATTGAGATAAAGAAACATTAGCTCTACCTTCCAAATTACTGAAGGGGAGAGTGGAGCCCAAACAGAGAACATATTAATCTCACCTGACTGTGAAAACAGGGTTCCATGTAGTCATGAAGCCAGAATTGGAAAGATTGGGTAGTATGGAAAAGAATAGTGAGAATAAAAGAAGTAATGAGGGTGAAGAAAAGGAAAAATCAGTTGGGTAGACAATTAAGATTAGTCCTCGGAGAAGCAGCCTCCCTGAAAAATCACAGCTACAGGCAAAAATAGAGCAGCCTGGGCGACACTCAGACTAACCTGCACAGATAAGCAGGCAAGGGAGGCAAGGTCCATCATAGAAGCCTTTTTATTCTTTATTATTATTATTATACTTTAAGTTCTGGGATACATGTGCAGAACGTGCAGTTTTGTTACATAGGTATACACGTGCCGTGGTGGTTTGCTGCACCCATCAACCCGTTACCTACATTAGGTATTTCTCCTAATGCTATCTTTCCCTGGCCTCCCACCCCATGACGGGCCCCGTTGTGTGATGTTCCCTTCCCTGTGTCCATGTGTTCCCACTGTTCGGCTCCCACTTATGAGTGAGACCATGCAGTGTTTGGTTTTCTGTTCTTGTGTTAGTTTGCTGAGAATGATGGTTTCCAGCTTCATCCATGTCCCTGCAAAGGACATGAACTCATCCTTTTTATGGCTGCATAGTACTCCATGGCGTATATGTGCCACGTTTTCTTTATCCAGTCTGTCATTGTTGGACATTTGGGTTGGTTCCACGTCTTTGCTATTGTGAATAGTGCTGAAATAAACATACGTGTACATGTGTCTTTATAGTAGAATGATTTATAATCACTTGGGTATATATCCAGTAACAGGATTGCTGGGTCAAATGGTATTTCTGGGTCGAGATCCTTGAGGAATCACCACACTGTCTTCCACAATGGTTGAACTAATTTACACTCCCACCAACAGTGTAAAAGGATTCCTATTTCTCCACAACCTCTCCAGCATCTGTTGTTTCCTGACTTTTTAACAATCGCCATTATAACTGGCACGAGGTGGTATCTCATTGTGGTTTTGATTTGCATTTCTCTAATGACCAGTGAGGATGAGCATTTTTTCTTATGTCTGTTGGCTACATAAATGTCTTCTTTTGAGAAGTGTCTGTTCACAGATGTCTTCTGAGAAGTGTCTGTTCATATCCTTTGCCCACTTTTTGATGGGGTTGTTTGTTTTATTCTTGTAAATTTGTTTAAGTTCTTTGTAGATTATGAATATTAGCACTTTTTTAGATGGATAAATTTCAAAAATTTACTGCTATTCTGTAGGTTGCCTGTTCACTCTGATGGTAGTTTCTTTTGCTGTGCAGAAGCTCCTTGGTTTAATTAGATCCCATTTGTCAATTTTGGCTTTTGTTGCCATTGCTTTTGTTGTTTTAGATGTGAAGTCTTTGCCCATGCCTATGATAAAACAGACTTTAAACCAACAAGATCAAAAGAGACAAAGAAGGGCATTACATAATGGTAAAGGGATCAACACAACAAGAAGAGCTAACTATCCTAAATATATATGTACCCAACACAGGAGCACCCAGATTCATAAACCAAGTTCTTAGAGACCTACAAAGAGACTTAGACTTCCATACAATAATATTGGGAGACTTTAAGACCCCACTGTCAGTATTAGACTGATCAACGAGACAGAAAATTAATAAGGATGTTCAAGACTTGAACTCCACTCTGGACCAAGCAAGCCTAATAGACGTCTACAGAATTCTCCACCCCAAATCAACAGAATATATATTCTTCTCAGCACCTCTTTGCCCTTATTCTAAAATTGACCACATAATTGGAAGTAAAAACACTCCTCAGCAAATGCAAAAGAACGGAAATCATATCCGTCTCTCAGGCCACAGTGCAATCAAATTAGAACTCAGGATTAAGAAACTCACTCAAAACCGCCCAACTACATGGAAACCGAACAACCTGCTCCTGAATGGCTACTGTGTAAATAACGAAATGAAGGCAGAAATAAAAATGTTCTTTGAAAACAATGAAAACAAAGACACAACGTACCAGAATCTCTGGGACAAATTTAAAGCAGTGTGGAGAGGGAAATTTATAGTGCTAAATGCCCATAGGAGAAAGCAGGAAAGATCTAAAATCGACACCCTAACATCACAATTAAAAGAACTAGAGAAGCAAGAGCAAACAAATTTAAAAGCTAGCAGAAGAGAAGAAATAACTAAGATCAGAGCAGAACTGAAGGAGATAGAGGCACAAAAAAACCTTCAAAAATCAATGAATCCAGCAGCTGGTTTTTTGAAAAGATCAACAAAATAGATTGCTAGCCAGACTAATAAGGAAGAAAAGAGAGAAGAATCAAACAGACGCAGTGAAAAATGTTATAGGGGATATCACCACTGATCCCACAGAAATACAAACTACCATCAGAGAATACTGTAAACACTTCTACGCAAATAAACTAGAAAATCTAGAAAAAATGGATAAATCCCTGGACACATACACCCTCCCAAGTCTAAACCAGCAAGAAGTCGAATCCCTGAATAGACGAATAACAAGTTCTGAAACTGAAGCAGTAATTAATAGCCTACCAACCAAAAAAAGTCCAGGACCGGACGGATTCACAGCTGAATTCTACCAGAGGTACAAAGAGGAGCTGGTGCCATTCCTTCTGAAACTATTCCAAACAATAGAAAAAGAGGAAATCCTCCCTACCTCATTTTATGAGGCTGGAATCATTCTGATAGCAAAACCTGGCAGAGACACAACAAAAAAAGAAAATTTCAGGCCAACATCCCTAATGAACATCGATGAGAAAATCTTCAGTAAAATACTGGCAAACCGAATTCAGCAGCACATCAAAAAAGCTTATCCACCATGATCAAGTCAGCTTTATCCCTGGGATGCAAGGCTGGTTCAACATACACAAATCAATAAACATAACCCATCACATAAACAGAACCAATGACAAAAACCACATGATTATCTCAATAGATGCAGAAAAGGCCTTCGACAAAATTCAACAGCCCTTCATCCTAAAAACTCTCAATAAACTAGGTATCAATGGAACGTATCTCAAAATAATAAGAGCTATTTATGACAAACCCACAGCTAATATCATACTGAATGGGCAAAAACTGGAAGCATTCCCTTTGAAAACTGGCACAAGACAAGGATGCCCTCTCTCACTACTCCTATTCAACATAGTATTGGAAGTTCTAGCCAGGGCAATCAGGCAAGAGAAAGAAATAAAGTGTATTCAAATAGGAAGAGAGGAAGTCAAATTGTCTCTATTTGCAGATGACATAATTGTATATTTAGAAAACCCCATCTTCTCAACCCAAAATCTCCTTAAGCTGATAAGCAACTTCAGCAGTCTCAGTATACAAAAACAATGTGCAAAAATCACAAGCATTCCTATATGCCAATAACAGACAAACAGAGAGCCAAATCATGAGTGAACTCCACCTGCACAGACCTAGGGGGACTGAACAAAATAGGGCAAACGTGGGAATAAAAGACAAAGACAAGAGAGTATATTTGGAAGAAGGGGTCAGGGGGCACCTTGTCTCTAGTGGACAAGGGCCCTGAGCTTTACGTAGCCCTCCGTATTTATTAGGCAACAGAGATAGTGAGAAAAGGGGGGTGATTGTTGGATAATTGTCCATTGGCCCTTTGTTTCACAGCAGACTTGTGAGACTGCATCCTTGGAACAATAGGTGCTAATTTTCTCAGTAGGTAACTTCAAGGAACCAGGGAGTGATGTCCCTCAGCAAACCTTTTGGTGGCAGGGTAGTGTGAATTTGCCCACATCCTACATTCATGATAAACAGTTTGCTGTTTGATCATATAGCCCCCAGCGGAATGTTGAGTTGGTCACGTCCCATGGGCCTTTGGCTCCCTGCGAACTCCCATTCACAATCACTACTAAGAGAATAAAATACCTAGGAATACAACTTACAAAGAACGTGAAGGACCTTTTCAAGGAGAACTACAAACCACTGCTCAAAAAAGTAAGAGAGGACACAAACAAATAGAAAAACAGTCCATGCTCATGGATAGGAAGAATCAATATTGTGAAAATGGCCATACTGCCCAAAGTAATTTATAGATTCAATGCTAACCCCATCAAGCTACCATTGACTTTCTTCACAGAATTAGAAAAAACTACTTTAAACTTCATATGGAACCAAAAAAGAGCCTACATAGCCAAGACAATCCTAAGCAAAAAGAATACAGCTGGAGGCATCACACCACCAGACTTCAAACTTTACTACAAGGCTACAGTAACCAAAACAGCATGGTAGTGCTACCAAAACAGATATATAGACCAATGGAATAGAACAGAGGCCTCAGAAATTAACACCACACATCTACAACCAACTAATTTTTGACAAACCTGACACAAACAAGCAATGGGGAAAAGATTCCCTATTTAATAAATGCTATTGGGAAAACTGGCTAGCCATATGCAGAAAACTGAAACTGGTTCCCCTTACACCTTATACAAAAATCAACTCAAGATGGATTAAAGACTTAAACATAAGACCTAAAACCATAAAACTCCTAGTAGAAAACCTAGGCAATACCTTTTTATCCTTTGTGTGATTAGCGAGTTCCCACGAAAAAGCTTGCTCGCCTTTTCAGGCATATACACAATGGTCTCGGAGGGAACTTGCACAGGGAGGAGGGGGGCTTACCTGAAACAATCCTACAGTTATATGAACAAGAGAAGTGGCACTTTGTGCTTGCCTAGAGATATACCCACAACTACATAGATAAGGGGGAGTTGTTCAGCTTTTCAGATGAGAGAAATTACTCAAAGAGCTACAGAGATGAGAGGAGTTTCTTATAAAAGCTTTTGAATTCAGCTGTAAAAATGGCAACCCACTAGGGCTTCCCCTCTGCTGTGGAGAGCTTTCTGCTTTTGCTTATTAAAATTTCACTCCAACCTCTCCCTTTGTGTCCATGCCCCTCAGTTCTCTTGGTCATGAGACAATGAGTTTGGATAACACCTTACAAAATGAGACCAGTGACCACTGACCTATTTCTTTAGTTCCGGAAATCTGCATAGCAATGACTTTGAGGCATTGGCCAGCTAATAAGCTGTGCATTCATAGAGTAAAACTCTTCATGGCTTATCAGAGAATACATACAGGGAAGGTGTGAGCTGAACAGAAATTGTGGGAGTGGCACAGTGCTAGGCTCAACCAGAGTGGAGAGACTTAATTTAACACACCAGGCATAATTTATTTCATACTATAGAAAGTTCTAATCTTAGTAGTAATACTATACTAGAACCAAAGCAAGGGCTATTGTAGATACATTCTAACAAAGGCTAACATCAGGCCTTAAAAGTATAAAGCCAATCTTCCAGTAAATTAACAGGCTGTCAGAGCAAAATTCAACATATTCTAAAGGAGTAAAATAAAACATCCTCTTATTGTAGTACTCATTATATCCAGTATAAATCTTTTAAAAAACTCACTATGCTAAGAAACAGGAAAATGTGACTCTAACCTGGTGATAAATAGTCAACAAAAATAGATACTGAGATAACACCAATGTTGGAATTAGCAGACAAGGGTGTTAAAGTATTTATTATATAAATTAAAGTATCTATATATTAATACAGTCATAATGAAAGAAAAGATGAGAAATCTCAGCTGAGATGTGAAAACTATTAAAAAATGGAATTCTGGAACTGAAAAATAGAATAAATAAAGTGAAAACTTTTTTGACTGAGCTTTTAAGCAAATTGGACATTTCAAAAGGAAAGATCAGTGAGTGTGAATCTGTATCATAAAAGCTATTCAAATTATAGCCCGGAAAGTAAAAAAGACTGGAAAAATTTTTAGAGGCCTTAGAATACAATATAAATGGACACTAAAAGAAAGTTTTGAAGTTCACAGCAATTATTTTGTAGAATATTTCTCAATTTAGATTTATCTGATATTATCTAATGGTTAGATTTAGGTTACAAATTTTTGGCAAGAATCCCACAAAGTGTAACTATGTTCATCTTAGAGCCTCACATCCAGAAGTGCATAGTATTGGTTTGTTATGTGATTTTTTTGTTTTTACCTTGAGACAGAGACTTGCTTTGTTGCCTAGGCTGGACTGAAGTGGCATGATCACAGCTCGCTGCAACCTTAACCTCTTGGTCTCAATTGATCCTCCTACCTGAACCTCTCAAGTAGAGCTGGGACTACAGTGCACACCACCATGCCCAGGTAATTTTTTTTTTTTTTGTATTTTTTGTAGAGCCAGGGTTTTTCTATGTTGCCCAGGCTTATCTCTAACTCCTGGGCTCAAGTAATCTGCCTAGCTCAGCCTCCCAAATTATGGGATTATAGGCATGTGTCACTGCACTGGCCAGTTTGGTTTCATTAACTGCGGTTACTTAACAAGATAGTATCTTCCCAGTTTTTCCATTATAAGGTTATTTTTCCTTTGTAATTAATACATAACTATTGGGTGAAATACTTTGAGACTCTCTAAGTATCATGTTCCACATCAAACTTGCACCCATTAATTATAGCATCCATTAATCATTCTATTCTTTCTATTCTATTATTTCTGCATATAGTACTACTATAAAGAAGAATCTTTCCTTTTTCTCCATCTATTTTTTAAATCAATGGACTTATACACTTTTACTGTTTTAGTGGATTATAATCTATTAGTGTTTTCACTTTTTGATTCTTTGATTACCCTTGCTTTGGACACTGGTATAATTGCCCATTGAGTTCTTCCTACCCACTGCATAAACAAAATCAATCCACTGAGACCATGGAGTGGCAGTAAAACAAGATTTTAATTGACTCAAGGCTGGTCACACCTTGTGTGGGAAGAGATATTACTGAAATCAATCACTCTGAAGACTCAAAGGTTAGGGGATTTCAAGGACAGTTTGGTGGGCAGGGGACTAGGGAATGGGGACTATCTATTGGTTGGGGATGAAATCACTGGGGTGTGAAAAATCGTCCTCGTGTGCTAAGTTCTCCTATTGGTGGGGCCAGAGGGTCAGCTGAGTCATGAATCAGGAGTTCCGGTGGGATTGATCTGAAAGACATCTCAAAAAACTGATCTTAGATTCTCTAACAGTGATGTTATCTATAGGAGTAATTGAGGAAGTCACAAATCTTGCTACCTCCTGCTACATGACTCCTGAGATTATATCCCCATTTTAGCAGTAATCAGGCCCATCTCTTAATCCTAACCTTGTGGACTTTCATTAATTTTACAATGGTGGTTTAGTTTGGAGAAGGGCTATTTTCATCCTTGATTTAAGGTTAAGCTATAAATTAAATTT
Organism: Homo sapiens; assembly: GCF_000001405.40. Taxonomy (NCBI): domain Eukaryota; kingdom Metazoa; phylum Chordata; class Mammalia; order Primates; family Hominidae; genus Homo; species Homo sapiens. The sequence goes on from NC_000011.10 coordinate 21,854,913, forward strand.
CTCCGAAAGTCAGCTTTGTCTACACCCTGGAATGACCAAGGATAGCTTGGAAGTTAGAAGCAAGTTGGAGTTAACGATGTCAGATTTCTCTTATGATCATAATTTTGCAAAAGCCATTTGACTGGGGCTTGGGGCTTCAAGCTAGCTTCTCTGTTTTTGTGACATGCACCCAACACTTTTTAGCACTCCTTAATTTCTGGCATGACAAAATGTTCTTATCTCGTTTTGTACTCTCCTCCTCTAACCCTGGAATTAGCTATTTCTCCAGAGAGCATTGTCTCCTTTTAGTTGGAAATGGTATTTAGAACCTCAGATCTAAGAGCTCGGTGTGCTCACTGCTACTGAGATATTCTTTTCTAGGTGTCTTTTTCTAGGGCTTTTCAGTGGACAGAACTAAATAAATGTATTTACTATTTATCTTTCTTTATCTCATCTCTCTAAGAGTGTGTGTGTGTTCATACATATAATATTGAAAGCCACTAGTTTATAAATATTGAGATCTTGAATTCTAGTCCAATACTGCAGGGTTCTTTCTAGCTTCCCGCCTCTCCATATTCATATCTCATTTTTCTAAGAGTGAAAAATCTGGCTTCTAACATTAGTATGTTATTAATGAATTTGCTCTATTCTATAATAAACAGAAAATAGTTACATCTTTCTTTAAAAAAATTAAATCTACTATGTGAAATTCAAGATTTGTTTGATATTCCTTTTGTCTTTAGGCTGAGGGTATGTGGTCAAAATGCTGTGTGCAAAAGTGCTTTGAAGTAGTTTCTTTATTTCCTTCAGTGTGGCTAGATTAAATGCAGTTGAATCCTGTTTACATTAAAGTTGGGGGTTTTTCCTATCCTTAAAGTTTTAATTATATTTTCCTGAACATGCCTATTCACGTTGTTATAAAAGGCAAATCTATACAAAAAGACAGACACATTCAGAAAAGCAGCACTATCTCCCCTATGCCTTCCACTTCATTCCCATAGTTTACCCATTCCAAGTTTTGTTTTCTAATTTTTTTAAAAAAATCACTATACACATTATATGTAATTTTCCCTCTTTTCTCACATGAAAGATAGCTACTACATAAGTATTCTTCTGTATTTTTTGTTTTTACTCAATGTATTCACCATATCAGCTTACAGAGATTTTCCTCATTCTTCTTTATAGCTGCAGAGCAGTCTTATATGAATAAATCATAGGTTATTCCATCAATCTCATATGTTTGGGAAATTAGGTAGTTTATAATATTTTATAGTCACAAATATATTTTGTATCATAGGGAGTATATCTTCAGACAAAATTTACAGAAGTGATTTTTTCTTTAATGGTATATGCATAATAATATGTATATATGTATAATGCATATGTATCTTCACTGAATGCTGCCCAATTCTCAAGTGTAAGTGTTGGATCATTTTATGTTTCTTCTAGCAATGTGTGAAAGAGCCTCTTTCCCTACTGCTTCACCAAGTTTAAAACTTCAAATTTTTTCAACTTGATAGGTAAGAAATTACATTTTGGTTTTATTTTTTATTTCTCTTCTCATGGGTGAAGGTGAACATCTCTTAAAATGTCTAAGGGCCATGTAATTCCACTTACATGCATTTTCTGTTCCTGTCTTTTGCCCATTTTTCTATTAGATTTTTTTTGCTCAATTTTTATAAATTTAGTATGTAGGGATATAGGGATATTGGCCCTTTATCTGTGATATATGTTGCAAATGTTTTCTTTCAGTTGTCATTTGTGAGTTTTTTGTATTATTTTGTTAAACTTTTGCTTGCAATTTTTAGATGTAGTTGAATTTAATTATTTTCTTTTGCACCTGGAGATTTAATAAAGTTATAAATTCTTTCACAGCACACCCATTTTAGAACAATGTACTCATGTTTTATTCTAGTACTTTTTTTACATTTACATCTCTAATGTATTTGGAATTTATTCTTGTATGTGGTATGAGATATTATCGTAATTTTATGGGTTTCCAGAAGGCTATCCAGTTCTCTCAACATTATTTATGAAAATGTTTGTGTTTACCCCAGTAATTTCAATAGCATCTTTATCATATACAAAATATCTACATTTATTTGTATTCATTATGAACTTTCTATTTGATTCCATTGGCTTGTATGTCTTTTTATGTGCCATGAACACACAGTTTTAATCACATGCTTTATAGTATGTTTTAAATCTTGTAGCGTTGGTCTCCTTTATAGTGCTTTTTTTTACCATAGTTTGCAATATACTCTTAAATGTTATTTTTTCATATGAACTTTAGTATCAACTTCTCTAGCTCTAGGTGAAAGCTTGTTAAAATTGTATTGGAATTGCATTACATTATTACATTTATAAGTAAAGCTATGCAAAATCGTCTCTTTAAATTGTTAAACTTCTATGTCCAAGGACAGGTGATTTTTCCATTTGTTCATGACTTGTTTTGAGTCTTTCAGAAGTTTTAAATATTTTTCTTCTTGTAGGTTTTATATATTTCTAGGTAGCCAGTTTCTAAGTGTTTTAAATTTATGTGTCGTCACTAACTCTATTATTTGTATCTCTGAAGAATATTGATTGTTGCATGTTAATTTTAAATCCTGGCACCTTACTGAATTTTGTTAATAGTGAAGGCAGCATGCACACTAGTGAATTGAATGCAATGTTACCTGGATTGGGAGACACTCACAAACACACCAACAGAGTCACTTCTATTTGTGCCAGGAGTGCATGAATATGAGGAGTTTGGAAATGGAAAATATCGTGGTTGGTTTGGATGCATCCTAAAAAAGAGAGAATGGAATCGTCATGAGTGCAAAGAACTGATGTGGAAAGTCAATAAAAACACCGTCTAGAAAATTAAACACAAATTTTACAAGCTGGCAGTCAAGGATTTACTACTTGAGCTTTGAAAAAGCTTCCCACACAGTGTTGGAGAAAGAGTGGTAGGATTAACTTTTGAGGTAGGCATTCATCAAGCTCAGTCCCAAAGGCAAGGGCCCAAAGAAAAGAAAGGTCAATTTCTGGCAGTCAGTAGGGATGATGGAACGATTTCAGTGGAGCGGTAACTGGAGTCTAAGGTGCTAAACTGAGGCCTAGCAGAAGCAAATAATTGATAAGAAGAAATAAATCTGGAGGACAAAAGACATGGTGACTTATTTTCAGCAGATGGTGTCTTAGCCTAAAGGGACTACTTTTAAATTATTGGGCATATCGCCTCCTGGATCTGACTTGAAATCATAAGATATGTATTTGATCTTTGATAGCAATAGTTCAAGAAAAGCTAAATGCAGAGCCAAGGTCTTAGCCAATGTGTAAAATAGCTAAAGATCAAGCCAAAGACTATGGAAATTGAGAAAATATATCTTAAGTCACATAATGTCCTGAGGAAAAAAAAAACAGAGTCAGAGTATTTTGTTAGAATCCACACAAGATGGTGGCAAACTCAGAGGCTGAGTAGAAAAGTCAAGGTGAATTTTCAGAACCCAAAGTCAAGTTAAAATTCTATCACAAGGGTCTGGTGCGGTGGTGCACGCCTGTAATCCCAGCACTTTGGGAGGCCAAGGTGGGTGGATCATAAGATCAGGAGATGGAGACCATCCTGGCTAACACGGTGAAACCCTGTCTCTATTAAAAATAAAAAAATAATTAGCCAGGCCTGGTGGCGGGCGCCTGTAGTCCCACCTACTTGGGAGGCTAAGGCAGGAGAATGGCATGAACCCTGGAGGCGGAGGTTACAGTGAGCCGAGATGGCGCCACTGCACTCCAGTCTGGGTGACAGACCGAGACTCCATCTCAAAAAAAAAAAAAAAAAAAAAAAATTCTATCACAGAAGTCAGCTAACTTTGACCAACCCAGGCCACAGGGAGCTGACAAGCCTGAATGTATGACTAAGGATTTAGACTGAAGTGGTATTTGGATAGAAGCAGAGGTAAGGAATACAGTTTGAAGTAGAACAATGACTTTTAAGCATTTATTTTTTAAAACAATGAAACATTTTGATTTAAAGGAAATCTAACATAAAATCTTAGTACAGGAAAGAGATGAAGTTTCTGACTAATGTGCGGGCCATGTTCTGGGAGAGAGGCAAGCTCTATCCTCTCAGCTTCCACTGTACCTTTTGTAGCAAAACTTTAATCACTCCCACAGAAACCTAGTGCTTTAAATAACACAGTTTTGAAATTATCCGGAGCAGGAGACTGAAGGTATCACATCAGAATCTGCAACTTGCAAACAGATTAAGTTAACAATCGTAGTGTATCAGAAAAAGCAAGGTTTTTGGAGTCTGACGGACCTTGTTTTCAAATCCAGTTCTCAAGTTGCATGACCTTGGTGGATTTGCTTTATCTATTGGAACCTCAGTTTCCTTATATGGAAAATTGGTAAATAATCCCCATATTGATGAATTATCCTGAAAATTCAAAGATAAAAAATGAATAAAGTACATAATAGGGTATTAACTTATGTTAGTGTGTTTCATGCATTTTAGACATGACTTTTGCTGTCAGATAGGAGCTGCCTTTCCTGTCCCTGGTTTCAAGTAAAATTCATGGTTTAGGCTAATCAGAAACTGTGTGTGGAGGCTGGTTTCTGGTGTGCATGTTTCTGCTCTTTGACTTGTGATGAAGGGTGCAGAGAGGTACTCTGAAGTGCTCTCCTGGACATAATGAACCGTTCATCAGATCTCTCCCAACTGCCTTTTCCAGTTGTATTTCCTTCTACTTTCTTGTACTAGGGATTGATATTCAGCCTGTGCAAGCAACTAGAGTCCCAGATGTTTAAGGTCAGCACTCATACTGATTGAGATATGCCTGTGTCATATTCATTTTAAATATTTTGAATATCATTCCTACAAAGAGTGAGTTAATCACTGTTTGTACAAAGAGTTAATTTTAATTACAAAGAGTTAATCACTGTCATATGCTTAGTACATACATTATGTCAGGCATTATGCTAATATTATATACACATGAACTAGATTCAATATTCAATATTACATGCAGATGAACAAAATTCATGTGCATATAATATCAGCACAATACCTGACATAGTATATGTACTAAGCATGTGATAGTCATCCTCTGAGAGAAGTATTGACATTATCCACATAATCATCATTTTATAGAGGAGGAAACTCTAGTTAGTTCTTTCCCTGAAGTCTCACAGCTAAGAAGTGCCAGTGTCAGTATATAAACTTAAATTTCTTATATTCCAAATTCTGTGCTCCTTTCATTATACCATATTCTCTCTCTTAGCACAGATATTCCATAATTGAAAAGCCTGAAATGTATTATGATAAAATCAGGTGGCCCATTATATGGTATGCAGGAATAGGTGACTTCTAAATCCACTGATGCTGAGTTTCCAGGTTTTTTTAGGCTAGTATAGAAGTAACTTGGAAAAAAGATAAGTAAAAACTGTTGTAGAAGTACAGTGAGATTTGTTTTTTTGCATGAATGCAAATAGAATCAAAATTTAAACAGTCAAACTCTTAATTAGAGCAGTAAAAAAGAGGGTCTTAGTAATTTGTTGATTTAACTAGCTTTTACAACATTAAGTTGGATGAAGACCTTATCTAAAATGGCAAGGGAGGCTAAGAGAGATCAATTAATAGTTTTAAATATTGGCTTAGTGATAAGAAAATAATTATTTTTTGTGTCCGTGGGTTCATAGAGCATTGGTTTTATGGTTAGTTGTTTATCTGCCTTTGGGCTAAAAAGACTTTGTATTTTTAATTGTGTGTCCAAATACATTTTATGGTGAAATTATCTCCCATCAATATGTCTCCAAGTTATGTTCTTGCTACTGATGGCTAAGGATAAGAATGAGCATAATTTAGAGCAAAGAGAAACATTAACTATTCAGGTTGCCAGCATAGCTGAAGGAGGAGATGATCTTTAAGTTTCTTTTTAAATTTTAATTGAAAGAAATGTAGCTGTCCTCTAACTAGAGATTTTAGAAGAGACTTATTCCCTGACTACCTCCTCTAATTCCTTCACACTTAAATGGGCATCTTAAAGAACTAAACATATTTGGCTTGGAGACATGAAGTAATCTGTTTTCATTTAATTGAATGCTTGATTTCTTTTGGTACAGAGAAGCCTAGCATCATTTTATAGGATCAGTGGATTTGGTCAAATGCACTGAGCTTGAGTTGGTAAACTGAATTAAGGTTCTTTATAATGGACAAAAGCCTTGTTAAGTTCACACAACTTCAAAGATTATTAGTTTCATTTTCTGAATCAAAATCTGCCCACTGTCAGACTTGCAAAATTCATGACAGTTTTCCTTTCAACTGAAATCTTCCAAACCCGGAAGGAAATCATATCTGGATTTTGGAGGTTTTAAAGGTGGTAGCTCTTAGCTCTCACGTGATCTTAATTTCTCAAATTCCTCATGCTTATCCAGTTTATTTTGTGCTCCATCTCCAGATTCTTTTTTGTGTTCTTGCAGCGTTCAGAAAAAAAAAAGAAAATCCTCTTCAGAAGAGTATGAGTTTCTATATTATGGCAGGGAAAAACACTTGTTATCACACTGAGTAGCAAGACATCCTAGGAAACTAGAGTTCAAAGAGCTCTCTCACCCCACCCATTGAGCTATTCAAAGGAATCCTGCTATGTTATTTGCAATGGAAAGAACATCCTCACGACTTAAAATGTTTCAACATAGACTCAGGCAAAATCTGCAGGAAACATGTCCTTGTTTATCCAAGATGACAAAGATAGCTTTCATATTTATTTCTGACTGTCTCTGGTTCTTAAAGCCTTCGTTCAGCTCTTTTCGTTCAGGGAAATAACTAATACAGGAAAATACTAATATGGTTAACTTTTCAAACTAGAGTGATTCTAGTAGCAACCCTAATTTTTCATGCTGATTGATTTTTTTCACGTGTCTAGTTTAAAAAATCTGGAATGCCCTTGATGAATCCATATTCTTAAACAAATTAAAATTGGCATTCTTATAATAAGAGGTCTCTATTAGTAAAATTTTGCTTGTCATTCATACAGAAATAATTGATGCTTATAATGATGACTTAAGGCTTTCAAATATTCCCAAGTGCCATTTGAATTATCAAAAAACATTAGGTTGCACTCAGCAGAGATTTATTTGTCAGTTATTAAACTTTTAGTCTGTTATCTTTTCATATTACATGATTATACTTTATTAAATTTTCTATTTGATTTATTAGAAAATCCCCTTCCACATCATCCTATGCAACAGCAAGTGTTCTGAATTGAATTTAGGCTATGTATGACATAGTCAATATTATAAAGGGGAAGTTCCTGAAAACTTAGTACATGCCAGGTCGTTTTTGAATAAACACTGTAATTTGGAAATGTTTTAGACTTACAAAAAAGTTGTAAGGATAACACAGAGAGGTCTCATGTACACCACACCCAGTTTCCCCTATTATTAACATGTTAGTATATTTATCACAATTAATAAATATTAATATATTATTATTAACTAAAATCCAGAGTTTACATTAAGATTCACTCTGTCACATAGTTCTGTGGGTTTTGGTAAATATATAATATCATGCATCTATTGTTACATTATCATATAGAATAGTTTTACTGTCCTAAAAATCTACTGTGTTCCACCTCTTCATCCCTCTTTCCCTTCTACTGTTCCCTTGGGAACCATTGATCTTTTTATTGTCTATATAGTTTTGCCTTTTCCAGAATGTCATATGGATGGAATTACACAGTGTGTAGTCTTTTCAGACTAGCTTCTTTCACTTAGCAATATGCATTTAGGATTCCTCCATTTTCTGTGAGTTGATCCTTCATTTCTTTCTATTGCTGAACAATATTTTATTATATGGATATGCCACAGTTTGTTTATTCATTCACCTATTGAAGAACATCTCGTTTGCTACCAAGATTTGGCAATTAAAAATAAAGCTGTTTTGGGAACTTTGTCAATATCTACAAAATCTTTCTGGAAGTTTGATTGAGATTGTGTTGAATCTATAAATCAAGTTGGGAAGAAGTGATACTTTAACAGTATTTAGTCTTCCTATTCATGTACATGAAATATGTCACCATTTATTTATATCTTCTTGATTTGTTTTAGAGTTTTATAGTTTTCCTCATATTGTTACATTTATACCTAAGTTTAATGGTTTTGGTGCTAAAGTAAATGATGTTTTATTTTTAATGTCAAATTCCAACTGTTGGCCGGGCATGGTAGCTCATGCTTTTAATCCCAGTGGTTTGGTAGGCTGAGGTAGGAGGATGGCTTAAGCTCAGGGTCTTGAGATCAGCCTAGGCAACGTAGCAAGACCTCATCTCTACTAAAAATGAACATAAATAGAAGTAATTCCAATTGTCCATTGCTAGTATAGAGGAAAGCAACAAACTTTTATGTGTTAACTTTGTAAACTTGTGATAATTACTTATTAATTCCAGGAGTTTTTTGTTGATTATTTAGGATTTGCTACATAAAAAATCATGTTTTCTGCAAGAAAAGACAGTTTTTTTTTCCCAACTTAAATATTTTTTCTTCATTTATTTCATTAAGTAGGACTTCCAATATGATGTTAAATAGGAATGGTGAGAGATGGGATATTTTTACCTTTGTCCTGATCTCAGGAAGGAAACTTGAAGTTCCTCACTATAAAGCATATGAGCTGTGAATTTTTTACAATAAATGTTTTTTATAAGTTTAGGAAATTTCCTTCTATTTCTAGTTGGCTGAGAGTTTCTCACATGGATGAGTGTTGAAATTTGTCTAGTTTTTCTGCATCTGCTGATACAATATATGATAGTTCTTCTTTTAGCCTGTTGAATGGATGAATTGTATGATTTGATTTGTCAATATTGAACCAGGCTTGCACACTTGGAATAAATCTATTTGTAGTATATACAGCAGTCTCCCCTTATCAGCAGGAGACATGCTCTAAGTTCCTCAGTGGATGCCTGAAATGAGGAATGGTACCAAACGCTATATGTGTTGTTTTTCTATATATAATACACATTATAAAGTTTAATTAGGTACAGTAAGAGATTAACAACAATAAGTAATAACAGAACAACATAGCAATATACTGTAATAAAAGTTATATGAATGTCATCTCTCAATATATCCTATCATACTATATCACAGGTAAATGGAACTATGGAAAGTGAAACCGTGGATAAAGAAGTACTATAGTAATTCATTCTATACATTTTTGGATTTGTTAATTTTTTTGAGGATTTTTGCATTTATGTTCATGAAAGATATTAGTCAATAACTCTTTTAACATTGCATGCAGGTTAGGTCTGTTGGTGATGAATTCCATCAGGTTTTCTCTGAGAAAGCCTTCAACTTTTGAAGAATTTTACTGGATATGGAATTCTAGTTTGAATGGGGATTTTTTTCAATACTTTACTATTTTATTCCACTCTCTGTTTATTTGCATGGTTTCTATTAAGTCCACTGTAATTCTTATCTCTGTTCATTTATAGGTAATGTCCTCACTACCACCACCACTTTCTAAATTTTCCCTTTTTTGTTGATATTCTGTCATTTCAGTAAGATATGCCTTGGGATATGTGTGTATGAGTGTGTGTGCGTGTGTGTCGGTATTTATCTTGCTTGGTTTTCTCTGAACTTTCTGGATCTATAGTTTGGTGTCTATCTTTTTAAAGATTTTATCTGTTATTATACTTACTTCAAATATTTTTTCTGCTCATTCTTCCTCTCTTCTTCTGCTATTCCAATTATGTATATGCTACATCTGTTGATATTGTCCCACAGTTCTTGCGTGTTGTATTTTCATATTTGTTCTCTTTGTATGTCAGTTTAGGTTTCCATTGACCCATCTTTAAGCCCAGTAATCCTTTCTAGGCTGAGTCCTGCCTACAGATGAGCCCATCAAAGGCATCCTTCATTTCAGTAACAGTGTTTTTGCTTTGTAGGCCTCCCCTTCCCTCCCCTTCCCTCCCCTTCCCTCCCCTTCTCTCCCCTTCCCTCCCCTTCTCTCCCCTTCCCTCCCCTTCTCTCCCCTTCCCTCCCCTTCTCTCCCCTTCCCTCCCCTTCTCTCCCCTTCCCTCCCCTTCTCTCCCCTTCCCTCCCCTTCTCTCCCCTTCCCTCCCCTTCTCCTCTTTTTGAGACAGAGTCTCACTCTGTTGCCCAGGCTCAAGTGCGATGGTGCAAACACTGGAGCCTTGACTTCCTAGACTCAAGCCATCATCCTGCCTCAGCCTCCCAGGTAGCTGGGACCACAGACGCACACCACCATGCCTGGCTATTTTTTATATGTATTTTGTAAAGATAGGGTATCGCCATGTTGCCCACGCTGGTCCCTAACTCCTAGGCTTAAGCAGTCCTCCTGCCTCAGCCTCCCAAAGTGCTGGGATTACAGATGACAGCCACCACTCCTGACCTCTAGCATTTTCTACTGATACTTACTTAGAATTTGTATATCAATGCTTACATTACTGATATATTCTTACATGTTGCCTACTTTTCCCACTTGAGCCTTTACTATATTACTCATAGTTATTTAAAATTTCCAGTCTGACAATTCCAACATCTGTAGTATATCTGAGTTTGAATCTAATGATTACTTTGTTTCTTTAGACTGCATATTTGCTCTTTGGCATGCCTTGCAATCTTTTGTAAAAAGCCAGGCATGTTTTATTAGGTAATAGGAACTGAGGTAAATCGGTTTTCTGTGTCAGGATTTATGTTTATCTTGCTAGGTCGTCAGCTGTGTTTAATGTTTTCCATAGCTATACAGGCCAGAAGCTTCCAAGTCCTCTAGTGCCCTTGTTTTTGTCTTTCTTCCTGACTTTGTGCTTCCCTCAATACTCCTCCTCAGAGACGTCCTCTGCCATGCAGTTTGTTAAGCTGTCATTCACTGTAATTCTATTGGAGACTTCTTGATATACTGCTAGGGTATGGGGGAGAGAGAACTTCCTATAATCTTCCAATTATATCTCAGTCTTTGAGTGGGTCTGTCTCGTGGCACTGTGACCTTTGCAAATGTTCCTCCAGTGATACAGCTTTTTTCCTCCTTGCTTCCTACTCCCTTCCCTGGCTGCATTATTACCAACCTGTTTTCATCAATCCCTGACCAGTGTTGAAAATGTGTTTCTCCCCTCTCAGCTGAAACAGGAACCCTGAAGGAAATAGAGCGGGAGCAGTTTCTTTCCCCAAGCTAGGATAAGGCTCTGGCAAAGTTCCTTCTGCTGGAAAGTAAGTATTTGCTATAGAAAAGGCTCTGGGTATATTTTGCAATGATTACTCTTCTCCCTGACAAAACCACCTGGGGGTCTGTCTCGCCTTCTTAGATCTCCCTCATGAGAGCCTAATGCATTTCATAGTGTTACAGCCTGTGAAAGTGTGAGACAACTAAACTGCAGTGACCGGAACATTCTCACTCTCAGGCTAATGCACACTCAACCTCCAGCAATTCATCAAAATAACCATTTCAGTGTCCCTACCTGTTATGGCTGCAGCAAGTTCTGCTCCAGGTAAGCACATCTCAGCAGTGTCCCTTTAGATGTGCCAACCGCTCCAGATTTAGGGCTGGTGGTCTGTCCAGCAACCTCAGTTTTCTGATGGGCCCACAAAATACATTTAGTTTTAAGTTTATTCAACTTTTTCTTGTTGCAAAGACCTTGAGTGATGACATTAAAGTTCTTTGCATGCTGGAGCTGAAGCTGAGCAACAGTATTTTTAAAACATATCTTGTTTAAACTTCAAATCAGTACTAAGATAGAGGAAAGTAATTTGACAAAAACCATACAATTAATAAGACAGAAAAGGAACCAGAGTTTATTTTTTATTATTTTATTTTGGTTCTAATTTATTTGAGATAGGGACTTGCTCTGTCACTCAGGCTGGAGTGCAATGGTGCCATCATAGCTCACTGCAGCCTTGACCTCGTAGGCTTAAGCAATTCTCCTGCCTCATACTCCTGAGTAGCTGGGAATGCAGACACACGCTACCATGCTAGCTAATTAATTTTATTTTTTGTTGAGATGCAGGCCTTGCTTTGTTTGCCCAGGCTGGTCTCAAACTCCCAGCTTCAAGTGATCCTCTCGTCTCAGCCTCCCAAAGTGCTGAGATAATGCCTGGCCAAGAGCCAGAGTTTAAATTTAGGTCTCCAAATCCAAAGCCTTATGTCATCCCATTACCACATGCTATTTCAGCACTTATCAGTAGTAGCAACAGGAGCATGAAAGATTGGTGTAAATTTAGGAGGCAGCAGGTTAAATAAGCATCTGAGATCTGTAATTATTTTCAAGCTGAAAAATAATTTGTTCAGTAACTACTATTCAAAGAAGGTCAAATCATTTCCTACTGTACTTAGTGATGGATAATACAGTTCAATAGCTTTCACTTGGGGAGTTTGTAATGTTGCCATTGACCTTGTACATCGGCACCTGCATTATGAAGGGGCAAATTTACTAAGTAACTGAAAACTCACAAACATTGCAATAGACCAACACCCTATAACACACATTCATTCAAAGGCCAATAACAGCCAAATGCTATAGCATTTGAGGGCTTGGAAAGGAGAACACAATAACAATGAAAATGAAATATTGGCTCTCCAAGTAATTTTGTAACCTTCCATTAGCTCTCATATGAACAAAAAACAAATACTGCTATTGTTTTGTTTACTAATTTTTTTCTTTTTTTTCTTTTTTTTTTTTTTTTTGAGATGGAGTCTTGCTCTGTCGCCCAGGCAGGAGTACAATGGTGTGATCTCGGCTCACTGCAACCTCTGCCTCCTGGATTCAAGCAGTTCTCCTGCCTCAGCCTCCTGAGTAGCTGGGACTACAGGCACACGCCACCACACCCAGCTAATTTTTGTATTTTTAGTAGAGATGGGGTTTCACCATGTTGGCCAGGATGATCTCAATCTCCTGACCTCATGATCCACCTGCCTCAGCCTCCCAAAGTGCTGGAATTACAGGCGTGAGCCACCAAGCCTGGCTCTTGTTTATTAATTTTAAGGATTTTGTTCTGTATTGTTTATAAGTTTCATAATGCATGCAAAACAGATACTATCATCCCAGTTTTGCAAATAAGGATATTAAGACACTGAGCCCCAAGAATTGACCCCAGATTTATTATAAACAAAGCTCTTCTTCCTTCTATCAAACTAAGCTGTGGAGAAATTGATTTTCATTTGTTTTATGTGCAAGAGCAGCACAAGTAGAGTTTAGGAGAGAGAAGAAGGTGACTAACCTCGATAAAGTGATACACTTTATAACTCTTTTTACTGGAACTCTTCAACTAGATTTTTTTTTTCCTTAAGATGTGGTATGGGCAATGACAAAAGTCAGCTCCTGGCTTTGGTAAAAATAAATGCACAGATATTCTGCAGCAAAGACTAGTTCGCCACTTGCTGGTATTCACAATACCCTGAGTGTACACTTTCTTTATTTGTTTGAATGTATATTCTATTTCCTCATGCATATGTAATCTTGTAGAACAAAATGTGGCCTTTAGTTAGTTTTGAATTTTTTTTAATTCACCCCATAAACGAGGGTCTCTTTTGTGTACTTCCTTGCATTTTAAAGGTTCCTAATTTATATATTTCAGTTATATTAAAAAATTCTCTAATGCAAATCAATAGACTGACCACATAGGCCAATGACATAAGCCGTTTTACTAGCCATGTATAGTATGTATGATTCCCTTACTTAAACTTTAAATAAGTACTTTATTATTATTGTTAATTTATTATTAGTAGTAGTAGGAGTAAGTAGTATCCATTAAATCATGAGAAGTCTAGCCCCATAGTAGTACATATTTGCAATGAGGATACAAAGCAGGAAGACTGGTGAGGAGGAGAAACAGATGGCTGCCTGCAAAACCTCATTTTTAGTATCATTGGGAAGCCACCTGCTAAAAATATGCCTTTCACTAGCCTGCTTCAGTGTGGGTTTTCTAACATTAGAAGTTCAATTTTTTGGTTTATAAGGAATTTATATTCCAAAGATTTAAAAATATGTTTGAATTCAGTGAGCTTCTATTATATTAAAGCAATTTAATTAGTGCAAAGGAAGGGAAATTGTTCTTTACAATGGATACCTTATAAGGTAGTGTGTGATCAATGCCCTTTAATCTCTAGGATTTTGTTATTGTTGTGGTTTGCTTATTTTTTAAACCACATAGATATCTTTATAAGGAATAACACTTTTTTTAAGAGTTAAAGATAATGTAGTGTGTATGCACACTTCCCACCTAAGAGGATTGCCTTGTAGTAAATGAAATAAATATTAAGATATAGGTCATGATACAGATATGATCTAAGGACAGTGTATCCACAAGGAAAGGATAAAACAATTCTATCTGGGAAGACTAGGCTTGAATTATTTCTGAAGAAAAATGAGATTTCAGGAAGACTTTGAGGAGAAGTTAGTGGGACGCATAGTAAAAACTGTACTTAAGAAAGAATGTACACAAGTTGGCTTACTTCTACCATACTTAGGTGTATAACTTCACCTCTCTGAGACTTAATTTTCTTATTTATATGAAGTGGGAATTAGCATAAATTAGGAATAAAAAGAGCTATATGTTTGCTCCCACGGCTTCCTTATGTGTCACTGACAGATATCATTAATGACACAAATCACTCTACAAATAAACCTAGATAAAGCCTAAAAATACTTTCCAAAACAGCAGGCAGATGTAGATAACCTTATGGAATCCACAATAGCAACAAAAATAAGTGAGAAATTAAGAAAAGTTAACAAAGCTATAGAATACTGGATCTAATCACAAAAATCTTGTATTTCCATGTTCTAGTAAGGAAATATTAGAACATGAAATCAAAGTTATAATAGGTCACCTTGACATAACCCTGCTTGCTCTACATACTAACGTCTGCCTGGTGTGGCTGGTTTTTAATTTTACCCATTCTATCAAATGTAGAGTAGTATCTCATTGTAGTTTAAACTTGTATTTCCCTAATGATTAATGAAGATTAGTATCTTTTAATATTTAATCCATACATCTTTTTTGGTGAAATGTCCATTGACACCTTTTGTCCATTTTTAAATGGATTTTTGTATTCTTGAGTTTGGAAAACTTTTGTAAGTTCTGGATTCAAGTCTTTTATCAGATATATAGTTACAAATATTTTATTCTGATATGTGGCTTGCTTTTTCATTTTCTTAAACATGCTTATTGAAGAGCAGTTATTAATTATTTGAAGTCCAATTTATCAATTTATCCTTTTATATATCATGTTTTTGGGGTCATATCTAAGAAAATTTTGCCTAAATACTGCAAATATTTTTCTCGTATGTTTTCTTCTAGAAGTATTAGTTTTAGGTTATACATTTAGGTTTATAACATATATTTGTGTATATGATATGAAGCATAGAATTATGCATATGGGTATCCACATTTTTCATTACCATTTGTTGAAAACATTACTTTTTTTGACAGAATTATCTCTGTAACCTTATCAAAACCCAATTAATCATATATGTATAAATCTGTTTCTCAACTCCATTCTCTTCCCTTAATCAAAGTATCTTAATGTTAATATATTACCTTGATTACATTAATTTTATGGTAAGTTTTAAAGTCTTGTAGTATAAGTTATTTAATTTTGTTCTTTTTAAAAGTTGTGCAATCTAGTCTATATTCTTTGCATTTCTATATGAATTATAGAATTAGCTTGTCAGTTTCTACAAAAGAATCCACTCTGATTTTGATTGGGATTACATTGGCTTTGTAGTTCAATTAGGAGAAAATTAGCATTGCAAGAGTATCAAGTCTTGCTATCCATGAACAATATGTATTATCCTTTTATTTAAGTAATATAATTTCTCTCAGCAAATTTTTATGGTTTTCTGCTTATAGGTCAACCACATCTTTTGCTAGATTTATCCTAAGTATTTCTTATTTGTGGTGCTATTGTAAATAACAGTTTATAATTACAATTTTCAATTGTTCTTTACTAGTTTATAGAAGTAGAAATTTTTTTACATAATAATCTTACGTCTTACAACATTGTCAAACTCACTGATTTGTTCTAGTAGCCTTTTTGTAGATTAAATCACATTTTTTTCTATGGACGGTCATGTTATCTGCAAATAAAGACAGTTTTACTTCTTGTCTTACCTGGATATGTGTTACTGCTTTTTCTTAACTGAATGTGCCAAATAGAACCTTCAGTGTATGTTAAATAGAGCTATTGACAGAAGACTTCTTTCCCTCATTTTTGACTTAAATTGATTAACTGTCTCCTTACTTGCAATGTTTTCAATGAAAAATTTGCCATCTTTCTGTTTTTCTTTATACAAACTGTTTATTTTTTCCTTTGATTACCTAAAAATTATATCATTATTTTTAAAAAATATGATATAATTATGATGTTCCTTGCTATAGTTATCTTCATTTTTCTTATGCTTAGGGTTCATTGAGCTTCTTGGATCTATAACTTTATAACTTTCATCAAATTTGCAAAATTTTCTGCCACTGTGTCACACACACACACATACACATACATACAAACACACATACAATTTTATGTTTGTTTTCCCATCTCTTCTCTTTCAAGAATTCCAACTAAAAGCATGTTAGACTGCTTTAAGTTGTCCAACTGCTTATTGTTTCCCTGGTTATTTTTCCTTATTCTTGTTTCTCTGTGTGTTTTATTTTGGAAAGTTTCCATTGTTAAGCCTTCATATTCAAAGGTTATATTTTTTCTGCAATGTCTAATCTGCCATTAATTCCATCTAGTATATTGTATCTCCAACATTGTAATTTCTATTCCTGGAAGTTTGATTTGTTTCTTCAATGTATTTTCTATGTCTCTTTTGTTTTTTATTTTTTGAGACCTAGTCTCGCTCTGTTGCCCAGGCTGGAGTGCAGTGGCACTATCTCGGCTCACTGCAAGCTCTGCCTCCTGGGTTCAAGCGATTCTCCTGTCTTAGCCTTCCCAGTAGATGGGGCTACAGGCACACACCACCACGTCTGGCTAATTTTTGTATTTTTTAGTAGAGATGGGGTTTCATCATATTGGTCAGGCTGGTCTCAAACGCCTGACCTCAAATGATCCACCTGCCTCGGCCTCCCAAAGTGCTGGGATTACAGGCATGAGCCACCGTGCCCAGCCTATTTTCTGTGTCTCTACTTATATCATGTTCAGTCTTTTCTCTAGCTTAAGAACATGTGGGATACAGTTGTTTAACTGTTTTAATTTCATTGTCTACTAATTCTATAATCTGTGTCATTTTTGGTTACCTTTCCACTGACATTTCTTCTTATTGTGAGCCATAATTTACTGCTTTTTTGCACTTCTAGTATTTTTTTTTTTTTTTTTTTTTTTTTTTTTGACGTAGTCTGTCACTGTCGTCCAGGCTAGAGTGCAGTGGTGCGATCTCGGCTCACTGCAAGCTCCGCCTCCCAGGTTCACGCCGTTCTCCTGCCTCAGCCTCCCAAGTAACTGGGACTACAGGCACCCACCACCATGCCCAGCTAATTTCTTTTTTCTTTTTTTGTATTTTTAGTAGAGACGGGGTTTCACCGTGTTAGCCAGGATGGTCTCGATCTCCTGACCTCTTGATCTGTCCGCCTCTGCCTCCCAAAGTGCTGGGATTACAGGCCATTTCTGGTAATTTTTTATTGGAGGCAAGTCCTTGTGAGTTTTGCCTGTTTGGAATGCTGAATATTTTTTGTATTCCAGAAAATATTATTTAACACATTTCTGGGTTTTGCTTTTAAGATTTGTGTGGAGGGGGAGAGTAGCTTTTATTCAAGGTTTAAATTTTTCTACTACTAAGGCAAGATATTTTTAGTAGTCTAACTGATTTCTTGTGAATTATGAGGCCTCTACTCTGATTGTTGAAAACAGGTTCTATTCCTGCATTTTGTTAAGAGCTGGTCGTTCTTTCTAATTTTTCAGAGGGTTCTTTCTCTGACCTTGGGTAGTTTTACGTGCTGATTGGTACTTAACTAAATACTTGAAGAGGACCCTGTAGGGATCTCTGGCATTATGCCTGTGTAGTTTTCTTCTCTCTGGCACTTTATCCTGTTAACTCTCACCACCCTTGCTTCCACAGAATGCTGGCTCCATCTTCTTGCCTCACTGAGTATAATGAACTTGCCTAAGTTCTCCACCCTTTAATGCAAATTATATGCATCAGAGCCATTAAGCGATGGAAATTATAAAGTTTCTCTCATTTTTTCCATATCTTATAAACTACTGTCCTTTGTTGCTTAATGTCCAATAATTTGAAAGCCATTTTTTATACATTTTGTGTACTTTATAAATTGTTTTTGTTTGGAGATAAATCTAGTTCCTGATAATCTATCTTGACCAGAAATATAAGTTTCACATTATTGATTATTGCTGTTTTAACTGACCACCTTAACATAAAGGCTTTTATTAAGAGGAAATAGAGACATGAATAAATCTAAGGAAGAGGAGAACCTTATAGAGGAAGTAAAACATGGCAAAGACCTAGGCTAAGAATAAGCTTCTACATTTAAAGAATAGCAAGAAGGCTGATGTTGAAGAGGGCTGAACCACAGTGAATGAGGGGAGAGAATAACGAGACAGATTTTCATAGAGTTAAGAAGGTAGGTGATATACAACTGTCTCAGAACTTAGAGTACTTTTCTTCTTATTAGTCCATATTATGGTTCTGATCAGGAGAGTGAACTGTTTGTATGTACATTTTTAAAAGATGACCTTAAATTTTATTTGGAAAATTGACTTTAGGAAGAAATAATAGAAATAGAGAAGTTAATTCAGGAATTGTAATAATCTGGATGAGGGAAGTTGGTAGATTAATGTGTTAACAAGTAGAAAGGGTGAGTAGTGGTCAAATTCACAACGTATTTTAAAGATAGAGATCACAAGAGGTTTCCATGAATTGGAAGTCAGCCATGAGAAAAATAGATAAAGTAAAGCAACTGCTGGGTTTTGGGCTGATGCTATGCTGTTTCATTTGTTCAAATGCAGATTAGAAGAGAAGTCATTCTGAAAGCAAAGTAAGGCAAGAATTTAATTTTGGCCATGTTCAGTTTTGAATTACAATTACACATCGAAGCAGAAATTTAAGTAGCCACTTGGAAAAGCTAGTCTTCTACAAATTAATCTTATGTTGTAGCAGTGAAAACTCACCTCATCCAGCAAGCTGTTTATGACTTCTTCCTCCCTCTACTATTTGCCATGTCTCCTCAGAAGTTTTCACTGGGATTTAGTCTCTGGAAGCAAGGCACACTATAATTCTCCACCACACTCCTCTCTGCAATTCATTATGTAGTTCTCAGTTCTTTTAACCTCTAAGGAAAATTCCTCATATTAACTCTTTAAAAAAGAAATTCTTTTAAGGGATTATATAGTCAGCACCATTATTTTTTAGATAATACAATTATACAACCACTTCCGCCAAAACCCCAAGTTCTGAAATGAGGCTTAATGGTAAAAAGGAAAATTTGATTTCCTTAGGGAAATCCTTAGAATCCCAGAAACAAAGAGGGAAACAAGCATTGTCTCCTCAGTGTCATGTTTACAGTTTTCTTCATATTATTTGCCTCTTATTTCTTCATAACCTTGAAGTTAAGTAAAACTTTATTTGACAAACTGAATAATTCAAGTGTGGGGTTCTACTCTACCCCCTTTATATCACTGTACTAGATATTTTATAAGTTAAAAACAAAGATCTTAATACTTAAGAAATATAAGGAAATATTCTGGAAAACAATGAGAGTGAAGAATTTGTTGCTGCCCAGTCCTGATGACAGACTTGAATATTAATCAAATATTAATAATAGCAATAATGATTATATTCCACATGGTGATGTTTTATGTCTTTCTATCGTATTCACACCAGTGAGCACATTCTATCATTCTAAAACAACTGGTCTAATTTTTTGGATATTCTCCATTAAAATGCACTAAAATAATATTGCCTATCACTTGCTAGTCTTAAACTGAGAAAAAAGGAAATCTTTACCGCAAAGTAGTAAAACTCTGAGAACCTGCAGCTGAATTCAGACTAAAAATCATAATTCCAGGTTAAGTCTAAATAAGTTTTTAAAGAGTTAAAATATACACGTCCTAAGATGAATTAGTTTGACATGATTTGGTAACATGATGTGGGCATCCAGATGGCTCATAAAAATGTTTCTTTATTTATGTGGCCAGTGTTACTCAGCAGAAAGTTAGTTTGCTATCTGAAATGTCAGTTCCCCCAATTCAGGCAATATTTTCCCTGATTATATTTTTGTGCACATCTGCACCCACTAACCTTCTCACCTTCATTCCCAGTCCCAATTCAATCCATGCTTCAGTAGAGAATTTGAGCAGCTTCAGTTCTTTTTTTGCTTCATTGTGTATTTGAAATGGGTTGAGTTGGGAGACTAATTATTAAACTGCTCTGCCTGTTGGCATCAAAAGGAGCTTATGTTTGTATTGGTCTGATTAGAGACCTGTTTTCTTATTCTCAGGTGAACTAAGGACATTTATTTCCTCTAAATTAGTGGGACTTAATACAAAAAACACAGAGCTGATAAGAATTAAAGAAAATAAACTTTTAACGCTGCTTCTCATCCCCTATAAATCCAGTGGTTTGAAAGAGGTAGATTCTTCACCCAAAGGAAAGTAAAGGATTTTAGTTTTTCGTGCTCTAGAATATCAAAATGGCCTTATATGCTGCTGCTAACAAAGGGGCATGCTTCAGGAAGCCCATGCCCATGAGGAGCTAGACTTCCAAATTTCTTCCACACCTTTAGAAAACACCATAACATCATTGTGGGTCTAACCACGACTTTTAATGGCCATATGCTTCGATACTCTACATTAAACCTGCACTACCTTCAACTTGGCCAGCCTCTCCTTTAATCTGCTCATCTTGCAGTGAGTATAGAGCTGTGTTACTCTGATTCAAAGAAACACTCTAAAATATAGCATGTGATGGACATTGTGATTAGTTCCCAGCACCCATTTCACCCTTGCCAATGATTCACCTATCCAGAAAAATGTTCATGTGACACAATTCTGATCATGGAGGAAAGTCACTTGGGTGGGGATTAGTCTGATGAAAGTCTCCCCACTCCCAAGAAAGATGAAGAAAGACCACTCTACCCCTTCCTATGGACGTTGACCTCTCTGAACGTAATTCCATAAGAGCTGTAGCCATCTTGCCACACAAGTTGAAGAAGCAACCTCTCAGAGATGGTGACTAAAAATATAGAAAAAATCAACGTCTTTAATGACCCTCCCTGTTGGGCCCCAGATTACGCTGTTTTGGAGCTCAGTATCTGTGGTATTCCAGTTATGTTACATGAAACTTTTTTATTTCTTTTCTTTTTTTTTTTTTTTTTAAGATGGAGTCTCGCCCTGTCACACAGGCTGGAGTGCAATGGCGTGGTCTTGGCTCACTGCAGCCTCCACCTCCTAGGTTCAAATGATTCTCCCACCTCAGCCTCCCAAGTAGCTGGGATTACAGGCATCTGCCACCAGATTTTGTATTTTTAGTAGAGGCAGGATTTCACCATGATGGCCAGGCTGGTTTCGAACTCATGACCTTGTGATCCACCCGCCTCGGCCTCCTAAAATGCTGGGGTTGCAGGCGTGAGCCACAGGGCCCAGCCTAGATGCTACTTTTAAAATTATTTTCTTGGTTTTTTTTTTTTTTGAGACGGAGTCTCGCTCTGTCACCCAGGCTGGAGTGCAGTGGCGGGATCTCGGCTCACTGCAAGCTCCGCCTCCCGGGTTCACGCCATTCTCCTGCCTCAGCCTCCCAAGTAGCTGGGACTACAGGCGCCCGCCACTACGCCCGGCTAATTTTTTGTATTTTTAGTAGAGACGGGGTTTCACCGTTTTAGCCGGGATGGTCTCGACCTCCTGACCTCGTGATCCACCCGCCTCGGCCTCCCAAAGTGCTGGGATTACAGGCGTGAGCCACCGCGCCCGGCCATACTTTTAAAATTATTTTCTATCATTTTAAAGTAAGATTTTAATGGATATGGACAAAAGAATCCTGAGGCATGATATGAAGAGTTTTAATTAATGCCACTTGTCCGTGACAAATCCTCTCATAATAAAGTCAAGGGTTTTTAATAGATGACTTAATAGAAAACATCAGTATGAAGAGAAGCTGTTCTTCCTCTTAATATGTGAAGGGTTATCAATTTCTAAAATTAATTCTTTATTTGCCTGGTCCCCATGTAGCTTTTCCCTGTAGTACCAATAGCTATATTCTTCTGAAAGTGAAAGTCTATATCTTTAGATTTGAATGAATGAAGAGTTATCAAACTGAATATTCATCATGCACTCTAAAGAATTATACCTAATCTGACTTTTTTTCTGATTTTGAAAGTAACAGTCAGAATAAATAAAATGATATCATGACATTTTATTAATGGATTCAGTCTCCAAAAGTTGTTGAATAAACTGAAGAATGGCTGTAAAAAAGGAATTTAGATGAATTCCTTGGTGTCTAACACTTTTCTGGATGCAGCTGCTCTTGTATCTGCCTGAGCTTGCTGGGCCTCTGGGGAACCCTGCTGAAAACCTACTTACCAAAATAGAAATTAGGACATTGTAATCATCAAATGTGGAAAAGGAAATAGTTGGAGATGGGAAAGCTTATAAGCCTTTCTTATTTTACTTTCTAACAGATAATTTTGGCATTTTTATTTTAATGGATATAATTATTAATAGAAATGTAAGTGTGCCTTCTTATGAAATAGTGCATTACATTTCTTAACAAAGATTTAATGTCCTATGTAAAACATTTGCTTTATGCCCTCTCTATTAATCTGAGACATTATATCATGCACTATGAAATTTATATCTTGAGATGGCATATGTTATATCACATGATGTTATATGGTATATCATTTGTGGCACCTCATTAGGGTGAGAAAACTGAGTTCACATTATTTGTCTCTGTTATATGAGGAAAGCCCTTTTGTGAATCTCATTTCTCTATCTCTAAAGGAAGGGTAATATTTGACTTACCTTGTAGAGCTGTTGAAAGAATCACATAAGGTACTATAAGAATAAAACCACTTTGTAAGTTTTATAAGTAAAATGCAGTTGTATTTCTACCACAATGCCAAGTTTGACTGAAACATAAACATTCTATTTAATGCATAAAATAAATATGTTGTCTTTTTTATAAATGGAGTATTGCATGTGAAATAAAAATCATATAGTAATCAGAAGTGATACAGAAGGGTGAGCAGCTACAGTGGCCAAGGGAGCACTTAAGTTACCCCTCCCCCCAACACCAGGTAGTGCAGCTCAAAGCTCTGGGAGAGACTTCTTCCTTGGGCTTGAAGAGAGGGAGGAGAGAGTAAAGAAAACTCTTGCTACTTTGAGACCAGCTCAGACACAGTAGGATAGGACAACAGGCAGAGTCCCAAGCCTCCCATTCCAGGCTCTAGTTCCCAAATGGATAACATTTCTAGACACACCCTGGGCCAGAAGAGAACCCACTTCCTTGAAGGGAAGGACACAGTTTTGGCAGGATGCATCATTTGCTGATTAAAGAACCCTTGGATCTTGAATAAGCATCAACAGTAGCAGAAGCTCTTTAGTTTAATTAGATCCCATTTGTCAATTTTGGCTTTTGTTGCCATTGCTTTTGGTGTTTTAGACATGAAGTCCTTGCCCATGCCTATGTCCTGAATGGTATTGCCTAGGTTTTCTTCTAGGGTTTTTATGGTTTTAGGTCTAACATGTAAGTCTTTAATCCATCTTCAATTAATTTTTGTATAAGATGTAAGGAAAGGATCAAGTTTCAGCTTTCTACATATGGCTAGCCAGTTTTCCCAGCACCATTTATTAAATAGGGAATCCTTTCCCCATTGCTTGTTTTTGTCAGGTTTGTCAAAGATCAGATAGTTGTAGATATGCAGCATTATTTTTGAGGGCTCTGTTCTGTTCCACTGGTCTATATCTCTGTTTTGGTACCAGTACCATGCTGCTTTGATTACTGTAGCCTTGTAGTATAGTTTGAAGTCAGGTAGCATGATGCCTCCAGCTTTGTTCTTTTGGCTTAGGATTGACTTGGCAATGCGGGCTCTTTTTGGTTCCATATGAACTTTAAAGTAGTTTTTTCCAGTTCTGTGAAGAAAGTCATTGGTAGCTTGATGGGGATGGCATTGAATCTATAAATTACCTTGGGTAGTGTGGCCATTTTCATGATATTGATTCTTCCTATCCATGAGCATGGAATGTTCTTTCATTTGTTGGTGTCCTCTCTTATTTCTTTGAGCAGTGGTTTGTAGTTCTCCTTGAAGAGGTCCTTCACATCCCTTGTAAGTTGGATTCCTAGGTATTTTATTCTCTTTGAAGCAATTGTGAATGGGAGTTAATTAAACTAAAGAGCTTCTGCATAGCAAAAAAAACTACCATCAGAGTGAACAGGCAACCTACAGAATGGGAGAAAATTTTTGCAATCTACTCATCTGACAAAGGGCTAATATCCAGAATCTACAATGAACTCAAACAAATTTACAAGAAAAAAACAAACAACCCCATCAAAAAGTGGGCAAAAGATATGAACAGACACTTCTCAAAAGAAGACATTTATGCAGCCCAAAAACACATGAAAAAATGCTCACCATCACTGGCCATCAGAGAAATGCATATCAAAACCACAATGAGATACCATCCCACACCAGTTAGAATGGCAGTCCTTAAAAAGTCAGGAAACAACAGGTGCTGGAGAGCATGTGGACAAATAGGAACACTTTTACACTGTTGGTGGGACTGTAAACTAGTCCAACCATTGTGGAAGTCAGTGTGGCGATTCCTCAGGAATCTAGAACTAGAAATACCATTTGACCTAGCCATCCCATTACTGGGTATATACCCAAAGGATTATAAATCATGCTGCTATAAAGACACTTGCACACGTATGTTTATTGTGGCACTATTCACAATAACAAAGACTTGGAACCAACCCAAATGTCCAACAACGATAGACTGGATTAAGAAAATGTGGCACATATACACCATGGAATACTATGCAGCCATAAAAAATGATGAGTTCATGTCCTTTGTAGGGACATGGATGAAGCTGGAAACCATCATTCTCAGCAAACTATCACAAGGACAAACAACCAAACACTGCATGTTCTCACTCATAGGTGGGAATTGAACAATGAGAACACATGGACACAGGAAGGGGAACATCACACACCGGGGACTGTTGTGGGGTTGGGGGGAAGCGGGAGGGATAGCATTAGGAGATATACCTAATGCTAAATGACAAGTTAATGGGTGCAGCACACCAACATGGCACATGTATACATATGTAACAACCCTGCATGTTGTGCACATGCACCCTAAAACTTAAAGTATAATAATAATAAAATAAATAAATAGATAAATTAAAATTAAAAAAAAAAAACAGTAGCAAGGCAGTACTTGCCACAGGGCTTGGGTGAGACTGAGTGCCATGTTCACTTCAGGTCTGACCAAGCACAGTCCCAGTGATTGTGGCACAGCGGTGCTTGTGTTACTCTTTACCCCAGCTCAAGGCAGCTCAGCATGGAGAGAGACACTCCATTTGTTTGGGGGAAAGTAAGAGAAGAGAACAAGAGTCTCTGCTTAGTAATCCAAATAATTCTCTCAGATCATACCCAACCCCACAAAGGCAGGACCTCTATAATACTGCAAGTGTCACAGCATTACTGGTCTTGGCATACCCCCTGATGCATATATGGCTTAGATAACAACACCCAGGTCATTTCAAATACCTGGAAAGTCTTCTCAAGAAGGAAGGGTACAAACAAGCCTGGACTGTGAATACTACAATAAATACCTGACTTTTTGGTGCCCAGACATCAACAAACATCCACAGACATAAACACCATCCAGGAAAACAGGACCTCATCAAACAAACTATATAAGGCACCAGTGATCAATCATAAAGGGACAGAGATATGTGACTTTTCAGACAGAGAATTCAAAATATCTATGTTGAGGAAGCTCAACAAAATTCAAGATAATGCAGAAAATGAATTCAGAATCCTATCAGAGAAATTTACCAAAGACATGGAAATAATTATTTTTAAATCAAGCAGAAATTCTGGAATTGAACAACTAAATTGACATACTGAAGAATGCACCAGGGTCTTTCAATAGCAGAATTGATAAGGGAGAAGAAAGAATTAGTGAACTTGAAAATAGGCTAACTGAAAATACACAGTCAGAGTAAACAAAAAAAAATTTAGCAGGCTTATAAGATCTAGAAAATAGCTTCAAAAGGCAAATCTAAAGAGTCTTAAAGATATATATATATATATATATATATATATATAGAGAGAGAGAGAGAGAGAGAGAGAGAGAGAGAGAGAGAGAGAGAAGGGTAGAAAGGATATTACTCAAACATATAATAACAGAGAACTTTCCAAATCTGTAGAAATATATCAATATTCAAGAACAAGGAGGTTATAGAACACCAAGCAGATTTAACCCAAATAAGATTACATGAAGACATTCAATAATCAAACTCCTAGAGGTCAAAAAATTAAGAAAGGGTCCCAAAAGCAGCAGGAGAAAAATAAATAATATACAAAGGAGCTCCAATATATCCAGGAACAGACATCTCAGTGGACAGCTTACAGGCATGATATATTAAAAGGAAAAAAGGAAAAGACATTTTCCTGGAGTAGTATATCCAGTGAAAATATCCTTCAAAAATGAAGAAGAAAAGACTTTCCTAGATGATCAAAAGGTCATGGATTTCATCAATATCAGACCTCTCCTACAAGAAAAGCTAAAGAGTGTTCTTCAATCTGAAAGAAAAGGACATTAACAAGGAGTAAGGTACAAATCTTTCACCTGAAGGTACAAAACTTACTGGTAATCCTAAGTACACAGACACAGAATATTATAACACTGTAATTGCGGTATGTAACCTACTCATATCTTGAGTAGAAACACTAAAAGTTGAACTTCTCAAAAATAATAACTACAACAACTTTTCAACACAGAGGGAGTATAATAAGATAGAAATAACAAAAGGTTAAACAGTGAGGATCAAGAAATTAAAGTTAGAGTTTTTATGAGTTTTCTCTTTGCTTATTTGTGAGTTTTTTATGCAATCAGTGTTAAGTTGCCATTAGTTTTAAATAATGGGTTATGTTATTTGCAAGCACCATTGTAACCTCTAATCAACAAACTTACAACAAATACACAAAAAGTAAAAAGCAAGAAATTAAAACATGCCATCAGAGAAAATAACCTTCACATAAAGGAAGATGGGAAGGGAGGAAGGAAGGGAGGTAGGAAGGAAAAGACCAGAAAACATACAGAAAACAATAATAAAATTACAGTAGTAAGTTTTTACTTATCAATAATAACATTGAAGTTAAATGGACTAAACTCTCCAATCAAAAAGACAGAGTGGCTGAATGAATAAAAAGCAAGATCCAATGAGCTGTTGCCCACAAGAAACCCACTTCATCCTTAAGGACACACATTGAAAATAAACAGATGGAAAAAGCTATTCCATGCATATAGAAACCAAAAAAAGAGCATGAATAGCTATACTTATATAAGACAAATAAATTTCAAGACAAAAACTATAAGATAAAAAAGATCATTATATAATGATAAAGGTGTCAATTCAGCAAGAGAATCTATCAATTTGAAATATATATGCACCCAACACGGCAGGACCCAGATATATAAAGCAAATAATATTAGAGCTAAGGAGAGAAACAACCCCCAAATATGATAATAGCTGGAGACCTCAACACCCCAATGTTAGCATTGGACAGATGAGCAAGACAGATAATAAACAAAGAAACATCAGACTTAATCTATACTGTAGACTAAATGGACCTAATAGATTATTTAAAGAACATTCTATTCAATGGATACAGAATACACATTCTTCTGAGCACATGGATCATTCTCAAGGATAGACCATGTTAGTCTACAAAATAAGGCTTAAAAATTTCAAAAAAGTGATGTCATATTAAGTATCTTCTGTAACCACAATGGAATAAAACTAGAAATCAATAAGAAGAATTTTGGAAACCATACCAACACATGGAAATTAAGCAATATGATCCTGAATGACTAGTGCTGAATAAAGAAATTAAGAGGGAAATTGAAAATTTTCTTGCAACAAATAATAATGGAAACCCAACACACAAATCCTATGAGATACAGCAAAATCAATACTAAGAGGAAAGTTTATAGCAATAAGCACTTACATCAAAAAAGTAGAAAAATTTCAAATAAACCTAATAATGCATCTTAAAGAACTAGAAAAGCAAGAGCAAATCAAATTCAAAATTAGTAGAAGGAAAGAAAGAATGAAGATTAGAGCAGAAATAAGGAAGATTAGACCACTGATACAAAAAAACCAATGAAACAAAAAGTTGATTTTTTTGAAAAGATAAACAAAATTGACAAATCTTTAGCTGCACTAACAAAAGGAGAGAAGACTCAAATAAAAAAAATCACAGATGAAAAAGGAGACATTATAACAGATACTGCAGAAATTCAAGGGATTATTAGATGCTGCTATGAGCAATTATAGACCAAAAATTGGAAAACCTAGAGGAAACGGACACATTCTTAGATACATACAACCTAACAAGATTGAACCAAGAAAAAGTCCAAAACCTGTGTAGATTAATAACAACAAATGAGAGCGAAGCTGTAATAAAATGTCTCCTAGCAAAGAAAAGCCCAGGACTTAATGACGTCAGTGCTGAATTTTACCAAACATTTAAAGAATAAGTAATACTAATTCTACTCAAACTACTCTAAAAAATAGAAGAAGAGGGAATATTTCTATACTTATTCTATGAGGCCACTATTACCCTGATACCAGAATCACACATGGACACATCAAAAAAAAAAAAAGAATATTACAGGCCAGTATCTCTGATGAATATTAATGAGAAAACCCTCAACAATGAGCAGATACAGTGGCTTATGCCTGTAATCCCAGCACTTTGGGAGACCAAGGTGGAAAGATGGAAGGATCACTTGAGCCCAAGTTTGAGACCAGCCTAGGCAACATTGTGAGACCCGTCTCAAAAACAAAAACAAAACAAAACAAAACAAAAAACCTCAACAAAAAAATACTAGCAAACTGAATTCAACAACAAGCAACACATTGAAAAGATCATATATCATGACCAAATGGTATTTATCCTGGCATGCAAGGATGGTTAAACATACACAAATCAATCAATGTGATACAGTGTATCAACAGTATGAAAGTCAAAAACTATACGTTCATTTCAGTTAATGATGAATAAAGCATTCATAAAAGTCAACATCCCTTCATAATAAAAACTGTAAGAAATCTGGGTATAGAAGGAACACACGTCAACATGGCAAGCCCACAACTAGCATTATACTGAACATGGAAAAACTGAAAGCCTTTCCTCTAAGATCTGGAACAAGACAAGGATGCCCACTTTTACCACTGTTATTCAACACAGTATTGGAAGTCCTAGCTAAAGCAATCAAAAGAAAAAGAGAGAGAGAGAGACAGAAGGAAAAGAGAAAAAGAGAGAAAGAGAGAGAGAAAGAAAGAAAAGGGAAAAGAAAGAAAAAGAAAGAAAGAAAGAAAAGAAAGAAAGAAAATGGAGAGAGAGAAGGAGGGAAGGAAGGAAAGAAAGAAAGGGCATCCAGTTGGAAAGGAAGAAGTCAAATTATCCTTGCTTGCAGTAGATATGATCTTATATTTGCAGAAACCTAAAGACTTCACAAAAAACTATTGGAACTCATAAACAAATTCAGTGAAGTTGCAGGACACAAAATCAATATATAAAATAAGTACCATTTCTATATGTCAGCCATGAACAATCTGAAAATGAAATCAAGAAAGTAATCACATTTATAAAGCTACAAAGAAAATACCTAGGCATTGCTATTTATATACATAAAAGAAAGGAACACAGTATATTAAAGAGATATCTGCACTCCCATGTTTATTGCAGCACTATTCACAGTAGCCAAGATTTGGAAGCAATCTAAGTGTCTCTCAACAGATGAATGGATAAAGAAAATGTGGTACATATACACAATGAAATACTATTCAGCTATAAAAAAAATGAGATTCTGTCATTTGCAGTAACATGGATGGAACTGTAGGACATTATGTTAAGTAAAATAAGCCAGGCACAGAAAGGCTAATTTTGTATGTTTTCACTAATTTGTGGCAGCTAAATTTAAAACAATTGAACTCATGTAGACAGAATGATGGTTGCCATAGGCTGGGAAGAGTAGTTGCAGGGGGAAGCAGGGGTGGTTAATGAGTACAAAAACAGATAGAATGAATAAGACCTAAGTTTTGATAGCACAACAGAATGATTACAGTCAACAGTAATTTATTGTACATTTAAAAATAACTACAAGAGTATGATTGGATTGTTTGTAACACAAAGAAATGATAAACATTTGAAGTGATGAATACTTATTCTGATGTGATTATTATGCACTGTATACCTGTTTCATGATATCTCTACGTACCCCATAAATATATACACCTACTATGTATGCATAAAATAGGAAAAAAAAAGAAATGATACAAAGGAGAAAGTAATTTACTCAGTCTATGAGTATAGTAGAGAAGTCCTCAAGAACTGACCACCTGAGCTGAATTTAGAGGACCACTTAAAAAACAAAAAACAGTTAACCTGTTCTTCTTTGAGAGCACAGAATGCTAGGTAAAAAAACATGGAGGTAGCAAAGAAAATTCAATGTGCAGAAAACCATGATTAAGTTGGAGTGGCCAAAATCTAGCAGTGCTGGGGATTGGTTGGTGCTGTGAGGGTGGGGGTCAAGTTTAATGTAGATTGCAATGAAATATAAATCTAGATGGGACCAAACCAGAAGGTCTGTATATGTGATGATAAAGGATTGGGCCTCTCCTGTAGGCCTGGTTGTTCACTGGAATGATCCATAAGACATTGGAAATTATTATTGACCTCACCTCAGACCTTTTGATTAAAAACTTGGCTCTGGTGTGGACTGAATGGTGAGACTTGGAACTACAACTACACAAGTAACGCATCAGTCAGGTTTCAGAACCACTGATCTGAATGAAAGAAAGCCACTGAGGATTTTGAACAGGAAAATAACAGGGTCAGATTTGCATTTAAAAAAAAATCACACAAGCAGCTGTGTGGACATCAAGGGAAGGGAATGCAACCTAAGGAATATAATTTAAGGCATGGCAAAAACCCAGGAGCCAGACAAAAAGACAGATAGCAACAAAGAAGCAGGCAGGCAGAGTCAAGGAGCCCAAGGTGGTAAGGGAGGGAGCCAGAGGAGAGAGGAAGGAATGAGGTTAGTGGTGTGACAGCATTCAAGACAAGGAGGCCTCTGTGGCCAATAAAAAGAAGGTGGCTTTTCCCTAGAAAAACATGGGAAGTGATTGAAAATCTTAAGCAGGACAGTGAGGTGATCCATAGCTGGGAAATCATGTTTGCCCTAATTGCAAGAAGTTTTATTAACAAGTGGCGCTTTAGGAAAAAAAAATTTGGCTTAGGGGGAATGTTTCCTTAGCATGGGTACTAACAGGTGAGAGCTAAAGTAACTGGTCTCTGACATCTTGATCAGAACCACAGTTTGCAAAGCATGTTAATTCAGATGACAGGGACAGAGGAGGCAGGAAGGTCTGATTTACAGGAATATATATATATATATATATATTTACAGGAATATATATATATATTTACAGGAATATATATATATATTTACAGGAATATATATATATATTTACAGGAATATATATATATATATTTACAGGAATATATATATATATATTTACAGGAATATATATATATTTACAGGAATATATATATATATATTTACAGGAATATATATATGTGTGTGTGTGTGTGTGTGTATATATATATATATATAGCCAAGGCCCTGGTGTAGAGAAAAGAAGGGGATATCTCAATACCAAAAACATCAGCCAGTTTTTCACTTAGGGAAAATAAATAATGTCCTATGATCACTGAGTTCAGTCAAACAAATACAAAAACCTATGCTCTGTGAAGCAGTGCATTTTAGTTGCAGCAACTATCTACCTTGGATTTCTTATAAAAGTTCCAGTTTAAGTATTCAGCATTGTGGCCATGTGTCCATCTATGTGTCCTGTGTTTTTGGGGGAAGGGTAGTTACAAATACCAGCTCTGTTTTTGGTTTCATGTGGCCTGTGTAAGTAATTTAATCTTCTAGTTTATTATACTGAACAGAATTGGATTTGCAATTATGTAAGTCTATATCTTTATCTCACGTTTTTCCACTGGACACTTGAACATGTTCCTTAAACTCTGAGAAACCTAGTTTCTACTTCTGACATCTATTTATAAGCTCATTATGAGAATCAAAGGAGTTAAACTGGGTTATATACCAAAACAGTGCCAGATACATAGTAGGCCTTTTGTAAAAGCTAGCTTCATTTTTCTAACTGTCTTTCTTCATTTTCAAAATGAGAGACATAGGTAAGAAGGGTAAAACTGTCCAGCATGTAGTCCCCAAGCTGCTATCCCTCTCTTTATGCCTTCATGGCAAACATTGTAATTGATCACAGCCCTCTTTGTTTTGAAACCAGAAGGAGCTTTAAAATTCTTTCCAATACCCAACCTTGAACTGCTTCTACCAGGTGCATGGACGTGACATTTGAGATGAAACTTGTTTGTCATCCCTGGAGTGGATACTCTCTAAGGTTTCAGCTGTAACAATCCAAGCCCATAACAAATGGAGCCTAATTTCCAAATGTACAAATGAATGGAAGGCAAATTTTTAAAAACTAAGAAGATATAAGCAATAAGATATGGGATATATCTTGTATAGGATATATCAAGATATATGATATAGGATAAACTAGCCTGGCAATTGAGCCTTTTGGGAAGTCCTGAGAGGGGAGATGACATTGGAACTGGTCTTTGTGATGGGAATAATTTTGCCCCCCACAAAGATGCCCATGTTTTAATTCCTGGAACATGTGAACATACTACTTTACGTGGAAAACTAATTTTTCAGTTGTTATTAAGGCTCTTAAGATGGGAAAGTTAGCCTCAATTATCCAGGTTGGCCCAATACATTAACAAAGATCCTTCTAAAGAGAGAGAGGGGCAGGAGAGTGAGAGTCAGAGGAGATTGGAGCATGGAAGCCAAGGTCAGAGTGAGGCCCCTCAGCAAGGAGTGCAGGAAACGAGTTGCTGGGAAGGGTGAGGAGCTGGCTCTCCCCTAGAGCACCCAGAAGAAATGCAGCCCTGAGGGTTCCTTGGTTTTATCCTCATGAGACACATTTTGGGACTTCTGACTTTCAGAACTATAAACTAACACATTTATGTTGTTTTAAGCCACTAAGTTTGTGGTATTTTGCTACAGCAACAATGGGGAACTAATATAGGGCTTGAAAGAAGGATATGGAGTGAAAATAAAGAGGGACAATTTGGGTGAGTGGTAAATGATGAGCAGAGGCCTAAATGTGAAAAGAAGCCAAGTATATGGTGGGGAAGTGTGCATTTTGACCACATGGAAGAGGTGAGATGGGCTGAAGACAAGAAGGACAGCAGCTGAGGAGTTAGACTAGTCTGATAAGCCTACTGAATAACCTTGGGCCAGTTATTTAACTTCTCTAGCACTGCAGTGTTTCTTATCTATAAAAATAAGTATGACAATACTGCCTGTTTCACAGGTTTAAATGATATAGTAGATACACAGTTTCTGTTACTGAATAAGTGCTCCATAATGGAAGCTGCTATTTTCATGAATAAAAAATAAAGTTGAATTGCCAGCTTACTAGATAATAGGAAACTCTGAGGAACCTCTGAGGACTAGGCTAAAATTAGTAAACTTTTTTCTCTAGCTATTGGGTGGCCACTGGAAGATCTTGACCAAGAAAGTATTAATAACTTACAAACAAAAACATGCTCTTATGGTAAATTAATATGACAAAGAAAAAAGACAGAAAAAACATCTACCTAAGGGAAAGGTTGAGGGAAGGAGGTTGATCTTCACATGGACATAGGAAAAGCTGGGCTTTTATTGCTCAAGCATGCCAGCTGACTCTAATGGCTTACTAAAGGGGAAGAATGTGGTAATGAACACATCACTAGCCTGGGAGTTGGGAATAAAAGTTCTTACTCTGGTTGGGTTAGCCACTCATTGCAACACTGAGCAAACCCCTTGCTGTGTATGATCTTGAATCCCCGAGTGGTGAATTCAAATAGTCTTTGTGACTCATCATTTGCTGAGGCTGTGCTATTTCAGAATCATACTTTTCTTGGACTAATCTTTGTGTGCCTGAGGTCAGATGATTTATCTTGAGAAAACTGCAAGGATGAAAGAGCACTCCTAAAAGAAAATTAGTTCTAATTGCTATGAATTTCAGTGACTATTTAAGCCTGACATAAACCAAATAATTAAATCTTTTATGAGGATGTGAAGACTACCTTCCGGACATTAAAAAGGTATAAATGAACATGTAAATATTGTGTTTTGTGTGCAGTTAGATATTTGCTATCTATGCTAAGCATCTGCTGTGTGGCATCCTTTGGTCAGGACCTTTTGCTTAAATCAAGCCAGGAAAAAAGAGTATTTTTACCCCATGCTTTGATGTTCAAATAGGATTTTGCAGAAATATATCCAAATTATAAATATGTCTCCTACTCATGAAACTGGCACACTTGTTAAAAATATGGAATTATTCTCATGAGGGAGAAGAGCTCCAATAAAAATTGTCCAAATACTATGTGAAAATCAGCAAAAGATAAGAGACATTAAATAGTTTTTGGTCAGAAAAATTTCCAATACTAAGTGGAAACAGGATACCTTCTGCCTTAGCCAGTGACCCTGTGGCCTAACCTACCCTTTGGAACAGAGGGAAATGCTGATGATAATATGAAGGAGAGAAGTGCTTTCATCAATAGTCAAGAGTCAGTAGGACATCCTTGATGCTAAAGAAAAGCTACCAAAAATTTTTTTTTAGAGACGGAATCTTGCTCTCTTCCCCAGGCTGGAATGCAGTGGTGTGAGTATAGCTTACTACAGCCTTCACCCCCTGGACCCAAGCACTCCTAGCAATTCAGGCTTTCAAGTAGCTGAAACTACAGGCTCACAACACCAGGCCCAGGTACTTTTAAAAACATTTTTTGTAGAGATGGAATCTCGCTATATTGCCCAGGTTGGTCTCAAACTCCTGAGCTCAAGTGATCTTCCTGCCTTGGCTTCCCAAAGTTCTGGGATTACAAGCATGAGCCACTGCACCTGGCCAGAAAGCTATTTAAATTCCTGTTTACAGAAGAGTAAATGAATAAAAATACAGCAATGAATAGGGAACACTCATAAGTGTTATTTACATTGCCCAAATGTCACTGAATCCTCTAACATCCTGAGACCCCCTTGATTTGGTATCTAAATAAAAGAACTCCAGACTCCCAGTGCACAAAATGTAAGAAGTCCAGTGCATTGTCAGGTTTTTGATAACTCCTGGGGTGGGGGAGGGTGTAGCTTGTTTACTGCCCTAAGTATTATTTTAGCTTCTAGCTCAGTTCTTGATCTCTCTCAGACTGACCCTGCCACCCTGCCATGATTGAGAGCTGCTCCAAAACTTGAATACATTGTCCCTCTTCCACACTACATTTTCTCATTGTTAGTCACTTAAGTTGTCAAAGCGGAGTTTAATTGAAGATCACGGAAAACAAAGTAGAATTATAGAATTAATCAGAAAACACCTGAACATCGAACATCAGATCTGCATGAAATTAGTTTGCCAGTTTTCACTCTCCGTAGACCATAGCTTCTCACTACATTGCCTTTACCTTCTCTTAGGAAGCACTCCTCCAGAACTTCTCTTTTCTGAATGTGCAGAAACATCACTTCCATTATGCATCACTCTGAGCATAAAACATAAACTTAAAGTTCCTAACACTTCATTATGTACAGCCATTTAAGTCCTCTAGCCAAGATTTCGGGAAATGCCTTTATCCAATAAACATGCCCAAGTAATGACTTCTTAAATCAAAGTGCCACCTAACCTGAGGCTCCATCCTTAGTGCAAAACAACCAGCAGCTTGGAGTTTGGGTGTTTCAGCATAAGTTTACTGTATCTGTTTGTGTGAATGTGGGGGGTTGCAGGAAGGGGGTAGGATTGGGGAGGTACAGAATCTCATTTCTCTACCAGAACAAACCCCATGTGTGCCAGGTTTGTTTTTGTTGCTGTTGTCCTTGTTGTTGTTGCTTGCATCATCCTCCATCTTTCTGTTCCCCTTCCTTTTCTTCCTCCTTCCTCTACTCTTTCTTTTCTTCTTCCTTTTCTTTTGCTTACTCTTCTTCCCCCTCTTTCTTGTAGCCTTTTTCCACCTCCTCTTCTTCTTATATTAATTTTTTGGAATATTAACTCTAAAATGGATTCATAATTTATTCCACCAGAGAAAATCCAGAATCTCTAATTTGTCTTTCAAATCTCTCTCTTAATGAGCCCAGCCTACCTGACTTACCACTTGACTCCTTTGAATAGCCTTCGTTTCAGCAAAATTTAATCATCTACAGATCCCTGACTGTTCCCCCCAGTTGAGGTGCTGCTCCTTCCATTTTTTTGTTTGTTTTTTTGAGATGGAGTCTCGCTCTTGTTGCCCAGGCTGGAGTGTAGTGGCCCAATATCGGCTCACTCCAACCTTCGCCTCCCGGGTTCAAGAGATTCTCCTGCCTCAGCCTCACGAGTAGCTGGGATTACAGGTGTCTGCCACCATGCCCAGCTAATTTTTGTATTTTTAGTAGAGATGGGGTTTCACCATGTTGGCCAGGCTGGTCTTAAACTCCTGACCTCAGGTGATCCACCTGTCTCGGCCTCCCAAAGTGCTGGGATTACAGGCGTGAGTCACCATTTTTATCAATCCTATATTTCCAAACCCAGCCCACACTCAAAATTCATTTCAGCATCACATTTTTCATTACTCAAGTGTAGATAATTTTCTTACCTTGACTACCTTTCAGGGCTCCCAAGAGAATCCACCTCATAGATCATAGATGGCACATACCTTCAATCCGCTTCCAATTCTACTACTATGAGTCAGATTACAAAGCCAGAAAGACCTGTAATTCAGTTCTAGCCCTGCTTCTTCCTAGTGTGTGCTTGTTTGTTTGTTTGTTTGCTTTTACCTTGGATAGATTAGTTTGCCTCTGTGTGCCTATTTTCCTCATCTGTAAATGGGGATTAAAATAGTACCTACCTCAAGGGTTACCGGGAGGATAAAATGAAGGAATGTGCACACATTGTTTGACACAGTGCCTGGCACATAGCAACAGCTCCATAAACATTAACTATGTAGTAATATTTTCTAACATCAAATAAGATTCCATGATTTCAAAACACACTTCCAGGTTATTAAATAAAAACATCTGGTCTACCCTGTGAAATGGGTAGAATAAATTTCTAATGCCTATTTTGTGGACGAGGAAACAGTCTTCGAGACAAAGACCAACTTTGCTGGACTTTAGCAACAATTAAAACTTAAGATAACTGCCACCATTGTTTTGGTTTTTACCCTGAATTTAGGTACAGATAAATTACATTCACCTGGACAGGATCTTCAGTCTTTAAGGAGTTTATAGGAGTGTCCTAGAAATAGAAAATAGTATGAGCTGCCTGGGCCCTATTGCCACTGTTCAGGAGACTGAAATAGGAGTGGAAGGAAGAAAGAATGGTTTTATCTCTGGTTGTGAATTCCCCAGGGGGAAAAATAATTGAAGAACTGTTTATGATAGAAAACTATAATGAGGAGTAATGGAATGCAATTAAGGGAAGAGAAATAACAAGCTTATAATAAGGTTCCAGTATGAGGTATTCAAATTTAATTGTGTTTTTTAAGTAATGTCAGACTCACAGATGCTGTAGCAACAAAGACTGTATACAAATGGGTGCATAAATAAATGACTTTATAATCTACACAATCACAGTGGTGTGCCTTTTAAGCCAAGATGCCATTTTGCAACTGCACATTCAGAACTGGCATTGCAAATGCAAGAAAAAAAAACCTCCTATTGAGCGGAGAATGTGATTGTTTCCTATTTCTCATAACTTACTAAGAGGAATAAAAATATCCTCTCCTCCACACACACACACAATGGAAAATTGCCCAGCCTTTTCAAATTATTAGGTTTGCATACGTTGTGATCCATTTTTGAGTTGAAGCATTACACACTAGGAGGTTAATTTATCCAACAGAATGTTATAATCAACCATTTCAAATGCATTGCTCAGATCCCCAGAGACCTTAGGGGTGAAAGGAAAAAGATATTCAAATTAATTTTTATGTCTCCCACACTGCTACAGAGATGCAGCTAAAAATGTCATTCAGAACTAGTGCTGCAGGAAAAGTGGGAACTTGAAGAAGATCCCCTGCTTTTCTGCTGTTGGCTTCTCTGTGGAATCGAATTATTTGGAGTTCTTTGTTTTAAAGTCATTATTTTTCATTAGATGGGCCGCTGCTGTTATTCAAAAGTTAATAGCAAGAATATGTCTGGCTGACACAACAAATACAGCCATAGTTCTACAGTTATTAATGCCAGTAACAGTTTGAGATACAATAAATGACTGTGCACTGTGGCATTTACCACTCACACAATAGCAGGGAACTGTGCTGACGATCCGTCTTCTGAAAAGAGAACACACACACACAGACACACACACATCCATATGTGTGTACACACACTGAACCCTTAATACTCTTGTGATGATGGCTACCAGATACATCATGGCAACTAAATGAAGTTTTATAAGTGTAGGGTTTCAAAGTATGATTTATGATGTAAGGGAATAAATTGTGACACAAAGCATTTGTCTGGGAATTTGGAGGGCATAAGGAAGAATTGGCAGTCATATTGTACTTCTCCAGATTGTAAGGACATATACAAATAACTCACTAAAATGCTTGCATGATTCTTTCAGCCCTTTTATTTCCAGTGGTAATTGTGTCACCAGTCACTGGTTCCAGGGCTTAAGTGATTTGATTCAAGGCTAGCCTTGGTCTCAGGCATTATAATTGGATTTTCCTTTTTCTTAGAGATTTACAAGGTGCATAGGCATATTAAAGTCTTTATGGAGCGCTGCAATGCGTGGATATAACATATTTTCAACATTTAACCTTTTCTTTTTGACTTACTAATTAACATTGTATATAGCAGCATTTTATGAGTACTAGTTTGGAAACATGGTCTTAATTCCCTTCTTCCCTCATATATACAAACACACATGAAGAATTTTTATGATTCAATAGAAATGAGGTTGTTCCCCATATCATTCCAATTGATGAGACTCAGATGCTCAAATTATTGGAGAACTGTTACCACCCTTCTGCTATGTGTTCTTCCACTGAACCGCCAGCCTGGAGAGGACTAAAGGTTGCAAGATTCTCATGGGTCTTTTGGGTTTCAGTTCTTGTTCTGACCCAGTGATCTTCTATTGTCCGATTAATTTCCAAACTCCACCACTGTTGGGGCTATTTTTCTCCTCCACATAAGAGCTCTCCTACATCATAACAGGGACAATTAATGTGCAAAATACAAAACTTTGTGAGAACAGCAGTCTTTCCTGTATCACCAGCACCTACCCCATGCTAGCCACAAAGTCAAGGCTTACTAATGATCATGGCTAAATTAAATGAAAAACACCAGAGCTTTTCACAAATCCATTAAGCCTGCTAGAATTTTGGCCAAAGATTTTTCAGACCAATTTTTGGAAGGCTTATCACTATGCTTCTAACTCCTAATTGCTTCATGCCTATCATCAATAAGCATTTATTCAGCAACCATATGAACAGATGAGTGCTTCGCAGGGCAAGTTTAATTGACTTATTCTCTTCCCTTTCAGAGCAGACAGTCTTAATTTCTTTTTTCGATAAGCGTACATATCTTCATTCAGTTAATAGAATGTGACAAATTGCTATTATAACTCTTAAGTACCTTTTCATATCTAGCAGTTTGTCTCTTCTCCAATTGCATCAGGTTCCTAGGTAGATCAGTACGTATTCAATGCAGACTAAAAACATTCATAAGCTTGATTGTTCAAGTCATGGCCTAGCTGCTGTCATTTTCTGGTTAACTAAAGGTCACTCTCCAGTCTGCTGTTCTGTTTTGTTTGACATTGAATGGTTCCCCAACTCATCATCCAATGCATCAGTTCTGTGCTGTGTTACAGATAGAGAATCATAGACGCAGGATGTCAGGCGTGAAAAGATGTTAGACATTGTTTAGTAGTAGTTGTGTCGATGGTAACATTTTCACTACCTTACCTTTGTAA
This sequence comes from Homo sapiens, assembly GCF_000001405.40. Classification (NCBI taxonomy): domain Eukaryota; kingdom Metazoa; phylum Chordata; class Mammalia; order Primates; family Hominidae; genus Homo; species Homo sapiens. Next base: position 21,895,127 of record NC_000011.10, read on the forward strand.
ACATTTTTAAATGTAGGAAATATTTTCTCATATCATTTGATCCTTAGCATCACCTATAAAGTCAAAGACAATAAATCAAGGAGATGCTGATCTTCTCAATGTCACAAAACACCAGAACTTTTCCAGTCTTTGGACTCTGAATCTTCCATTCTTTCTCTATTGTCTTAAGAAGGAGGTTGAAGAAGAAGAGAAGAATAAGAAAAAAGAAAGGGGAAATAAAAGAGAAGAGAAAGATGAGGGGGAAAAGAGATGAGGAGAGAAAGGAGGGAGAGAAGAGAGGTGTTAAAACAGAAAAAATAAAGGAAGACAAGTACTTGACTCAAAGTATGTGTTTAGCAAATATTTTTGAATGAATGATAATATTTATTGTATGCATATAAAAATCATTTGTGTTTAAGTTTCCTCATATTTTTCTCCACCTCTAGTTGTTGTGAAGATTAAATAAATATCTATTCAAAATACTGTGTGTATGTGTATGTGTATATGTATATAATGTTTACAATAGCTCAATACATAGTAAATACTCAAATAATGTTAACTGTTATTAAATTGATAGTATTTTACAGGTTAAAAAATTTTGAAAATAACATAATAATTAACCTTCAAGATAACCCTTTGAGATCAGTGATTATATCTTCATTTTATAGATGAGCAAACTGAAACACTAAGTATGAGTGACAATATCCAGCAGCAATACCTAGCTATTTACCTACCACACAGCTGCCTCCTTCAACTAACCCACAAATGGGAGTGGAGACTTCACAGTATAATTGGATATGTCTGTGATTTCATGGTTAATTTAGATGCAGGATATTAAGCTACATGCACCCCAACCTCAGGACACAGCCTGGATACTGAAAAAATCTTATTTTATCTTTAATTGTCCTAATTGTTAGCTTGTTACTTGAGATCTGCCTCTCTTGATAAGAATAGTTCAGAAAGAAAAAAAAAAGAGCTAGACAACTGGTATAGTTAATTGAGCTCTAGCTAACTAAGATTTTACTTTCTAATTATATCTTCATATTAGAACATTTGTGAACACTCACTGTAAGACAGAGATAAATTGGGAAGGAGCGGGTAAACCAACCTGAGTTTTCACTGCATTTGTAAGTCAAGTACTGGCTATAAAACGGGGAGTTCTCCTCTCCCAATCTGGAGCTTTGTCTTTTTCCTTTTCTATTTTGTTACTTACAAAGGATACAAATACATTTTCCCAAGTCAGTTGGATTCTAACCCAAACTAATCCTCACCAAGAAGGAAGAAAACGAGACACAGTTCCCAGTGTCCACTTCAAGTGCAAGCTTAAATTAGGCCACAGCAAATGACACATTTTTTGCATTCTATCTTTGATGGATTGATTACATGTGTCATACTGAGAGTTGTCTCCTTTGCCTCAGTTAATAAGCACTGTTCAAAGTATCAGCTGGCAATTTTCTCATTGGTTAAGATTTTTATTAAATCAAATGTTATGTGATTATGGTATCATTATAGGTAATTTGATATTAGGAGGGCTGTGTTAAATGTTGACTCTACCGTTTACTTACTACATCTTTAGTATTTACCACATCTTTAGCTCCTGGAAAGGTTGCTTAAACCTCTTGAGTCTCCAACCAAAAACTAGGATATTAATATTTACCCCTGGAAATGGTTGGAGAATGAAATTAGTTTTTTGTGCATTAATGATAATTTCTCAGTCTAAAACAATGTTATTTACAGTTAGGTTACATGAGTAGGTGTTGAATGTTGACTAAGTATCTTTGATTGTGAAATGTTTGCAGTGAGTTAACCCTAGTCCCTTGCTTTAAAAATCCTCAGAGCTTGAACCTCCATAGAGAACCTTGCTGCTGCCAAAGCCTAGAAACTTCAGATGGAGGGTCTGATAAAGGCAATGCTTCTAAGGATTTTGGGCAACTTCGTTTAACCTAGCAATAAGATTTAGACCAAGCTCTCCCAAGTTGGTCCTTAGACCTAACAACATCTCTGTCTTTGTCTCTCTTGTTAATTGTGTCCTACTGGCCTGTACTAATACTACAAGGCAATTAGCTGTGTTAATTAAAAATACCAGCCAAGCAAGATGCTTAGGAATGTTTCTGCCAAAGGCAGTCTCCAGTTTTAAACAGCCAGATTGATTTAAGGGCTTTTAACCAACTGCTCTATAAATTTCACAACCAATAGCGAAGTGCTATGGAACAGCAAGTGAAGGTTGAAAACCCAGTGGTTTGCAAGCTCCCTACCATATGAAGGAGCCACAGAAGGAGAGTGAAAATGAAACTTAACAGCCTCAGGGCAGTGGGAGAGGTTTTGAGGGAAGGCTGTTGAGCAACCAAGAGAAATTAAGCGTGTTATTTCAGAGCTAGATGTAGATGGGTTAGCTTCTGTAACTTACCATAGTCAAAAGGGAACTTTGGAAGGTGCTGAAGCAGTAGAAGGTAGATTGGAAAATTTCAGTGGACCATTCTAGTTGTTGAAGACATAGAAATGAGGGCACTGCTTGGCAGTGAGGGTGTTTATTTACCGAAGCCAGGCTTGTGATCTATTGGAAAAGGAATAGACTATACAACTCTGTGGTTTTAGAGCTAGGGAAAATAACCCACTTCAGAAACCACCAGAGTAGCTGGCTAGTCCATATATTATCCCATGGCCCAGATGGTAGACCATAGTGAGAGTCTCAACCATTAGCAATGCATCCTGAAGCCTCTGGAAGCAGATGGTAAATCTGTGGTTCCAAATAATCTGTATAAAACAGGACTACATCCAGTTAGTGTATGACAAGGGAGCAGTACGTAGTCCCTTTCTTTCCAAATCCCCAGTAAGTCTAGGCAGGGTGTCAAAACCCCAGCAGAAGTGGATTAGTCATACTCCTGAATGTTCTAAAACATATGCAACTTTCTTTTTGTGTATTGAAATTACAATCTATCTACATTTTTAATACTTGAGACATTATTTCATATGCTAATATAATATTCATCAGACTTCACTGGGCACCAGAAGCATCTATAAAGTTTAATTACCTAGGCCTCCATACAGACCTATTGAATAAGACTCTCCAGAGGCTGTACCCAAGTATCTATATTTTTAAGAAATACCACAGGTAATTTTTATATTCACCTAACGTTGAGAAGTATGGTGTTTATAGGTTTTTAAAGGGTAGAAAGACTGCAGTGTAGTGTGTCCATACATGAGCCTTGGAGTCCAACAATCTTAGCTTTTATACTTAAAAGTTGTGAGATTTGGGTAAGCTATATAGCCTTTTTAATCTTCAGATTCCTCAAATGAAAATGGGAATAATGATAGTAATTCCACATAGCACTGATATGAAGATTATTAAATGAGTTCATATGTGTTGAAAGCTTAATCCAGTGTCTGGCAAGTAGTAAGTACTAAAGAAGTGGGGCTATTATTGACTGATGTAGTAATTTGGTCTTTGCTCCTTTTAGAGCACAGTCAAAAATGAAAACACCCCTAAGAGATGTAGGCTATTAAAAGAGCAGAATATAATAGTAGAAAGAATACAGGCAGACTCTGGGTTGTAGCTACCACTCCACTACTCTCTAGTCTTAGGGAAGAAATTTGAACTCATGACCTTTAGTTTATTCATTAGTAAATTGGCATCATAAATTATGGGGTGACCCAAATTCAGTTATGGTCTGATTTTGTGTGCCCCAACCTAAGAATGATGTTTACATGTTTAAAGGGTTGTTAAAAAGGAAATACTATATGTGGCCCACGAAGACTAAAATATCCACTGTTCTTAAAGAAAAAGTTTGCTGACCTCTCCTAGATCGGCATTTTCCAAACTTTAATATGCATATAAATCATTTGATGCCTTCTTTAAAATGCATATTCTTATTCAGCAGATCTGGGGTTGGGCCTGAGACTCTGCATTTTAACAAGCCACTGAATGGTGCTGATGCTGCTTGCTTAGGGATCAATGATGCTGATGTTACCTGCTCATGTTCAGTATCAACCCTGGATATTCAGCTTTAACTGGTAGTGGGTAGGGCCGGGGCTTTTCTTATATTTGTAAAGCTCATGAGCTGATTATAATGTGCAGCTAAGGCTTAGAGCATCTGATCCACTTTGGAGCCCCTCTGCAGAATAAGTTCAATCAGCTGTCATCTTAGAAAACAGAATCAAGGGCCAGGCATGGTGACTTACGCCTGTAATCCCAGCACTTTGGGAGGTGGGGATGGGCCCAGGAGTTTGACATCAACCCCGGGCAACATGGAGAAAACTCATCTCTACAAAAAAATACAAAAATTATCTGGGCGTGGTGGTGAGGGCCTGTGGCCTCAGGTACTCAGGAGGCTGAGGTGGGAGGATCACTTGAGCCTGAGAGGTGGTGGTTGCAGTGAGCCGTGATCGCACCAGTGCATTCCAGCCTGGGTAACAGACCAACACTTCATCTCAAAAAAAAAAAAAAGAGAAAATAAAATCGAGTCTCTAGGAATGTGATTCAAAACAGATGAGTTCTAATAGGAATAAAAGGAACAGCAAAGGAAAGAGGTCTGGTTGTTAATGGGCTGCACATAAAATGCAACTGTTTAGTTCTTGAATTTTTATAGCTCAGAACATTTGTCTGGTTCCTTATCTGTTTGTTCCTTATTTTACCAGCCTTGCTTCTTCACTTTCTATTAAGTTAAATTAATTAATTAACTGGTTAATTTGTGGATCCCTTTCTAGATATGTGCCCTTGCTTTCCTGGACCTATAATGGTACCTGCATTGCGTTGTTTGTTATCTAACCCTATAGAACTTGACTTCTGGTTCACCTGAATTGAGTAGCTATCAACACCTTCTGTTGGATTTAATTCATGGCCCAAACCCCAGACTGAAAATATAGAATGATGGAACCTTAAGTATAAGAGCTAGAAAAGAATTCAAAATACTGTAGTAGAAGAATGTAAAACAGTTTCTGCCACCATTTCTGTCCTGCCCTCCCGTTCTCCTTCTCCTATAGCTATACAACATCATGACACAAAACAAGAGAATATAACTAGCATTTAAGAATATGAACTGAAGGGTTGATCACTATCCCTCTAATATCAATTAGAGGAATGAAAATATTGACAATGAAAATAAAAACCCACCTTCTGATTTTGTACCCAAGGAAAAATCAGTAAGTCATCTCTGATACTTCACAAATTTACATATTTGAAAAGGTTTCTCAGCTATAACTTGGGATTCGTAAGTGAAAAATATTTAGAGAAGGTCTTCAGGCCTGCTGGCAGTTTTACAGAAGTGCAGCTATTCTGGGATTCTGTGATCTTAGGCATTTACTTATTTGACTCTTCGACTGACTGAGTTAAGGGTGACATGAAACATAGTGTCATCACCTGAAGAACTTAAAAATAGTGACAAAGATCAGGCAAAGCCATAACCTCTCACTGTGGTGCCTGGGAAGAAACAACATGATAGAGGTGACCTGTGGGCAGTATAAAAGAAGATACCAGAGTGCTAGTAATGAGAAAAAAACAACTCAATTTGAGCTCCAAGCCTCGGAGCCTTGTTTCACCCAATCACTGTCAGCTGCAGCAGTAACCACTGCATAGATCCAACCAGGGTTGTTGTGAAGCAAGTGTATCAGTGGCCCATCCCATTCAAAGCTAGCTGTTAATTTATGGTTGACTAACACTTTATTTTACTGCCTAGAACTCCCCGCTATAGTACCTATTAAGTTATATATGCCACAAACTAAGTGAAAACTCCACTGACAGTTATCATTGGTCATTGATTGTCCTTTGTCATCATTAGACAAAGATAATGGTTTCTACCCACTAAGTGAGGGTTATTTTCTATAAATAGACCACTGCTCCCAGCCCAGTTATAGTATGCTCAAAAGCCATTCCAAAGTAACTTTGAACTATTAGTGTGCTTTAGAATGGCTCTACTGTTGGCACAAGCAAGATGTGATGTATTGTTAACACAAATGTAATGTATGCTTTGTAATTAAAAAGAAAAAAAATAAGCCAGGCACGGGGGCTCATGCCTGTAATCCCAGCATTTTGGGAGGCCGAGGTGGGCAGATCAGTTGAGGTCAGGAGTTCGAGGCCAGCCTGGCCAAAATGGTGAAACCTCGTCTCTACTAAAAATACAAAAATTAGCCAGGTGTGGTGGTGCATGCCTATAGTCCCAGCTACTCTGGAGGCTGAGACAGGAGAATTGCTTGAACCCAGGAGGCGGAGACTGCAGTGAGCCAAGATGGCACCAATGCACTCCAGCCTGCACAGTAGAGAGAGGCTCTGTCTCAAAAAGAAAAAAAAGAAAGAAAAACAGTAAGTCCTCAAAAACAATGTTTGCCTTAGAGAATTTAAATTATGGCTTAGAAAAGAAAAAAAATATCAGGATTAAATTGGAAAAGCTCTAGTGTTCTGGTTATTGTTTTTTGATTTCTGTTTGTAATCCTGGTAATGCGGATGTAGCAAAAAATCTTTTCAGTAATTCCTAAATATTGCTTTATAGTCTGGCATAATTCACTGATAATTTTATAATTATGTGTTTTTACAAAATCTAGTAAGCACATGTATGTTTGTGTTTGTGTCTAAAGTTAAGATTTTCCTTTAATGAATCATAAGAGATCAGAGAAGTCATGCATGCCTTCAAAGGTACAATAAACGGGATTAACACTTTTACCAAAAAAAATCACCTGCTATAAAAATGTTAAGGTACTGAGAATACACTCTTGTCCCTTCACATTAGATTTTTCATACTTAATCTTTATGAATCTTAATTTAAGGTCATAATGTATACCTTCTTGCACTATATTGATGCTTAAAATGGAATTCCACGTTTCCTGGCTTGAAAAACACATCACATTTTAAATAATTTTAATCACACACAGTATATCCTATCATTGGGCTTTGTCTGGATCTGTCCAGAGTAGAATTTGGGGACATCAGTGCGGCCTAGTCAGTATCCATGGAGGTACTCTACATTCAGAAAGTCCACTGGCCCACAACCCAGCACCCTGAGTGCTCCTCCAATCAGCAGGTAGTGGTAGGACAGGAGGCAATTTCAGCTTCCCAGAGGTGGGGCCGATAGAGGAGCAGGATGAGAGCACAGTGCTATATTTGATCACGGCAAGGAGAAACAATGGGCCTCTCATGTCAGCAAATATATTTTTTGTCATTTAATATCTCTGTGCCTCAATTTTCTCATCTATAAAGTAGGAATAGTGATAATGTCTTCCTCATAGGTGTATTATGACAATTAATAGGTTAATATATGCCAAGTAGTTGAAATACTACCTGGGGCATAGTAAGTTCTACCTAAGTGTTTAATGATTACTATTAAAACACTTGATTATCTATCACAATACGGGCTGTGGATAAATGATAGTTATCATCTTACTTTCTACAGTTACTTCTTTCTCCAGCATGAAGTAAAACAACTTGAATAAGCCAGACAATAAAATTTCCATTGCCATCAACCCAACTGTCATTTGTACTAAGTCACACAGTTAGTAAGTGACTGGAACAGAAACTTGAATCTAGATCTATCAAACTCCATAGCCCAAGACTACTCTTTCAAATTCTTGTCTCCCTGCACTTTGATATTGGCATAATGAACAAGCCATTCACAAGGAGAGCCAGATTAGTGCACAAGCCCGGTTCAGCACATACCACCTGAAGTTACCTGCAGCTTCAGTAGTCATGGTAAGAAGCTTGTTACCATCATCCCAGTCGGTGGAAATGCTTTGAAAGGGAGGAGCTAAACCCACCATAACGTGGCACTCTCAAAGAGGGTGCCAAATGAAGCAGCTCAATAGAAAAGTTTTGAAAACTTTAATCTGGTCTAAATTGAGATCAATCTGTCCCTTGTGGGCATCAAACATAATGAGGCAGTAAGAGGTGACTAATCCAATCCAGAAGTTTCCCCTCATGCCTCCCACTGTGGTGAGGCCTGCGCTACTGTTCTATAAAAGGCTGTTTCTGACAGCAGATGTGACACAGCTGATGTACCTGCTAAACACACCTGTACCAGCTCAGCAGGATGCATGTATGATGAGTCTGTAAAAAGGTGGTAATACAGGAATGAACATAGAGATCTCTGGAGGATCCAGTGACATTCTAGCTGAGGGATAAATTGTCCATGGGGAAAAAATTGTGATCAGTAGATTGAAGGCAAAGATCTTCTCCCACAATAATGTGGAGTTGTTATTACTCTTTTGTTTCTAAATCTGGACATTTTCCTAGAAGAGTTGCTAAGACAATGGATGTAACGTGAGCTCATCTCCTTCAGGTGCTGCAGAGAAAGAGATAAGAATATGATCCAACCATAAGAAGCAGTATTACTGTACATTACAGAAGAATGTTTGAATTCAAGAGACTTCCTAGTCCTGTCCATGCTTCAGGACAAACACTATTAATGCACTACTAAGCCTCAAATACTCCTCTAGTAAAGGGAGCAAAATTTTTTTAAATCATCTTTCAATATTAGGTTTTTGGGTGAGGTTAACAAGGTTTTCGGAATGAAACTGCCCAGAAAGTTATGTTTGGAACCAATCAACTCATTTAACATTTTATGTCAGTGTTGTTAAATGGAGTTTTATGCAAATTGAGTATGTTAACATTGTTTCGTGGTATGAATATTTGTCCTGTATTTCAAATATTCCCAAGAGAGATGAGAAGGGGAAATTTGCTATTATTTGGCAATATTCCAGAAAGCTAATTACCTAAAAGAGGATTTATGAAAGACTGCATAGATTGTTGTTCTTCACATGCTTTTTGCAAAGGTGAGATTTTTTGCTTGAAGTATTTTTAAAATTTCTGTGCCTTCATACATTCTGTTTCTGGAGCTGAGGATGTCTCTTGCCATTGTCCCCAATTTTTCTTGCAAGTAGTTACTTATTGTATCAGTCTGTTTTCACAGTTCTGTAGAGAACTGCCAAAGACTGGATAAATTATAAAGAAAGGAGGTTTAATTGACTCACAGTTTCACATGACTGGGGAGGCCTCAGGAAACTTATTCATGGCCGAAGGGAAAGCATGCATGTCTTACATGGCGGCAGGTGAGAGAGAAGAGAGCAAACGAAGAAGAGCCTTTTATAAAACCATCAGATCTTGTGAGAACTCACTCACTATCATGAGAACAGCATGGGGGAAAACAACCCCATGATCAAATCACCTCCCACCAGGTCTCTCCCCCAACATGGGATTACAATTCCAGATGAGATTTGGGTGGGGACGCAAAGCCAAATCATATCACTTATCCTTTCAGACTCAGTTCAATTGTCACTTTTGTTATGAAGCCTTTTATAACCCTCCTTGGCAAAATAGACCATGCCTTTGTGCCACTTATATACACAATAATCGCATTGTTACTACATCATTACATTTTTTATTTAAATACCTGGTCCCCCCAGTAGCTTAGTAATTCCTCCTTGGTGTGGGCCAATGTCATATTTTCTTTGAACCTACAGTACCTATAATCAATCTTTGAACCTAGATCTCATTAAATATCTGTGGAAGGAAGGAAGAAAGGAAAGCAGGGATGGAGAAAGGGAAGGAGAATGGGAACAGGGGAAGGAGAGAGGAAGAAAACATCATTACCCTCAAGCTAGGGGAATTTCGTAATCCTGGAGAATAAAAATGTAGGGGGGAAGAAAGAGCATAGGACTAGAATACAAGCTTAAATTCCACACAGTGTCTGTGACTTTGAGCAAAAGCTAAACCTTGGATTTTTTGGTAAAATTACAAGGATGTTAGAATTAAATGAAATAATATATATGTATGAAAGCACGAAACACATAGTAGTTTCTCAAAGATTTAATCATTGAATATTGGTTCAATAAACCATAAACTAATTATCTTTTAAAATCCTGAACAAAATAAAATAAAGCACACTTGGCAAAGACTCTGCCTTCAGAATTTCTGTGTATCAAGATAATTTTCTTGTAAACATCAATTTATTTTTGTACTGCTAAAGCAATAGCAACAGCAAATTTTCTCAATGGAATGCCTCCCAAACAGCTTACTTTATACACTGACTTTTCCTGCCAGAATTAATTTTAGGGGGTAAGACATTTTTTATAGTCTCTTTAGTCCATGAAAATGCATCGTTTACATAAAAATCCCTAAGCTCATTAGTAAGGCAAAAACTCATATTTAAGCAATTAACCATAAAAATAGAAAACTGATCAGAAGCACAATGAATTGGATTGGCAGATTTCTCTTTCCACACTGCAGAAACCCATTTTATCTTTAGCTCTAATGTGCATCTCCAGGAGAATCTCATCTTTATCAAACTATTCTTCATGTATATTTCTTTGAGACCCCTGTCATCACAATCTGTTTTGATTATAAGAGAAGACAGCTTCCCCTTCACCCTCTTGCTTTTCACACACTACTTGAAGCACCCATGCCAAGATTCCAGTAGAAAAAGAGAACAGGAAGAGATGTGCATTTAAGTGCTATAGTCTGGTCCTATGTAACTATTTGAACTGCCCTTTCTGAACCACCTTCTTAGTTCCAATCTGGTGAACCTCTCCTTTCCTTTACATCTACATACTGCACGCGTAGCTTCTTGCTCCTTTTTTCTGTGCCTTTGCTAATATAACACTATTCTCTCTCTCCCTCTTTCTGATGTTCTCCTTGTTCTTTTCCATCTTTCAAGACCCAACCTAAGCTCTAATGGGCTGCTTTAAGCTCGTTCTCCCTAATCTCTGTGCTGAGTTTATATACATACCCAATAACCAGCACGTTGTTCAAGGCAATCTTATTCTTTAATAATTTATTTTTAAAACTTACCATTTTATACCAGATGGTTTGTGGCTTATTCTCTCTTTCATACTATGTGTATACTCTTAGAGAAATGAACTCAATTTCAGCACATAGATAGGCACTCAGATAATGATTTTCTTTTTTTTTTTACTAATCGAAGGTGTTTTCATTACAATACTTAACTGAAGGCAGACCCCACATAAATACACATACACATGCATTCTGTTTGTCATCAGAAAAGCAAAGTGCAGATTATAAAACATCTAGGTTCCAATCTGTTTTGTCATTTACTACATTTGTAGACTTGAAAAAATTACTTTTAACATTGATTTTACAATCTTAATTAAGAAAATAATACCTGCCAAGAAGGTGTTTTCTTAGCTGTAAAATGAAGATAATAATTGTACCTACCTCATAAATTTAATTATGAGAATTTAATGAGAAAATAAAATAGAACATTTCAGAGCTGTACTGGGCACAGAGAAGGTGTTTAATACATTTGGTTATTATTGATATTATTATGGTTCATAATAATGTGACTAATATATCCTGCGTACTAATTAGCACATGGTAGAACCCCAATAAATGGCAATTCTGTGCCTTCTGTTTTCTTCCTTACATGCACCTTTTCCTTCTAAAATTTGAGAACTCCAGCAGGTTTTTATAATCAATATCATGAGTGAACTTACAGTGAATCTTTCCAATTCATTTTCGCAGCAGGAAAATAGCTGATGTATTATTGACCTCTCTTAATATGCTGAAAACTGGTATTACAATGCTGGGGAAAGATGATGCAGCAAATATGTTTCATCCATTTGTTCTATAAATTATTGATGGAATAACTACACCAGACATCATTCCAGCCCTGGAAGCATAGCAGTGGATAAGGCAAACAAGCATCCTGTGTGTATTGAGCTTACATTTTAGTAGTATAAAAAGATGGTAAGCAAACAATCAGATAAATAACCATTTCAGGTATTGACAAATATGATGAAAAAGAGAAACAAGACAATGTACCCTAATACTAAGAGGGGTTGGGTAAACTGGATATGGTGGCTATGGAATCGCTTCCTGGGAAGATGACATTTGAACTGAGATCTGAGTGATGAGAAGGATACACATATGCAGCAATCTAAGAAATAGTGTTCCAGAAAGAGGGAAGAACAGTGTAAAAACCCTGAAGCAAGAAAAAATTTGAGCTCATTACAATTTTTCAGGTGTAATAATACATTGACAAAGAACAAGTCAAATACAATAACTGATTACACTTCCTGGATATATGGCATTTGGGTATTTTTCATCAAGTCTCGAGTTCTGGCTATGAACCTGCACCTGACAAGGGAATACTATGTGTTAGTTTACACTGTGCATTCTGCAAACTCACCATTCATGGCATGATACCAAATGATTCCTATTAGAGAGAGGAACATCAAGCTTTTCTTTTTATAGCCAATGTCTCTCTTTTAGGACAGAATGCTGTAAACCTACATTTTCTTATTCAGCAAGATTCCCCATCCAAGGCCTTATTTTTAGAATTATATCAATAATAATTTTCCTGTGATGGCCCATCATATTTGAGATCCAATTCATTGGTGTTTATACAGCTGATTAAACTTTTCACTCTGCTGTATCTTAGCTATAATGTGTCAACAGTTTTGTCTACATTGATAACCTCCCAGTGCAGAGGTGCCATAATTAAGCATCTTGTTTTGACAGAACTGTTACTGTACTGGCATTTAGAAGGACAGAAAAAAAGTAAGAAATAAAAAAGCAATTTATTTTCCTAATATTCAGTGTTTATGTGTGCAGTAGATGCTAAATATCTGTATACCCAATGCTCTGCAAATAAGTGGATTGGAGGAATTGCTTTACTGTAATATTTTTTATCAGTATAAATAAGATTTATAAAATTATGATACAACTAATTTTTCATCTAAAAAAAGCATCTTTTAAAAACAAGGTCTAAAACAATAGTGAAAATTGGTGCTGTTTTAACATTTGTTGTTTTTTTCCACGTGGATGGAGAATTAAATTACAACAAAAGTTATTGATAACATTCTATGGGTAAGGTAGCACACCAGATACTTTAAGAAAAAAATTAATTATTGATCCTTTCTGTTCTGGGAGTTCATAGTCTGGAAAAAGACAAGATGTAAGATATGAACCTGAAAGACTATAAAATATTGACCTGAAAGTGATTTTTTTAATAAAAGAGATTCAAAGAAAATGTTTTGGTGGTCTAGAGTCAGGATTGATTAGGTTTCATAGAAAAGGTGGCATTTGAACAGAACATTAATTGAAAAAAAAATGGTTTTTGATCAAAAGTATTGGGACAGGAAAATATGAAGATGAATGGAGACCTAGGGTAATTCTGTAGGACCATACTGAAGAATTCACTAGTGAAATAAGCATGGTAAAGAGGTGGCATTTTTAAAACTGCTAGGTGAACAAAGTGGAAAGTATGCAACAAGGCTTTTGGTTGACAGTCCCCAAACCTCCCCAGGTGGTGGCATTATTCTGACAAATGTACTTTCCTTCCTTCCTTCCTTCCTTCCTTCCTTCCTTCCTTCCTTCCTTCCTTCCTTCCTTCCTTCCTTTTCTTCTTTCCTTCCTCCCTTCTCCCTCCTTCCCTCCCTCTCTTTCCTTCTTTAAATTCATTCCTTTGTTATAAATGTATTGTTCTAACTAGGTGCTGAGTTGAAGTAATATATAAAATAGGCCTCATCATTTGCTCTCATTGGCTTATTATTATTTATATACTCTTGTGAGGGAGATAGATAAAAGCCTAATCCTAAAATAAGTAAATTTACAGCATTATAAATCATGTAAACATTATTGAGAAAATAAAAAAGAGTGAAACCAAGAAGTATAAAGGTTTTTCTAAAGATGTGGCATTTAAGCGAGTCTTTTTAAAAAAAATGCAGAAATAAGACTTTTAAAGAAGATCAAAGGAACATTCCAAGAAGAGGAAATATTATTTGCATAGGCCTTGAGCAAGGTTAACAGTTTGGCCTATTCAGGATATTAGAAGAAAATAGGAATGGTTGGAGAGAAGTTAAGGATGGGGAAAAAGCTAGGCAGAGACCAGAATATGTGGTAATTTAATGAAATGGGTTTTTAATGAAATGGGAAATCAGTCACTGATGAATTATAATATTAAGTGCTATTCCTGCTATGAAAATAAGTCAGTGGGAGTGAGGGTAAGAGTGAAATTAGGGAAAGTAGCTAAAAAATTGTATCTCAAGCAGGAGATGGTAGTACATTATGATATCATTAGTGTATGATCTTTAATGGTGATAGCAAAACTGATTGGAGGTGGGACCAGGTATTAAACTCCCCAATTATTTTTCTACGACTCAAAATCTGGAGATAAGACACTTTGAATCCCTCTTGACAGCAATCAGCTGACTACCAATCTGTTGAGAGCACCACATTGACAACCCTGTCACCTTCCTGTAATGTGCAAGTCCATAAATAAACAGTTTCTGAGTCACTACCTTCTGACCTCTATTTACACTTTTATGCAATCAGTCTTGTGACACAGCATTTACAGTGAAATCTTTATCAAGCCCATTAACGATGTAATATGGATAAGTGAGAGAGAGCAATCAATACACAGGGAGAAATATATACCACCTAACTTGGCCTCAACCACATACAACTGAGGCCTCAGTCTCTGGGATGAAACTATGAGCTTTGATCCAACCTCAACTCTCTTTCCTATGCTCCTTAGAGCAATGTGCATTTGGTATCCTTAGTTTCTTCTTGGCAAGCATTCCAATTTGCATATTTTCAGTAAGTTACTTTATTTCTAAACCTTCTACTCACCAGCATTCTTTTCCCAATGACAGAACACCTAAAGGCTTGAGGTATCTATAACTTAGCCTTTATAGGCAATCATCCTGGAAACTTAGAAGCCATTGTCCTTTCACCCAGAAAAAAAAATAAACACACACGCACACACACACACACACACACACAAACAAACAAAAAACACCTCCATTCTCATCAGACCTCAGATCATCTCAGCCACAAATTTTCAACCAAATGTTCAAATACTGTTATGAACATAATCTCATATAGTTGTCCTTAAAAAGCAGACAACCAAACAAAAAAGATTCCAGGATTCAATAAGAGTTAAAAATGCTACATACTTTAATCACCATCTCCCACTTTAGAGATCCATGATGCATTTTAGCATATACAAGTTTTGTGAAATCTTACAGTAGACAATCTTGAATTTTAAGTAACAGAATATTTGGCAAATTCACCTAAGGAAACTATTCTGTGAATACCTACAAATATTCTTCTGGATAGAATTCTGCAAAATATGCCTTGGAAAATGCTGTTGTATTATTTATTGCTATTTTTATCCATATTTCTGATTAATTAATTTATTTATTTACTTTGAGACAGAGTCTTGTTCTGTCTCCTAGGCTGGAGTGAAGTAGCGTGATCTCGGCTTACTGCAACTTACGCCTCCCTGGTTCAAGTGATTCTCATGAGTAGCTGGGACTACAGGCACAGGCCACCACACACAGCTAATTTTTGTATTTTTACTAGAGATGGGGTTTCACCATGCCAGGCTGGTTTCAAACTCCTGGCCTCAAGTGATCCACCTTCCTTAGCTTCCCAAAGTGCTGGGATTACAGGCGTGAGCCATGGCACCTGGCCAATATGTCTGATTAAATTAAATCACTATGGTATCCATGAGGGTGCTCACCAATACCTCTCATTCTCCATTTTTTAGATCCACATGTGGATTTTACTTTCCCTTTCCTTTTAAGTTAAGCATGGACATATGACTGCTAGAATTAGTAAAATATGAGCAGAAGTGTGTCACTTTCAGAAATAAGAATTTAATTTCTGGTACGAGTCTGTCCAGAGTGCTCCTGATCATGCTATGAAGAAGTGCTTATCATTCCTATATTGTGAATGACAAAACTAATTTTCAGAGAAAACTAGGGAAGGATTCTAATCTGTGTGTTTCAAAGTCCATACTTTTTCTAGTACACCTTGCTGCCTGAAGTTTATATTTATATCACACTAAGAAAATGTTAAGGTTTATATGCACCTATCATCTTTCAAAAAGAGATGTTATTCTTTTAATGGGTTTAATTTTGAAACCATTATTCATGCAAAATTCAGTACACTATTCCACCTACTTATGTTTTCATTAGTGTGAGTGTCTTGAGTGAAAGCCAACATTACTCATTTCCCAACAGCAAAAAACACATATCTATGCATTTCTTCCTTTGAGTTAGTAGAAAATGACAAAATATAATATGTCCTTATGTTATTAAAGTACTCAAACCAAGTTAATGAAACCATTCTAATTGAAGACAGCAGGATGTCTCCTATATATCTCTTTTGGAGAATTAGACAAACGTTCAGGAAATTTTGATCCCTGTTCTGCTTTTTACTTTAATTTCCTGTTGTGTTTGGGGAAGTCATCAAACTCTTTCATTTGTAATTTCCTCATTTGTAAAATAAGGATAGTAATGTCTGCTTTGAAAATGTCATAGGTTATTTTTATTTATACACTCATGAAACTTAAATTTATACGTTTATGAGATTACATAAAGACACATGCACACACTACCACTTTGAACCTAAAAACACTCTTAATATGTAGTATTATTATTCTCTTCTAACTCATTTCTCTTTTTATTATTTTCATCCAAATTACTTATTATAACTATAGTCATTGTTTTCTCTATAATGACCAAGAAAAATAAAAAATTTTCACTATTTCAACAATACTTTTACCAATATCTTAAACTCTCAACAGTAGATTAACAACTAGTTATTTCCTGTTATCTGAATCCTACTAACTGAGCACTGCTGGAGAAAGTCGTATTACCAAACATTTACATCATAAAATATATGATAACCAGTCTCACATGGGCCTTGAACATCATACACAAACCTTACCATTTCACTCACATTCTCCTTAACCATTTTAAACATTGCCAATTCTCTTAAAACTCTGATATCCCCAGGAGCCATCCAATCATACACACATATGTTTTTGTTCACAGCAGATACAACCTCATCTTCCACTTCACAGAGGAAATTATTTTCAGTATAAATGCATTAGGTGCCTATTAAATAACAGGCATTGATTTAGTTGCTGGGAATATGGTTATCCAACAGACATATAATGTCCCAGGTTTTTGAGTCTTTATATTCAAATAAAAAAAACAGACAATAAATATGTGAACAGATTTCAAATAAACGTATGGTTAGATAGAGAAAATTCTAGAAGAATAGACAGACAAGGATTGATCAGTATCATAAGTTCAGGTAGTGATGTGTTTTGAGGACAATAAACCAAAATAATAAGATAACAATATGTATACCTTATATACAGTGATCAATAAAGGCCCTTCTAATGAGGAGTCACTTGAGCAATGAGGCAGAGACTGCTGATTATTTATCCCAATATCAGTAATTCTTTCTTAGTAATAGAGCTCTAATTTTTAGTGGGCACATGATCACCAAGAAAAAGTAACACATTTCCTGTACTCTTCTGTAGCTAAGTGTTGCTATATAACTGAGTTGCAGCCAGTGCAATATTAAGAAGTGCCTTTTGGTACTACTGGAAGTTCTTCTTAAAAGGGAGGAGATGAGATTTTTTTTTCCACTTCCTCCACCCCACTGCCTAGATTATGTTGCAATGTTGCAGTTGTAATGGGAAGATACTAGCAGAAGTAGGAGAAAAGGCCTGTGGAATATGTCCATATTTGCATTTGAGAAACAACACTGGCTGCTCTCTGAAGAGACTATGCGGAGCAGAAACAAAGCAAGGTAACTCATTGGGAGGTTATTATGCTCACTCTAAGGCAGCATGATAGTAGCTAGGGAAGCTGCAGAGGGTATGATAAAAGGGGTTGTATTTTGAATATATTTTGCAAGAAGCTAACAAGGCTTGCTAAGAGTTGAATGTGAAGAGTGGCAAGTGGGAAAGACATGCACCAAGGCTGACTCCTAAATTGTTGGCCAGTGAATTGTGGTGCCATTTACTCAAGTGATAAAGACTGGGGAAGAAGCAGATCTGAGGGAAAGTGGATAGTGAAGAATCTTAAGTTTTATTTTGGATGTGTATGTTTAGCCTGGCATGTCTATGAGACATTCAAGTGGAAACATTGAGAAGACATTTGCGCATTTCTGGAGCCCTGGGAGTAAAATAAGATATATACATCAGGGAGTTATAAATATACAAGTGGCATTTAAGCTATGAAACTAAATAAAATCAATTAAATAGAGAATCTAGATGAAGAAGGACAGGGGATTACAGACCATGTGTCACTGCAACTTTTAGAGTCCGGACAGATTGAGGGAAGTCAACAAAGAAGTCTGAGAGGGAGAAATCTGGAAGGTATTACAGAGAAAACAGGAGGGTGTTGAGTCACAAAGCTTGGTGAGAAAGTGCTGCAAGAAAGAGTATCAGACGCTGCTGAGAGATTGAAGAGGTAGAGAAAGAGAATTCATCATGAGTTTGCAAAGATGGAGAGCAACGACCTTGATAAAAGCTGTTTTGGTGAAATGGTAGGAACAAAATCCTTCTTGGGATGAAGAGAAAGGGGAGGAAGTAATTGGCTGTTCTATGAAGAGGAGCAAGGAAATTCCACAATAGAAGGAGTGTGATGAAGAGCGAGTTGTTTGTTCGTTTGTTTGGCTAGTAGGTTTATTGGTTTTGTATATTTTTATTACTTTCTAAATAGGAAGATATTTTTAAGTGTCAGCAAGAAAATTGGAGTAAGCTAATCAATAGATAAATTAATAATGTAAATAAAGGCAGGCTAGAGTATACCAGAGGAATGGATCTAAAAGTAAGAAAGGCAAGCTGAATTTACAACCACGAGAACTGGGATCATGTCTGCTATTGCTAACTATTAAATCCTCAGTTCCTAGAATAGTGGTGAAGACATAGTAGATGCTTATTTATTAGATGGTAAGTAGTTAGATGAATTAATGAATGCTAGGTCTATAGTTTTAACCTGCATATTTTATTACAAAATCTTTCATTCTTATTATTGCATTTTCTGCTTAAAATATCTTGGAGCTTCCCATAGTCTGTTTTAACAGGGATTGTTTAAATACAAGCCTCAAGTTGGCACAAGGACACATGATGTGTGTCTCTGCCACATAATGGCTGGTCTCTGCCTGTCACTGTAGTCTCAGTTCTCTACATTCCCACTTGCATCCTACTCTACATTCACACTGAAGTGAATTACTAGCTCTACAAGTACATCATGCTTTAGTGCCAAGTGTTCTCTGTTCTTGCAAAAACTCTCCCTCATCAGCACCCTGTATTTGCCAAATCCAATTTATCCTTTAGCAATCAGCTTAAACACCATTCCCCCGGGAAGATTTCTCTGACCTGATTTTCTGAACTAGACCTTTTTGATGTTCCCAAAGCAAATGCACAAAGCTCTTACAAATAACTATGATATAATATTAATTTTGTTTATTAGCTTGTTTCCGTAATTAAAATTAAACTCTAAAGTAAATATGCTTTTCATCACTGAATACCAAGAACTTTACTTAAGACATTTAGTTAATGCCATTAAGTATCAAAAAGATGACCATGTCATTTAATCAACCAAAAATATTTACTCTCTCAAAGTCTTCAAGAAATGGGAGTGTCTACGTTGAAATTTTCCTCATATTTTCTTGTTGCTATCTGATTAAAAATTCAAATACTTAATGAGCCCCAAATCTTAAAAGAGCTCATAATATAAGTGAGCCAGGTCATATAAAGTAGCACAGTATCATCATGAGTTAGTGTAGGTTCGCAAATAACAGGGTTTCCATCTGGCATTCCTTCATCCTTTGGCAAACATCCATAATTAATTACAGTAGCCCTACTGAGATGGGATGTGGCCTTAGAAGCTGTTTTAGTGCAGTATTTTTATGCACACTGTATGAAAGTTTGCATAGAAAATGAAATCTATTTTCATTCCCTGAGTTAGTACAGTGAATTGGATAAGAGTAATGTCCTGGGTAAATGGAATAAAGTTCAATTCAACCTTGATGGAAATAGGGAGATAAACTAAGGAAGGTTTACAGCATTGTGTATGCATTGGGAAAAGGGCAGGTAGCCTCATGACACCAGATAGCTGACAAGAAAAAGGAGTTTAGCAAGAGAATGAAAAAGAGATCATGGATAAATTTGAGATATTTTAAAATCTAGTATGGTCCGGTGGTTTCTTATAGAGACCATAAAGTTTCTCCAGCCCTGACATGAATCTCCATGAACATTAGTGCAACTCTTAGTCATCTGGAGGGCTGTAGCCTGGGCCAGATGCAAAGGAATAGATTGATCTTGAAGAGTCCGAAATCTGGTGTTCAGAAATATAGCTGATAATTTACCTGAACAAGGAAATACCTTAGCAGAACTCTGAGATTCCTAGCGCAAAAGAACACTATTACATAATAAAAGCTGTGAAATTCTTGAAGGCAAGAGCTTCAGTTTAACAATCACTGAATCACCTGACATGGTTGGTACCTAATAAATATCTATTCTAGGACTGCCAGCAGTGCCTCACAGTGATATAGTTTGGCTGTGTCCCCACCCAAATCTCAACTTGAATAGTAGTTTCCATAATCCCCACGTGTCTTGGGAGGGACCCAGTAGAAGGTAATTTAATCATGGAAGCAGTTACCTTCACGTTATTCTCATGATAGTGAGTGAGTTTTCATGAAATCTGATGGTTTTACAAAAGGCTTTACCCCTTTTGCTCATTCTTCTATCTCCTGCTGCCTTGTGAAGAAGGACATGTTTGCTTCCTCTTCCATCATAATTGTAAGTTTCCTGAGGCTTCCCCAGCCATGCTAAACTGTGAGCCAATTAAACCTCTTTCCTTTGTAAATTACCCAGTCTCAGGCAGCTCTTTATTAGCAGCATGAGAATGGACTAATACAGTTAATTGGTACCCGGTAGTGGGGCGCTGCTGTAAAGATACTTGAAAATGTGGAAGTCACTTTGGAACTGGGTAACAGGGAAAGGTTAGAACAACTTGGAGGGCTCAGAAGAAGACAGGAAAATGTGGGAAAGTTTACAAGTTTCTAGAGACTTGGAGGGCTCAAAAGATAGGAAGATGTGGGAGAGGTTGGAATTTCCTAGAGACTTGTTGAATGGCTTTGACCCAAATGCTGATAGTGATATGGACAATAAAGTCCATGATGAGGTGGTCTCAGACAGAGATAAGGAACTCATTGGGAACTGAAGTAAAGGTCACTCTTGCTATGAAAAAGACTGACAGCATTTTGCCCCTGCCCTAGAGATCTGTGAACTGTGAACTTGAGAGAGATGATTTGGGGTATCTGGTAGAAGAAATTTCTAAGTGACAAAGCATTCAAGAGGAAGCAGAGCATAAAAGTTTGGAAAATTTGCAGCCTATCAATGTGATAGAAAAGAAAAACCCATTTTCTGGGGAGAAATTCAAGGCCGTGAAAGTATCATGAAAGAGGGGGTCAATAGCCTGTAAAGCCACAGGGCAGAGCTGCCCAAGGCTGTGGGAGCACACCTCTTGCATCAGTGTGACCTGGATGTGAGACATGGAGTCAAAGGGGATACTTTTGGAACTTTGAGGTTTAATGACTGCCCTGTTGGATTTTGGACTTGTATGGGGTCTGTACCTCCTTTATGTGGGTGATTTTCTCCCACTTGCAACAACTGTATTTACCCAATGCCTGTACACCCATTGTCTCTAGGAAGTAACTAACTTGCTCTTGATTTTCCAGGCCCATAGGTGGAAGAAACTGCCCTTGTCTCAGATGAAACTTTGGACTTTGCCTTTTGAGTTAATGCTGGAATGAGTTAAGACTTCAGGGGACTGTTGGAAGGGCATGATTGTGTTTTAAAATGTGAGGACATGCATGAGCTTTGGGCGGGGCCAGGGGCAGAATGATATGGTTTGACTGTGTCCACACCCAAATTGCATCTTGAATTGTAGTTCCCATAATCCCCACATGTCATAGGAAGGACCCCTTGGGAAGTAATTTAATCATGGTAGCAGTTACTCTCATGATGTTCTCATGATAGTGAGTGAGTTGTCATGAGATCTAATGGCTTTATAAGGGGCTTTCCCCCACCCCTTTGCTTATAATTCTTGTTGCTGCTGCCATATGTAGAAGGACATATTTTCTTCCTTTTCTGCCATGATTGTAAGTTTCCTGAAGCTTCCCCAGCCCTACAGAACTGTGAGTCAATTAAACCTCTTCCTTTATAAATTACGCAGTCTCAGTTATGTCCTTATAGTGGTGTGAGAATGGATTAATACACACAGTAACAGTGTAGTTTCTTAATCTTCCAAAATGTCTCCTGACCATTTAGGGAATATTGGTCTCATAAATGCTCCCTAAGAAATGCCTTAGAAATCTCAGGCACCCAAAATGACTGGATAAGCTATAGTGTAGATCCCAGTAGTGAGCTTTGAGGAATAAATCAACAAGATAAAGATGACAAACTAGTTTGTAAATGTTATATAATCTGACAATATAAATGTAATATAAATAACAAAAATGGGAGAAGATGAGACTAAGTGGATAATGGAATATGGTTGCTGATGACCTCATTAGTATTGACTTGTAAGAAAAATGAAATAACAAAAGCTTAAGCATTTTTAAAGAGTCGAAAATATCTTTAAGGTAATGTTTGTCATTGAAATTAAGTAATGGAGGAGAGAAAATGAGAAAAATTGATGCTAGCTATCTTCATTATTGTTCATTGTAAGTAGCTAATAGACATCATCCAGAAAAGACAGTGCTATGGATATTATATAAAGAAAGGTATTGGTATAATGAAAACCACTAGAACAAAAAGATAAACTATCCTAAAAACCAAAATAAATACCATCAACATTTAAAAAAATCATAATGTAGTGAAAGATTTACTGTGTGTAAGTGTGTGATTATATAAATATAATGCAAAATCGTATGACAGAAATTAGAATTTTGAGTAGCTCATTAGTAAATATAAATGTGCTTAGCTTTATTAAAAAAACTAAAAAGATGTTTAGATTGGCTAACAAATTCATATCCAATTGTTTGCTGAACACAAGAGACACACCTAATATAAAATGATTTAGAAAAGTTAAAAATAAAAGGATGGGCAAAGATACATGAAGAAAATACAAATGAAAAGAAGAAGTTGTAATTCTGATATCAGACAAGGTAGAATTTAACCAAACAAGAAAACTTTATAAACTAAAGGCCATAATTAAAAACACAGGTAAAAGAGTTATTTGTGTGCTTTTAAAAAACATAGCAGCAAATTTTAATAGGACATACTAGAATAAATTCATTACTGTTTTTCTTAAGATACATACTTTCTAACTTTCACAACAGGAAATGTTTGAAAGTAATGAGAGTTTGAGAACACTTAGTTCATCTAGTTCCCAGGTTGTGGGCCCAGAGCCCCAGAGGTAATGTCTAATCCCAGATGTGGGGAAACATAGGTACTCCATAAGTCTGTCATTTCTTTTTGCTGGAAAGAAAGGGGATGCACAAAGACATATGTCATGTCAAAGGGTCACTGTCAAACATGAAGGGACTTCTAATGGCCAAAGATTCAAAAATGACAAAAGTTAAGCATTGAAAAAATAATAATTGAAATTGATTCAGACTCATTTCATATATAAATACCTGTAAAATTATGATGATATGTAGAAAGAAAGAAAGAGGTAGGAGAAGAGAGCTATCCACACCTCTCCCAATTAATTGGTTGTATTAGAAGTAACAGGCCCCAAATCCTTTCTCTAACAACTTAAGAATTAAATGCTTTTCTTATTGCAATTGTTTTTCAGTTTGCTCAAATCATACTATTATCTAAATATTGAAAAGTTATTCTTTGTTAAAATAATTATTACTAATATATGTAGAAGAAATGATAGAATTACAAATATTTTGCAATTTCCCATTTAATCATTGGGGCTGGCACCAATAATTAAAAACAGGAGACAATCATGGGAAATGCTGATAAGAAAAAGAATAAGAGGATGGGGCTGTCACACCCTGAACTCACAGGTAAATCATAGCATCACCAAGAGATAGTTACATATTTTGTGTCTCTTGATATGGTGAATATAAAATATTTAGCACCATCTGTAAAATATTCTTACCAAATGGTTGAACCTGATTCTAGTAGAATGTAAGTCATGAGAGCTCATTTCCAGTTTTCAGGAAATAATAAGGTTAGAAAAAACAAAGACATATCTTCAATATGGAACGTCCTTCAAATTGGCTGACCTATTTTGTTTTCTTTTTGCGTAAATCAATAGCATGAAAAAAAGGAAATGTACTAGTCCAGCATTAAAGAGGCTCAGATTCATAACAACCATATGTAATGATAGACGTGGGTTGAACCCTTATTGAAGCAACCCATACTTTAAGTTGTAAGGAAACAACTGAGGAAATATGATTATAAACTAAGTATTAGATGGTTACAAGGATTTGTGTTTAAAAGAAAAAACAAGTAGAAAAGAAAATTGAATATAAAGAGACAGATAAAGCAAGTGTGGCAAAACCTAAATAATTCTTGAGTCTGAAAGATGTGTTTGTGGGGTTTTTCACACCATTGTCCTTATTTTGTTAATGTTTGAAAATTTTTAGAGTAGCTTTTAATAAATGTAAATAATAAAAAGGAAAAAGTTCTCATCTGTTTTATAAACTTTGAGAATAATTAAAAGAATAAGGCTTCTAGGAAACACAAAGCTCTAATCAGGAGCACAGAATGATGGCTAATTTGTTTTCAGAAGTAAAACAAGTACCCAGCACATAAAGCCATTTTTTTATAAACCTTACTCAAATTGTAATGCAACTGCTAACCTTTGTAAATGGGATTTTTTAAATAAAAATGTGCCCTGAGGCAATTTATATTTATTGTCATGTCTATGGCTAAAACCAAGGAAACCAAATTCTAGTTGCAAGAAAGATTGTATTTCCCTTCTTCGTGAGCCTAGTGTAAGGGAGATTGGTGGCTTTCCGTTTCCTGCATTTTTCCTTTTGTAATAAAGCATTTAAGTTTATTTCTTAGCAAGACCTGTTCTGCAGTCAGAAAAGCTCTGGGGAAGATTTGGGCTTTAATGCCAGCAAATGGAATCATGGATGGTGATGTTGATCTAGCGTTTGGCTTGTAAGAAATGCTGAGCCAAATAATCCTGCAGTGTTCTAGAGGGATCTTGTGATATAGTTTGTCTTTCTGTCTATTCACAATCAAAAATAAATCACAGGATTAGCTTACCTAGCAACAAGCAATGGGATGTTGAGTTTTAGAGAAATCAGAAAGACTTGATCTATGCAATTGAATGCCACTCACCTCCAGAATTCTGTTCTAACTCATTAGGGTGGGCATAGATGTCTTGGACTAAGTGAAAATGCAACATCAGTGAAATGTGTCATTTAGCATCTGCTAACCTCCTTGGCTCTCTTCTTTCCATCATGATGTTCCCCTTTCTTTTGGTCAAACATAAGCTTTCCTGCCCCATTTAGTCTCTGGCAATGAAAAAGTGGTGAACATATTTATTACAAGTGTCCATGACATCGTAGACAAACCTTCCCAGGACTATTGACATTTTAAAAGCATTCATAATTGATTCAAAGTGGATAGTAATCTATTAGAGGGATTTCGGTAACCAGCACACACTATATATGGAAAAGAGGAAAACCCATACCTAATTATGATAATAGCTAATATTACTTGGGCATAGACTACGTGTCAGTTATTTTCGTGCATAATTAATTTAATCTTCACAACAACCCTGAAGTATAAATATGATTATCACTGAATTACAGGAAACCTAAGACACAGAGGAGAAAAGCAGTTTGCACAGATCACACAGCAAGTGAGTATCAGAACAATGTTAGGACTCAGTCAGTTTGACTCTAAACTAGTGATTAATATGAGCCTGGCAATGTGCTAAGCACTTTGAATTATATATTGACTCCTCTGCCTCTGTGACTTGTTGCTATTGTTTGTTTTGGCATTTGTTTTGTTTATTTATTAGTAATTTGTCTGAATTGATTTTGTGAAGCCCATTTTCCCTCCCATGTGCAGCCTCAGATGTCCCTTCTCAAAATTTTTCTCCTTGTTTGCGTCTTTTAGCTCAGTTTCCTGAGATTAGCCCCTGAGTCCATAAACCCCAAATATTGGTTAAAGGTTGTGCTTCAGCCCCATTGGTCAGTTAAATTTCCACCACTCATTACCTCTGGATATGTGTGTGTGTGTGTGTGTGTGTGTGTGTGTGTGTGGCTTGGATATTTTGGATATTGCTTTCATAATTCAGGAAGTTTATGTTTCACATTCAACCAGGGACTAATAGCTCAGAAGTTTCCTCTCCAGTTATTCATGAGAGGGCTCAGCTTTGGCCAGGCACACTCTTCCAGACCACCAGGGTGGAGAGTGATTACTTTTAAGCCTGGTTTCTAGGTATTGACCCTGGATCAGAGGATTACATTGTTCAGCTAGTGTTTAGTTAGATGTTGTGCTTAATCCTCTTGAGTCAGTGAGGCTTCTCCCTTTTGCTGATGGATCTCTGTGTTGCTTAAGGAATTCTTTCCATTCCGCCCCATGTCCCATTCTGATTACTTGAAATGAATGCAGCCTAGTGTATGCACACTCCCTTTCACACCCCCAGGGATAAGTGTGATCCCAAGAGGTGTCTCCTTGGCTGTCTTTTTCTGTTATTACTTCTGGCTGGTCTTCCATTTTTAATTTCAATAGGATCATAGAACTACCAGCTACTCTTAATCACTTGTTAACAAAATCTGCATTTATCTTTAGCCATGAACTCCCTCATGCTTTGTGCCAAGTAAAGTCAGTCCGTTTAGTCAGAGCCATGAAGCTGAAAGCTGGGAGTTGGGAACAGCAGTCCTTTGACTCCTTTACTTTAGCAGCACTCAGGGGTACAGCAGCCTTTTATCTTCTCAGCTTGTCCTTCCCAGCATAAAACCTCTATACTATAAACAAGTTGGGCCCCAAGAGTTTTGACCTGTTGTGTCTAAGGCAGGGCTTTTGTCCAATGAGTGGAAACTTGGGTGAGGGAAGGGAGCCTCATTCCTCTCGACCATGCTCACCCAAAATAAAACTTGTAACATGGAGTTTGGAGGGCAGATCTAAGAGATGCCTGTGGCCTGCTCCTTTCAGAGTAAAACTGTTGGTTGCCCGAGACTAGGAATTGCAGGGACAGACAGCCTTGTCTTCTTGGCCATAACCACCCAAAATAGAGCACCTGAACAAGCAGTTCTAAATCTGAGAGCTGATGGGGAAGCTGTGCATGGGATAGGAGCAGGTCCTGGCCTGGCCTGGCCTAAATGCAGCAGATTCTCACTCTTCCTGTTCAGATTTCATAGGGCGTCTCGTACCCCTGTTTCTCCATTTGATGCATGCTGTTAGGACAACTTTCAGAGATTTCAGTGGATTGTTTATGTTTTATAATTATAACTAGTTAAATGACTTTTTTCCCCAGGGAGATAATCCACCAACCTCCTCGCACAGCCATTCTGGAAGTCCCAAGTCCTGCCTCTAGAGACTAAATGAAACTTACTTGTCTCTTTTTCACTTCTCTCACATCTCTGTTAAGTGACAGGTTGGCTAATCAACTTAATGAATTACTATCTGCCTTTAGTCATATCTGAAATAAAGTGGGAAAAAAGGAAATGAGGAAAAGAGAAGATAATAAGAGATGAAGGGAAGAGGGTGGAAAGTCAGGGGGAGAAATCAGGGACAGAAGAAGCAAAAGGTGTAAGCATCTTTAAAAGTTGTAAGACCTCTTGCCATCAATAATCTTATTTTTTGGCTGACAATAATCTCACAGAGGAAGGCAGGGTGGGAATGATTACCTCATCCTTTACAGTGAGAATATCAAGGTCAACAAAGGTTGGAGATTAGCTTAAAGTCACATGGTACATGGAAGAGCCCAGAGAAGATCCAGGTCTTCTGACCCCTGGTCTTTCATCCCTTCCACTACACTCTGAGGCCCCAGTCACTCCCTGGAAGGAGTAATGAGAGGCTATCTGGTACTGTAGCAGGCCCATCTAGGAAGATAATCTGAGGAAAAAGAGCCTTCGGTACTTTATCACGGAGGTGGCTACTGTATATATGTCAAGTCACTCTTCTTTTTAAATATCTTGTCTCTTGGAGTTTGGAATGACTGTTTAGATGAAAGCACCCCCTTAAAGACCATTCTAAGGAGCCACCGAAATGCAGTGCTTTCAAAAATTAAACAAGACACATTTTACAATTTTCCAAACATCAGACAATTACTAACCCTCACTCTTAGTCCTCTGTGAGCACAAGTGATAACACAGGTCACACAGATGCCTTTCTCCCTCTTTAGATCCTCTTTAATACCTGGAAATTGGTTTAAATTTCCTGACTGCTCTAGGTGACAGTGGTTCTTGCAACTCTTCAATTCTCTTCTTTCCCCCTTTTTAATCAGAAATCAAGATGCTGCCCTGAGAGTCACCTCTCATGCAGAGTGAGAAATCTAATAACTGAAAGCTTTTCTAATTTTTGCCCTCATTTCCAACTTAGGAACAATGGGATAAAGCCAAATATGCACACCTAATCAATCACATACGATACCCTGCTTCTAGTTAGCTTGTCTATAGCTTCCCTGTGCCAGCATAACCAAAGTTTTCCTTTTTTTCCACTGTAAGGCTTTCTCTCTCTTCTGCCTGCCTTGGAGTCTTTGCCAGAATAAGGGATGGTGGCTGATTTCCTTACTTTAGTAAGCTCTGAATAAATAGCCTTTGCTTGTTCTCACTGTGGTGAGCTTCATTTATTTCCTATATCATGGATTCAAAATCCTTTACAAACCATGAAGCAATATTAAAAACATTATTATGGTTATCATAATCTGTTACTTCCCAAATTGTGGACCATACGACTAGAAAGGCCATTAAACATTTCCTAGTGGTTTTTGTTGTTGTTGTTGTTGTTGTTTATTTTCCTTCAAATGAAAACCCAGTGAGTGTTGAAAAGGCCAAACCACATGTCTCTTTCTCATATTCTAGTTCAGGCCTTGCAGTGTCCACTCAAAATCTACTGATTTAGTTGAATTACCTAATTATTCAAATGAAAAAAGTAAAGCTCAGAAAGAAGTAGCTTGCCCTGAGTCACAGAGCCAGTTACTAGAACCTTTCTTATCTTCTAACTTCCTGTCAAAGTTAACTTCTCATACACACTATGTCAATGCATTATAACACTGGGGGAGCTGTATGTCCTGCCAGGTAACCTGGGCGCAGGGATTTACAAGCTCTCTGGAAAGAATTGCAATTATGTGGAAAGAGAAAGGAAAGGAACAAAAGGGTGACATCTTGGCAAACAAAGGACATATACCCACTCATCGCCTGAACAGAATAATTTTTAACATTAAAGGAGGTAGCTAGAGCTCAACTATTTCCCTTTTATTTTCAAAATAGTGGGAACCTCCCTTTTCTACAATTTAAAAGAGTAAAAGATAAGAAAGGGACAAATAGACAAATAATGTGAAGGAAGAGCAAATGCTACAGACAAAGCTTATGAAGAGGCAGTCTTGTCTGGGTGATGGTGAATATGTTGATGCATTGATGTGCATGATGCTTGGAGACTAAGAAAGAAAATGCCAAATGAGCCTGAACAGCAGTGCATGTTAAGTGGTATTGATGGATTTGAGTATAAATTGGCTGAGGAAAAGTGGTTGCAATAGATAGCTCATGCTGGGGATCTGAATGTATTTCTAATTGTATTAAAGGAATATGACTAGACATCCTACATTATGCTGGTCATCATTCTCCTCATCACCGTCCATATTTCCCCCAGTGGGGAGAAGGAATCCTGTGGGAAATTAAGGAGAATACAAGTCAAATCGGAGCCTTCTCTTGCCTGGCTATGCTCCGGGCTCCCTTTGTGCCACTTTGTGTAGATTTAAGAAACATCAAAATTTTGATGAGCATCATTTCATTGGACTATAAAGTTCATATTTTATATTTATCCTTTAAATGATGTATCCTTTTTAAATGATGGATCCTTTTTAAATGATGGGTTGTGAATAGGAACCAGACTCATTCAAGCTATGCCAGACTGGGTTTTCTAAGGCAATTACCCATTATTGTTGGGATGCTTCCTAGTTAATAACTCTCAAAGGGTAGCCTATAATTGAGCCTCTGGATAACCATAAGTCACATGCACATTTTCAGTGAGATTTATAGTTTTTTTAATTCTCATTTAAATAAATCTATGAAGCTAAATCTTTGTTTTTCCTGTTCCATTGATGAGACCTGTACAGTTTCATTTTAGAGAGTTTATTCCAGATTGTTCCTGTCCCCAGTGTTAAGGAAACCTATAAACTCATAAAATATTAGTAGGTCAAACTCGAAGAAACTTAAAAACTATTTATTCAATATTTAATTTTATTTCACGAGATCATTTATATGCAAAGATATTAAGTGACTAGGCCAAATTCACAGAAATAGTTTGTGCTACTGCATGAACCAGGCTTCAGGTAGCCTCATAAACTCATTCTATTTGACAAAGAGGTCTAGCTATCCCCCTTAAGGGAAAATGACATTTCAAATTAACTTGCCAAAAAAATATGTTTGTTGTGTCTAGAAGTTTCATTAGGTGTCAATTTTGGCAGATATCTTTTGGAAAATTCTTGTGACAATATTAAAGTGAATGCTTGGAAGTCACGCCCTGTGACAAGAAAATAAAAATTGGTTTTCTAATCAAGTAGGCATATATAATTTAGGTAGTAAATGACCAAATGGTGTGCGTTGCTGTTTTTTTTACCAATTACAGAAGTAATTTGTAAAGTAGAGAAATAACTGAATCTTTCACTTGCAAAGATAAATCTATTTATAAATAAATCTATTTGTCTGCCTATAGCATAGTCATCTTAAGTTATGAATATATAATATTCTCCCAGAGAAGTGTGTGTGTGCACACGTGTCCCCTCCTAAGTTTACTTAGAAATTAAATAACAAATGTCAATTTATGGCCAAAGATGTTTGCTACATCATGTTTATTACTTGGCTGAGAATACTCAAATGCTCACCTAAAATATGAAAAAAAAAAAAAAAGCAATAGATTAGCCAAAAAACAACCTGTATTCAGAAAAAAAAAAAATGTAACCAGAGTTACGGAGCCTCCAGAAAGAGGATTTAGATCATTAAGTCAAGGGAGTGCTGTTCATAAAAAAATCAGTATTACCAAATGAGGGTGCACATTAGAATGCCCTAAAGAGCTACAAGCAAACATTGAGGTTCCCAGGCCCCTTTCTCAGATATTTTGACTCAGTACGTTGGGGTAAATTCCAAGAATCTATATTTTTCCAAGTTTCTCTGATGACTGTCATGCAGTCAGTCCATCTCTCAGCTTTCAAGAACCACTGCATAAAATAATATTCCACTTCTTCTGAGAGGCAAATATATTCTAGCAAGAAATGACAATCAGTATTTATTAAGTATATTTTGTAGCATTTAATATAAGGGTTAGGACTTTTAAATATTATTTCATTTAATCTCCCCCACAGTCCTGAGAGGTGGGTACTGTTTTCTGAATTTTCTTACCGAAGGAACTGAGCTTTAAACACCTTAAGCAAAGGCCCAAGATCCCAAACTTAAGATTCTAAATTCTCTGATCTTTAAACCAAATTATGTTGCCTCTTCATTGCTACAAGTATCTTTGAGGTTTCCTCTTGGACTATTTAGTCAGCTAACTAATATTTACTGAGCATCTACTAAGGGCTGGCTAATGTAACTTAGTTATATATGTTGACTACTCTCTTTGAGAGCTTTTTTGCTTGGATAAAAATAAAAAGTCAAGTACTCATTTAAAATGTATTTTAATGTGTCTCTCAGTGAAGAACTAGACCTGTACTTAAGCAAGGATGGCTGGTATCCGCCAATGACAGTTGGTGTTACGGACACTTAGCACCAAAACATCTTCTCAATGATATTTAATCTCTCTTGCATTCAATTTAGCATGAACAGTGAGATTGTCTATGTGAGGCAATGTATAATTTTGAAGAAATAACCAACAACAGTGGAACACAGAACGAACACTGGGATTAACACCAGAATATCCACTTAATTCCTGGGCTCTGTCACTAAGTGACTGTCACTTGAATTCTGTGTATGATGTTCCTCAAATATAACATAAGGAAATGGGGCAAATGTTCCAATTCTAATGATCTGTGATTAGTATGTCTGAGAAAATATTTTTAACAGGGAGACCTTTCCGCCAGTCCTTAACCACCCTTTTTTTCCCTACACAAGAGCACACAGACTCAGACCCAAGGAAAAAGCTATCAACTGTCTTTAAAACTGAGTTACTTCACTTCTAAATATCTACCAACGTGTCATTTGGAAAATTTTATAGATGGGATAGTCAGTAAACTTATGCAACTTATTTTATAGATGGGATATTCAGTAAACTTATGTATTCACTCCAAAAGCAACTGCATATCAGCAACATGAGAGCTCTTTGCAAGGTGTAGGTCATTTGGAAGAAATATGTATTAAAAAGGTAGCAGTTGAGGTTGGTCATGGTGGCTAACACCTCTAATTTCAGCACTTTGGGAGGCTGAAGTGGAAGGATCACTTGAGCTCAGGAGGTCAAGGTTGCAATAAGCTATGATCATGCCACTGTGCTCCAGCCTGGGAAACAGAGTGAGACCGTGTCTCAAAAAATAAATAAATAAAATTTTTAAAAAATTTAAAAAGTTAGCAGTTGAAATCTCTGATGATAGATGGTTAGGGTGCAGTCAAGCTAGACGCTGGAGTAGTTTTTGGCAAGTTGTGCTTGCACAGTTAGTTGCTGAATCTGTCATCTTCAGTTAAGGCTTTGATGACCACGTGCCTTGTGAACATGAAACTATGTAGGTAGCTCAGTTAGGTTTAGGGAAGGATAGCCCAGGCCACGTAATTTATTCAGCTAAAAAGACAAAGCATTTGAATGTCAGGTAGTTGGCAGTGACCCATAAGTGCTATTGCCTAATAGCTATTGGCAGCCATTTCAAGAATTCCAGAGACCCAGATTGTAGAATTCACTCAGTACAAATGAGATGGATGACCTGGAGCAAGTCTCTTCCCCTTTCTGAGCCCATGTTTTCCCCGTGGTTGATTATGTATTATGAGTGAAGGCAGGGGGGCCTTCCTTGTTATTCCAGCTTACCATTAAATACTCAGCATCTAACTGATAGTAAAAAGTAAATTAGTTTTTGTTGTCTTAATGAAAGGGGCTAGACTTGATGATCTCTAGGGCCCAATTAGCTCCGGCATTCTACAGTTGTATCTTTTCTGGCACATACTCACCTTCACATAAGTCCTTGCTCTAGGCTGCTCGATTTATGCCCTGTATTGAAACTTAGGTAAGAGCCTCCCTTTTGGGTCAGTCCCTTCCTCTTGATTTCTCATCATTATACTTGTGACCATAACTTAAATAAATTCCAGTATCAACCCACAAGCCTGATGCCATGCACTGTTATCCATCTTTCACATTTGTGTATTGTTTATATGTGTATTTTCATTCTCCCAGTGCTTTCACTTTATATAGATCATTACAGAGTGAATTTGAACATACTTAAAAATTCAATAATAACCCTAGAACCAAAGAAATATAATGTTTTTTTATGTCCTATGAAGCTACCAAGAAGAGAAATATTAATAGCAAAAGAGATACTTCTAGAAATTTTTAAGACATCCTGAATATACAGCTATGCAAAACTAAATAGTAGTTTATTCCTAAGGTATGAGGTTAGGAGAGGTAACTACACTTTGATAAAAGTTTCATATTCAGCATAATGACAGGTGTCATCAACTCTTAAAATCACAACTTTCACTTCTGGAAAAAAAAATCTCATTGATCTTGCCCAATTCTTGTACCTCACTGGTGAGACACTGATTGAAATAACTTATTTGCCTTTCCTAACTTCAAGTAACATAGGAGTTGCAAGATTATTTATTTATTTATTTATTTATTTTCCAGTGGCCGAATTCTCTGAGCTCAGGACATTATTCTAAGGACTTGTTTTATTTTAGTATTTTTTTTAAATAATCCCCCGATGCCCTTTGAATAACTGGAGTAACACAGACAGTGTAATTGCTTTGAGGAACTGATGACTAATATTCCCAAAGCAAAAAGAAGGCAAAGCATTTAGATAATGAAATGTCAATCAGTGTAATAGAAGTGTCACTTACTTATTACTTACCAGTGTCTGAAAAGATTGCATGGTATTTGAAGACACATCTGTGTGTCAATACAACCAAAAACATTGTGCATGCACACATGCAGTACTGTGGCTCTCCTTACATGCTTCAAGATACTCCACCTACAATAACGTAGCTACAAAGACTGGTATGTAGAAGATTATGTGTGCATGTGCATCTGTATGAGTGTGTCTGTGTGTCCATCTGTCAACTTTCAGGATTCTGTGAAATGCTGGCCTTCTTGATCTAACACTGCAAAGCCTGCATCTGCAGCTGCATTTTTACAGATAACCAGGATGTTTTGTTCAGAGGAAACTGCAGTGCCCTTGACATTGAACAGTGCCAGAAATCAACTCAAGACCATCAAGCAAGGATTTTAAGTGCATAAAAGAACAATTTTTCCATAAATATTTATAGGAAACACTGCTCTGCATGAGTGAAAATGATAAGGATACGTAGTCAATAATCAAGTTGGGTTGTTATTTGTATGTAAACATTTAGAAATGGGCGAAAGAAAGAGAAAGTCCTACATTTTATTAAATAATCCAGACATTGCTTCAAATATTATGTTTTTCTGCCGGGGCTCCTTGCATTTTCCCTCATGCTGGCATCAGATTTTAACTTCTTCACAACCCTATATGTGAGTACTTTCAATCTCCAGAGCAAAGAGAAACTTTATTTGTTGGAAGCAAATGACATTTCAGAAGCAACATCTTAAAACTGAATGTCAAAATTAAGAAAATTTAGGCCAGGTAGCTTCAAACTAACATTCGAAGATATTTTTTGTGTTACTCAGGTAAAAATGACCAATTGGCAGTTGTG
Source organism: Homo sapiens (assembly GCF_000001405.40). Classification (NCBI taxonomy): domain Eukaryota; kingdom Metazoa; phylum Chordata; class Mammalia; order Primates; family Hominidae; genus Homo; species Homo sapiens. The sequence continues at coordinate 21,929,868 of NC_000011.10, forward strand.
ATTTTGATACAATACATATAAGAACGTGTTATTTTCCTGTGGCTGCTATAACAAACCACTGCAAACAGGCAGCTTTAAACAACATAAGTCTCTTGTCTCACAATTCTGGAAGCCATATGTCTGAAATCAAGGTGTTGGCAGGGCCCCACTGCCTCTGGAGGCTCTAAGGAAGAATCCTTCCTTCCCTCTTCCACTGTCTACTGGCTTCAGGTATTCCTTGGCTATGGTTGCCAAACTCCAATCTCTGGGTTTGTCTTCACAAAGCTTTCTTTTCAATGGCTGTGCCTTTTTCTTCATTTGCTTATTATAAGAATACATGTCATTGAATTTAGGGCAACCTGGATAAATTAGGATAATCTTATCTCAAGATTTTCCACTGAATTATATATGTAAAAATATTTTTTTTTTCCAAATAGAGTCACATTAACAGTTTCTGGGGGTTAGAAAATAAATGTATGTTTTTGGGGACCACCATTCATTCCACTACAGCAGGGGCCCCCAACCCCAGGGCCAAGGACCGGAGCCTGTCAAGAACCAGGCCACACAGCACGAGGTGAACATTGAGTGAGCGAGCAAAGCCTCATCTGTATGTACAGTCACTCCCCATTGCTGGCATTACCACCTGAGTTCTGCCTCCTGTCAGATCAGTGGCAGCATTAGACTTTCAGAGAAGCACAAACCCTATTGTGAACTGTGTATGCAAGGGATATAGGTTGCATGCTCCTTGAGAATCTAATGCCTAGTGACCTAAGGTGGAGCTGAGGTGGTGATGTTAGCACTGGGGAGTGGCTGCAAATACAGATTAACATTAGCAGAGAGGTTTGACTACACAGAGACCATCATAAATCAATTGCTTACAGACTCATATCAAAACACAATAAGTGTGTGGCAAGTGACAAGCTGCATCTGGTAGCAGGCTTTATATTGGCAAGTGAGTTGATGTACTTCAATTGTCTGTTGCATCTGGTGGCAGGCTTTAAGTCACAATCTGACACTTATTTTAGTCTGCAGATGGCCTGCACATTATTTTATTTACCACTTCCATTCGTGCCTCTTTTCCACACTGTGCACTTGTCTCTGTCATGGTGTTGGTAAGCCCGCAAGCTAACCCTAGCTAAAATGAGTAAAAAACAAACGTCCCTACAGAGCTTCTATGAAAAAGGGGAAAGACCCAATGATGAGACAGCAGAAGACTCTAAAACTGCCAACAAAAAGAAAGCTGCATTTAAAAGAAAATACCAAGAGTTCTACTTAAATTATGGTTTCATTGCAACAGGAGATTCACCTTGTCCAAGCCCGCTTTGTATCATATATGGCAATCGGCTATTCAGTGAAGCCATAAAACTTTCAAAACAGCTGTGCCCCATGGAGACTAAGCACCCTGCATTAAAAGGCACACCTTTGAAGTTTTTCAAAAGAAAAATACAAACACAAAGAACAGACGCAATTATTGAAGGCCACCACTTCATCAAATGTGTGTGCACTGAGAGCATCATTCTTAGTAGCTAATCGCACTGCTGAAGCTAAGAAAACTTTTACTATTGGTGAAGAGTTGATTCTGCCTGCTGCTAAGTACATTTGTTGTGAACTTTTAGGAGAGGCTGCAGTTCCAAAGGTGGCACATGTTCCTCTTTCAGCTAGCACCATAACTAGATGAATTGATGAAATAGCAGAAGATATTGAGGCATAATTGTTAGAGAGGATTAGTGAGTCACTGTGGTATGCAGTCCAGGTTGATGAGTCTATTGATGTTGACAACAAAGCAACAAGGCTTGTTTTTGTACAATATATTTTTCAGGAGGATGTGTATGATATGTGCACTTCTGTTGCCAACCAACACCACAGCTGCAGAACTACTGAAGTCTTTGAGTAATTACGTATCAGGAAACTGAGTTGGTCATATGGTATTGATATATGCACAGATGGAGTGGCTGCCATGACTGGATGGCTTTCTGGTTTCGCTACTTGGGTCAAAGAGGTCACTTCTTAATGTGAGTCTACACGCTGGGTCATCCACAGAGAAATGCTGATGAGCCAAAAAATGTCACCTAAATTTAACAACGTTTTCCAGTATGTGATTAAAATCATCAACCGCATTAAAGTACATCCCCTTAACTCACTTCTGTTTGCGCAGCTCTGTGAGTATATGGACGCAGAGCGCATACGTCTTCTCGTATACGCAGAAGTGAGATGGCTTTCTAAAGGTAGATCACTGGCCAGAGTCTTTGAGTAGCACATTTTAGTGGCACAGAATGGGTCACAAGACTTGCTTATTTGATGGCATATTCAACCTGCTCAATGAACTCAATCTGTCACCTCAGGGGAGAATTACAACTGTGTTCAAGTCTGCATATAAAGTGGTTGCATCCAATGCCAAACTGGAATTAATGGGGGCAATGAGCGAATGTTGGGATTTTTGACATGTTTCAAAAATTAGAAGAAATTTTGAAAGATACTGAGCCAGGGCCTTCTTTCTTCCAGCTGGTGCATGATCACCTATCTCAGCTTTCAAGAGAGTCTGAACATTATTTCCCAACCACAAAAGACCCACCTCCACAACTGGGAAGGAATGGATCTGCAACCCATTTGTGAATAAGCCAGGTGAATTGACTTTGTCTGTGCTGGAAGAGGATCAACTGCTTGAAATCGCAAATCGAGGTGGCCTTAAAAGTATGTTTGAGACAACTTCAAGTCTTTACACATTCTGGATTAAAGTCAAGGCAAAATATACTGAGATTGCCACGAAAGCACTGAAAAACCTGCTTCTATTTCCAACATCCTATCTTTGTGAAGCAGGGTTTTCTGCAGTGACAGCAACCAAAATAAGATTACAGAGTAGACTGGACATAAGCAACACACTTGGGGTGTCACTGTCTCCCATCACCCCCATTTGGGACAATCTAGTTGCAGGGAAAAAAATTCCAGGGTTCCCACTGATTCTATGTTACGGTGAGTTGTGTAACTATTTTATTATGTATTACCATGTGATAATAATAGAAATAAAATGCACAATACATGTAATGTGCTTGAATATTCCTGAACCCACCACCCCCAAACCCAGCCGTTGGAAAAATTGTCTTCCATGAAATCAGTACTTGGTGCCAAAAAGGTTAGGGACCGCCGCATTACAGAATGTCATAATTGCTGCCTTTTATGACGAAAATGCTGTGTCTCAGTAGCTAAGACAGGCACATTGATCAACAACTACAAAATCTAAGTGTATTTAATATTAAGGTCTTTTAGATAACTTAATAGGCTTTTGAAACAACAGAGAAGCCCTCACTTTGCAGATGTGTAAGTAACTTTTCCATAAAGTTAAATGAAACCATTAAAATATTTTCAATTATTGGTAATACATCCAAATAGTATGAATGGGGAAAATAGGATTAGTGTTATCTGATTGCCACTAGGGGGAGGAAAAATCAGCAAATGAGCAGCAAATATGAACTGGAAGAAAATGCTCCAAAAAGTTGGCGTGGCATATGTATTTTGGTTAACATTTGTGAAGTATAAGTAGTGCATTACACAATTAAAGAAACATTTTTTATTTTTTTACTTTTCTATATATTCTACATTAAAAATATGTTCTAATTATACACACACATTTAAAAGAAAAAAGTCAAAAGACATATAAATATCATGGGAACATGGAACTTTAGAATGAGTCAGGACAAGTCTTAGATAACTTTGCTCAGCCTCTCTCCTTCGTGTGACATCCCTAGTAGAACAAGGTACACCTACCTCTACTTGGAAACTTCTGGTGATGGGGATCTTGTTTTTTTTTTTTTTTTTTTTTTCAGTCTAACTCACTCTAGTATTGATCATCACTGAGTCAGAAACTTCTCCCCAAAATGGACTACAACATGGCTACATTTTATATTCACTTGTGGCACAGTGTTACCATATATTGAACTACAGGTTGTGCACTGCACAGCTTCATAGATTACAATATGCATAGCACACCCTGAAGATCAGCAGTGTCACAGGGTCAAGATTCCTTTCATGGCCTATATCATTGTCCAAGTTGTATATATTCTTTCTTTGTCTTCCTTTTTCTCTTCCTCTTCTTCCTTTTTTCCTTTCTTTTAGCATTACTTGACCTCTTTAGAGGGAAGATGTGGCTCAAAATATTGCTTTGGGTTAATGTTCTTTGTCTTACATTTTTCCTGGAAAAAAATTAATCAGTGGTTTTTTCTTGATTTTCCACATTTACGAAGTTTGCTTTTAGACTGCAAAGTAACTCACAGCACAGTTTCAGATGACTTTTATTGACTCATGATCAAGGGAACCCTCAACACACAAAAGAAATTGAGCATGAATTTGTCATAACTACTGACTTAAGGCTAAGCAAGGCATATATACATATATATATGTGTGTGTGTGTATGTTTATCTAATTCTCACAACTAATCTGTGCAATAATTGTTATAGCCACAGCTCTGTCCTGGAGTCACATTAAATAGTTCCCTCATCTGCCAATGCTCCTTTATTATGGGCTCTCATGCATACTATCCTCTCTATTGAAACACTCACTCTGACCATCCCAACTTCCTCTTTTGTTTATTCTCTCTTTTGCCTGACAAACTCCAACTTATAATTCAGGTTTCAGAATAGACATGGCCATTTCCATGATCTTCCATGACGGGCTAGTTGCCCTCCCTATTTGCTCCCAAATGCTTTGCATGTCCCATATTTTATCCCATAAATTTATATTATAGTTGCCTATGTACTAGTCTAGTCTCGTGTGCTAGACTGTCTAACAATAGTCTCTTGTATTAGACTGACCACCGTGAGATCCAGGACCATAGAAGGGGGAACATAGTTTAATCTACTACAGTGTAGTGAGGACATGGAACCTGCACCTATGCTTCCTGGATGTAAATCCTGTCTTTACCACTTACTAACTGAGGGTCTGCAGACAAATTAAATGAATGAGTCTGTTTATTTGCAAAATGAGAATAAAATAGTCCATACTTTCTGCAATTGTTGTGAGAGAGAACACAGAAAAGGCGCTGAGAGGGTACATGGCATGCAGTAAGTGTTATTCGTTTTATTGAGGCTAGTCATGAATGTAATCTCAAGCTGGCACATAGTAGATGCTCAGAAATTTTTGGAGACCCAGGATCATCTCAAATGTAACTTCTTCTATAAAGCCTTCTCAAATGCCCCATTTAGAAGTCTTCCTCTCAACTCAGATGACACCTTACCTCCTACTATTTAATAGTACTTCTTATCTATTACCATATATCCAGCGAATGTTTTCTGCATGTCGTTTTCTTCCTACCAAGCCAAAGCTTCTAGCTGGCAGGCTCCATATTTGTCTCTATTCATCACAACACCTATGGTAGAAAACAATTGTTGGATGAATTAATGACTCAATAAATCAATTTTAAAAAAAAAGTCCATGGCTGGGCGCGGTGGCTCACGCCTGTAATCCCAGCACTTTGGGAGGCAGAGGCGGGCGGATCACGAGGTCAGGAGATCGAGACCATCCTGGCTAACACAGTGAAACCCTGTCTCTACTAAAAATACAAAAAAAAAATTAGCCGGGCGTGGTGTCGGGCGCCTGTAGTCCCAGCTACTCGGGAGGCTGAGGCAGGAGAATGGCGTGAACCCAGGAGGCGGAGCTTGCAGTGAGCCAAGATTGCGCCACTGCACTACAGCCTGGGCGACACAGCGAGACTATGTCTCAAAAAAAAAAAAAAAAAAAAAAAAAATCCAAAAAATCAAAGCGAGTCCTTGGAGACAGGTTGAAAAGGGAGACTGAGACTGAAAATGGGGCTGAAATTTGAATATTAAGCTAAGAAATTTAGAAGAAAACTGCAAAAAGAAGATGTCTTGCGCACCAAAACTCAGCACAACTGTGAAAGGTAGGTGGTTGCTGCTACTAGGTGATCTGTCAAACTTTGTCACACACAGGAGCCATGTCACAAACCAGGGGCCTGATAGGTGCTGCCTTTGCATTGGAAACCATAAAGGGAAAGACTTCACTTCCAGAATTGGCTACTTTGTGCCCAGGAAGCAGAAAGACAACACTGAACTTTTCACATGGTCTTTGATAAAAGCGCCTGCACAGTGCATGATTGATAAAGGAGAAGACAAAGCTGTTCAACTATGAGACATTACTGGATTTTAAATATTTAAAGTTGATAATTTCTAGTTCAAGATATTGAACTAGAAATGTGAAGAGGTAGGGATGGTGTTCACACTTAACTTGTTGGAAAGATGACCACACATCATATGGAAAATCCAAGTCCAGTGAGAAAACAGAAAAATAAGTGTATAACAATTTTTGAATGATGTAAAAGTGAATTATTTCTGGATGAGTTTTCTGAAGTATGTGCTGAAAACATAACATCCAACAGGTTAGTCTTTCTAAAAAGAGTTCCCCTGATCAAATAGATTTGGGCAAATGTGCATGCTCTAGGTCTCTCGGATAATGGACATCACAATATTAAATGTTCTGAAAAGTCTGGAAGTAATAAAACTTAAACTTCACTTGAACCCTGAAAGGCAGTGACTTAACCAAAATGATCCCTGTTGATAAAAAAAAAAAAGGAAGAGAATTTACTTCTATTTTAAATTTTCATTAAAAGTGTTGTGACTCCTCTTATTGACTTGATACAATAGGATTATGGAAAAATAACTTTGAAGAAGTTGAGAGATACCCTTAGCTCCTCTTTTTTACTGATACTTACCATGTAGGAACCAGTCTATAAACACTGGTTAATGTCTGGATTCTTGTACATAGGCAGTGAACTGCACTTGGATGTAAATCTTAATTTCCTCATATCTAAATTTCAAGATCATTCCAGTTTATATACTCATATATTCAGAAGGGAAGTCTAGTTTCCATACCTACTCACTTCTCCCACTATAACAGCTGGGCTTGACTTCTGAAATGTTCCTCTGTCTTCCTCCTAGAAAACTCATATGATGTCCTCAGTAAACTTCTCAATAAACTTTTCTGTTGTTGTCCCCCCCAAAACTCCAATGCTTTCTTTTGTTGTTCATTTGCCTTGATCTTTCTGCAGCATTACCTGTGGCTCTTCTCTTCTCTTTTTAGCTGAATCCTTCCTTATTTATTTTCCATATCCAGGATGGGTAATTGAAATAAAGTGAGATTTGATTTAAATTATAGAACAAGGCAGTGTCATTCTTTTGCTGAACTGAAAATTGCAATGGAAAATCTTTCTTGCAACTTTTTCTTTTTGGTATGGATTTTTTTTAAATGTGAGGTTAAGACCCAGGAAACCTGGAATTCAACCCTAGGCCTTGCTATTAAGCAGTAACATGATCTTGAATAAAAATCAATTCCTGGCCCTTTGTTTTTTATCATCTATGGAATGAAGGAGAGAAACTTTAGAATATCTATACGTCTTTCTTTTACTGACATCCTGAATGCTCAGAAAATGCTTCTTCACCATATTTATGTGACTTTATCAAAATATTTGTCTCAGAGCCTACATAACAACACTATTTTAAAGAAAAAATCTTAAAATGGATAGCCTAGTGTTTAACTGTGCAGACCTTCACACCAGAATGCCTGAGTTCAAATTCTACTCCCACCATTTCGTGTCTGTGTGATGTTGGAAAAATCACTTAACTTGTCCGTGCTTCAGTTTCCTCATCTGAAAAAAAAAGAAAAAGAAAAAAAAAAAAGATACAGCAGCAGTTTCTCCCTCAGAGAGTTTTGAAGATTAAAGAAATTAATAAACGGAAAGCACTCAGAATGCTGCTGGGTATATAGGGAATGCTATGTACATGTGGTCTTTATTATTAATGGATCTTGACAGTGGTTGAAAACAAAGTATTTAAATATGGTTTTATCCTTTTCTGTCTAATTATGCAGCATTGGTAATTTTTTCACTGCTTGTGAAAGTTTGATTCATTGCAGAGAAAACCAAATACGTCATTGATAGCTTTAATTATAAACCCATACTCTGTCCACAATAATTTTTTAAAATTAAACATAGTCTCACTTTTCCTACTTTAGTAGACTATGTGAAAAAAAAAACCTTTTGATTGACAAAATGATGACTTTGTGATACATATACAAAGAAAGTAGCCAACAATACGTTGTTATAATTCTTTCTTTATATAAACTTGGTGTCTCTCAGAAAAGCTGAGAGGAGAAAGAACAGCAATCATATATTCGCAGCATTTATTATAGTACCCTTCTTATTTACTATTTCTGGTTCTTGGCATTTGTGTTTGTATATTTGAATTCCTGTCTGGTGTGAGTTCCTTAATCAAATATAGCTTTGTTCCTACTCAACTCCTTTGTGCTATAATCATAACTTGATGTGATTCTTTAATTTGCCTTCAGTTACTTGAAGCTAGCAGAGGTCAGTTCATAAGTTAAAGGAATAAAGTTTTGTTCATATCATAAAAGTGCAAGGTGAGGCTGCAAATGCTGATGTGGAAGTTACAGTAAGTAATCCAGAAAATTTAGCTAAGACAATTGATAAAGAGGGCTATGCTAAACAACAGACTTTGAATATAGACAAAACAGCCTTATATTGGAAGAAGATTCCATTTATGACTTTCATAGATAGAGAGGAGAAGTCAATGCCTGGCTTCAAAGCTTCAAAGGACAGGCTGACTCTCTTCTTAGGGGGTAATGCAGCTGGTGACTTTAAGTTGAACTCAATGCTCATTTACCATTCTGAAAATCCTGGGGCTCTTTAAAATTACCCTAAATCTATTCTGCCTGTGCTCTACAAATGTAAGAACAAAGCTTGAATGACAGTACATCTATTTACATCATGGTTTACTGAATATTTTAAGCTATCTGTTAATACTTACTGCTCAGAAAAAAAAAAAATCCTTTCAAAATATCACTGCTATTGAGAATTCACCTAGTCACCCAAGAGATCTGATGGAGATGAACAAAAAAGTTAATGTTTTTATGTCTGCTAAAAGGACATCCATTCTGCAGTCCATGGATCAAAGAGTAATTTCTACTTTCAAGTCTTTCAACTCTCAAAGGCATTTCTTATTTAAGAAATATATTTCATAAGGCTATAGCTGCCATAAAGAGTGATTTGTGTGATGGATCTGGACAAATTAAATTAAAAACCTGCTGGAAAGAATTCACCATTCTAGATGCCATTAAGAAAATTCATGATTCATGGGAGGAGGTCAAAATATCGACATGAACAGGAGTTTGGAAGAAGTTGATTCCAAAACTCATGAATGAATTTGAGGGATTCAAGACTTCAGTGGAGAAAGTAACTGCAGATGTGGTATTAAATAGAAATAGCAAGACAACTAGAATTAGAAGTAGAGTCTGAAGATGTGACTGAATTGCTGCAGTCTCATACTAAAACTTGAAGGGATGAGGAGTTGCTTCTTATGAAAGAGCAAAGAAAGTGATTTATTGAGATGGAATCTCCTCCTGGTGAAGAAATCATGGACATTGTTGAAATGACAATGCATCCGGATATGAATGTAGAGCCAGTGGCCTGCTTTTGTCTTCATGACTTTCTTGCTTTGGCCCCAAGGTTGTGAGCAGGGGCTATGTAGCCTCTAGTCTTCTCAACCTCTCCTGGTGTGAACATTGAATTATAATAAACTGAGATGAGGGTTATATGAGCCCCATCTTCTCAGCATACCTCAGCACTTCCTCCCTCCATGAAAGGTAAAAGCTGTCTTTTTTTAAATTAAACTTTCTATATTGAACAATTATAGATTCACACATAGATGTAAAAAATAATTCAGAGAAACCCCATATATCTTTTATCTAATTTCCCCCAGTGGCAACACCTTGCAAAACTTTAGTATAATAACAGAATTAGAATATTGAGGTTTATATAGTTAAGACACAAATATTTTCTATCAACACAATTAACTCTTTTGTTGCCTTTTTATATTTATATATTTACTGAGACAAGGTCTCACTTTCTTACCCAGGTTGGATGGAGTGCTGTGGCCCAATCTCAGCTCACTGCAACCTCCACCTTTCAGGTTCAAGCAATCCTCCCACCTCAGCCTCCCAAGTAGCTGTGACCACAGACACACACCACAACACCTGGTTAACTGTGGAAACCACTAATCTGTCCTCAATTTCTATAATTTTGTCATTTCAAAAATGTTGTACAAATGGAATCATAGAGTATATGACATTTTTGAATTCATGTTTTTACTTAGCAAATTCTCTGGAGATTCATCCAAGTTTTTCATGTATCAGTAGTTTGTTCCTATCAATACCATAGTATGAATGTACAACAGTTTGTTTAACTATTCACACATTAAAGGACATCTGGTTTGTTTCTAGTTGTTGGCCATTATGAAAAATAAAAAGGCTGCTATAAAAATTTACATGCAGGATTTTTTTGTGAGCATAGGTTTTTATTTCTTTGAGATTTATGCCTAAGAGTATAATCACATAGTTGTTGCAGTTTTAGTTTAAGAAACCACCAAACTGTTTTTCAGTGTCTGTGTAATTTTACATTCTTTCCAGAAATCTGTAAGGTACCTGTTGTTATGGGCTGAACTGTATCCCTCCAAAATTCATATGCTGAATGCCTAACCCACAACGTGGCTGTATTTGGAGATGGGGCCTTTAGGGAAGTAATTAGTTTAAGTGAGGTCACGAGAGTGGGTCCCTAATCCCATATGAATGATGTTCTTATTATAACAGGAAGCAACACCAAAGATCATTTTCTCTCCTTTTGTGTGAAACCAACCTAATTGTGCCATAGATAGTTTATGGGATAATCATAAAAATTGGCCCTGCCAGTCTTAAAACTTGAGAAACTTACAACTGCCTTATCTGAGTTTCTTTCTCAGGAAACCAACCATCAGGCCTCCCAGATAGTATCAAGAAATTGAAACTTAACCAATCATCACATCTGGGCAATGAGACACCAGACCCCCTCATTCATCGTGATTGTTTCTTTACCTGCTGTAATTATTGGTTTACTAAGGGACCACCTGCTTCCTATTGACCAACTCCTCTTCCTTACCCCTCTCTAATTGCTGTTTTCCTGCACATAGCTACATTCCTTTTCTGCTATATAAACCTTCAATTTTAGTTAGTCAGGGACATGGATTTGAGACTGATCTCCCAACTCCTCTGCTGCAGCACCTGAATAAAGCCTCTTCCCTGGTCATTTTCTGCTCAGTGATTGGCTTTTTGTGTGGTAAGCAGCAGTATCTAGACCAAATCCCAGAGTTCCTGTAACATATACACACACAGAGAAAATGCTTTGCACAGACATAAAGAGAAAGCAACTGTTTGCGAGCCAGGAAGAGAGAAACCAAACTGGAGAGCACCTTGATGTAGAATTTCTAGCTTCCAGAACTGTGAGGAAATACATTTCTGTTGTTTAAGCAACCCAGCCTGCCATATATTGTTATACAGTAGCCCTAGCAAACTAACACATTGTTTCTCTACATTCTTTCCCACTTTTGATATTGCTACTCTTTTATTTTAGCCACTCTAAGAGGTTTATAGTGATATTGCATTATACTTTTATGTGAATTTCTCTAATGACTGATGTTGAGCGTCTTTTCATATGTTTATTTGCATTATATATTTCTTCTTTGGTGAAGTATCTTTTCATGTATTTTGCTCATTTTATAATTGGATTTTGTTTTAACGGGTGAGTTTTGAGAGTTCTTCACTTTTTCCTGATAGCTCAGATATGTGGTCTACAAGTGTTTTCTCTTATTCTGTAGCTTATATTTTCATTCTCTTTAGAGGGTCCTTCACAGAAGAAAGTTTTCAATTTTTATAAACTCCAACATACCAAATTTTTATTTTACGGATCATGCTTTTAGTGTCAAATCTACAAACTCTTTGTCTACCCCTGGATGGCAAAGATTTTCTCCTTTTTTTTTTTCTCAAAAGCTTTGTGGTTGTATGTTTTACACATAAGTCTGTGGTCCATTCCGTGTTAATATTTGTGTAAGGTATGAGAAGCCAAAGTTCAGCTTGTTGCCTATGGATATATGTTACAATAAAGACTATACTTGATCTTTGTCCCTGGTTTCTGGCATATGGGAAGCTAGAATGGACATTCTGGCTCTCCACATGGTCTCCACTGACACTATAGTAGTGGCCGCCCTGTTACCACTGAGCAATGGGGCAAATCCTTACTTGCCATTAGGCCTCCTCTGATACAACCCCACGGGGACCAGGAGGGACATCTCATTTTTGCTGGGTGGTTGTAGAATCTAAGGCTTTCCACACGATCTCCCTGATATTTATTTCTTGATCCTTTGGCTAGGAAGAGGAGGCTTTGTTTTGGGGCATATACACACACGTTGGTGTTTCTGGGTTGCTGGCCCCTTTAGCTCCAGGTCTGAGATACATAAGACAAAAAGAGCACCCAGGGATCTCACCACCCTGTTGCTCCTCCAGTCCTGAAGTCTCTAGTCGCTTTCCTTCTTCTTTTTACTTTTCAGAGGTGTATTTTCATTTCATCTGTAGTATCCAGTGATATGGTTTGGCTGTGTCCCCACTCAAATCCCCAGGTGTTGTGGGACAAACCATGTGGAGATAATTAAATCCTGGGGGCTGTCCCCCTATCCTGTTCTCATGATAGTGGTTAGTTCTCACTAAATCTGATGGTTTTATAAGGGGCTTTCCCCCTTTGGCTTGGCACTTCTTCTTGCTGCCGCCATGTGAAGGAGGATGTGTTTACTTCCCCTTCCACCATGATTATAAGTTTCCTGAGGGCTCCCCAGCCATGCTGAACTGTGAATCAATTAAACCTCTTTCCTTTATAAATTACTCAGTCTTGGGTATGTCTTTATAAGCAGCATGAGAATGGACTAATACATCCAGGGTTTTAGTTGTGCTGAGAAAGAAAAACAAGAAGAAGTAAATTTATTTCATCTTTCCAGAATTTGAAGTTTCTGAAAATGCTCTTTTAAGCAGAATATGATGGACATTCAATTGGCCAATCAACTACCAAACATAATATTTTGGTTTATGGAATCTACCATTTTTGAAGTCTTGGTGGGAGGCAGAGCCTTACCTTGCATTTATAGAAGTGAAAGCTGGTGTCTGGGCATATGACTTAGTCTTGTTCAATCAGATGCCACCATGGAAGATTTGATTCTGTAGTAAATGGCACATGAAAGAAGAGATAGTTGAGAATTTATTTCTCTGCTAACGGTATCATGCAGGGTCCTGGCACTCAGTGTCCAGTGGCAGTAGCAGTGATATTCAAATTAGGCTATTTTTAATGATGATAATTTAGTTGGTACTCTGGATATCTACTTGGTTTTTTACCATTTTATTGGGGTTCATGTTTCTCTTTTTTTTTTTTTTTTTTTTTTTTTTGAGACGGAGTCTCGCTCTGTCGCCCAGGCTGGAGTGCAGTGGCGGGATCTCGGCTCACTGCAAGCTCCGCCTCCCAGGTTCACGCCATTCTCCTGCCTCAGCCTCCCAAGTAGCTGGGACTACAGGCGCCCGCCACTACGCCCGGCTAATTTTTTGTATTTTTAGTAGAGACGGGGTTTCACCGTTTTAGCCGGGATGGTCTCGATCTCCTGACCTCGTGATCCGCCCGCCTCGGCCTCCCAAAGTGCTGGGATTACAGGCGTGAGCCACCGCGCCCGGCCTCATCTTTCATTCTTCCTTTAGATTTTGTGTTCTCCAAAGTTTTATTGCAATCAAAGAGAATTGTATTTCCCATTAGAGAGACAGGAGATGCTGAGGGATTAAATAAAGAGAAAGAGACAAAAGCAAACTCCCAGCTCTTGGCAACCCCTTTCTTTTAATCTTTGCTCTTTTCTAGCACAAATAATATATATTCTGCTCAGAGAAATTTATCTTGTTAACATTAGCTATTGTTATAAAACACACACACACAAATATATACAAGAATGATTTAAGAATTTTTTTCTGGTAAAAATATGGATAATTGCACGAGGCAAATATGCAAGGAAATATTGTCATGGTGATTTTTACAAGCCAGTCACCTGCAGTAATAATTCCTAATGACCCAAAAATATTCAAAAGAGAGACAGTAAAAATCCAACACTCTGGCTGCACATGAAGACTGCTTTCGTGCTCTAAGCCCAGCCCCCAAGTATGAAAAGTAAATAAATAAATATAACTGGAAGCCCAGGACACACGATGGGTTCAGAACATAAAACGGAATTCCACAGCACAGCAAGAAACCAAGTGGTTTCTTGACAGGCAAATTCCTTTCCACAAAAAGCATAGGCCTTATTAAAGTGTTTCTCAAGTTCAAAGACAGGCGAGATAGATGGGGCTGCACACTGTAGATATGGACAACTCATCAGAACCGTTACCATATTTGTTGGGAAGCAATAGACCAAACAGAAAACCTCAGTCTCACCTCTCACTATGTAATTTGCTGTATTTATCTGGTAGGCAAATATTCTTTGAATTAAAGTTGCTTCACAACTAGAAGACTTTTCTTAAATGCCATTTCAGAGAAGGCAATGTTTAACATTCCCACATCAGAGAAATAAAAACAATTCCTAATTCTTGTTAAATGTATTTCAACTCTTTGACATGTCTTCACGTCAATTATATAATTCCAATCTCAAAACAACCTGTGAAGTCATCAGGAAAGGATAGGAAAAAATAACATATTTACTGAGTGCCTACTATATACTAGGTTAGATATATTTTTTCATTTTATCCTTACACCAACCCTTTGATTTAATGTATTTAATTGATGAGATTGAGAGAGATTAACTGGTTGCTTCAGGTCAGTCAGATCCAGGGGTAGATCCCACGTCACTTGGCTTCCAAGTCTATGAAGCCTTTTTCAGATTCTGTTGTGGCACTTTTTGGTTCACTTAATGGAAAAATAAAGTCATATGCTAAAGAGTAAGGAAACTCAACCCATATTTTTTGTGCTTCTATTTAAAGCATGATTTTGCCTCTGAGTGGATATCAACAGGAAATAGTTCCTGTATCATCAACAGAACAAGCAGCTGGACTGAGGAAACAAAAACACAAAGTCCAAAATAGTGATATTGGCAGGGTAGACATTACACGCAGGATACCGGAAGGCCAGTCAGACCATGAGGGCTTATGCTGCAACCCCTAAGGTGAGAGAAGGCTCCAGAACCACTTTTAAAAATGGTACTGTATAGTGACATCGGGCAAGTCACTTAATCTTTCTAGGTATCAGGTTTGTTACCTGCAAAATCTTTAATTTAACTCACTAATTTGTAGTCTGAGGTATAGGAGGAATTGAGAAGCCTAGAAAGCCTGGTAAAGGGTGGATGGGCACAGGTACTGACAAGGATGTGAAATCTGTGAAGCTTTCCCACCTCCCTTTTTGAAGCATATTTCTTTTCATATGATAATCCTTTTTCTCTCATCCTTTTCCCATTCTTGCTAATCCCATTCATGGATTATTGATGTATTCCTCCCCACAGTACATCAAAACTCTGAAGGCCCCCTACACCATATAACATGATACAGGCTGATAAATCATTACATATATATGCACACGTACACACTCATACCCTAAGTTTCTCTATACATACACCTAGACACATATACCTGATTTTGCTACAAAACATTGAAACACGCAGACTCATCCCAGCTGTGTAACTAGCCAACTCTGTAACCTTGGGAAAATCATATCATCTTTCCAGGTGTCAGTATCTTCATCTACAAAATAAAGAGCTTAACCTAAATTATTTCTGAACTAGCTGATAGTCCTCAAATCCAAGAATAGCTTGTTCTCTGTTACTCAATGTTCTTATGCTAACTCCAACTGAAAAATTAACATATGGTTTCTTCCTCACTACTAAACAGATGAATGATCTTTGTTATCCATTATGCAAAAGGAAGACTTTATAAAATACATAAATTTGAAATTGTATGTGTGTTAATCAACCAAAAGATTATTAAGTTATATTCATTGGAGTCCACTAATGGTAGAAACAATTTGGAAAGATATATATATGCACATGCACATAAATTTTTAAATTTTTAATTTTTTTTCCCTATAAAACAAACACCTTCACCTCAGAGATTTATTCTCTTATCATTTTCCCAGGTCATAAGATTTGAAATTAAACAAAGTGGCCACTCAATGACAGCTCTTTACATGGAAGTTTCAATTCCAGGAAATCCAGACTTGAATTCTTAGGCTTCTCTCTTCATATCTGTTCCAAAAGAGCAGCTCCTAAAAGTATAGCATTTCCAGCTGTCAGATTTGATTCAGACTAAAGAATATATAGTAATTTTCCACTTTGAAGTTTGGCCTTGAAAAAATATATATCTTCACTCTTGTTCTTATTTAAATTATTATTTTTTTTTTTTTTGGCAGAGTTTTACTCTTGTTGCCCAGGCTGGAGTGCGATGGTACGATCTTGGCTCACCGCAACCTCCACCTCCTGGGTTCAAGTGATTCTCCTGCCTCAGCCTCCCGAGTCACTGGGGTTACAGGCGCACACCACCACACCCAGCTAATTTTGTATTTGTAGTAGTGACGGGGTTTCTCCATGTTGGTCAGGCTGGTCTCGAACTCCCAACCTTAGGGGATCCGCCCATCTCGGCCCCCCAAAGTGCTGGGATTACAGGCATGAGCCACCACGCACTGCCTTAACTCATTCTTTATATAAAATATTACATATACATTTCAGAAACATCTCATACGTGTTCAGTTACATTTCTCACTATATTTATAATAATTATATTGAAGGCCCAAGCAAGTGACCTCACTAGCTCTTTTACTAACATAACTATGTTTGCCTTATAGAAAGTCACTAATGATAAGGAGCAGAAGAAGAAAAAGAGTTTTTCCTTTATCCCTTCCTGGTCCAGCTGTGTATTTTTCACATGAGAAGATGGAAAACCTCTCCTCATCCTAATATAACCCATCTGTTAGTGGCAGAACCTCAGAGGCATTAGAAACAGTTCTCTTTTCTGTTCAAAATATTCACAGTCCTTGAATCATCTGCATGTTAAACAATATTCTAAGCAAAATCCACACCACTTGAATAATTGTACAGACTTCTAAAAGATCTACCTAGAAACTTGTGGCTTATATCATGTATGAAGTCTGATAAGTTTGTTCGTTAAAAAATCGTATCACCTTATCATCACATATTGCTTATTGTTGATAAAAAGGAAGAAGCAATGCCTCTTGTTTTTAATCTATTATGACAATACAGAATTAAGGAAAATGAGTTTTAATAGAATGTTTATTTATTGTGCAGTTTCAGAGTCAAATTCAGAAAAATACAGGAGTTGGAAAACTGAGTGCAAGCATTTGTTTTGCAGTTAATGCATTTGTTCTCATTCAGCAAGTCAATGGCCTCCTCTAGGATCCTGTTACCTCATCCATAAAAGAAAAAGGATTTGGGAATTCTAAGTACCCTGCAGTTCAGACACACTAAGATCCTTCATCTCATCCATTGGCTTATAGAGGTGACAAGTTAGGTCTCCTGAACAGTTTCCAAAGGCATAAAAAAGTCGATAGAATGATTCTTTCCAACATAAGAAAAATAGTAAAACTGTACATAGGACACTATAAAATGACATCGAAGGAGACAGAGGCAATTTGCTCATTTGGAGAAAATAGCAAGATAAGATATGAAGTGCAGTGTAGCAGGGGAATGACACTGGATCATAACACTGAGTAAAAAGATTTTGAATAAGAGGTAGGCAACACATTCTGGAACAAATTACATTGTGGAGGGAAATTGTGTAAATATATAAGCTTTAGAGATGGTAAACTAAAGCTCTTGAACCAGTGGACTAAATATAAAAAAAGAAGTTCTAGAAGAGGGCATTTCTACATTTATCAAAGCATGCACTTCAAAGCCTCTTTCTCCTTTCCTACCGCACCAACTTTGAGATTTTAGCTTTCTTTGTTAATAAAGTATAATTCCTGTGACCAAGTGATGGCATCATACACCCCAGGAACCTTATAATAAAGTCTCTCCAGCCTTAAAAAAAAAATCACTTAAATTCAAGAGTTCATTTCTAGGTAAGCTAGCCAATGGGTCAAAGTGAAAAAATCCAAAAGTTAAGTTTGTTTTGATTTGTTTTTCCCCACATAATTATGACTTCCATAATTATGGCTCCAATTAAAGCAGAAACTCTGAGCTCTAGTAGGATTTTCTCTGTGAAGTAGCTTGTATGCTCCCTTTCCTGGTTTTCCAGATTGGCTTATAACTTCTGAACAAGGTTTAATAGCTGATTCCCAACTGCACTTAATGGAGAGTGATCTCAATACCAGTGTTGTGGAATGAGTCAAGCATAGATGGGGTTCCAAAATGCAGGGCTTTGGATAGAGTTTTAATTCACACTTGGCTGTAGGGAGCCCTATACTCACAAATAAGCCAAATTTAACTCTAGGTTTCCTCCCTGTCACTTTATCTACTACGTGCAACTTTTTAAATAGAAGCCTACCTGATTCTTTAAGAAAACTTTCTGCTAGGACATCTTAGAAAGAAAAATGACATTGTGAGGATTTAAATATAGCGAGACATTTTAAATCTTCATGCTATTAGACTAACCAGCTATCATCATCAGTGATAGTGGTGATAACTGTATCATGGTCTAGCAGATGAGAAATAGGCAAGCAGAAGCTTTTGTTCCAATTCCACCTTGATCATTAGCTCACTGAGATATTTCTCATAAGTAAAAAATACTTCAACTCCCATTTCTAAAGCTTGATTATTAAAGAATTGTTGTTTGCTGGCTTCAGTTAAGACATATATGGAATAAGTATATTTTTTAAAAAGTTAATTGAAATGATATGCCCTTATTTTAAAGGTTCCTATAGGGTAACGCACTTCAACCTACAGAATATAATAACCTTTACATTGACTTCTTATGGAAGCTTAAATATCTCTTCCTGTCAGAAAGATAGAATTGACATACTTCAAGTTCTTATGGGATGTGTTTAAGTGTAGCTTGGTTTTGTAGTCCAAAAATTCATAATCTATAGAAAAAAATTTCAGGAGACCAAGTAGGATTCTATTTTAAAAGCAAGAAAAGTCAAGTAGCATCCCCAAGTCTTTCATGAAATCACACCATTTCACGAAACTGCTCCATCTTACAAACTTCTTGGGTAGTAATCAAAGTAATCTGCTCTCTAGTAACTTCCACCTGTATCATACAGTTGAAAAAAAATGAAGGCTATGGAGTTACAACATTATAGTAATTGAGCTGCCTAACCCCAGACCTGTTGAACCAGATAATGTGTTTGTTTACTCTGTCAATTCTGTGTGGGAGTGCATAGCTCCAAAAGAGCATCCGTCACTCCCTCCAACTTCCCCATCCAGGAAAACAGCTACATGCTCATGCAGGTCAGAATCATTTATATTGCAAAATATATACAAGTCCTACCCTCAGTATCTTCAGATATGGATATATATTGCTTGCTTGGATTAATCTACCTCTCTATTCTACAACCTGAGCCATTAAGATTACTTCTGCCATTGCACCCCATCACAAGTTCAGCTCATATTCCTATTGATGGATAAAGGATGCATCAATAAATAGGGGAACAGTAAGAATAGAGACAGTAATCATTTTTTTTCTAGAAAATTATTTAATGGGACCTGACTCCCTAAAATTCCAATGGGGGACAACTAACTATTCTCAATTCCTGATGTGTTCATATTCGTCCACATTTTTATTTAACATATTTTTGTTTTGTTTTGTTTTGTTTTGTTTTTGAGATGGAGTTTCACTCTGTCGCCCAGGCTGGAGTGCAGTGGTGCGATCTCAGCTCACTGCATCCTCTGCCTCCCGGGTTTAAGCAATTCTCTACCTCAGCCTCCCGAGTAGCTGGGATTACAGGCACCCACCACCACACCTGGCTAATTTTTTTTTTTTTTGTATTTTTAGTAGAAAGGGGGTTTCACCATCTCAGCCAAGCTGATCTTGAACTCCTGACCTCATGATCTACCCACCTCAACCTCCTAAAGTGCTGGGATTACAGGCATGAGCCACCTCGCCTGGCCTAACATGTTTATTGAGACCCTAATATGTTTCAGACACTGTGCTAGGCTTTAGTGGTTCAGTGTTGGCTCAAACAGTGTTTGCTCTCAGGGAGTTCATGCTCCAATCTGGCAGAAAGATAAGTAAATGAAGTCATACCTCAGAGATATTACAGGTTCAGTTTCAGACCACCATAATAAAGCAAATATTGCAATAAAGTGAGTCACACATTTTTTTTGTTTGTTTTACAGCACATGTAAGAGTTATGTTTATATTATATTATAGTTTACTTGGTATTCAGTAGCATTATGTCTAGAAATGCACATATTTTAATTTAAAAATGTTTTATTCTTAAAAATGCTAATGGACATCTGAACCCTAAGCAAGTCATCATCTTTTTTCTGGTGAAGGTTCTTGTCTCAGTATTGATGGCTGCTGACTCATCAGTCTGGTGGCTCCTAAAGGTTGAGATGACTGTGACAATTTCTTAAGATAACAGTGAAGGTCACTACATCGATTGACTCTTCCATTCAGAAAAGTTTTCTCTGTAGCGTGTGATGAAAAGTTTGATAGCATTTTACCCAGAGTAGAACTTCTCTCAAAATTGGAATGTATTATCTCAAACCCTGCCACTGTCAACTAAGTTTATGTAATATTCTAAGCCTTTTGTCGTCATTTCAACAGTGTTCACAGGCTCTTCACCAAAACTAGCTTCTATCTCAAGAAACCATTTTCCTTGCTTATGCATAAGAAGAAACTACTCATCTATTCCAGTTTTATCATGAGATTGAAGCAATTCAGTCACATCTTCAGACTTCACTTCTAAATCTAGTTTTCTTCCTGTTTTCACAACATCTAAAGTTACTTTCTCTACTGAAGTCTTGAACCTCTCAAAAACTTTCAATCAGCAAGGATTGAACTCAGATTCTTCCAAACTGTTGTTCCTGTTAGTATTTTGATCTCGTACCGTGAATCATGAATGTTTTTAATGGCCTCTAAAATAATAAATTCTTTCCAGAAGGTTTTCACTTTACTTTGCCCTGATCACTATGGTAGCTCTAGTGAATCACTATGGCAGCTATAGCCTAACAAAATGTATTTCTTAAATAAGAGGACTTACTAATTGAGATTACTCCTTGATCCATGAGGTACAGAATGGATATTGTGTTAGCAGACATGAAAATAACATTAATCTTCATGTACATCTCCATCAGAGCCCTTGGGTGACTAGCTGCATTGTCAATGAGAAGTAATATTTTGAACAGAAACTTCTGAGAAGCAGGTCTCAATAGAAGGCTTAAAATATATAGTAAGTCATGATGTAAACAGATGTGTTGTCACCAAGACTTTGTTCTTCCGTTTATAGAACACAGGTGGAGTAGATTTAGCAAAATTCTTAAGGACCTTAGCATTTTCAGAATGGTAAGTAAACACTGAATTCAGCTTAAAGTTAACAGCAGCATTAACCCCTAACAAGGGAGTAAACCTTTGAAGCTTGGAACCAGGCAATTGACTTCTCTCTAGCTGTAAAAGTCCTAGATGGTATCATCTCATAATATAAGGCTGTTTTGTCTATATTGGAAATCTGTTGTTTAGTGTAGCCACCTTCATCAATTTTCCTAGCTAGATTTTCTGGATAACTTGCTGCAGCTTCTAAATCAGCTCTTGCTGTATAACCTTGCATTTTTCTTTTATGAAAACGGTTTCTTTGTTTAAACCTCCTGAACCAAGGTCTGATAGTTTCAACCTCTTCTGCAGCTTTCTTACTTCTCTCAACCTTCATGGAATTGACAAGACTTAGACCCTTGTTCTGGGTTAGGCTTTGGCTTAAGGGAATGTTGTGAGTGGTTTGATTCATTAAGACCAATAAAACTTTTTCCATGTCAGCAATAACACTGTTTAGCTTTCTTTTATTTGTTGTTCATTCAAGTAGCACTTTTAATTAAAAAAAAAAAACTTTTATTTTGCATTCATAATTTTGCTGATTGGCACATGACACTTAGCTTTTGGCCTATCTGAGCTTTTAACATGCCATCTTCATTATGTTTAGTTATTTCTAGCTTTTTGTTTGAAGTGTGAGATGTGTGGGAATGGAGCAAGATGGTAGAATAGAAGGTTCCACCAATCATCCCCCTGCCACTACAAGGACACCAATTTAACAATTATCTACACACACACAAAAAAAGCACCTCCATAAGAACGAAAAATCGAGTGACCACTCACAGTACCTGATTTTAACCTCATATTGCTGAAAGAGACACTGAAGAGGTAACAAAAACAGTCCTGAATTGCCAATGGCACCTCTCCTCCATCCCCCAGCAGTGGTGGCATGGTGTGGAGAGTGTTTCTGTGCACTGGGGAGAGGGGAAGCACAGAAAATATGTGGCATTGTACTCAGTGCTGCCCTATTATAACAAAAAACAAAACAGGACCAAACTAAGCTGACAGTCACCCACGGGTTTAAACCAGCCCTAGCTAGGGGAGTCAACCATGCCAGTGGTCAGAACTTAAGTTCTTGCAAGCCTTGCCCCTGAAGTCTAGAGTGTTCTGTGGTTCTGCATAAACCTGAAGGGTAGTCTAGGCCACAGGAGCTGCAGTTCTGTGGCAAGTCCCAAGTGCTGAACTGGGCCCAGAGCCAGTGGATGAGGGGGCCATGAGACCTACTGAAGCATCAGCCAAGGCTGCTAAGGGAGTGCCGGCATCACCCCTCCCCTAACTCCACGCTACACAGCTCATGGCTCCAAAAAAGTCCCCTTCTCTCTGCCTGAGGAAAGAAGAAGGAAGAGTGGGAAGGACTTTGTCTTGCACCTTGGATACCAGCTCAGCCACAGCAGGATGGAGCAGTGGTCAGAGCCATGAGGCCCCGTTTCTAGGCCCTAATTCACAGACTACATTTCTAGAAACATGCTGGGCCAGAAGGGAACCTGCTGACTCAAAAGGAAGGACACAGTACTGGCAGGATTAATTACCTGCTAATTGAAAAGGCCTTGGTACAAATAGCCAGCAGGAATACCCAATACTACATCAAGGGCTTTGAGTGAGACTCTGAGACTTGCTGTCTTCAGGTGAGACTGAGCACATTCTCAGATGTGGTGGCTACGGGGTGAGATTCCTTCCCATTGAGAAAAGTGGAGGGAAAAGTAAAGGGGACTAAGGAACCTGGTGCATGGAAGGCAAGGATCCAGTACTGTTAGAATTCATCACCTGCTAACTGGGAAGTCCTTGGGCTTTGAATAACCAGCAGTGATACCCAGGCACTATGCCAAGGGCATTGGATGAGACTCTGAAACTTGCTTGCTTCAGATGAGACTCAGCACATTCCCAGATACAGTGGCTATGGAGTGAAACTCTTTCCACTTGAGAAAGGTGTAGGAAAAATTTAAGGAGACTTTGTCTTATACCTTAGGTACCAGCTTGGCTATAGGGGCATAAGAGCACCAAGTGGGCTCTTAGGGTCCCTGATTCTAGGACTTGGCTTTTGGACATTTCTGGACCTGCCCTAGGCCAGAGGGGAGCTCATTGCCCTGAAGGGTGAGTGCTAGGTCAGGCAGCATTCACAAGCTTACTGGAGAGCCCTTGGGACTTAAGAGAACATTGGTAGTAGTCTGACATTACCTCCTGTGGCCTGTGGAAGTGGTGGCCATGGAGTGAAGCTCCTCTGCCTTTGGAAAGGGGAAGGAAGAGTGGGAAGGATGGCATCTTTTGGTTTGAATGCCAGCTCAAATTCAGTACAATAGAATACTAGGTGGACTTCTAAGGTTTTTGACTATAGTTTATGGCTCACAGCTGCCACCTCTGGACCTGCCTAGAGCCTAGCAGACCTCATCACCCTGAAGGGAAGGACACAGGCCTGGATGGCTTTGCCACCTGCTGATTATAGAGCCCCAAGTCCTGAAGTAAACATAGGTCATAGACAAGCAATGGTTACAGTAAGCACTGGGCAAGACCCAGGGTTATGCTGGCTTTACATCTCATCCAGTACAGTCCTAGTGGTTGTGGCCATGGGGGTGCTTGTGTCACCCCACCCTCTGCTCCAGGTGGCTCAGAACAGAGAGAGGGGCTTTGTTTGGGAGAAAATAAGGGAAGAGAACAAGAATCTCTACCTGGTAATCCAGAGAAGTCTTCCAGATCTTGCCCAAGATCGTCAAGGCAATACATGTAGAAGTTTGCAAGAACCACAGTGTAGTGAGCTTGGGGTTTCCCCTAAAACAGATGCAGCTTAGATCACAACACCCAAGTCCTTTTGAGTATCTAGAAAGCCTTTCCCAGAAGGATGAGTACAAACAAGCCCAGATTGAGAAGACTACAATAAATACCTAACCCTTCAAGGTCCAGACACTAAAGGACATCTACAAGTATCAAGACCATCCAGAAAACACGACCTCACCAAAAGCACTAAATAAGACCCCAGAGACCAATCCAGGGGAACCAGAGATATGTGACCTTTCAGACAGAAAATTCAAAATAATGATTTTGAGGAAAACAAAAAACTGTAAGATAACACAGATAAGGAATTCAGAATTATATGAGACAAATTTAACAAAGATATTAAAATAATTTAAAAGATCAAGCAGAAATGCTGGAGCTGAAAATGCAACTGGAATATTGAAGAATGCATCAGAGACTTAATAGCAGATTTAATCAAGCAGAAGAAAGAATTAGTGAACTTGAAGACAGGCTACTTGAAAATATACACGGTCTAAGAAGACAAAAGAAAAAGAATAAAAAACAATGAAGGACACCTACAAGATCTAGAAAATAGCTTCAAAAAAGGCAAATCTAAGAGGTTTTGAACATAAAGAAGAGGTAGAGAAGGAGATAGATATAGAAAGTTTATTCAAAGAGATAATAACAGAGAACTTCCCAAACATAGAGAAAGATATCGATATCCAAGTACAAGAAGGTTATAGAATACCAAGAAGATTTAACCCAAATAAGACTACCTCAAGGCATTTAGCAATCAAACTCCCAAAGGTCAACGATAAAGAAAGGATCCTAAAAGCATCAAGAGGAAGGACACAAATAATATACAGCAGAGCTTCAATATGTCTGGCAGCAGATTCCTCACTGGAAACCTTACAGGCCAGGAGAGAGTTGCATGACATATTTAAAGTGCTGAAGAAATAAAAATTCTTACCTCAGAATAGCATATCCAGTGAAACTATCCTTCAAACATGAAAGAGAAATGAAGACTTTCCCAGAAAAACAAAGGCTGAGGGGTTTCATCAATATCAGACCTGTCTCAGAAGAAATGCTAAAGGGAGTGCTTCAATCAGAAGGAAAAGCACAGTAAAGAACAATAAGAAATCACCTGAAAGTGCTAAACTCACTGGTAATAGTAAGTTCACAAAAGAACACAGAATATTATAACACTGTAACTCTGATGTGTAAACTACTCTTGTCTTAAGTAGAAAGGCTTAATGAACCAATCAAATGTAATAAGTACAACAACTTTTCAAGAAATACACAGTACAATGAGATATAAATAGGAAAAAAACAAAAAGTTAAAAAGCGGACGGATAAAATTAGGGCATGGAGTCTTTATTTGTTTCCTTTTTGCTTATTTGTGTGTTTGTATTGCAAACAGTGTTGTTATTAGCTGCAAATAATGGGTTATAATATTCTATTTGCAAGCTTCAAAGCAAAGGTTACTATTTGTAACCTTAAAGCAAAAACCATGTAACAGATACACACACAAAAAAGCAAGAAATTTAATTATATCACCAGGCAAAATCACCTTCACAAAAGGAAGATGGGAAGGAAGAAAGAGAAGGCCACAAAACAACAAGAAAACAGATAACAAAATGGAAAGAATAAGTCCTAACTAATCAATAACATCATTGGGTGTAAATGGGCTGCACTCTCCACTCAAAAGACACGGAGTGGCTGAATGGACAAAAAAAAAAAAAAAGAAGACCCAGTGATCTGTTACCTACAAAGAACATACTTCACATACAGATGGAAAATAAAGAGATGGAAAAACTTATTCCATGCCAATAAAACTGAAAAGAACAGGAGTAGTATACTTTTATATCAGACAAAATAGATTTCAAGACAAAAACTATAAGAAGAGACAAAGAAAGTCACTATATAATAATAAAGAGGTCAATGCAGCAAGAGGATATAATCATTTAAAATTTATAGGTACATAACATTGGAGGACCAAGATATATAAAGAAAATATTATTAGAGCTAAAGAGAGAAATAGGCCCTAATACAATGATATCTGGAGACCTCAACACCCAACTTTCAACAATGCAAAGATCTTTCAGACAGAAAACTAGCAAAGAGAATAGTGGACTTAATCTACACTATATAACAAATTGACCTAAAAGATATTTACAGAACATTTCGTCTAACAGCTATATATGAGAATAGACTATATATTAAGTCACAAAACAAGTCTCAAAACATTTTTTAAGTGGAAATAACATTAAGCTCCTTCTCTGATTATAATGGAATAAAACTATAAATCAATAACAAGAAGAATTTTGGAAAAATATAAATACATGGAAATTAAACAATATGCTCCTGAATGACCAGTGGATCAGTGAAGAAATTAAGAAGGAAACTGAAAAATTTCTTGAAACAAATGACAATGGAAGCACAACATACCAAGACCTATGAGATACAACAAAAGCAGTACTAAGAGGAAAGTTTATAGCTATAAAGGTTTACATCAAAAAAGAAGAAAAAATTCAGATAGAAACCTAATGCTGCAACTTAAGGAACTATAAATACAAGAGCAAATCAAACTCAAAATAAGTAGAAGAAAAGAAATAATAAAGATCAGAGTAAAAATAAATACGATCAAAATGAAGAAAGTTATAGGAAAGATCAATGGTATGAAAAGTTGTTTTTTTGAAGTTAACAAAAATTAACAAACCTTTTAACAAACCTTTAGCCAGAAAATGAAGAAAAAAAAGATCAAAATAAATACAATCAGAGATGAAAAAGGAGACACGATAACTGATGTTACAGAAATTCAAAGATTGTTTAGTGGCTACTGTGAGCAACTACATGTAAATAAATAGAAAACTCCAAAAGAAATGGACAAATCCCCAAACACATACAACCTACCAAGATTGAACCATGAAGAAATTCAAAACCCTCGCAGACCAATAACAAGTAATGAGATCTAAGCCATAATAACAAGTCTCCCAGTAAAGAAAAGTCTGGGACCTGATGACTTCACTGCTGAATTCTACCAAACATTTAAAGAAATCCTACTTAAACTATTCCAAAAAATATAGAAGAAAGAAATAGTCCAAACTCATTCTGGAAGGCCAGTATTACCCTGGTACCAAAACCACATAAAGACACATCAAAAAAAGAAAACTATAGGCTAATATATTTGATGAATATTGATTGAAAAATTCTTAATAAAGTACTAACAATCTGAATTCAATAATGAAATAAAAAGATCATTCATTATGACCAAGTGGGATTTATCCCTGGGATGCAAGTGTGGTTCAACATATGCAAATCAATCAATGTGATACTTCATATCAACAAAAAGAAAAAAAATGATCATTTCAATTGATACTGAAAGTGTTTTATAAAATTCAACATCCCTTCATGATAAAAAAAAACTCAAAAAACAGGATAAAACAAACATACTTCAACATAATAAAAGCCATATATGACAGATCACAGCTAGTATCATACTGAAGAGGAAAAAACTGAAAACATTTCCTCTAAGACCTGAAATATGACAGGATGCTCACTTTCATAACTGATATTCAACACATTACTGGAGATCCTAACTAGAGCAATCAGACAACAAAAAGAAATAAAGGGCATCCAGCTTGGGAAAGAAGTCAAATTATGCTTGTTTGGAGATGACATGACGTTAGATTTGAAAATGACATGATGTTATATTTGGAAAAACCTAAAAACTCCACAAGAATCTATTAGAACTGATAAGCAAATTCAGTAAAGTTGCAGAATAAAAAGTCAACATACAATAATCAGTAGCATTTCTACATGCTGACAGTGAGCAATCTGAAAAAAAATTTTAAAGGTAATCCCATTTACAATAGCCACAAATAAAATTAAATATCTAGAAACTAACCAAACAAATGAAATATCTCTACAATGAAAACTATAAGACACTCATAAACAAAATCGAAGAGGACACCAAAGAATGGAAGGATATTTCATGTTCATGGATTGGAAGAATCAATATTGTTAAAATGTACATACTACCCAAAGCAATCTACATATTCAATGCCATTTTTATCAAAATACCAATGACATTCTACACAGAAACAGAAAAAAAAAATCCCAGAATAGCCAAAGATAGCCTAAACAAAAAGAACAAAACTGAAGGAATCACATTACCTGACTTCAAATTATACTATAGAGCAATAGTAACCTAAACAGTGTGGTACTGTTACAAATACAAATACATAGACCAATGAAATGTAATAGAGAACCCAGAAGAAACCCCACACACTCACAGGAGATTCATTTTCAACAAAGGTGAAAAGAACATATTGAAGAGTCTCTTCAATAAATGGTGTTAAGAAAAGTGGATATCCACATGCAGAAGAAAGGAACTAGGCCTCTATCTCTTGCCATACAAAAATCAAATCAAAATGGATTAAATACTTAAATATAAGATCTCAAACTGTGAAACTACTACAAGAAAACATTGCGGAAATTATCCAGGACACGGTCCGGACAAAAATTTCTTGAATAATACGCCACAAGCACAGGCAACCAAAGCAAAAACTGGACAAATGGGATCATGTCAAGTTGAAAACCTACTGCACAGCAAATGAAACAATCAACAAAGTGAAGTGACAGTCCGCAGAATTGGATAAAACATTTGCAAACTACCCATCAGACAAAGAATTGATAACCAGAATATATAAGGAGCTCAACCAACTCTATAGGAAAAAATCTAATAATTTATTATAAAAAAAATGGGCAAACGATTTGAATACACATTTCTCAAAAAAAAAAGACATACAAATGACAAACAGTCATATGAAAATGTGCTCAACATCATTGTTCATCAGAGAAATACAAATCAACACTACAAGATATCATCTCACCCCAGTTAAAATGGCTTGTATACAAAGGACAGGTAATAAATGCTGATAAGGATGTGGAGAAAAGGAAACCCTCCTACACTCTTGGTAGGAATTTAAACTAACACAACCACTACAGAGAATGGTTTGGAGCCTCCTCAAAAATCTAAAAATAGAGCTACTTTAAGATCCAGCAATCCCACTGCTAGGTATACACCCAAAAGAAAGAAAGTCAGTATATCAAAGAGATATCTGCGCTCTCATGTATGTTGTAGCCGTGTTTCAATAGTCAAAAGTTAGAAGCAAACTAAGTATCCATTAACAGATAAATGGATAAAGAACATGTAGTACTTATACACAATGGAGTACTATTCAGCCGTAATGAATAATACATGGATGAAACCGGAGGTCGTTATTCTAAGTGAAATAAGCCAGGCACAGAAAGACAAACATTACATGTTTTCACTTATTTGTGGAATCTAAAAATCAAAGCAATTGAACTCATGGAGACTGAGAGAAGAAGGATGATTACCAAGGGATGGGAAGGGCAGTTGGGGGTATCATGGGAAGGTGGACATGGTTAATGGGTACAGAAAGGATAGAAAGAATGAACAAGGCTAGTATTTGATTGCACACAGGGTGGGTATAACCAATAATAATTTAATTGTACATTTAAAAATATCTAAGAGTATAATTGAATGGTTTGTAACACAAAGGATAAATGCTTGAGGAAATGGATACCTCATTTTCCATGATGTAATTATTACACATTGCATGCTTATTTTAAAATATCTCATGTACCCCATAAATACAAATACCTACTATGTAAAGACCAAAATTAAAATTAAAAACTAAACAAAATAAAATGAGAGATATGTGTTTCTTCCCTTCACTTGAACATTTAGAGGTGTACTTTCAATATTTTTGTATCTCAGGGAATAGGGAAGCCCAAAGAGAGGGAGAGAGTTGGAGAAATAGCTTTTCAGTGGAGCAGTCATAAAACATCCAATACTTACTGATTAAGTTCATTGTCTTATGTGGGAGCAGTTAGTGGTGCCTCAAAACAATTAGAATAGTAACATCAAAGATCACTGCTCATAGATCACTGTACCAGATATAATGATGAAAATCTTTGAAATATTGTGAGAACTATTAAAATGTGACACAAAGACACAAAGTGAGCACGTGTTGGAAAAATGGTGACAATAGCCTTGTTAGACATAGGGTTGCCCCAAATCTTTGATTTGTAAAATAAAAAACACTATCTCAGAAGTACAATAAAATGAGGTATACCTGTTAATAACAGTTCACCGTGATAAATGCTATGTTAGATCAAGTCCATGATGCTGAGGGTAAAAAGGAGGTAAAGAAAGGTCTTCTGAAAAATTATTCTAAGTTGAGTCATTATCTAGCAATGAGTCATTATCTAGCAATGAGAGTGAAGAAGGTTTGCTGGGACCTTGAAAATGGTCCAGTATGTCTCATGAGACCAAGATGAGAGAATAAAGGGATAGAAGTAAATAGAGTTTGTCTTTCAAAGAAGTTCTGAGATCCACTCATGGCATGATATTAAGCTCTCTGTGTATATGTATATTATGAACAACAAAATAAAACATGGCATCAATTAAGGACAGTAGAAAATGTTTGGTTCAGCTATAAAGATGGTGTATACATTTTTCTGAATGTCAATTTTATAGCTGAGAATTAATGCAAAAACATGTTCATTGATGGAAAACATAAACTTTAATTCCTTTTTCACGGATTAGATACTAAGGTGGGAGACATCCTTAGGTAACAGAGAAGTAATGTTCCCATTTCACAAGTGAGGAAATTGAAAGATAAAGTTCAGATAGGTTAAATCTTGATATTCACAATTAAAACCAGAATTAAAATTTACTAATGTCAGATAAGCATGTCTAGCAACAAATGACATGCTGCAATTATCACTTGGCATGCACTCAAGAAGAGCTAGGCTCTTGCTCTAACTTGATTTGATATTTAGGCAAATGGCTACCTAGTCTTGAAATGATAAGGAAGGTCCATTTTATTTCTAACCTTCGTAGATTCTTAAATATTTTACTTTCAAGTACAAATAATTTTACTTTGTACCTACCAATTTTAGAAAAATGTAAATTATAGAATATTCTACTATGTTTAATTGAAAGTATGCCAACCTGTTAAATAGGTCAGTCTAAGCTTTTTCTGTATAAGCTTTAAGATTTCTAATTGCACCATGGTACTAAAGATTCGATGACATGAAGTATTGTTGAGTACAGAACTGTTCCCAAGCAAATGTCTAAGCGGTTGTTACAGGGAACTTCTTCATGTTCCCTATGGCTATTTTCTATTTGCTTCCACCTCAGTATTTTCACCTGTGGATGCTGTGGTTCTAGACGGAAAGTGTTAGAAAACCTACATGTAAGTGTTCCCTAGACTTCAGCAGACATCATCTTATCTGGGAGAAGTTTATATAAATCTTGAAACACTTAACAATTGAAGATTTCTATGTTAATTTTTTCTACTCTAGGCACAAATTTCCTCCTTATAAAAGTGACCATGTGACTTGGATGCTTGTGTTTATTGAGCACTTACTATAGGCCTTTCATCTCTCCAGGTACGTTCCCTATATTATCTAATTTGATTCTTATAACATCCTTATAATTACTCTTACTATATTTCTAATATCTATTTAACAAATAAAAATATTGGAGGTGGGGGTAACATAGAGACACTAATCAACTTGCCCAAAATTGTACACCTAGTAAACTATTCAGTCAAAATTCAAATCTAAACTATCTGATTCAGGAAACTGGCTTCAGGTTTTTTTCTAGTTGTGAAGATACTCCACACTTTGTGAAGTAATGTAGTGTTTACAAAACATTCTCATTCTTTTCTGTCTCTGGAACTGAAACAAATCATCCAAGGTTATTAGAACAGTTATTCAGATCTTCACTTTAGAGAAATAGCTAAGTCTCCGAAGGATGATTGATTTAAGCTCTTAGAGCCAGAATCCTCTAGGTTCACTGATTCATTTACTCTTTCTAGAAGAAGGTATTTCCCCTGCTACACATGTTATATTTTTGCAAGGGAAGTAAAATAGGAATGGAAACACATCCCAAACACCATTCCCAACTATTTCTCTTAGCTTTTTAGGAGCTAAAATTTGGTTAAGGAAATTACCAGATGACAGCACTTTTATGTTGAAAAATGCAACCATAGCTGAAAAGAACTGTTGTGAGTCCAAGAGAACAAATACATTCAATGGGAAATGTGGTAACCATACTTGGGTTATTCTCACCACATACCCTACGTGAGGAGACAAGTTTGTAAAATCAAGGAGTTTGACAGTATAGCAAATCAGGACTAACAACAGCATAAGCAAGAAGCAGGATGATGTGTGCAGAATATATTAAATACCTACCAACCTAGGCTAGTTACTCAAAGCCATATAATTCCAAATGTTTTGTCAGAAGATAAATCAGTAGGCTTGAACTACTCCACACAGGGTGTGCTGTGTAACAAAATCAAAATCGTAAATCTGTTAAAGTTTTTCGGGTACCTGAATGAGGGAAATGTTTCCTGAAGGCATCTGAGAGAAAGTTGGCACAGTATGGGAGAAAATACCCAAGATCAGAAAGCAAGGGACTCTGATTCCAATTACTGCTTTTGATTTCATTTGTGATGACGTTTTACAAAAGCCTTTTAACCTTGTCATTATCGCTTATCACTTGGGAATTATATATCTGTCCTGCTTGGTTTGACAAGTTAATATGACATTCATGTGAGAAAGGAGTTGTGAAAGAAATTTGTAAGTTGGCTGGGCATGGTGGCTCATGCCTGTAATCCCAGCACTTTGGGAGGCTGAGGCAGGATTGCTTGAGTCTGGTCATTCAAGACCAGCCAAGAAAACATAGCAAGACCCCATGTCTACAAAAAATTTTTAAAATTAGCTGGGTATAAAGTGGCACACACCTGTGATCCTAACTACTTGGAGCCCAAGGCAAGAGGGTCACTTGGGCCTGGGAAGTTGAGGTTGCAGTGAGCCACTGCACTCCAGCTTGGTGACAGAGCTAGCCACTGTCTCAAAAAAAAAAAACAAAAAACAAAAAACAAAGAAGAAGAAGAAAAAAAAATTTAGCTATGTGTATGTAGGGTTAGGTGATATAAGCAATAAAAGGAATTGCTTTTAGATAGGTCAACTGTACACAATATATCTAGGAAGGCACATTTACTGACAGCTATTAAATCTAATGAAGAGGAAGCCATTAGCCAGAGGTTGTTTCTGTAATAAGAACTTCGAGATAAGCAAACCAAAACTCAATTCAATGTAAACAGTAAAACAAAACTTAATAATTCATAAACTGCAAACTAACCTCTAACTAGGGACTTTCCACCAGATAATACCCAAATAAGGCAAAGTCTAGGCGAAGTCTAGTTGTAGCCAGCCAAGTACTTTCTCTTCTTTTCTTCCATATTCCATCTTTAAAAGCTCACTGCACATGCTACAGAGGAGAGCACAGAGCTCTCTGAACTTCTTCTGGTTCTGAGTGCTGCCCAATATATATACATATACATATATATACACATATACATATATATTTATATATATATATACACACACACACATATATGTATATATAAATAAAGGAAATTCCTGGATGACTATATATATACATACATATATGTGTGTGTGTACCTATATAGGTATGTGTACATATATATAGTTTGTGTATATGTATATTTCTTTGTTCACATATACTCTATCAAATTTAATTTGTCTACAGTTTTTCTTTAAAGCAGCATATAATAAGCTTTGCACTATGTTAGGCACTTCTCAGTTTCCCTGATTGTCTGTCATTATCATTTTACTGATAAGAAAATTCAGTCTCCAAGAGGTTAACGATTTTTCTTAGGATTACACAGCTAGTAATCTGTAGCACAGAAATTCAAATCTATATGTAGTCTACCACAAAAGAAAAAAAAAGGAATGGAAGAGACAGATGAAAGAGTCAGAGAAACAGGTGAACTGGAAAAGTGCAGCATCATGATGGCATAGGGGTGGAGAGAAAGCTTTCCTCTTGGGCCGCTGAAGGTTCACTGAACCATCAACTCACAAAAGGCAGATTAATTGGAGAAAAAGCATCCAAATATATTTAACATGCAAATGGAGAGAATCAGAGTGATTACTCCATCCCCAAGAGGATTCAGAAGCACATAATCTTCTTGGCAAAACAGGTTACGGGACAGGGTAGGAAAGCAATTCTGTTGAGGGGAATACTAGAGAGAATGAGTGGATCAGGGAACAGAGATCAACTGTATTATCTTGTGAAAAGATCTGTTTAGGCGTGGTTACATTCTTGGTCTTACAGGGAGGAGAAGAAAAAAAAACAATTTTTCTCCCTTATGGGTCTGGATCTTAGGCAGATAAATGAACTTCAACTTCTTTGGGAGAAGTGGTTGGGGGAGAGGTCAGAGAGACCTTGAGGCATCTTCAGTTCAGCATGTCAAAATGCCATATTCTGGGGTAACATTTTGTGAACCCCAACAATGGACAGTGGATGAGAAGTTTTCAAGGAAGAAATAATTCGATGTTTGAGGCCTGGAGAGGTCACTTGAGACCTTTTGAGGTCCAGCTTCTATGAGTGTTATGATGACATATAATTCACATTTCAAGGCAGTAAGCTGCTGTTCATTCCCTAAAGAAACTAATTTGCTTCTGTTCTTCCACAGTGAGAAGCTGTACTCTTCTCCCTACAGACTACCTTCTTTATTATAACAGAGACTTTGTGAAATGTTCAGATGGATGATTCAGGGTGAAATCTGTGACCATTCTCAGGAAAACTATCTCATAGTACTTGTCCTGTGAAAAGAGGATGAGATACACCAAGTGCATTTTCTCCTCCTCCTCCTAATCCTCCTCCTACATTTTAGCATCATCATCATCATGAAAGCTGGAAAACTCCTCTAGTTTCCAGCAAATCATTTAGCCTTTCTCATCATATTGCCTCTATTTGTAAAATAAGATGGTTGGATCAGGCTATTTCTGCAGTCCTCCTCAGCTTTAAAATTTGAGAGAATTGTAAAATTAATCACAGTGAGCTCACTCTGTATAAGACACAGGGAAAAGAGCATGACTATAAATCATAATCCTTACCCTCAAGGGGCCTAAAACTAGAGTGAATCTGGAAAACTGGGAATCACAACAAAAATTAACAGAAAACATCACTAGGAAATACTAAAATCTTAATATGATCTTATATGATATTTAATAATATTTACCATTGAAGGTTAGATTGGGCTATTTACCTCTTTCCTTTATCAGATAACCCTTTACTTCACTACCTCTGCCCATATACTCTTTCATTTTCATTTTTCAAAATTATATTTTTGATTCAAAGCCCAAGCCTCAAATACCTTCTCCAAAAGGCTTCCTTCCCTCAACAAAAAGGATCTCACCATTCTTTATATTCCAGGTTTACTTTCTGATTTACCCGTACAGTATCATAGCCTGGAGGCTCCTGAGATGCATTCTTTTTTGGAAGGGGCCTGATTTTGAAGTCTGACTCAGCCACTGATTAGTGAGCAGGCTTTCCTAAATCTTCCTTTCCTCTCTAGTAAAGTAGGTCAGATCGTAATCTCTTCCTCACAGGACCATTGTGCAAATTAAAGGAGATAACGTGAATGGTTTGGTAGCAACTCAATGAATGTATCTGAATCCTCCCGTCAATTTACTCTGCTGTCCATTATAGTCAGTTATGTATCTGTTTTATCCTGTCTGGTCGAGAATGGAATCTGAGGACCAAAACTCCTCTCTTACTCATCTCTGTGCATTTTCCTCTTTGCCCCTGCCCCTTCCTCCAACCCAGTACCTAGCATGGTTTCTTCATTTATGTGTAAATTTTATCAAAGTGGTGTCAGTCTGTGCAAATCATCTGCTGAAGTCTGTTAAGAACGTTCAGCAATATACACTTCAACAGTAACAGGGACAGTGTGGAAAACCCTTGTTTTCTTCCTACTCTCCAATTCTTCTGCCTCTTTCCACTGCTTTGGAGAGGAGGTTACAATCAGAGTCATTTCACCATAAGAAAATCATCAATTTTCTAATGAAAACCCCCCTCCTTAAATATTCAGCCGTGGCACAATCCCTAAAGGAGAGAACACATTAATGCAATGCACTTGGCCAATTTGTGAGCCCTGACTTGTTGAGCACAGACTCTTCCCTGACCCTGGAAGACAATCGGCAGGACCCCTGAATAATGAAGTATGAATGCTCACCATTGTGCTATCTCTAGCTACACCAGCTTCTACCTAATCTTTTTTTTCCTTTTCATTGCTCTCCTTTGCAACTTCCTAAGGATTTGGCCATTTTCCACTGTGTCCAACCTACGAAGCTGTAAATACCTGACTGAGAAACACAAAATGTGTTTATAGGACTTCTGATGGCTTCTCATCTAAACCATAAATGTGAAATGCATTTCAACATTTCTCAGAAAACACCCCATCCCCCAGATTCAATTGGCAGCACAAATTTACTTCTCAGAAGACAGCACCAAAATCTCAACATTGGCATTTTGAATCAAGCACACACACGCAGCTGCATTGTGTTAACAAAAGTGAAACATTATTAGGTCGCATACTCTGAGTGACAATATCCTCGAATGATCATTTCTGTGAGAAATTAAGCTATGAGAAATTCAATTTGGTAGCATTTGGGCATTACAGACAGCTAGTCTGTTTATATCAGCAAGGCTTTGATGTTAAGACTCTGTAACTGCAGCCACAGGAAAAGCAGACTGAATACAGGGTGGATAAGGTCACAGATATAAAAATCAGATAGAGTTCTGTTCTATTATCTACATAGTGTGTACTTTGGGAAGTTACTTAATATTTCTAAGCCTCAGTTTCCTCATAAAAATAAAAATGGCAAGCAATATGAAAACTATCTAATAGAATATTTGTGACACTAAATTGTAATAATGTATATAAATCACTTAGCCTAGTATGTGGCATTTATTAACACTCAAGCAAAAGTGTAATTTTTTAAAAAAAGACTCTTATATCCCTTACATGACAGAAATATTAAGACCAAAATGGTTACTGAGCCCTCAAAGGTATTATCTCATTCTGGCTGAGCTATCTGGACCTGGAGAAAAGTCTAGAAAGACTCTATTTCACTCCAAGTTTCTTGACCCTATCTTTATTTTTTATCTTCTATCCACTAGGACCTGTGATCAGGCCAGGATTAACCAGTGTTCTCTAGGATTAACGTTTTTGGCAGCTGGGGATGATTGCCTAAGATAATTGTTTTTGTGTCTGCCTCTCCTGCTAGAATGCAAACTCTCAAGGGCAGGACATATGTCTTTCTTTATCCTACCTGTTAGTGATCAACAGGAGAAGGCCACTGCTTAACTGTTAGTGTCAGGTCAGCTCCAAGCTGGTACTTCTTAGGAACTCTTTTCTTTTCTTTTTCTTTTTCCTTCCTTCCTTCCATTTCTTTCTCTTTCTTCCTTCCTTCCTTCTGTGATAACTAATTTATCTCATAGATGAAAAGGACTAGGAAGCCCTTGCCATCATGCCATGTATTTTATTTACATGCTTCATCTCATATAAGCTTCATAATGATTTATGAGATAAACCATTTCTGTTATTCCCATAGTATATACAAGAGAAGTGGAGATTACAAGGGTTAAATAAATTTGTCAAAGGTCTTCCAGCAAGTGACTGAGCCTGAATCCCAAACCAGACCTTGCTTTGTATATAATTTACAAGTATTGATGGATGTAATGAAGCTGGATAATTGCTATGAAATATTATTTATGGATTTCCCTATTATGTTTTCAGTTTTTATATGTATCTTATCCCAGATCACAGCAACTGACTCCCCTTGAAAGTTAGAGAGCTCAAAACTGATTTATCAATACAACCACCTCATATGACCAGATTTTCACAGGGTCAAATCTGGTCCTTTTATTCTCAGAGTTCAAGTCTCAACATTAAAATGTATAGCATCAGTATAACCTACCCTGTAGAAAGCTCCCCAATATGTAGCAAGGCATGCTCCTTACCCCACACATCCTTACTGGCCAGAGGTTTCTAGAGGAGGAGATCCTATATGCAATGTTGGTCCACTATCTCTCCATTTTTCTATGGCTTAAGTAAAAGAAGATATTGACTTTGGGATGTCAGCTCAGAGACTGAACAAAGATGCCTCAGTGAATAGGAATATATGCTCTTAGCTGGGGAGTAAATGCCAGCTTTCACTTAAAATACATCCAGGGACCTTACTTCCAGCAAAAATCCCTTCCAAAATTGAGGCCCTAAGAGATCACTAGAGATATGTGAAAGACCTCTGTACTTGGTCCCACAACAGGCCAAGTTTGTATTAATTCTCAGGTGAAGACACATGAAACAGGTTTAACCTATTTTCAGATAGCCCAGAAATCAGTCAGTGGGGAGCCAAGAAAAGCTTTGAGGATGATAAAGTCATTTACTTTGTATTAACAGAAGTTAAGAAGTCCTTTTCTGGAATCTTTATTTGGAAGTCCTCAATGCCTCCCTAACCAAAATAAATCCTTCCCCCCGCCTCTTTTCTTCATAAGCCCCTGGTTACTGCACAGTATCCTCTATCCACAAATATGCCTGGCTAATTGATCCTCTTAATATTAGGGGGTGACTTTCTCAGATGATTTCTTCCTAACCTTTTTGGCTGCTTATAATCCTATTAGCAAGCTCCTATCATAGAACATTAATGTGGTTGTATCTGATTTAATTTTTAGCCAATACCCTACAAAATGCAGTAGCTTATTAGTGATTTTTATGTCATGTGGTTTTAGCAAAATTGAATGATAATGGGATGTGATTGGGTGGAAAATTATAGCAATAGGGTGCTTGGCTTCTATAATTGCAGCATAGGCTTTAGTTAGGAATGGGACTATCAGAATTTCTTTTACTTAAAAGTGATTTCTAAGGCATGGAAAAATCACTGTGTATTTACAATTTATCCAGTAGATGATTAAGTGGCTTTCACTGGTGGATAGTGAGACAGCCTTGCAAATCATAGAGACGATCAAGGAAAGCAGAGGGAAGATAACAGTGGCATTGTCTCATCTGAAGCTTCATTTATTTCTCTCCCCCATAAATGAAGTAGAAAGGGATATAGGATCATGGCAGTAATGGTGGTCTTATCTAAAATAAACTTATTAAATGAGACAGATTCTTTATTAACTAGTCAGGAGTCAAATGATTAAACAGCTTTTCTTGCCATTGAATTTCTAGCAGAAATCAATGTACATTATACAGTTGCAGCAGCTGAGATTGCAAAAGCCCAAGGACAGCGTAAAGACTGATTTACTGAAATATTTTATCAGCATAATGGTCAAGAGATGCAGTTCAGTTTGTCTGTGGAGTACAGCTTATCTTATTCATTGTTGTATGTGTTAGAAAAGCTACTTGCATAATCTTCCCAATTGTAATATTCCTGCTGCAAAACCATAACTGTTCCAACCGAAAAGAATTGTCCACATTCAGGATATTTTTAAGAATGAAAAATTGGTTTATGGGGACTTAAATATTGTCATTCAACTGTAGACAGTGCTACCCAATGGGTTTGGCATGGTTGACGACCAATGCGATGACAAAGGGTTGTTAGACACAATGCCAGGTGCTGGCTGTACCTCTGCACAACACGTAAGAGGCACAGAAAAGACTGCAGTTTATGCTCTTGCATAATTCAAACAACTCACTTGAGCTTGTATGCAAACTTTTTTTAATGCCTACAGCTTTTGGGAGTTTGTACAAATAATTGTCTTTCCAATCTAAAATTAAGAGAATGATGTAAAGTTTAAAAAGAAGAAAAAATATAAACTTAAAGTACAATGGTCAGCAGCTGAAGAATTTCCTTCTCCTTGATTATCAGTAAAGAAAGTTTATTTAATTACTTGTGAAATGTCTGCTTCTAAAAAGGATTTAAAGTGGCTTACAATAAAAGCCATATATAATCAAAAAACCACTTATCTAATACTATGTAATCAAACTAATCCAAGAGTTAATGGTATAAAATAACAAGCACTTTTTTCTGCTCACAATTCTGTGTGTCAGGACTTGGGAAACGAAACAGTAGGATGGTTTGCCCTTGCTCCACAATTTACTGGGGTGATTTGAACAACTGCAAATTTCTGGGATCATATATCTAGAGCCTCAGGTTGTATGGGTCTTCTCCATGCCACCCCTGCTAGGGATGGAATGCTCAGAGTGGCCCTTCAATTATGTCTTTGGTTCTGCTGGAATGACTAGGACAGCTGGGGCTCCTCAGGACTTTGATGGACTCTTCCCAGGCAGCTTCCTCACAGTATGTCATCTTGGGATAGTTGGGCTTAACATGGCAGCTAGTTGTCCCTCGTGATCCGAGATGCATGAGCAGAAGCTGGAAAACTTCTAAAGAATGAACCTCTGAAGTCCCAGAACCTTCCATGTGTATCCTCCATCACATTCTAGTGGTCAAACAGATCACTAAGGCAGCCTTGACTCAAAGGAGATAAATTAGACAGTACTTCTCAGTGGAAAAGAGTAGCCCCGAATATGCAGTCATCTTAATTTACACCACAGGCATAAGGTGATTAGTAATGATAATTTTAAAGTAAGAGGAGCTGTACCATTGAGGAGACAATTATCCTAGAAAAAGAGGTTAATGACACCTTCTACTATAAGCACAGAATTTAACCTTGAACTTCCTAGTGATCAAGGAAAAAGAAAAAGGAAGAACCAGCAACATAATGTTTATTATTTCAAAAAATTAGAGAAAGGTTTTTTCTCAATTATTTTCCAAAGACTAGAATAATAATCAGCAAATATAGAGCATGACATGTGTATTTTATACAGTTCCTTTCTTCCTAAATCTCCCTGTTTGTCTCAGTATCCCAGCCTACCTTTGTGGTGGTAGTCATTCTAGATAGGAAAGTTACTGCTTAGAATGCAGGCTGAGACTAAGAGGGGTG
The DNA here is from genome assembly GCF_000001405.40 of Homo sapiens. Taxonomy (NCBI): domain Eukaryota; kingdom Metazoa; phylum Chordata; class Mammalia; order Primates; family Hominidae; genus Homo; species Homo sapiens. Next base: position 21,970,807 of record NC_000011.10, read on the forward strand.
GAAGAAAGAAAGAGGAGAAATGAGGGTAAGCTGAGACAAACACAAAGAAAAAAAATAAATGAGCACAGAGAGAGAAAGAGAGGGAACAAGAGAGAGCAAGAGAGATAGTGAGACAGAGAGAGAACTAGGCAGACAGAGTTTGGCTTGCTCGAACTCAAATGTCTCTAGGACTTGTTTGGCAGGTACCTAAAATATCTGCAACACATGAAGCCAAAATGATAGAAAGAAGTGGATCCTCTGTCAAATGGAAATGTGCATGCCTCATCTAAAAGCACTGTTGTTTTTTATTATTGATTTAATGCCAAATATACCCATTTTTATGGCTGACTTTAGGCTGCTGCTGAATGTCAGGTTATATCGCTTGAATTTGCTTCTGTGGAGAAATTCTGAGCTCTGAGTATGAATAATTATACTGCTGGATTTTTCAGGTCCCTCTTGGTAGAGAGACCCTCCAGGATGGCATTGAGGGCTGATCATAGGGATTCACATAAGTGACCTCCTTCTGTTCTCAGCTACTGAGAAATAGGACCTATCATCTTCTGAAATACTCACTTTGGAAAAAATAAGAGGAGAATTATTATTGCCCATAAGGGATAAAATAATGAACTAAATGAAGCTAGTGCCAAATACTCTTGCTGATCCAGAGCCTTAGAACTGAGAAATGCATCAATGTATTTTGTAATGCAAGCTACCACCATGCCATTTACCTCTGATTGTTACCTTTTGGACATCTAATGTACTAAAAAACAAAAAATGACCATGATGTGTTCTTTACTAATAGAAATACAAGCAATGTTAGCACTCCTCAAATTCTGACCAAAGGGTTATTTTCCTTTTCTTCCTCCTCCTCCTTTTAATGGGCTATCATTAGAACCAATAAATACTCAGAAAAGTGTCATAGCTTCTTGTTTACTTTCTTTTAAAAAATGTGTATATTTAAGGTATACAACATTGTTTTGATATGCATATACATAGCGAAATAATTACTACAGCTAAGCAAATTAACGTTTCATCACGTTCCATAGTTACCGTGTGTGGGTGTGTGTGTGTGTGTGTGTGTGTGTGTGTGTGCGTGTGTGTGTGGTAAAAAGCACCTGAAATCTACTCTCAGCAAATTTTCAGTGCACAAAACAATATTATTAACTACAGTCCTCATCCTATACATTAGATCTCTAGATTTATTTATTCTACCTGACTGCAATTTGTACTTTTTGATCTATTTCTCCTTGCCTCCCACTTCCTGCCTTTGGTAACCAACATTCTACTCTGTTTCTATGTATTTGACTTTTGTAAAATATTACATGTATAAATGATATCATGCAGTATTCTTTTTCTGTGTTTGGCTTATTTGACTTAGCATAATGTCCTCCAGGTTCATTCAGTTGTTGCAAATGGCAGTATCTCCTTTTTAAGGGCTGAATAATATTTCTTTATACATTAATCTGTTGAGGTTTACTTACATTGTTTCTATATCTTGGTTATTGTGAATATGCTACAATGAATATAGAAGTGCAGCTGTCTCTTCAACATACTTACTTCATATTCTTTGGATATATACCCAATAGTAGACTTGCTGGATTAAATGCCGATTCTATATGGTAGTTCTAGCTTTAATTTTTTGAGAGACCTACATACTATTTTCTATAATGTTTTACCAGTTCATATTCTCATCCACAGTGTACAAGCGTTCTTTTTTCTCTTCACCTTCACCAACACTTATCTTTTTGATAAAAGCCATTCTAAAAGATATGAGGTGACATCTCATTGTAGTTTTGATTTGCATTTTTCTGATGGTTAGTAATGTTGTGCACCTACATCATAATCTGTAGAAGAACACTGAAAGTGCTTTCTCTAAAATCTGAACAAGTACAAGGTACAAGGCAAGGATGCCTATTGTCAACACTTTTATTCAACATAGTTCTAGAAGTTCTAGCCAGAGTAGTCAGAAAATAAATAAATAAATAAATAGCATACAAATCAGAAAGGAATAAGTAAATTTATTTGTCTGCAGATGCCATAATTCTATATATCTAGGAGCTTAAAGCCTCCACCAAAAACAAAACAAAACAAAAACCTGTTAGAACTAACAACTGCATTAAGTAAAGAAACAGCATACAAAATCAACATATAAAAATCAGTTGCATTTCTTTATATAAGGATCTTTCTGAAAAATAAATCAAAGAAACAATCTTATTTACAATGGCATCAAAAATTAAAATATTGAGAAATAAATTTAACCAAGATCTTCACAAACAAAACTATAAAATATTGATGAAAAACACTGAATAAGACACAAACAAATGGAAAGACATCCTGTGTTCATGGATTATAAGAATTAATATTGTTAAAATGTCTGTATTATCCAAAGCCATATACAGATTCAACACAATCCTTACCAAAATTTCAGGGGCATTTTTCATAGAAACAGGAAAAACAAATCTAAAATTCGTTTGGAACCACAAAAAAACCCAAATGGCCAAAACAACCTTGAGAAAGAAAAACAAAGTTGGAGGCAACACCCTGCCTGATGTTAAATTATATTACAAAGTTATAGTAATCAAAATAGTATGGTACTGGTATACAAACAGAAACATAGGCCAATGGAACAGAATAGAGAGCCCAGAAATAAACCCAAGCATATAAAGTCAACTAATTTTCAATAAGGCCATAAAGAAGAAACGGTGAGGAAAGGATAGTCCCTTCAGTAAATTATGCTGGTACTCTTTCTTTTTAATCAAAAATATTTTTTCTTAAAAAGTACACTTTTTAATAAAAATAAAACATGCTCCTTTCTATTGCCACAGTTTCTCTCTTCCTTTTTTACAATTATGTGGCAGAGGCTGACAGTGTTTCTAATTTTCTGAACTCCCCTTAGGTAATACATGTTTGTTTTCTAGCAGAGTATATGGCAACCCAATTTTTCTTTTGCTAGTCTCTTCAAATTTAATTATTTTGTTTTTTCCAGTTGTGAGGGAGTCAAACCTGGACATGCTTTATATCTATACCCCCATGGCTCTCCCTGCAGTGTGCCATGTGACAATGTGCTCTTTCCATCATAATGCATCACTTCAATTTAGACCTCACTTTATGTCCAAAGCAGATTTTTTTCAAAGACTGAAGCTGCAGTTCCTTTGATGCCTAAATTAAATGTTAACTAATAGTCAATTTTTCAGATTCCACTCAGGCTATACGAAGTTGGGAAAGAGTCCAGATACCTAGTGGGTCATTTTGAAACAAGTAACTCAAATGTCAATAGATACTAGCCTTTGCTGAGATATGCAAAGTTCATCTGAGTTTCCCCAAATGATGTAGATTCTAAATAGTTTCGATCCTTAATGTTTTCTTTGCTGGTCAGTTTTCTCTGATTCATTGATTGGGAAAAATTAGGTAAGATACAAGAAATTGGACCTCTTTAGATTGGGGTTGATTATCATGAATAAATAATTTGAACTTTCTAGTAAAATGGCCCTGATGGTTTCCATTCATGTATTTGCCAATTAGTTATCTGTATTCCATAAGAAAAAAGGTTTTAGTTCCTATTAACACATTTTACCATTCAGTTTTAATTGCAGTCATAGACATTTGTACTCTAATGTAACAGAACAAAAGATATCATGAAAAAATGAGTTCTATGGGAAAGAGAAAAAAATCATTTCATCTTAGACAAGGAAAATGTATTACAAGTGGGAGCATTCTAAATCCTTAGGTTTCATGAGTATTCCATTTTTCTTGTTAATAGACAGCTGTGCTTTTTATGAACTTCTAAGAGTTGACCAACTTTAGTCAGAGTTGGAGTTATTAAAGGCTGAGGACAGAAGACATAGACTCTCTCCAAAGTGGGCATTTGCAGTGTGGAATTACAGTAAGCGTTCTCATCAACCTTTAGATTGACATTCGCAGTAATGGAATTTATTGTCATTCACTCCCTGCCACAAAGAGTCTAGAATTAAAAGGTCTTGTCCTTCATTGTTAAATACTGATAATTTTCCCCCCTTCAGAATCTTTTGTGAAGCTCTTGCTGGTCCAACTGATACTATTTTTCTTCTAATGAAAAATTTCTTTCCTCTGTAATTCATTTTAAAGGGACCCCAGCAAGTACCCAAACAGGCAACACCTATGTGTAACCAGGCAGAGAGAATGGACCAGAGAAGGGACCCTTTTTAAATGAGGTTATAGGGATGGATAAACGCAGGGGACCCCAAGCAATTGTATATCTCAGGGAATCATGGGATTATATGGTCACTTAAAGTGGAAGTTTAGTAGAGTCTTAGAAGACTCACCAAGTCCTAACAGGTGAAAGACAGAAGCCAAGGTATACCTTAAGACAGTATTGACAAGGAGACAAGAGGCTTCTGGAGTCTGGGATTGCACTGAAGAAAGGGAGTGGAAACTGCAGTCCCCACGTTATGAGACTTTGGTAAGATTTCTGAAAGCTTTGTTACTTCAAATTTTTTTTTGTTATTTTTATTACCACTGTTGGTGTACCTGAGTGAGAAAACTTATTAAAGGGGAAGAACTTGGGTACCCTGCATCTTCCCACAGCTAGACTTGAAAGGATTTAATCTCTAAAGGAAAGAGTGTTAGTGGCTGCTGGAAGAATGAGAATGAGAACATAAACAAGCTGAGTCATTTGTGCTCACAAAGAATAGGCTGGTGGATGTGAGCTGAGCAACAGACCAAGAAGTTTGACACTCACAAAGTCCTTGTGGTCTCTCTACGTCTATAACTCACTAACACAATTACAAGCACCGTGTCCATTTTAATGAAAAAATTAGGGCCATTGGAAGAATAATAGTTTAGCAGAATTAATATTTTACATGATTAATTAAATATTATTTTATCTTTAAACCAACATTCTCACAGCATTGGTCTCATAAGAGTAAATGAGGTGTCATTTGTATCTATTATTTTTGAAATGTCTATTTTGCAAAATTTTAAGAGTGAGGCATGATTTTGGAAGGAAAGATGCTTTCATTAATGGCTTAGATTTCTGACATTGCTTATAAGTAAGAATTATTTGAGAGGTCCTAACAAATAATAATAATTAAGAATTAAAAGAAGCTTTATTTGAAAGAAAACACTGATTCATGCTATGGTTTCCTCTTTGTATATAACCCAAAGATTACAGGGTACTAAATATCACTTGAGAGATGAATATACCCGAAATAGCAAATAGGCACTAATTATGTAAATATATTTTTTAGCAAGAGAAACACGTTTTTGTGGATTTATTAATCCTAGGAAAAGAGAAGAAAAAGCCATTATAGGGGGAAAATAACGAGAAAAAGAGAGAGCGACCAGGAGAAGATATTGAAAAAGCACTGAAGCTCAAGCACAGATTTACTAGGTATCAGATGAACCAGTGATTAGGCTTATCATAAGACCAAAAAATACCTGCCTACTAGTTCTTGTGTTACTTAATATTATCTTATTAAAAATATTTTTGGGGTATTCTCTTAACTTATTGGTATTAGTGAAGCAGGGTGTTTCCCCTATCTCTTCATGAAACTCACAGCAGGAGTACCTCGTTTACTCAGCCCGCTGCTCTCAACTACTTGCGGGAGGGAGTGCATAAGTGAACGAACCAGGACCTGGAGTTCATGAGTGCTAGAACCGGCTGGCCTGGCCACTCTGTCACCCGCGGCATCAAATTCTCTGATGTCCAGCCATAGTCTTTGATGTCCACCTGCTTCTCCCCTCTGCTGGCTGAGCCTGGGGTCTTTATAAGGCACAGGATGGGGTGAGTCAGGGCCATGGGTGGTTTACGAAAAGGCAGCATTCCAGTGGGAAAACATGGATATAAGTTCTCACTTTGGGCCCCATCTCAGGCTTTTTGGCTTGAGAGTGGAATTTCGCCAGGGACCCACCCCTCTCTGCCTAGAATTATTCTGCCTCCTGTTGCTATCAGTAGTATAATTTGGTAAAACCATTCTTGAGGGCATTTGGCAAAATATACACAAAGCCTTAAAACCCAGCATATTTTGTTCACTCTAATTCTTTTTTCCTGGAGAAACATGCACACCACATAAGCATGTTTCCTAATGTGAATAAATGAAAGTGACCTAAAATTCTGATGATAGAAAATTAGATAAATAATCTATAATATATTCAGAAGATTGAATACTCTGTAGCTATTAAATAAAGGTTATAGAAGATTAATTATATGGGAAAAATTATCATAATAAATTAAATAAATGAGGTAGCTATTTCATAGTGCTAGAGCTCACAGCACTAGAAAAGTGTGAAGAATCTAAAAGTCGTATATAATGCACTGGAAGGAAGAAATACAACTTTGCTGAAGGATGCCTGAAAATATTGATTGTGTGTTTCACTGATTTCTACTAGGTCAGAAGGAAACTACTTGCTCAAAAGGAGACCAGAGGAATGAAAATGTGTAAGACTTTGATTTGTTCATTCATTATTCATTTACTTATTCATCTATTCATTCAGCCATCACTTTTCAAATGCCTACCACACGCCAAGCACTGGGCTAGATACAAAGTATGACTGAAGAGTGAGGAGTGATGAAACTAGATAAGCACAAAGAAATGGCTCAAGAAGATTCTCTACACGCCTTGTACCTGATTTGGGGTAATATTTCGGGCAACGAGGAGTCATTGATGAATTTTTGGTAGGGAAATGACAAGGTTAGATTTTTACATTAGACCATCTTGGCAGCAGTTGGGAGGATGGACCATAGGAGGAGAGGACTAAAGTATGTAGTGATTAGGCTTTTGGGGTAGTAAAGTGAGCACCAGGGAGGCCTGGAACCAAGGCAGTTGCCCAGGATATAGAAACAAGGGCAAATATTCAAAAGATACTTAGGAATTATAATTCAACATAGAGACTAATTGTTTATACAGTGCACAGGAATGGACACAGTTTTTGATACATCTTGGGTTTTTAATTTGGATGGAGAACAGAAGAGTTTGGCAAAATATTTTGAATAGCACTCTATGGCACTTCATACTTTTTTAGTATCTCTATATACATATATGTGCTTAGATACAAACTCTATCATAGGAGCTTTTTCAATACAGAAAAGCTGGTTTTAATCCTCTACTATGGACGTTTTTTTGTTGTTCACCTCACTCTCTATGGCTTCCTTTGATAAAGTCAGACATTTGCCACTGAAGTTTAAACTTCTAAAATTTCTGATGGAAATGTAGAATGAGATAATAAAAATGAACATTCATGGAGCACTGACAATGTACCCAGGTCTAGGCTAAGTATTTTACACATATTATACAATTTATTTATTACAACAACATTAGGTAGGCATGCTCACTTTACAGATGAGAAAATGAAGCTCTGAGAAATGACCACTTGCCCAAAATTATACAACTAGTAAGTTGCTCAGCCAGAATTTGAACCAAGGTTTTCACTTTTAAACTTATATCCTCTAAACTCTATCAATTACCATCTGAAATTTCAGACATTCTTAGAAACCATATCTTTCCGTAGGCATTATGGATGAGTTTTGGTGATTTGAGTGGCAGTGTGATCTGATGGCAAGATCATTGAACTGAGGGTTGAGAGTCTAAATTCCTAGTTTGAGCCAGACAACACATTTTTTTATGTGTGTGACCTTGACTAAGTTACTTAACAGCTCTGGGTTTCATTTCCTTCATTTTAAAAATAAGCAGATTGAATTAGGAGTCACTTCCAAGCTGTTATTGTATTTGTAACTTGAGAAATTTGAAATTTCTCTTTTCGCCCACATAGGACAGGGTTTCAAAGCCAAATATAGTTCTATATACTAATGGAATTTGCTTATTTCAAATGCAGAAAAGCTACATTCTGATCAGTTTTGAGTATCAGTTTTCTCATCTGTAAAATGGAATAATATTAATACATAGCAGTGTTACTGTGAAGATTGAATACAAAATTATAATCCTAAGTGGTTTTCACTAGTTCAGTCATCAGAAAACTAAAACAACAAATAAAAATGTCTGTGTTGGCCAGGTGCGGTGGCTCACGCCTGTAATCCTAGCACTTTGGGAGGCTGAGGCAGATGGATCACCTGAGGTCAGGAGTTCGAGACCAGCCTGGCCAACATGGTGAAACTCCATCTCTACTAAAAATACAAAAAGTTATCCAGGTGTGGTGGCAGGAGCCTGTAATCCCAGCTACTCGAGAGGCTGAGGAAGGAGAATCGCTTGAACCGAGGAGGCAGGGGTTGCAGTGAACTGAGATTGTGCCACTGCACTCCAGCCTGGATGACAGAGCAAGAACTCAGTCTCAAAAAAAAAAAAAAAAAGTCTGTGTATATTTATCTGTATCTGGTCTACATAAATATTATTAGATTAAAAAATGAAGTAAGAAGTAATTTGATAAAATTCATTATTCCCCTAGGCCTCTAAGACTTCAAATAATAAGGGGAAATAAGCAAAGTTAGAATTTTTCTATTGTTCTGATTTACATCAGGATTCAGGAATTATTTACAATTAACTTTCTATACTTGTCCCTTATTGATCACTTGATGCATATGCTTTTCTGGAATTGGATTGTTATCCAAGCATGGCAAATTAAACTTCCGATTTAACAATTAAAACCATCAGGCTGACGAATGAGACAGTGAGGCTGATTTATTCTGGGTTAGATTCTGGCTCCCAGGCATAAATGAGACTTTCTTTGTTTTCAAGAGAAGCCTAGCAGGCTGGCTCAGGTGGCACAAGCCTGTTACTGATCTCGACCTATCACAGTCTGCAGGCATCTCCAATGAACGAATGATGATCCTAACGGTATTCAGAAACAAGTCACTTATGATGATGCCAAAGTCATTCTCCCTTCATGGCCATTAAAGACTGGTTTATTACTCAGAAAAATTAACTATCTGGAATAAGCTTTTAATTGGCCTCTCAATAGATATATAGAGAGATTAGATGGATTTTATAAATTAGTCTTTAGGTTTCTCTTTGGACTACTCATACTAAGTGAAACCTTCTATTAAAATACACATACAGTCCTTTAATTACATGAGAGGATTATGTTACAAAACACATACCTTTGGAATCAGACAGATGTGGGATCAAATTTTCGATTCAAGATTTACTAGTAGTTATATGCCTTGTGTATTAGTCCCTGCTTACACTGCTGTAAAGACATATCTGAGACTGGGTAATTTAAAATAAAGAGGCTTAATTGGCTCATGGTTTGGTGGGCTGTATGAGCTTCTGCTTTTGGAAGACCTCAGGAAATTTACAATCACAGCAGAAGGCAAAGGGGAAGCAAGCATGTCTTCATATTGCTGGCAGGAGAGAGAGAGAAAGAAAGGGAGACAGAGAGGTGCTACACACTTTTAAACAACCAGATCTCATGAGAACTCTATCACGAGAACAGCAAGGAGGAAGTCCACCTCCATGATTCAATCACCTCTCACCAGGCCCCTCCTTCAACACTAGGGTCTACAATTTGACATGAGATTTGGGTGGGGACACAAAGCCAAACCATATCACCTTGGTTATATAATTTCTACCTTACTTACATAACCTAACCTCTCTGAGCATCAGTTTATCATCCTGGAAGTAGAAAAATATAACAAATATTAACACCTACCTTACGGGATTATTTTAAAGATTAAGAGTAATGAATAAAGTGCCAAGCAGGCCCCCTGGCACATAGTAGACACACAGTAAATGGTAGTTTCCATAAAAACTGGAGTGCTGTGGTTTGAATGCTTTTGTCCCCTTCAAAATTTATGTTTTGGAAACTTAATCCCTAATGCAACAGTGTTGAGAGTAGTCACATTTTAGGAGGCGATTAGGTCATGAGAGTTCTGCCCTCATGAATGTATCAGTGACACTATAAAAAGGGCTTATGGGCTTCCTCTCTTTCTCTCTTCTGTCAGGGGAGGACACAGTGTTCCTTCTGTCTAAAGGATACAGCAACAAGGAGCCATCTTGGAACCAGAGAGTTATTGGTTTTCAGTCTCCAGAACTGTGAAAAAAAAACTTCTATTCTTTAGAGTTTACCTAATCTGTGGTATTCTGATAGAGTAGCACAAAACAAAGACACAGAATAATCTCTGTTACAGTCCAGGCCTCTTCCTTTAGCAGTCATTGCATGTAAGAGTATCTAGAAAATACAAACATAGTTCATAGTCATTTGGGACATTTTATTAATGTTGTGAAGTAAGACCTCTATATGGAATAGAGAAATGTGACACCTCAAGCATCTTCTAGAAGTTCAATATTTATCACCCCAAAACCTTCTTTCCTCACTAAATAGTTACAGAGGTCATTCTTAAATCTAACTTTTCTGAAATCATGCCTTCTTTCTAATGTCCGTGGAAAACAGAAACAGCATCTGTGGATAATTCCCAGCCATCTTGGATTTCTGAAACAAGATTGACATCTTATCTACATTTAACTAATTAAAAAGAAAACAGAGAATAAAAAAGATACTCCAAAAAAATTAAACCAGCTTAATAGAAGGACCTTATTAAAAGACAGTATATATGCCAATATCAGGACATTCAATCTATTCTACTTTTAGCTAAGTGTTGAATTCCCAGTCAGGAGGTAGATGAATTGCTAAACATTCTTGTTTGTCTGCATGATTTGCTTCATTGTTTTAATAATAAGCCTCATGACCTTAAAGTATGTTACAAAAATCTCCCTCCCATTCCTCACTGTATCATCAGTAGTCACCAGATAACAAGTTTCAATCATTAATATGCAACAGTATACTGAGAGTACAGCAGAATTATAAATAAACATACATACAAAAATATTTCATAATTCATTTCCAATAACTGAGTGCCTTCCATCACCAGGATTCCTGTTCCTTTGCTTCAGAATAATATTCCTCTATATATCAGATAGTCCTAAGTACCTACCACAAACACAGGCACTGTTTTGATGACAGAGACACTGCTGTTAAGGGAAGAGGGTCCGGGGGAGAGTGAGAAAAGAAAATATTCTCAGATCATTAATCCTTTTTACTTTTTCTTTTTTAAATTGCAAATGTTTTCACTTCCACAAAAATACTGAATGTGTATTTCCCACTAATGTACAAAAGGGAATTTTCTGAGACCTATCCTGGAGGAAAAATAAAACTGTCAAAGAGACTTCTATTGCTAAAAGATTAATATTATGATAATTACTTTCTAAGATGTAAATTAAGAAAGCGCCAAAATAGTCTCTTGCTGACTTTACATCTCTATAAAATGCAGCCAAGCTGACATCTATGTTGTATCTGTGGTAATCTGACTTACTTGGCTCCCAGGGCTGCTGGAGGTGTGTGTCAGCAATTTCTTTATCAGTTCTTACCTTCCAGAGATTTCTAACTCTTCACAATGCAATCATGAATATTCACTAGAAGCCAAAATTGCACAAATTGAGTCCCAGCAGAGTACTGTACTAGTGTGTATGGCTAATAACTCGAAATCAAGATTCCCTAAAATGTTTCAGCAGAGTTTTGTAAAAGAAACTAAGCGATTTAGCAAAAGTTAAACAACAAAACCCTAATCAATATTCATCACTCTTGAATAACAGAAAAAGGAGCACTGGTCAGCATGTTGAAGGATATGAATTAAAGCACTCCTTCCTCTATTTAGTAGGTTTAATACTAACCTTTAGGCAAGTCATTTCACCTTTCTAAGATCTGTTTGCTCCTAAGATGGGAATAAGCCTTCTTAGATTTTAAACATTGGACTAGTGTCTTAACCACTCAAGAATTTGATTTCTTAATCTGTAAAGTAGGATAACGATTCTTACCTTATTTAACACCTTACACAATGTCAAGAAGAGTAGTGTATCTGGTCTACCCAGTTTGGTCATGGTTTCTAACCAAAAAGACATATTGGTTACACCTGGACTCGGGTAGATTGCCTTAACAACACCTGAGTGCTTTCTTCACTTGGTCTTCTGCTGGAAACAAAGAAGGACTAACTCCACATCAGGAAGTAAACTCAAGCCATTACTAATCCTTAACGTAAATACAAAGATACCTCGTAGAGCACAGCTGTAGCCATGGCGTGTTAATTATCCGGGGTATTAGATCTGAAGATATTCCTGCCTTATTCACAAAGTGCGTATTTATACACACAAGAACTCTTCAACAAAAGATTATCTTTTATGGAAATAATGTGGTCTTTTTTATTAAAATTATTCTAGAGTGATGTGGTTTTAACTATCAATCTCTCTGTTGTTGCAGGGTATAACCAGGAGTTGCGAAGTGGTCGTAGTTGTTCATGTCTCAATCTGGATCATCTTTGCTTTTTGCTTCTGCTTTGTGCTATCCCTCTTCCCGTACCTCAGTTCTATCTGGTGAGTTTGAATATCAGGTCTGATTTACCTCTATAGCATTCTTAGTCTCTTAAACTGCAATTGTACAAAGTTCAGCCATCTAGACTGTGGGTTTTTCCTTGACTACAGCAGAACCTATAAACAAAGTTCCTATTTGCTATTGTAGAAAATCATAAACTTAAGAACGGAAAAAAGGGTTATTGCCCTTTGAGATATTTATGGGGACTCACTTTGCCTGCTATAGTGAGATTCCTTTTATAAGCACCTCTGGTTTTTAAATGGGAAAGAACTATATTTCAAGTAAATACTCCCTGGAAGCATCTTCCCCATTGCTCAAATATCTTGTGCCCAAGGCTACACAGGCTAAGATAAAAGCTCTCCATTTGGGACAAAAGATTTTCCCTGACCTGGGGTTACAAATGGGTTTTTTAGACAACTAAACAGTGCACAAAACTGTTAGAAAAAAATCCCCAAATGTAGGAGCTGTGTTTCTTTCTTAAGAGAGACAACGCTCTTACAGAAGCCAAGAGTTTATCTCTCCCCTTCTTGGCTCCCATCAGCACTCAGATGGTTTGCTGGTTGTTTCTCCTACCCCAAACTGCTTGAGGAAGCAACAGTGTTTTATTCATACAATATGTTTGGTGCTTAGCATAGTGAGTAGCACACAATGGGCACTTACTAAATGTGTGTTGATTGATTACAGGCATGGATTCTAATACATGCAGAAGATATGAATGAGCACCAACCATGTCCACGGTTTTTCAAAATGCAATTCTTGATAGATAGTTGTATCTTATGATATGATTCTGACTTCGCCTCTCTAAAATGCAGTGTAGAGTTAAATATTCTGCTTGAGATTTTACTGTATATAATTTTCCAGCATACCACAATAGTAAATGTACTCTGGAATGCAAATCCAGTAATTAAGCTGGGTATGCTGCAAAGCTGGCAATGTCTTTGAAAACATATTTTCTAGAGAGTAGGCCTAGCTTAGATTTTTCCGCCTAATTTCCATTCTGTTCAGACAGGCTTCATGAGCAGTAACTTTTTCTTCATTATGGGTGCTTTGTTTATTATTTTTTAAATTCTTCCCACAGACAGGTCATTACTAACCAGCTAATGAGCTATTCTTTACGTATGATTTATATGAAAGCAGCAGAAAATATGCCCTATTAAGATTCGCTGCAGAATATATCCCCTTAAAAAGAGGTGGCCTGGAGAATAGCGTGAACCCAGGAGGCGGAGCTTGCACTGAGCAGAGATCGCGCCACTGCACTCCAGCCTGGGCGAAAGAGCAAGACTCCGTCTCAAAAAAAAGAAAAAAAAAAAAAAGAGTTGGCCTAATATAATAAATGTGGAAACAGTCTTGGTAAGGAATATTACCTGATATAGAAGTTTTCATAAAGAAGCCCTAGTTTGTGATGTTGAGAACTGATCTTTTCCTTGGACCTGTGCCATTGAGCCCAGTTCTGGCTCCCACAGTGCAGGTCTTCTGTGTGTGCAGAACAAGTGCATGTGGCTTTGAAGTTGCCATACACCATATGAATGAAAAGACAGAAAGAGTCCTTAAATAATTAACTGCTATATTAGATCTGCAGATGTTACAGTCAAACACATGCAGTGCACGCTTGCATGACACACAGCAGTGGTGTCTGGAGGTAACTGTTCATCTACTAGGAAAGTATTACATAATTGATTAAAATAATCTTAGGGAGTTGGCACAGCATACCCCTCTGCTTTTGCCAATGGCTGAGCCAGAGATTGAGATGCATTTTGGAAACACAGAAATCCAGTTTTGTTGGAATTAGTTATCAAATTAATTCAAGAGCTTAAGAAACTTGACAACTATCATGCAGAGTAAGTAACAAAACCCAAGACAGGCTGATTATCAATCTATGGTCTTAAGCACAATTTGCTATTAGACACTAGCTTCCCAGCCTGACTCCGAGTCTAGCTTTCATTCTCTCTGCAGTCCCTTCCAGGGAATTCCCTGTAGGATTTCCCCACAGAGCCCCTCCAGATAAATAGAGCTTCCCCAGCTAATCAGGCTGCTAAGATAGTCAGGCTTGGACCAGGACTCCTGCTTACTGGAGAATACAATAGACGTATACAACGTGGCCCTGCTGGGAAGAAACTTATAGTCTGCTGAAGAAGATCAGCCTATGGGTTAAACAGTAAGACATATGAAATGGTAGATTATTAAAATGAAAGTATGAGCCTGGGGTTTCAGAAGTTTAAGATAGAGATTCCATGATGACTAAAGTGATTTTTAAAGACTCTATGGAAGAGTTCAAATTTAGATTGAGACTTCAAAGATAAGTGGAGTAAACAAGAAAGGCTATGGGATAAGAGATGAGAGGAAAAGTAGACTTACTGAGTCTCTGAGTTGCCATACGTCTTCTTGGTCACAGTCTGTATCCTCTCTGAAGCAATGATTTTCCCCATGCTACTGTTACACAGATAACCATAAAACCTCTTGCTTGTACATGTTCAACAATTAAAAAAAAAAACCAAAAAACTCCCTTCTGTAGCTTTTAGCTTTACTGTTGGACACTGTTCATGACTATCATTGTGAGAAAATGCTTCTGATTTCCCTATAACTTGCCCTCATTGTCCCTAGTTTTGCCATCTGGAGTAGCATAGAACCAGTCTGTTGCATGAGGAAAGGCACAGAGCCAGGAATGAGCACTATGCCTTCCTGAGACATTAAGGGGTAATGTTCTGATTATAGTGGAAGATTTACTTGGAAGACTTAATTAGATAAGTCCACAGAAGCTAGGAAAGTAGCTTGGGGGAGGAGTTTGAAGGAGGAGAAGGTAAAAGAGGAAGAGATGAAGTCAGCAGCTATTATGTATCAAATGCTATTCCTTTTGCAGTAAATACTTATTGAATGCCTACTATTATTTCAGACAGTCTACTAGGACTTGGGAATGTGACAATGAAGAAGGTAAATATTGTGTCTGTTGTAGTAACCAAGATAGACTACATTATGCAACCCCAAATCTCTGTAGCTTAACACACAGAAAACTTACTTCTAACACATACCACAGGTCCAGTGCAGGACATCAGGGAATTCTATTTCATGTAGTCACTCAGGGGCCTAAACTGATGGAGGCTCCATGTCAAGCTACATTGCCATGATCATTAGAACAAGACAAAGAGAACTGGATAAGGGAATCAGCTACTGAAGCTTCTACCCAGAATGACCGTATCACATCTGTTCACAGATGATGGCCCAAAGCAAGAAATATAACCACAACTATCTTCCAAGTTGAAAGGAAGTTCAATCTTCTGGCACACTTGGCAGGTCAATTGGAATATTTAATAGAGAATACTGATTACTACCATATCTGACATTATGGAACTTGGAACATAGGTAATTAGGTGAAAACAGGCAAGTTTACAGGCAGTTATGATCAGTACAGTCAGTGCTATGATACGGGAAGATCTGTGGGAGGAGCACCTAACTCAGATTTTTGGAATAGTCAAAAAAGAATTACAAGAAAAACTGGTAAAGCCAGAAAGATGAGTACAAATGTAATTTAATAAAGAAGTAATTGAGACAGGGACTGGCAGGAATTTAGACCTGTAAACACCTAAAGACAAAGTATGTTAGAGGATCCAATTAAAAATAGCTGGATAACGGTGTTGGGGAGAGGTGTGCTTGGTAAAATTGGAGAAGCAAGCATTGCTCAAACCATGCAGAGGCGTTGTCAGCCTCACTGATGAGTTAGTGTTTAATCCTGAGAACAGTGAGGGACCATTTGCTAGACTTGAAAAAGATCTCTTGTTGAAGTGTGAAAGATGGATTTTGGTAGGGGGTGACAGTATTCTATTTGCAAGATACTTCCAGTACTTAACATATCCACAGGGTAGTTGTTATTATTTCCACTTCACAGATAAAAAAAAAATCAAAGTTTTAGAAAGGGTAAGTATATTCACAAAGATCATAAGGTTGTTAAGCAGATGCATTCAGAAGGGAGAGTAGAAGAGACTCAAAACCTGAAATGCATATGGTATCGAAGTCCATGCTTTATGGACTTCGTTATGATGTTGCCTCCTGATCATTCTAGAATATAATAACAGCACAAGAAGTGCTTCCATCATGATGAACTTATAACCTAACCTCTTGACCAAAGAGTGGCTTTAATTCACAGGGGAAGTTGGCATAGAAGTGTTTATACTTTACATTTTACCTCATTGACCTGGGTGACTGGGTCAGCATTTGGAAAGGGATGAGGGGACTGCCCCATCACCTCCTCAGTTTCTGTAGGTCATAGGATAAGAGTAGCAATGCTCTTAGTGAGAGAAACTCTCAGGGAAAAAAAATGAGGCTATAATAGGCACTGCTTCAAGTGAACAGTGAGATTTTTCTCCTTGTCAGAAGTGTCTGCTCAATCTAGGAACTAAAGACCAGCCTGGGTGGCTCTTGCCTTTCACAGCTCAAAATAGCAAAAGGCCTGGATGCATAAATACAGTGAGATCTGACAAGCCGGTAAAGAGGACAGCTTACTTTCTGTACCTCCCTTGGTACCACAATCCAAGGATGAGATACAACTAAAGTTGATTTCCATATATCACACTGCAATCTTTTCTAAGATTGATTTTCAAAATTGTTGCTCATGGGGGTGTCATTTGTTCAAATACATAGTCCAAGTTGTCCTTCACTTGAGATTCCAGTTGTTCTCAGAAGCTGCCTTTGAATCAAAGTTCTAGTTTTCAATTTTTGCAATTGCCTTTGCACTTTCCCTCATGCTTCCAGGGGTCCAGGTTAATAATGTTGGCAGCTTCCAGTGTTTGATCAGTTATTTATGATATCTTAAAATAAGTACTAACTGTGCATTTCTCTGGTATAATTTTGATAAGATTTGTTTTAGCTAAAACAAAAATTAAAATGTACAACACAATTCATTAATGGTTACTGAAAGTCTTCAATGCATTAAAACATTTGAATTTAAAATAGGTTATTATGATAGAGATTTGTATGTGTGTAGATGAGAAAAATTTGGAAGATGTTTACATATAGTGATCATCATATAATTAGCTTCTTTGGGAAAAGAATTATCTTATTCACTGTTCACACATGGAGATACTCGGAGGGTATGAATTGAACAAATGAACAATTTGAGTTGCTATAGAAGTGATAATAATCCCTTTATATTTCTCTACCACTTGAACTATTTGCTGAATTGAATAATCTCATCTTCAATCTCATTTGAATATTTTGAATATCCTACGAAGTATATGGGCTTGATGTTGTTATCCCTATCAGGGAAGATCCTGCATCTATCTGATCATGGATACAAGGAATTTAAATACAGATCTTTTCATAACCACTCCACTGCACCAGGCATAATCTGCAGCATTGCTTTAAAAACAATTACTTGATTTAAGAAAAATTGTGAATAGATACAGGTTTTCTTTGCCTTCTGAACCCTATCATTCAAATACCCTTTTTTACCTTGGGAATTTCTAGTGAAGCCTGTGTGAAGCCCTCTGAATGCTTTTTCCTCTTAGGTATTCTCTCCTCAAAGCTTCTTCTCAGAAAGGATCTGAGAAATGCTGTCATACCAAATCATAGCTTAATAGTGACCTCTTTTGGAAGGTTTTGTTTTTAGCAGAGTATATTACACAATCTGGTACTGTTCATTGTCTTCCCTGGTCTTAAAGTGCAGCTGGTGTGTCATATCACTATACAAGAAGCTCGTAAGAGCCAGCTCACTATGGTCAAGATCCTTGGACCAGGGGCTGGCCCAGATTGCCCTCCTGCTTGTCACCTTGACCTGCTCTTATAGTGCATGCCTTCCATGGCATCATAATGTGGACCCTCCTATGTGACTCAAAACCTTCCTATTTTTGTCGACTATTTGGACATTTTTCTGCAGCTTCCCTACATCACTTAGTCAGGATAGATAACCTGCAGCTTCCCTACATCACTTCCCATTTTTCTGCAGCTTCCCTACATCACTTAGTCAGGATAGATAACCCACTGTTAGCAGATATATATCAAATAGGTATCATTTCTGCCCACCATCAACAGCAGGATTTCTGGCATCAACCACCAATAGGAGGAGTTGGGGAAAATAAAAGAACATTCTAGAGCTTCTGATATCACATTTGTTCTGCATCTGCTTAAGACTTATGGCTATAACCTGTTTATCATAGCTGATTTCTTCAGTGAATGGAAGGATGTAAAAACTGCTTAAAATATTGATAGCATCCTTTCCACAAGCTCTTGTTTATCTGCCTTTTGTCCTCCCTACTCACTGCCCCTGTATCTTCATTGTTCTAATACTCACTGCTTCCAATTCCAGCTCGCCAACTCCAAACACCACATTGTTTGCACAGCGTGCAAATGGCAACCTTACCTGATATCTGACCTAAACTCAGGGTTTGGCACCCCAGTCTAAGCCTATCAGCCTAGTCCCAAATTTATCCAGGAAAGGAAGATCAGAAAACCCTTATCATGTTCTTCTGGTATTTTCTAACCTTAGAATTCCTGACTCTAAAAAATTAGACATCTAACCCTTTTCCCTGCCAAAATTTCTGAGTCCAAGTAGTGCCTTGATTATTTTCTCTCCTCTCTCATATAGGCCCTGGTATAACAATGCTGATTCATACATTATGATGACAATAACAGGCAATTAAATCGAGTATTGAGATGATAATTTATGGAGTATATGAAACTTAAAATCAAAACTTAAATATACCATTATCTCCATCATAAGGAACAATTAAGATATAAAAGCAGTTTACAAAAATGAAATGTTTAGGGAAAAGTGATTGAATAATGAGTGATGATAATAAAGAATTTACAAAATATGTATACAATCACACTTAAAACTAGGGGAAAATTACTGTTGGTATTGGAACCGAGAGATATGACCTAAAGACATATGAGATTAGGACAGAATGACAGTCGCTCCAATAGAACTGTCTATTCATGTTCAGAATGAAATTTTAGAATATAAGCTGTATTTTCCCCTTCAGTCTATGTAGATTTGTTTTTCCTCCTGTGGGTTCTCTGCAAGTCAATGTAACAGTCCCAACCACTTGCCAATTAAGCAAGAGGAGAATATTATTGTAAACAAGAACAAAAAGATACTAGTACACTCAGAATACCATACCATGTATAAAGACAAAAACGGGACTCTCTTAGTCTGTTTTGCTATGACAAAATACCTGAGGCTGGGTAATTTATTTTAAAAAGAGACTTATTTGGCTCATGATTCTGGTGGCCAGAAGTTCAGAATTGAACAGCTATTTGGTGCATACCTCGTGATGCTTCCACTCATGGTGGAAAGCCCAAACTGGGGAGTGTATGAAGAGATTACATTATGGGAGAGGCTAAGAATTCCTTTTGTAGAACCATAACTATTCCATTCCCATAAGAGAGAGAGCTCACTCCGCCTGGTGGGAGGGCATTCATCTACTCATGAAGGTCCTGCTCTTATGACCCAACTACCTCCCACTATTTCCCATCTCCTAATGCTGCCTCACTAGCATGACACATTAACATGACAGTAACATGAGTTTTGGCAGAGACAAACCACATCCAAACCACATCAGGGTCCCGCAGTCATTGTGGCTTCAGACAATTGTTGGTGTCTTTTTTGCTCCAAATACCTTTTGCCCTTTGCTGCCCAGTTCTCAATTGTACGTTATCTGTTCCCTGTTGAAATGAAGCTAAGAACAAGAATTCAGGCAAGTGCTTTCATAGTGAGAAAACATAGTTATAGTTCTTGACCTCAACAACTTATTTATTTTATTTGGGGACAATTTCAGCTGAACTGAAAGGCTGTCACTCAACACAGCTTCTATTTATCCACATGTTCCTTGGCTAACCCATGTAGAAGATAAAACCTCTTTACCAAATTGCTATTGTAGAGGTTAGAGATCTTGGTCTTTTAAAAGATAGCTCTCTTTATTTCACTGCCTTAAGCTAAGGTTCCAGGCTTAATGATCTGACATGTTAGTTTGTAGAATTTTATCTGGCAAAGATACGACTAATTTATTTCTGTGCAAAAGGTAAAACCAAAAGTTACATTTTGCCCTGTAGGACATTCATTTTGCATCTGACCTGGAAATCTCATCCTAAGAATTTTTTGCTGAATTGTCTATAAATACACTTTCAACTGGTCTTAACATCTTACTGTTTCTCTAATGAACTGAATAAAATCTATGATATGTTCACTTCACATTTGTTTTATTATTCCTATCAGAGAATAATAATAAAACATGAGGGTCATGGTCTTAACTTTTTAAAGATTTTGCTTTAGCGGTTTTAGAAAGTGTTCCACCAAGATACTTACTTAAGTAGACTAACCTGACAGACAAGGGAAGGATAGGGAGGGAAATCAAGACTAGAATTAGAATAAAAATACCTGAGTCAACTAAACTGAATGACTTGAAAGGACTACCTCAGGGTTTTTTTAATCTCAGGCACATCTCTTCCTGACTCCCCGAATATATTGTAAGCAGCAATACAACTTTAACATTGCTTACCCTGTTTCTCTAAGTTCATTTGTTACTTTTTTCCGATTTGTAGTATTTTTTTTTTTTCTGGTTCGCAGATGGACTACAGGTTTGTCTCTATTGGTAGCAAAATTGATAAAGTATTTGGCTTTATGATGCTACCATTTGGGATCTCTGTCAAATGATGATATTTATTTTCTGTTAGATAAAGGTAGAGAATCTGATTTGATATAATTTGTTTGCCTCTGTATCAATTGTGAGCTCAAATCAATTAAGAATTTTGTACCTGCTGGAAAAAAGAATACATCTTTAGGATGTGGACTGGAAGGTTTATATATTGCTCTGTTTATTTTTAACCTCAGAACTGAAACTATAGAGCTTTCTCTGTATTTCTGTAATTGATAAAAACTTTATATCTTTCACTGTATAGGTATGAAATGTTTTCCTACCCTAAGAAGATATTGATAAATTAGATTATAACATTTTTAAATTGAAGAAATTCTGCTCTCATAGAGAGATAAATACATTTTTATAGAAATTAATGTTTCCCAAATTCAAAGAAATAAGAAAACTGAAATAATATTATAGTTTAAATATTGTAGACTTTAAAAATCTCTAGAAATTCCTAACTCAGAAATATTTTTACTTAATAATACAAGTTCACATAACTAAGGTGAATCTTTGTACATATCAAATCAGTTTAATAATTTTGATTTTTAAAAAATAAAAGATAGGTATAAGCTTTTTCCATAAGTTTATCAGTATGGAGTATAATACAAGTATATACTTTATTTTTAAATAAGATTTGGGTTTGTTTTGTCATGAAAAGTTCAGTTACTCTGAGGTTTCTAAACTTCTTATGCTGTTTATTCATATATCAGGGAAGCCAATATTACTCCTACAAAATGTAACATAGGGAATGGACCTTCTAAGGAAATACTAAGTTTGTATCTGTGTGTATGTGAGCTAAGCCCTTGAAATAAGACTTAAGGGCTACCATGGATGTGATGCTTTAGAATTTCTGAGGTGCTTCTCATTAATTATCAAGCATAAAATATAACAGAGGGGACAAACATGCAGTGTTTACTACTATTGGGTAGAAAATAAAATTATTTTATTTAATTTTAATCTCAAGAAACAGGTATTGCAAATATTATATTCATTTTATTGAGAAGAGTGAGTCAAAAACGTTAAGTGACTTAGAAGATAACCCAGGTAATAAGTGGTGAACCTAGAAAATAAGAGATACAAAACACATCCTTCTAGCCAAGTGCTTTCTCCATTATAATAGTGGACTCTATATTTTGAGGACTACAAACTTTTAACAATATCTACATTTTGAGCATGCATCCCCTAACATGTAAATATTTGTTCACTTGCTTTATGTGTAATATTCATCTATCACATATACTATAAAAGAAAAACAACCATTTTACATTTTGAGATATAAAAACATAGAGGAGTTCTACCCTTTTCTCCCCATAGCAAGTGAATCATCCTTACACACTTGAGGGAATGTGCTATACATTAATTTCCCATTTATAATTTGTATTATTACTTATTTGTATTATTACCTATTATCTCAGTATATGACCAGCTTGGAGCCCCAAAGATCAAAGGAGATATGAAGAATCTAGAGAAAAATGGATTCTCTCGTGTTGGCCCTAACTCCTCTACAGTTACCATTTCAGAAATATAGTCCTTATTTTTGCCTAGAAGTCTAGGTTCCAACACATTTGTCACCCTCTCGCTTGGCTAATGTGCCCAAAATGAAACATATTGCATTTGTAGCCTTTGGGCTCCACAGTGTGCTCTGAGTTCTGCTAGGACAACTAGTGTTTATGTAATCAGAAAGGCCTTGACTATGGAAACGAATCACCTCTTCCTCCAAGTTGAATGTATTTATTTTTTATGCTTATCTTCAAAACCTTTCTGTGAGGTGTGGAAATCAGATATTATTTTCCATTTAATGGGGAAGAATCCTGAGGCTCAATATTAAGTATTATTTGCCTAATACACTTTAAATAGTAAACTATTAACAAAATTGTGTTGAATGAATGAATGAATGAGGCTAAGGAGCAGAACTATTTCTAAAATCTAAGTTGTCCAACTTCTAGTAGTGATGGATATTTTTCTTAAAATGCAATTGCCCCAGACAAGGGAAGGATAGGGAGGGAAATCAAGACTAGAATTAGAATAAAAAGACCTGAGTCAGGTTCTAAGTCATTTCTTAGCTTTCTTACTTCAATAAGTCACTGAGCCTTAGATTCCTTAGATTCTGTAAAATGGTGTATTTAATACCTGTGCAGCCCATCTCAGAAAGCTGTTAACAAAGTCAAACTAGGCAATCCATATAAAATTGTCTAAGAATCTTATTTCCTAAATCCCCTAGATGACTGAGAGGTAGGACTTTTTTCAAAATACCTGGATCAAGAAAGCCGTAAGTATGAAATATATTTATCAGCTATTCTGATAAAAGTATTCATCAGAATTAAGGGCTTCATTCTTCATCCAGTCACAAAATTGCATTATGATAAAAACTTTTATTCAACATGCAATATGAACTCATCACCAAATGTTATAAAAGCGTCCAAGATGTTAGGAGTCACTTCAAGGTAATTACAATCTATTTCTGAAAATTTATTATTATAATTTATTTTTTATAGCTCTGGAGGCTCAGGGTTTGGTTTCTTCTGGGGCTTCTCTTTTTTGCTTACAGATGGCCACCTTCTCCTGTGTCCTCACATGGTCTTTTCTTTGTGAGCATGCATCTGTGGTGTCTCCTTGTGTGTCCAAATTTCCACCTCTGATAGGAACATCAGTCACATTGGATTAGGGCCCACCCCGAAAACGCCATTTTTACTTGATCACCTCTTTAAAGGCCCTATCTTCAAATACAGCCACATTCTGAGGTACTCGGTTTTAGGATTCCAATGTACATATGAATTTTGAAGGGAGACTGTTCAGCTCATAACAGAAAGATAATCTAAAAATGCATGTGTGACAAAGATGAAAAGATAAGACAGAAAACTATGCTGTATAAATTCTGATAAAAGATAATTACCAAGGATTGAAGAGACTTATGAGAACATTTTTAGAGAAAATGAGATTGTGGTGGGTTTTGAAGTAGAGAGAAATAAAAGAGTGGGTGCTTGCTCACAGGAAGAACAATATGGACATTTGATAGGAAAAAGGATGTAAGTGAAGTACTTGCCTTACATGGCTTATCTGCCCCTGCTGCATCTCAAGATAATAAATAATAGTATTTACTATTATGGGTAACATTTCAGGTTATAAAATATTTTCATTTACATTCACTTGATCATAGTATTCACCTCCTAATAATCTATATTACAGCAACCTAGGTGTACTGACTCCAAAACAAGTTCTTGCCACCACATGGCCTTGCCCGAGCATTATAACTTTTAAAATAACATTTGATGTCCCACTTTATACCCTTGGATAAGGTAGAGCTGAAGTGATCTGGATATCAGATGTCAAGAAGGAATGAAAACAGGATAAAGCAAATGTTATTCGAGTTGGGGGCCAAATAAACACTATGCTATTCAAATAAACCCTAAACACAATGGGTGTCTGAGCTATTTTTATTGTATGTGTTAAGATGTAATTAAGAGTTTTTTTCTCTTCATATTTTTCCTGTATATATTTGAATCTAGAGAATCCAAGTCATTCTAAAAGATGTCACTCCTGTCAGCTTCCAGCTATTTTGTATAGTGTTTAATCAACTGATGAAGTTGGGTGCATGTCTTAAGATATGAAGTCATTTTGTCTGATTTGAAGTTCCTTTATTATCTATGTGATATATACTGTATATGTATTCTGTACCAGGAATGCATTTATAAATTCTTTCCTCAGCAACAGCTAAGATTTTTTACAAACTCAACATTTAAAATATTTAACTAGCATAAAAGAGATGGGACATGATCAGATAGCTGGAAAAATATTACTTAAGCCATTATTAAAAAGGTCAGGATATCAGGTGTCACATGGGTCTGTAGGCTGGCAAAGCTACAAAGATAAAATTATACAGAATAACTTCATCAAAGACTTTATTTGAAACTTCTTGCTCATCTGGTAACATATCCTAAAATGCATACCGAAACATGTACCTTACAAAAACCAATTATACTTTTTAGTAATATATCCAAAAATAAATAAAAATAACCAGAAACCTAGAGAGATGTTTATGTATAAAAAAATTATTAGACTAATATGTATAAAAGCCAAAGGGTGGTCACATTTCTGACAATATGGAAATTATTATTATTTTTTAAGGTGATTTGTTATTTCTTTTTTTTTATTATTATTATACTTTAAGTTTTAGGGTACATGTGCACAATGTGCAGGTTAGTTACATATGTATACATGTGTCATGCTAGTGTGCTGCACCCATTAACTCGTCATTTAGCATTAGGTATATCTCCTAATGCTATCCCTCCTCCCTCACCCCACCCCACAACAGTCCTCAGAGTGTGATGTTCCCCTTCCTGTGTCCATGTGTTCTCATTGTTCAATTCCCATCTATGAGTGAGAACATGTGGTGTTTGGATTTTTGTCCTTGCAATAGTTTGCTGAGAATGATGATTTCCAATTTCATCTATGTCCCTACAAAGGACATGAACTCATCATTTTTTATGGCTGCATACTATTCCATGGTGTATATGTGCCACATTTTCTTAATCCAGTCTATCATTGTTGGACATTTGGGTTGGTTCCAAGTCTTTGCTATTGTGAATAGCGCCACAATAAACATACGTATGCATGTGTCTGTATAGCAGCATGATTTATAGCCCTTTGGGTATATACCCAGAAATGAGATGGCTGGGTCAAATGGTATTTCTAGTTCTAGATCCCTGAGGAATCACCACACTGACTTCCACAATGGTTGAACTAGTTTACAGTCCCACCAACAGTGTAAAAGTGTTGCTATTTCTCCACATCCTCTCCAGCACCTGTTGTTTCCTGACTTTTTAATGATTGCCATTCTAACTGGTGTGAGATGGTATCTCATTGTGGTTTTGATATGCATTTCTCTGATGGCCAGTGATGGTGAGCATTTTTTCATGTGTTTTTTGGGTGCATAAATGTCTTCTTTTGAGAAGTGTCTGTTCATGTCCTTTGCCCACTTTTTGATGGGGTTGTTTGTTTTTTTCTTGTAAATTTGTTGGAGTTGATTATAGATTCTGGATATTAGCCCTTTGTCAGATGAGTAGGTTGCGAAAATTTTCTCCCATTTTGTAGGTTGCCTGTTCCCTCTGATGGTAGTTTCTTTTGCTGTGCAGAAGCTCTTTAGTTTAATTAGATCCCATTTGTCAATTTTGGCTTTTGTTGCCATTGCTTTTGATGTTTTAGACATGAAGTCCTTGCCCATGCCTATGTCCTGAATGGTAATGCCTAGGTTTTCTTCTAGGGTTTTTATGGTTTTAGGTCTAACCTTTAAGTCTTTAATCCATCTTGAATTAATTTTTGTATAAGGTGTAAGGAAGGGATCCAGTTTCAGCTCTCTACATATGGCTAGCCAGTTTTCCCAGCACCATTTATTAAATAGGGAATCCTTTCCCCATTGCTTGTTTTTCTCAGGTTTGTCAAAGATCGGATAGTTGTAGATATGCGGCGTTATTTCTGAGGGCTCTGTTCTGTTCCATTGGTCTATATCTCTGTTTTGGTACCAGTACCATGCTGTTTTGGTTACTGTAGCCTTGTAGTATAGTTTGAAGTCAGGTAGTGTGATGCCTCCAGCTTTGTTCTTTTGGCTCAGGATTGACTTGGTGATGCGGGCTCTTTTTTGGTTCCATGTGAACTTTAAAGTAGTTTTTTCCAATTCTGTGAAGAAAGTCTTTGGTAGCTTGATGGGGATGGCATTGAATCTATAAATTACCTTGGGCAGTATGGCCATTTTCACGATATTGATTCTTCCTACCAATGAGCATGGAATGTTCTTCCATTTCTTTGTATCCTCTTTTATTTCATTGAGCAGTGGTTTCTAGTTCTCCTTGAAGAGGTCCTTCACGTCCCTTGTAAGTTGGATTCCTAAGTATTTTATTCTCTTTGAAGCAATTGTGAATGGGAGTTCACTCATGATTTGGCTCTCTGTTTGTCTGTTGTTGGTGTATAAGAATGCTTGTGATTTTTGTACATTGATTTTGTATCCTGAGACTTTGCTGAAGTTGATTATCAGCTTAAGGAGATTTTGGGCTGAGACAATGGGGTTTTCTAGATATACAATCATGTCGTCTGCGAAGAGGGACAATTTCACTTCCTCATTTCCTAACTGAATACCCTTTATTTCCTTCTCCTGCCTAATTGCCCTGGCCAGAACTTCCAACACTATGTTGAATAGGAGTGGTGAGAGAGGGCATGCCTGTCTTGTGCCGGTTTTCAAGGGGAATGCTTCCAGTTTTTGCCCATTCAGTATGATATTGGCTGTGGGTTTGTCATAGATAGCTCTTATTATTTTGAGATACATCCCATCAATACCTAATTTACTGAGAGTTTTTAGCATGAAGGTTGTTGAATTTTGTCAAAGGCCTTTTCTGCATCTATTGAGATAATCATGTGGTTTTTGTCTTTGGTTATGTTTATATGCTGGATTACATTTATTGATTTGCGTATATTGAACCAGCCTTGCATCCCAAGGATAAAGCCCACTTGATCATGGTGGATAAGCTTTTTGATGTGCTGCTGGATTTGGTTTGCCAGTATTTTATTGAGGATTTTTGCATCAATATTCATCAAGGATATTGGTCTAAAATTCTCTTTTTTGGTTGTGTCTCTGCCCGGCTTTGGTATCAGGATGATGCTGGCCTCATAAAATGAGTTAGGGAGGATTCCCTCTTTTTCTATTGATTGGAATCATTTCAGAAGGAATGGTACCAGTTCCTCCTTGTACCTCTGGTAGAATTCGGCTGTGAATCCATCTGGTCCTGGACTCTTTTTGGTTGGTAAGCTATTGATTATTGCTACAATTTCAGATCCTGTTATTGGTCTATTCAGAGATTCAGCTTCTTCCTGGTTTAGTCTTGGGAGGGTGTATGTGTCGAGGAATTTATCCATTTCTTCTAGATTTTCTAGTTTATTTGCATAGAGGTGTTTTTAGTATTCTCTGATGGTAGTTTGTATTTCTGTGGGATCGCTAGTGATATCCCCTTTATCATTTTTTATTGCATCTATTTGATTCTTCTCTCTTTTTTTCTTTATTAGTCTTGCTAGCGGTCTATCAATTTTGTTGATCCTTTCAAAAAACCAGCTCCTGGATTCATTAATTTTGGAAGGGTTTTTTGTGTCTCTATTTCCTTCAGTTCTGCTCTCATTTTATTTATTTCTTGCCTTCTGCTAGCTTTTAAATGTGTTTGTTCTTGCTTTTCTAGTTCTTTTAATTGTGATGTTAGGGTGTCAATTTTGGATCTTTCCTGCTTTCTCTTGTGGGCATTTAGTGCTATAAATTTCCCTCTACACAGTGCTTTGAATGTGTCCCAGAGATTCTGGTATGTTGTGTCTTTGTTCTCGTTGGTTTCAAAGTACATCTTTATTTCTGCTTTCATTTCGTTATGTACCCAGTCGTCATTCAGGAGCAGGTTATTCAGTTTCCATGTAGTTGAGCAGTTTTGAGTGAGTTTCTTAATCCTGAGTTCTAGTTTGATTGCACTGTGGTCTGAGAGGCAGTTTGTTATAATTTCTGTTCTTTTACATTTGCTGAGGAGAGCTTTACTTCCAACTGTGTGGTCAATTTTGGAATAGGTGTGGTGTGGTGCTGAAAAAAATGTATATTCTTTTGATTTGGGGTGGAGAGTTCTGTAGATGTCTATTAGGTCCGCTTGGTGCAGAGGTGAGTTCAATTCCTGGGTATCCTTGTTAACTTTCTGTCTCGTTGATCTGTCTAATGTTGACAGTGGGGTGTTAAAGTCTCCCATTATTATTGTGTGGGAATCTAAGTCTCTTTCTAGGTCACTCAGGCCTTGCTTTATGAATCTGGGTGCTCCTGTATTGGGTGCATATATATTTAGGATAGTTAGCTCTTCTTGTTGAATTGATCCCTTTACCATTATGTAATGGCCTTCTTTGTCTCTTTTGATCTTTGTTGGTTTAAAGTCTGTTTTATCAGAGACTAGGATTGCAACCCCTGCCTTTTTTTGTTTTCCATTTGCTTGGTAGATCTTCCTCCATCCTTTCATTTTGAGCCTATGCATGTCTCTGCACATGAGATGGGTTTCCTGAATACAGCACACTGATGGGTCTTGACTCTTTATCCAACTTGCCAGTCTGTCTCTTTTAATTGGAGCATTTAGTCCATTTACATTTAAAGTTAATATTGTTATGTGTGATTTTGATCCTGTCATTATGATGTTAGCTGGTTATTTTGCTCGTTAGTTGATGCAGTTTCTTTCTAGTCTCGATGGTCTTTACATTTTGGCAGGATTTTGCAGTGGCTGGTACCAGTTGTGCCTTTCCATGTTTAGCGCTTCCTTCAGGAGCTCTTTTAGGGCAGGCCTGGTGGTGACAAAATCTCTCAGCATTTGCTTGTCTGTAAAGTATTTTATTTCTCCTTCACTTATGAAGCTTTGTTTGGCTGGATATGAAATTCTGGGTTGAAAATTCTTTTCTTTAAGAATGTTGAATATTGGCCCCTACTGTCTTCTGGCTTGTAGAGTTTCTGCTGAGAGATCCACTGTTAATCTGATGGGCTTCCCTTTGTGGGTAACCTGACCCTTCTCTCTGGCTGCCCTTAACATTTTTCCTTCATTTCAACTTTGGTGAATCTGACAATTATGTGTCTTGGAGTTGCTCTTCTCGAGGAGTATCTTTGTGGCGTTCTCTGTATTTCCTGAATCAGAATGTTGGCCTGCCTTGCTGGATTGGGGAAGTTCTCCCGGATAATATACTGCAGAGTGTTTTCCAACTTGGTTCCATTCTTCCCATCACTTTCAGGTACACCAATCAGACGCATATTTGGTCTTTTCACATAGTCCCATATTTCTTGGAGGCTTTGTTCATTTCTTTTTATTCTTTTTTCTCTAAACTTCCCTTCTCGCTTCATTTCATTCATTTCATCTTCCATCACTGATACCCTTTCTTCCAGTTGATCACATGGGCTCCTGAGGCTTCTGCATTCTTCAAGTAGTTCTCGAGCCTTGGCTTTCAGCTCCATCAGGTCCTTTAAGCACTTCTCTGTATTGGTTATTCTAGTTATACATTCTTCTAAATTTTTTTCAAAGTTTTCAACTTCTTTGCCTTTGGTTTGAATTTCCTCCTGTAGCTCGGAGTAGTTTGATCATCTGAAGCCTTCTTCTCTCAACTCGTCAAAGTCATTCTCCGTCCAACTTTGTTCCGTTGCTGGTGAGGAACTGCGTTCCTTTGGAGGTGGAGAGGCGCTCTGCTTTTTAGAGTTTCCAGTTTTTCTGCTCTGTTTTTTCCCCATCTTGTGGTTTTATCTACTTTTGATGTTCAATGATGGTGACGTACAGATGGGTTTTTGGTGTGGATGTCCTTTCTGTTTGTTAGTTTTCCTTCTAACAGACAGGACCCTCCGCTGCAGGTCTGTTATAGGAACAGCTCCGGTCTACAGCTCCCAGCGTGAGCGACACAGAAGATGGGTGATTTCTGCATTTCCATCTGAGGTACCGGGTTTATCTCACTAGGGAGTGCCAGACAGTGGGTGCAGGACCGTGGGTGCAGTGCACTGTGCGCCAGCGGAAGCAGGGCGAGGCATTGCCTCACCGGGAAGGCAAGGGGTCAGGGAGTTCCCTTTCCTTGTCAAGGAAAGGGGTGACAGATGGCACCTGGAAAATCGGGCCACTCCCACCTGAATACTGCGCTTTTCCGACGGACTTAGGAAACGGCACACCAGGAGATTATATCCCGCACCTGGCTCGGAGGGTCCTACGCCCACGGAGTCTCGCTGATTGCTAGCACAGCAGTCTGAGATCAAACTGCAAGGTGGCAGCGAGGCTGGGGGAGGGGCACCCGCCATTGCCCAGGCTTGCTTAGGTAAACAAAGCAGCCGGGAAGCTCAAACTGGCTGGAGCCCACCACAGCTCAAGGAGGCCTGCCTGCCTCTGTAGGCTCTACCTCTAGGGGCAGGGCACAGACAAACAAAAAGACAGCAGTAACCTCTGCAGACTTAAATGTCCTTGTCTGACAGCTTTAAAGAGAGCAGTGGTTCTCCCAGCACGCAGCTGGAGATCTGAGAACGGGCAGACTGCCTCCTCAAGTGGGTCCCTGACCCCTGACCCCCAAGCAGCCTAACTGGGAGGCACCCCCCAGTAGGGGCAGACTGACACATCACATGGCCGGGTACTCCTCTGAGACAAAACTTCCAGAGGAACGATCAGACAGCAGCATTCGCGGATCACAAAAATCCATGGTTCTGCAGACACCGCTGCTGATACCTAGGCAAACAGGGTCTGGAGTGGACCTCTAGCAAACTCCAATATGGAAATTATTAACTAAGTTATGATGCAACCATAGGATTAACTATTAAGCTACCATTAAATATTAGAGGTCCACGTAAACTCTCATCTTCAGTCTGGGAATCCTTCACCCTATAGCTCTAGAGCCTGGCTACTCAAAGTGTAATCTGTAGACCACTTGCATCAGCATCAGCTTGTTAAAAATGCAGAATCTCAGGTTGCTCCCCAGAGTGACTGAATTAGAATCTACATTTTAACAAAATCCCAGGAGGTAGCTATGCATATTAGAGTTTGAGGCATCATGACCTAGAAGAAAAAGGAGTGTCACGTATGTCTGATTTGCAAATAATAACACTAAGGCATAAATATATTCTCTGTGAGACGGAAGCCTAGGTGGGGCTACATTCAACTATCTTTTTAAAATGATAATTTAACTGAGATAGTGCAAGTTTATTTACTGTTATTGTGTTTGGTAGAATTTTTCCAGAAAATAATTCACTTACTAATAGATAATAGCAAACTGGTTAAAAAGAGCATGAGTGAAAACATTTATCAGCTACTTTGTCCTCAGAATCTCTGGCTTCAACCTTATCTCTAAGCCCACTTAGAAAGTAGTTAAGTTGCCACAAGGAAGTCATATGCAAGTCTTATAGTCATAGTGCAGCATTACAGACAAAACCAAGGAGAGGCAGCTCAGAATCCTTGTCAGGTATAAAAAAAGATTCCTGGAGGATGTGGTTCCACTTAAACTTGAAGGATGTTGTAACTACATAGTATTCTGAAAATTAAGACCAAGTATTACACAAGTTATGAGACCCCTTCAGTGCCATACTATCTGGATTTTCAAAAAGATTTTCCAATGTCTCAACTAAGACCTTATATATAATACCTTCCCTTTCACATGTTTAACAATCAGATGATTAAGACCAAATATTGTCTCAAAAAAAGCTCTGAGAAGCATATTACTCTGACTTTTTATTCATGCCAGCCACACAATTATTCATTCATTTACCTTTGAGCAACTACTATGTGCCAAGTACAATGGCTTTATGATGGAATGCTAAATTACCGCAATCCCCCATAAATGGCTGATCATCTAGGCAGACAAGTAGTAAAGTGACTGAATCAATTAAGTTCAATGTGAAATATGCCATCATATGGACATGATACAAATGCTTAATGGAAGTATTTATTTCATTCTGAGATAGGGAGAAGTGTAAGGTTTCTCAGAGATAGGAACACTCATCTGGCTTCTATTTACACCACTTTGTTAATACTCTCCTAGTCCAGAATATCAGAGCCATCTGATTTATTCTGCACCCCACACCTAACAGAAAAAGATTAGTAGCTACCATACTCTGAATAACTGCTATAGGTGTTACAGTAGGTAGTTAGTCAGATATGAGCGGGATAGGAAAGGCTCCCACCACCACTAGGAATGTCACGCAATTATCAGGTGATGGTCAGGTGGTTATTAAACTGTCTCTCTAAAATAATAATTGGCCACAGCCAGCACCAAGGAAAAGCGGTCTCCCAATAGGTAAAAACCGGAAATTGGTGATTAACAGCTTCCCAATAAAATCTCAGGAGTTGGGCAAGTGGACTCAAGAATGCAGTTTAAGAGGCAAAATGGCAGAGTTTAACTGGTGTATTACCTACTATATGACCTTCTAGGGACATATGATTGGTAAGGGAAGAATGCCTCCAGTGAGCATGTGTACAGCTCCAGTAAACACATTGTGCATGCTCACCTCCCAAGTGCGGGTGGGCCACTGTGCATGCAGACAGCCCACCCTAAGGGAAAAATCAGGGGAGAAGGGATGCAAGACCCCAGAAACATGCCAACATATAAAACCCGAAGTCAAAACGTCAAACGGTGCACTCGATCTCTCAAGTCACCTGCTAGGCCCTCTTCCAAGTGTGTTTATCCTTGCTTTCATTCCTGCTTTAAAGCTTTTTGATAAACTTTCATTTCTGGTCTAAAGTTTGCCTTGGTCTCTTATTCTGCCTTTTGCCCCTCACTGGAATTCTTTCTTCTGAGGAGGGAAGAATTGAGGTTGCTGCAAACCTGTACAGATTTGCTGCCAATAGAATATTTGGTGCTGTGTCTCCAATATGTTCCACTAACATAGGTGTCAGACCTTCTGGGTGTTGGCACACTTCTACCCAATCTTTGCATCTCAGTTAATATCTCCAATTTCCATATAGTTGGTTAGGCTAAAAACTGAGGAATCATCTTTGAGTCTTTTCTTTTCCTCACCCCCACAATGAATCCAGTAGCAAATCTTCTCATGTTTACCTTTAATGTAAATTCCCAATCCCCACTTCTTTCCTGTCCACTGCCGCCACCAAGTCTAAGCCTCCATCACTGCTCACCTGGATTCTGCAAGATCTTCCTATATGACCTGCCATTCCTT
Organism: Homo sapiens; assembly: GCF_000001405.40. Lineage (NCBI taxonomy): Eukaryota > Metazoa > Chordata > Mammalia > Primates > Hominidae > Homo > Homo sapiens. Next base: position 22,004,377 of record NC_000011.10, read on the forward strand.
CTCTTGCTCCTCATCAGATGTTTCTTCTCACAGTAGTTAGAGAAATTCTTGCATAATACAGACAAAATTGTACTATTCCCTGTCCTAAAGCCAGCTGATGTCTTCCCATTCACACATGGAATAAACAGAGTGTCTATTAGAACCTCCATGATTTGCTCCTGTATCCCTAAAACCTTACCACATGCCAGCTCTCCATTCCATACTGGTCACATTTATATTCCTGATGTACTTTCTCATGGCTGAGCTCTTGCTTGTCCTGTCTCTCTGCCTGGAACTCCTATTTATCTTGCTGCTAGAATGACTAACTCTCATTCTTCTGGTTTTAACTTAATTACCATTTCAGAGAGGCTTTTCTAAAATAGTATGCCCAAGCCCTACCCCATTATACTGACTATATCATCTTGATTATTTTCTTTATACAACTTATCATCAAGTTATCAAATGCAATGGCTTAAAGAAGAGGATTTATGGTTCCCTATAATCTCTATCAGCACACATAAAGTCAAGTCACATAACATAACATCTACATTACAAGAATATGACTGTCATATTTCAAGACAACACTCCCAGCTGCCCACCATCATCCAAACAGGTTGCAGACCCTAACACCTATATAAAATGCTAGCAGTATCACTGATTATCCTCAAGTATTATTCTTTAACTCATTTATTATTTGTTTACTGTCTATCATACTATAATATAAGCTTTTGATATACCTAACATATAGCACAATGCAAGAGCCAATAAATATCACATAAGTAAATAAATGGGTCAACTATACAGACACAGCTGTACTTATAATATCAATAGAATGTGAGGACCATGATCCATCCATTGCCTTTTGTCCCCTCACCCTTTAGCTATTCATTAATTCCTTGATTCATTTAGTCATCAAATATTTAATAAAGATTACATTTCTAAGAACTAGGAAGACAGAAGTGAACAAGACAAACAAAACCCCTGCCCTTGAGAATCTTATATTTTTCTATTAATTTAGTTGGAAAAGACAGACAATAAATACAACACATAAATAAACTATATAGTAAGTTAAATATGTCATGAAAAAAATAAATTAGGGTGAGGAAATAGGAAGTACAAAGGGAAGGGTGCCAAATTTAAACAAGGCAGTCACGATAGGTGATACGTGAGCATAGAGCCAAAGGGTGTAAATTGCAGATTCAGTTTTCAGAATGGGTTTTACTAAAATTGATTGCATGCTTGGATCTTAGTCATAGAATAGTGGACCAGGAAGGCATCTTAAAGATCTCTGAGCTGGGCATGGTGGTGCCACCTGTAGTCTGAGCTACTCAGGAGGCTGAGGTGAGAGGATCACTTGAGCCCAAGAGTTTGAGGCTGCAGTGAGCTGACTGTGCCACTGCCCTCCAGCCTGGGTGACAAAGCAAGACCCTGATGCTAAAACAAATAAACAAACAAAACAGCTCTGTGTAGTGGAGTACCATTCAAGACAAGCCACAACTTCCCAAAGGACTCTAATACAATTGAGGATGTCTAGGTGATGCTAATTGTACCTGAAATGACCTCACATCTTCTCTTTCTTTGTTTTGTTCTTTGATATGTGTTGTGTTACATCATTTAATTGCGTTTTATTTGGTGTGTAAGCATGATAGAAGACAGTAGAGAAAATATGAGGCTAGCTCAGAAGATAATTTGTTGGTCTAAACCCAGAAGAATACATCTTCATCTCATGGAATGAATTAAAATCATCACTTCACCCACTGTCTGGCACAAAGAAAGCACTTGGAAGTTGTTAACTTTAGGAATTGTTAACTGACAATATCCTTGTCATCATCTTCATCATCATCACTTCATTTACTCCTCAGGGTTTTGAAGAGGGTCCTATTACTACTTCCATTTAACAGATGAGAAAACTGAAGGTAGAGAGATTGGGTCAACCTAACTTCTCAAGTGAATTCAAACTAAACCAATATGACATTCATTTATAGTGCCCAATTAATTTGCCAACTAATTGTGGAACAGAAGATTGGAGAAGACTCTGTACTCTATGCTCTATCCCACCTTATCCTTCATTCATATTTTCAGCAAAGGAAATAAACGAATCTACTCCTTTACCCTAGACTTGTGCATAAAGACTGCAAGGATTTCCCTTTTCCCATTTACTGGCATTCCACCCTAGTCAGAGAAGAATGGCTTAGGAATGCTTTACATGGGCACTAGTTCTAGTCATGGCCCACAGCCAAGATGTAAGTGATTTTTTAAATAAGAAACTTCCAAAAAATTTGGAAATGTTGAAACACTTTTTAAACAATGACAAATCATATTCAGAAATCTAAAGGTACCATCATGTGCCATTGCTTTCAGAATCATGTTCAACTGGTGAATTAAATAACAGGAGTCTTGGGAGACACTGTGGCAAACTGAGGGGGCAGCCAGCAAATTCACTAAAAGTATCAATTTGGAATTTCCTACTCTGTCTTCCCTGAAGATAAGTTTAAACATTTACATGTTTTAAAGTTCCTTAATCTGACTTACCTCAATAATTCTATCCTTATGCTTTCTGGTTTGTAATCATTATAAGTCAATTTCTCTCCCAAAGGCAAAATCTAAAGAAATATGTATATATATATATACATATTATAGACATTTATATATATTCATTCCAAGACAGCTTACAGCTGACTTGGTTTTTCTCTCCTATTTTTATGTTGCACAGAGAGAGGCTGAAATCAATGTAGTGCCTTTTTGCCACCTAGTGGGAAATTTAATTTTGCTATTTCTTCCTTATCTCTTTTTTGCCAAGAGATAATAGAATTCTGTGCAAACAAAGCAGAAACAGGGAAGTCTATGTGTATACCTTCAGCATAGAATATCAGAAAGACAATGTATGTTTCAGAGAAAAGATCTGTCAGTGGTTAGAAGTTCAGGAGTAACATTCTTCCACTGTATTCTCAAGTCTGGTATTCTTTGATATCATTGTACTATCATTTTCTCTGCATTCATCTTTTAGGTTGCATTTCATGAGATCAATAGTATAAATATTATTCTGAAGAGTGTAGACCTAACAAATTAGTTACATCCAAATTCAGTATGCCTGAGGCTTCAAGGTCTCTTGAAAGAAAAAAAAATTCTAACGATAAAATATCCAACAATTAAAAATTTGCATCAAGAAGAGTAAGAGCTTCAATTTAATGAGAGTTTATTATGTATGGGATGCATTATGTATGTGAAATGTTGAGCAGAGTAGCTATCACATAGTCAGGACCCATAGTTATTTTATAAGAAAAGCTGTTAATTACCTCACATCTATTATTTTGCTTTATCCTCACTATTGCCTTCAAAAAATGATATTTTTCAGATTTTACATATGAGAAACTGAGACTCAGAGAGTTGAACTTATAAATGGGGAAGCCAGAATTTTCACTCTTGTGTGTCAGCAACTAAAATTTATTTCATAACCTGTACTCATTGTCCAAATAAGTCAATTAATAAACAAAATAAGAAATTCATTGCACTCCTAATAAGTAGAACTTTTCCCAATACAGTCATGTTTCATGTAACAATGTTTCAGCCAATGAAGGACCTCATATATGACTATAAGAATATAATGGAACTGAAAAATTCCTATCACCTAGTGATGGATTAATGATCCCGACCCTATGTAGGCCTAGGCTAATGTGTGTATTTACATCTTCATTTAAAAAAAAAAAGGTTAAGAAATACAAAAAATAAATAAAATAAAAATTAAGGTTTTTAAATAGAAAAAAGCTCATAGAATAACAATTTAAAAAGTATTTTTATACACTTGTAGAATGTGTTTGTGTTTTAAGTTAAGTGTTATTATAAAAGGGTCAAAATGTTTTTAAAAATTAAAAAGTTTATAAGATAAAAATGTTATAGGAAGTTAAGGTCAATTTATTATGGAAGAATGAATTTTTTTTTTTTTTTTGATACAGAGTCTAGCTCTGTCACCAGACTAGAGAGCAGTGGCGCGATCTCAGCTCACTGCCACCTCTGCCTCCTGGGTTCAAGTGATTCTCCTGCCTCAGCCTCCCTAATAGTTGGGACTACAGGCACATGCCACCATGCCCAGTTCATTTTTGTATTTTTAGTAGAGGAGGGGTGTCACTCTGTTGACCAGGATGGCCTCGATCTCTTGACCTCATGATTGGCCCGCCTCAGCCTCCCAAAGTGCTAGAGAAGAATGAAATTTTTTATAAATGTAAGGTAGCCTTGGTGTACATAGTTTATAAAGTCTACAGTAGTATACAATAATGTCCTAGGTCTCACATTCCATATAGCCTATAGCCTAGATGTGTAGCAGGCTATACCATCTAGGTTTGTGTTTATACTTTATGATGTTCATACAAGGATGGAATCACCTAACAACACATTTATTGGAAAGTATCCCTGTCATTAAGTGATACATGACTATATATGACTCTACAGCAATGTTGCCCACTTTTTTGACAGTAGTATATTTATCTATATGGGTACGTTAGACCAAAGAGCAATAAGACTTAGCCCCAGGTGCCAAGACCTATGAACAGATCAATAAAGACCTTAATACGACCCAGTGGCCTATAAGAAAAAGCCCCATTGTTTCAGAGGAACTGCTGATGGAATTGTTGCTATTCAATTGGTATGTTATTATAGTGGTGTCCTGGTAACCACAGATTGATGGGAGAAATACCAACACAATGGATAGAACAATGGTATATTTTGGTAGCGTATGAGAGGTCACACAGCATCATCTTTATGATCTTTGACTCTGGAGCCAAACAGCCTGGGTTTGAATGATGGCTCGGCCATTTACTAACTCTGTGACTGTATGCAAGCTACTTAACCCCAAATGCGTCAGTTTCTTCATCTTTAAAAATAACAATAACACTTCCTACCCCACTGGGATATTGGAAGTGCTAAATGAGTTATTTAATATAAAGCCCTTAGGATGATGCTTGACTAAATAGTAAGTGTCAATAAATTTTAGACATCATAATAGAGCTTTTTTTTTCAGATCTGTGACTTTATATTCAATCTGTTCTTCAGTTCCTGTGGGAAAGCAGACACAGCTCACTAGACTCAAAATGAACTATACCAGGCATGAGATTTAAAAAAAATCATTCACAAGAATTTTTCTCTGAGAGAAAACTCCATCTTTGATCATGAGAATGAGTTGAGGTGAAATGTAAGAACTTCCACAGATGGCTTCAAAGAGAGAGACAGACAGAGAGAGAGAGAGAAAGAAAATTCTTCTACAAAAGGGAAGAAGAATATGAGATTCCAAAGGGTGAGTGAGGGGCAGTGGATATATAAGTGAAAGACAACAGGAATCAGAAAGGTAGAGGAATATTGGGGAAATGGTAGAGAAATAGGACTTAGGAGCAGCAGCAAAGAAAGTTCATAGAATTGTCCAAAAAGGGATTTTTAAGTTGTGTGCTAAAACTGACCCCTATCCTCGTTCCACTACAAAATCTAAAATAAATTCTACATTCCTTACTAATGCTTTTGTGTGAGGAAATTATTTTGGAAAGTTCAAAGACATTTTATATGGGTTCAGGTGGATGCCAGGAACAGAGAACAAACAACAACACAAAGGCTCAGAGGCTAGCATTAGAGGCAAGAACTAGAACTAGAGGTAGAAATCCCCAGATATCAGTAAAACTATGAAGAAAGCTACAGGTTTCCAAGGGCATAGAATTGATTAGAATCTTAGTAACACTGACTCTGCCTTAATTTAACTTTAGTGATGTTTTAAGTATGACAAAAGATCAAGACATTATTACATTTTATGATTTTTTTAACTGCAAGAGTATAACCAGCAGAACATATAGTATTCTTTTGTAAGACATTTAGCAGAGACATGGTATTATATAGAATCAGGATTATAGACTGAGAATATTCCACAGAGAAGAAAAATAAGGGGAAGCAATGCAGGCAAAGATCAATGACACTTGTCATGGTAATGAGGCAAACTAAAAAGCTGAGTGTACATGAAAATTTATTTCAATTAATAATAGACATTTTAAAATTTCACAAATATATTCCCATCCATTATTTCATTTAATTTTCATGCTATGCCTATTATTAGGATAGGACAGGGATTATTCTTCCCTTTTATTTGAAATAAACCCAACAACCTTTAATAAGTTCTATCTTTAGTAGAAAAACAAAGCAGAATGCACATTCAAATTGTCTGACCACTGGTCTAAAACTTATTTGTTCTTTCATTCGATAAGTATGTATTGAGGGCCTACTAACGATCTGGCTCCATGCTATATTCTGTAATGAGACATCTCTTGAATATAAACTATGCCTTCTTGAAAATAATGACTTGCAGGGGCCAACAGTTCACAAATATTTTTCTAGAGAAAGAAGAAAGTGAATTGTGTGTTAAGGGTTTCTTCCTACTGTTTATACTTCAAAAGCAAATATATCCTTGCAATGGTGGTAGCTTCATGTCACACCACCTACCAGACTCAGGCCTGGAAGAATATACTAGGAAACCCTTGGATATTTGTGGCCAGATGCATGTACTAAACATTCCATTATTCTAGTTTCTTTGTTCCAGGGGCAGCTTGTTCTGTAACCACTGAATAATACTGCTTAATTTCAGAGTTCACTATCATGGTTTTGACTGGTTTAAGCAAATATAATTTATGATCTCTATGTGCCACATGGGACGCTGGAAACTAGTTTCCACAGTACTTCCAACAACTCCAATATAAGTAAATCCCTGTCTCTCATCCTATGATCCTCATTTATAAAATGAGAATGGTAACAGTACTCAATTCACAGGGTTACTAGAAAATTTGATGGATTTGTATACAGAAGTACCAAACACATGGTCGGTGCTTAATGATTGTTATTTTTTGTTATTAATATTCTGTTATAAATTTAGAAGGTTAATTATTTAACCAAGATCCCATAGCTAGTAAGGGGTAGGGGCTGGTTCTGATTCCAGAGCCAGGGATTTTAAACTCAGCTATCCTAAAGTAGAAATGTAATTATGTCTGGCAATGAGACCCAAGCAGAGGGTCAGTGAAAATGAAGTTAGAATGGTGAGCATAAGAAAGGGGAAAAAAATTTAAAACTGTTTCAATAACTTGACTTGATGAAAGCAATGACTAGATTCTGTGAAAAGAAATACAAACTAACGAGCCTCAGGGCAAAAAAGTAAGAACAGGGATTATTATCTAAATGGCTCATTTGCTTCTAAACATTAAACTGGTGAAGGATGGAAAGAATATTGGGGGCTAAGGCACATCAGAAATCATCCTTGCTTTTAAGAAACCATAGAAAACTTTGAAAGGCAATATGGGCACATATGATAAGCTGGCACAGACAAGGAAAGGAAATTTATTTGAAAATTTACACAAAAGCTAGAAGAAAAACTCAAATATACAAGAAATGAAGAAAATAAGAATTGTTTTATAGATTGGTGTTCAAAGGAAAAAATATGAGAATGCACATAGCAAAGTGTCCATAATGTTTCGAAACATGGAAGGTTTCAGTGTCCCTTGGCAATGAATATTTTAATATATTATTTCAAATAATGTAATTATTCAATCAAAAGATCTATCAGACTGTGTCCATTACCTATTATATCCCACTTCTAGGTATCAATATCTTTTAGCTGTGTAATATTATAAACCAAAACCTTAAGCAACAATGAGTTGTTTATTATATCTTATAATTCTGTGGATCGATTGGGTAATTCTTATGTTCACCTGAGCTCACGTGTGTGTTGCATTCAACTGAGGAGGTCAGCGTGGGAATGGACTTAGCAGGTACTGCTAGAATGGCTGCAGTTCTCCTCCTAGGTAGATTTTTGTTCTTGGCTGATTTTCCAACATGGCAACTTCAGGGCAGTGTTCAGGAGGCCAAAGGTATAGGCTACATCACCTAGGTTGCATGCAAAAAAAAAAGCAAGTCAGAAGTCCAGTACAGATTCAAGAGATAGGGAGGTAGACAACACTCCTTGATGGTAAGAGGTGCACAATATTGTTGATGTGGTTTTCAGCCTACTTCTGGGAGTGTCATAGATTGAAATATATTAGAGGTTCTCCTGACTGATCTTTATTTTTTGTACATTATGAAATTTAGTGATGTGCATAATCCCTGAAAAATCTTAAATCCATAATTACCACATCTCCCTCAAGATTAATGGCATTGATGTACTTTTTCATATATACTTTCTTTTAAATGATATTATAGGAAAATAAGACTGTGACCTTTGCACTTTATCACTGAAGAATCCAGACTCAAAATAGTGTGAAAAGAATGTATGTGGTTTCTTATAAATATCTCAATTTTCCACATTTAGAGAATTAAAAATTAACCATATAAGCCTGATATGTCACATCTCAGAATCCTTTGCAAATATTTCTCTCATACATATCTTTAGGGATTACTTATGGGATAATTTGCCATGTAAAGGCCTGAAACTGATAAATTTCTGGAGATAGAAAAAAATAAGCCAAAATATATGTGCTTTCAGAACAAAATGTTTCTCTTCTGTCACGAGATCTGGGAATCAACTTTCATTCAGGTTGACACGCATTGTTGTAAACACTTGAAAGAAAGTATGTAAAGACTACAAATTTATTATATTAATTTCATGTAGCTTTACTGCCTTTCTATGTTTTGATTCATTCAAAAACCTAGCATGGGCCTGAGACATCGATGGTATCAACAATAGTGGCAGCCTGGCTCACTGTACCTGAGAAACTCAATTGTGCCCTGCCCACTTGCCTATTCATGGGTTCCCTACCTTGTGCAGGAGAAAACAATGGTAACCGGCATCACTTTAGGGAAGAATCTAAGACTACCTAGGCAAAGGAAAAACCTGAGTACATTCTTCTTCCAATTTTCCAATGTGCAATAAAACCACTGTTGCTACATTAGAAGATCTGTAGATTGATTAGGAGAGAGCGGTGGTGTAGGAAATTCCTTCAGTTTAGATGTAGGTCTAAAATGTACCTTTGTTCAGAACTCTATATACATCTTCTGAAGTAAAACAGCCCAAGCTATGGTGTCACAATCCCAATAGCTACTTAACAAGATCTGCACTGATAACCATTGCCTAATCCATATTAGCTCCACTCCTAATATACTGCATACTGTTGTAAGAAAACTGCACACAAAGCACAACTGTAACCTATTTACTGTCTTACGAGTAGATCTTAGATTTTTTTTCCAGAATGTTTAGAAGCACATTTCAGGTTTCCTAAAGACATCTCAAAACTGGAAGTTGAAAAAAAATTTAAGCAATTAGTTTAAGAAAAGGTAACTGAGAGCATTTCATATACTAGAACTACCTCAAAGTAGTCAGAATGTGTGAGAACATAGGGAAGGTGGGGTGGTTCCTGAGAAGAGCGATGAGCAGCTGAGTACAACTCACAGAGAAAGTCCTGCCTGAAGGATTTTCCTGTTGGTACAAGCACCCTGCTCCTCTGGCAGCATCCTCAGCAGAAGTTGGAATCTATGCCTCCTGGAACTTACCTGACATGTGTGGTACTCACAATAAGAAAATGAAGCCATCTTAATCTGAGATAAAAACAAGCTTGAGGTCTCCCTGGACCTGGGTCAGTCCACATTTTGCAAAATTTTGTAAACATGACGTGAAAACCTAAGGTCATGCGCTAAGCCCATGCACTAAGCTGTAAGGGAAACATTATTCCATCGCAATGTTATTTATTTTTAATTTTTACTGGGAGACGTTGAATCATTAACTTGAGAAACACATTTTCTAGATCCACTTATAGTCTAATAATCGAGAATTACAAAATGAGCTAAACCCTTTAACATACTATCCAGTGTGCTTGGTCTATTGGAGTCCAATTTCTGGATTATTCTTTGTAGTTTGTAGTCATCCTAGACAATGTGTTAATTCTTCAGGCTCTATCAGGCATGGTGTAGGACAAACAGCAAAATATGTTTTTCTGTTATGCTTCCAAATAAAACAGGTGCTAATGACAACTATTTATAAATAACCACTAAAGTGTTTCTTATGTTGTTTTAGGTGTGTGTGTGTATATATATGTATATGTGTATATATGTGTGTGTGTATATATATACATAAACATGTGTTGTATGTATATATATACACACACACTTATATACCCCACACACATATATGTGACTCACTTTTTACCATATATACAGATACATGGCAACATATACATATACATATATACATGTGGTATATATGTGTATATATAAATATATATGGCATACACATAGATACATGTATCTATGTGTGTACATATGGTAAAGAGTGAATCAGACCTGGAAAAACATGAGGAAATTGGCATCATATGTAGCGCATTCCTTTTGTATGGACTGAAATGGAAGTCAACTAGAATATAGTTACCTTAAATGTTTGTCCTCACTATTTCAACTGAAATTTTGTGGCAGTTCTGCTAGAGTTTGGTCTACATCAAATCTTAACTATCATCTTAATTAAGAAAATCATCATGTTTATTGCATTATGGTAGCTTCTCCACTGTTCCAGCTTCTAGACCTCTGAGACTTGTTCACAAGTGGATTCAAAAAACAATAATAAAATTGAGGATCTTATTTATGCTCTACATGAGTTATTGTACAGTGATTCAAATTTAATCACATGGATGATTAAAATAGGCTCTCAATTTCTGTTGAGCAATTTCAACTTCACTCTTTTCTTGGTAAATAAACAAACACATCAAACTACTGGTTTGGAGTGGGCTGTAAGCGAGACTCTGGTGACATCAGAATGAATAATACACATTTTCCATTCTCATAAGGATATATGCTGATTTACTGCAATTCTCAACTTTTCTATTCTTAAGACTTCTTTATACTCTGAAAAATTATTGAGGACTGTAAATAAATTTTATTTATGTGGTTTATAATTATGGATGTTTATTATATTAGAAACTTCAATTGAGATATTTTATTAAAATATTTAAATAACAATAAATCCATTAAAAATTAACATAAAAACACATTGTTGTGAAAAACGACATTTTAAAACTTTTAAGTACATGGACTCATAACATAAGGGTTTGTTGTATAGATTATTTCATCACCAGGGTATTAAACCTAGTACCCATTAGTTATTTTTCCTGATCCTCTCCTTCCTCCCACCTTCCACCCTCAGGTAAACCCCAGTATCTATCACTTCCCTCTATGTGTCCATTTGTTCTCATCACTTCAATTCCATTTATAAGTAGGAACATGTGGGATTTGATTTTCTGTTCTTCTGTTAGTTTGCTAAGAATAATGGCCTCCGGCTCCATGTATGTTCCCGCAAAAAACATTATCTCATTTTCTTGTGGCTGCCTAGTATTCCATGGTGTATATGTGCCTTATTTTCTCTATCCAGTCTACCATTGATGGGCATTTAAGTTGATTCCATGTCTTTGCTATTGTGAACAGTGCTGCAATGAACATACATACACACGTGCCTTTATGATAGAATGATTTATATTCCTTTGAATATATATCCAGTAATGTGATTCCTGGGTTGAATGGTAGTTGTGTTTTTAGCTCTTTTAGGAATTGCCATGCTGCTTTTCACAGAGGTTGAACTATTGTATACTGCCACCAACAGTATATAAGAATTCCTTTTTCTTCACAACTTCATCAGCATCTGTTATTTTTTGAATTTTTTTTTATTATACTTTAAGTTTTAGGGTACATGTGCACATTGTGCAGGTTAGTTACATATGTATACATGTGCCATGCTGGTGCGCTGCACCCACTAACTCGTCATCTAGCATTAGGTATATCTCCCAATGCTATCCCGCCCCCCTCCCCCCACCCCACCACAGTCCCCAGAGTGTGATATTCCCCTTCCTGTGTCCATGTGATCTCATTGTTCAATTCCCACCTATGAGTGAGAATATGCGGTGTTTGGTTTTTTGTTCTTGCAATAGTTTACTGAGAATGATGATTTCCAATTTCATCCATGTCCCTACAAAGGACATGAACTCATCATTTTTTATGGCTGCATAGTATTCCATGATGTATATGTGCCACATTTTCTTAATCCAGTCTATCATTGTTGGACATTTGGGTTGGTTCCAAGTCTTGCTATTGTGAATAATGCCGCAATAAACATACGTGTGCATGTGTCTTTATAGCAGCATGATTTATAGTCATTTGGGTATATACCCAGTAATGGGATGGCTGGGTCAAATGGTATTTCTAGTTCTAGATCCCTGAGGAATCGCCACACTGACTTCCACAATGGTTGAACTAGTTTACAGTCCCACCAACAGGGTAAAAGTGTTCCTATTTCTCCACATCCTCTCCAGCACCTGTTGTTTCCTGACTTTTTAATGATTGCCATTCTAACTGGTGTGAGATGGTATCTCATTGTGGTTTTGATTTGCATTTCTCTGATGGCCAGTGATGATGAGCATTTTTTCATGTGTTTTTTGGCTGCATAAATGTCTTCTTTTGAGAAGTGTCTGTTCATGTCCTTCGCCCACTTTTTGATGGGGTTGTTTGTTTTTTTCTTGTAAATTTGTTTGAGTTCATTGTAGATTCTGGATATTAGCCCTTTGTCAGATGAGTAGGTTGCGAAAATTTTCTCCCATGTTGTAGGTTGCCTGTTCACTCTGATGGTAGTTTCTTTTGCTGTGCAGAAGCTCTTTAGTTTAATTAGATCCCATTTGTCAATTTTGGCTTTTGTTGCCATTTCTTTTGGTGTTTTGGACATAAAGTCCTTGCCCATGCCTATGTCCTGAATGGTAATGCCTAGGTTTTCTTCTAGGGTTTTTATGGTTTTAGGTCTAACGTTTAAATCTTTAATCCATCTTGAATTAATTTTTGTATAAGGTGTAAGGACGGGATCCAGTTTCAGCTTTCTACATATGGCTAGCCAGTTTTCCCAGCACCATTTATTAAATAGGGAATCCTTTCCCCATTGCTTGTTTTTCTCAGGTGTGTCAAAGATCAGATAGTTGTAGATATGTGGCGTTCTTTCTGAGGGCTCTGTTCTGTTCCATTGATCTATATCTCTGTTTTGGTACCAGTACCATGCTGTTTTGGTTACTGTAGCCTTGTAGTATAGTTTGAAGTCAGGTAGTGTGATGCCTCCAGCTTTGTTCTTTTGGCTTAGGATTGACTTGGCGATGCGGGCTCTTTTTTGGTTCCATATGAACTTTAATGTAGTTTTTTCCAATTCTGTGAAGAAAGTCATTGGTAGCTTGATGGGGATGGCACTGAATCTGTAAATTACCTTGGGCAGTATGGCCATTTTCACGATATTGATTCTTCCTACCCATGAGCATGGAATGTTCTTCCATTTGTGTGTATCCTCTTTTATTTCCTTGAGCAGTTGTTTGTAGTTCTCCTTGAAGAGGTCCTTCACATCCCTTGTAAGTTGGATTCCTAGGTATTTTATTCTCTTTGAAGCAATTGTGAATGGGAGTTCACTCATGATTTGGCTCTCTGTCTGTTGTTGGTGTATAAGAATGCTTGTGATTTTTCTACATTGATTTTGTATCCTGAGACTTTGCTGAAGTTGCTTATCAGCTTAAGGAGATTTTGGGCTGAGACAATGGGGTTTTCTAGATATACAATCATGTCATCTGCAAACAGGGACAATTTGACTTCCTCTTTTCCTTATTGAATACCCTTTATTTCCTTCTCCTGCCTAATTGCCCTGGCCAGAACTTCCAACACTATGTTGAATAGGAGTGGTGAGAGAGGGCATCCCTGTCTTGTGCCAGTTTTCAAAGGGAATGCTTCCAGTTTTTGCCCATTCAGTATGATATTGGCTGTGGGTTTGTCATAGATAGCTCTTATTATTTTGAAATACGTCCCATCAATACCTAATTTATTGAGAGTTTTTAGCATGAAGGGTTGTTGAATTTTGTCAAAGGCTTTTTCTGCATCTATTGAGATAATCATGTGGTTTTGGTCTTTGGTTCTGTTTATATGCTGGATTACATTTATTGATTTGCGTATATTGAACCAGCCTTGCATCCCAGGGATGAAGCCCACTTGATCATGATGGATAAGCTTTTTGATGTGCTGCTGGATTCGGTTTGCCAGTATTTTATTGAGGATTTTTGCATCAATATTCATCAAGGATATTGGTCTAAAATTCTCTTTTTTGGTTGCGTCTCTGCCCGGCTTTGGTATCAGAATGATGCTGGCCTCATAAAATGAGTTAGGGAGGATTCCCTCTTTTTCTATTGATTGGAATAGTTTCAGAAGGAATGGTACCAGTTCCTCCTTGTACCTCTGGTAGAATTCGGCTGTGAATCCATCTGGTCCTGGACTCTTTTTGGTTGGTAAACTATTGATTATTGCCACAATTTCAGCTCCTGTTATTGGTCTATTCAGAGATTCAACTTCTTCCTGGTTTAGTCTTGGGAGGGTGTATGTGTCGAGGAATGTATCCATTTCTTCTAGATTTTCTAGTTTATTTGCGTAGAGGTGTTTGTAGTATTCTCTGATGGTAGTTTGTATTTCTGTGGGATCGGTGGTGATATCCCCTTTATCATTTTTTATTGTGTCTATTTGATTCTTCTCTCTTTTTTTCTTTATTAGTCTTGCTAGCGGTCTATCAATTTTGTTGATCCTTTCAAAAAACCAGCTCCTGGATTCATTGATTTTTGGAAGTGTTTTTTGTGTCTCTATTTCCTTCAGTTCTGCTCTGATTTTAGTTATTTCTTGCCTTCTGCTAGCTTTAGAATGTGTTTGCTCTTGTTTTTCTAGTTCTTTTAATTGTGATGTTAGGGTGTCAATTTTGGATCTTTCCTGCTTTCTCTTGTGGGCATTTAGTGCTATAAATTTCCCTCTACACACTGCTTTGAATGCGTCCCAGAGATTCTGGTATGTTGTGTCTTTGTTCTCGTTGCTTTCAAAGAACATCTTTATTTCTGCCTTCATTTCGTTATGTACCCAGTAGTCATACAGGAGCAGGTTGTTCAGTTTCCATGTAGTTGAGCGGCTTTGAGTGAGATTCTTAATCCTGAGTTCTAGTTTGATTGCACTGTGGTCTGAGAGATAGTTTGTTATAATTTCTGTTCTTTTACATTTGCTGAGGAGAGCTTTACTTCCAAGTATGTGGTCAATTTTGGAATAGGTGTGGTGTGGTGCTGAAAAAAATGTATATTCTGTTGATTTGGGGTGGAGAGTTCTGTAGATGTCTATTAGGTCCGCTTGGTGCAGAGCTGAGTTCAATTCCTGGGTATCCTTGTTGACTTTCTGTCTCGTTGATCTGTCTAATGTTGACAGTGGGGTGTTAAAGTCTCCCATTATTAATGTGTGGGAGTCTAAGTCTCTTTGTAGGTCACTCAGGACTTGCTTTATGAATCTGGGTGCTCCTGTATTGGGTGCATATATATTTAGGATAGTTAGCTCCTCTTGTTGAATTGATCCCTTTACCATTATGTAATGGCCTTCTTTGTCTCTTTTGATCTTTGTTGGTTTAAAGTCTGTTTTATCAGAGACTAGGATTGCAACCCCTGCCTTTTTTTGTTTTCCATTTGCTTGGTAGATCTGCCTCCATCCTTTTATTTTGAGCCTATGTGTGTCTCTGCATGTGAGATGGGTTTCCTGAATACAGCACACTGATGGGTCTTGACTCTTTATCCAATTTGCCAGTCTGTGTCTTTTAACGGGAGCGTTTAGTCCATTTACATTTAAAGTTAATATTGTTATGTGTGAATTTGATCCTGTGATTATGGTGTTAGCTGGTGATTTTGCTCGTTAGTTGATGCAGTTTCTTCCTAGTCTCGATGGTCTTTACATTTTGGCATGATTTTGCAGTGGCTGGTACCAGTTGTTCCTTTCCATGTTTAGTGCTTCCTTCAGGAGCTCTTTTAGGGCAGGCCTGCTGGTGACAAAATCTCTCAGCATTTGCTTGTCTGTAAAGTATTTTATTTCTCCTTCACTTGTGAAGCTTAGTTTGGCTGGATATGAAATTCTGGGTTGAAAATTCTTTTCTTTAAGAATGTTGAATATTGGCCCCCACTCTCTTCTGGCTTGTAGGGTTTCTGCCGAGAGATCCGCTGTTAGTCTGATGGGCTTCCCTTTGAGGGTAACCCGACCTTTCTCTCTGGCTGCCCTTAACATTTTTTCCTTCATTTCAACTTTGGTGAATCTGACAATTATATGTCTTGGAGTTGCTCTTCTCGAGGAGTATCTTTGTGGCGTTCTCTGTATTTCCTGAATCGAATGTTGGCCTGCCTTGCTGGATTGGGGAAGTTCTCCTGGATAATATCCTGCAGAGTGTTTTCCAACTTGGTTCCATTCTCCGCATCACTTTCAGGTACACCAATCAGACGTAGATTTGGTCTTTTCACATAGTCCCATATTTCTTGGAGGCTTTGCTCATTTCTTTTTATTCTTTTTTCTCTAAACTTCCCTTCTTGCTTCATTTCATTCATTTCATCTTCCATTGCTGATACCCTTTCTTCCAGTTGATCGCATCGGCTCCTGAGGCTTCTGCATTCTTCACGTAGTTCTCGAGCCTTGGTTTTCAGCTCCATCAGCTCCTTTAAGCACTTCTCTGTATTGGTTATTCTAGTTATACATTCTTCTAAATTTTTTTCAAAGTTTTCAACTTCTTTGCCTTTGGTTTGAATGTCCTCCCGTAGCTCAGAGTAATTTGATCGTCTGAAGCCTTCTTCTCTCAGCTCGTCAAAGTCATTCTCCATCCAGCTTTGTTCCGTTGCTGGTGAGGAACTGCATTCCTTTGGAGGAGGAGAGGCGCTCTGCGTTTTAGAGTTTCCAGTTTTTCTGTTCTGTTTCTTCCCCATCTTTGTGGTTTTATCTGCTTTTGGTCTTTGATGATGGTGATGTACAGATGGGTTTTCGGTGTGGATGTCCTTTCTGTTTGTTAGTTTTCCTTCTAACAGACAGGACCCTCAGCTGCAGGTCTGTTGGAATACCCTGCCGTGTGAGGTGTCAGTGTGCCCCTGCTGGGGGGTGCCTCCCAGTTAGGCTGCTCGGGGGTCAGGGGTCAGGGACCCACTTGAGGCAGTCTGCCCGTTCTCAGATCTCCAGCTGCATGCTGGGAGAACCACTGCTCTCTTCAAAGCTGTGAGACAGGGACATTTAAGTCTGCAGAGGTTACTGCTGTCTTTTTGTTTGTCTGTGCCCTGCCCCCAGAGGTGGAGCCTACAGAGGCAGGCAGGCCTCCTTGAGCTGTGGTGGGCTCCACCCAGTTGGAGCTTCCCGGCTGCTTTGTTTACCTAAGCAAGCCTGGGCAATGGCGGGCGCCCCTCCCCCAGCCTCGCTGCCGCCTTGCAGTTTGTTCTCAGACTGCATTGCTAGCAATCAGCGAGATTCCGTGGGCGTAGGACCCTCTGAGCCAGGTGTGGGATATAGTCTCGTGGTGCGCTGTTTTTTAAGCCGGTCTGAAAAGCGCAATATTCGGGTAGGAGTGACCCGATTTTCCAGGTGCGTTCGTCGCCCCTTTCTTTGACTTGGAAAGGGAACTCCCTGACCCCTTGCGCTTCCCAGGTGAGTCAATGCCTCGCCCTGCTTCGGCTTGCACATGGTGCGTGCACCCACTGGCCTGCTCCCACTGTCTGGCACTCCCTAGTGAGATGAACCCGGTACCTCAGATGGAAATGCAGAAATCACCCATCTTCTGCGCCGCTCACGCTGGGAGCTGTAGACCGGAGCTTTTCCTATTCGGCCATCTTGGCTCCTCCTCCCTTGAATTTTTAATAGTAGCCATTCTCACTGTTGTGAGATGATGTTTTACTGTGGTTTTGATTTGCATTTCTCTAATGATTGTGATGTTGAGCTTTTTTTCATATGTTTCTTGGCAGCGTGTATGTCTTCTTTTGATAAGTGTCTGTTCTCGTCCTTTGTCCACATTTTAATGGGTTTGGTTGTTTTCTTGTAAATTTGTTTAGGCTCCTTATAGATGCTGGGTATTAGACCTTTACCAAATGAATAGTTTTCAAAATCTTTCTCCCATTCTATAGGTCATCTGTTTACTCTTTTGATAGTTTCTTTTGCAGTGTGAGTAGCTTTAGTTTAATGAGGTTCAATTTGTTAATTTTTTCTCTTGATGAGAAATTTTTTCATCATAAAATCTTTGCCCATTCCTGTGTCCTAGTATTGCCTATGAGGTTGTTTTCTAAGGTTTTTATATAATAGTTTTGAGTTTTACATTAAATCTTTGATCCATCTTGATCTGATTTTTTTATATGGTATAAGAAAGAAGTTCAGTTTCAATCTTCTGCGTATGGCTAGCCAGTTATACCATCACCACTTATTGAATAGGGAGCCCTTTGCCAATTGCTTGTTTTTGGCAGCTTTGTCAAAGATCAAATGGTTGTAGGTAGCCTTATTTCTGGGTCTCTATTCTGTTCCATTGGTGTATGTGTCTGTTCTTGTACCAGTACAATGCTGTTTTGGTTACTCTAGTCTTTTTTTTTTTTTTTTTTTTTTTTTTTTTTTGAGATAGTCTCACTCTGTCACCCAGACTGGAGTGTACAGTGTCATGATCTTGGCTCACTGCAACCTCCGCCTCCCAGGTTCAAGCAATTCTGCCTCAGTCTACAGAGTAGCTGGGACTACAGGAACAGGAGCTCCTTGTAGAGTTTCTGCTAAGAGTTCTTCTGTTAGTGTGATGGGTTTCCCTTTGTAGGTGATCTACAATGGGAAGGTAATTTAACATTTTTTATTTCATTTTACCCTCTAGAATCTGAAGATTATGTGTATTCAAGATGGCCTTCTTGTGAAATATCTTACTGGAGTTCTCTGCATTTTCTGACTTTGAATATTGACTTCTCTAGCTATGTTTGGGAAGGTCTCATGGATGATATCCTAAAATATGCGTTCCAAGTTGCTTCCATTCTTCCCATCTCTTCCAGGAACATCAATGAGTAGATTCTATCTCTTTTCACAATCCCATATTTCTTAGAGGTTTTGTTAATTCCTTTTTGTTCTTTGTTCTTTATTCTTGTCTGTCTTATTTCAGAAATTTTAAAACTATACTAAGGTCTCAATATCTTAATCTACTCTCATAAACAGCATAGTCAATATTTTAGTATATTTGGAGTTATTTCTAAATTGAAAAGTATTGGTTTATCAAATGCCTAGGAAGCCTTCTTATTTGAAGCTCAGTTTCTTCAAATGAACAATCAAATATTTCATCCAAAAGAGAAATGTATGTTTTGATAAAATATGAACAAAAGATGACCCTTGATAAAGGCATTTTATTACTTAGAAAGCCAATATTTCTTTGCTGTAATTTTTAGAAGATATATTCTTATTAGAAAAAGGCATTTTTCTTAATAATATACATTATGGCTAATTGTAATAGAGAAATAGAAAATTACTGAAAAAATTCAGTTGTTGCTTGTCTATAGACAAATAGAAGCAATAAAATACAATAATATTTTTTCCTCTTCTTTCTTAGGACCATATCTAAAAAGAGCATGTTTTCTGGCATATTTTTCATTATTCAGGAGTTTTTGAAATATGGTCTAACTTTTGAAAAATCAGTATAATAAAAGCCCTGTCATTTCAAACCATCTGGAACCAGTTTCCTTATTTACTTTTTCTTTACCAGTGCACTTTATTTCTTCATTTGATCTTAAGTTTTTGTATAGTATTCTCTTATTTCACTATAAAGGATTCCTTTAATATTTCTTATACGGCAAGTCTGTTAGCAATACATTCTCTCAAGTTTTGTTTATATGGGAATTTCTTAATTTATCTTTCATTTTTGAAATATGGTTTTATCAGATATAAAATTATTGGTTAATAGTCTTTTCTTTCAGCATTTTGTGTATATCATACCGCTGCTTCCTAGCCTCCATTTTTTTTATGAAAAGTCAACAGTTAATCTTATTGATGATTCCTTATATTTGATGAGCTATTTTTCTCTTATTGTTTTCAAGATTCTCTCTTGTTTTTGTCTTTCAATAATTTGAATGATGATTCTAGGTGGGATCCCTCTGAATTTACCCTATTTACATGTGAAACTTCTTGTTTTTTTAATCTTTATTTTAAGTTCAGGGGTACATGTGCAGATTTGTTACATGATTGTTTAGACTAAGATATTTAATCAAAATTTGGAAAATTTCAGCCATTAATTCTTCAAATATTTTTTCTTTCTCTTTGTCCTCTCCTCCTGTAACTCCAATTATGCACATATTGGCATGGTTATGGTTTCTGACAAAGCTCAGAGACTGTGTTTATTTTGTTTGTTTTATTCCTTCTGCCACTGAAAATGGATAATCTCAACTTACCTAACTTCAAGTTTATTGATACTTCTGAGAAGTCAAATCTTTTGTTGAGCCCCTCTAGTGAATTTTTTATTTTAGTTATGATAATTTTTAACTCTAGAATTTCTATTTGGTTATTTTCTATAATCTTTATCCCTTTACTTTTATTCTCCATTTGGAAAGACATTATTTGAAGACTGTCCTTTAGTTCTTGAAAAACTGTTTCCTTGAGTTCTTTGAATATACTTATAATAGTTGATTTAAAGCCCTTGCCTAGGAAGTCCCAGATTGACGCTATCTTACAGACTATTTCTATTAACATTTTAAATAATATGGATATGTAAATGCTGGAAATAAGACATCTTTTCCCCTCTGGATTTTACTGTTGTGGTTGTCTGTTCTTGTTGCTGTTTATTTATTTAATAATTTTTCAAGTCGCTTCCAAGATGGCCAAACAAGAACAGCTCAGATCTACAGCTTCCAGTGAGATCAGTGCAGAAGATGGGTGATTTCTGCATTTCCAACTAAGGTACCTGATTCATCTCATTGGAACTGATTAGACAGTGGGTGCAGCCCACGGAGGGTGAGCTGAAGCAGGGTGGGGCATCGCCTCACCCAGGAAGCACAAGGGGTAGGGGGATTTTCCTTTCCTAGCCAAGGGAAGTGGTGAGTGGCTGTAGGAGCAATACACTCCTGCTCAAATACTACGCTTTTCCAAAGGTCTTTGCCGCCAGCAAAGCAGGAGACTTCCTCCCTTGCCTGGCTCAGTGGGTCCCATGCACACAGAGCCTTGCTCACTGGAGCCTGGCTGGGGGAGGGGTGTCAGCCATTGCTGAGGATTGAGTTGGCAGTTCTATAATCACAGTGTAAACAATGTGGCAAGGAAGCTCAAACTGGGCAGAGCCCACTTCAGCTCAGCAAGGCCTACGGCCTCTCTAGATTCCACCTCTAGGGGTAGGGCATATCTGAACAAAAGGCAGCAGACACCTTCTCCAGACTGAAACGTCCCTGTCTGACAGCTCTGAAGAGAGTAGTGGTTCTCCCAGCACTGTGTTCGAGCTCTGATAACATACAGACTGCCTCTTCAAGTGGGTCCCTGAACCCTGTGTTGCCTGACTGGGAGACACCTCCCAGTAGGGGCCAACAGACACCTCGTACAGGAGGGTGCCCCTGGGGGACAAAACTTCCAGAGGAAGGATCAGGCAGCAATATTTGCTGTTCTGCAGCCTCCACTGGTGATACCCAGGCAAACAGGGTCTGAAGTGGTCCTCCAGCAAACACCAAAAAACCTGCGGCTGAGGGACCTGTCTGTTAGAAGGAAAACTAACAATCAGAAAGGAATAGCATCAACATCAACAAAAAGGACATCCACACCAAAACCCCATCCATAGGTCACCAACATCAAAGACCAAAGGTACATAAAACCACAAAGATGGGGAGAAACCAGAGCAGAAAGGCTGAAAATTCAAAAAATGAGAATGCTTCTTCTCCAAAGGAACACAACTCCTTGCCACCAAGGGCACAAAACTAGATGGAGAATGAGTTTGATGAGCTGACAGAAGTGAGCTTCAGAAGGTTGATAATAACAAACTTCTCTGAGCTAAAGGAGCGTGTTCTAACCCATTGCAAGGAAGCTAAAAACCTTGAAAAATGGTTAAAAGAATGGCTACCTAGAATAATCAGTGTAGAGAAGAGCTTAAATGACCTGATGAAGCTGAAAACTACAGTATGAGAACTGCATGAAGCATACACAAGCTTCAATAGCCAATTCAATCAAGCAGAAGAAAGGATATCAGTGATTGAAGATCAAATTAAGGAAATAAAGCAAGAAGATAATATTAGAGAAGAAAGAGTGAAAAGAAAGTAACAAAGCCTTCAAGAAATATGGGACTATGTGAAAAGACCAAATCTACGTTTGATTGGTATACCTGACAGTGACGGGGAGAATGGAACCAAGTTAGAAAACACTCTTCAGGATATTATTTAGGAGAACTTCCCCAACCTAGCAAGGCAGGCCAACGTTCTAATTCAGGAAATACAGAGAACACCACAAAGATACTCCTCAAGAAGAGCAACCCAAGACACATAATTGTCAGATTCACCAAGGTTGAAATGAAGGAAAAAATTTTAAGGGCAGCCAGAGAGAAAGGTCGGGTTACCCACAAAGGGAAGCCCATCAGACTAACAGCAGATTTCTCTGCAGGAACCCTACAGGACAGAAGAGAGTGGGGGGCCAATATTCAACATTCTTAAAGAAAAGAATTTTCAACCCAGAATTTCATATCAGACCAAACTAAGTTTCATAAGTGAAAGAGAAATAAAATCCTTTACAGACAAGCAAATGCTGAGAGATTTTGTTACCACCAGGTCTGCCTTACAAAAGCTCCTGAAGGAAGCACTAAACATGGACAGGAACAACCGGTACCAGCCACTGCAAAAACATACCAAACTGTAAAGACCATTGACACTATGAAGAAACTGCATCAATTAACAGGCGAAATAAACAGCTAGCATCATAATGACAGGATCAAATTCACACATAACAATATTAACCTTAAATCCAAATGGGCTAAATGCCCTAACCAAAAGACACAGACTGGCAAATTGGATAGAGTCAAGACTCATTGGTGTGCTATATTCAGGAGACCCATCTCATGTGCAAAGACACATAGGCTCAAAATAAAGAGATGTAGGAAGATCTACCAAGAAAATGGAAAGCAAAAAAAAGCAGGGGTTGCAATCCTAGTCTCTGATAAAACAGACTTTAAACCAACAAAGATCAAAAGAGACAAGGCCATTACACAATGGTAAAGGGATCAATTCAACAAGAAGAGCTAATTATGCTAAATATATATGCACCTAATACAGGAGCACCCAGATTCATAAAGCAAGTTCTTAGAGACCTACAAAGAGACTTAGATCCCCACACAATAATAATGGGAGAATTTAACACCCCACTGTCAATATTAGACAGATCAAAGAGATAGAAAATTAACAAGGATATCCAGGACTTGAACTCAGCTCTGGACCAAGTGTACCTAACCGACATCTACAGAACTCGCCACCCCAAATCAACAGAATATACATTCTTCTCAGCACCACATCGCACTTATTCTAAAATTTACCACATAATTGGAAGTAAAACACTCCTCAGCAAATGTAAAAGAACAGAAATCACAAAAAACTGTCTCTCAGACCACAGTGCAATCAAATTAGAACTCAGGATTAAGAAACTCACTCAAAACTGCACAACTACATGGAAACTGAACAAACCTGCTCCTGAATGGCTACTGGGTAAATAACGAAATGAAGGCAGAAATAAAGATGTTCTTTGAAACCAATGAGAACAAAGACACAATTTACCAGAATCTCTGGGACAAACTTAAAGCAGTGTGGAGAGGGAAATTTATAGCACTAAATGCCCAGAGGAGAAAGCAGGAAAGATCTAAAATCGACATCCTAACATCACAATTAAAAGAACTGGAGAAGCAAGTGCAAACAAATTCAAAAGCTAGTAGAAGACAAGAAATAATTAAGATCAGAGCAGAACTGAAGGAGATAGGGGCACAAAAAAACCTTCAACAATCAATGAATCCAGGAGCCGGATTTTGAAAAGATCAAAAAAATAGATAGACTGCTACCAAGACTAATAAAGAAGAAAAGCGAGAAGAATCAAATAGATGCAATAAAAAATGATAAAGGGGATATCACCACCGATTCCACAGAAATAGAAACTACCATCAGAGAATACTATAAACACCTCTACACAAATAAACTAGAAAATCTAGAAGAAATGGATAAATTCCTGGACACATACACCCTCCCAAGACAAAACCCGGAACAAGTTGAATCTCCGAATAGACCAATAACAGGTTCTGAAATTGAGACAACAGTTAATAGCGTACCAACCAAAAAAAGTCCACAACCAAACGGATTCATGGCCAAGTTCTACTAGAGGTACAAAGAGGAGCTGGTACCATTCCTTCTGAAACTATTCTGATCAATAGAAAAAGAGGGAATCCTCCCTAACTTATTTAATGAGGCCAGCATCATCCGGATACCAAAGTCTGGCAGAAACACAACAAAAAAAGAGAATTTTAGGCCAATATCCCTGATGAACATCAGTGCAAAAATCCTCAATAAAATACTGACAAACCAAATCCAGCAGCACATGAAAAAGCTTATCCACCACGATCAAGTCAGCTTCATCCCTGGGATGCAAGGCTGGTTCAACATATACAAATCAATAAACATAATCCATCACATAAACAGAACCAAAGACAAAAACCACATGATTATCTCAATAGATGCAGAAAAGGCCTTTGACAAAATTCAACAGGCTTTCATGCTAAAAACTCTCAATAAACTAGAAATTGTTGGAACGTATCTCAAAATAATGAGTTATTTATGACAAACCCACAGCCAATATCATACTGAATGGGCAAAGACTGGAAGCATTCCCTTTGAAAATCAGCACAAGACGAGGAGGCCCTCTCTCACCACTCCTATTCAACATAGTAGTGGAAGTTCTGGCCAGGGCAATCACGCAAGAGAAAGCAATAAAGGGTATTCAAATAGGAAGAGAGGAAGTCAAATTGTCTGTGTTTGCAGATGTCATGATTGTATATTTAGAAAACCCCATGGTCTCAGCCCCAAATCTCCTCAATCTGATAAGCAACTTCAGCATAGTCTCAGGATACAAAATCAATGTGCAAAAATCACAAGCATTCCTATATACCAGTAACAGACAAAGAGAGAGCCAAATCATTAGTGAACTCTCATTCACAATTGCTACAAAGGGAATAAAATACCTAGGAATACAACTTACAAGGGATGTGAAGAACCTCTTCAAGGAGAACTACAAACCACTGCTCAAAGAAATAAGAGAGGACACCAACAAACGGAAAAACATTCCATACTCATGGATAGGAAGAATCAATGTCATGAAAATGGCCTTACTGCCCAAAGTAATTTATAAATTCAATGCGATCTCATCAAGCTACCACTGCCTTTCTTCACAGAATTGGAAAAATCCACTTTAAACTTCATATGAAACAAAAAAAGAGCCCACATAGCCATGACAATCCTGGGCAAAAAGAACAAAGCTGGAGGCATCATTCTACCTGACTTCGAACTATACTCTAAGGCTACAGTAACCAAAACAGCATGGTACTGGTACCAAAACAGATATAGACCAATGGAACAGAATGGAGGCCTCAGAAGTAACACCACACACCTACCACCGTCTGATCTTTGACAAACCTGACACACACTAGCAATGAGGAAAATATTCCCTATTTAATAGATGGTGTTGGGAAAACTGGCTAGCCATATGCAGTAAACTGAAACTGGACCCCTTCCTTACACCTTACACAAAAATCAACTCAAGTTGGATTGAAGACTTAAATATAAGACCTAGGACCATAAAAATTCTAGAAGAAAACCTGGGCAATACCATTTAGGACATAGGCATGGGCAAAGATTTCATGTCTAAAACACCAAAAGCAATGGCAACAAAAGCCAAAATTGACAAATGGGATCTAATTAAACTAAAGAGCTTCTGCACAGCAAAAGAAACTATCATCAGAGTGAACAGGCAACCTACAGAATGGGAGAAAATTTTTGCAATCTATCCATCTGACAAAGGGTTAATAGCCAGAATCTACAAAGGACTTAAACAAATTTACAAGAAAAAAGCAAACAACCCCATCAAAAAATGGGCAAAGGATATGAACAGACACTTCTCAAAGGAAGAAATTTATGCAGCCAACAGACATATGAAAAAATGCTCATTATCACCGGTTATCAGAGAAATGCAAATCAAAATCACAATGAGATACCATCTCACACCAGTTAGAATGGCAATCATTAAAAAGTCAGGAAACAACAGGTGCTGGAGAGGTTGTAGAAAAATAGGAATGCTTTTACACTGTTGGTGGGAGTGTAAATTAGTTCAACCATTGTGGAAGACAATGTGGCAATTCCTCAAGGATCTAGAAATAGAAATACCATTTGACCCAGCAATCCAATTACTGGGCATATACCCAAAGGAATATAAATCATTCTATGATAAAGACACATGCACACATATGTTTATTGTGGCACTATTCACAATAGCAAAGACCTGCAACCAACCCAAATGTCCATCAATGATAGACTGGATTAAGAAAATGTGGCACATATACACCATGGAATACTATGCAGCCATAAAAAGATGAGTTCGTGTCCTTTGCAGGGAATAGATGAAGCTGGAAACCATCATTCTCAGCAAACTATCACAAGATCAGAAAATCAAACACCGCATGTTCTCACTCATAAGTGGGAGTTGAACAGTGAGAACACATGGACACAGGGAGGGGAACATCACACACTGGGGCCTGCAGGGTGTGGGGGTTAGGGGAGGGATAACATTAGGAGAAATACCTAATGTAGGTGATGGGTTGATGGGTGCAGCTTTCCACCATGGCATGTATATACCTATGTAACAAAACTGCACGTTCTGTACCTGTAACCCAGAACTTAAAGTAAAATAAAATAAAGAAAAATAATAATAATTTTTCTGTACTATTTGTTGCTTGGGGCCACTGACGTCTCTGCTCATTTAACGTAGAAGTCAGCAAATAATTAGGCAGAGATCTGCTTAAACACCTTGAATTAGTCGGTCTCCTCCTCTTTGTAAAGGCTCTCTTTGTGTGTTGGAGCATGCCTTCGCCTTTCCAGCAGTTTATGACTGTGTTGACTGTGTTTTCTTTTTCTTTTTTTTTTTTTTTTTTTTTTAGAAAGATTCTTGCTCTATCACCCAGGCTGGAATGTAGTGGTGCAATCTTGGCACACTGCAACCTCCACCTCCAGGGTTCAAGCAGTTCTCCTGCCTCAGCCCCTCCAGTAGCTGGGATTACAGGCATGCTAATTTTTGTATTTTTAGTAGAGACAGCATTTTACTATGTTGGCCAGGCTGGTCCTGAACCCCTGACCTCAGGTGATCTGCCTGGCTTGGCCTCCCAAAGTGCTGAGATTACAGGTTTGAGCCACTGTGCCCAGCCTATGACTCTATTTTAACCTTCATATTCTGCTTGCACAAAGGCTCAATGTGAGCCAGAGGTTAAACACCAAGACCTTATCAGGTCTTTGCTGGGAATACCCCCAATACTGCACCTGCATGCTCCCTTCCAAGTCCTTAAAAATATTTCTGAACTTTTCACATACCTATGGAAATCTTATTTCCCAAATTTTCTTTTTAAATTGTTGGGTCAACCTCTTGTTTCCCTGAATTTGTATTGCTACCTTAGGCAGCTATAATATTAAACAATAGAAAATGATTGTTGGCAATAAGAATACTGGAGATATGGCTTTTATCACTGAGTAAGCCTTGAGTTTGATCATATAAAGATAAGCATTGTGAATTGAGCTTTTCCAGGGAGCTGCAAGACAAATTAAATAATGACAATTCTATGAAGATGAGGTCATTAAGCAGCATATGACTACAAACTTATACAAATAAAAAAAATTTCGGAGTTCTGAAGTAGTCATGGCAGTGTGAGCATATACAGTGCAAATAATACTCAAAGTGAAAATAAATTCAGCCCACAGACACACTACTTTTATGGCCTTAAGGACTTAAGGACTTTGTAAATTCTGTTATGTTTGCAATTAAACAAAGATGGAAAGAGAGAAAACTTTAAGAAAGAATGGGAAGAATGCATTTCAATAAATTAAAAAGCCTCCAGAGTTTCCAAAGGAAGGGACATAACTTAAGCAATATCAGAATTAACTACATTCAAATAGTACAGAATGTTTCAATGCAATTTAATTTGAATTGCATACATTTCTGGAGTTTAAGAAAGCATTTACATTTAGAAATAAAGTTAGAGCAAATACCAGTTTTCTAAACTCTTTTCTTCTTTCCCTCAATATTAGGCTTACTAGATATAATACAAGATACCCTAATAAAATTGAATATCAGGTAAACAACAAATAACTTTTTGTATAAGTTTGTCCCTAATGTTGCATGGAACATATGGAACATTGCTGTACTAAAAAGATTTTTATTATTTACCTGAAGTTCAGATTTAACCCAGCATTCTGTTTTGTTTTTGCTGTTTGATTTTTCTGTATCTGACAACCCTACTCAATATGCAGTACATTCAGATAATCCATGTTCTTACTGTCTTTGCCCTGGAATCCATGTTCTCAACCTTATCCCCATAAGTGGAAGTTCCCACTCCAAAATGCAAAGAATGATATTTTGCTCTCCACAGATGATAATGTCAGTACATAGCATCCTTCAAAACAATTTAGCTTTAACCTGCTTCTACTGCTTTAACTATCCTTTCTCTTTCGAAACACACAAATAAACATATTTCTTCCCTTGGAAATCTGTGCTCCAGCCACATCTTAGCTTTTGTATAATCTTCCTTCTGTTTGTAACAAGCTCTTCTTTCTGCATTTCCCACCTTCTGCTTATTTTACACCTACTCATGTATCAAATCCAAGCTCAAATACAGCCCCCTTTCTATAAATTTCCACTCCTTCAGACAGAGTTAGGGAGTCATTCCTCTATGGAATTGTGCTCTCATGTAACGGTGTATTTATTCCTATTGCAGTACTTATGCTACATTGAATTACAGTGAAACCCCACAGTAATAAGAAATTGGATATTGCTTGGTTGGTAATTAGCTCCTTCACTTGCTCCTCATTTTTATAGTGGAGCAGGAGGCAAGCTAAAGTTTCATCTTGGCCTGGGGGAAAGGGCAGGGTGTGGGGGAGAGATGCTGAAGGCAATCCCATTATGGGATGCATTGCAAGGGGTAGACAAGGAATCTTTTGTGATCCTTGATTTGAACCACCTCAAATTTGTGAATATGGATTCCTCACTCAAGGTAACAGACAGCTTCCTGAATTACTAACTCTCCCCAGGAAAACCAAAACACCATTACTGTCTCCATCCTTATTCAAGCTAGAACAGATAAGCACCAATAGAAAGCATTGAATTGCTCTTTGTAGGTCTCTAAGAACTTCCTTTATGAATCTGGGTGCTCCTGTATTGGGTGCACAAATATTTAGGATAGTTAGCTCTTCTTGTTGCATTGATCCCTTTGCCATTATGTAATGCCTTTCTTTGTCTCTTTTGATCGTTGTCGGTTTAAAGTCTGTTTTATCAGAGGCTAGGATTGAAACCCCTGTTTTTTTTTTCTTTCCATTTGCTTGGCAACTATCCCTCCATCTCTTTATTTTGAGCCTATGTGTGTCTTTGCACATGAGATAGGTTTCCTGAATACAGCACACTGATGGGTCTTGACTCTTTATCCAATTTGCCAGTCTGTGTCTTTTAGTTGGGGCATTTAGCCCATTTACATTTAAGGTTAATACTGTTATATGTGAATTTGATCCTGTCATTATGATGCTAGCTGGTTATTTTACCCATTAGTTGATGCAGTTTCTTCATAGTGTCAATGGTCTTTACAATTTGGTATGTTTCTGCAGTGGCTGGTACCGGTTTTTCCTTTCCATATTTAGTGCTTCCTTCAGGGTCTCTTGTAAGGCAGGCCTGGTGGTAACAAAATCCCTCAGCATTTGCTTGTCTGTAAAGAAAATCATCATTCTCAGCAAACTAACACAAAAACAGAAAACCAAACACCGCATGTTCTCACTCATAAGTGGAAGTTGAACAATGAGAACACATGGACACAGGGAGGGGAATATCACACACTGGGGCCTGTTGGGGGGTGGGGACTAGGGGAGGGATAGCATTAGGAGAACTACCTAATGTAGGTGATGTGTTGATAGGTGCAGCAAACCACCACGGCACATGTATACCTATGTAACAAAACTGCACGGTCTGCACATGTACCCTAGAACTTAAAGTACAATAAAAAAAAGAAAATGAAATAAACTGTATAAAAAAATACGAAAGCATCAAATTGCAACGTTGATGGAAAAATATAGGTGGAATCCTGGAATATAAAGAAGGCTAGCTTTATGCAGTCTTGCCTTCAGCAATCTTGCAATAATGTGACCATATTTTTATAAGATTTTATTTTGGAGGAAACCCACTGGTCAAATTAAGGCAAGGTGTTCTGTGTTATTTTCCCCCAAATGTTTCTTTTATTGGACAATGAGCTCCACGAGTACAATGATTACGGTTTACTCATCTCTGTAATCTCAGAGCCCAACGTAGTGCCCATCTCAGAGTAAGTAATTTGTAAAAGAATACAGTCATTTGTTGAGTAAATAAATGAAATACAGTGTATCTTTTGCTTTATCAAAAGTTGGAAATATTTAAATCTGGTGTTAGTATGATTATACAAATTCATTTAGCTTGCCCAAACCTGCCATTCTATAATTGTTCATTTTCATCATCATTTATCTCCCCAATGAAAAGATATTTCTAACTCTCATTATACTATTAATAAAGCTTCTTGTTTAGGTCTTGATAATGCTATTGTTGTGGAGTAAAGCGATCATACTTGACTGTGGATTACAACACTATCCCTAGAGGTATTACATCTTCAGTGGGTTTTTCATATCTTAACGAAGAACCACTAAGTTGTAGATTAGAATTGACTTGTATAGACACAAACTGCATTTTTTAACCTGAAGTATTTTTAAATCTTAACTTAAAAAATAATTTTCAACACAAACATTACGATCATGGGTACAGAGATGGTGGTATGCATGTATATTCAAATATGCAAGTTATACCAAAGAAACTTGTGTTCTTGCTTTCAGTACAAAAAAGTTAGCTATAATTTTAATGTAATTATACATCTCACAATTTTTTAATAGACCTGATTTCAAGAATTTAAAAATTTTTATTGACTAATAGTTATATATTTACTAAATGTTCAATGAAATAATATTTATAACTGAATATGATATAATTTGTGTATTTTTTAAGTTTCTTACATTAATATATTCACTTATAAAACTATCCTGTCAAACAAGATTAATTGCTTTGTTTCAGAAATATGGTAACCAGCAAACAGGGTTCAGCCCATCCAATCTTAGCCAAAACATCTATGTGTTATTCTGTATTAGTACATACTTTTGGTTCAGCATTTCCTTGACCCCTTTGTCTCTTCCTTTATTCATTTTACTCTCTTTTTTCCTTTTCCTTATTGGTCTATCCCATCTTCTAGAGGCTGCATGAAAATGCAAGCAAAAGTTTGAAACAAACTGACAAAAAGATATAAAGAAAGAAAAAGTGCCATTTGGCTGCATTGAATTGCTCTTCAGAACAATGTTGTATATTATATTACAATAACACAGATTATAACCAGAATGGAGCTATTTTCTCATTAAGATGAATGTAATGAGAATGATAAATGAGTTCAAATAAAACCTATTCAAAACACATTGCTAAGCTTTATATCCCCTCCTTAGATGCTGTATATAGCCTTGTTTCATGATGTCATTATCTCTTTGTGAAATTTAAAAAAAAAATTAGCTGACAGTTTAAGAAATCTGTCACAACAGTTGTATACTACAATCTGTCTAATTTAGGAGACATTTTCCTGTCACAGCACTGTTCTGTGAGTATTTAATCTGTTTGCCATTGAGTTTAGGGTAATTTGGAATTACTAAAGATGATGAGTAGTATAACAGACAGAAAGAGTCAGCTGATGTAGGTTCTAGTTTCAGCTCTGTATTAGTTTCCTACTGCTGCTGTAACAAATTAACACAAATTTAAGGGCTTAAAACGATACATTTTTAATACTACAATTCTATAGATTATAGATATAACACAGGTCTCACAGAGTCTAACCCAGTCCTGATCTTGTGGGCCCCATTCTTCCATCCTCAAAGTCAGTAATTTTATATCTCTTCGACCATTGTTTCACAGTCACACACTCTCTGGCCCTTCCCTCAGCTGTGAAAGGTACTTTTAAGGACTCATGTAATTAGATTGTGCCCACATAGATCATCCAGGATTATCTCTGCCTCTCAAGGTTCTTAACTTTAATCACATCTGCAAAGTCCCTTTTTCCATGTTTGGTGGTAACATATTCATAGGTTCTAGGAATTAGACATGAACACGTTTGGCAGAGGGCATTATGATGCCTACTACAAGTTTCATTCATATCACTTTATGACCTTAGTTAATCATTAAGTACTTTAAACTCTTAGCTCCCTTTTCAGCAAAATGGTGATAATTAATCACTCTGCTGATTAAGGAGGCCTTCCTTTATTTTATTCTCTTTGTCACTTTTCCTAAGATTTGTCATAAAGTGTAAGGTAATGAAGGTGAAGTTATTTGCATTTTAGAAATCAGGTTATATTAGTCCCAGATTTGCTTTGCAATTTGCCAACTTATTCATTAATTCATATACTCACTAAGTAACTGTTGAATACTTACTATGTGTCCAATGCTGTTGTACATTTTACAGACATGGTGGTGAACAAATAGACAAGATACTGACTATTGAGGAGATTTAATGAAAAGATAGGTCATGTAACTGAAAGAACACTGGGCAGCTACTCCAGTTAGGGTGAACAAGGACTACTCTGAGGAGGAAAGCTGAAATGTAGCATACTCAATTTCCAGGAATGGCAAGGAGATCTGAAATAAGAGACCTTGCAAGACAGTAGGAAGAGCATTTCAGGAAGAGAGAAAGGATCTAAAATGGATTCAAGTTTGGTCAGTTCCAGGAACAGCTAGAAGGCCAGGTAATTGAACAAAATAAGGAAGAGGGGAAGTGAAAGGACTAGGTTGGAAATGTAGGCAAATAATTTGGTCAAGTAATTAAATGAGAAATGGTGAGGAACAGAACATATGTTCTTGTTGACCAAGTCCATATAAGTTTCTCCTTCCCTATTTTATTGTTCTTAAAAGATAACTGACAAAATCACCTTCCTGGGTTTTTGTTGTTGTTTTAATCTAGATAAGCGGTCCCCAACCTTTTTGGCACCAGAGAGCAGTTTCATGGAACACAATTTTTCCACAGACAGGTGTTGAGGGGATGGTTTGGGGATGAAACTTTGCCACCTTGATCATCAGGCATTAGTTAGAGTCTTGTAAGGCGCATGCAACCTAGATCTGTCCCATGCGCAGTTCACAATAGGGTTCCCACTCCTATGAGAATCTAATGCCTTGCTTATCTGACAGGAGGCGGAGTTCAGGCCGTAGTGCTCGCCTGTCGCTCACCTCCTGCTGTGCCACCAGGTTGCTAACAGGCCAGGAACTGGTACTAGTCCGTGGCCCGGGAGTTGGCGACTCCAGATCTAGATGATAAGCTAATATAGTAATAAACTATCCTGTAGGGAATTTAGAGAAAAACAAATAAACATGAAAACCAATATTTCAGTACTCTCAGTGCAAAAACTAACTAGTAAGAGAGGCCTGGGAATTCTTGGTCTTTATCAGCTGTGGTCTGAGGATGGAAAAATGATTTGAGTATTTATCTAAATATATCTATAGTTCACCATTACTCTTAAATAGGAAGTTTAGCTGGGCATTACATTCTAGTTGGGTACTTTTGCATTAATACATAAAGATACTGTTTCATTATCTTCCGGCATCAGTCTTACTGAAGAAAATAAAATTTTGTTCCTTAGTAAACAGCCTTTCTCAACTTTTAAAGATATTATATTCTCATTGCTTTTGGTTTCTGAAATCTCACTATGATGTGCCTAAGTTGGATTTCTTTTCATCCTCCTAAAATTTTGTATAATTTTCAAATTATGGATATTTATCTCTTTTTAATCTCTTGACTATTATATCTTTAGATATTGCCTCTTCTACATTCTCTGTTTCTGGAACTCCTGTAGGTATATGTTTACGTTTTTAATGCCATCCTTCATGTCCCTTAATCTTACTTACATATTGTTTACTTTTTCCTGCTGCAACATTGGCAACTTTTTTGTTCTGCCTTCAAGTTCAGTAAGTCTCTCTTCAAATAGTAATAAAGAGCAAATACTTTTAAAAATCTTTCTTGGTATCAGGAACTCTTTGAAGCCTTTTTTCTACATTAATTCATTTAATTAGCACAAAAAGCATAAGCCATTTATCATCTTATAGATGAGGAAACTGTCTAATTTGCTTTGAGTTTTTTATTTCAGTATCTGCATTTTTGCATGTTCTGCTTTGTTACCAATTTCTGCTTATGAAAAATAGCCACAGTTACCTTTTCCAGAGCCACATTATTGTATTTAATGAATTTCTTCCACAAAAAAATAGTGTTGGTGTATGTAGTTTTAGATTTAAATAAATTATAATTTCTATATATCTTATAGTTTCAACTTGTATCCAACTCGTACAGTTTTACTCATTTACCTTCAACTTATATGTCTGATTTCAATTGATTATTTTGTCATATGTAAAGCATATGTCATGTTTTACTTAGCGTAAGTTAGATTATGCTGTGGTAGCAAATGTCTCCATCTCAGTTGCTTACAACCACAAAGATTTATGTTTTAACATGCTACATGTCCATCAAAAGTCATCTTTCCTAGCAGTCTCTGATAGAAATGGCAGTTTTCACATTCCATTGGCTAAAGTAAGTCTTGTGGACAAACCTGTCATTACTGGAGTGAGAAATTAGAATTCTTCCTTGGGGCCTGGCAGGGTAGCTCAAGCCTGTAATCCCAGCACTTGGGGTGGTCAAGGTTGGCAAATTGCTTGAGCCCAGGAGTTCGAGACCAGCCTGGGCAAAATGGCAAAACCCAGTCTCTAGTAAAAATACAAAAATCAGCTTGGCATGGTGGTGCACACCTGTAGTCCCAGCTCCTGAAGAGGCTAAGGTGGGAGGATTACTTGAACTCTAGAGGCAGGGGTTGCAGTGAGCTGAGATCATGCCACTACACTCCAGTCTGGGTGACAGAGTGAGACTCTGTCTCAAAAAAAAAAAAAGAATCCTTTCTAGAAAGTGTAAGCAAATACTGGTAAACTGTTGTTCTACCTTCCACATCCACGCTTTCAACTGCCCAACATTTTATTTCCTCTCGCTTTGACATGTAGCACTCACTCAGTAATCCTTCAAGAGAGACAAGCCCAAAAGTCCTAACCATTCTCTGCTCTAACCACAAATCCAGAATCAGTGACTGGTGTTGGGTCTCTTTATCACTTCTAGAGATGAATCCTCTTAGTTAAAAAAATTTTGATATGAATAAAATGTTTAGGACCTTACACACTCTCAAAACACGATGACAGGACAGAGATAAGCTCGTTCAGACGTGGAAAGAAGGCGAGGATGCCTCCAAGGGCCTGGGAGAATACCCTACTACATTTGTCAGTAGCAATTCCCAAACCTTGCTGGGCAGAAATGTCAAAAAGCCCCTGTCCTCAGGGTGAGGGACATTTTTTTCTAGGCCGAGATTCTACTCTATAAGATTAGTTCCATAGTCAATTATGCTCATAAATTTTGGCTCCACTCGAGTTATTTTTCTCTTCCATGATCTTCTTGGGCACATCTCAAGGAAGCATTTAAGAATATTTCTTGCTAAGAAGCTGAGCAGCTCTCTCAGTCTGCTTTCCAGAGGATTTGGGGCCTATGTTTGTTAAATATCACAAGCGATTTATATCTAGGTTTGTAGTGCTTCTACTAGTACAACTCTCTCAAAAACATCCCTTTCTCAGTTACTGCCACCTTGAGCCTATAAAACTGCACTGGAGAAGCCACAACCTTAGACTTTTTTGCAAAAATACTTTTTTCTAACCAAGAAAATTTACTGGGTACAAATGTAATCAATTCTATGGTTTTAACAACAAGTATAAGGACAACACTATCAATTTGATTCTTAATAGGAATTTGACTTTTAAGCTTTCAAGTCACTCAAATAAGTTTTTGACTTCATTTTTTACCAACTGAGAATGAGAACCTGTTGTTGTCTTCCACACCTGAGAGTTTCTCAATTACTGGAATTTATTCTTACAGCAGACATTACAGGATATCTTTTTCGCGTTGCCACGTCAGTACTGGCTGTCTCTCAATGGATAGTACCAGCGTCTCTTTACCTGTTACATTTCTCCAAAGCTCTAGAAGCATGTTCTGCCTAAGTGCATGGCAGTGGATGACTCTGAAACATGTCTCCCACACCATTTTTGAATGCTTCCAAGTGAGATTATGATACAGTGCCAACAGAGGTAGCTGGCTTGAATGCTTTCCTTTCTCATTCCTCCCACTCCCTATTTGTGTTTCCTCTTCATCCCAAATAAATTATTTTCAGTTTAATCCTTGGATAACAAGATCAACTATTGGGAGAATTCAAACTAGCCAAGTTCACTTTTATTCCTGTGTGAAACCTGACAATTCTTTGCCAAGTACAAATATTTATTGTATTAATTTGTTAAACAAAACAATTTTGACCAACCAACCACTATACCAATAGTCTTGTTGTTGTTAATCTCTTTTCCAAAAGCTACAGACTTATTACATACTTTAGAAATTATTTCATTCAATAGTTATACCAAATTGTTGCCCGTGATTAACATGGATCGCCATCTTTCCAGATTCTAACAACAGTTTTTTCCCTACCCCTTTCCAACCTTGAAGCCATTGACACATAGTTTAGATTGTATATTATTGAAAAATCATATTCATGGTACAATTTATGCATTATTCAGGACTGGCTACGTTGTGCTGCAGTAATTAATGATCTCCAAATCTAATTTGCTTACAGCAGAAGAGATTTATTTATTAGTTGGGCTGGATGTCTTCATTCTGGGGCCAAGAATGAAGGGTTAAGCTCTATAAAAATTGCAAGTCATCGTGGCAAAGAAAAGAAAGGATGAATGTAATAAAATACAAACTGGATCTTTAATAATGTCAATTAGATAAAATACAGAACATTCAATTACATTTAATTTCTGATAAATGATAAATACATTTTCTGCATAAGTATATCTCAAGTATTACATGGGGTACACTTATAAAAATTACTCTTTGTTTATCTGAAATTCAAATTTAACTAGATGTCTAGTATTTTTACTTGTTAATGCTAGCAACCCTACTACTATGGGCTGAGTTGTGTACCCCCAAAATTTATATATTAAATCCATAACCCCAAAACCTCAGAATTAGACAGTATTTGGAGATAGGGCCTTTAAAGATATTATTAAGTTAAAATGAGGTCTTTAGAATCTGCACTAATCCAATCTGACTGGAGTCCTTATAAGAGGAAATTTAGACACACAAAGGGACACCAGGGATGCATGCACCCAGAGGAAAGGACACAGAGATGTGAGGACACAGAGAGAAGGTCGCCATCTGCAAGCCAAGGAGAAAGGCCTCTGGAGAAACCAAACATGCCTGTACCTTAATACTGGACTTTTAGCCTCCAGAACTGTGGGAAATAAATGATGCTTAAGCCACCCACTGTATAGTACTTTGTTATGACAGACCTAGGAAACTAGTACACCTACTCTTTAAGCTTCTGCTAGAAAGTGACACATGCAATTTATGCTTGCATTGGCTAAAGCTGATCACATGGCCAAGCCTGACTTCAAAGGGACAGAGATACACAATTCTCCCTCTTGTTGGGGAAGCAAGTATTGATGGAAAGTAACAAAATCTATCACCTTTTTCTATTCCTTTACTACTAGACATCAAAGCCCCATTAAATTATTTGCTCTAACAAACGATAAAGAATCTCATCTATTTGTGCATTAGAAATCAACAAATTCTCTGGGATATATACACCCAAAAAATGTAATTGCTGGGTCACTGTGCATATGCACACTAATTTCATTAAGAATTTCCTGGAAGCTCTCCAGAGTGGCTACACATCTGGTCACTTTCTCACAAGAAATGAGGTTTACCTTCCCTGACATTCTCTACAGCCTTTGGCATAAACATCTTTCTTTTTCTCTAACTAATCAGTATGAAGTGGCTTCACATTAATTTGCAGTCCTCTAATTTTTAATGAGGTTGCACATTCCTGCATGCATATATTAAACATTTAATATCCCCTTATGTGAGTTGTCCTTTCATGTCCTCTGTATCCATTTTTCTATTGGGTTTTCTGTATTGATCTTCTAACTCATAGGAGTTAATTGTAGTTATTAATTATTTGTCTCTTAAATTTCCAAATATCTTCTTTTAGTATGTCACCCATTCATTAACTTTAATCACAGTGTCTTTCCCTGAATATAAATTCACTAGTTTAAGATAATTTTTTTTCTACTCATAGCTAGTGCTTTTGTAGACATGTTTAGAAAAATTTTCCTTCTGGATTTTTCACAAATAGTTTCTGAATATTCCATTGGGTTTATAGTTTTACTTTTACATTTGGGGTTTTAGTAATTTAGACTCTATGGGCTATTTTTTTCTATATGGACTATATGGCCTATATGGTCTGTATGGACTCTATTTTTTTCTGCATAGTAACTAAATGTTAGTTACTAAATGTTAATTTTCTACATGGTAACTAAATGTTCCTAACACCAACCATTGTATAATTCATTGATTCCCCAGCAATTATGATGTTATTCCTATTAGATACCATATCCCTATATTTCCATAAATCTATTTCTGGGCTCTCTATTCTGTCCTCTGAATTCTCTGTTTCTTTATTAAGATCTTACCTTATTAATTATGATGATTTTGTACTATGTTTTAAAATTTTATAGAAAATATATTCCCTTTTTCCCCTTATTTTCAAAATTGCCTGATATATTTGAGGATATTTATTGTTCTAGTTATATTTGGATTACTCAAAAATTCTTTTTAAGATAGAAATTGAATTTAAAGGTGAGTGGTTGATTGTTAACATCTTTACATGTAAAATTATCCTATCCATAAATATATTATTCAGATGTTCTTTTGTGCCCTGTAATAGAGTTTAAATTATTATCTGCAGTAAAGGTGATATGTATCTTAGTTGGGGCAATTCTCAATTTTTTATTCATTTAGTAATCGATACCTTTTTCTTATTTTATTTCATTATTATTGATTTTCAGAAACGTCACTAAATTTTTGGTATGTTGACCTTATATTCAACAACTTTCCAAACTCTATTATTGGTTGTTACAGACTATTATTAATTCTACTAAGTTTTGTAGGGAAATTATCTCATCTGCAAATAATAACAATTATGGTTATCTTGTCTATTTTTCTTGCACAATTATATGTTATGCTTATGTCAGATCTTTCTGCACTTTAATGGACAGTACAATTGACAAAGAATCACTGTCTTAATGCCAGCTTCAAAGGGAATGTGTATCAAGTTAAGGAAAATGTTAATGCAGGCTTTATTCAGAGTCTTTACATATTTAAGTTTTAGCTTTTGTTTTCTAAGAATTCTTTTTCATCATCAGTAAGTGTAGGCCTTTTTTCAAATGCTTTTGCTCAATCTATGGAGTTGGTCATTTTAATTTTTCTCTTTAGGTATATTAATACGGGTAATTATAGTAAAATCCATCATTTTTTTCTCCTCATGGCTAGTATTTTTCAAATTGCGTTTAAGCAATCTTTCTCACCAATATTTCTCACAGATCGTATCCTATTATTTATTTTACTGACTTTATACTTTCATTTTTCACGTTTTGAGCCTGACAGATTTTCTAAACTCAGCCCATCTTTATATACTTATTTGATAAATATGTGTCTTTTATGTTAGTTGGTTTGGGCTTGTAATATTTTGCTTATGATATTTGCATATGTTTTTATGAGTAAATTTGCTCTTTTTTTCCTCACATTTTCCTTATTCTATTTTAGCATCAAGACTATATCAGCCTCATAAAAAGAGTTGGGTTGGGCCGGGCTTAGTGACTCACGCCAGTAATTCCAGCACTTTGGGAGGCCAAGGTGGGCAGATTCCTGGAGCACAGGAGTTCCAGACCAGTCTGGCAAACATGACTAAACCCCATCTCAACAAAAAAATTAAAAATTAACTGGCATGGTGGTGCCTGCCTGTAGTCCCAGCTACTCAGGAGGCTCAAGTGGGAGGAATGCTTGAGCCCAGGAGGGCGGAGGTTGCAGTGAGCCATGATCGTTCCACTGCACTCCAGCCTGGGTGACAAAGCAAGACCCTGCCTCAGAAAAAAAAACAAAAACAAAAACAACCAGCTGGGTAATTTTCTCCTTTATTACTTTTTTACTTTCCAGAACAACTTTTATTGAAGAAATATTTGTTCCTTTATAATATCTAGACATTAAAATTTTCTGGGAAAATATAATTTTATTTCCATTCTATTTCTTCTTGTGTCAATTATTACATTTTATTTTTACTTATCTATTTCACATTTTAAATGTATTAATGAATATTTTATAATATTTTATAGTGATTAATCCTCCTTTGTCTTTTTTGAGCAGAAACAATTTCCATCTTTTCTCCTTTTCTTCCTCCTTTTTTTTTCACTTCAGTCTTACCAGAGATTTATCAATATTGTTAGATTTTTCAAAGAACCATGCTTTGGTTTTATTAATTTTATCTATAGTTTATTCCCTATTTAATTGACTAATGCCCCAAAATTTACTATTTCTTTCTTAATTCTTTGTGTTTATTCTATCTTTATTTTTATAGCTTCTTTCGTCAAACTTTTTGCTTACTTGTTTTCAATGACTGCTATTTCTTCACAAAGAGTCAAAATTTTAAATTTTCATTGCGTACCACTTTAGATTCATGCTACAAATTTTCACATGTGGTGTTTTTATTGTCATTCAGTTTTAAGTTATTTTATTTTTATGATTTCCTGTTTAACCAAGTGATAATTTCATATAATTTTTTAAGTTTCAAGGCATATGGGATTTTAAGCTATTCTTTGGTTACCGATTTCTAATTTTAATGCATTATTACCAGAGAACACAGTTTGTACTATTTTGTTGGGATGTACTGAAGCTTCTTTTTCTTATCTACTTGCAATGGATACCATGGCAGTCTTTCTAGATAGTTTCTTCAGGGATGATTTCCCTATATTCCAACGTCCAGAAGCATTGGTTGCTGATTGCTCCAAGCTTGTCCCTCACAGGAGATAATCCTCAAATGCAAGGAAATGCCTGTTTCAAGGATCTCTCCCTTCCCTGGTTCAGCATGTTGCCAGTGACTACAGACAGTGACATGCAAAGTCCCTTTCTCTCAGTTTGGAAAATCTTGGAAGAGCCCTCATTAGGATTGGCTGAGCTTCACTAGCAACCTTTTTGTGGGTCACGTTCCCTTTCTGCCTGAAACTAGTGTGTTCACTTATGTACAAATATATCTCCTAAAAGCACATTCCCAATAATATTCTGCGTATTGCTCTCCATCTTAGAGTCTGTTTCCAGAGAAATGTTAGTGACTGGAGCATGCATGTTAAAGAGAGTGTGTATTCTGTGTTTGTTGGTGTAAAATATTATAGGCATCTTTTATATTGCCCTGCTTAATTTTTATTGTTTTTTAACATGATTTATTATTTTCTGACAGGAGTTATTAAAATCTTTTGCCTACAATTATTATTTTGTCAATTTGCCCATTATTATCTAGATTTTACTTTGTATATTTTGAGACTATATTGTTAACTGCATATGTACTCTGGAACTTTAAGTATTCTTGATAATATTCAGTACGTGGTAATTTTCTTTGATGCTTTGGCATTTTTGTGCCTGAATTTCTTTATCTGTCTAACATTACACCTTTACCAAATTTCATTTAGCTGCTCTTTGTCTGCTACACCTTTATATCATCTTTCATATTCAAACATTCCACGTGCTGCAGCTCTAAATAGGAGAGATGTTAATGAAATGCAAAGACTGTCTCAACAGTTAAAATAAAGGGGTTTGTCCTATTATAAAGGGAAGAGTGAACCAGAGTAGAAGTGAGCCCGTGATAGGTATCTATTGTTTTTCCTCCAGGTGTGTCAACAACCTAGGTGAACAATTTCTTACTCTGTTTCTCCAATGCAACAGTAAAGGCAGAGCCTCACTACCCACAGATTATAGGATAATATTCAGCCAGCTATGAAGAGCCAATAGCAATGAACACAGGCCAAACTGGACATTATTGAGAGCGAATATTAAAACTTTAGTTTATAGTAACCTTGGGACAACTAGCATAAACTATGCCTGACCTAAGGAAATTGGTGTATATAATCACCCTGATTCTCCCTTTATCTCCCACCTCTGTCCTATGTACAAAGTACTTACAACAATGTTTTTGAGGAAGAAATCCAACAAGATGAAACAAAAGAAAGTCCAAAATGCTCTTCACAATTGTAGAGATTTTTTCTCAATTTAAAAACAAAACAACAACAAAATACCCTAAGTATATACCACTCAATATATTGAATGAAAAATTAATAAACCACAATTCCTATCTAGACATATCCCAGCAACATATCTGAATTAGATGAATAAAGAAAAAAATCTTTCAAGTATCTATGCAGGAAAAAGTTCATCTACAAATAAGAACCATGCTAGCCTCAGACCCCAACAACTTAAGATACATAGTTTCAGAAAAAAATGGAATAATTTATAGAGAATATGAGAAGTGAAATGATGTGATATTTACAGGGTATAGTTAAGAAACTTAGCCTTTAAATATTAATAACAGAAGAAAGACAATCTAAATATACAGGAGCTAAGAATATGCCACTCAACTTAGACAAACAAAACTGAAGTCAAAAAAAGAAACCACAAGAGACAATTTGCTAGAATAAAAATGGCCTGGAAGACATTCCTGTGGGACTCTAAAATATATGATATCCAAATCACAGAACAGTGCTGATACCAGTGAGTACCAAACCAGATTAACCTCAACACAGCATTCAGCCTGCAAGAAAGTGGATGTGTTTAGAATTCCTTTCACAGTGACACCAAAATAAAGCTTCAAATAAACAATCTCATGATTGTCATACTCTTCAACGGCAGTAATACTTTAAGGCCGCAAAAAGAAGTCTCCTACAAAAGCCATTATTTCAAGAAGGTTTACCAACAAATTCAAAAGTCCGCTAAATATGATTGTAGCTTCTGTATTGAAAAACATAGGTTAACCTTTAACAACAATAACAACAAAAACTACAAAGAAATATGCCAACATGTTGGTGTAACTTTACCTGGTTGTTTAGATAAGATTGATGGTTTTCTTTAGAATACTTTAATGTTTTAAACAAAGTATTACTTTGTAAATAAAAAATAAACTTTATATGAAAACCAAATGTTCAAATCTAGATCTCCCCCAAAAATATAAATTATTATTATAAACCCAGGTTACCATTCCCCTCATCCCTGTCTTATCCTCCTGAACTGTATTTCTAGAAATTGTTTTTATCTATTGAAAAAGCAAAAATGTCACTACACACAACAGAAGATGACAGAATACACAG
Source organism: Homo sapiens (assembly GCF_000001405.40). Lineage (NCBI taxonomy): Eukaryota > Metazoa > Chordata > Mammalia > Primates > Hominidae > Homo > Homo sapiens. The sequence continues at coordinate 22,047,784 of NC_000011.10, forward strand.
AGTGAAGGGAATTTGGAGATGTTGTAGTTCGGTGGTTCAAAACCAGGGCTGATTTTGCCCCAGTGATATTTGGCAATGCCTAGAGACATTTTTGGTTGTCACAATTGGGAAAGGGGTTGCTGCTGTCATTTACTGGGTAGAGGCTGGGGATTCTGGTAAGCATACCTCAATGCACAATGCCTGCCCAGTAACAAAGAATTATCCAGCTCTAAATGTCAAAAAATACCAAGTTTGAGAAAACCTGATCAAATTCAATTCCCTAGATGTATAAATCAATGAGAATATAGTTAACGCTACTGGCTATGCATTTAAAAATTGTTAAGATGGTAACTTTGATGTTGTTATTTAAAAAATAAATTATGATAAAAAGATAAAAAAATATGGTCAAAGAGATTGCAACTCTTTTCCAGCGTTGAACAATTATTATGTGACAAAGAGTAAGCAACCACTAGTGACACAGTTAGTACATGGCAAAAAGATAAAATTGTGTGATTAAGAATTTAGTTGTTTTTATTCTAGAAGCAGAGAAGTGGTGGAGATGAGGCCCCAACTCCTTCATATGGACAATTTTTTTGTCTTCCTTGGGCAAGGGCCTAGATAATTCCCAAACTGTGCAGATCCAAGTTTTTCCTGCTGTGCATGTGTCAACCAGCCTGCCATATAGGCCCCTGAGGTCCATCAAGGTGGTTGTTTCTGCTTAAAAAATTTATGAAAGGAAAGATTGCTTTTCCTCCATAGTTAACGAGGAAATAAAAAAGGGTGCAGATTTTTAAATCTCTGCCAGATGTTGTTTAAAAATATCATCACTCTTTGAGAAGAGTGAGTTCTATCTGCAGTCAGCTAGGTCATCCCCCCTAAAAGTTTATGGTTTCATCAATTTTCTTTATGTGGATGTAGACAAGACCAATAGTCTCAACCCCCAACTATTTATAAGCACATTTTCTTCAGGCCTTTAAACACAGGCAGATAAAACTGAGTTGAAGACACTTTGGGCCAGGGCACTATTTGAATTATAATATTCCTGTGCTAAAGTCAAATTATACACGGTCTCTGAATTAGAACTATTAATTTTGAATCATGTTGTATTTGCTTACAGAATATTGGGTCTATGAGGTAGGAGCAAATTGTGTGAATACACCCAAAGAGAGGAGTCACTTTATGAGGGTTCTAATGAGAAAATAAACTAGTATATTAAGAGGAAGACTTGATTAAGTCCAGGAAAATAAGTACAAAAGTAAAGCAAGAAATAGGAGGATTAGCAATGAAGTGAGATATTGAAAGTTTCAAGAGCAAGACAAAGTAAGTTTAGGTTTAAAATGGTAGGTACGTTGAGAATTCTTTCGCTGTCTTTTTTATGGTGCCTTTCCTAAGTTACTGAGAAAGAATAAAAGCTTTCTAAAGGGGCAGTACAGAGCTCAATAATTAAGATTCAATTTCAGTTTGAACGAAAATGTTAAATTCCGTAATTTGAGAAGGAAATGACTTTTGTTTTTGTTTGTTTGTTTGTTTGTTTGTTTTTTGTGGTACAAAACCCAAAAGAAGGGAGCTCAGTAGTGGAACAAGGATCTGGCAATACATCTTAGACTCTATAAGGTAGCAGAGTTTGCCGTGAGTGGCCATAGAATGGAGTTAGTGTGAGACAAGAGACACAGATTCTGGAGTGAGCAATGAAGACTCATGTATTCAAGTGACTCAACTGCTTTTATTTTTCTGGTTATGCAAGCATGAGTCAGTATAAATGACAAATTTGGGAGAGAGGATGAAATGCTGAATGGGAAGCTTTGGGTTGTTTTTAATTAATAAAATTTAAGCAGTGTAGTTCTACATAAAAGGAGTAGTGAGGTTAGAGAGGTGTAGTAGAAGAATGTGTGTGTGTTAGAGCATAACAGATCTGGGTTTCAATTCTAGTATTTCTACCTAGTAGTCTCTTACTTCTTCTTTATCTTCATATTTCTCATCTAGGTAATGGAGAAATTGATATAAATCTCATCCATTAGTTGTATAAATTAGCTACTTAATGAGTGCCTAGCACACGTAGTATCTCAATGAGTAAGTTCTTTTGTTATTGTTATCGTTAAAGTTTACTATATCCTATTTCATGCTCAGGGTTCATAGACTTAGCTTCCAGTCTTATATACCCTGACACATACACCTCACTATGTTTCTTCAGCATTTCCCTAAATTGGATATGAATCATAATATGTTTGTCTGTACTTTATCAGTGTTCCTTTTGCATAATGCATTTTCTAATTTAGTGAACATTTACCCTAAGTATTCAATTTATCCCTCTCCTTAGGTATGCTTTTATTATTATTAAAAAATTTTTTTTCATCAAATTTTATTTTACGTTCCAGGGTACATGTAAAGGATGAAGGAAGTGCAGGTTTATTATATAGGTAAACATGTGCCATGGTGATTTGCTGCACAGATCAACCCTTCACCTAGGTATGAATTTCAGCATCCATTAACTATTATTCCTGATGCTCTCCCTCCCCCACTCCCAACCACAGTACCCAGTGTGTTGTTCCCCACCATGTATCCATGTGTTCTCATCATTCAGCTCCCACTTATAAGTGAGAACATGGACAGTGTTTGGTTTTATTTTCCTGAGTTAGTTTGCTGAGGATAATGCCTTCCAGCTCCATTCATATCCCTGCAAAGGACATGAGCTTGTTCCTTTTTATGGCTGCATAGTATTCCATGGTGTATACGTACCACATTTTCTTTATCCAGGGTGTCATTCATGGGCATTTAGGTTGATTCCATGTCTTTGCTATTGTGAATAGTGCTGCAATGAACATACACATGCATGTGTCTTTATATACATGTACACATGCACGTATACACCCAGTAATGGGATTGCTGGGTCAAACGGTATTTTTGCTTCTAGGTCTTTGAGGAATCACCACACTGTCTTCCACAATGGTTGAACTAATTTATACTCCCACCAAAAGTAAAAAAGTATTCCTTTTTCTTTGCAACATTGCCAGCATCTGTCATTTCTTGACTTTTTAATAATCTGCATTCTGACTGGCATGAGACGATGTCTCATTGTGGGTTTGAATTGCATTTCTCTAATGATCAGTGATGTTGAGTTTTTCTCATATGTTTGTTGGCTGTATAAATGTCTTCTTTTAAGACCTGTCTGTTCATGTCCTTTGCCCACTTTGTTTTTTTTTTTGATTTGTGTGTGTGTGTGTGTGTGTGTGTGTATGTGTGTGTAAATGTGTTTAAGTTTCTTGTAGACTCTGAATATTAGAACTTCGTCAGATGGATAGATTACAAAAATGTTCTCCCATTCTGTAGGTTGTTTGTTCATTCTGATGATAGTTTCTTTTGCTGTGCAGAAGCTCTTTAGTTTAATTAGATCCCAACTGTCAAATTTTGCTTTTGTTGCAATTGTTTTTGGTGTTTTGGTCATGGAATTTTTGCCTGTGCCTGTTTCCTTAATGGTATTGCCTAGATTTTCTTCTAGTGTTTTTATACGTTTGGGTTTTACATTTAAGTCTTTAATCTATCTAGAATTATTTTTATATAAAGTGTAAGGAAGGTATCCAGCTTCAATTTTCTGCATAGGGCTAGCCAGTTCTCCCAGTACCATTCATTATATAGGGAATCTGTTCCCCATTGCTCATTCTTGTCAGGTTTGTTGAAGATCAGATGGTTGTAAGTGCGCAGTCTTATTTCTAAGTTGCCTATTCTGTTCCCTTGGTCTATGTGTCTGTTTTTGTAATGGTACCAAGCTGTTTTGGTTATTGCAGCCTTGTAGCGTATTTTGAAATTGGGTAGTGTGATACCTTCAGCTTCATTCTTTTTGCTTAGGATTGTCTTTGCTATGTGGGCTCTTTTCAGGTTCCACATGAATTTTAAAATAGTTTTTTTTTCTAATTCTGTGAAGAATGTCAATGGTGGCTTCATGGGAATAGCATTGAATCTATAAATAACTTTGGGCAGTATGGCTACTTTCACGATATTGATTCTTCTATCCCCAGCATGGAATATTTTTCCATTTGTCTTCTCTGATTTCCTTGAGCAGTGGTTTGCAGTTCTACCTGAAGAGATTCTTCACTTCCCTTGTTAGCTGTATTCCTAGGTATTTTATTCTCTTTGTAGCAATCGTAAATGGGAGTTAGTTCATGATTTGCCTCTCTGCATGCCTATCGGTGGTGTATAGGAATGCTACCAATTTTTGCACATTGATTTTGTATCCTGAGACTTTCTTGAAGTTGCTTATCAGCTTAAGAAGCTTTTGGGCTGAGACGATGGAGTTTTCTAGATACAGGAGCATGTCATCTGCAAACAAAGATAATTTGACTTTTTCTCTTCCTATTTGCGTATGCTTTATTTCTTTCCATTGCCTGATTGCCCTGGCCAGAACTTCAAATGCTGTGTTGAAGACGAGTTGTGAGAGACTGCATCCTTGTCTTGTGCCAGTTTTCAAGGAGAATACTTCCAGCTTTTGCCCATTCAGTATGATATTCTCTATGGGTTTGTTATATATGGCTCTTATTATTTTGAGGTATGTTCCATCAATACCCAATTTATTGAGAATTTTTAACATGAATGGATGTTGAATTTTATCGAAGGCCTTTTCTGCATCTATTGAGATAATAATGTGGTTTTATCTTTAATTATATTTATGTGATGAATTACATTTATTGATTTGTGTATGTTGAACCAACCTTGCATCCTGGGGATGAGGGCAGCTTGACCGTGGAGGATAAACTTTTTGATTGGCTGGATTCAGTTTGCCAGTATTTTATTAATGATTTTTACATCGATGTTCATCAGGGATATTGGCCTGAAGTTCCTTTTTTTGTTGTATCTCCACCAGGCTTTGATATGAGAATGATGCTGGGCTCATAAAATGAGTTACAAAGGAGTCTCTCCTTTTCAATTGTTTGGAATAGTTTCAGTAGGAAAAGTCTCAGCTCCTCTTTGTACCTTTAGTAGAAATCAGCTATAATTCTGTCTGGTCCTGGGGTTCTTTGGTTGGGAGGCTATTTATTACTGCCTCAATTTCAGAACTTGTTATTGGTCTATTTAGGGGTTCAACTCCTTTCTGGCTCAGTCTTAGGAGAGTGTATGTGTCTAGGAATTTATCAATTTCTTCTAGATTTTCTAGTTTATTTGCATAGTGGTGTTTATAGTATTTTCTGATGGTTGTTTGTATTTCTGTGGGGTCAGTGGTGATATCCCTCTCATCATTTCTGATTGTATGTGTTTGATTCTTCTCTCCTTTCTTTATTAGACTGGCTAGTGGTCAATCTACTTTATTAATTATTTCAAAAATCCAGCTCTTGGATTTGTTGATATTTTGAAGGGTTTTTCGTGTCTCCATCTTCTTCAGTTCTACTCTGATCTGGGTATTTCTTGTCTTCTGCTAGCTTTGGGGTTTGTTTGCTCTTGGCTCTCTAGTTCTTTTAGTTGCGATGTCAGATCATCCATTTGAGATCTTTCTAGCTTTTTGAGATCTTTCTAGCTTTTTGATGTGGGCATTTAGTGCTATAAATGTCCTTCTTAACACTGCTTTAGCTGCGCCCCAGAGATTCCGGTATGTTGTCTCTTTGTTCTCATTAGTTTCAAATAACTTCTTGATTTCTGCCTTAATTTCATTATTTACCCAAGAGTCAGGAGCAGGTTGTTCAATTTCCATGTGTTTGTGTGGTTTTAGGTATGTTTCTTAATCTTGAGTTCTAATTTGATTGTGCTGCGATCTGAGATACTGTTTGTTATAAATTCAGGGGTTTTTTTTGGCATTTGCTAAGGAGTGTTTTACTTCCAATTATGTGATAATTCTTGAGTAAATGTCATGTAGTGATGAGAAGAATGTATATTCTGTTGTTTTTGAGTGGAGAATTCTGTAGATATCTACCAGGTCCACTTGATCCAGAGCTGAGTTCAGGTTCTGAATATCTTTGTTAATTTTCTGTCTTGATGATTTGTCTAATATTGTCAGTGGGGTGTTAAAGTCTCCCACTATTACAGTGTGGGAGTCAAAGTCTTTTTGTAAATCTCTAAGAACATGCTTTATGAATCTGGGTGCTCCTGTATTGGTTGCATATATATTTAGAAGAGTTAGCTCTTCTTGTTGAATTGCGCCCTTTACAATTATGTAATCTCCTTTTTTGTCTTTTTTGGTTTTTGTTGGTTTATAGTCTGTTTTATCAAATACTAGGATTGCAACCCCTGCATTTTCCTGTTTTCCATTTGCTTAGTAAATTTTCCTCCATGCCTTTAATTTGAGCCTACATTTGTCTTTGTATGTGAGATGTGTCTCTTACCACACACCAATGGATCTGGACTCTTTATCCAGCTTGCCATTCTGTGTCTTTTAATTAAGGCATTTAGCCCATTTATATTTAAGATTAATATTTTTATGTGTGAATTTGATCCTGTCATCATGATGCTAGCTGGCTATTTTGCAGAATGGTTTATGGAGTTGCTTCGTAGTGTCACTGGTCTGAGTACTTCAGTGTGTTTTTGTAGAGGCTAGTAACAGTTTTTCCTTTTCATAATTAGTGCTTCCTTCAGGAGCTCTTGCAAGGCAGGCCTGGTGTTGACAAATTCCCTCTCCATTTGCTTTTCCAAAAAGGATTTTATTTCTCCTTAGCTTATGAAGCTTAATTTGGCCACATATTAAATTCTGGATAGGAAATTCTTTTCTTCAAGAATGCTGACTATTGGCCCCCAATCTTTTCTGGTTCATAGGGTTTCCGCTGAGAGATCTGCTGTTAGTCTGATGGGCTTCCCTTTGCAGGTAACCTGGCCTTTCTCTCTGACTGCACTTAATATTTGTTATTGTATTTCAACCTTGGATAATCTGACGATTATGTGTCTTGGGGTTGATCTTCTCATGGAGTATGTTACTGGGGTTCTCTGTATTTCCTGAATTTGAATGTTGACCTGTCTTGCTAGGTTGGGGAAGTTCTCCTGGATGATATCCTGAAGTATGTTTTCCAACATGGTTCCATTCTTCCTGTCTCTTTTAGGTACCCCAATCAGTCATAGGTTCAGTCTTTTTACATAATCTCATAGTTCTCGAAGGTTTTGTTTGTTCCCTTTCATTCTTTTTTCTCAATTATTGTCTTCCTGTCTTATTTCAGAAAGATAGTCTTAAGCTCTGAGATTCTTTCCTCCACTTGGTCTATGTGGCTATTGATACTTGTGATTTCATTGTGATGTTCTCATTTTGTGTTTTTCAGCTCCAGCAGGCCATTTATGTTTCTTTCTAAACTGGCGATTCTGGTAATCAGCTCCTGTAATCTTTTATTATGATTCTTAGCTTCTTTGCATTGGGCTAGAATATGTTCCTTTAGCTCTGTGAATTTTGCTATTACCCACCTTCTGAAGCCTACTTCTGTCAATTCATCAATTTCAGCCTCCACCCAGTTCTGTGTCCTTGCTGGGGAGGTGTTGTGATCATTTAGAGGAGAAGAGGCACTCTGGCATTTTAAGAGTTTTCAGCATTTTTGGATTGATTCTTTCTCATCTTTGTGGGCTTATCTACCTTTGGTTATTGAGGTTGCTGACCTTTGAATGGGGTTTTTGTGGGTTCTTTTTTTGTTGATCTTGTTGTTGTTGTTTTCTGTTTGTTTTTCTTTTAAGAGTGGGGCCTCTCTTCCATAGGGCTGCTACAGTTTGCTGGGGGTCCACTCCAGACTTTAGTTTGCTCAGACTTTCCCACACCTGGAGGTCTCACCAGTGAAGGCTGCAAAACAGCCTGCTCCTTACTTGGGAGTTCCGTTCCAGGTGAGCACTGACCTGATGCCAGTCCAAATGTTCCTGTAGGAGGTGTCTGGAGACCCCTGTTGGGAGGTCTCACCCAGTCAGGAGAAACAGGATCAGGGACTCACTTAAAGAAGCAGTCTGCCTGCCCCTTGCCAACATGAGTGTTCTGCACTGGCAGGAACCCTCCTCAACCAGATTTCCAGGACTTTCCAGAGCCAGCAGGCAGGAAAGGCTGCCAGCTGATCTGCCGATATGGTGGCCACCCATCCCCCTGGTGGCTCTGTCTCAGGGAGAGATCAGCGTTCTGTCCGTAAAACCCAAGTCGGAGTTGCTGAAATTACCACAGGGAGGAACTACCCAGTGAGGAGGGATGGATCAGGGTCCCACTTAAAGAAGCAGTCTGGCCACGATCTGTCACAGCAGCTGTGCTGTGCTGTGCTGTGGGGAATTCCCAGACTCCCCAGAGATGGCAGGCCAAAATGGTGAACTGGAGCTGCAGAGATGGCAGCCACTCATCCCCCCAGGAACTCAGTTATCTCAGGCAGTCTCCAGTCTGGTGCTGCTGGCCAGCTGATATTCCAAGCCAGTGGGTCATAACTTGTGAGGTGCTGTGGGAGTGGGGCTCGCAGAAGGACACTGCTTGTCTCCCTAGCTTCAGCCCCTTCCTAGGGGAATGAAGAGAGGATCTCCTGTCTCACTATTATTTCCGAGGCTGGGGAATGCAAAAACTCCTGGGACTTTGTGCCGGCCTGAGTGGCTGCTGAGACTCCACACAGCTCTGTGCTGCAGGCCTAAGGCCCTGGTGGCATGGGCTCACGAGAGGGTCTCCTGATCCGCGGGTTGCACAAATTCATGGGAAAAGCATGGATTCCTGGGCAGGGTCACACAATTACTCACCACCTCCCTTAGGTGGGTGTAGGGGCCCATCTGGTACCGTGTTGCTCCTGGGTGGGCCATCACTCCACCCTGCTTTTCCTCACTCTCCATGGATCACACCGATCATGTAGTCAGTTCCCATGCTAGAACCTGGATACCTCAATTAAAGATGTAGAATTCACTCATGTTTTTGTTCTCCGTGAGAGCCAGGCAGACAACAGCTGCCTCTCTTAGGCCATCGTGGCTACCGGCAGCTATGCTTTTATTTCTGTCCTCTTTGGCTCACTATAGTCACAAAAAAGTCTAAAGATGATAACCTTCCAAGTGAGACTAAAACTAAAAGTAAGTAAAGTAACCATACATTCCAGTTTACCCAGAACTGTATCCATGGATGTGTCTGGCCTCCTACATAGTTAAACATCTGTCCATTTTTTTAATGAAGTTTTATTATTAACAAGTGTATTAAAGAATGCTGGAATAGGTTTGGTAGACCTTTGCTTTGTGCTCCCAGCATCTGCCGAGATTTCTCCCCGTAGTGTCTAAAACAGATGGGCAGTTAACAGAATACTCACTGTAATAGGAGAATAAATCTGAAATATGACCTGTGATGACCCCTTTCTGGTTCTTTCTTAAATTTTCAAGGAGTTCAATTTCAAGGACACTATATAGGATACTCATTCATAAAACAAAGTGACCTCAGACTAAAGCAGCCTTGGAGAACTAACTCTTCACTTTGAGGTAGTAGTGGATTACTTTTTGATTCTGTTATGCCTGCCACTAGACGAGGTAGCCAATTTTACTGTACTACGGCATTCAAAATGTTTATATCCACCAGATTACCAGTCGGTAGGGTTAGTACAAATCAATAAATATTATAACTGGATTATACATGAAACATGTGTGAAATACAGGCTGAGAAATCCTGCCATAGATTAGATAGAGAGTACTCAGAATATTCTTGCTACAATGGTTTTGTCACATATAATGGTATAAATCTAAAACTATTTTATTATTTTGTAACATTTATATTTATTTTGTAATAACCCCTTTGGCAACAACGTGTTAACAATAAAAAGATATTTGTACAAAATTTTAGGTACAGAATTTCATTTTCTCACAAAAGTTGACACTTGCACAAGTTTTGTGTCAATATTTACAATCCATCATGGAGACCAGGGTGGTATTAGTGACCAGAGAAAAACATAAATCTGTTGGGGTATCTCTGTCACCTTCAAAAGTTAGTCAGAAAAAATGTACACAAAGATGACAACTTATCATCAGCAAGTTTATGTAATGTAAGTTTGTGATATGTAAATTGCATGCTATATATCACTATGTGAAGCATGACTGTTCAGTTAGATTGCATTACTATTCTTCAAAATTAAATTTGCTCATTTTCAATTCCAAGTTCTTTTGGGCATATACAAAATTCAAGGAGTAGCTAATGCATTCGCTCCATTAGTAGAAAAAAAAAGAATTTTACAAACAGTTTTAAATGATTAAACTTTTATATCAACTTTAAATAGAAAGTCATGTAGGTACAATAATATTTCAATAATTTCAACCCATTCATGGAATCAAAGTAAAGCATTTTGGTGTTTGTTCTCTAAAAGATGAAGCATCTGACATTACTTTTAATATAAATTTAACTTAAAAGTTCAAAATTAAAAAAATGTTATTGTGGTGATAATATGAATAGAAATTTTGGTAGACCATAATGTTATGATGACAAACAAGGTGTGTAGAGAATTTTAGGACAGAAATATAATTGAAATTAATTGTACTAATAATATAATTTACATGTGTATTAAACTGTTATTCTACTAATTAAAGTTGTAATTGCATATATTTACCAATGCATATGTGTGTGTATATACACATATCCAGAAAGAAAGATGTACAAAGTGAAAAACTACAACACTTTTGAGATAAATTTTATGTTAAATACTAAAACAATGCTTTAAGATGGCAGACCATAACTGCTCTCTATACTGTCCTTTATCAATAGGAGCCTTTTAAGAACTATCTTGTAAATAAACCTGAAATGCTTGATATTATTTAGCTTTATTGTAAAAAAAGTCCTCCAAAAATTTAATCTTTTAAAAAATCGTTTTGAAAATTTTAATCAAAATATTCAACAATGAATCACCAAAACAATAAAAGAACATTATAGAAACAAGAAACTAAACAAATCAAACAATAAGGATGCAAATTGTGCACTAATATAATTTTTAAATTTTACAATGGCACTTGGAAAGATCTTGTGTTTTGGCGAAAGTCTTTTGATAGTGATCTTAATTTCAATTGTATATACACTGTATTTATATTCTGTGCCAAACTGTAATGAAACTAGAAGGCCTACTATGTTACAATATGTAATTTTGATTAAGTATGCAAAATAATAGTAGAGACCACTAATTGAATGAGTTTGTCTTATAAAAGTATGTAAAAAAGAGAAGCACTATGAATTGTTATAATAAGAGTACAGTAAAAATGTTTGGCTGAAACATTTACACACTTCACAAAATAAAAGTTAGAATTGACAATACACTTCATTTAGAATAACATGCTCTGAGCCATGCACCTTTGCACAGGGTAGAGAGATTTTTTTTACATTAAAGGTATGATTAAAAGAGTAAGCATTAATTGAAGGTGTCAGCACTTTCAAATTTCCTAGCCAGAAGATTGTAGGCAATCTTACTAAAACTTTAATAAGACTATTAAAATATACTTTTCAGATAAATATCCATGACACAGTATTAAATGTAAGCAAGAAACTGATTAAAGTATGTAAAAATATATTAAGAAAAATTATTATGCTTATGCAATTTTTAATGCTCAATCAACACAATAAATGGTTGGGTTGCTGTTTATGTATTTGATTTAACATTCAAAGATCTATCTTATTTTTAACTGTTTTGCATCCTTACTTTTTTTTTTTTTGAAACAGGGTCTCACTCTGTTGCCCAGGCTGGAGCACAGTGGCATGATCTCAGCTCACTGCAGCCTCCACCTCCCAGGTCAAAGCAATTCTCCCACCTCAGCCTCCCAAGTAGCTAGAACTACAGGTATGTTCCACCATGCCTGGCTAATTTTTGTATTTTTTGGTAAAGACGGGGTTTCACCATGTTGGCCAGGCTGGTCTTGAACTCCTGACCTCAAGTGATCTGCCCGCCTTGGCCTCCCAAAGTGCCTCCCAAAGGGATTACAGGTGTGAGCCACTGCACATGGCATATCTTTACTTTTGAAAATAGTTTTGAACACAAATGAAAGCGATTTGGAAGTAATATTACTTTCCAAATTGCTTTCATTGTGTTCAACACTAATTTAATTTTAACTATTTTAATAGATATGTAAGTTATTTATAACTTACATATTGTATGTTAAGTTATAACTTATAATTTATGTAATAAATATATAATTTATTATAACATAAATGTTAAATATTAATAAATATATAAATTATTTTAATTATTTTAATAAAATTTTATATATATATATGCACATACACACACATAGAGAGAGAGAGAGAGATTGAGAGAGAGAGAGCATTCTTACATTCTTTATTCTTAGAAGTGTCCTGGTCTAGACAATAAGTTATATGGTTATCCTGCCTAGGATGACTCTCTTTTTGGTCACCCTCTTCTCATAAATTGGATTCAGCCAGTGGGGAAAAAAATACCTTAATTATATAAGCACCTTATAAGGAGGGATAAGGGGAAAGGAAAGAGAAGTCATGGGGAAGGGAGTAGAGGAGAAGAAGAGAGAGAGAAGGAGAGGGAGAGGGAGAAGTGAGAGCGGGAAAAGGTTTCAGCCATTAATAGTTCTGGATTGAGGGGGGAGGCCAAAATTCTACACCGTTTCAAATTTTCAACCTGATTTGTTCTTTCTTTTTAATTATTTTTAAATGTAGAAGTAATTTATATATAGTCTATTACAAAAGTCTGCTCTGTGTATTGCTCTGCATATTGTTCTATGAATTTGTATCTATGTATGCACCATGTGATCATTACTTAGTCAATCTCCCAGAAACTTCTTTTTTGTCCATCAAAGTCAATATGACCTCCTTCTCAGCCAGCCAGAGGGAGTCACTATTCTAATTTCCCCATAGAATATTTTTTTCCTATTCTTGAAACTAAAATTAAAATAAAAACTTCTTTTTTGTCCATCAAAGTCAATATGACCTCCTTCTCAGCCAGCCAGAGGGAGTCACTATTCTAATTTCCCCATAGAATATTTTTTTCCTATTCTTGAAACTAAAATTAAAATAAAAACATATAGCTAAGTACTCTTTTGTGTCTGATTTATTTTGCTCAAAATAATGTTTTTATTATTTATCCATATTGTGGTTTTTTTCTTTTGTATTACTGTGTAGTATCTCACTGTAGGAATATATCACTGTTTATCCATTCACTTGTTTATAAACATTTAGGTTGTTTTCATTTTAGGGCTATTGCAATTAAAGCTAATATAAACATTTTGTACAAATTTTTTGGTGAACATACGAGCATTTTTCTCTTAGATATATATCTAACAATAGAATGGCTGGGTCATAGGGTAGGTGTATATTTAGTTTATTAGAAACTTCCTGGAAGTTTTTCAAATGTTAAGACTTATTTTACTTTTAAAGAGTTATAAGTACAATTTTGTTGCTCTACACATTTACTAATATTCAATATCATTAGTTTTGTTTCTGTGTGTTTTAATTTTTAGTCATTATGATGGAAGAGCAGTTTTAATTTACACTTCTCCTATGAGTAATATTATTCAGCACTTTTTTCATACACTAAATGTTCATTCGTATACTTTCTTTTTGAAGTATCTGTTCAAGTCTGCTATGGGCTATGGAGATGATGTATCTTCCTTGCTGATCTGTAGGAGTTCTATGTATTTTCAGTCTATGAGTCCCTTGTCAGATGCAGGTATTTTTAAATAAATTATAAATATTTTTCCCCTGTCTATAGTTTTCCTTTTCTCTTACTTAGTGGTATTTTTTGATAAGCAGTAGCTTTTAATTTGATAAAGTTCAAGCTATCATTTCTTCTTCTTTTTTTCTTTTTATGCTGTTAAATAAAATGCATAGCAGGCTGTTGGATCTGACTGAGCCCCTGCACTAGATCCGACAGACCAAATAAACCAAGGTGGAGTTACTCATGCTAAAGTACCATGCCACCAAGCCAAAACTAAATTATTTATCTGACCTTCCAAGAAATCCATCAAGTTAAGAGATAATAGCCAAATCTCCAAACAGATCAGTGTTAGCCAGCATAATAAGGAAGTCCTCTCTGCGTTAACCTTTGCAAGGAAAATAACTTTAAAATGACCAATCTACATTTTCTTCTGTTTCTGCTTGCTTAAGCCCTTTTCTGCCTATAAAACTAATGTCTCCTGCTCAGATCATTGAAACACTCATTCTATCTTCTGCTTTTTAGAATGAGTCATTACCCAGTGCTATAATTACAAATAAAATCCAATTGGATCTTTAAACTAAATTTGCTATAATTTTGTCTTTTGACATTGCTTAATATCTTCACCCATGCTAAGGTCACAAGGACATCTTCCTATGTTTCCTCCCACTCTCCCATTTATATCTATGATCTATCTTAAATTAATTTTTGTATATGATGTGAGGTAGGTGTCAAAGATCAATTTTTTTCCCAAGGAACATCTAGTAGTTTCAGTGCTACTTATTAAAAAGACTTTTATTTCCTCCACCGAACTTCATTAATGTCTTTGTCAAAATAATTATTTCTTTTTTAAACCAAAAGAGAGAGGTAAAAGGGCTTTGTTAAACAGTCATTATACAATTCAGCAGAAAACGTCCTTCATGGAGAGCGGAAGAATTTGAGGTCAACTTAGGGTTCTAAGCAAGCTGGACCTCACATTAGCTTTTGCAATCAAAAGCAGCTTCATTGATCTCTTCTTCATTTCTTTTCTCTCTGTTTCTCATTCACAATATCTATAAGGAACACTCAAACTGCTGTTTTAATTGTATGGATTCCTTGATCAAAACAGTTATTTCTCAATATACCTAATTACCTGGTTTCTAAATAGCCTTGACCGGAAAATCTCTTCTACTTATTCCTCAGATGGCATGAGGCATTAGCTATAACAGAGTGTGCTTGGAAAAATTTTTATAAGGAGACTGGAGACAACTCTTTTCCCTGGATTGCCACTGTGGGTGACCTTGGGCATGAAGCTTATCAGTCCTTGTTCTTAACATCCTCATCCATCAAATGATGGTGTTAGATGTTTGATGTAAAACACCCATCGGCCCCAACATTCTAGGATTCAATGAGGGAATGAATGTTTTGCCTTGATTAACAGCCTCTGCTTCATCATCCATTAGTATGCTTGATAGCAGGGAAAAGAGTGACGGACTTTTTTTTCCCACTCCTTTTATTAAACTACCCAATCCAATTAACTCCAATTAAAATTTGTAGTTTTAATTAGTTTGTCTGATGGGTTTTTTAAAAAAACTCATAAATGTAGATCTTTGCCCTTCCCTTTTTAGGCTTGGCAGCTGTCATGCTCCTTCTAATTTGAGCTCCTCTCACCCTTTTGTGCCACCTTTGATTCATTATTCTTTGTTCTTGTGTATTGATTATGTCTTTTTTCTCCTTCTCCTGATAGTGATAATACCTTGCTTAAACAAAATTTTAGAAGGAGAGTCACAAAGATTTTGAATTACCTAGAAATGGTTTTATTCATGAGAGTTAAGTATTGTTAAAGGGCTTCTAGCCAGTAGAAATATGTCAGCATCCCAGACACATGTTTTTGACATTTTTCAGATGTATATCATACATCACCCTTCCATGACCTGCTGAGGCTGACACCTAAAGCATAACGTTCCTGAGGAGAAGAAGGAAAACTCTCATACCCAATATACTTTCCACAGCTGCACATGTTCACTGATGCTTGGTTTTGTAAGCAATACATTTAATTATATTTATTTTTGTACATCAAAATCAACTTAATAGGAATCTAATATTCATGAGGACAAAGTTTTTGCCTGTTTTTAAAACTGCCAGCACGTCAAATCATGCTAGAAAATAATGGATAGTAAATACTTGTTGAATGAATGAGCTTATAAGTTTAAAACTAAACCAATTAAATAAATTTATTTAATTGTATATTATTTAAAATATTAATATGTTATTTTACTTCAAAACCCTTCTCCATTACTGAAGATTTATTATTAAAAAAATATATCTTGAGCATAAACTATGCACCAACTGTTATACTAAGTTTTAATGGGCATTTCGTTATCTACTACTCAAAACAATTTTATGAGAGAATTGCTATTATTATTTTAACTTTTAAATTATTAAATTCAGGGTTCGAAAATAATAAATAACTTACTAAGATGTTAGAATTAGTAAGCAACAGAATCAGAATTATAGCTCAATTGCAAATAAACCCATAGAAAAATTTTGACATTGAGAAAAGAAGAAAAAAAAATCACCATAACACAATGATAATAGTATCATTATTCTGCCTTTTTTCACATAAATTTTTGGTTTCAGATAATGGTATCAGATTATATGTTTAAAAACTATGTTTAAATTGTTACACCAGGTGGCATCTTGTTATAACTAGCATCTTAATGGTTGCATATATCATTAATTAGTTATCTTTCAGAACCCCATGAAATGAACTAACTTGGGGAATAATCCTTACTCCTGTTAGGCTAAACTTATTCTCAAATAAAAATCAATAATATCAATAATACCATAAGGTAATATTATAGTTGTTCTTACTATTCCTGATAGTGATAACTAAATATGCTGAAAATTTATCAAGAGCCAGGCATTGTAATAAGTACAATGAAATGAGATACTATCCAATTGAAGGAAAGAAAGGGAACTGAAAGCAGAATTTTGCTTTGGACTCTAACACCAAGGCTGCCTTATTTAAACCCAGCACTGCACAGACCCCCACAAGCCTTGATTCTAAGCTGGTACCCGTAGACTGAGCCTCCAGACCTGCCCCAAAACTAGGCAGGAACCTATAGGACCTTTGAGGTAAACTTGGTTTGCATCTGCATTACTGCCGGCTGACTACAGTAATCTTGCGCTCCAGAAAACTTTCAGTGGCAAGCAGGCCTAAATAACCTTGGACTTGTAAACTCTGGGCATGACAGAGCTTCATGCCAGCCTCAAGAGTCATAAGATTGCAGCTCAGCACCATGTTAGTTGCAGCAGCCCTGGGCTTAAGAAATACGTTAGACAGCCTGCAAAGAATCACTGGATAGGTTTACTGTTCAAAAATATATATTCCTAGACAAACCCAGTTTGTGAAGACTGGAATGAGTATGTATTTCCTACAATGTGCTTATTACTCATGGCCAGAAGTATCAAAAATAATCAGGAAATTTGACATCAACAAACCAACAAAATAAAATGGCAGTAACTGACCCTAACAAAATGGAGATATATAAATGACCTAACAAAAAATTCAAAATAATTGTTTTAAGAAAGCTCAGCAAACATTAAGAAAATACAGAGAAACAATTCAATAAAATGAGGAAAATAATAAGTGAGCCAAATGAGAAATTTAAAACTGAAATTGATATGATTTTAAAAACCAAACAGAAATCCTAGAAGTAAAAAATATAATAATTAAAGGGAAAATGCAAGAAGAAGCATCAACAGCAGAATTGATGAGGCAGAAAAAATAATCTGTAAACTTGAAGACAAGTTATTTTTAAAAATATACCCTGAGGAGTAAAAGGAAAATAGAATGTAAAGTTTGATGGTTAATATTGTCAACTTGATTAGATTGAAGGACGCAAAGTATTGCTTCTAGGTGTGTCTGTGAAGGTGTTGTCAAAGGAGATTAACATTTGAGTCAGTGGAATGGGAGAGGCAGACCCACCCTCAATCAGGGTGGGCAACATCTAATCAGCTGCCAGCCTGGCTTGAATAAAACAGGCAGAAGAAAGTGGAATGAAGAGACTTGCTGAATCTTCTGGCCTTCATCTTTCTTCTGTGTTGGATGCTTCTACCTGGGCACCCAAACTTTCTCATACATCTTCTGAAATCTAGGCGGAGGTTGCTAAGCATTCTTCATGCTCATTCTGTGCACTTAAAGGCTTAACATCATGTTGAAGATGCCAAGGCTTACAGCTTGTGTTATCCATAGTGGAAGCAGAACCTGTACCTGAGCCCTTTTAAGCAATGGCTGGAGCTGGAGAGGCTGGAATGTAGGCAGCATTGTCTTGAGGCTGCACATGGCAGCAGGAACTGGGCCTGTCCCATGAAGCTATTCTTTCCTCTTAGGCCTCTGGGCCTGTGACAGTAGCCTCTGCTGTAAAGTTCTCTGAAATGCCTTCAAAGCCTTTTCCTCCATTGTATTGGATAGTAGCACTTGACTCCTGTTTAGTTATGCAAATATCTGTAGCAAGTGGTTGCTTCACAGCTTGCTCGTATTTCTCTCCTAAAAATATTTTCTTTCTCTGCCACATCTGCAAATTTTCCAAACTTTCACATTCTGATTTTCTTTAAATATAAATTTTAACATAAAGTCATTTCGTTGCTGCTACATCTGAGATAGGCCCCTAAAAGCAGCCAGGCTACTTCACGAACACTTGTTGCTTAGAAATTTCTTCCATCAGATACCCTAAATCATCACTTTGAAGAAAAATTTTCCACAATACTTAGGACATGAACAGAATGTAGCCAATTTCTTTGCTAAGGCATAACATGCATGACCTTTGCTCTTGTTCCTAATAAGTTCCTCATTTCCACTGGAGACCCCTTCAGACTAGGCTTCACTGTCCATATCACTATCAGCATTTTATTTACAACCATTTATCCAGTCTCTAAGAAGTTCCAAACTTTCCCTTATCTTCTCCTGAGCCCTCCAAACTCTTCCAGCCTTTGCCTGTTACCCACTTCCAAAGCTGCTTCCACATTTTCAGGTATCTTTATAACAATACCCCACCCCCAGTCTGATTTTCTGTATTAGGCCATTCTTGCATTGCTATAAAGAAATACCTGAAGGGGTTGGCCAAGATGGCTGACTAGAAGCAGCTAGTGTGTGCCACTCTCATACAGAGAAATATAAGGGGAAGTAAATGCAGCACCTTCAATGGAAACATCCAGGTATGCACACTGGGACTCAACAAGGAAACAGCTTGACCCACAGACAACAGAGAAAATCAAAGCAGGGCATCCATCCACCCAAAAGTGACACAGAGCCAAGGGAGCCTCCACAGCCCAGGGAAGTAGTGAGTGAGTGAACAAACCTGGGGACCCACATTTCTTCCATGGATCTTTGCAATCCTAAGGACACCTCAAGAGCCCACTCCACCAGGGCCTTCCATCTGACACACAAAGTTATGTGGCGTCTCAGCAGAGCAGACACTCAGGCACATGAAGAGGCCCAGGAATCTTAGATACCTGGGCTTCCCAGGAAAGGTTACTGCAGCTCCAGCAAAGCTGGAGGTTAGAACTTCATACACACCCCTAGGAAAGGGGCTTAATTCAGGAAGCTGAGCAGCAACAGGCTGAAAGCCCTGCTTCTATAGAAACCCACAGAATAACACTGGCATAGGAGTTTAGCAAGCCATTGGTAGCAGCATTGCACCTCCTTGACATGGAGCTCCCAGGGGGAGGGGCAAGCCACTATCTTTGCTGTTTCACAGCCTTAATTATTGTTTCTTAAGCTCTAGGAAGTCTGAGGCAACTGGAGTCTAGAACGGTCCTCCAGCACAGTTCAGCAGCTCTATGGGAAAGTGGCCCAACTGCTCATCCATCATTTCTCTTCATTGAGTGGAATCTCCCAACCAGGGCAGGGTCTTCAGTCACCCTTGTCAATGTTTTCCAGCCAACAGTGGATACAAACCTCCCTGGGACAGAGTTCCCAGAGGGTGGGGTAGGCTGCCATCTTTACTGTTTCACAACCTTAACTTTTGTTGCTTTCTGGATTTGGAGAGTCAGAGGCAACTGGGGGCTAGAATGGACCCCCAGTGCACCACAGCTGCTCTACAATAAAGTGACAAGACTACTTTTTTTTTTTTTTTTTTTTTTTTTTTTTTTTAACACAAGTCCCTGATCTTCCTCCTTACTGAGCAGGACTGCAGGACATCCCGACCAGGGACTCCAGCTACCCCTGCTGGTGTTTTCTGGATGGCAGCAGTTTCAAATCTCCCTGAGATCACCCTAGAGCTGCAGTCTTACAAGAAATCTCAAAGGGGTACTATATATGGAAAGAAAAGGCTGTTACCAGCCAATAAAAATACACACTAGGTACACAGACCAGTGACACTACAAAGCAACCACACAAACAAGTCAGCATAGTAACCAGCTAACAACACAATTACAAGATCAAATCCACACATATCAATACTAACCTTGAATTTAAATGAGTGAAGTAACTTGTTTAAAAGACACGAAGTAACAAGCTGGATAAAGAACTAAGATCCAATAGCATGCTGTCTTCAAGAGACCCATCTCACATGCAGTGACACCCATGGGCTCAAAATAAAGGGATAGAGAAAAATCTACCAAGCAAATGAAAATCAGAAAAAATCAGAGGTTGTTATCCTAATTTCTGACAAAACAGACTTTAAAACAACAAAGATTAAAGAAAAAAAAAAACAGAAAAATATTACATTATGGTAAAAGGTTCAATTTAACAAGAAGAACTAAATGTCCTAAATGTATATGTGCCTGATACAGGAGCACTCCGATTCATAAAATAAGTTAATATTTACCTACAGAGGGACTTAGACTCCCACACAATAATAGTGGGAGACTTCAACACACCACTGACAGTTTTAGATAGATCATTGAGGCAAAATATTAACAAAGATATTCAGGACCTAAATTCAACATTGGACAACATAGATCTAATAGACATAAACAGATCTCTCTACCCAGAATATACATTCCTCTCATTGCCACCTGGCACATACTCTACAATCAACCACACTATCGAACATAAAACAACCCTCAGCAAATGTAAAAAGAAATGAAATTATATCAAATACACTCTTGGACACCAGCACAATAAAATTAGAGATCAAGACTAAAAAAATTGCTCAAAACCATGTAATTACATGCAAATGAAGCAACCTGCTCCTGAGTGACTTTTGGGTAAATAATTAAATTAAGGCAGAAATCAAGAAGTTATTTGAAATTAATGAGAATAAAAATACAGCATACTCAAGTCTCTGGGACACAGCTAAAAGGGTGTTAAGAGGGAAATTTATAGCACTAAATAGTTATAAAGATCTCAAATTAACAACCTAATATCACAACTAAAAGAACTAGAGAAGCAAAAGCAAACCAACCCCAAAGCTAGCAGAACACAAGTAGTAACCAAAATCAGAGCTGAACTGCAAGAGACTGAAACATACTAACAGAAAGATACATTCAAAAGATCAACAAATCCAGGAAATGGATTTTTGGGGGAAAAAAAATAGGCCACAAGCTACACTAAGAAGAAGAGAGAGAAAATTCAAATAAACACAATTAGTAATGGCAAGGGGATATTACCACTGACCTCAGAGAAATACTAATAATCATCAGAGACTACTATGAACATCTTTGAAAATCTAGAAGAGACAGATAAATTCCTGGACACATACACCCTCACAAGACTGAACCAGGAAGAAATTAAATCCCGGAAAATACAAATAATGAGCTCCAAAATTAATCAGTGATAAACAGCCCAAACCAAAAACACCCAGAACCAGACAGATTCACAACCATATTCTACCAGATGTACAAAGAAAAAGTGAAATCATTACTACTGAAACTATTCCAAAAAATTGAGGGGGAAGGATTCCTTCTCAACTCATTCTATGAAGCCAGTATCATCCTGATACCAAAATTTGGCAGAGACACAACAACAACAAAAAACATTCAGGCTGCTATTCTTGATGAACAGATACAAAAATCCTCAGTAAAACACTTGCAAACTGAATCCAGCAGCACATTAAAAAACTAGTCCACTATGATCAAGTAGGGCTTATCCCCAGGATGCAAGGTTGATCCAACATATGCAAATCAATAGATGTAATTTATTAAATAAACAGAGCAAAAGACAAAAACCACATGATTATCTCAATAGAGGCAAAAAAGTTTTTTGCTAAATCAACATACTTTTATGTCCTCAATAATCTAGGTATTGAAAGAATATACCTCAAAATAATAAGCCATCGATGACAAACCCACAGCCAACATCATACACAGTGGGCAAAAGTTGAGAGCATTCCCCTTGAAAACTAGCAGAAGACAAGGATGCCCTCTCTAACCACTCCTATTCAACATAGTATTGGAAGTCCTGGCTAGCAATCTGGCAAGTTAAAGAAATAAAGGGCATCAAATTAGGAATAGAGGAAGTCAATCTATCCCTGTTTGCAGATGACATAGTTCTACATATAGAAACCCCATAGACTCAGCCCCAGAGCCCCTTAAGCTGATAAACAACTTCAGTGAAGTCTCAGCATACAAAATTACTGTATTAAAATCACCAGCATTCCTATACACCAACAAAGGCCTAGCTAAGAGGCAAATCAGTAATGCATTCCCATTTACAATTTGCCACAAAGAGAATACAATACCTAGGAATACAGCTAACAAGGGAAGTGAAAAATCTCTACAATGAAAATTGCAAAACACTGTTCAAGGAAATCAGAGATGACGCAAATTGGAAAAGATTCAAATTGGAAAAGATTCCATGCTCATAGATAGGAAGAATCAATATCATTAAAACGGCCATGTTGGCCAGAACAATTTACAGATTCAATGCTATTCCTATCAAGCCACCAATAATATTCTTCACATAACTAGAAAAAACTGTTTTAAAATTCACATGGAAACAAAAATTATCTGAAATATTCAAGGTAATGCTAAATAAAAAGAACAAAGCTGTAGGCATCACCCTACCTGACTTCAAACTATACTACAGGGGCATAGTAACTGAAACATCATAGTACTGGTACAAAAGCAGAAAAATAGACCAATGGAACAGAATCAAGAGCAAAGGAATAAGGCCACACACCTACTACCATTTGATCTTTGACAAAGCTCACAAAACCAAGGAATGGGGAAAGGACTTCCTATTCAATAAATAGTGCTGGGATAACTGGCTAGCCATATGGAGATGATTGAAACTGGAACCCTTCTTTACACCATATATAAAAATCAACTCAAGATGGATCAAAGACTTAAATTTAAAACTCAAAACCATAAAAATCCTGGAAGGCAACCTAGGTAATGCCATTCTGAACATAGGAACATGCAAAAATTTCATGACAATGACACCAAAAGCAATTGCAACAAAAGCAAAAAATGACAAATGGGATCTAATTAAACTAAAGAGCTTCTGCACAGCAAAAGAAACTATCAACAATGTGAACAGACAAACTGTAGAATTTGCGAACAAATTTTGCAAACCTTTAGCTGGACTAACTAAATAAAAAAACTGAGAAGATTACAATAAACAAAATCAGAAATAAAGGAGGAGATATTACAACTGATATCACAGAAATACAAAGGATCATGAGAGATTATCATACACCAACAGATTGGATAACCTAGAAGATACAGATGTATTCCTGGACACATACAACCTACCAAGTTTGAATCATAAACAGAAAATTTGAACAGACCCATAATGCCTAAGTAACCAGTAATAAATTTCTTTCATCAAAGAAAAGCCCAAGACCAGATGGCTTCAAGGCTAAATTCTACCAAACGTTTAAGGAACAAATACCAATTCTCACACACTTCCAAAAAACAGAAAAGAAGAGAATACTTCCAAACTAATTTTATGAGACCAGCATTACCCTCATTAAAACCAGAGAAGGACACCAGAACTGTTTTCCTTTCTTCTGGTGTCATTTTCTGGTTTTAAGATTAGGCTAATCCTGGTCAACCTCCCTTGTGAATGTACATGCAAAAATACTTAACAAATTGTTTAAAAAATAAATTCAACAGTGATTAAAATGAGCATTCACCATGATCCAGCGGGATTCTTTCTAGGTATATGTTTTAGTCCATTGTCGCATTACTATAAAGAACTACCTGACACTGGGTAATTTATGAAGAAAAGAGGTTTAATTGACTCACAATTCTATATGTTGTACAGGAGACATGGCTGGCTGGGGGGCCTCAGGAAACTTACAATCATGGTGAAAGGTAAAAGGGAAGCAAGCTGGTCTTCACAAGGTGGCAGGAGAGATAGTGAGAGAAGAGGGAAGTGCTGCAAACTTTTAAACAACCAGATCTCATGAGAACTCACTCACTATCATGAGAACAACAAGGGGGAAATCCGCCTCCATGATCCAGTCACCTCCTACAGGTCCCTCTCCCAACATTCGGAATTACAGTTTGACATGAGATTTAGGTGGGGACACAGAGCCAAACCGTATCAGTATATGAAGGTAGTTCAATATACAAAAATAAATAAATGTAATACATAACAAATGACACAAACCATATGATCATTTCAATAGATGCAAGAAAAGCATTTGACAAAATTCAAAATTATTTCATGATAAAAAGATTCAACAAACTAGGTATAGAAGGAATGTACCTCAACACAATAAAGGCCATAGATGACAAACCCATAGCTACCATCATACTCAATGGCAGAAAACTGAAAAGTGTTCCTCTGATATCCAGAAAAAAACAAGAATGCCCACACCTACCACCTCTATTCAACATAGCACTGGAAGTCCTAGCCAGAGTAATTAGGCAAGAGAAAGAAATGTGGGGCATTCACATTGGAAAGGAAAGACATGAAATTGACCATGTTTGCAGATGACATGATCTCCAAAAACACTCTACCAAAAAAACAGTTAAAACTAATAAACAATTTCAGTAAAGCTGCAGGAGACAATATCAATATAAAAAAATTGTGTTGTTAATATAAATGAACAGTGAACTATCTGAGAAAGAAATTAAGAACACATTAACATTTGCAAAAGATTTCTTAAAAGATAATATTCTTAGGAATGAATTTAAGCAAGAAAGTGAAAGATCTCTACATTAAAAACTATAAAATACTAATAAAAGAAATTAAAGAAGTCACAAGCAAATGGAAAGATATTCTATGTTTACAGACTGGAAAAATTAATATTGTTAAAATGCCAAGAATAGCCAAAGAGATTTACAGATTTAATGTAATTTCTATTAAAATACAAGAGATATGCTTCACAGAAATTGAAAAACAATCTTAAAATTTGTATGGAACCACAAAAGACTCAGAATAGCCAAAGCAGTATTAAGCAAAAAGAATAAAGCTGGAGGAATAGCAGTACCTGCCTTCAAAATAAATTAGAAAGATATGGTAATGCAAAGAATATGGTACTGGCATAAAGACAATGGGACACTATAAAGAGTCCAGAAATAAATACACACATTTACAGCCAAATGATTCTCTTTTTAAATTGTTATTATAGATTCAGGAGATACATGTGCAGGTTTGTTACATGGATATATTGAATAATAGTGAGGTTTAGGTTTCTAGTGTACCTATCACCCAAATAATGAACATTGTACCCAATAGGTAATTATTCAACCCTCACCCTCCATACACTTCCCCCACTGGATTCTCCAGTGTCTATTATTTCCATCTTTATGTCCATGTGTTCCCATTGTTTAACTCCCACTTAATAGTGACAGTATATAATATTTGATTTTCTATTTCTGAGTTATTTTATTTTGGACAATGACTTCCAGCTCCATCCTTGTTGCTCCAAAAGACAGTATTTCATTCTTTTTATGGCTGTGTAGTATTTCATGATGTATATATACCACATTTTCTTAATCAGTCATGTGTTGATGGGCACTTAGGTTAATTTCATGGCTTTGCTACTGTGACTAGTGCTGTGATAAACATATGAGGGCTGGTGTCTTTTTATATAATGATTCCTTTCCTTTGGGTAGATGCCCAGTAGTGAGATTTCTAGGTTAAATGGTAGCTATATCTTTAGTTCTTTAGGAAGTTTCCATACTGTTTTCCATAGAGGTTGTAGTAATTAACATTCCCACCAACAGTGTATAAGCATTCTTTTTTCTCTGCATACGCATCAACATTTGTTATTTTTGACTTTTTAATAACAGCCATTCTGACTGGTGTAACATGTTATCTCATTATGGCTTTGATTTGATTTCTCTGATGATTAGTGATGATAAACATTTTCTCATGTGTTTGCTGACTACTTCTATGTCTTATTCTGAGAATAATCTCTTCATGTCCTTTTTTGACTTTTTATTGTTTTTTATCTTACTGAGTTCCTTGTAAATTTAACAAATAATATTAGTCCTTTGTTGAATGCATAGCTTGCAAATATTTTCTCCCATTCTAAATGTTGTGCATTTACTCTGTTGATTATTTCTTTTTATGGTCAACTAGTTTTTGACAAAGTTGTCAAGAAAACACAATGGAGACAGGATAGTCTCTTTAATTGTGTTGGGAAAACTAAATATCTACATCCATAAAAATGAAATTGGATTCTTATTTCAAACCATATACAAAAATCAACTCAAAATGAATTAAAAACATAAACATAAAACCTGATATTATGAAACTAGGAGAAAACATGGGGGAAATACTCTATAACACTGGTCAGGCAATAATTTTTTTGGATATGAGATCAAAAGTACAGGCAAGAAAGGCAAAAATAGAAACATGTAATCACATCAAATTTAAAAGCTTCTGCACAGAAAATGCAACAATCAGCAGAGTAAAGAGAAAACCTTAAGAATGGGAGAAAATATTTGCAAACTGTACATCTGATAATCGGTTAATATTCACAAAATACAAGGAACTGAAGCAACTCAATAGTAATAAACTTATATCCAATTTAAAAATGGACAAAGAACCTCAATCAACATTTCTCAAAAGAAGACATACAGGTGGCTAACAGGTATATGAAAAAATGTTTAACATTACTAATTATCAGAGAAATGCAAATTAGGACCACAAATAGATATCACCTCACTCCTGTTAGAATAGCTACCACCAAAAAGACAAAAGAAAAAGGAACCCTTGCACACTGTTGATGGTAATGTACATTAGTACATCCACTATGGAAGACAGTTGGAGGTTCCTGAAAAAACTACAAATAGAATTACCATATGATCTAGCAATTCCATTACTGGGGATTGAAGAGATGTTGGTAAACAGATACAAAATTAGATAGTAGGAATAAGTTCAAGATACCTATTGTACAGCAAGGTGACCATATTTAATGATTACATATCTGGAAAGACGCTAAAACAACTTCCCCTGTCTGAAATATTTTATTCCTCAGCAAGACACTTCAGCACTGTACTCAAACCTTCAATTGTTCTCCTATAATTTCTTATAGTTAGTTTCCTTTTAAATTTCTCTCCTCTAGGAGCCTTCCAAGACATCTACTATGCCACCAGTATTGTTAAGCACCTTCCTGTGTCATTCCATAGTCTTGGAGTTACCCCTTAATACATTATTTATAACAGAGCACTCTGCATTTCTTTGCCTATATTTTCCACAGAACACGAATATATATAAGGTTGTGTCATGTCTTATGTCCTCATATTTAGGGACTCAATGGATTTTTCTTTGATAAATTAATGAGCTTGCCATACCCTTTCTAATCTGGCTTTCTTATGATCAGAATTACTTATTGGCAAAAGTGCCGGTAGCCATGGAATGTGGTAACAATAAAATGCCTCAAAGAAATATAACCCATTACCTTAAGTCTTATATGTTCATATTTTCCTGCCCCAAGTTAATGTTTTCACCCCAAAAATCTCCTCATGAATATTAATATAGTGATTTTCAATCTTTCCTATTCTTGGGCACACTTTAAATTCTAGAATTTTCATCCCAAACTTGCAGATTACATTTATTTATGATATTCCACTATTTTCTTAGTCTCCTTTCAGTAGTCCGTCATTATTGGGTAGAACATTTCATGATATTACTCCCTTCGCTTAACAGAGATCTTTCATGTTTCTGTAAATGAGCCATTTCCATCTTATGCTACCCTTTTTGCTTTATTCACAGCAAGAGGTACTCACTTATATAAAATCTTGCAAAGCCCTCTACTTAACATTCCATCTGCTATATGTCAAAGTAATAATATGTATTCTCTGTTGCTTCTAAAGCAAATTTTATGCATCATTTAAATTTCATGGCTGGCCCAATACTGAAGGGTTTGACTGACATCAGTGCACTACGGCTGACTTGTTACAAACGACCTTCCTAAAAGGACTTTTCACATCTATATACCTCTGACCATCAGTGAAAATGATTTTATTATGGCCCTTTGCAACCCAGGTCTTCACACCTTCCTTAAACAAAACTTTTGGCAAAATAACCACATGTGGCCTCAGAATAAGGAGTTCTTGATTCTGCACCTCAAAAAAAATTGTTCCATAGCAGCACCATCACTACAAATGTTCTCATTTATTCTAGCATTATTTTATCAGGGGCTAAATTTGTTTTTGGAAAGAAGGTGATCTTATTGAAGAAAGTGAGCATGCAAAACAAACGTTGTCAAAAAGTTTCTAGCATGGTCATTCTGATCGTGTCTCTTATGTCCTTATTTTATGTTAAGATGGGCTACATCGATCCCCTTTTTCTTAAGGAAAATTGAGAAGTGAAGCATCAAGATTTAGCTAATATAATACACTAGGAAGAGATGTCTGGAAATCCATATGGAATTTATGTCCCTTCATTTTATAAGGCCCAAACCATCTTTGTTACTCAATGTGTGTGTGTGTGTGTGTGTGTGTGTGTGTGCGCGCGCGCGTGCGCGTGCGTGTGTGCATGTAGGTGGGTGCTTAGTGGGTGCTTTCTGTTGTCCTTAATAAGAATTAAATTCCATCTTTTTTCTTAAGAAAATAAGTGACCAAAGTCATCTAGTGCCTTAGGCCCTAAATCCTAGCCAGAGTAACAGATTCATTTCTTTTCTTTTTTTTTTTTTTTTCATTCTAACTTTACTAACTAGCCTTCAGTCACTGCAATTCTTAACCAATAATTAACCTTACTTCAACAATAATTAACCATGACAGAAAAAGCGTAGCAGGAATAGTTAGAGTGAGGGGGTGGAGAGTAGTACACGTTTTCTTTCATGAAAACAGAGTCGGTTTTACAAAAGTTAAATTCAACTGAAGAGATGTGACAAGAAAGATATAACAAAAATGGTAAAAATGGTAACCAGGAGGAAGAAGATGAACCTCTGCTGTATTTTCATAGCACGTTTCCAAACCTCTATTCCTATCCTTAGTATATTGAATTGTAAATATTGTTCACTGGCTTGATAAATGATGAATGAACAAATAATATCTCCTGGTTTGTAATGAGCATGGAAAGTTTCGTAATGGTTCTAGGAACTGAACTCAGTGCTCATGAACTACTAGGAATCCAGATATAGAGAGTGCCATGAAAAAGACACAGAAGACAGAATGAACTCAGCATAGTAGTGGGACACTTAGTTTAGTGCAGGTACAGAGATAGGCATGACCTTAGAATCTGTCATCTCTAGCCAATTTAATCACAGGGGTACATTTTTCTTTCTAATGAGAAAGAGTAATTTGCAACCACTTTTTTTTCTATTTTTACAACCTAATACTTGTAGTGAAGGAGTCAAGTCTTTTGGGCTCCTGGTGACTATTAAGGTGGAGGTTGCAAAGCAATGTGTGTAAATAAAAGAAAAACCTGAAAGGACACATCTATCACAGCTCAATTAAAAGTCTTATTAGAAATAAAGCTCTTTTATTCAAACAGCTTTATTAAATATTGAGAAAATGTATATAACTAGGAAGGCACTATGTAGATAACATGAAATATGCTGGTTAATTAGTTATACTTTCAGATGGCAAAAAACTTTCTTATTGTAAAATGTCATCTGGAATGTTATCATTTAAAAGTCAGTAATGAAAACAAAAATTAATAAGAACTTTAATGCAATACCAAAGTGTGCAGGAAATAAATGTCACCAGTCTGCAGAAACAAGATCTCTTCTGGCATTTATCATTTAATTTGGTTTTCCATCAATCTTAGCTTTAAAAAAAACTGAAAAGCCCCTAGTCACAATTTGTTAGCCTATTTAGGAAGCCACTGTCTTTAATAACAGAGACAATAAGAAGGCCAAGTGGTTCTAGCAGTCATCTACACCCTTGATGGTTGTCTGAGCCTTCCAGACCTGAGACTGAGTTATGAGCTTAGTATTACTTTTTCAAAAAATTTCAAGATATTTCATGATATTCTCAAGGCATTATCCTCTCTCCCCAGAAATCTACTGAATACCTTAGAATCACCCTATACTGCCCCTCCTCTCTCACATCTGCCCTTACAGCACACACTTCCGGGGCAAACAAGTATTTTCAAGTCTTCAGAAGATGCTATGCCATAAGTTTTTGTTCTCCATCCCTACTGCCACAGATCATATTTATTTTCTGAGATCTGGACTGTTTTCATCTCAGCTTTCTAATGAATCTCTTTATCTTTGGCACCTTTTCCAGGGGCAAAATGTGTGTGTGTGTGTGTGTGTGTGTGTGTGTGTAGAATATTAATTTTACAACAAATAAATTGGTGTGTAGAGGGATTGCCAATATTGCTCTGATCACCACCATTTCTTCTTTATTCATTTAGCAAATCATGTCTGGTTCCTGTGCCAGGCATTAGGGCTATAGCACAAAGCAAGGTAGAAGCAATACCTGTAAATATTAAGCCTACAGTTTAACCTGCATTTAAATATATAAAATCTAAAACTCTTTTACTCAGAAGCCTGCACAATGTTTATCTTTACTAGAACAGAATTGTAAAATAAATATGCTGTAAATCTGCCTGACACTCCACATATACCAAGTAAGTCTCTTGATTTCCAGGTTTACAGTTTAAGTACCTAGGGGTCAAAAATGTTAAATGACGTCACAAAATGGCTTTAGGTTATTGGAATTAGTAACGGCCATCATATATTAATTAATAATAATATATTATTAATGGAAGTAATGATATCTCATAGAGTTGGTGTGAGGGGTAAATGTGGATGTGCGTATGTAATATCCAGCATGTGGCTGATGCTCAAAAATGTTGATACAAAAAACTGTTGATACATTTTCTCTTCTTGCTAGGAAAGATGAATAAAAAATATGAAATGTCCCAAATCAATATAATGCTACAATATCTCCCCAAATTACACCCTTTAAATATGTCTACCTATAGTGTTCTTAATAAATATTTGTCTTGCTGTTATCAAAATTATTACTGAATTATCAAATTTTTATTGTAAACTCTCATCCTTTTTTTTCCTTATCTTATCCTTGGTCTATGAGAATGAAAGTATCCCAGGATGCTATATTCTCTGCACCCCATTTAAATCCCCTCTATAGCTTATCATATAAAAAGGAAACTTACAAGAAATGTACGTAAGTACACTTGTCTGAGCTTCAAATGCCCAGATCTAAGCCTGTGAGAAAACATTTCTCATAGTTTTGAGACATAAAGCTGAAATTTTGGATCCTCTACTTTTCTTTTCTATTATGAAAGCCAGTGAGTTCATTACACAGACTTCTCTCAACCTTATTAGATTTTGCTTCCAGCAAGTTGCTCATGTTGGGAACACTTCACAGAGATACCCACTATTCCATGATCTTGTTTGTCTGAGGTTTCAAAATCTCTTGGCACCCTTTGCATCCTAAACTTTCCTCATGTCTTCTAGCACAGACCTGTTATTTTATAAAATGTATTGGGGATTTTGACACCAAGTTTAACATGTGGTGCAGCCTGTCTTCATGGCAGCTGCTTTCCACTAATCCCATTCCCAAGCAGTCATGTTGTTTGGCAGATGACATTCAACAGGTGCACACCATGTCTTACAAGGTCTGTGGCTGCCACAAGAGGCATAGCTGGAAAAGATCTAACACTGTTGTTGATCTGCAAGCATCTGTTGTGGCCTGGCAACCATGGCTATGGGCAAGAATTCAAATATAGACCAAGAGGGCATTTTGCCATTTTAGCAGATGGACATGCAGAGAAATAGCCAAGAGCCTCTGTAACAAGCATCATGCATGTGGCTGGAGGACAGGACGTGCAGCCAATAACATTTAATTGGCTTTTTATCTGTTGCTTAGAAACCTTGGGTTCAGGAACAATGTCCTTCCTAATTACAACTTGAGCCTTGGACATTCTCTTCACAGGAACCATGATCTGTGACTGCCATGGAAAAGTGTTGGGCAGGAGGAGGCCAGCTGGGTCTTTGAAGTTGACAATGGAGCCAGGAATGAAAGCTGCACTTAGGATGAGAATTGCTTTCCCTGGAGCCAAGTCAGCAAATGCAGTCTGGTTGTCAGAGCTGAGAGGTAAGGAATAAAGATGAATCATTGCATACTTGTGTTCCTTTCCCCTGCTTTCACTCTGAATGAAGAGGAAAATCAGGTGAGACACAAAATAGCCAGGAAATAAATCATTCCTCTACTGGCAAGACAGACTGGGCTGTACTAAACCAGAGTTAGGAAGAAAAGGAAAACAAATGAGAGAAAACTGGACTCTGGATCAATACATTAAAGAACCTGCAGGATTAGAGTAGAGGGTCATGTTAAGGGCTTGAACTCAGAAGTCAGATCATCTAATTTCAATTTCAGCACCTCTCTTACTAGCTTTGTAACTATAGTCAAGCTAATAAACTGTCTGACTCTCATTTGTCTCATCTAGAAGATAAGGATAAAAACACAGTAACTATAAGGCAGTTGTAGTAATTAAATGAGTTAATGTACATAAAGCACCTAGAACAGTGCCCATTACATCGTAAGCATCACATAAGTATTAACTCTCATTATCACATTTAAAGGTTAGTCTCTCTCAGGCAAGCTTCAGTTAATTATGTTCAAACTCCATTAAAAAATGTACTTTGTACCAACCTGCCTCAGTTATATTGCCCCCAGCCTCTTGTAAGATATTGTATTAAATTTTCCTCATTTGGCTTCCTATTATCTCGTAGTAACTGTCATTGTATGTACAAACCATCCACCACTATTCCTAGCCCCAGGAAACCAAAACAAATAAAAAACAACAAGATCATTTAAGAAGTAATCCTCACCCCATTGCTTGACTCCTTACATAAATGTTTTGGTGTCTAATACATCTACCTCTATGGCTGCAGCTACCTCCTCTCCAATAACCTGAAGTCAAAATCACTCTTCAGAGTCCAGACCTGTTTATCCCATGGTATATTAGCCATATATACTTGGATGTCCCACAAGTCCTTCAAACTTTGTGTATTGATCACTGAAGATATTATGTTCACTGCCAACCCCCCGCAAAATTGATGCTGTTTCTTCTTCAATATCCCTAAACCATTCATATGTCCTAGGTTGCTCTTTTAGTCTTAAAAGTGTCTCAACTTGGATATAAATATATAATTGCCTTGTGTATCTCCCATCTCAGTGAACCAGCCACTCAGTTGCTTAAGGCAGAAATCCTAGCTTTTCCTCCACCCAACATAACGCAAATCTAATATATCACCAAACCTGGCCAATTATACATTCTAATTATGTCTCAAATTTACCCCATCCTCTTTAACTACATTGCCACTGCCTTTATGTAATTCCTCACCCCATTTTTCTACTGGCATAGGTTTCCTGAATGGTATTTCTACATTTTCTGTCCCAAAATATCATTCTGAATACCACCATAGCAGTTTTGTTCAAAAACCAAATACGACTATATTATTTCCCAGCTTAAAACTCCGTTCAGTGGCTTTAGTATATAAAGGGAAAATACAAGCTTCTGCCAAACAAAATATTTCAGCCTAATATCTGTAAATGAATGACTTCCAAATGTACATCCCCAGCACCATCCTCTCCCCTAAAAGACAAATTTGAGTGTCCAATGACCTATTCTACATTTCTACTCTAATAGACATCTCAAGCTAAAATTTTCAAATTTCAGGCTTCTGTTTGCCTGAAAAAGGCTTTATTTCACTGGTTTTTCTTAAATGATTATTTTACACGGTACAGAATTCTAAGTTGACAGTTCTTTTCTTTCAGCACAATAAAAATGTTGCCCTACAATGTCTTCTGCTTTTGACTCCTATCTTTGTTCCTTTGTATATAATGTGTTATTTTTCTCTACCTGCTGTTAAGATTGTCTTACTATAATTGGTTTTTACGAAGTTGATTATGGGTGCCTTGGTGTAGTTTTATTTTTATAATCAACTTAGGAATCACTGGGCCTTATCAATATGTGGGTTCATATTTTTCATCATCATACTTGGAAATTTCCAAGCTAAAATATTCAATTTTTTTCTCTCCTCATATCTTTTTAAATATATTGCAATTATATGCATGTTAAATAATTTGATACTATCTCACAAGTCAGTGATATTTATTTTTCAGGCTTTTTTTCTTTCTGTGTTTCTACTGCTGTATCTCCAGATTCTCTGATCTTTTCTTCACAGTGTATAACTTGCAGTCCCTTCCAGCCAATGTATTATTTCAGATATATTTTTAATCTCTAGAAGTTCAATTTAAGTCTTTTTTGTAATTTTCATTTATGTCATTATGGTTATATTTTCTTCTATCTTCTTAAACATTGGAAACATGTTTGTCATAGCTGTTTTAATGTCCTGGCTTGCTAATTTCATTCTCCCTGTCATTTCTGGGTCTATTTCTATTGATTAGTTTTTCTCCCAGTTGTGGGTTCTATTGCATACTTTTTTGTAGGCCTGATAATTTATTTTTTATTTTTTGAGACAGGGTCTTACTCTGTCACCCAGGCTGGAGTGCAATCATAGCTCACTGCAGCCTCAAACTGCTGGGCTCAAATGATCCTTCCACCTTAGGCTCCTGAGTAACTAGGATTATGGGCACACAATACCATATCTGGCCAAATTTTAAATTTT
Organism: Homo sapiens; assembly: GCF_000001405.40. Classification (NCBI taxonomy): domain Eukaryota; kingdom Metazoa; phylum Chordata; class Mammalia; order Primates; family Hominidae; genus Homo; species Homo sapiens. The sequence continues at coordinate 22,082,243 of NC_000011.10, forward strand.
CTGTAGAGACACAGTTTTGCTTTGTTGCCTAGGCTGGCCTTGAACTCTTAGTCTCAAGTAATCTTCCTACTTCAGCCTCCCCAAAGTGCTGGGATTACAGGCATGAGCCACTGTACCCAGCCAATGCCTAGTTATTTTGATTGGATGCCAGACCTTGTGAATGTTACATATGCTGGATTTTCTTGTATGCTTTTGAATAGTGTTGAAGTTTGTTCTGGCACATTGTTAAGTTGTTTGGAATTAGTTTGATTTTTTTTTTTAGGTTTGTTTTTAAGTTTCATTGGGGCAGATCCAGAGTAGTATATGAAATTTATTTATTCCTGCTATAAAGGCAATATACTTCTGAGTACTCTAATTGATGCCCTTATTCATGGGATCTTCCTACTCTGATTGGTGGCTATACAAAATATTCCTAGCTCTGTTTGACTTCTTGAAATTACTCAGCTTACTTATTCCCAGGGGATCCTTCTCCAGCCTTGCATGGTGTTACACGTGCAGATGAAAATTACTACCAAATACACAAGATAAACTCTCTATAGATCTTTGGAGTTCCTTATCTTTATAGGCAGTTGTCTCTTCTCTTGTCTTAAAACTTGCAAATAAATACTGACCAACTTGGTTTCCCCAAACATTATCTCAATCTTCTCAATTTATTAAGACTACTAGGTGCTCTTTGGGTTCTCTTGTTTCTGTATCTATGGCTTGAAAACTGCCTCCAGGCAGAATAAGGGTGAAACTTTAAACCTAATCTTGTTTGCTTTTCTTCTATCAGAGGCCAAAGTCCTGTGCAACTTATTGTCCAAAGTTTGAAAATTGTTTCTTGATAAATTTGGCTCAGTTATCTAGTTTTTTAGAGCAGGTATATATCTACATATATATGTGTATATATGTATATATATATATATCTACATATATATGTGTATATATGTATATATATATATATCTACATATATATGTGTATATATGTATATATATATCTATACATATATGTATATGTATATATATCTATATATAGAGATATATATCTATATATAGATATATATAGATATATATATCTATATATAGATATATATAGATATATATATCTATATATATATATATCTAGTTCCTGTTCAATTTGAAAATACAGAAAAAAACTGGCATAGGCAAGAAACTCTCTCCTGGGGCATTTCTGCCACATCCATTTTTTTTAAGCCATTATCGATCATGGAGGCTGTATCTCAAAGTGTTTAAAAAGCTCACACTCTCAGTGTATGCCTTTAAGCAAGCCTCTTAAACTCTTCAGGGTTCAATTACCTCATCTGTAAAATGGGAATAAGAATAGTTCCTGAAATATAAGGTTGCAGCCAGATTAAATGAGATAATAGGAATAATGTACTTTGCACCAATTTCATCATATATTAAGTGTTCATTAAATATTAGATCACTGTTTTGTTTACAAAGAAAAACAAAAGCCATGGAAGAAAGGGAAATCTGTACTTTAAAGGTTTTTAAGAAAGGATTTACTAGCAAAGAAATATATAAAGAGAGTAACTATGAACTTTAGGGAAGGAAAGGAACAAGCTGTGTCAAGAGTACAGAGGCAGAAGTTTTAAGTCCTGGATTGTTTCATGTTACTCTAGGGCTTGTAAAGAAGTCACCTCACTTCTGTAGATCTCAGTTTCTTCTAAAAGTTGGAATACAAATACTCTCGTGTTTCCTGGCTAGGATGTTGTAAAGATCAAGTGACATAACTGAAGTGAAAGTCTTTGGAAAGGTACACATATCATGTAAGAAATGTTAGATGATGATAGTATTAATGGGCACCTTATAGCCATAAATAAAATGAGCAACAAAGTGTATCCCAGACTCTATGAGAACTACTATCATCAGTTTTATATCAAATAAATAGAAAGTGATGCAGAAGGAAGTCCAGTGGGTAGACAAGAACCCTCAGGGATGCAGTGAAAGAACAAGGGCTACAATTTCAGATTTTTGGCCTCATGTCTAGTTCTCTTTTCCTGCACAGGCTCAGAACTGTTACATTCCTTTCTAAATCTGGATCGGTGACAGCACTTTACATTCTGGTCACAGGAAAAACCTTCTCTGTTGCTGTTATGTTGTTTTGCTGGAGAGCCCCCAAACTCTACACTGTGCAAAAACCACATATCTCCCTTGAGGTCAATGATATTGACATTTTCTGCCTGATTTGGAGATGTTTTATCCACAGCTACAGTAAATGTGATTTAGTCTCATTCTCCATCTCACTGATAATTCTGACTTTGGCAGAAGCATCTGTCCTGACAGAGAAACAAAGTGAGGAAGAGAACCTGATTCTGAGACCCAAATATGATGTATTATGAAGGGTTCTGCAGTTCAGCTCCAGGTTTTGTTTGTTTGTTTGTTTGGGGGGGATTGTTGTTTGTTTGTTTTTTACCTAGAATGGCATTACTTCTAAAGAAACTTAGAAATAAATTTTACACAGAGTATCAAATCCCACTCAAACTGGTATTTGTCACCACTTTATCTGGCTTACTAAGTAGGCTGTTGAAACAACTGTGCAAACAGTCACAAAAGCTCCCTTGTTTATGGTAACATAGGAAGGTGGAAGAAATGGGAGGGAAAAAATAACAAAATATATCTTAATGAGAAAATGCACAATTTCTTTAAAAATAAGGTGAATTTTATTAGTAGTTAAAAATATATTTAGTAGTTAAAAATTAGTAGTTATTAGTAGTTGAAAATCTACTTAGAATATATAGAAGCAGCCATTGTCTTTTCTCACAAGATGCTTTGGGCATTATAGGACCCCAGTCTTAGTATCATAAATGTGCGTATAGCCCCAAATCCAGATTTGGAAAGAAACACACAGAGTGCTTCAGTCTACCCACCCCTCCCCCATTTATACTGCAGATTTGTTTTATTTTTATAGCCTTTCTTCATTCTTCTGACAGCAGCACACTACTTTTCCTATTAGGAATCATGACTGTGTTCATGTTGTCCTGGTGGAGCTGTCAATTATAGTGACCCTTCTTTTCATCATAGCTTGTGATCATGTGATTCAGGACAGCCAATCAGTGTATTCCATTTCCCTTGTTGCAGTGATTGAGCAAAGAGTGTACACATGGCTCACAGAAGTCCAGGCCTTTCCTGATATTTGACATTTGGAGAGTGAAAAACAACAACAACAAAAAAAGAGTCCGTTTTCTGAATCACAAGCTACAAGGATATAAGCTTGGGCATTTTTTCCTATCATAGAAAGTCTTACTGAGAATGGGACCCACATGCAGAAGGTAGAAATGCTAAAAGATGAAGACAAAAGAAACAGACAACAAATAAAACTCCAATATTATAATTTGTGTCACTGAATCTTGCTATGTAGAATCAAGCTGAACCTAAACTTCCAGATACATAAGCCAATATTTTCTCCTTTTAGTTTCAGGAGTTTAAATTTGACTTCTGTGGTTTTGGGTTAAAACAGTGCCTACTACAATATATAGTAAAATATTTCATGATCATATATAGTAAAATATTTCATGATCATAATCTCTAGGACCATATTGTACCAGTGCAAAACAAATACAAACCAATTTGCTTTTGGTGCTTCTTTTAAATAGAGAATATTATTTAAACAAAACTGTCTGAGAATATGAGACATCGGCCATATTTAAATTGTGTCTGAGTCACTCACAAAAGTTTAATTGCCTTTAAAAGAACATTGAGGACAAACTCTCAGGAGACACACCAGAGACACAGGATGAAGTACTGACCCTCTCATTCCTTAAGGAGTGATTATATTTCTGTTTCAACACCTATGAGCAGTTTTGATTAAATTTCATAAAAGGCTATTTCATTAATTGCATATTTTATGTAAGTGATGGCCATGAAAAATTGCTTTGATGTACAAGTGAGGCAGAGTAATATTTTGAATTGTTAACCAAAGTTTTTTCAAGATGTTTCCCCTCACCTAACCACTTCTCCTAATCAGAGCAACTGGGCGTCTTGTCTTTACTACTGCAGGGATGAGACGACCCAGTAGAATGCCTAATTCAGTTTGTAGCTTCTGAAATGTAAATGACTAGGTAGAATAACTCAGAGAGAACTGAAGAGAGCTGGGAAGTGGGTGAGATTCCTGAGAAGAGGCCCTCAGAAACAGAGTAGAAGTGACTATGTGATACATGCTTGATAAAGCTCCTTGATCCATCCAGCCCCTAGTTGTTCATAGCCTTAGAGTAGGCAGGGAGTGCAGCCAATGGTTTTACACACTCGCGGCAGAAGTTTTGAGGCAGTGGAGAAAGCCAGACCTGGAGCAAATGATAGCACAGCAGCAATCTGTAGGGATTGATGACCCAGGACTGGCACAGATAACTGATGTCACAGAAGATGCCTGCATAGTCAGGTGACAGTCAGGAACCAGACATCACTGTGCCCTGCAACATGGGCTAAGGAATTTAGCCACCATCCTGGGGAAAAGTGGCAGAACCTTAAATAGGTTGACATTTTTGTTCCTGTTGTTAGGTAAAAATTATAGGAAACTATTGTTTTGGACTAAACTCCTGCACTAAGCCCCAACAGATCAGATTTTAAAGAAAAATAGCTTTGAAATGACTAATGAGCTTTTCATTCTCTGCTTCTGCCTTCTTTAGCCCTTCTCTGTCTACAAAGCCACCCTTCTACTCAACTTCTCTGAACACTCATTCTATTTTATAGAATGAAGTGTTGCCCAATTCTACAATTGCGAATAAAGCCAAATGAGATCTTTAAACTAAATTTGTTGTATTTTGGCTTTTTTTTTGACACTTTCTTAAGAACGAGGCCTTGAAATAAAATTATATTGAATTATAGAAAGCAAAAGTTACATTTCTTCAGCACTAGTGTGACTGGGTAGACAAAGAGTCATACTATCAAAATATCTAAAAAAAGTTTTAGGGTAAAATAACCAAAAAAATCTTTCAAAACCTTTTATTCAATATTTGCATTTAAATTTATGAATCACTAAGCTTAACATTTTGTGTTAATGAAGTTCGTTGCAGGCAGTCAGCACTTATTCCACATGTGCTGTGGCCTCCACACACCCTGCATTTCATCAGCTTGTGCCTAGGGATATTTCCTCTTCACCTTAACAAATACTCATCTACCATAGGCCAGGCATTATATAAAAGTGAACTGTTAATTACAAGGAGGGGCTGGGCGTGGTGGCTCATGCCTGTAATCCCAGCACTTTGGGAGGACAAGGTGGGCAGATCACGAGGTCAGGAGATCAAGACCATCCTGGCTAATGTGGTGAAACCCTGTCTCTACTAAAAAATACAAAAAATTAGCCAGGCAAAAAAATTAGCCAGGTGTGGTGGCGGGCTCCTGTAGTTCCAGCTACTTGGGAGGCTGAGTCAGGAGAATGGTGTGAACTCAGGAGGCGGAGCTTGCAGTGAGCCGAGATTGCACCACTGCACTCCAGCCTGGGCAACAGAGCAAGACTCCATCTCAAAAAAAAAAAAAAAAAATGCAAGGAGGGTTGGGCTAAATGAAGATGGCCAACTCAAGCTTTCTAATTAAGACCCTCAACTGCAAACTCACATCCTCTGACAGAGAGTGGACAGAATCCCATCTGTGTGCGAAACAAGACACTGAGAAGTGGGGAAAAGGAATTTCCCATATTAGCATTGCCTAATACAAAGAAAAAAATCTTTTTAAAAATTCAACTATGATGATATTTTCTCTTTTCTTCATTTTAAGAAGGGAATCATATTTATTGAATACAACTCATACATCAGAAAATGTGCTAGGTGCTTTATGTACATTATCTCACTTAATCCTCACAACGGCACTGTCTGGTAGGTTTTAATATCCCCATTTTCAAGTAAAGAAAGTGAAACTCAGAGAGATTTGGCAATTGATCATAAGTGATACCCCTGATCAGGGAAAAATTGAGAATTAAAGTAAAATTAGCATATCTCTAAAGAGTGTGCATTTCAACTATGCCCCACACTTCCCAAATTTGAACCACATTAAAAGGCCCTTGATAGTTTAGTGTTAAATGGAAATTCATTAAACACTGTGGGAGGAGCTGTTTGGGCAATCTCACCCTTGTTATTCCTTTGGCCAAGATTCTCTGACCCTACATATTTATATAACTGAATTTTTTTCATCTTCAGATCTAAGCTAAAATGTCATCTCCTAAAAGAGATGGCCTCTAATGGCCTAATCTAGAGTGAAAAAAAGGGGCCATTCAGTCCCCAGCCTCTGTCACATTAGTGTTGTAGTTCCCCATGTTTGTCATTTCCTGAGATGGTCTTTTTTTCACCTGCTATGTATCTCCTCCTGCTGAAAATTCTCTATATACCCTAAAGGGAAGATTTCTGACTTCCATTCTTGTGCCTATACCCTGATGTCACTCACAGTAGCCATATTATCATGTTCCTCTACTCAGCCTCCTCAAAGTCTTCCTATCTCACTCAGGGTAAAATACGAAGTTGTTACTGAGTTTGGTTTCTGAGAGCCTCTCCTTTTATTCTCCCCAACTCACTCTGTGCCAGCCATGGTTTCTTAAAAGACTTCAGGGTCTGCAAACTGGCAATTCATCTGCCTGGAACAGTATTTGCTCAGATATCCTCATCCCTCATTTATTCACTTTCCCCAAGCCTCTGTTCATTCTGCCTGGTTGTTTAGAATAACAAACGATGGCCGGGCGTGGTGGCTCACATCTGTAATCACAGCACTTTGGGAGGCTAAGGCAGGCAGATCAGGAGGTCAAATTGAGACCATCCTGGCCAAGACGGTGAAACCTCGTCTCTACTAAAAACACAAAAAAATTAGCTGGGTGTGGTGGTGTGTGCCTGTAGTCCCAGTTGCTTGGGAGGCTGAGGCAGGAGATCAATCACTTGAACCTGGAAGGCGGAGGTTGCAGTGAGTTGAGATAGAGCCACTGCACTCAGTTTGGTGACAGAGCGAGAGTCCGTCAAAAAAAAACGAACACAATATATCTTTACTTTTATATTTAACCAAAATTACTTTGCAGGCACCCTTACAAGATGAATTAATTGTTTGAGTCTACTGACCCCCAAGTGTATAAGTTTTTAAAGGAAGAAGTAAAAAATTGCTCATCTTTCTATTTCTAGAAAAGAAGTAGATTTAATCTACCTTTTACTAGTCAAAGATTTAAATAATTTTATTTTTTAACCATTTTACTTTTATTTTTGTAAGCTGGCATTTATTTGTTTCCTTTATTGGTTCATTATTTATTAATTTACTTTTTTATTCAATGTACATATTGTGAGCACCTACTAAGTATTCAGTGGTGGAGATAGAAAAATGAACAAGACCCATTTTCTGTGCTCAAAGACCTCACAAAATCTACTAAGAGATTCCAACAAACTGTTAGGAAGGTCACTGTGACATATGTGCCAACCTAAATAGCCAACAGAGACAGACTCTCTAAAAGAAAATAATGTTTACTTGGGACGAAAGAACTGCAATTAGCATATGTGTACCATAGTAAACTACATACATATTCAGGGAGGTAGAGGAAGACAAATATTTTTAAAGAAAAAAATGAGGAAGATTACGTAATTGTTTTGAAATAATTATCACTGGCTACAAAGTTCAATAACTAGCATGATGCCAGTCTGAGGGTGGAAAGGCAGTTGCTGTGCAGATATCCTTGCAGAAGTACTTTTTGTGTAAAGTTGCAATGATTTTTGTGCAAGACTGTAGTTTTTGCAGTCTTTTGTGATAGCTTTTGTTATCAGGCTCACAAGTGTGAGAGCCCTCTCTTCATAGCCTTCCCCACCTCTATTTCACTATTTGTCAGCGTTGTTTGTTTTTTGTTTGTTTGGTTTAACATTAGTGACTCCATTTTGACTCTGACAATTTTCACAGTTCCCCTTTTGATCAAGATCTTATTTCAAAAGCATCACTAATCAATCATCCTATAGTTAGTTTTTGATGTCTCTTGGTGCCATGATGGACTTGTCCAAGGGGCTGGTCTCATCTCATATTGAAAGGGATTGATTGGAGACTAGGATCCAGGGTCAACCCTTTAGTCCTTTAGGGAGTGGCTCTCAAGCTATGTCTGCGTGGAGTTCACTATTATGTTCAATTTTGTCTGCTCTGTAGTCTTTTGTTATCTTAAAGTGCTGGGCCAACATTATTTTGTTAGGAGTTAGTACTTCCATAGAAATTTAATAAGTAACAGATACAAAATTTAGAAAGGTAAAATAAATGGTAATATGACAATTCAAGTTTGCATAATGATTTTGAGCCATGAACCTAAACTTAAAAGTAACCAATCGAATAAATCAAATGACCACAGGGAATTAGGTAAGACCCATAGTAAGAATATGGTCTGTTTTCTTATTTTATGCAAATGACTCTCAATTTTCCAGAGGAATTTTACCAGGTACAGCATGTAGTATTAGCAATAGCAAAGACATTTTCTTATTTAACCAATAGATACTAAAGAATGTTTAGGTTCTGTTAAGTTGCCAGCAGAATCTGTTGATTGTTAAACTTTACACCATTATCTTACCATGTGAAATAGGGAGGTTAGAGTAGCATTAAGGTAGGTAATAATCCCATTGTGATATGAAGACTTGTTCCAATATCTTGGGAAAAACTGTCTACAGCATGAAAACATCAACTTCTCCTGGTTTTCAGTTTGAATATCTCTAGTCATGATATTCAGTTTGATGATCTTGTGGTGACCACACATCAGGCACAAGTCTTGTTGTTTAAAATGTATCTAGTTTCAACTTACAGGGCTTTAGGATTAGAGCAGTTTTTTGTTACTAGCTGGAGAGTTGTAGCCAAATATTGGATGAAATTAGGATTCAGGATCTAGTCTAGTCTACGGGTAAATAAGAAGAACTTGAAACCTATGAATAAGGCTACAATCTAATAACAAGTATATAATAGTTCATTTTTTCTTCAAAATAATATTTTCACTCTGCATTCATCACATAGGAGTCTCAGATTTTAATACTTCTTGAGGGAAGGAAGTCAAACCAGGGCAGACTTTAGATTTCACTTACATTCTTTAGTTTTCCGGGCCTGCTAGGAAGTGACAGTTTTCCGGGCCTGCCAGGAAGTGACAGTTTCTAATCATTCACTGTGATGCTAGGAACCATTGAAGCCAGTTGTTTCATGCACATCCTCAAATACGATACTTCAGTCAAAGCCTTGGTAATGTAACCACTGTTTTCAATTCTATCCTTCTATAAAGAGAGAGCAGATTTTTGTTGAACTTATGCAAGTAACTACATTATCATTAAAAATATTATGAATATTTTTCAATTTTTGGAGGAATTGAGCAGGGAAAATTGAGGTTTTGGGATTCGGACTTGCTTCCTTGCCCCTCAGCTTGCAGACAGTCTATTGTGGGACTTCACCTTGTGATCATGTGAGTCAATACTGCTTAAAAATCTCCCTCTCATATATACATCCATCCTCTTAGTCCTGTCCCTCTAAAGAACCCTGACTATTACAGAGAAAAAGTAAATACTTCCATTTTTTTTCACAAAAGTATACTTTACCAAAGTGTTGTAAACTATGTTGTAAAGCTTAAGTGTTGTAAAGCTTAAGAGATAACTTTTTTAAAAATCTTGAAAATATTTAAGTGAATAATCATTGTTTTACATAAAAATCATAAAAACATTAGCTTTGTCAATTACTTAATTTCATGTAACTAAATTTTTACTGCCTGATCTTGATGATCACTTCTATAAACTCATACATTTCTTCTTTGGAATTCTGGAAATTTTTGTTCAGTCCATTGATCTTAAAGTTATCAGAAGTCTGTGTTCCAGGGTACTTCTTAGAGACTTTTTCTTGAAAAGCAATTTTGAGCTGTAGCTGATTACATATGCTATTAGAGAATAATTTAAAACAATAACTGTGGATGACAAAAACTTAAAATAACCATGGTTAAAAGTCTGATGAAAATTCAAAGTTGACAAGGAAATGTAGTTATTACATGCAGCATTTTAAAATATCAACCAGAATCATGACTGACAGCATCAAATTAGTACCATCGCACTTTTATAAATTTTATATATGCTTTAGAGTACTTAAATTCATAACATATCCATTAAAATAAAACTTTAGAAAATATTTCAGAAAACCAAAATTATGGCATAACATATCAAATTTTTACAAATTTATATAATTTTTAAACAGTTATACCAAGAATACACCAATAAATATAACTGAAAGAAGATCTAGTATCACATCATTTGACAATGCTTTTCATACAATTTGCCAAATAAGCCTTATCATTTAATATATCTACGAGATGAGAGATATATTCTTTGAGGCTCTACAGAAGCCCAACTGTAAAATTGCAAAGTTAGTTGTAGGTGTCAAAAAAGCCTTAATTTAGGATTTTGATCCTGGGGAAACCTGTCAAAGATGTCAAAAAGTACAAAACACTTGATAAAAACAGAATTAAAGGTCCCTGTAAAATAATAGTCATTCATTTAACCAGAATGATAATCAGAGATCTTCAAAAGCAATACAGAAAATTAAATGAATATAAAATCCTTAACCTTTTTAAAAGGTCAATTTTCCTAAGTAAAGAAAAACACCCTAATAAAGTCAACACAGGGCCAGGTGCAGTGGCTCCTGCCTATAAATTCCCAGCACTCTGGGAGGCCAAGACACGAGGATTGCTTAAGGCCAAGCGTTAGGGACTAGCCTGGGCAACTCTAAGACCCTGTTTCTAAAAACTTTTTTCGTTAAAAATTATCCAAGTATGGTGGCACATGCCTGTAGTCCCAGCTACTCAGGAGGCTGAGGTGGGAGAATCACTTGAGCTCAGGATTTTGAGGCTGCAGTGAACTGTGATTGCACCACTGCACTCCCGCTAGGCAACAGAATGAGACCCTGTCTCTAAGGAGGAAAAAAAAAAGATAACACAGGAAATTCTCTTAATAGAATTTAAAATCTTTGTTTTTGTCGTCGTTGTTGTTGTTGTTTCTTGAGATGGAGTCTTGCTCTATCGCCCAGGCTGGAGTGCAGTGGCATGGTCTTGGCTCACTGCAACCTCTGCCTCTTGAGTTCAAGCAATTCTTCTACCTCAGCCTCCTGAGTAGCTGGGACTACAGGTGTGCGCCACCACACCCGGCTAATTTTTGTATTTTTAGTAGAGATGGGGTTTCACCATATTGGCCAGGCTGGTCTCAAACTCCTGACCTCGTGATCCGCCCTCCTCGGCCTCCCAAAAAATCTTTGTTTTTTAGGTTAGTTGCCAAAAAGTTAAAGAAAAATGTTCTGCAGCATGATTGTTTCTCGGGAAGCCCATTTAGATAACCTGGAAATCAATCTTGATGGAAGGGTAATTAAATTTAATCAGACACAGAAAGAATGTGTTCAGGATTATGAGTACATTGTATTACAGAGGAATGTAAACAATAAAACTTGTACATTGAGCAGGGGAATACATGGATTTTACTAACAGTATGGGAAGTTTCCTGGTTACGTGGAACAATTCAGATACATCAAGAAAACCCAAGAGCACAGAATCAAGTTACACTAGAGAAAAACTTTGCTTTTCTAAGTCTTTGAGAAAAATATTTCAATGTCAGGCAACAAACTCAGAGTTAAAACTGAGGAGAAAAAAAGTTAAAGGGGATGACAAAAATGTTAAAAGAAAGAGTGGGCAGCCTAGCCTAGCAAAAGGATATAGCTTTATAAGGGAAGAAAGGAGAGCCGAAGGCAAAGATGATACATGACCTGCAAATCTCATGCAGAAGATACAGGAAAGGTTGAATTCTGACATATAAATATGAGAAGTTTAAAAAAATAATTTTACCTGGAGAAATGAAATGGCCATTCTGAATAAAAAAGACAGCATTTCAAATCTGAAAGTAGTAAAATTAAATATATCTCAGCAAGAAATGCAACAGAAATAGAAACTGTCTGTAGTTTAGAAGATGGCTGGTGGCCGGGCGTGGTGGCTCACGCCTGTAATCCCAGCACTTTAAGAGGCTGAGGCAGGCGGATCACCTGTGGTCAGGCATTCAAGACCAGCATGGCAAACATGGCAAAAACCCATCTCTACTAAAAAAAAAAAACAAAAATTAGCCATGCATGGTGGCATGTGCCTGTAATCCCAGCTACTTGGGAGGCTGAAGCAGGAGAATCTCTTAAACCCAGGAGGCAGAGGTTGCAATGAGCCGAGATGGCGCCACTGCACTCCAGCCTGGGCAACAAGTGAGACTCTGCCTCAAAAACAAAAAAAGAAGGTGGCTGTTAAAGAAACAGATTTCAGAATCAAAAATCAAAATGAATTGCAACTATTCTAAGCATAAATCAATACTTTGTTGTTCCTACATAGGGAACCGAATTTTTAGTTTTGTATGTCTTTTTTTCAATATTGACTCTTCTTTAAAAATTATTATAATTTTTTTAATTATAACCAATTTGATCACACACAAAATTCTTTTTATAAATACCCCCTTCACAAACCTTACCAAAACTCACAATATTTATGATATTCTTGGACTCTCTGCTCTGTCCTGTACTTCCTCCTTCTTAAATAACCAGTCATTTTACTTTAGGACAAAAATTTTCTACCCAAGGTTTTTTCTCATACAAAATTATTCTCTTTTCTTCTTAACCTTCCTTGCAATCAGAAGATTTTTTAGAAACACACAACAAAAAATTCCAAACCAAATCCAAAGAAATCAAGTATTCACAGAAATCTTAATGCAGGCACGCAGATTGAAAAAAATATTAAACTAAACCTGTGGCCCGAAAGTGAATTCACCAGAAAAGACATGCCTCATGAACAGAAAGTAGATTTTGTAGAAGTAAGAGCACTCAATCCAGAAAGACATGTGTCTTTACACCAGAAAGGACTTACCGGAAAAGACAGAAACACTTTTATCACCTCAGGAGGGACATATGGTCTTTTATTAAAGTGGCTTTACCAGATCCAGATTCCAAATATAGTCAAGAGCTACTACCAAAAAGAGGGAGGCTCAGCCTTAGAGAATACTCACCAGAACAGAAAAGGTGAGTCGTGAAAGCAGAGAGCTCAAAGGGCTCAAGTGAGTATTGCATACTGGTTCTAAGAATCGCCAGTTTCTTTCAATGGGTGATCTTTTTCATGTTCACTTTTGTGACCATATACATCAACCTACGTAACAAACAGAGAAAGAAAAAGATGTTGAGGGAATAGAGCATTGCAATGAAAATACGCATGCTGTAGTAAACTATGTGTGTATTCAGGGAGGTAAAGAAAGACAAATCCTTTTAAGGAAAAAAATAAAGAATACACAATTGTTTTAAAATAATTTTCATTTGCTACAAAGATTAATAACAAGGGTCACGCCAGTCTGAGTCTGGACAGGTAGTTGCTGTGCAGATGTCTTTGCAGAATAATTTTTCATGTAAGATTGTGATGGCCTTTGTGTATGGTTGTGGTTTTTGCAGACTCTTTTGTGATAGTTTTATCAAACATACAAGCATGAGAACCCTTTCTTCAAAGCCTTCCCTGGCTCTATTTGTCAAGGTTTTTTTGTTTTAACATTAGTGACTCCATTTTGATTTGAACAACTTTTACATGTACCACCTCATCATTTCCATGGAGAAGCTCTCCATTAAACTATTACAGAAATTCATTCTCAGCATTAAAAAAATAAAAGGAGAATTCTGGAATTTAATTTTTAAAGGGTCAGTATAATAAAAGACACACTATACACTGGTGAAATTTAGTGTTCCTACAAAACATATGTTCATTTTTACATTTCTAAGTATCTTAGTAATAAAAAGGAGTTTTAGTATGTTCCATACTTTTCTTATTTCAGTGTTTAATGTCCAGCGAACTTGTTACATAATTGATATCTATGATGAAATAGAGGGGAAAGAGTAGAAGATGGGCAAGAGCCACATCTGATATTTGTTTGTGACACTATATAGACAAATGGTAACATCTGCTGATTCCTGCTCCAGCCCTCTTTCCCTCGGCCCAACAATTCTTCCTGGGTATGGAGAATTAAGAGAGAATACGAGGAATTCAGAATAAATCATGGGAAACACTGGCACTAAATTTTCATTCAATCATGATATTTTTGTGACCAAACAGTTGCATTGAATGTCAGTGGAGAAGGACTACAAGTAGAGTGCCTTCAGAAATCCAATTTGTTCCTGGGTGCACTGGGGTTTGGATACATAAAAGAGGCAACATTTGGTTCTATTGTGGTAGATGAGGTAATAACCTTAAAGGATTCTAAACTATGGCAGGTCTGTAAAATGACTTTATTGTCATAAATGATGTCTAATGATGGTAAATTTCTTTCGATGTTTTGACAATCAGTTTAAAGAAATGTTAAAGTTTGAAAATTAGAGTTATATTAAACATCATCTCTATTGTGAGATTTAATTTAAACTGAGTGTGTAGACACAATACAAACATCCAAATAAAAGGACATTGTGGCCAAGTGCAGTTGCTCACGCCTGTAATCCCAGCACTTTGGGAGGTCGAGGCAGGCAGGTCACTTGAGGCCAGGACTTTGAGACCATCCCAGCCAACATGGTGAAACCCCATCTCTACAAAAAATACAAAAATTAGCCAGGCATGGTGGCACACACCTGTAATCCCAGCTACTTGAGAGGCTGAGGCAGGAGAATTGTTTGAACCTGGAGGCAGAGGGGGCAGTGAGCTGAGATAGTGCCACTGAACTCCAACCTGGGCCACAGAGCAAGATTCCATCTCAAAAAAAAAAGAAAGAAAAATCACTTTGTACACATGAAGAGGACAGTTATTGATTAGCCTGTTGGTGTAGTCAGTATAAAATGGCAAACAAGATTTCATTCTTGGAATTAAATTCTTACTTTGATCTATAGTGTTCAAATCAACTGCATAATTGCTGAGTCTTGACTATGAAGCAGAGCCAAGCATACAATTGAAACAATTGTCAGATAATTTAAGTTTTAAAGAGACACACATGCACTTTAGTCTAAAATAATCAGGGCTATCGAATCTAAATATTCTGTATAAATAAAGTAATTATCTCTTTCACAGGCAACCAGAATAAAGTAAAGTTTTTGTGATTATTCTGGTACGGTGACCCACATAGACATTCAAAACAGTCATGACCTCAACAATGTATAAACAGGGTTCCCTAACTCTATTGTCTTTCAGATCTGGAACATGTGCTTTAAATCTCAGAAATTCAGTTTGGGTATTAAGATGTTAAGATTTTTCCCTATGCCCATTTTAACTTTTTTTCTAAATGGGTTTAATCTTGTGATTAAACATGAACAATGAGAGGAGCTTACTGATCCTTTTCATTGCATTTTTTTGGAGAGCATTGTTTTGTTTTGTTGCTGTTGTTAGTTTGGGTATTTTTAAAATAAGAGTAAGGTCATATTGGAATTAAATTTAGTATTTATATTGGCTTTGAAATGCATATTTGCAAAAGTATATTAAATATCAAGTATCTTAACTGCACATCATCTTCCAACCCAATTACACTCTACCCATTTCAGGGAAAAACAACTCCTTGTTTTTGAACCGCAACAGCATAACGACTATGCTGCTATATTGCCCAATTTCTGCTTTAGGTTATTATTCCAGGGGAAGTAATGGAACACATGCTGAGTCAATGAGAGCCCTTACCTGGGATTTTTTTTGAATTCAGAAAAAGTAATAGCTCTTGGCCGGAGAAAGTGAAACAACTGGAAACTCTGCTGTTGTTAGTGGTCAAGTCAATTGCCACACTGGAAGAACCCATCTGCAGTCAGAGAAAACAGAGTTAAGCTAGTTTTAAGAAGAGAGGAAGACGAGAGAATCCTGGTAGTAATTTAGGCCCAGCTGTATTCCTTCCCTCACTGCAGTTGTGTGTTGCTTCTTTGAGCCAACAAATTTCCACTTTAGGCCAAGCTTGACTTAGGTGTCTCAATTAAACTAATATAAATTGGCATGTAATATCTGATTATTTATCAAAACCAACACAAACAAAAAACACCATAATTATTACAACATGGAAATCATTCAAATCACATTTCAATTTATTCCACTGCTTGCATATAAACAAGATGAATTATATTACATAACCACCCCTCCCCATAAAAACGGCTGTTTAATTCTTTTCACCTGATTGAGTTAAAGTTAAATTATATAATTAAAATTTTCAAAATACTGTAGCTTGAACTCTTCATAGACTTAAATCTGCAAAGGTTTAAAATTCGGGGCGGGGTGGGGGGTGGAATGTGAATGTTAAGCTTATTTTTACCTCAGCGAGCTTTGTTGTATTTTAACTTGCTCTACCTCCCTCCCTGGCTCCCCTGGGCAGCCTTGTAAAGTACTAGTGTCCACTCTTGATAACAAAGGGAGCAGAATAAAGCTAGAACTCTTTCAAAGCCCCATTTCCAAAGAATTATCATTTTACCTTTCAGATGGTTCCCTAGAAGATCTAACATGAAAAGCTTGTCTTTATATGGCCTGAATCAAAGCTCACCTAGTGCTAATAACCTCATCCTAAAGGGGCATTTATCAAAAACATCTGCATGCAAGCATTTAATATTGCAGCTACCTTAGATGATAGGTAAGAATTGGGGTGAACAATGGACTAATCATAAGGCTTAAAAAGAAAATCTGAGGAAAGAGATTTTCTAAAGGGATTTAGAAAGCTCCAATACTCCTAGGAATCTAGAAGGCCATGCATATTCTTAGGGCCGTGCACATGCTCAAGAAAAACCAAAAAAAAAAAAAAAATCCCTAAACTCTCAATTCTGGCTGACTTTGGGGCTCTGTAAAAGCTAAAGCAGCATGGTAAACAGCCTGACTAAATGACAAGAATAGGGTCCTATTGATAGTAGGTTTGGTACTTACGTTGGCATTTAAATAGATATTTGTAAATAATAGTGAAGGCCTCAACACATCTAAAGCCCATCAGCAAAGACTAGAAGATTTATTAGTTTCAGGCATTTAAGGAAACTTCTGTCCAATCATTAGATGACCACTAAGCTAGCTGAGTCTAGACTCAATGACTACACATGACAAAGAATACGGACTTCACAAAATTAGTTCAGAAATTTACCAAACAAACACACAACTAGTACTACAACAAGCAGCAACAACAACAGAAAAAGAGAGAATTTGATTCCCAGAATTGCTATATTATATTATTTTAAGTGTCCAGTTTTCAACAAAAAATTATAAGACATGCAAAGAAACAAGAAAGGGGGAAGAAATTAACAAATAGAAAATATCCCTGAGGAAGCTTAGATATTGAACTTATTAGGCAAGAAACTTAAATTAGCCTTTTACATTATGTTCAAATAGCTAAAGGAAACTATGTCTAAAGACATAGTATTATGTCTCCACAAATATAAAATATAGATTAAATGATAAAAATATAAAATAGAATAAAGTAGAAAATCTGGAATTGAAAACCATAATAGCTGAAATAAAAAATTTATACCACAGGGGCACCAAAGCAGATTAAGCACACAGAATAAACAATCAGAGATCTCAAAGACAGGTCAATCAAGATTATTCTATCTGAATAACAGGAACAAAAGAACAAAAAAGTTATCAAGGCCTGAAAGACATGTGAAACACCATTAATCATACCTATATATGCATAATGGGAATCCTAGAAAGAGAGAAAAAGGAGCAGGAAGAATATTTGAAGAAATTATGGCCAAAACTTCTAAAATTTGATAAAAATTGCTAGCCTATGCATTTGAGAAGGTCCAGGAACTCCTAGTAGGATAAAATAAAGGAAATCTACCTCTATACCCCTTATAATTTAATTGTTGAAAGTCAAAGACTACGAGAAATTTTGAAAGCAGCAAGAGAGAAGAAACTCATTATGTTTAAGGAATCCTCAACAAAATTGAAAGCTAGGTTCTCAGTAGAGGTAAGGAGATAGTGGGATGACATTTCAAGATGTGAAAAGAAAAATCTATCACACAAGAATTCAATATCTGGCAAACTATCCTTCAGACATGAAGGGGAAATTAAGATATTCCAAAATAAACAAAAACTGAGAGTATTCACTGCTGACAGACCTGCTTTACAAAATATACTAAACTAAAGAGAGTCTTTCAGGATTAAAGGAAAAGACACTGACTGGCAACTGGAATTCACATGAATAAATAAAAAGCCCTGGAAAAGATAAAGATATAGGTAAACATAAAATACAAAATAAATGCAGTGTTTTATTTTTAACCTCTTTTTTTCTCCTTTCTGATTTAAAAGATAAATGCATAAGGCAATAATTATAATTTTATATTGATGGGTACACAATGTATAAAGATGAAATTTGTAAAAATAACAACATAAAGAGTGGGGAGCTATAACTGTTCTATATATAAACAAAGTTTTTGTGCACTATTGAAATTAAGTTGATATTAAACCAAATTGAATTGTTATAAATTAAAATATTAATGTTAATTCCTAGAAAATAACTCAAAAATATATAGTAAAATGTACAACATAAAATTTGCAAGTAAACTAAAATGGTACACTAGAAAGATCTCTATATTACAAGTTAGGTAATTGCAAATGAGTAAAAGAGCACCACTCAACGGTCTGATCTAGAAGAGACTCACTTTATACTCAAAGACACAAACCCAAAGCAAACAGAAGGAAGAAAAGATTAGTAAAGAAATAAATGAAATAGAAATTAGAAAAACAAGAAAAATCAATAAAACTTAAAGTTAATTATTTGAAAAAAATCATCAAAATTTAGAAACCTTTAGCTAGACCAACCATAGAAAAAAGGACAGAAGATTCACATTTCTAAAATCAGGAATAAAAGAAGTGATATTGCTACTAATCTTAAAGAAACAAAAAGGGTGATTAAAAAAATACCATGAGCAATTGCGTGACAACAAATTGAATGACCTAGATGAGTTGGATAAATTCCCAGAAAGACGAAAATTTACCAAGATTTAGTCAAGAGAAAATAGAAAATCTGGATATACCTATTGAAATAGAAAATCTGGATATGCCTATTGTAAGTAAAAAGACTGAGAGAGTAATTTTTTAAAAACCTCCACAAAGAAAAACCAAGAAAAAGATGGCTTCACTGGTGAGTTCTACCAGATGTTTGCAGATGAATTAACACCAATCCTTCACAAACTTGTCAAAAAATAGAAAGGGAGGGTACATTTCCAAACACATTCTAGGAGGCCAGGATTTTTACCTGATAGCAAACCAGACAGAGCCATCACAAAACAGAAAAAATACAGAATACCCTTTATGAATGAAGATGGAAAAACTAGAAAGAAAGCACTAACAAACTGAAACCAGCAGTACATAAAAAAAGATTATATACCAGATTTATTCCAGAATCCAAAGTAAGCACAACATACAAAAGCTAATCAATTTATACCCAAAAATGATAACAAGGGGAGAGAGGAACACGTTCATCTCAATAAACACAGAAAAAGTATTTGACAAAATCCAATCCTCTTTCTTAATAAAAGCACTCAATAAACTAGGAATAGAAGAGAATTTTCTCAACATTTTAAAGTGAATCTATGCAAAACCCACAATTAATGTTATACTTAATGGAGGTCAGGCACAATGGCTCATGCCTACAATCCTAGCACTTTGGGAGGCTGAGGCAGGAGGATAGTTTGAGTCCAGGAGTTTGAGGTTACATTGAACTATGATCATGCCTCTGCACTCCAGCCTGGGTGACAGAGCAAAACTTGTCTCTAAAAATAAGTAAATAGAATTAAAATTAATTATATTTAAAGATAAAAGACTAAATGCTTTCCTTCTAAGATCAGGAACATGACAAGGATCACAACAAGGATTCTGCTGTCACCACTTGAAGTCAGGGTAATATGGAGGACAATTAGGCAAGAAAATGAAATAAAATGCATCCGGATTGGAAAAAATATACGTAAAAGTACCTCTATTGGCTGATGAGATGATCTTATATTTAAAAAATCCTAAAGAATCTGCACTCCCAAAAAACTCTATGAAAGCTAATAAATGATTCAGCAAGTATGCACAAAAAGATCAAGAAAAAAATCAGTTGCATTTCTCTACATTATCCATAAACAATCCAAATATGACATTAAGAAAAAAATTCTTGTACAATAATATCAAAAAAAGATACTTAGAAATAAGTGTAATCAACGAGGTGCAAGACATTTACACTGAACACTACAAAACACTGTTGAAATCAAGAAGACCTAATGAAATAGATGTCCTAAGTTCATGGATTAGAAGATTTACAGTTCTTTAGATGGCACTTTTTTCTAAATAGACCTATAGATTCATTGCAATCCCCATCAAAATTCCAACAACGTTTAAAAGTTATTTTTAGAAATGGACAAGCTCATTCTTTTATTTATTTATTTATTTTTCCAGATGGAGTCTCACTCTGTCGCCCAGGCTGGAGTGCAGTGGCGCGATCTGGGCTCACTGCAACCTCCACCTCCTGTGTTCAAGCAGTTTTCCTGCCTTACCTCCCGAGTAGCTGGGACTACAGATGCCCGCCACCACACCCGGCTGATTTTTGTATTTTTAGTAGAAACAGAGTTTCACCGTGTTGGCCAGGCTGGTCTCAAACTCCTGACCTCAGGTGATCCACCTGCCTCAGCCTCCCAAAGTGCTGGGATTACAAGTGTGAGCCACTGCACCCAGCCCTCATTTTTAAATTCATATCAAAATGCAAGGGAGGCAGAATAGACAAAACAATATTGAAAAAGCAGAAAACAGTTGGAGGACTCAAACTTTCCCATTTCAAAACTTATTATAAAGCTACTGTAATAAGTAGACTGTGATTACTAGGATAAGGATAGACTTGAAGATCAATGGAATAGAATTGAGACTTCAGAAATAACAATATATGTATAGTCAATTGATTTTTTACAAAGATGGCAGGACCATTCAATGGGGAAAAAGATAGATTTTTTTTTAACAAATGATGCTGAAACAACTATCATCCACATGCAAAGGAATGAATTTGAATAACTACATCATACCATATACAAAAATTAACTCAGATTATATCAAAGACATAAACATAAAATCTAAAACTATAAAGCTTCTAGAAGTATCCCATTTAATCTTCAAAATACCCTTTATAGATCAGTCTTATTATTTTCATCCCCATTTCACACTTAGGGAAATGAAAGCTTTTCACAGTTACTGAAAGTAAGAATTCCAAATGAGGAAATTGGCTTCACTAGTCATCCCCTTAACCACTATACAATATTACAGTTATGAAGCCATAGTCATAGGTTAACTGTAAACAAATGAAGTTATGATAGGAGGCTCAAAAAATAAAAGTTCTAATTGTATGAACAGAAATAATCAAATAGTTAAACAAAAAAAAGGAGGCATGTAAAATGGCTCCGTAGGAAATGCTGTGGTAAGATCAGATTTTGAAAAAAAAAATACATGTGAAAGTTGAAGGAAGAAGCATAAATATAAAGACATATAAATGAACATCAAAGAACCATATATTGGAGTAGAGAAAACTCAAGTCCAGCATGGATAAAACTCAGGGAAAATATCCAAAATAAGTAAATTACTTGAATTTTATTTAGAGAAAGCCAAACCAGTGCCTATTCTTTAGAAGTGACACAACAATAACCCATGACAGAGAAAAGAAAATTAATCATACAGGTCTTATTACATTTAACCTCCTCCATTTCAGAATAGAATGCAAGTTACTTACATTTATTGGGCTACTTTTGTCCTTTAGAAAATCCCACAAATATGTATCATTGCCACCATTTTACACATGAAGAAATTGTGGTTTGGAAGATACTGTTTACTCAAAGGTATAGCTAGTAAGTTGCAGAGATGGAATTTGAACTGAAATCAATCTTGTGCTAAATCCACATTTTCTTACATGAAAGATGTGACTGGTAAAAATTAGAATTACAGATGATTGATACTTAAAAAATTAGATTTAAGTGTATGATAATCTAAGCTGAATTAGTGTGCACAAATAGGTGGAAGTCCCATGAATTCTGATATTCCCAGCCCAGAGATAAATGATTCTGCTTTCATAATAGTTTTCCTTTTGTTCCATTTGTTGTCCTAGTTAATGTCTAGTTAATGCCTTTGTTAAGTTTTATCTGTGATAGCCTACAATACATAGTCCCCTCCTGCCTAGCACTTCCCTCACTACCCACACTTTCTGCATGTGTAGCTTTAGGTAATTCAAGGGAAATCCTGAATCCAAAATACAGCTCAAAGTTATAGCTAATGAGCCTTATCTACCTAGAATAAAATTCTGAAATAACCTTTTAGCATTCTTTATTAACGGATTGTTAAGTTGTCACAGTGACAGAAGGAAACAGAGAAGATACAATACCAGGACTCTATCAGTTACCTACTGCTGAATTATAAACCACCACAAAATTAGAACCTTAAACCAAAAAAATGCACAAAATTTTAATTCCATCACATTCTGCCATACAAAGCAAGTAATGAGGCCAGTCCAGATACAAGTCTACTTCTTGATGGGAGGAGCAGAAAAGTCACATTGCAAAAGGATGAGAAATTTCTGATTTGTTAAACGTTATTTTCTTTAAATTGGACTTTGGGCAGACTTACTATAATATGGCAACTCCAAAGATTTTGTCACCTAAGTTGTATCTGTCTCCTCTTAGCTAATTCCATCCTTTCCTGTATTGTTGTCATTTCCTTAATATTATTCAGCCTGAAAAGGTAAAATAAATGTCATTAAGTGGGAATTAAATTACTATTAGGCAGCTTTTTTCCTTAATAAAATGTAATCTATAGAATATTAAATTGTTATCAGAATCAATGAATTAGAGATATATATATGGCAACATGGAGAGATCTTCAAAGCATAGAATTTACTTGAAGTTAATAAAGTGAAATATATGTATTCCCATGAGGAGCATGAAGGAAGTAAAAGAGATAACTGTTCACCACAGGGATCGAATCAGGTGGGCTAGGCTGTATGTGTCATCAGAATCTTATTCTTCTAGGCATCACCTTTCTCTCCCAAACACATAAAGAAATATCCCAGCAAAAATGAAATCTGGCTTTATGTAAGTGCATATTGGTTATTTAGAGTCCCCCTATTAGTGCATATTACTCATATAGAATAGAGACTATGCTTTAGGGGTAGGATCAGAAAACCTGTGACACTACAACGTGGGAGATCCTGCATCACTGTGGAGTTTGGCATGGCCCCTGAGTATGTATGTTCAACTACATAACCTGTGCTGATCCTGTGTCTGCACTAAGGCACGTTATAATGTCTTAATATCCATTTTTAATGAAAGAATAAATGCAAAACACTTAAAACAGTGCCTGGCAAACAAAAGGTGTTTGAGAAATTCAGTTGCTATGATCATTATATATTCAGTGCCTTCTCTATGTCAGGCATTATTTGAGGCTCTGTGGAAAGATCAGTGAACAAAATGAACAAAACTTTATAATCTTATTGAGCTTATATTTTAATGATGAAACAAACCATAAATAAATAAACAGAATATGTAGTATATAAGACGGCGATAAGTGTCATGGAGAAGAACAAGATAAAACAGATAAGGCAATGAGGGTTTTTAGTCAGGGTGGGGGTTGCAATTAAATTAGAATGGTCAGCAAAGGTGTCACTGAGATGGTGACACTGGAGCAAACTGCTACAGAATGTAAGGAAGAGTCATGCAGATACCTGCTTAGAGAAGGCCCCTCATAGTATGACCCTTTAGCACACATTGTTTATGAATTCACTAGTCCATGACACTGTGCCAAGTCCTGTGTGCAAAATAATAAAAGTAGCAAACAATTATTAAGTACTTACTGTGTGCTGGGACCTATACTAAGCACACTACTTGCAATATTTCCCTTAATCTTTATAAAAATGATTTTATGTGGGAAGTAGGACTTAGAGAAGTTAAGTATCTTATCCAAAGTCAATCAACTAGGATTGTTACTAGCAGCAGCACTAAGATTTCAATTTAAGATTAGGACACCACAGCTATTACCTGAATGTCATGTTTATTTATTGAACATAAGATATTTCTATACTCTCACAGAGCCTGGTACTTTTCCTTGATAGCCTTTAACATTGTATTTAATATATTATTCATACAACTGTTTTTTCAGTGCCTTTTTTCACATTAGACTGCATATTATGTGACGGCAGGGATGAATCAGGCTTCCCTCATTCACCACTGAATTTGCAACACTTAGTACAGTGTCAAAGCACACAGAGTGCTCAATTCATGTTGCCTGAATTAATCAATATATCATATTTCATTATCATTGTTTCTTTGTAATATTTTACTGGTTGCAATGCTCACATGTTACTTTTCCCAGCTTTCAAATAAATATTTAATAAATAAAATTTAAGGACACCAAATGGTCTTTGATATGGTTTGGCTGTGTCCCCACCCAAATCTCATCTTGAATTCCTACATGTAATGGAATTATGGGAGCAAGTCTTCCTCATGCTGTCCTCATGATAGTGAATAAGTCTCATGAGATCTGATGGTTTTATAAAGGGGAGTTACCTTGCACAAGCTCTCTTGTCTGCTGCCATGTGAGTGTCTTTCACTTTCTGCCATGATTGTGAGGCCTCCCCAGCCACGTGAAACTAAGTTCACTGAACTTCTTTCTTTTGTAATTTGCCCCGTCTCAGGTATGTCTTTATCACCAGCATGATAAAAGACCAATATAGTCTTCATATTATGAGTAATATGATCAAAGTAGGGCTTTAGGAATATTATTCCAGTTTATAATTGTCTGTAATTGAAGTCTGTAATTCTTCCAGTCCAGCACCCACTCTAGTGACATAGCCCTTCAATTACTTTTTTGAATACCATCTTCTTCCCATAAGACAGTTCAGTGGTAAAAGTCTACCCCACCTCTTGTTCCAAGGATGGTTAAATGACTTAGCTCTAACCTCTACCAGTCTAACCACTGGCCTCAAAGACTTGCACGCAACCCAAGGCAGGCCAAAAAGATGCAGTCCTAAATGTTTGCTTAAACTATTGGGAAAGAGATACTTTGTTTCTCAGTATTGCTAATGTTATGGTTAATATTAGGTGTCAACTTGATTGGATTGAAGGATGCCATGCCTAGATAGCTGGTAAAGTATGTTTCTGGGTGTGTCTGTGAGGGTATTGCCAAAGAAGATTGACATTTGAGTCAGTGGACTGAGAGAGGAAGAGCCACCTTCAATGTGGGTAGGCAACATCCAGTAGGCTGTCATCACAGTAGAACAAAGCAGGCAGAAGAAGTGGGGGAAGCTGACTTGCTGAGCCTTCTAGCTTTCATCTTTCTCCCATGCTGGATGCTTCATTCTGTTCCTCCTGCCTGCAGCTTTCATCCAATAACTGCAGGGTTTTCAGTCTTTGGACTCTTGAACTTATACCAGTGGTTTGCCAGGGGGTCTCAGGCCTTCAGTCACAGACTGAAGACTTTTGGACTCGGTTTGAGGCACTACTGTCTTCTTTCTTCCTTAGCTTCCAGACAGCCTATCATGGGACTTGCAGTGTGATCATGTGAGCCAATTCTCCTTAATAAAATCTCTTTCATATATACATATATCCTATTAGTTCTGTCCCTATTGAGAGCCCTGAGTAATATAGCTAACATGTTAAGATTTACAACTGGAGCTTCTTCAGTTCATCTAGTTTCCTCATAAGAATGTGTCTGCAAAAGAAACCAATGAAGGAGAAAAGCAAGCCAAGATATGGGATGAAACAGATTTCTGACAAATATTTTTTTGCACCTGAGTTCATCCATCCGTAAAGCCATGCCCTTGGACTTTTCTGCTACATAAGCAATAGATACTTTTTCTTCCTTAAGCCAATTTGAATCTGTATATTAGCTATCTGCAGTTCATAATGAATGGCTTCAACATTTAATGGTTGAAAACAACAAAAATCACTTATTATCCCTCAGTTTCTAATGAGCAGGATTACAAGTGTGGCTCAGATGGGATGTTCTGGCTGAGTCTCTTATGATGTTGCTCCTAGATGTTGGCTCGACTGCATTTATTCAGTGGCTCAACTGAAATGGAGAATCCTTTCAAAGGTGGCTCACTCATGGCTGGCAAGTTAGTGCTGGCTGTTGGCAAAAGTTCTCAGTTTTTTTTTCACATGGGCCTTTCCATAGGACTCGTTGAGTGTCTTCATGGCATGGTAACTGGCTTCCCCCAGGGTGAGCTATCCAAGAGCCCAAGACTAAGGCTGCACTACTTTTTAAAACCTAACCAACTAACACTGGAAGTTACACACTATTACTTCTGCCTTACTCTCTTGGTTACACAGCATCAGCCCTATTCATTATGGAATGGAACTTTGCAAAGAGAGAAATAGAAAGCAAAGGTCACCAGAAGCCATCTAGGGTGCTGAATACCACAATCAGGTTTCTGTAATTGCATTATAAAGTCTCCTGCCTGAACTTACAATTTACCTAAATATAATGTAAAGTGTCTATGTATTCTGATGAAAAGCCTTGATAGAATAAAGAAAACAGTATAAGCAAACAACCTCATCAAGGTAGACTCCAGGGAGACAGCATACCTGAGCCAGGCTTTGAAAATTATTTCACTATTTATTTGTTTAAGTAAGGATGAAAAGAAGTCATTTCAGGGCTGAGAAAAGGAGAGGCAAGAAGGAGTAAAAAGAAGACTGTTATAATTGATGTAAACAGAGGGGTCCTAGTGGAAGATAACACAGTGAACAATTAATGGAACCAGCTTGGGGCGGATCTCTGACTATATATCTTCTAGAGCTCAGATTGAATTCTGTAGCAGTTTTTCCTCAGAAATATAAGCAGTAATTAAGCAAAGGGAAAAGATAAGGGAAGGCCCAGCCATACTTCTGTACACACAATGCTAAACACAAACTTACCAATTTCCAAGTAAGAAGGTTGTTGGTAGCTAATGTGGTACCTTGCAAAGCCTCCATGGGCCTAAAACATGATCCTCATCTTCTCAATGTCAAAAGATCTCTCCTATTCATTTATTCAAGGTTGATCTGATTCTAGGGGACTAACTGATGCTAATAAAACTCACTAGAGATTGATTAGCAACTTGAAAGCTAATTTCTTGATTTATAATGAGAAACTTTATTGCCTCATGGACCAAAATTCTCAAGTCAAGTGGATAGTGTATCCTCTTTCTAATAGGGAAGTTTTCTTGGGAACTGAATTAATATGAGAAAGTTGCTCAGTAATTACAGAGGTAAAAGAAAGGAAATATAATTATCTCAATGAATTTATGATTAATTGTTTTCTCTTCTCTATACTTAAATCATTTGACATGTTTGTTCACTCCAGAAACATTTACTCAGCATCTTCTATGTGCCCTGCCCCATATTAGTTGCTGAGCCATGTAAAAATGTACAAAAGCCTTTGCTATCAGCAAGAGGACAAGTGGGGAACCAACATAATTCAAGCTTCTAATATTTGCCAGACCTTATACTAGGTGATTTATATCATTGATTTTTTACAACAAACTCTGTAAGAAATTAGATTTTATTTTTATTCTTCAAAGATGATAAAATATATTTAAAAATAAAAAATGCAATTTAAATAACTTATGCATGATCACAAAGATATGTGGTTTCATTACTGTATATGCAGTTAACCCCTGAGCAAGAAAAGTGTTAGGGGCACTGACCCCCATGCAGTCAAAAATCTATATATAACTTTTGACTCCCCTAAATATTAACTACTGATAAACTATTGTTGATTGGAAGCCTTTACTGATAAAATAAACAGCTGGTTAACACATATTTTGTATTTTCTATGTATTATATACTCTAATTTTTACAATAAAGTAAGCTAGAGAAAAGAAAATGTTACTAAGAGAATCATAAGAAGGAGAAAATATATTTACTGTTTATTAAGTGGAAGTGAACCCTCTGAAAGATTTCATCCTTAACACCTTCACACTGAGGAGGAGGAGGAAGAGGAGGAGTTGCTCTTGCATCTCAGAGGTAATAGAAGCAGAAGAAAATCCTTGTATAAGCGGACCCATGCAGTTCAAACCTGTGCTGTTAAGAGTCAACTGTATTTGTCAAAACTGATATCATACGTAAATTATACCTCAATAAACTGATTAACGAAAACCATGTCAGAAAGTCAAAGAGAGGATTTGGAGAGACAAAATTTTGAAAAAGGCTGTTACATGGTGTGAGTTCCCAATCCCCAAACTTTGCCTCAGGCCTGCTGAAAAGAGTTTCCATGGTACCACTAAAGAAGCAGAAATGTGTTCCTTGAAGTTTCCTAGATGATTAGTTCTGAGTAAAGGTTAGTTTTATTTGTTCAACTTAGCTAGGCTATGATGCCCAGTTGTTTGATCAGACACCAGTCTAGACATTTCTCTGAAGGTATTTTTTAGATGTGTGTATTAGTCCATTTCACATTGCTGATAAAGACATACCTAAGACAGGGCAATTTACAAAAGAAAGAGGTTTAATGGACTTACAGTTCCACATGGCTGGGAAGGCCTCACAATCATGGCAGAAGGTGAAGGGCACATCTCACATGGTGGCAGACAAGAGAATTGAGCTTTTTCAGGGAAACTCCCCTTTGTAAAACCATCAGATCTCATGAGACTTATTATCACCAGAACAGCACAGGAAAGGCCTGCCCCCATGATTCAATTACCTCCCACTGGGTCTCTCAAGATGAGATTTAGTGGGGACACAGCCAAACCTTATCAATGTGATTAACATTTAAATCAGTAGACTTTGAGTAAATCAGATTACTCTATATAATATGGGTGGGCATCATCCAATCAATTAAAGGCCTAAGTGCAAAGACTGGAGTTTTTCAGGGAAAGAATTCTGTTTCCAGATTGCAACATAGAGATTCTGTCTGAGTTTCCAGTTTTCAGACTCAATACTACAACATCAACTCTTGCTAAGATTCACTAGCCTCCATAATCTTGTGAGCCAATTCCTTAACATCAACCTCTCTCTCTTAATCGGTCTGTTTCTCTGGAGAACTCGGACTAATACAGATTTTGGTACCCAGAGTGGTTCAAAAGGAACAAAATCTTAAGAATGAGTTTTCCAAATTGGAAAATCTAAACATCAGCTAGTCCTGGTTCACCAGCAGACTGCCTTTGGACTCACACTGCATCTCTTTTCTGAGTCTCAAACTGCTAGCCTCCCTTATCTTATTTTGGACTTTCTAATCCTCCACAATCACATGAGCTAATTCAAAAATAAATGTGTTAACAAATAAACAAACATCCTACACGTTCTTTTTCTCTGGAGAACCCTGATTTATATAATCCCCAAAACTATCCTGTGCTTATTTTCCCAGTTTTAAAATTCAGAATTGGTATAGACATGCTGAGCAACCAGGGAAGAATCCCCACATTGGTTTTCTCATCTGTATATTGAGAGCTATTGTGGTAGGAAAGGCTAAGTGTAAGCCACTAGACCTGTCTCTACCAAGGAAAATACTAAACTGAAAGCAATACCACATTACTGGAGGGATTACAGAGATAACAGCCACCATCCTATTCGATATGTCTCTCTGGAGAACACAGTCTGATTCACACCTAAGAATGTTAGTCAGCCCATATAAGCAAGATAGAGTTAGTTTGACCTGCATTTTCAATTTTGGGTTTGGGGACAAGGACTGAAATGTTTTTTGTGAACTAGATGTGGGCCTCTTGAGATTATCTTGGTCCTCATGAATAGAACTGTACAGAGGATTGAGGATTCATGGCAGCAGAAGTTAGAGTAGATAATAGGTTACTGAGAATGTTAGCAGTCAAGAGTGAATGCATCTGTCCAGGTCAAAGGAACTGTAGAAGAAAAGTCTCTAGTGTCAGGAAGCTTTCAATAATCCAAAAATGTACATCACCCAATTCAATCCATAATTTTTTATTTAGTTTCTAGACAATGTTAAATAATATTTTAGGTGCTAAAGATACATTAACACACAGTACAGACACAAATTGTTGCCCTTGGAGAACTTTTATTCTAATGGTAGAGGCAAACATAAAAACAAGGTTGTAAACTGGATCCCTTCCTTACACCTTATATAAAAATTAATTCAAGATGGATTAAAAACTTAAATGTAAGACCTAAAACCATAAAAAACATGGAAGAAAATCTAGGCAATACCATTCAGGACATAGGCATGGTCAAAGACTTCATGACTAAAACACCAAAAGCAATGGCAACAAAAGCCAAAATAGACAAATTGGATCTAATTAAACTAAGGAGCTTCTGCACAGCAAAAGAAACTACCATCAGAGTGAACAGGCAACCTACAGAATGGGAGAAAATTTTTACAATCTACCCATCTGACAAAGGGCTAATATCCAGAATCTACAAAAAACTCAAACAAATTTACAAGGAAAACAAACAACCCCATCAAAAAGTGGGCAAAGTATATGAACAGACACTTCTCAAAAGAAGACATCTATGCAGCCAACAGACACATGAAAAAATGCTCATCATCACTGGTCATCGGAGAAATGCAAATCAAAACCACAATGAGATACTATCTCACATCAGTTAGAATGGCGATCACTAAACAGTCAGGAAACAACAGATACTGGAGAGGATGTGGAGGAATAGGAATGCTTTTACACTGTTGATGGGAGTGTAAATTAGTTCAACCATTGTGGAAGACACTGTGGCAATTCCTCAAGGATCTAGAACTAGAAATACCATTTGACCCAGCAATCCCATTACTGGGTATATACCCAAAGGATTATAAATCATGCTACTATAAAGACAAATGCACACGTATGTTTATTTCAGCACTATTCACAATAGCAAAGACTTGGAACCAACCCAAATGTCCAACAATGATAGACTGGATTAAGAAAATTTGGCACATATACACCATGGAATACTATGTAGCCATGAAAAAAGATACGTTCCTGTCCTTTGCAGGGTCATGGATGAAACTGGAAACCATCATTCTCAGCAAACTATCACAAGGACAGAAAACCAAACACCGCATGTTCTCACTCACAGGTGGGAATTGAACAATGGGATCACTTGGACACAGGGCAGGGAACATCACACACTGGGCCTGTCGGTAGATGGGGGGCTAGGGGAGGGATAGCATTAGGAGAGATACCTAATGTAAATGATGAGTTGATGAGTGCAGCAAACCAACATGTCACATGTATACCTATGTATCAAACCTGCACATTGTGCACATGTATCCTAGAACTTAAAATATAATTTTAAAAAGTGAAAAAAAAAACAAAGGTCAGACTAAGGAGAATGAGGAATGCCAGGGTAGACAGGGTAGTCATCATTAGTAAAAGAAGGTAACAATTTGAGGAATGATTTGAAGGAGATAATGAAGTAAGCACACAGGTAGAAGAAACAGCCAGTACAAACACCCAAATGATGGAAATTTTCCTGGCATGCTTCAGGAACAAGAAAAAGGCCAATGTAGCTGTGCTAATACAGCAAGGAAACCCAATCATAGATGAAGTCTGAGAGATCATGGGGACCAGATTATGTTGGGCTTTATAGTTCATTCTAACAACTTTGCTTTTGCTATGAGTAAAACAGAGTCATTTTAGGGCTTTAAGCAAGGATCACACTAGCTTCTAATTAAGCACAAAGGGACAAGGGTAGAGACAAAGAGAGCAGGTTGAAGAAAATAATATAGATGAGAGATTGTAGTGGCTTGGAGTCCACTAGTAGCAGTAGAAGTTGTGAATTCTGGATGTATATTGAAGGCAGCATCCTCAAGATTTCCTGAAAAATTGAATATATGAAAAGAAGAGAGAATCAAGGATGACTCCAAAGACTCAACAACTGGAAAGATGATTCCCTGAGATTGAGTAGACTGGAGGTGCAAGAAGTTTTAGGGGAAAGGTATTGGTTGATCTTTGGACATCTTAAATTTAAGATGAGTATTAGAAATCCAAGTGAGCATGCTGAGTAGGCAGTTTGAAATATGAGTCTGGAGATTAAGGGAGAAATCCAAGCCAGTAATATAACTTAGGATTCATCATCACAGACATAATGTTTCACACAAAGATGTCATGATTTAAAATTGCCTTATCCTCTCATCTCCTCTTCCTATTGAAGGAAATTTTAAAAAAATACACCAAAATATATTTCTTTGACATATTTTGAAATGGCTGCCCTTAGCCATCCTGACAGAAGTGGCCTTGCAAAGCTGAATTAAGTGGGGAAAATTTCCATCTATAGATAATCTCCACTAATACAGTCATGCCCCCTCCCTTTCTACACCTTTCCCCAGATCCGGGAGGGATTGAGACTCTGACACCTTTAAAAGACTGAAAAGAAACATTTACCATCTATTCTTTCTAGGGGAGGCTTCGCTACATAACAAGGTCACCTTTGCTGGCCAGAATGTAAGCCCCCATTCATTCCATAACCTCAAAATGGTATATTAAGTTTCTGTAACTCTTTGGGAAATTAGATTTTCATTCTAAAGGCTCCAATGTATCTATGCTAAATACATTTGTATGCCTTTTCTCTTATTAATCATGTTAGTGATTTTTAGCAAACCTTTAGGGGACCAGGAGCCTATGGCCCCCACACTAACTTTTCCCACTGTTGTATGAAAGACAAAAGAGGTGAGTGGAATAAAGGAGAAAGATCTGGCTGTATCTCCATTCCTATAGACAACTTCAGTCTTTACTTTGGGGATATAGGAAGGAGGGAGGACACTTACCTTTGAATCACGATTGAAATGTGTAAATAATATCTTGGACTTGGCTATCTAATCTAATCTCTAAAGATTTGAGACTTTAAGAAGTTATAAATCTATTTCTTATCTCAGTGTGAGGAGAAAAGTCAGAGGAAATTCATAAGTTTTAATCCAAATGCATGGAAATATTTTCCCTCATGAATACAGTTGGAAAGGGCATTTGGAGACAAAACAAAGCTGCCAGTTACTAACACAGCAGAGCAAGTACATTAAGAATTAGTTTATGCACTATAATATTTTTCATTTATCCATTTCTGCTAATCCTTCTTTCTGCAATCATGCAAAGAAAGAAACTATTGGTGTTTAATTGCAATAAGCTTCTAATTATGAAGGCATCTGAAGCTTTTATGAATACCTGAATGGATGAAGCTTAAGATTTCTGCAAATTTCTCTGCTCAACACTGAGCAATTTCTAATAAACAATTGGTCTTTATTGATACTTCCACTTTTACTGCAACTGTGAGAAATAAATGCCCTTGATTAGGTGCTTGGAAAAATAGACTATGATAAGGCAAGCTTCTTAGAAAGGTATTTGACTAGCTTAGTATTCTTACTTTTATGCAGACACAGCTCATCAGCTCAATTGATAAGATTCAGCACCAAGTTGTGGGTTGAAATGTCATGATGGTATACAACATCTTACTTGATGGCTCAAAAAGCTCCCTGACTTAATTTACTTCAATTTTCCCTCTTTATAGCAAAGCTCTCTTCTGAAAAGATACGTCAGATTTTTATGACTGGATGGAAATTATAAATGCTGCTTTTATAAAGCACTCAGAGAAAGCATCAGGTGTCAAGATCTAAAACAGGCTGTCAAGATCTAAAACAGGCTGTCAGGATGATCCTGCATTGACTGCTGTTCTGGCTGCTTTAAGGAGCCTAAAAATATTCACCAACATGCAAACCCAACAGCCCAGACACACATAAGAGGACAAAGCAGGGCCAGAGGCCAGCTATTTGTTATATAAATAGAACATTAGCATAATAGAAGGTATTTGCTTGTTTCAGCAAGACTACTGTCATAAACTTTGCGGAGTAATATGTTGCCTTTAATAGAACAGCTCAGCAATCATTACCGGCAGCAGCCACAATATGTCTGGGATAATAATGGATGGCTGTTCAAGCCAGAATTTCCCACCCTATGTTACCATTTTAGGAAGTTTGTAAAGGCAAACTGGAATGATAAAAGCTTCAAATATCAGGTGCACTATCATAGCCCGTTGGATGCAAAACCAGATTGAGAGCAGCAAGAGCTATGCAATTACCTAGGATATTGTCAGTCTGCTACACTAGCAAAGTTCCTGGGGCCTGGCCAAGTTTTAGCTCTTTAATACCAGCTCTCCTTGATCCTAGATTATAGAAGATCAGGTGTATTAGTATGTTCTTTCATTGCTGTAAAGAAACACTCGAGACTGGGTAATTTATAAAGAAAATAGTTTTTTTTTGTTTGTCTTTTGAGACGGACAGTTTTTTTGTTTGTCTTTTGTCGCCCAGGCTGGAGTGCAATGGCATGATCTCGGCTCACTGCAACCTCTGCCTCCCGGATTCAAGCTATTCTCTTGCCTCAGCCTCCCGAGTAGTTGGGATTACAAGTACCCACCATCACGCCCAGCTAATTTTTGTATTTTTGATAGAGAGGGGGTTTCACCATGTTGGTCAGGCTAGTCTTAATTGACTCACATTTCTTCAGGCCATGCAGGAAGCATAGCTGCATCTGCTTCTGGGGAAGCCTCAAAAAACTTCCAATCATGACAGAAGGCAAAGGGGGAGCAAGACTTCTCACATCGTGGGAGCAGGAGCAAGAGAGAGTGAGGGGCCCCATGCTACACACTTTCAAACAACCAGATCTCGTGAGACATATATTAGGAGAACAGCACCAAGGGGATAGTGCTAAATCATTCATGAAGAATCCACCCTCATGATGCAATCACCTCCCACCATGCTACCCCTCCAACACTGGGGATTACAACTGG
The DNA here is from genome assembly GCF_000001405.40 of Homo sapiens. Classification (NCBI taxonomy): domain Eukaryota; kingdom Metazoa; phylum Chordata; class Mammalia; order Primates; family Hominidae; genus Homo; species Homo sapiens. The sequence goes on from NC_000011.10 coordinate 22,116,842, forward strand.
ACATGATATTTGGGTGGAGACATAGATCCAAACCATATCATCAGGCAAAGCCATTTCTTCAAGGAAACTAAATTTCTGCTTATACTTAATCAAAGGTAAACATGTGCAAGGTTTAGAAGATTCATAAGGGAAATCAACCGAGATAAAACAGCATTCTGAAAAGTGTACTGACTACCTGTTGTGCCTACTTAGACCACTGGAATTGCTCCTGCACTCCCTCTTCCTCTCTCTCTAAGAATGTTTGCTTCTTTATATTTTAAATTAGCACATCTTTTCCTGTAGATAACATAACAATTTATAAAGATTTTATCTATCATATATTCCTATAATTCCTCCAACTACAAGAAAACCACTATTAATATTTTATTTTTCCCAGTATTTAATATTTATTATAAACAAGCATGTATGATATAGTGTATATATATCATCATATTTATATGATCATTTATATTAATGTATAGTAACTATGTATTATTATTTATATTATTATAAATTTATGGTATATTTACATTAATTAATATATCATAAATATATTACAATTATTTATTTATATATTTATTTATTATATTAAGTATATAGTAAATTTATTTTTAAAAATACATAAAAAATCTTTAAAAATAATTTTTTGCAAATTTCATAACTTAGCAAGGCATATTGTTTTATTTCAAAATGTATTTCTTTACTAGCAAAGTTGACTACTTAAAATATATCTATATTGAAGCACCAGAACTGCTGACTATTACAAGTTTGTAGGGTCCATAAAGTCAAGCATATCTTTATACTAATGTGTAGAAAACCTCTTTCATTTGAAACTTTATGAAAATCAAAATGATTCATTAATAAAAAATGATTCTTAAAAATGTATTATTTACAGTTTTTAAGATATAATGCTATTACTACTTAATAGACTACAGTATAGTGTAAACATAACACTAAACTGTATTATTGTACAATAACCAAGGAAATCTACTCAAAATAAACTTTAAAATTGGGAGTGACTATGGATTTTTATTAATAAAAGGGTTTGACACGCTTGAGAAATTAAAATACTTGCATCCAATATGAATCCTGGTCCCCACATGTTCTGTTCATCTCATAACTATTCATCTGACATTCTCATTATTTGATTATGCACTTGCTTAATTTTTCTACTAGTTATAATATTGAACATTGGTTTCTATAGAGTATAATCCTTCCAACTTTCTCTTTTCTCTGACAGCATAGGAGTAATTTAATGAAACTGCAACTCCCTCTTTAACCTGATCATCTGATCTATAGTCCTCATTTCTATAAAAATTCTGTAATATTTGATAATAGGAACGCAGTTTGACATCCCTAAATGTCACTTGTTGACTGGAAGGGAATCCTAAGTGAAAATGTCTTTTGTCTCCAACATTGCAAACTGAACTACAACATTTTTGTTACTATGCTCTATAAGTAATAGTTCAATAGTATTTCTCCTTCATTCTCCTATGTTCCATGTGTGACTTGCTCAGGCACTGCTTTTTTAAACAACTTCTGCAATGTATAGTTATGTACAGATAAAAATTGCTGAAAATTTTTCATATAGACAAGGTCTAAAATTCCAAGTTTGGATACCCGTAAAATAATATCTGTGGATTTTTCTGTAAGTAATTAGTCTAATCTGACTAGAAAAAGAAAGAAAGGAACAAAGAAAAAGATGAAAAGTAAAAAATATATATACAAAGAGCTGAAAGTATTTGGTTTTAATAAAGCAAAACTTGAATTAAAAGTAATGGGTTAGATGAGGAGAATGAAAGGGAAGTAAAATTTGTCAAGCATCTACTAAATTTCAGTTACAGTATGTTATCTACTTGCCAATAAGCTACTGATAAAAACAAGGATATGTTCCATTTTTTAAACCAGGCACTGTACTAAGTACTTTACAATGCTATTACATTTAATCTACATAGCAATATGATTACATATGATATATGTGTGTGTGTGCTTATACAAATGAGGATACTTAGATTTATATGCTTACAAGATTAACTTGCTAAGAAATTGGCACACCTAACTTTATGGATACAAATTTGTGTGACAGTAAGTTACAGGCATGTAATTACTGTGCTTTTACTATCTTCTCATAAGGTTTATTTAATCCCCAATTTTAGAGTTCAGGAATTGAGGGTCAGATCCACTGAATAACATAGCTAAGGACATTCAAGCCCAAATCTGTTTTGTCCCAAATAAGCTCTAAATTACCCAACACCATGGAAAATAAATACTCAGTTTTTCAGAGCAAATCTCCTGGGTATGAAAATATGGATCGCTAAAAAACAAAGCTATCAAGCAATGTTAATCAAATGAATAGAAAAAGAGCTTCTGATTACTCTTCCAGGTAAGAAAAGTAAAGGTTCTCACCAATCCTAAACTGTAAAGATTTTTTTCCATTCCCATAAGACCAGTCCTGAAAAAACACCAATTCTTTAGGTCAAGATGTTACATTTAATTGATTATCTCTGCTTTGGTGTGAACAATCAGAACACATACTCATCAACAGGGCAAACCACTTGAAACAAATCATTTAGAAATGCAAGCAAGACAAAGAGGAAATTCTTCTCAGGGCAGCTTTCTGAATTTCCCTAACCCATTAAAATATCATTCCCTATAACAAATGATGGTTTCACCATGGAAATTCTGATTTGTAGGTTTCAGGATAGCTAAAGCATATCCATATTTCAGTATAAATACATACCAAACCATCTTTTTCAGCAATGAGTCAGAAAAATTCTCTGTGAAAAAGACTTTACAGAGCTACAGAATACTCACAGAGTGACATTTTTTCTCAAAGGGTAGAACTTCATGATTAGAAGATCTATGGTAATGGTTTTTGTTTTAAATATACTTCCTTCTTTCCTAGGCTTCACCAAGTCAAGTAGGGGAGGACATCTTCACTCTGCAACTTGCCCTACTGAATGCAGAAAGTACTGTCTACTTAGATAAAGCCTACACTAAAAGGGAATTGAATCTCTGCAAATAAGTATGTGGATCTAATTTCTACCTTCCAGATTAAAAGTATAATTAAAAATGAAAACCTTTGTAGGACTAAATTGATTTTGCAGACAAATCTCACTTCTTAGCTTGAGCTGACTTATTCCCAATCTTAAACCCTAATTAATAACATACAAGAATGAGTTTTATTATACATGCCACTTAAATTAACTGTTAATATCATCTCCTGAGCTGCCAACAGAACTTTTCTACAATGATGGTAATGTTCTATATCTGTGCTGTCCAATGTAGGAGTGAAGAGCCACAGGTATTTATTGAGGATTATCCTCAATATCTGCTAGTGTGATTGAGAATTTTACATTTAATTTAACTTTAATTACTTTTTACACTAAATTTAATAAACAATTTTGCAACGCTAAACTTGACAACTTAAATAAAGTGGGCAAATTCCTTGAAAGATCCACATTATCAAAGCTCACTCAAGAAGACATAGATAACCAGAATAGCCCTTTATCTTATGAAGAAATTGAATTTCCAGTTATAAACTTTCCCACAAAGAAAACTTCAAGCCTGGAGTTTATGGCTTCACTGGTCTATCAAGCATTTTAAAAACTAGAAAAGTAATGGTCATACACAAATTGTTCATTTCTTCTAGAAAATTGAAAAGAAGAGAATACTTACAACTCATTTTATGAGTTTTGTCAAAGCCAGACAAAAATATTACAAAAATACCATTACAGACCAATATCCCTTATGAACATACATGGAAAAATTCCTAGCCAGTTCTTAGTAAATTAAATTCAACATTGTGTGAAATGGACAACACATCATGATCAAATTGGATTTATATCAGGAATAAATCTTGTTTTGACATTCAAAAATGAATCAATGTGATTTATCACATTATCAAACCAGCCAAAGAAAAAGAATGTTTATATCAATAAATGTAGAAAAGTATTTGTTGAAATTCAACTTCCATTCCTGAAAAAACAAAAACAACTCCACCAAATAAGAATAGAAGGAATTTCTCTCTGCATTGATTTTGTATCCTGAGATTTTGCTTTAGTTGCTTGTCAGCTTAAGGAGATTTTGGGCTGAAACGATAGGGTTTGCTAAGTATACATTCATGTTACCTTCAAACAGAGACAATTTGACTTTCTTTTTTCCTAATTGAATACCCTTTATTTCTTTCTCCTGCCTGATTTCCCTGGCCAGAACTTCCAATACTATGTTGAATAGGAGTGGTGAAAGAGGGCATCCTTGTCTTGTGCCGGTTTTCAAAGGGAATCCTTTCAGTTTTTTCCCATTCAGTATGATATTGGCTGTGAGTTTGTCATAAATAGCTTTCATTATTTTGAGATATGGTCCATCAATACCTAGTTTATTGAGAGTTTTTAGCATAGAAGGCTGTAGAATTTTGTTGAAGGCCTTTTCTGCATCTATTGAGATGACCATGTGGCTTTGGTCATTGGTTCTGTTTAATGTGATGGACTACATTTATTAATTTGTGTATGTTGAACTAGTCTTGCATCCCAGGGATGAAGCCAACTTGAATGTGGTGGATAAGCTTTTTGATGTGCTGCTGGGTTCGGTTTGCCAGTATTTCATTGAGGATTTTCACGTCAATGTTCATCAGGGACATTGGCCTAAAATTCTCTTCTATTGTTGTGTCTCTACCAGTCCCAGTGAGATGAACCAGGTACCTCAGTTGGACATGGAGAAATCACCTGTCTTCTGCATTGTTCTCCCTGGGAGCTGTAGACAGGAGCTTTTCCTATTTGGCCATCTTGGAAGTGCCCCATCATTTCTTCTAAAAATATTTAAGCTTCTTGAGCACCAATTATGTTTCAATAAAATCATGACAATTGTGACTTAAGAAAGATTCATTACAAGATGACTATAAAATATCATGAAAGATGTGAAAGTTAGATATAAATATTACTGTTTAATCATCTGCCTGCCTAGACTTCTTTTTCTCAACAAAGTACCTTACCCTATCCTTTTAAATGGCCTGTAAATTCTACTGCATTTCACTATGACTGGATCAGATGACATGGAGCAAATGGAATCCTTGTAGCAGTCACATCATGTGGAATACTGACAACATAACACAAGTGCTTCCATTTCCTCTTCCATATCCAGAGCATATACTATATTTAATCATGGCACATGACTTCAGTAACTTTGCAAATATCTTGAATGCTTTTAATAGTCTAGACCTGCAAATGTGGCTAATTAAATCACAAATTTTAACAGCTTTTTGAGGCTTCATTGACATATGATATGGTTTGAATGTATCCCCCCAAAGTCCCTATGTTGGAAAAAATCAGTGTGCAAAAATCACAAGCATTCCTAAACACCAATAACAGACAAACAGAGAGCCAAATTATGAGTGAACTCTCATTCACAATTGCTACAAAGAGAATTAAATATCTTGGAATACAACTTACAAGGGATGTGAAGGACCTCTTCAAGGAGAACTACAAGCCACTGCTCAATGAAATGAAAGAGGACACAAACAAATGGAAGAACATACTATGCTAATGGATAGGAAGAATCAATATTGTGAAAATGGCCATACTGCCCAAAGTAATTTATACATTTAACGCTATCCCCATCAAGCTACTACTGACTTTCTTCACATAATTAGAAAAAAACTACTTTAAATTTTATATAGAACCAAAAAAGAACCTGCATAGACAAGACAGTCCTAAGCAAAAACAACAAAGCTAGAGGCATCACACTACCTGACTTCAAACTATACTACAAGGCTACAGTAACCAAAACAGCATGGTACTGGTACAAAAACAGATATATAGTCCAATGGAACAGAACAGAGGCCTCAGAAATAACTATCATCAGAGTGAACAGGCAACCTACAGAATGAAAGAAAATGTCTGCAATCTATCCATCTGACACAGAACTAATACCCAGAATCTACAAAGAACTTAAACAAATTTACAAGAAAAAAACACCCCCAGCAAAAAGTGGGCAAAGGATATGAACAGATACTTCTCAATAGGAGACATTTATGCAGTCAACAGACATATGAAAAAATGCTCATCATCACTGGTCATCAAATAAATGCAAATCAAAACCACAATGAGATACCATCTCATGCCAGTTAGAATGGTGATCATTAAAAAGTCAAGAAACAACAGATGCTGGAGAGGATGTGGAGAAATACGAAAGTTTTACACTGTTCTTGGGAGTGTAAATTAGTTCAACCATTGTGGAAGACAGTGATTCCTCAAGGATCTAGAACTAGAAATACCACTTGACCCAGCAATCCCATTACTGGGTATATGTCCAAAGGATTATAAATCATGCTACTATAAAGACACATGCACACATAAGTTTATTGCGGCACTGTTCACAATAGCAAAGACTTGGAACCAACCCAAATGTCCATCAGTAATAGACTGAATAAAGAAAATGTGGCACATATATACCATGAAATACTATGCAGCCATAAAAAAGGATGAGTTAATGTCCTTTTCAGGGACATAGATGAAGCTGGAAACCATCATTCTCAGCAAACTATCACAAGGACAGAAAACCAAATACCACATGTTCTCACTCATAAGTGGGAGTTGAACAATGAGAGCACATGGACACAGGGAGGGGATCATCCCACACCATGGCCTTTTCGGGGGTGGGGGTCTGGGGGAGGGATAGCATTAGGAGAAATACCTAATGTAAATGACAAGTTGATGGGTGCAGCAAACCAACATGGCAAATGTATACCTATGTTACAAACCTGCAGGTTGTGCCCATGTACCCTAGAACTTAAAGTATAATAATAATAGTAAAAGAAATGTTTTAAAGTTTTACAGAAACGATTTTACCTACCTAGAAATAAAATAATAAATCACATTTTTGAAAGTCTTCATTCTTATTACCTAAAACATATAATAGCCCTATTCAAAAAAAACAAAAAGATTATCATGGCTATAAGACTGACACACACTGCTATAAGGTTAGGTAGTAAAAGTTATATCATATGTCTTAGGATTCATAAGAACTGAAGTGTGAATGCTGTAGGCAATATGTGGGTGTATTATTTTGTTTGCGTTGTTACAAAAGAATACCTGAGGCTGGGTAAAATAAACCTATTTCCTTCATAAATTCACAGGCTGCAAAAGAAGCATGGTACCACAGTTTGCTCCAGGTGAGGGCTTCAAGCAGCTTCCACTTGTGATAGAAGGGGATAAGAATCCATGTGTGCAGAAATTACATGATGAGTGGAAAACCATGAGAGAGAGAGAAAGAGGTGCCAGGCTGTTTTCAACAACCAGTTGTGTAGGATCTATAAATGAAAACTTATTCACTCCTGAGAGAATGGCACCAGGTCATTCATGAGAAATCCAGCCCCACGATCCAAACACCTCCCATTAGATTCCAGCCCAAATATTGGGCATCAGATTTCAACTTGAGGTTTGGAGGATCAAATATCCAAACAATAGCAGTAGGGAAAGGGAGACACTAATAATATGAACTCAGGTAAATAAAATGTAAGATTGCATTCTGAGTATTAAAACTCTAATAATTAAAACTCTAAATATTATAACTCAAATAACTCTAATAAACTATGTATATAGTTTATATAAAGTTATACTATATATATAGTTATACAAACTATATATATATAAGCCTCTCAGATTAGGGGAGATATCTATCTATATAGATAGATAAATATATAGAGATAAGTAGAGATATAATCTATATAAAATCTATAATCTATATATAATCTATAGATATTATATATAGTGTCTATCCATCTATATCTACAGATGGATGGATAGATGATAGATAGATAGATGATAGATATATAGATAGATAGATAGATAGATAGACAGATAGATAGATAGATAGATAGACAGATTGATAGATCTCCCCAAATCTGAGGAGAGGAATGGACATCCAAATTCAAAAAGGTCAACAGGCCTGGAATAGGATAAATCCAAAGAATCCTATACCAAGATACATGATAATCAAATCATCAAAAGACAAAACAAAGTCAAAATTTTAAATGTAGCAAAATAAAAGTGACTCTTCATGCACAAGAGAGTCCCTGTATGACTACCAAGTGGTTTTCTCAGCAGAGACCTTGCAGGCCAGAAGGAAAAGGGCGGATATATTCAAAGTGCTGAAGAAGAAAAAAAAACTCTGCCAACTAAGAATGTTAAATCTGGCAAAAGTGTCTTCTAAAAATGATGAATGAAGAATGCCTTTCCCAGACAAGCAAAAAATGATAGTGTTTTCTTTGTTTTTTACCACTAGATATGCTTTACAGGAAATGCTAATGGGAGTTCTATAAGTCAAAACAAACTGATGCTAAATAGTAACACAAAAACATATGAAAGTATAAACTTTCTATATAAATGTAAAAATACAGAAAAGTCGAGAATACTGTAATAAGTGATGAGGGTATCTAAATCATTTTTTATTTTAGTATAAAAGTAAAAAGACGAAAGTATTAAGAACATAACTAAAAAATGTTAATGGATACATAATATAAAAATATGTAAATTATGATGTAAATAACATAAAATAGGAGAGGAATTAAAAGTGTAGATGTAAATGGAGCAAAAGAACTATAAGACAAATGATGTGGTTTAGCTGTGTCCCCAACCAAATCTCATCTTGAATTTACATGTGCTGTGGGAGGGACCTGGTGGGTAATTCAATCATGGTAGCAGGTCATTCCCATGCTTTTCTTGTGATAGTGAGTAAGTCTCACGATGTCTGATGGTTTCATAAGGGGGAGATTCCCTGCACAAGCTCTTTCTCTTTGCCTGCTGTCATCCATGTAAGACATGACTTCCTCCTCCTTTCCTTCTGCCATGATTGTGAGGTCTCCTCAGCCACTCAGAATTGTAAGTGTATTAAATCTCTTTCTTTTGTAAATTGCCCAGTCTCGGGCATCTTTATCAGCAGTGCGAGAACAGGCTAATACAACAAACAAACAAAATAGCAATAGTAAGTCCTTTGCTAGCAAAAATTGTTTTAAACATAAATGGTTTAAAATTCTTAATCCAAAGACATAGAGTGACTGAATAGATTTTTTTTTTAAAAAAAGACCCAACTATATGCTGTTTTCCAGAGACTCACTTGAGATTTAAGGACACACAGACTAAAAGTGAAGGGATAGAATAAAAGGTATTTCATGCAAATGGTAAACAAAAGATTGCTGGGGTGGCTTTACTTAAACAAACACAGAGGAGGTGCAAGGTGGCTGACTAGAAGCAGCTATTGTGTGCCACTCTCATGGAGAGGAGATAGAATGAGAAGTAAACACTAGCTCTTCAAATGGATTATCCAGGAGGTAATGTTGGGATTTATCAAATAAGCAATAGTGACCCATGGAGCTCAGAGAGAAGTAAGGCAGGAAAAGCACACACCCAGGATTGGCATGGCACCAAGAGTGGCTCCCCACCAAGAGGATAGAGTAAGTGAGCAAGAGCATCTCAGGACCCATACTTCTGCCATGAGTCTTTGAAATCCTTAGCACAGAAGATCCCCTTGACCTCCTCTTTAGAGCCTCCAGACTAACATGGAGAGTTTTGTGAAAGCTGGGTAGATCTGCCACTGAAGCCTACATGGAGCCCCAATGGTCTTAGATCCCTAAGTACCCTGAAGCCAGCTTCCATAGCTCCAAACAACAAGGGAGGCCAGCCTATCTCATGCGCTCTCAGGATAGGAGCTGCATCCTTGGTGCTGAGTAGATGGACTATAGACTTCACCTCTGCTGCACATCAACAGGCAAAGCCCATTGGCCTGGGACCCCGATGCAGCCACTCCACCTGTATTAGTCTATTTTCACACTGCTGATAAAGACATACCTGAGATTGGACAATTTACAAAAGAAAGAGGTTTAATGGACTTACAGTTCCATATGGCTGGGGAGTCCTCACAATCATGGAGGAAGGCAAGGAGGAACAAGTTATGTCTTACATGGATGGCAGCAAGCAAAAAGAGAGAGAATTTGTTCAGGGAAACTCCCCCTTATAAAACCATCAGATCTCATGAGATTTATCCGCTATCACAAGAACAGCAGAGAAAAGACCCACCCCCATGATTCCATTATCTCCCACCATGTCCTTCCCACAACACATGGAAATTAAAGGAGTACAATTTAAGATGATATTTGGGTGGGGACACAGTGCCAAACCATATCATTCCACCCCTGGTGTTGTGGGAAATCAGGGACCCCAAACGGAGGGACTGGCTGAAGCCATGACAGAAGAACGTGGATTGTGAAGATTTTGTGGACATTTATTAGTTCCCCAAATTAATACTTTTATAATTTCTTATGCCCGTCTTTACTGCAGTCCCTAAACATAAATTGTAAAGATTTCATGGACACTTATCACTTCCCCAATCAATACCCTTGTGATTTCCTATGCCTGTCTTTGCTTTAATCTCTTAATCCTGTCAGCCAAGGAGGATGTATGTCGCCTCAGGACCATGTGATAATTGCATTAACTGCACAAATTGTAGAGCATGTGTGTTTAAACAATATGAAATCTGGGCACCTTGAAAAAAGAACAAGATAACAGCAATGTTTAGGAAATAAGAGAGATAAACTTAAACTCTGACCGCTGGTGAGCCAGGCAGAACAGAGCCATATTTCTCTTCTTTCAAAAGCAAATGGGAGAAATATCGCTGAATTCTTTTTCTCAGCATGGAATATCCCTGAGAAAGAGAATGCGCACCTGGGGGTAGGTCTCTGAACTGGACCCCCGGGGCGTACCTGTCTCTTATGGTCAAGTCTGCAGAGATGAAATAAATTCCAGTCTCCCATAGCGCTCCCAGGCTTATTAGGAAGAAGAAATTCCCGCCTAATAAATTTTGGTCAGACCGGTTGATCTCAAAACCCTGTCTCCTGATAAGATGTTATCAATGACAATGGTGCCCGAAACTTCATTAGCAATTTTAATTTCGCCTCAGTCTTGTGGTCCTGTGATCTCATCCTGCCTCCACTTGCCTTGTGATATTCTATTACCCTGTTAAGTACTTGATGCCTGTCACCCACACCTATTTGCACACTCCCTCCCCTTTTGAAAATCCCTAATAAAAACTTGCTGGTTTTTGTGGCTTGTGGGGCATCATGGATCCTACCAATGTGTGATGTCTCCCCTGGACACCCAGCTTTAAAATTTCTCTCTTTTGTACTCTGTCCCTTTATTTCTCAAGCCAGCCAACACTTAGGAAAATAGAAAAGAACCTACGTGATTTTCAGGGCAGGTTCCCCAAAACCCTGGCCCCTCCAAAATCTCATGTCCTCACATTTCAATACCAATAATATCTTCCCAACAGTCTCCCAAAGTGTTAACTCAGTTCAGCATTAACTCCAAAGTCCACAGTCCAAAGTCTCATCCAAGACAAGGCAAGTCCCTTCTACCTATGAGCCTGTGCAATCAAAAACAAGTTAGTTACTTTCTAGATACAATGGGGGTATAGGCATTGGGTAAATACAGCTGTTCCAAATGGGAGAAATTGAGCAAAGCAAAGGGGCTACAGGCATCGTGCAATCTGAAATCCAGCAGGGTAGTCAAATCTTGAAGTTCCAAAATGATCTCCTTTGACTCTACATCTCACATCAGGGTCATGCTGATGCAAGAGATGGGTTTTCATGGTCTTGGGCACCTCCGTCCCTGTAGCTCTGCAGAGTATAGTCCCCCTCCTGGCTACTTTCCCCCTGCATGGGCTGGCATTGAGTGTCTGCAGCTTTTCCAGGTGCACAGTGGATCTACCATTCTGGGGTCTGGAGGATGGTTGCCCTCTTCTCACAGCTCCACTAGGTGGTGCCCCATAGAGATTCTGTGTGGAGACTTTGACCCCACATTTCCCTTCCACACTGCCCAGCAAAGGTTCTCCATGAGGGCCCACCCCTGCAACAAACATCTGCCTGGGCATCCAAGTGTTTCCATACATCCTCTGAAATCTAGGCAGAGGTTCCCAAACCACAATTCTTGACTTCTGTGTACCCACAAGCTCAACACCATGTGGAAGCTGCCAAGGTTTGAGGCTTCCACCCTCTGAAGCAACAGCCTGAGCTGTACCTTGGCCCCTTTTAGCCATGGTTGGAGGAACTGAAATGCAGGGCACCAAGTCCCTAGGCTTCACAGAGCAGGGAGCCCGGGGTCTGGCCCAGGAAACCATCTTTTCCTCCTAGTCCTCCGGGCCTGTGATGGGAGGGGCTGTCATGAAGATCTCTGATATGCCCTGGAGACTTTTTCACCATTGTCATGGGGAATAACATCTCGTTACTTATGCAAATTTCTGCAGTGACTGGAATTTCTCCACAGAAAATGGGATTTTCTTTTCCATCACATAGTCAGGCTGAAAATTTTCCAAACTTTTATGCTGTTTCCTTTTTAAAACTGAATGCTTTTAACAGCACCCAAGTTACCTCTTGAATACTTTGCTGCTTAGAAATTTCTTCTGCCAGATACCCTAAATCATATACCTCAAGTTCAAAGCTCCACAAATCTTTAGGGCAGGGGCAAAATGCAGCCAGTCCCTTTGCTAAAATATAACAAGAGTCACCTTTGCTCCAGTTCTCAACAAGTTCCTCATCTCCATCTGAGACCACCTCAGCCTGAATTCGTTGTCTATATCATTATCAGCATTTTGGACAAAGTCATTAAACAAGTCCCTAGGGAGTTCCAAACTTTCCCACATTCTCCTGTCTTCTTCTGAGCCCTCCACACTGTTCCAACCTCTGCCTGTTACACAGTTCCAAAGTCACTTCCACATTTTCAGGTATTTTTTCAGCAGCACCCCACTCTACTGGTACCAATTTACTGTGTTAGTCTATTTTCATGCTGCTGATAAAGACATACCTGAGACTGGGAAGACAAAGAGGTTTAATGGACTTACAGTTCCACATGGCTGGTGAGGCCTCACAATCATGGTGGAAGGCAAGGAGGAGCAAGTCACGTCCTACATGGATGGCAGCAGGCAAAAAAAGAGAGAGTTTGTGCTGGGAAACATCCATTTTTAAAACCATCAGATCTCATTAGAATTATTCATTATCACGAGAACAGCACAGGAAAGAGCTGCCCCCATGATTCAGTCATCTCCCACTGGGTCAGTCCCACAACATGTGAGAATTATGGGAGTACAATTCAAGATGAGTTTGGGTGGGTACACAGAGCCATAACATATCACCACCCTTGTCTGAGCATTTAGACCAGTCCCAGCTCTGCATTTCTCTGATAGAGCTCCCAGAGGTAACCAACAAGTTTGCAGTGTTTGCCACTGCCACAGCCCCTATCCTATTGCCCTCATGATGGAGATCTGAGAGCTCAAGAACTGTCAAAGGCCTTCAGTATACTGCAGCTGCCATGTGGAAAAGCAGACAGATGTTTTTCATGGAGGTCCCTGACCCTCTGGATCCTCACTGGGCAGGGCCTCCCAAACTGGGCTCCCAGTGCAGCCGCCCTACCACTCTCTGATCACCTCAGTCAGTGGTGGCTCTGTGTTTCTCTGGAGAGGAATTCCTAGAAACAACTGACAGGGTTTCTGTCATTGCTGTTGTGGTGGTACCTGTCTTTGTTGGTCTTGTGCTACAGAGCAAAGACCCTGATCACTTTGCTTGCACCTCCAGAATTCTACAGCCACTGTGTGAAGAGAAGCCCAGTCTCTCTTCCCTATGAGTCCCTGACCCCAAGCTATTCACGAGGTAAGACCTCCAGTTTGGGCCTACATCACAGTTACCCCATCACCAGCTTATCATTCTAATTGGTAGAGGATCTGTGTTTCTGTGGGGTGAAACTCCCAGAGACAAGTGACAGGCCCTCTGCCATTGTCAATGCCAAGGTCCTTGCCTCTGCTGCACCCAAGCTGAAGAGGAAACAAAAAGCATGAGCTTACCCTAAGGCTGCGGTGCATAGCCTGGGAGTACCAAGCTGACATCTGTGGCCAGCACCTGAGTGAAAGAGGAGTCCACAGTTTCAGAGCACTGAGAAGGGTATGGCTGCAAAAATGAGGAGATACAGAGGAGCCACGCAAAATAATACCCTATCTACCAGCCATTATGCTTAAGTGCCATCTACTGGATCATAGCTCAAACTACAACACCAAAAATAATTTTCTTAATACACTTCCATGTGAAACCAAGGGCAAGAATTCAGCCATAAATAAAGACCCTGCAAAAGTCCTCTGAAAACAGGCAGAAATGAAACCAAGGGACTGTACTCAAATTTTTCCACAGTTACAAGACCATTAGCCCACACAGATGGGAAAGAGCCAGTGCAAAAACTCTGGCAATTCTAATATCCAGAGAGTCTTCTTGCCTCCACACAACTGCACTACCTCTCCAGCAATGGTTCTTAACCAGAATGAAATGGCTGAAATGACAGACGTACAATTAAGAATCTTGATGGCAATGAAGATCATTGAGATCCAGGAGAAAGTTAAAACTTATCCAAGAAATCTAAGAATCTAGTAAAATGATTCAAAGGATGAAAGATGAAATAGCCATTTTAATAAAGAAACAAACTAATCTGATACAGCTTAAAAACACACTACTAGAATTTCATAATGCAATCAAAAATATTAACATCAGAATAGACCAAGCTGAGGAAGGAATCTTAGAGCTCAAAGACTGGTTCTTCAACTTAATCAGAAAAATAAAATTAAAAAATGAACAAAACTGCCAAGAATTATGGAATTATGTAAAGAGACTAACCTATGATGCTTTGGCATCTTTGAAAGAGAAAGAGAAAGCAAGAAAATTGGAAATCATTTGAGGATGTTGTCCATGAAAATCTCCCCAACATCACTAGAAAGGTCAACATTCAAATTCAAGAAATCCAGATAATCTGTGTGAGATACTATACAAGATAACCATCCCAAAGACGCATAGTCAGAAGATTCTCCCAGGTCAATGCAGAAGAAAAAACATTAAAGACAGCTACAGAGAAGGGGCAGAACACCTAAAAAGGAACCCCAACAGGCTAACAGTAGACCTTTCAGCAGAAACTCTACAAGCCAGAAGATCCTTAAGGAAAAGAAACTCCAACCAACAATTTTTTATCCAGCCAAACTAAGCTTCATAAGTGAAGAAAGTATGATTCCTTTCAGACAAGCAAATGCTAGGGGAATTTGTTCCTACCAGAACTGCCTTAGAAGAGATCCTTAAAGGAGCGCTAAACATGGAAATGAAAGACTTACCATAAACCACAAAAACACCCTTAAGTACATAGACTATTGACAATATAAAGCAACTACACAATCAAGTCTACATTACAACCAGCTAACAAAACAATGACCGAAACAAATCCACATATTTCAGTGTTAACCTTTAACATAAATGGGCTAAATGCCCCATTTAAAAGGCACAAAGGGGTTAAGTTGCATAAAGAAGCAAGACCCAACTGTATGCTGCCTTTTAAAGACCCATCTCACATGCAATGATACCCATAGGCTAAAAGTAAAGTCTCTGTTCAATGCAGAAGAAAGAAAGAAAGAAGATCTGATAAACAATTCCAGCAAAGTTTCAGGATACAAAATCAATGAACAAAAATTGTTAGCATTTCTACACCTCAATAACATCCAGGCTGAGAGACAAGTGAAGAACACAGTCTCATTTGTAATAGCTGCAAAAAGAATAAAATACCTAGAAATACAGCTAACCAAGGACGTGAAAGATCTCTACCATGCGAATTATAAAACACCTCTTAAATAAATCAGAGATGACACAAAGAAATGGAAAAACATTCTATATTCATGGATAGGAAGAATCAACATTGTTAAAATGGTCATATTACGCAAAGCAATTTACAAATTCAATGATATTCCTATAAAACTACCAATGATATTTTTCAGAGTTAGAAAAAACTATTGTAAAATTCACATGAACCCAAAAAGAGAGAGTGATAGGCCAAAGCAATCCTAAGTAAAAAGAACAAAGCTGGAGATATCACACTGCTCAACTTCAAACTATAGTACAAGGATACAGTAACCAAAACAGCATGGTACTGGAACAAAACCAGACACATTGACCAGTGGAATAGACTAGAGAATCCAGAAATTAAGCTGCACACATACAACCAACTGACCTTTGACAAAGCCAACAATAACAAGCAATGGGGGACAGGGCACCTTATTCAATAAATGTTGTTATAACTGACTAACCATATGCAGAAGGCTAAAACTGAACTCCTACCTGTCACTATATACAAAAATTAACTCACGATGGATAAAAACCCTAGAAGAAAACCTAGGAAATATTATGAATATCAACCCTGGCAACATTTTCATGATGAAAACCCCAAAAGCAATTGCAACAAGGACAAAAATTGACAAATGGGACTTAATTAAACTAATGAGTTTCTGCACAGCAAAAGAAACTATCAACAGAATAAATAGGCAAAGTATTTGTAATAGGGATAAAATATTTGTAAATTATGAATCCAACAAAGGTCAAATATTCATAGTCTATAAGAAACAAACAAGAAGAAAACAAACAACCCCACTAAAAAATTGGTAAATGACATGAACAGGCACTTCTCTAAAAGAAGAGGTACACACCACCAACAAGCATACAAAAAAGGCTCAAAAGCACTAATCATTAGAGAAATGCAAATCAAAACCGCAATGAGATACCATCTCACACCAGTCAGAATGGCTATGATTAAAAACTCAAAAAATAACAGATGCTGGCAAGGGTGCAGAGGAAAGGGAATGCTTATACACTTTGGTGGGAATGTAAATTAGTTCAGACACTGTGGAAAGCAGTTTAGAGGTTTCTCAAAAAAAAAAAAAAAACTTAAAACAGAATTACTATTTGACCCAGCAATCTCATTACTGAGTATATACCCAGAGGAATATAAATCATTCTACCATAAAGACCCATGAACACATATGTTTACTGCAGCACTATTCACAATAGCACAGACATGGGATTAACCTAGATGCCCATCAGTGATGGACTGGAAAAAGAAAATGTGGTACATAGACACAATGGAATACTATGCAGCCATGAAAATGAATTAAATCATGTCTTTTGCAGCAACATGGATGAAGTCAGAGGCCATTATACTAAGGGAATTAAAACAGGAACAGAAAACCAAATATCACATGTTCTCACTTATAAGTGGGAGCTAAACACTGAGTACATGTAGACAAAAATAAGGGAACAATAGACACCAGACCTCTTTCTTGTGGTTAGAGGGTAGGAGGAGGGTGAGTGTTGGAAAAATATCTACTGAGTACTGTACTCATTGCCTGGGTGACAAAATAATCTGTACACCAAACCCTTGTGACACACAATTTACCCATGTAACAAATCTGTACATGTACCTGAAATCTGAACCTAAAATAAAAGTTGGAAAAAATAAAAAATAAATAAATGAATTGAAATCTGAAAAATACAGAAACAAAGTAGATGTTAAGTCCAAAACATTAAATAATGATAAAATTATCAATTTATCAGTAAGATATAAAAATATAAATATATATACCCCCAACATTAGAGCACCTACATGTATAAATCAAATATTTATAGAGATGAAATAAGATAGATAGCAATACAATAATACTAAGAGACTTCAATATCCCATCTTCAACAGTGGACAGAACATACAGACAGAAAACTGGTAAGGAAACAGTAGACTAGAACAACACCAGAGATCAAATTGTCCTAATAGACATATACAGAACATTTCATCCCAAAGAAGATGAATACTGGACATTCTTCACAAACATACAAGGGGAATTGTCCAGAATAGACCACATGTTAGGTCACAAAACAAATCTTAACAAATTTAAGAACATTGAAATTATATCAAGTATCTTTTTCTTACCACAATGGTTTGAAACTAGAAACCAAAACCAGAAGGAAGATCAGAAAATTCACAAATACGTGCATATTAAACAATACATTCCTGAACAACAAATGAAACAATAAAGAAATTTAAAAATCAAAAAATTTCTTAAGAAGATGAAAATAGAACATGCTAAAAGTTATGGAATGCAGTGAAGCACTTTTAAGAGGTACATTTATAGTGATTAACTCCTACATTAAAAATCAGAAACTAACAAGTTTTGGAAATTAGGGGGCAAAAAGAGCAGAAAGATATTAAATAATAAATTTACCTTTATACCTCCAGAAACTAGGGGAAAAAAAAGAACATAGCTCAAAGTTAGCAGAAGGAATAAAATAATAGGATTAAAGCAGAAATTAATGAAACAGAGACTAGAAAAACAATAGAAAAGATTAATAAAAGTTTTTCTTGAAAAGATAAACTGACAGTTCTTTATCTATAGTGTATTAGTCCATTTTCACTCTGCTACAGAGAACTACATGAGACTAGGTCATTTATGAAGAAAAGAGGTTTAATTGACTAACAATTCCACATGGCTGGGCAGGCCTCAGAAAACTTACAATCATGGCAGAAGATGATAGGGAAGAAAGGTACATCTTTGGAAGAAGAGAAAAAGATAAGGGGAAGTACCACACTTTTAAGTGATTAGATTTTGTGAGAACTCACTCACTATCACAAGAACAGCATGGAGGAAAACTCCCCCATGATCAAATCACCTCCCATAGATTCCTCCCTCAACACATAAGGATTAAAATTTGAGATGAAATTTGGGTGGGTGCACAGAGCCCAAACCATTCCATATAGTTACTAAGAAAAATGGAGAAAACTCAAATAAATTGGAAATGAAAGTGTAGACATTAAAACTGATATCACAGAAATACAAAGGATCATATGAGAGTATTATAAACAATTATACACCAACAAATTGGATAATTTAGAAGAAATGAATAAACTCCTAGAAATATACAATGTACTAACACTGAATAATGAAGAAATAGAAAACCTGAACAGACCTATAACTAGTATGGAGATTGAATTAGTAATCAAAAACATCCCAACAAAGAAAAGCCCAGGACCAGATGACTTCACTGGTAAAGAGTTCACTGGTGAATTCTACCAAACATTTAAAGAAGATTTAGCGGCAGTCTTTCTCAAACTTTTGTCAAAATAATGAAGAGGAGGAAATACTTTGAAACTCATTTTATGAGGCCAACATTATCCTGATACCATTATAATAGCATTTTTTAATTATACTTTTAAGTTCTAGGGTACATGTGCACAACGTGCAGGTTTGTTACATAGGTATACATGTGCCTTGTTGGTTTGCTGCACCCATCAACTCGTTATTTATATTAGGTATTTCTCCTAACGCTATCCCTCCCCGAGACCCCCACCCCCCAACAGGCCCTGGTGTGGGATGTTCCCTTCCATGTGTCCATGTGTTCTCATTGTTCAACTACCACTTATGAGTGAGAACATGCGGTGTTTGGTTTTCTGTCCTTGTGATAGTTTGCTGAGAATGATGATTTCCAGCTTCATCCGTGTTCCTGCAAATGACATTAACTCATCCTTTTTATGGCTGCATAGTATTCCATGGTGTATATGTGCCACATTTTCTTTATCTAGTCTATTATTGATGGACATTTGGGTTGATTTCAAGTCTTTGCTATTGTGAATAGTGCCACAATAACATTTTTAAATGCCATTTTACAATAGCATTAAAAAGAATAAAATACTTAGGAATAAACTTAACCAAGGAAGTGTAAGATTTATACAATGAAAAGTATAAAACATTGATGAAAAAAACAAAGAAGACATCAATATATGAAAAGATAATCTGTGTTCATGGGTTATAATAATATTACTAAAATGTCCGTACTACCCAATGTGATCTACAGATTTAATGTTATCCCCCATGAAACCCCAATGGCATTTTTATAGAAATTTTTAAAATCCTAAACTTTATATGCAATCACAAAAGACCTAGAATAGCCGAAGCAATCTTGAGAAAGAACAAAGCTGGAGGCATCACACTTCCAGATTTCAAAATGTATTACAAAACTAAAGTAATTTAAAAAGTATGGAACTGGCAGAAAGACAGATACATAGAATAATGAGACAGAATAGAGATCCCAGAATTAAGCCCACATATACAGTCAACTAATTTTTTTACAAGAGTATCCAGAATACACAATGGGTAGAGGATAGTCCCTTCAATAAATGTTGGGTAAGATAGATAGGCATAGGCAAAGAATAAAATTGAACCCCATTACATCATACACAAAAATCGACTCAAAGTGGATTAAAGCCTTAAATGTAAAACCTAAAACTGCAAACTTCTAGACTGAAACCCAGGAGAAAGTTTTAATGGCCTTGGTCTGGGCAATTATTTCTTGATATGGCACCAAAAGCACAGACAACAAGAGGAAAAATAGATAAGTGGGACTACATTAAACCAAAAAGCTTCTGCTCAGCAAAGGAAACAATAAACAGAGTTTAAAACAACCTACAGAATGGGGAAACATTATTTGTAAACCATTAATCTGTTAAAGAATTAATCTACAAAATATATAAGAAATTGCTACAGTCTAAGAGCAAAAAGCAAATAATTTAAAAATGGGCAAAGTAGTTGAATAGACATGTTTCCAAAAAAGACATAAAAATGGCCACCATAAGGGTAAACTTTATACTGACAAAAAAGAGCATTCTAGGAAGATGACTGAAATCTCTTCCTACTTTTCAAACTTACCTATCCATGAATACCTATCCAACAACCATTGCTCCCCTTCGTACTTGTAAAAAATAAACAAACAAACAAACAAAAAATGAAAAAAGAAACAAACCTGGCTTTATTAAACTATCAGATGGCCATATTTTTTTCAGAGAAATCTGAACCTGTTGCAAACCTAAGAGATGAACCATAATAGGCTTAAACCAATATTGTGGTGGAGTATTGGGAAGTACAAGTCAACAAAAATGCTCCTGTATTCTCCCTCTGAGATGTGGTAATCTGAAAATAACACCTGGCACCACGGCAGCTATCTTGACATCATGAGGTTAGTCAGCCGGAGGAAAAAAGACAGGAGGGCAGAAAAATGGAAGGAAAACAGGCCTTTGATGATGACATACAGACACTGAGTTTACCAATGCTAGAATTTCCCTAGCTTCAAGTAAAGGTTTTTCACACTTGTCACTATGGACATTTTAGAGGAGATAATTTTTTTTTTTTTTTTTTATAGAATGCTGACCTGTGCATTGTATGAATACAGGATGCTAATCAGCATCCCTGGCCTCTACCCACTAAATGCTAGTATCATTCTTTCCCTTGGGTGACAAGCCAAGTATGTCTCCAGACATTGCTAAATGTTTTCTGGCTAGCAAAACATTCCACAAAGCTGATCTTGGCTAAGAACCACTGATTTAGGTTTATCGTTATATAAGATATGTTTCTTATTTTTTCAGGCATCTTAACTGGATATGTAGCCTAAAGAATCCTAGTCAAGAGCATTATGGCATCAACCGTACCTTTTTGTTCCATTTTTACCTTTTATTTATTTATTTTTTGTTTGGGTATCTGTTTGCAAAAGCCTTTCTTTCTTTCTTTTTTTCCCTCCCTTCCTTTTTTCCTTTCTTCTTTCCATATTTCTTTCCTTCCTTCATATTTTGTTTCTTTTTTTCATTTGTATCAGAAAAATCATGAGTCTGGATAAAATAGTTATTAGAGTTAGATTTGATAAGCTTGAGATGATTATGATTCATGCATTAAATCAGAGAAGTTGGAGTGACAAGGCCACTTATCAACTGATTGTTGAACAGAATGGCAAGAAATGAATTACTGCATCTGCTCCTCTTTCTCAGAGGTATTGTCAAGAATAAATCATAGATGCTGATTTTGAATCTCTTGATGAGATATAACAAAATATTCTGCTCACAAACAGGCTTGAGTCACTCCAGGCAAAGCTAGGGTGGATGCAGCATGTTGAAGGAAAAAAATACACAAAAATATTGCTTAGAGATCATCCGTGAAAAGTCCTTACTCTCCCTTACTACCTCTGACAGCATAATATCCTAACCCTTTCATAATGACAGCCATAACCTTTACTTTTGTATACACTTCTGAAAAAGAAATTTGTGTATCAAATTATAAAAATTAGCATTATCATGAAGTGAATTTACTTGAAATGAGTTAAAGATATGTACTAAAATTGCTATGTTATGTATTTGGGAATATTCTCTTTCCCTAGAATTCTTCTATGGCAGATATAATGTAGCTATAATTACAGATTGTCAAAATCGAGTTTTGCTTCAATTTAACATAATTAAAACTAGTTCTACCAAATTCAGTGTCCTTATTTTTGTAGCAAAAATAACTTAATGTCTTCTTTCTGTAGTTGAAAAACTACAAGCCTAATGGAGCATTTGTGCTTCAGAATTCAAGTGCCATGTTTGTCAATGATGCATCTATATTCAATGCCAAGGTTTTTATTAGTTATGCTATGACAATTAAATAACAGCTTTACAATTTCAGAGGCAAGTCATTATCACAATTTAAATGGAATTTCTAAATAATTGAACTCTTAAAAGACGTATATAGCTTTTCAAATACTGTGTATGATTTACCACATGGCAAATTTTATTATTCAAAGAAACTTCAGATCAACCCTACAACTTCAGTAAATGGTCATCCAACTGGGGTTGCAATGCTTTGTTGCAAAGTGCTTCATTCCATTGGTGAACAACTCTGATGCAATTCCTTCTTCTTTCCCACCCTCTCTCCTCTCTCCCTCTCTTCCTACTTCCTTCTTTTTTTTTCTTTTCTTTATTCCACAACTTATTAAATGCTAAAATGTGGCAAGTTCTGTGTTAGGTCTGTGGATACATTAATCAACAATGCTATAGTATGAAAGTTTGTATCCCCTCACCCCACAAATTGAATATATGTTGAAACCTAACCTCCATGGTGATGGTATTAAGAGCTAGGGCCTTGGCTGGGCGCGGTGGCTCACAGCCATAATCCCAATGCGTTGGGAGGCCAAGGAGGGTAGATCACTTGAGGTCAGGAGTTTAAGACCACCCTGGCTAACATGGAGAAGCTCGTCTCTACTAAACGTACGAAAATTAGCCTGGCGTGGTGGTGCATGCCTGTAATCCCAGCTACTTGGAAGGCGGAGGCAGGAGAAACGCTTGAACCTGGGAAGCAGAGGTTGCGGTAAGCTGAGATAGCACCACTATGCTGCAGTCTAGGCAATAGAGTAAGTGGTACTCCACCTGAAAAGAAAAAAAAGATCTAGTGCCTATTGCAGAGTGATTGGGTCAAAAGGACAGAGCCCTTGTAAATGGGATTAGTAGCTTTATAAAATAAGCCCAAGGGAATTTATTCCCCCTTTCCACCATGTAAGGACACAGCAAGAATGTACCGTCTATGAACCAGAAAGCTGACCCTCACCAGACACCAACAGAAATAAGTGTCTATTGTTCATAGGCTACCTGGTTTATGGTATTTTGTAACGGTAGCCTGAATGGACTAAAACAAACAAGATTCAGTTCTTGACTTCAAGTAGCTCGCAGTCTATATTGAGGTACTGTAAAGTAAGCAGGCAATATAGGATGAAAGTGCCAAGACAAAGATAAGCTCAGGTAAACTGGATGCAGAAATCAGTAAATACTTACTGGAAACCTATTGGATCTTTTGCACTGTGCTTGGAGCTAGGGGGCTTACAAGACAATTTGTACTTAAAATAAGGCAAAACTTGCCTCTTTGTCACTTTGTTACATTAGGTTTAGTTCTGCCCTCAAAAAACATGCAGAATGATTCTAGTCTTTTTGCTATGTTCAAAAGTTTTGTCAAAGAATGGTTTTTCTTATTTTCTTGGCAAGCACTAAAGGGCAAAGCCAGATAGTCTATAATTATTCCCTCGATGAGGGATACATCTTTAAAATGTTCCTATTATGGGAAAATACAAGGGAAAATTTATTTGGAATTTTCCACCTTTGTTAATTTCAATTGTGAAGACAAAGCACAAAATGTTGTAGTCCTTCAGTTTCCCAGAAAATGTTCTACAAACAGTGGTATTGTTAAGTCATCCTCAACATTGACATAAAAGTCAGTACTCAGATTAGCATTCCAGATAGCACTTGCATTTCAGATGGTAAAAAATGCCAAGGTCCTTAGACAACCAAGGTTATCAAAGATCCATTTTTTCCTGATGGCATACAATAGAGACTTTTGGTTTTCCTTCATTTTTTCCCCTTTGTAAAAATTTTTCAATGAATAATAGGGAATTTAGAATTTGATGTATAAACTATTAAGTGTGAATTAACTGGATAAACTTTTTCTTGTGAATCAAGAATTCTATTCCCACTTCTGTCACTAATTTGCCATGTGACCTTGGGAAAGTCACTTCATTATTCCAACTGCCTATTGATAAGATAAACCTAATATTCCCTATTACCACTTTCATTTCTAACGTTCTATGATTTTGAAATAATTTTATTGAAGAAGTAGCTAAGAAATGTGAGAATCACACAAAAACTGTGTCTATAATTCTTATCCACATCCCCCTTCCACCAGTAAATCTAAGAAATCTTGTATTTACCTCGTATAATATTTGATATTAAGTTGATAAGTCAAAGGGTGAGTGTGGTTCAGACAAAACTTAAAATAATTGAGTATCTCCCAAGCACCAAGCAATATGCTACATCCTTGACATATGTGTGTTCATTCAATCTTGGAATCACTAATTGTCTATGCTTTTGTCAAGTTTTTCCAACCCTATCATTATTGTGTTGTTGAATTAGAGGATAGGGACAAATAATTGTTGAGCTATCACTATGAGCCAAGAAATATTTTAAGCATTTTACAAGCATTGGTGCAGTATTTGGTACATTTTAAAGGTTCACCAAATGTTTCTCAAATAAATTAATTTATAAGTAAGTTAAAAATGATTTCTCAGTAATTATATCATATGACAACTGTATGATTTCTTGTGTTTGTGGCCTACTATTTTTGCCTTGAACCAGTCTAGTTTTTACTAGGTTTTATTTGCTTATCTAGGAGAGCGGAGAAATGCCTCATAAAGTGTTTGTTAGGATCAAGTGGGATTTAAAAACAAAAATTTGTTCGATTAATATGAAATTAGTATAGACTTACATAGTTACAGTGTATTCTCATACTTAACACGGCTTTATAAATTCCAGAAATTATAGCAATAAAGAAGAATCCAGAGATGGAGGTTGAGGAGGGTAGGCTGCCCTTGAAAACCATTCATACCGTATCATCATCAATATTGCCATTGTCATAATTCCTTTTTATTCTTTCGTTAAAATGATTTTTTTTTTTTTAACACAGAGTCTCGCTCTGTCACTCAGGCGGAAATGCAATGGTACAATCTCTGCTCACTGCAACCTTCCCCTTCCGGGTTCAAATGATTTTCATGTCTCATCCTCCCGAGTAGCTAGAATTACAGGCCTGTGCCACCACACCGGCTAATTTCTGTATTTTTAATAGAGTAGGGGTTTCACCATGTTGGTCAGACTGGTCTCAAACTCCTCGTCCCGCCACCAACTGATCTGCCAGCCTCCATCCGCCTTGTCCTCCCAAAGAGCTGGGATTACAGGCATGCGCTACCATACCTGGCCCTCATCATCATCATCATTTCAAACATCAAAGCCAAGTCCTGGGGTGGGGCACAGTGGCTCATGACCATAATCCCAGCCCTTTGGGAGGCTGAGGCATGTGGATCACCTAAGGTCAGGAGTTCAAGACCAGCCTGGCCAGACTGCACACCTGCAGTCCCAGCTACTCAGGAGGCTGAGGCAGTAGAATTGCTTGTAACTGGGAAGTGGAGGTTACAGTGAGCCGAGATCATGTCACTGCACTCCAGCCAGCCTGGGCGACAGAGAGATACGCTGTTTCAAAAAAAAAAAAAAAAAAAAAAAATCCAAGTCCTAAAGCAGGGTCACAAAATCAAATGCCTACAGGGTCTAAGCAGGTATGAGAACTGAGGTAGGTGAAGGTTACAATCACGTTCAGAAAATATAACTCATTTTAACTGGGCTACCATTACTCACTTCTGATCCTGGCCTTAGAAATTTAGGACCAGCATTACCAGACCTTCCAAATTTTAAAAATAGGTCATAAATTCATTTTTTATGATTTTTTTCCATTTTTTTAAATGTCATGCAAACCAAACAAAACAGATTGCACATCGTATCTGGTTTAACATATATTTTCTTACATCAAAACTAAGGTTTTTTGTACTGTTTTTGTCAGCCCCTTTACTGAATGGGTAATCATTGTTCTATATCTTAAGCTTATCCTTTTCCCTAGATATCCCCACTATCATTGAAAGCTAAGCCCTCATCATCTTATGCCTGCATTACTGCAGTGGGCTTCTAATTGGTTTCATTGCTTCTTTACCAGATTAATCTTTCTGCAATACCACTTTAATCATTTAACTCCCATGTTCAATAATCTATAATGTCACATTAATTCCATATTCTTATGCCTGGCTTTTAGGACTTCCTCTAATTGGATTCCCTCTTATCCAATCTTTTTTCTTCTACTTTTTTCTAAAGATGTATATTGCATTTTTGTTTTCCCTAAGCCTTTGCTCAGGCAAGTCCCCCAACCTGAAATACACTCTGACCTCACCATACCTATCAGACTCCTCCTCTTTTCATGAAGTCTTCCTTGATACCATAGCCCATACTAAATAGGTACTACATTTTCTGAATTTCTATTTCACATACATTCAGGAGACAATAGTTTAACATTAAAATTTTCTCTAATTGTGTCTCATGTTAGTCTTGAATATCCAATTGGGTTATAATCCCCTCAAAAACAAAGGCTATATTTTCTTCGTTAGGCATTCCATTGAATCTAGCGTGGTGCTGAGTACCTTAGGCAATCCTCAAAATGTTAACAAGAGTAATATGGTTAAAAGCACATAGAAGCCTGGATGAGAAATCTTGATTTTGGATGGTGCTTTGTTGTTACATAGATATAGATCTAAATCCAAGATGTGTTATGTAAGGCTTGTGTACCTTGGGTTCTGATAACCAATTTTCTTATATTAAATGATAATAATAGCTAACACATAGTGAATACTTATTTTTCCAGGTGCTGCTCTAAACACTTTATCAGTAATTTTCACAATAACCCACTAGCTAGATAATATTCTTGTTCCTATTTAGTAGCTGAGAAAACTGAGGCAAAGAGAATAAAGTTAAGTAACTTTCCCAAGATCATGGCTAATATGGGTTAGAAGCATGATTTGAACACAGGCAATCTTTGTTCAGAGTTTACAATTATAATCACAATGCTATGGGAATAGTACAGTACCTACCAAAGACAGTTAATACCAAGTGATGGTGATAGTTGTTAGGCAAGTAGTAGCTATTTTAATTTTGGAAAATCACTTCGTTTCTTTGGCATTTAGTTTTCATTCTACTATACAGACTTCATTGGAGCTATTGGGATACACAAATGAGATAATCCATAAAACTTTAAGTGCACTATATAAATTATGGTTGTTTTATTAACATTATTATACTATGAATAACTTCTCAACCTTCTCATTTCTAATACATTCTTGAAAATGCTTTAATTTCTTCCTGAACCATTGTAATCAATGCCAACAAAGTTGATCAGGGCTTTTTACTTGACATCCATTGCTTGCTTGGGAGAATACTGGAAAACTGTATTGGTCTTATAGCATTCTCCACATTTCCAAAGTTAAGCAGTATCTACCTGAGTTTAGCCTACTTCTGATTGAGACCATTATTAAGGTTATTATAATCTTCAAAATTACAACAAAATTTCCAGTCTCTTCTAGCTAATACAGTCCTCCTTTCAACATAATAGCATAGTCACAGAAGTAGTTATAAGGGGGAAGAGGTAAGAGATGATGAAGGAAAGCTAGTTACTCTAATTTTGCCCTTTTCCTAATACATTTTTATCTCATTCTTTGTAATTCAAATTAAGCTATGACTAAAATTTTTGGCAGTTTGTGCCAAATATCCCCAATCCACTATTCTATATGTTTGCTTCCAAAATTGAGAGAAACAAATGTTGTTCACCTTTCTACCTTTAATTTAGTTTATACAGGGTGTGGCCAGGTGCCAGGTGTATGGGTATACTTACTAATTTTATTTTTTAAATGGCTACTCCATATTCCTTTATTTGGATATATTATATTCCAATTAGTACTACATTATTGGATATTTGTTTTCTCTGATTTTTGTTAATGTTCATGTTCTCTGCAATCAACAACCATAATACATACATGTTTAAGGACTTTTTTAAATCTATTCTTTTATTTGAGCTATTTATCCTGAAACTCTCCCTCCACCATCTTCTACCTCCCAACAGGCCCCAGTGTGTGTTGTTCCCCTCCCTGTTTCCGTGTGTTCTCATTTTTCAGCTCCCACTTATAAGTGAGAATGTGTGATATTTGGTTTTTCATTCCTGCATGAGTTTGCTGAGGATACTGGCTTCCATTTCCATCCATGTGCCTGCAAAGGGCATGATCTCATTCCCTTTTATGGATGCACAGTATTTCATGGTGTATATGTACTACATTTCTTTATCCAGGCTATCACTGATGGGCATTTGGGTTGATTTCATGTCTTTGCTATTGTGAATAGTGCTGCAGTGAACATACATGTGCATGTATCTTTATAACAGAATGATTTATACTCCTTTGGGTATATACCCAGTAATGGAATTGCTGGGTCAAATGGTATCTCTGGTTCTAGATCTTTGAGGAATCATCACACTGTCTTTCACAATGTTTGAACCAATTTACATTCCCATCAACAGTGAAAAAGCATTCCTATTTCCCTGCAACCTCGGCAGCATCTGTGGTTTTTTGCCTTAATAATAGCCATTCTGACTGGTGTGAGATGATATCTCATTATGCTTTGGATTTGCATTTTTTTAATGATCAGTGATGCTGAGCTTTTTGATTTCATTTGTTTATTGGCTGTATAAATGTCTTCTTTTGCGAAGTGTCTGTTCATGTCCTTTGCCCACTTTTTAATAGGGTTGTTTGTTTTTCTCTTGTAAATTTGTTTAAGTTCCTTGTAGATTCTGGATATTAGACCTTTGTCAGATGGATAGATTACAAAAATTTTCTCCCATTCTGTAGGTTTTCTGTTCACTCTTATAATAGTTTCTTTTGCTGTGCAGAAGCTCTTTAGTTTATTAGATCCCAGTTGTCAACTTTTGCTTTTGTTGCAATTGCTTTAGATGTTTTTGTCATAAAATCTTTGCCCATGCCTAAGTCCTAAATGGTATTGCCTAGATTTTCTGCTAGGGTTTTTACAGTTTGGGATTTTACATTATGTCTTTAATCCATCTTGAGTAAATTTTTGTATAATGTGTAAGGAAGGGGTCCAGTTTCAATTGTCTGTATGTGGCTAGCCAGTTCTCTCAGCACCATTTATTAAATAGGAAATTCTTTTCCTATTGCTTGTTTTTGTTAGGTTTGTCAAAGATCAGATGGTTGTAAATGTATGCAAGTGATTTTTGCACATTGATTTTGTATCCTGAGACTTTCTTGAAGTTGCTTATCAGCTTAAGAAGATTTTGGGCTGAGGCAATGGTGTTTTCTGGGTATAGGATTATGTCATCTGCACACACAGATAATTTGACTTTCTCTCTTCCTATTTGAATACCCTTTATTTCTTTCTCTTGTCTGATTGCCCTGGCCAGAACTTCAAATAGTGTGTTGAACAGGAGTGGTGAGAGAGGGCATCCTTGTTTTGTGCCAGTTTTCAAGGGGAATGCTTCCAGCTTTTGCCCATTCGGTATGATATTGGCTATAGGTTTGTCATATACGGCTCTTATTATTTTGAGGTATATTCCATCATTACCTAGTTTACTGAGAGTTTTTAACATGAAGCGATGTTGAAATATCAAAGACCCTTTCTGCATCTACTGAGATAATCATGTGGGTTTTGTCTTTAGTTCTGTTTATGTGATAAATTACATGTACTGATTCGCGTATGTTGAACCAATGTTGCATCCCAGGAATGAAGCCAACTTGATCATGGTGGATAAGTTTTTTGATGTGTTGCTGCTGGATTCAGTTTGCCATTATTTTATTGAGAATTTTTGCATTGATGTTCATCAGAGATATTGGCCTTAAATTTTCTATTTTTGTTGTGTCTCTGCCAGGTTTTGGTAGCAGGATGATGCTGGCCTCATAAAATGAGTGGGGAGGGGGAGTCCCTAACTTTTCAATTGTTTGGAATAATTGCAGGAGAAATAGAAACAGCTCCTCTATGTACCTCTGGTATAATTCAGCTGTAAATCTGGCTGGTCCTGGGCTTTGTTTCGTTTGGTAAGCTATTTATTACTGCCTCAATTTCAGAACTCATTAGTGGTCTATTCAGGGATTCAGTTTCTTCCTGGTTCAGGCTTGGGAGGGTGTATGTGTCCAGGAATTTATCTGTTTCTTCTAGATTTTCAAGTTTATTTGCGTAGAGGTGTTTATAGTATTCTCTGATGGCTGTTTGTATTTCTGTGGGGTCAGTGGTGATAGCCCTTTTATCATTTTTTATTGTGTCTATTTGAGTCTTCTCTTTTCTTCTTTATTAGTCTAGCTAGCTGTCTATCTATTTTATTATTTTTTCCGGAAAATCAAATCCTGGATTCACTGATTTTTTTTGAAAGGTTTTTTGTGTCTCTATTTCCTTTAGTTCTGCTCTGATCTTGGATATTTCTTGTCTTCTGCTAGCTTTGGGGTTTGTTTGCTCTTGGTTCTCTCGTACTTTTAGTTGTGATGTTAGGATGTTGAGTTGGGGTCTTTCTAGCTTTTTGATGTGGGCATTTAGTGCTGCAAATTTCCCTCTTAATACTGCTATAGCTTTATTAAGCAATTCTGTTATATTGTCTCTTTCTTCTCATTAGTTTCAAAGAACTTCTTGATTTCTGCCTTAATTTCATTATTTACCCAGGAGAAGGTTGTTCAATTTCCATGAAGTTGTGTGGTTTGAGTGAGTTTCTTAACCTTGAGTTCTAATTTGATTGTTATGATCTCAGATACTGTTCGTTATAATTTCAGAGGGTTTTTTTTTTTTGCATTTGCTGAGGATTGTTTTACTTCCAATTATTTGATTGATTGTAGAGGAATTGTCATGTGGATCTGAGAAGAATGTATATTCTGTTGTTTTGGGGTGGAGAGTTCTATGGATATCTATCAGGTCCACTTGATCTAGAGCTGAGTTCAAGTCCTGAATATCTTTGTTAATTTTCCGTCTCAATAATTGGTCTAATATTGACAGTGGGGTGTTAAAGTCTTCCAGTATTCTTATGTGGGAGTCTAAGTCTCTTTGTAGGTCTCTAATAACTTGCTTCATGAATCTGGGTGATCCTGTATTGGGTGCATATATATTTAGTATAGTTAGCTCTTCTTATTGAATTGAACCCTTTACCATTATTAATACCCTTCTTTCTCTCTCTCTCTTTTTTTTATTGTGTGTGTTTGTTGTTTTAAAATCTGTTTTGTCAGAAACTAGGATGGCAAACCTTGCTTTTTTCTGCTTTCTATTTGCTTGGTAAGTGTTCCTCCATCTCTTTGTTTTGAGCCTATGTGTGTCTTTGCATGTAAGATGGATCTCTTGAATATAGCACACCAATGGGTCTTGTCTCTTTATCCAGTTTGCCTTCTGTGTCTTTTAACTGGGGCCTTTTGCCCATTTACATTTAAAGTTTATATTGTTATGCATGAATTGTATCCTGTCATCATGATGCTAACTGGTATATTTTGCAGACTTGTTGATGTAGTTGCTTTATAGTGTCATTGGTCTTGTACTTCAGTGTGTTTTTGTAGTGGCTGGTTACGGTTTTTCCTTTCCATATTTAGTGCCTCCTTCAGGAGCTCTGGTGGTGATGAATTTTCTCAGCATTTGCTTTTCTGAAAATGATTTTATTACTCCTTTGCTTATGAAGTTTAGTTTGGATGGATATGAAATTCTGGGTTGGAAATTTTTTTCTTCGAGAATGCTGAATATTGGCCCCCAATCTCTTTTGGCTTGTAGGGTTTCTGCTAAGAGGTCTGCTGTTAGTCTTACGGGCTTCCCTTTATAGATGAACTGGCGTTTCTCTCTGGCTGCTCTTAACAGTTTTTCCTTCAATTTGACCTTAGAGAATCAGACAATTATGTGTCTTGAGGTTGACCTCATGGAGGATCTTACTGGGGTTCCCTAGATTTCCTGATTTGAATG
The DNA here is from genome assembly GCF_000001405.40 of Homo sapiens. NCBI lineage: Eukaryota > Metazoa > Chordata > Mammalia > Primates > Hominidae > Homo > Homo sapiens. The sequence continues at coordinate 22,148,890 of NC_000011.10, forward strand.
TTGGTCCGTCTTGCTAGTTCTTCTGGATGATATTCTGATGTTTTCCAACTTGGCTCCATTCTTCCTGTCTTTTTCACTACTCCCAATCGTCACAGGTTCTGTCTTTTTTACATAAGCCCATAGTTCATGGAGGTTTTGTTAGTTCTTTTTCATTCTTTTTTATCTAATCTTGTCTGCCTGTCTTATTTCAGAAAAATAGTTTTCATGCTTTGAAATTCATTTCTCTGCTTTGTCTGTTTGGCTATTGATACTTGTGGTTACATTGTGAAGTTCTCCTTTTGTTTCACCTCCTTCAGGTCATTTAGGTTCCTCTCTAAACTGGTTATTCTGGTTAACAGCTCCTGTAATGTTTTATAATGGTTCTTAGCTTCTTTGCATTGGGTTAGAACATGCTCCTTTAGCTCAGCAAAGCTCATTATTACTCACCTTCTGAGGGCTTCTTCTGGCAGTTCATCAATCTCAACCTTAGCCTAGCTCTGTGCCCTTGCTGGAGAGGTGTTGAGATTATTTGGAAGAGAAGAGGCACTCTGGCTTTTTGAGTTTTCAGCATTTTTTCATTGATTCTTTCTAATCTTCATGAGTTTATCTAGCTTCAATCTTTGAGGCTGCAAATCTTTGGACAGGATTTTTGTGGGAACTTTTTTGTTGATACTATTGTTGTTGCTTTGTTTGTTTGTTTTTCTTTTTAACAGTCAAATTCCTCTTCTGTAGGGCTTCTGCAGTTTGCTGGGGGTCCACACCAGACCCTATTCACCTGCATCCCTCCCACACCTGGAGGTGTTATCAGTGGAGGTTGCAGAAGAGCAAAGATGGCTGCCTGCTCCTTCCTCTGGAAGGTCTGTCTCAGAGGGGCACCGACCTGATGCCAGCAGGGATGCTCCTGTGTAAGGTCCCCGGTGACCCTACTGGGGGATCTCACCTAGTCAGGATGCACAGGATCAGGGGCCCGCTTAACCAAGCATCCTCGCTGCCCCTTGGTGGTGGGGGTGCACTGTGCTGGGGGGAATCCCACTGGTCTGGACTGCCTGTATTCCTCAGAGCCAGCAGGGGGAAAGACTAAGTCAAGTCCACTGATTCATGGAGACAACTGCCACCCCTTCCCCAGGGGCTCTGTCCCAGGGAGATCAGAATTCTGTCCATAAACCCCTGGCTGGAGTTGTAGAAATTCCCTCAGGGAGGCCCCATCCAGTGAAAAGGGATGGATCTGGTCTGGCCTAAAGATACAGTCTGGCCATGAACTGCCACAGCCACTGTGCTGCACTGCGGGGATTTCCTCCTGGCTCCAAGCCACCCAGGCTCCCTGGAACTAGCTGGGGAAAATGACAGACTGGAGCTGCTGTGATGGCTGCTGCCCCTTCCCTGGAAACTCGGTAGCCTTAGGTAGTCTCCAGTAGAGTGCCCACCGAAAATCTGCACAGCTCTGTGCTTGGGACCCAGGGTCCTGTTGGCATTGGCTCACAAGGGGATCTCCTGATCTGCAGGTGGCACAGATTCATGGAAAAAGTGTGGTTTCCTGGGTGGGGTAGCACAATCACTCACTGCCTCTCTTGGCTAGGGGTGAGAGCTCGCCTTGCCCCGTGCTGCTCCAGGGTGGGCCCTCATTCCACCCTGCTTTTCCTTGCTCTCTGTGCATCACACCAACTTCCTAGTCAGTCCCAATGAGAGAACCTGGATGCCTCAGTTGCCGGTGCAGGATTCACTCGCCGTTTTCGTTGTTCTTGGGGTGCACCTCCAACCGCAGGTGTTTCTACTTGGCCATCTTGGCCCCTCTGAGTATATTTACTTAATAGGCATAATCTAACTTGATTAGCTCTGAAGGAAAAGAACAAAGGAAAGCCACTATGCAGTAATATGGAATAATGCTCTTCTGCATAAATATGAACAATTTCAGTCTCCTCTCAGTTCACTAATAATTCTATCATTTAGACTTCAGTATGCTCAATTATAACTACATATTATTCTCTTCCAAAATAGCAGTAGCCTGTTTTTTTAATATAAATAAGTAATTATGAGTATGGAGGTTGATGGCATAGAGAGGGCATTCATTAGGTTTTTTTATTAGGTATAATGATAATACCAGTAATGGCCTTATTCTCTTTCTTGTTTTTCTTCTTATTGACCTTTCTTTTCCCTCCAAGCAATAGTGTTATGAAAAGTGAGTGAGCCGAAGAAGCCTAAACCAACACTGGGAGTTGGATTAGCTCTTACCTGATAAAATATGTCATCTTGTCTAGAGATATGATGCTTTGGTCTTAGAACTTTTGAAAAGGGGTGTGCTTAGTCAGTTTGCACTGCTATAACAAATCACCATAAATTAAGTGACTTTAAACAATAGAAATTTATTTCTTAACAGTCTGCAGGTTGGAAATCCAAGACCAGGGTGGAAGCATGGTTGGGTTCTGGTGAAGACCATCTTCCAGGTTGCAGACTGCCAACTTCTTATTGTACATTGGTATCCTCACATGGCAGAAAGAGAGTGAGAGCTCTGTTGGGTCCCTTATATACGGGTATTAATTTCATTCTTGAGGGCTCCACCCTCATCACCTAATATTCTCCCAAAGTCCCCACTGCTAATACCGACACATTGAGTCTTAAGAGTTCAACATATAAATTTTGAGAGGAACACAAACATTCAGTTCATTTTAGGGAAAAATTCTGGAAAACTAAACCTTTTATTTCATCCTATATTTTCAAAATAGAGGAAAGTGACAAAGAACTTAATTTATTTTTTGACCAATACCAGTATGAAATAACTAAATCAACATTATGAGATAGCAAAAGGAAAAAGAAAAATCATTCCCAAAGGGGCCACTATGTTACTCGCTCCTCTCTTACCTACCTAAAGCAGAGGCTCCTGACCAACATCAGGACCCTGCTATGCTAAAAGGAGACTAAATATCTGCCCAGATGCTAATCCTCATATTCCTCTCCATGGCTAGATGTAGCCTGGGGTGGTCAGAGCTATTCATCTTTTATATAATCATAACCATTAAGTTTACCCAATGTGCCTATGAATATTTTTATTTCCCACATGTGCCATTATAAGATAAAGGTTAAAAAGCACTGACTGATGTAAATTCTGCCCAAGCCTTCTCCACAAGACAGATTGCACTTATCTAGCAATTTATCTCTCTCTCTTTCTCTCTCCCTCTGTGTGAGTGTCTGTGTGTGTGTGTGTGTGTACGTGTGTGTTAGCGTTCACAATTACCCTAAACATGTTTGGAGGCGGTGAATCAATATTATACAATTTTACATTTAATACATCACTGTACATATAGTGAGATCTTTATAATAAAATGCTGGTTGATATAAATCCATTTTATGTCAAAATAAATGAATATGGCATGACACATCACTCCCTCGCCTATCTGAACCAGCATTCAGACAGATCCAGAGAAGGGCATGATTTCTACTTTCTTTCTTTCTTTCTTTTTTTCTTTTTTATTTTTATTTTTATTTATTTTTTTTTTTTTTTGAGACGGAGTCTCTCTGTCTCCCAGGCTGGAGTGTAGTGGTGCGATCTAGGCTCACTGCAAGCTCCGCCTCCCGGGTTCCCGCCATTCCCCTGCCTCAGCCTCCCGAGTAGCTGGGACTACAGGCGCCCCCGCCACCACGCCCGGCTATTTTTTTTTTTTTTTTTTGTATTTTTAGTAGAAATGGGGTTTAACCGTGTTAGCCAGGATGGCCTCGATTTCCTGACCTCGTGATCCGCCCGCCTTGGCCTCCCAAAGCGCTGGGATTACAGGCGTGAGCCACCATGCCCGGCCGTGATTTCTACTTTCAACATTTAAGCCACATTCCATATCCTGATGGAAGTTCCAGAGAAGAGTTTGCATACAGTGTTTCCAGTTGTGTAAGTAGTTATTAGTATGAAAATATTTTATTAGACAAGTAAAAACCAAGGTTGGTGTGAAAGTCACAACTCAAACTGCTGACCAGACCACTGGCAGCTGGTTGCTGGTCCTCAAAATAGCTTTTTTTTTTTCCATGTATAAACTTTAAAAATCCATGCCTTTGGTTTTGAGTCACACAGTCTGTGGGTTCCCCCTGCTGGCTCTTTAAGTATTAGGACTCACAAGCTAAAAAACACGTAGGGATACCTATACACTGAAAACCAACTCCAGAGACAAAGCATCAGAATGATGCCTTGTATTGGAAGATTCCAGTTTGGAAGGGCAGAGAGATGTGGAGATAATACTAAGCTTATTTAACCTAAGAACCAGTGAGACTCAGCCCATTCTATTTGACATGTTTACCCACTTATTGTTTTTATGAATTGGTTACTAATGTGTAAAATTTGAATTTTTCGTTTCCTTTGAAAGGCTGCCAACAGAGAGTCAATATTGTTCCACAGCTGTGGTAAAGTAGTGTTTGCCCTTCTTAGATGGGGCATGCCCACTTGCCCACTAGAATTTGCCACAGTTACTAGTATTTGCTATGCCATGACTCACACTTACCGGGTGTGTCAGTTGTCCATTATCATCAGGCATGAGCTGTTTTTTTTTTTTTTTTTTTTTTTTTTTTTTTTTTTTTTTTTTTTTGTATACTTAGCCAATTTCACTCATTACAGTTTGGTGCCCAGATTCCACCAGACATTTGAGTTTTGAACTTCCGCTTTGAAACATAGGGCAGGTACCAATTTCTCCAAAACTCACTACTGATTCCTCCAAATCCTTATACCTCAACCCCTTGCAAACTAAGTGTTTTTGTTATTTTGACATATGTAATTTAGAACTTAGCTGCTCGTAATGAAGCTACTTTTACCGCTTGGAGCTGAAATATGATAAAAATACATATAGAGATTCCTCTTAATAATGAACTATCAAAAGAATACCCTTACAGTACTGTTTCACTTCTGAATCAATTTCTATAGCTGCAGCAAGGAAGAAGAGAGAGACTAGTATTTAAAAAAACTTTATCAGTCAAGTAGCAGAAGAAAAAATACACTGTGACTGAGAATGGGATGAAAGAAATATCTGAGGTCTTTTAAGAAAAGACCATATAATCTTATCTAGACCTGGCCACGACAAGCTGAAATTGAGGAAACCCAAAACTCCTTTTACACCGCATTTGGGTAAAAAGCAAAGCCTTGACCTGTTATTACCTGCCCCCAAGAAACCCAAACCTGCCATCAGGACTCACTGCTTCTTGATAATAGAGGTGCCAGGCACTGGTGGTTCACCAAAGCAGCTGTTAAGTTTATATATTTAGCATGAAATGAGTTTCTTTGGGGAGGGTGAAGATGGACTTTTTTTTTTTTTTAACACTGGAATGGTTAAATAATGATTTTCTGAGAACTTTCTGTTAAAAGGCCCTCCTATTCAAGTTCAGTTTCTTCCCTTCATCCACCTCTCATTCCAAATCTTCATTTTCCACATCTCAGTAGTTCTTACTCTATTAAGAGATAACAAAATGAAGCAGTATGAAGATTCTTGCCGGGGGTCAGGATTTCTGGATCCAAATCACATCTCTGCTGCTGACCATTTTCTGGACCAGTTTCTCCCATTAGCAAAATATGAGTTTAGAATACAGAAAAATGCATTGCTTTCCTTAATGACTACTACGTAATTAGGCATCCATGTACGTGTGCTTATCTAGTATAATCTTTTAAACTAAACACAAAAGCAAGTCAAAGGGTCCACAGTTAGTGTATGAGAATTATACATGACCCAAATATAAGCAAGTTGAATATGGGGGCCTTATTCACGTCTATTTTTTCTTATGGCAGAAATCTTTTCTAAGAATTTCTTGTTGTTTTATGATAAAATGTTCATAAAATGAAACCAAGCAGCTCAAACTGTATAATGAATTACTAACAACATTAAATACAATAACTAATATATCCAAGCCAGCTAGCCAGACACCTCTCAAAGAGAAATAAATGATTAGGTCCCAGCGGCTTGAAAGATCATGAATGGTAATCATGTCTAAAGCAAAAATTTGAAAAGTCCTCAGGGCCAAGTGGGCCATATCTGTCTCATGGGGTAAATAGTGGGCTTCAGATATTAGGCAATCGTTAATGTCTCTGCTCTTTCTAATATCCCCTTCCTCATCCTTCTTGCTAAAGTAGTATTTTCCAAAGGGAATTTCATGGGATATCACTTGGTATCCTAAAGAAAAACAAGAGAGAGGGGGTAAGAGGCTCTATAATTTTTTAGGATATGCTGAATCGAATAACAATATGGTAGAAACAACTAGTGGGTACCAGTCTTAATACCTGGCTGATTAAATAATCTGTACAACAAAATCCTGTGATATAAGTATACCTATGTAACAAACCTGCACTGATACCTAGGAGATTAAAAGTTAAAACAAAACAATATAGTGAAAACAGATTCTTCCCTGAGTCTTTAATATACCAACATGACAAGTGTTCTGGGAATTTGCATAAGGCGATAGCTACAGTAGTTCTCAATGAGGTTTGGTACCATCCTCCAAGGATCATAGTATTAGTCTGTTTTCACACTGCTAATAAAGACATACCCAAGGCTGGGTAATTTACTTTTTTATAAAACGTTTTAATTAACTCACAGTTCCACATGGCTGTGGAGGCCTCACAATCATGGTGGAAGGCGAAGGAGGAGTAAAGGCACATCTTACATAGCAGCAGGCAGGAGAGCCTGTGCAGGGGAACTGCCTTTTTTAAAACCATCAGATCTCATGAGACTTATTCACTATCATGAGAACAGCATGGGGAAGAACCCGCCCCCATGATTCAATTACCTCCCACCAGGTTCCTCCCACGACATGTGGGGATTGTGGGAGCTACAATTCAAGATGAGATTTGAGGGGGTAGGGGGGCAGAGCCAAATCATATAAATCACTTATAAATGTATTAAGTCAATTTTGATTATCATGATGATGAGAACCTTTACTTGCATTTAAAGTCCAGAGAACATGGATGCTAAATAACGTGCAATATTTGGGGATAATTGCAGAAAACAAAGAATTGTCTGGCTGTAAGTGCTAGTAGCCTCTTGTTGACATCAGCAAAGACTGCAGCATTTCCAAAAGGAATTTGAACAAAGAGCCTTCAGTTTGGAGTGAAACTTGTGAGACTACTATTTCCTGGAATCCATTTTGGGAAAGGTAGCTTAAGATACTTACTTAAAGACTTAGTTATAGCACTAGTCACCACCCACCACCACCTATGAATTTCTTTTTTTAACTGGGACTTGGTGAAGACCCAGATTATTTCAATCCCTTTAATCAAAGTGAAATGAAGGCAGTGGAAGGGAGAAGCGTAATTGTGGGCAGAAATCCTGCCTCAAATACACTTAGGCGGAAAACCGCTTTATCTCTTCAGAGCATTTGTGGCTACTTCTCTTCCCTGAAGCATTAAGAAGACTCCATAAGCAAAGCCCTTCCACATCATAGGACAAATTGCTGAAGTGAAAGAGAGCTACCCTCTACTTACTGGGACTGGTGTGAGGACCTTAACCAAGAAAAGAAGATACTGAATTGTAAATGTACCTAGGGGAATAAAATCTGAGTCTTACAAGTGCCTAAGAAATCAGCTTGTGGAACTTCCCAAACTTCCACATCAAGAAGTCTTTTCCTCTCCATTTTCACAGAAACTTCAAATTGTTACCCTTTTGATACTTTTTCCCCACCTTCACTGCTATTTCGATATAATTCATCATCTGATTTTATCATTAAATATTAAAAGGATTTTCAGAGAGTGTAAGGAGGTATAAACAACACATGTGATAAACATACTCTTCTCACCCCTTCCCCAAATAATAGCTATTAAGTTCTGCACCTAATACAAAGCTATTTAGCTGGCTGAACTTGGGAAAATCACTAATACTTTTGGGAATCTTGGTTTTCTTGTCTCTAAAATAGAGTTACTAAAAATGTTCACTTTACAGGGTTGCTGTACACATGAAATGAGATCATGTTGCAAAAGGCTTTTGTCCTGTTGCACAATTAAGTGATCAATTGATGGTAAAGCTGTTATTTTTATTATTAATAGACATGAAACCGGTCTTCTAAGTCTTCGTTCAGAGTTCTTTGGCTACCTGAAATTCTCAAGAAGACCGTGCTGCTTCCAGATGTAGCTGAGAAGGTGGCTTTTCTAAACTTCTCAGGCAGCACTGGTGCAAGCAGACGGCAGCTGCAGCCTACTAGCCTGGTTTCTTATTCACCTTCTCAGGTTCCTTCTTCCACTCCCTTCTCCATCAGTTAAGATTTCCCTCAAGAAGGCACAGTAGCAGCAGAGGCCACCAAGTTAACAACTTTTCTTCTCCAGTGTTCAGCTCTGTGGGATTTACTGTTCCACTTTTTTAATCTGAACTGATCCTCAGGGTAATTCATAAATAGCATTATATTTGTTAGTCTTTATTACCTGGCCCATTTGGCAGTTTGCAGGTAATATTGGCATAACATGACTCTATACAGGAGAGTGAGGGATCCACAGTCAGAATTGACTAGAGCTCTATATAGCAATGAGGCCACTCCTCTCACTTATATTTCACAAGTAGGAAACGTAAGGTCTAGAGGGGGCACTCATTTGCCCAGGCCTCACCATGGTAAGTAAACTGCAGAACTGGGTCTGGATCTGGTTCTCTTGGCTCTTTCAGAGTACAGAGAATACTATTTTGATTGTACCTTAGTACCTCTTCTAGCCATAAGCATGAAACCAGGAAAATTCAGCTATAAGCATCTTAGTAAACTAGCAATGTATTTAGCTTAAATTCACAATGTAGATATTTCGTGTCAGGGATTCTGACTAAGAGTGCTGGATTACATAGTACTATTTCAACAAAATAAACTTCGACCCACTAATACCAGTCCTCAGAAGGAGCATCTGGAAGGAAGACTTGCCCAAGAAGTTATGGGTGTGTCTTATCAGATTTTCACAGGGATCCTGCTCTTAAGCCCCACTCTTACACCACCTCCTGCTGAATGCATTGGCTTACAAAGTGTGTAAGCTATTCTGTGCTCACCTGAACACAGTAGTGACATGGAGAGGAATTTTTACAGTCTTTACCTGCATAGTTAGAGGAAGAAAAAGAACTATGAATCTCCTCTCCCTAAATGCACTATACAACCCTCCTCAGAGGTTCTGTTATCTCTACAGGGCACTTCCAGGAATCAGGGCTTGGATTGCCACAGACCCAGCAACCACATACCTTCCTCTCTTTTCCTTAGCCCTGTACTGAGGGAAACTTGTCTCTGCCTTCCATTTTCCCCAGCGTCTCACATCAAACCCTCGTCTTCCTTTTCATTTCTTTCAATTGACTTTGACAGCTTATTAAACCCAGATCCTAAGTATTCCCATCTTTCCTTGAGGGAAAGAAATTCATCTTCAAATCCTTCCAGAGGTTAAGGAGAAACTTTGTCATTCAATTCCTGCTGAATAGCAAAGAAAGGCAAGAAAAGCAAATCAGTTAAGCCTGTATTTTAAGATTATCTGAATATTTATATTCTACTATAACTTTAAAAGTAAGGTAAATTTAGGGGGACACAAAATCCAAACCAAATTCCTCACCTTACTATAATTAACTAGTTCTCTGTTCTCAGCTTCTGATTTCTTCCATAGGGTTTGTATCTGGTAAATTCCCTCACTTCATTTAATCTGCAGCCTCTTCCTTCTTAATTTTCTTTTTAGACTTATCCATTCCCGATCTCAGTGCAAACTATACATTAAAAAAAAATACATGGGGACATGGAGGGGAGGGCAGTCCAGCAATATAGTCCAGGACAAAGCAGTAACCAGAGCTGTCCTTTTCTGTAAAAGGGGAATAATAATAGAATCTAACATATAGTGTTATTATGAAGATTAAAAGAAGATATTTCATATGAAGCATTTAGCCCAGCCCTTGACACATGTAAGTATCCAATAAATGTTTGCTCTTATTAAATTTTTATGGTAAAATTACCCCTACACAGTAACCATATGGTTCTTTCTCTAAGTGAGGCACAGTACACCCACCTTTCAGTGACACTATGCATTTGGAATCATTAGGAGAAAAACATTAGTTAACTCCTTCAATTTGATTCCACCACCTACAAATTTAAAATGAAATTTAAACAAGGAATCTCTTCTAGGCACTTAATAAGGGCTTATTTTTAGCCAAGCATTACTCTAGGTTCAGGGCAGAGAGCAAAAGGAAAAGGCAAGCATATTGAGAACAAGAATTTACAGTGTCACTAGAAAATAACACTTGGGTTTGGAGGGTGAATTAAGTTTGCTTTTTCCCTTTCTTACTTGTCATTTATATTTGTATTCAGAAAATTTTAGAAAAAGTATTCTTTATAAGACTTGCTTACCTCGTGTTTCTTGCTAAGAATGTGGCCTCTGGTTATTTGACTTATTCGGGAACTAATCACCAAAAACTGATTCATATGGTTCCTGTTTCTCAAGTGGTCCCATTTGAATGGCATTACCTTGAGATATAAGGTTCCTGTCCCATTAGACATTTTAAATAAACGTGTTTTTACTAAAAACTAGAATCAGAAAACTGTACCCAATAAAATCAATAAATTAAGGCTACTCCGGCAAAACTCCTTGATTTTCATTGAGCATATGCATATCCCTTAGGAGTTATACAAGTACTACATAAAGTACTATGGAAAACATTATGTAAAATTTAACTATATGATGAAGCGGTTATTGCCAATACAAATAGTAGTAATGACAACACTCAGCAATAGCCATAATACCATGGCAGGAAACTCCAAAAGAGAAAAAAAAAATCAAGGAAAACTTTCTAAAAATAAAATCCTGACTGCCTCCCTTTCACTCTCTCTCTCCCTTTGTGTGTGTGTGTGTGTGTGTGTGTGTGTGTGTGTGTGTGTGTGTGTGTAGAAACAAGAGGCATCCAGAAAGCCCAATCAATCAGGGTCTACACAGAGCATTCAAATGAGTTCTGCTTTTGGCTTTGAAAATAAGTATAAGAAGGGTGCTGTCCTTCTCAGTAACATGGATGGAGCTGGAGACCATTATCCTAAGTAACATAATTCAAAAACAGAAAATCAAATACTGCATATTCTCAAAAGTAGGAGATAAACAATCAGTACATGTGGACATGAAGATGGAAATAATAGACACTAGGACCCCCAAAGTGGGAAGAATGGGAGTGGAGAGGAGGTTGAAAAATCACCTACTGGTTACAGCATTCACTACTCGGGTGATGGGTGCACGAGAAGCCCAAACCTCACTGCTTCTCAATATATCTAAGTAATAAACCTCCACATGTACTCCTTGAATCTATAAAAATAAGTAAATAAATAAAAAGAGGGCTGTTAAAGGAAAGACATCACACTGGACAAGACAGTAAACACCCAAGTTAGTTTTGTTCCAATTTGATCACCAGCAATAGGAGAAAGGGCACAAAGTCTGCACACTCAGCTCCACTAAGAAAAGGGGGAGAGAGTCTTTATTAAGAGCTGGGGTTGAGGGTCATAAGCCATCTGTGTTTGCTAACTGGCCTTACCCATAGGAAAAGAAGACTTTCTTATGTCTTCCTAACTGGAGGTCCTTTCACAACTTGGAACAAAGCATTTGCTGAAGGTAGGTTCCTAACCTTCCACAAAAACTGGGAGATAGGGATGCTATCTTCCTTGTTCATTATATTTCAAAGAGTACATTTCCAAGTTTTTAGGAAAGCATTTTCTGGGTGGTAAAACTAGCAAGAGGCTTTTTAAAATATTAACATCTCAAAGGAGCAGAGAATTTAGGATTACAAATATTCTAAAGTCAATAATCCAAGAAAAGAGAGGTGAGGGGCTTAATGTAGAGAATAAATATGTCTAACGGTTAGTCAAGCTGAGGGAAACTTTAGGCCTTATTGGTCAGAGGCCATTCACTTGCATATACACAAGTATATGTGGAGAAACCATGGTAATAACGTCAGAAAGGCTAACTCCTGAACAGAAATAACATAGGTTCACTCCAGAAAGACAGCTGCTATATTGGAAAAGTATATGACAGTTGTCATAGGAGCCAGGTAAAGCCCTGCACTTAGATTTGAAAAATGAACACATCTTTCCAAGACTGCAGACATTTTATGGAAGCTCTGTTATGCTGGATTTTCCATGCTGACACCCTCCTCACCCTTCCACTCTTCATCAGAATGAACTTGTTCCATATTCCATTTGCTGTCTCTGACAAATCAATTTTTGCTAGGGTAATAAAAGGTACACTAAGAATTACAAGATGATTGACTATTTTAAGGCAACATATAGTCTGCTATTTAGTTGCTTAAATATTGTAGTTGCTAAAATAGATGAAGCCTTAGTCACATTTCCTAACAAGGAACAGTGACTGTCTACTTCTACAATGCTGAATTTTATCCATTTATAAAATATACTTTGTTGATTTTTCTTAAATGCTGTCTGCTTTACTTGGTATCCATTCTAAAAAAAAAACTGAGTGAATGTAAAAGCTATACTCAGTGCTTAGATTTATCTAGGAATCTTCCTTTTAAGTAATAAAAGCAATAATATTTATATTGCTTTTATATGTTATCATGTAGCATACTCATATGTACTTACATGAATATATAGAACTTCATAGTTTGAAGCTGCTTCTCTAGCTACTAATTCATTTCATCTTCACAACAATCCTTGAAGAATTATTATCCCAATTTTACAAGAGTTAAGTGAAGCTCACTGATGATAGTGGCCGAAGTCTTATGCCAAGGAAATGTCAAAGCTACTAACAGAAAAACAAGAGAAATTGTTTATGGCATTGGCTTCCAGAGGCCTCCATCTTAACAGGGAGTCCTTTGCCAACTTTGAAATAAGGAGTTTAGGCTAAGTGAGGTTCATGTCTCTTTCAGCTCTGAGTTTGTGGTTTTGCCTTGGTGGTTTTTGTAATTACAACTTCAACTCTGTGTCCATATGATACCTTGCATGGTAATATATTTGCATTATTAAAAGGTCTTCTGAAGTCCAAGTTGTTTTTTAAAAGAAAAACTCAACTTTCATGTTCTACTTTGGTAAAAGAAAGAGGCTAGATGAAAATATATCTAAGATACTTTTTCAGTTCTATTAATTTACAAAGTGTTTAACTTTTTGTTTTTCTCATCTCTTTCTGCTTTAAATATGCTTACCAATATTCTTGCATTTTTATGTAAAGTCATTAAAAAATCTGTCTGCATTCCCTAAACACACATGCACAAGCAACTTCAGAGGCTCAGAATCTACCAGCCTGAGTCCACCAACTAGCAATGAGCCAGAGATCTGCTTTTCTGCTTTTACTTGACAAGAGATTTAAATATAGCCAATTCAAGAATATTACAGTGTTCCCTTCCCAACCACAAGTAACATTTCATTCGTTTCACTGAACATTTATTTTCTATCCAAGGACTCAAATGAAACCACATTTAAGAGAATGCTCTATGACAATGGTTGTACTTATACTGTGTGTACTCTGAAGTACTTGGCAAAGGTTCCGCATGCTTGCATTAAGAATCGGATTGGGGGTGGCATTATAAAACTAGAGTGATTGCTCAAAATCTATACCTTGCCCTCCTTTAAATTATGTAGCTACCCAACCTTAAATTTAAACATAAAATTTATAGGCTGGGCACAAAGTGGCTCACGGCTGTAATCCCAGCACTTTGGGAGGCCAAGGAGGGTGGATCACTTGAGGTCAGGAGTTCAAAACAAGCCTGGCCAACATGGTGAAACCCCATCCCTACTAAAAATACAAAAAAATTAGCGGGGCGTGGTGGCAGGCAACTATAATGCCAGCTACTCTGGAGGCAGAGGCAGGAGAATCACTTGAACCCAGGAGGCAGAGGTTGCAGTGAGACGAGATCATCCCACTGCACTCCAGCCTGGGTGACAGAGTGAGACTCTGCCTCAAACAAAACAAAACAAAACAAAACAAAACAAAAACCATAAAATTTATAGTATGTAGTTAAAGAAATAAGGCAAAAAGGAGAGAAGACACTACCATTCAGTTGATTTTGTGTACTGTAGATTAAGCAAGCTGTGAAAAAGGCAAGGACGGTGCATAAAGGCCTTCTATCTCCTGCAATCCTCCTCCAGCCCTGCTCTCATTGCCCTCAGCTTCTGTTCAGCTGCCAAGTGCCAGCGTTCCCTCAACTTACGCCAATCCACAACCTCTCCACCCAACAACATACTTCCCCCAGCCAGCCATGTAGACAAGTAATCAGCCAACCCATGCTGGTGTATCTCTTACTTTATAATTGTCACTCCCTACCATAATTGTCTCCTTTTTTTTCTAATCCTAGGAACATTCCCATTTCTTACCTATGTAAGAAATTCTTGGCTGTAAATAATAAGTATATGATTTACCTTATGTAAGGCTAAGAGTCAGGTTTTGGAACTAGGCAAACTGCTCTGCTACTTATTGTGTGACATTAAGTAAATCACTTAACCTCCCTGAGTCTTACTTTCTTTATCTGTAACATGGAGATAATATTACTGTCTTCACTGGGTTTTGTGAGCACATAGTTTCTGCCCTGAAAATATAGTCATTGTTGTTGTTGTCACTTTAAAAAAGAGAAAATTGTTCCAGAAGATAACTCATTTTTTTTTTTAACAGCGGTTTGAAGTTGCATGATCTTGTGGTTAAAAAAAAAAAACAATGATACTACACTGGACTGGAAGATTTCAGATCTAGTCCCTGCCTCACTTCCTCATTGTGTAACAGAGGGCACTAGAGACACATTGCCGAAGAAGGATTTTCCTTTCTGGTTCTGATGAGCTGGCTCAGAAGCCCTCTGCAGCCCACACAACTTCTCCCATGCCCAGCTGTTTCAGTGAACTGCTTCTCTAGTGCCCAGTTCCTGTACCAAGTACAGCTTCCCCAGAGCCTAGCTCCTGCAGCAGACAGTTATCAGGAGCACCCAGTAGGCAGCAGCTTCCCCTGCCATCCGCTCAACCAGGCAATTTTGTATTGGAATGCCTCAGGCAAGACAACTTCTGTGAACAACTTTTTCCAGTCTCTAGAGTGTAGATTTTCTGTAAGTTTCTAGAGGGCAGATTTCCAGCAGTTTCCACTAGTGAGGTGCCACAGCAATTTCTCTGCCATCCAATGAACCATAGCAGAGCCTTCTCCCAAAAGATCTGGGTCTCAGCCTGGGAGCTGGGAGTGGATCTTCCTTGGCTGCTGTATCTCAGCCTATCTCAGTCTGGGAGGTACTGGCTGCTCTTTATATTTGCTACTCCCGTATTCCTTAGAATTCTCTTTACTTCTTAAGAACCAAACCCTTATTGTGCCAATCCCTTTTTATAATTAATAATTCTTTAAATTTTTCCCATTCAAATTACCATGTAGTTTTTGTCTTCTGATTGGACATTGACTGATACACTCAGAAATACTATTATTTCCAGAATGCTATTGTTAAGAATGAGATCTTTTTTTTTCCTTTTTTTTTTTTTTTTTGACACAGATTTTCGCTCTTATTGCCCAGGCTGGAGTGCAATGGTGTGATCTTCGCTCACTGCAAGCAATTCTTCTGCCTCAGCCTCCCAAGTACTTGTGATTGCAGGCATGCACCACCACGCCCAGCTAATTTTGTATTTTTAGTACAGATGGGGTTTCACTATGTTCAGGCTGGTCTTGAATTCCTGACCTCAGGTGATCCACCCACCTCGGCCTGCCAAAGTGCTGGGATTACAGGCATGAGCCACCGCGCCCGGCCTAGGAATAAGATCTTGTAATTTCACTGCTAAGCCTCTCTAAGGAGCATTGTTTTGGAGGTGAGACGTCAGAAGAAAGTAACAAGGCTTTTGGAATGGCAGAACCACATGTGAAAGACACAAAAACCTTCACTTAGAATACAAAACAGATATGCATAGAGCCCAAAGTCATCTAAATAATCAAGAGGGACATTCATAAGTTTTATTTGGTTTTGTACCACTTAGAGTTAGCTAGACTGCAAAGTTAAGGTCACAGTCCTCTAGACTGCCAAGTCTGCCCAAGACTTTTGAAACAGACAAGTTTGGGAGGCTCCCAGAATCATCCCCAGAATCATTCTTGGGCTCAATAATTTGTTAGAAAGACTCACAGAACTCACTGAAAGTTATTATACTCAAGGTCACTTTTATTAAAAGGAAAATATACAAATTAGAACCAGACAAAGGAAGACACACAAGGCAGAGTCTTGGAAGGATCCAAACAAACACAGGGCATCTAGTCATCCTTTCTCCAAGGAGTCAGGGATGGACAGGGTTACCTCCTTCTGGCCACAAGCTATGGCACTACACATGGGTATTGCCAGCCAGAGAAGCTCAATTGAGGTTTGATGTCCAGAATTTTTATTAGGGTCCATTACTTAGGCAAAATTGATTGAATCACGCTCCCTGAAGGTTAAACTGAGATCACATGGTCAGAAGGGCTTACCATGAGTTACCTTTATAGCATAAACTATTAGCGGATCCAGATCAAATGACAAAGACACTCCTATCAATAAGGAAATGCCAAAGGTTCCAAGGTTACCTCCCAGGAACCTGAGACAAAGGCCAGATCTCTTTATGACCTGGCTAAATTCCTTGCTACTCATGTACCAAATACATTGAAGAGCTGAAACAAAAGAAGTTATAGTAATTATTACCCTAAAGACAGATTTTCTTGGAAACAAATGTAGTTGTTTCTATAAGGTCAGTCTCATTGGAAGGATAATAGATTGGATATAAAAAAGGAGAAGGAGCAGCCAAAAATGTCATAGGGTTTTCCTTTTCTTCTGTCTTCTTTTTAACTTTTATTCTAGGTTCAGGTTTACATATGCAGGTTTGTTATATATGTAAAGTGTACCTTATCAGTTTTTAATTATTTTTTCAACCTTGGGATCCCAGGTTTTATGTACTCGCATGGAAAGCTGATTTAGAAGTGAAATTTGTCACATTAATTTCCTGTTTTCTTTCTTTTATATGACATCATTTTCATCTCTGTATACTTTCATGCTTCATCTCATTATAGATTTGCCTCTATAACCATCCTGAAAGCACAAAGAAATTATTCTATGCCTCTTTTCTCCCTCCCCAACTCCAGGAAGAGTTAGTATATCAAAACGTCACTATCCCACCAGAATCTGTGGTCATGTGGTCTCTCATGTTCTCTTTCTTCTTGTTCTAAATAGTTTCATGTGCTCAGTGATTAGATCACTGTTTTGCATGTGTATGTGTTCAATTACATTAGCAGTGATCCAGGGAATGCCATAATGTTATTATATATAGTGAATGGTCAGGACACTATACAGGCTGTCTGAAATAGATGTAAAATGTTATTTCCATGGCTGCTTTATCATTGTATTTGGTCCAGTTAAATTGTATGTGGTAAAAAGCAAAATAAAATAAAGGTGAGGAAAGCAGATTGGATACGCTATAAATTCACAGAAACCAACCCTGATATAATTGCAACACTATTAGTTCATCCTTCTACATTTATATGGTGAGCTCATTTTCTTCTATCACTACACTTATTACTCTATCATCAAGTCTTAACTCTCCATTTTATTCTTAAAATTAAGCAGATGATGTCACCATTTACCTTACAGGGAAAATACAAACATTACATATACATGCACACACTCACACAAATACATCTCTTCCCTGCCAAGAAATACGCAAATTTGCCATATATACATAACTAATTTAACAATATTTCTCCCTGGTTAAAATAAAGTGTATCTCCTTTCTATCTAAGGGCAATGCTTTCCTACATGCTTTCAGATACATCACCTTTACTTTTCTCCAGAAAATTGGATTGTTGATTAACATTGTTATTCCTTTTCCTTCTCATATGTTGCAACATCTCTGTGGATTCTTCCTTTGGTGTTTAAACATACCCAAGTTTCTCCCAATTAAATATAAAAGTCCTTCCTTCAATACTACATCCTATACTAGTTAGCAGACTATCTCTCTTCTCACCTTTAAGGCTAAATTTCTATAAAGAAATATTTCAACTCACTTCTAACTCACTCCTCAAACTACTCTAGCCTGGAGTTTTGCCTCCATCATGCTACTGAACCATGTCTCATGAAGATCACCCAAAATCTCCTGTTACTAAATCTGTTACTGGTGGAGGGTATCTGAGTTATCAGTGGCAAATCTGTATGAGTCTGCAGCAACTTCAATTCTTGCCTCCTCCGAATAAAGAATTCAACTGAGGGTCATAAAGCAGAAGAAGAGACCAAGGTGAGTTTCAGAGCAGGAGTGGATGTTTCTTTTAAAAGGCTTTAGAACAGGAAAGAAAGGAGGCCTATCACCTGAGGTCAACACAGCAAAACCTCATCTCTACTAAAAATACAAAAATTTGCTAGGCGTGGTGGCAGGCGCCTGTAATCCAATTACTCAGGAGGCTGAGGCATGAGAATTGCTTGAACCCAGGAGGCGGAGGTTGCAGTGAGCCAAGATTGTGCCACTGCACTCCAGCCTGGGCGACAACGACAAGAGCAACACTTCCCTCTCAAAAAAAAAAAGCAAAGTACACTTAGAAGAGACCAAAGCGGGCACCGAGGTCAAGTGTGGTGTTTGATCCTAGATCTTTATAGGCTGGTCCCTTTCCCATTGTTCTTCTTTTAAGGTGGGCTGCCCATATGCACAGTGCCCTGCTAACCCTTGGAAGGTGAGCATACGCAATGTGTTTAGGAAGTTGTATGCATGCCCATCTGACTCTTTCTTCTGTTTTCCGGTGGTATGCCCCCAGAAGATCGTACTCCACCATTTTGTCTCTTAACGTGCATGCCCAGAAATTTGCTTCTCCCTGGCATCTGCGTTGAATGAAACACTTTAGTGCAACAGGTATGGATCATCAGGAAATGGCCTCTCCCTGGCACTGGCTTCCAATTTATCACTTTTAGAGAGGCAATGTGATCATTGCCAAATCATCATCCAGCATTTCTAGTGGGTGGCAGGGAGAGCCCTCTCCTGCTCTGTTCATGCCTGTCTAACTACCTGTAACAAATCCAATGAATAATTTTGGTTCTTATCTTGCATAAGTTCACAGCACTCTTCAACTCTTCTGACCACCCTTTCCTTCTTGAAACACTTTCTTCTCCAAGATCCCAGGATATCATATTTTCTTGATTTAGTAACAGCTCTGCCTACCTGCTTTGAACCTTTTGGCCTTCTTTGCTTAGCCATTTAATGTTGAAGTTCCTAAAAGTTCTATTAAGACTCTATTATATTGTCACTTTGCACTTTGTAGGAACCATCATCTATGCTTATGTCTTCATTGCTACTGAAACATAAATGACTCCCAAATCTTTATCTTCAGCTGAGATAGATCCTTTGTATTTCAAATCTGAATTCGTAAACCAGCTTGACAACTTGTCTCAAAAGATCTTCAAATCTAATATAGCCAAACTAACCACACTCATGACTCTCCTTTCACCAAAAATTGTACCCTTCTTGGAATGGGCCATGTCTCATCCATTCCATCGAATAAGACAGAAATCTAGGGTTTATCCTTAATATCTCCCCGTCTCCTACGTCTTCTATCCAATCGATGACCAAGTTAGAAAATTTTATCCCTTAAGAATTTCTTAAAGACACCTTCTTTTTAAAATCTCCACTGACACATTTCAGTCCAAGACTAATATCTCTTCAAAACAATAGAAATAATCTCCTCACATGTGTTACTGTATTCTTGTTTATACATCTTCTCACCCATGCCAAACCAATGCATTCACCATCCTAGAGCCAGAGTGATTTGATCATGACACCTCTGCTTAAAATATTTTGGTAGTATTGCTCTTCAGCTACAGATTTTTCCACTTCTCTTAGACTACAGATCAAAATCCTTGAGTAGCTTACAAGACAGTTTGTCCTGGCCCCTATTCATCTCATTCTCCACCAGCCCCCATCCCTTGCTTGTTTTGTTTTAGCTACATTAACCATACTTCAATTAATAAAAATGCTATGCTGCTTCTTGCCCCGTATTCTGCATAAAATATTCCTACTTCCTAACTGTACCCAGGTAACTGGTAATTTATCTTTAGATCCCACTTCATTCATCACCTCCCCTAGGAAGATTTCCTGATACTTCTGTATAGATCAAATCTTCCTATCAGATAGTCTCATAGTAACACTTATTACTTCTCCATTATGTGTATCAATTCGATAATGTTATAAATATTTATGCAACCATTTAGTTAATCTCCACTCTAGGACTATACACATAAGGACAAGGAATATATCTATTTATTGCACTCCTGGAACTTAACATAACACCTGATTATCATTAAATTTTGTTAAGCATATGAGTAAGTGAAAAAAATTGCTAGTTTTTGAAATATAAAATAACTTACAGACAGCAGAGTTTATGCATGTGAGGGTAAATTTCAACAACTAATAGGAAGGGAAATTTTTTTGAATTTCTCTTTTGCTGCCCTTATTGCTCAAATCGCATTCCTCAAGAAACTGGGGAGTCTCAGAGGTGACCCAGGGGTCAACTAGGGATTAGACAAGAGGGGAAGTTAAATGGCAGGGACCAAAACAATCCCAAGCTCCCTGCTCCACTTTAGCCAGATTATTTTTGATGTTGCCTGTGTTATGCAGTAGAATTCCATGGACTGTTTTGTTTGAATAAGTGTATACTCCATCTGTGCCACCTCAAAAAGATTTGGAAGTTACTGAACTAGCCAATTTCAGTGTACAGATGAGAAAGCTGAAGCCCATATTAAGCAAGTGAAATAAGCCAAAGCTGCAGAGTTGGTTGATATCAAATCTTTATATTACATGGAAAAAAATAAAAAAATCCTCAAGACTGGGAAAATCCCCTGGAAAGAATATAGTACTCTTCTGATAACAAAGAAAAATAGCTCCTTTATGCCTCTTCCTTTCTCTTCTTTGCTAGTTCCCCTTCTCTCATGCTGATTTTATTCTCACAATATTTGCTAACGTATCATGAAATGAACTTCACAGGATCAATGTGAATATTTCATTTTCTTACCTTGTAAAGGATGGTCACTCTGGTAACTAGGTTTCCCACTCAATTTTCATTCTTCATTTGCCAGATAGAAACCCCATGTATGTATTTTAAAGCTGAAATTCTCCCAAAATAACGAATTGACTGGCACTCATTTTTATTTCTGGACTAAATTTGAAAATACTTAAGCATTTCCTCAATCTGTATACATACAATTCATTTATAGCAAGGAATCCTAAATAAACAGAAAACGGAATGGAAGCAAAATGTATTGTTATCCTTTCTTTGTAAACACTAGAGGGCACTAAATACTGAAGAAAAAGTTAGAAATTTTGCAAGGCATACACAAATATATCTCACTAGAAGGACTAAATAAATTAAAATAATATACTATATATGCTCTTGAGTCTCTACCTAGATAGAATATATACACTACTTCAAGATAGGGGAATGCATATTTACAGTAATCTAGAAAAACATATCAGGAGAATATAATGAAAATCAACTAGAAAATGATCTATTGTTCGGGAATTTTAAAGTAATGTAAAATCTGTATCGAAATCACATATATCATTGCTTCCC
Source organism: Homo sapiens (assembly GCF_000001405.40). Lineage (NCBI taxonomy): Eukaryota > Metazoa > Chordata > Mammalia > Primates > Hominidae > Homo > Homo sapiens. The sequence goes on from NC_000011.10 coordinate 22,170,326, forward strand.
TCTCTCTCTATCCCTCTTTCCCCCCTTCTCTTCCTCCCTCCTTTCTTTCTTATCATCTCTGTCCTTATCGCTTTATTTCTATATCCTTCTTCAGCTATAGCTCTAGCTTTATCCTTTGATTATATATGAGATAATTTTATGTAATATAAAATTTATATATATAATTATAAAATATAAGGCAATTATGTAAAACTCTAATATTCCAATATAAACATGCTTTACACATGTAGCATAATCACTAGTGGCCATGTATGTATATAATGTATATACTATATATGTATGAAATATATATACTATATACATATATAATTTTGAGCTACAATAGTAATCAAGCAATGAAATAGAGGACAAAAACAAAGTTATAATATGCAATGCTGGTAAGCAGATAGCAAAATAGGCCCTCTCATATACAAAATGCATGCGTATTAAACTGGCAAAAAAAAAAAAAACTCAGAAAGCAATGTGGAAACGTGTGGATAGGTAGGTAAGTAGGTGGTTGGGTGGGTGTAGCTAGCTAGATAGGTAGATAGATAGATAACAGATAGATTTTTAAACCTGAAAAATTGTATCTCTTTAAAACTAACAAGAAAATAACCAGAGGCGTGTAAAATATAAATGTACAGAGAAATGTGCCAGAGCAATAGCATAGTAAAAAAATAAAAATAAGCTTAATGCTTTACAGATTACAGTCTGTAATCCCAGCACTTCAGGAAGTCAAGGCAGGCCAATCACCTGAGGTCAGGAGTTCAAGACCAGCCTGGCCAACATGGCAAAATCCCGTCTCTACTAAAAATACAAAAATTAGCTGGTCATGGTGGTGTGCACTCAGTTACTTGGGAGGCTGAGGCAGGAGAATCACTTGAACCCAGGAAGTGGAGGTTGCAGTGAGCTAAGATCGCGCCACTGCACTCCAGCCTGGGCAACAGAGTGAGACTCTGTCTCAAAAAAAAAAAAAAGGTATATTTATAGCCATAAATTAAAAAATGACAGGATAACATTATGAGGTTAAGTTTGAAAAACAAAAAATAGAATTGTATACAAGTATGTTCTCAATGTTTAAAAAAAAATCTATGTCTTTATTAATAGTAGTTAGATTTATGTGGTAAAATTATAGAAGCTTTTAATTTTCTTTTGAAATTGTTTATATTTTCTAAATTTTCTAAAATGGGCAACACACCAATTTTATAGTTAGAGAAAAAAATTAACTTATATTTCAAAAAAGTCTAAGTTCCCCTCAAAATATAAATATGGTAAAAACAATTCTTATTAGCCTAAATTTAAGGAGCTGGAATTTTTCAGGTTAAAAGATATATTGTTATCTATCTAAATATCCATCAATATACATACATGAGTGATAAACAATAGTATCCATTTTGCTATATACTTACCAGCATTGAATGAGATGATTTTGATTTTGATTTTGTTTTATATTACATTGCTTACTTTTAAAATTGAAGACATGGGTTTTTTTAATAACTTTCTGGCCATTAGTAATCTACTACTGCCATGAATTTTGTTATTATTTAATTTATACTTTATATTCAAATTTCACCTCTATACCAATAAATTCCTTTATATAATTTTTTCTTCAATCAAGAAACCAACTTAGTGTTACACAGTGGATTTACTTTACATATCTTCTTAATTTCTAGTCTGTAGGCTTTCTTAATCTCTAGTGACGTTGACTTTTTTTTTGAAGAATATAAGCCAGTATTCTATAGACTTTGTCTCAAAAATTTGTATTTGTTTTCCTGTAATTCAGTTCAAGCTATACATTTTTGTCTGGAATACAAATGACTTAATGTTTCTCTTCAGTAGATCACATCAGATGTCTAATCTATGGTGATTAATTTCTGGGAAGATGCTTTGTGATTACGCATATACCGTTTTTTATCACCATTTGTACTGTAGCTTTATCATCCTTTGATGATTCATGCCAGAATCAATTCTTTTTCAGGTTAAAAGATATACTGCTATGATAATCACAAGTTGGTGATTTTCTAACATCATTATTCTTCTTCATTTAATTGCTAGCCTTCTAGTATTTTTTAAGTTTTCCATTCTCCGTCAATCCTTCATTTATATTTTTATTATTGGTGTGGGCACATGGACTCTTCTTTTAGGCAATGAGTTATCATCCATTACTATCATTATTTATTTTGGTATTCTAATCTTCTTTCCAGATTTGGCCACTGGGAGCCATTTTGGGTTAGCCCCATTGTAGTTTTGACATGCCTTATTCTTCTTCTTCTTATTATTATTATTATTACTACTACTACTACTACTAGTATTTTGACCACATCCTTATTTTGTGGCACCATAAATTGTTCCAGGTTCATCTTGTACATTTCCTTTATCTGGAAGACCCTGGAAAATTCCAGTCCAACACTACTGGGTTCTTTGTAGCCTTCCTCTATTCCATATTTGTATCTCCCTTGTCTAAGAGTGAAAATTCTGGCTGCAGCAATGTCTTTACTCATTCACTCAGTCTCACAATACACAGAGAATAGTTTCAGAATCGCTACACACATACTATGGTGAAATACAAACCCATCAGGCAAATAAAAAATAATTTATAATAATTAAAAGATAATTATTATAAAAATAATTTATAATTTATACATATAGGTATTTTATTTTTAGAATAAGCATGCATATCAAAGTACAATGTTCAAGAGCTGTTTAGTTTAAAATATATTTTTTAAAGTTATTTTGTTAGTCCTTCCCTTTAGCGTAATTAGGTGTTATTCAAAAAATTTTTTACGACAATAATTATATTTAGTTAAATTTAACTTACTTAAAAAGTCATATTGAAGGTCCTTACAAAATGCATTATAAGCTGCTTATTAGTGTATTTCAATTTTGATCCAAATTAGAAATATTTTTATTTACTTGGTTTTTCGCACTTTATTTTTTCCGAGAATAAAAAGCATCATATAACCCAAAGTATAAAATAAATATCCATGAGTCTATACTGATATAAACAAATGACTGAATAAATAAATCAAGAACAAAAGACAATTTTTATATGCAAAATAATTTCAATAGTTTAGGTAGTTACTTTTTCTTCAAGGATGTGAGGGTGTAACTACTTTAAGTGAGTGAGCTATGCATTGTGACTTCCTTCCAAATAATACAATATGAAAAGGAGGTTAAAAAACCATAACTTTACAGTAAAGAAATCTACAAAACACTACTTCAGCCAGATGATTAAGATAAATATCAACAGTAATAAGTCACATCGAGAGTATTTACCCTTGATATGATGTGATAAAAATAACACTTTACCCTGTCGTCTTCTTCCCCAAAATATATTACCACAGTCTAATCATGACAAAAACGTTAGGCATATCTCAATTGAGTGACAATCTGCATAAAACCTGACTAGTGCTCCTCAAAACTGTCTAGGTCATCAAAAAATAAGGAAAATCAGGGAAACTGTCACAGCCTGTAGGAGCATGAGACAAAACAAACTAAATGCAATGTGGTATCCTGGATGGGATCTTAGAACAGAAATAGGACACTGGGTGAAAAGTAAAAAAATCTGAATAAAGTGTGAACTTTAGGTAATGGTAACGTATCAGTTTGGGTTCATTAATTTTAACAAATTTACTATATAATTTAAAATCTCAATAATAGGGGAAATTCTCAGGAGGTTGAGGTGGGAGAATCACTAGAGTTCAAGGGTTCAAGTCCCGGCTGAGCAAAATAGTGAGACACTAAAATAAATAAATAGTAATAGGAGAAATTAGTTGTTGGGTATAAAGGAACTCTCTAATATTTTTGCAATTTTTCTGTAACTCTACAACTATTCTAAAATAAAAATTTTATTTTAAAAATCAATGTAAAATATTCAACAGATGGAAAATGAATGGAGAGAAAAGAAATAATCTTTTCCACCATTCCTACATTAATACTTATTTTATAAAGTTTTAATAACATTTTTGGCATATTTCTCTCTCTTCAAACTTATTGAGGCAAAGAAGTAATCATAGGACCGTTAATGAGATTAAAATGTGTATCCTGCATTTGAGAAATGCTGAGGACCACTAACTGATTTGTGCCTGAGAATGCCAATGTAGTCTATGGCAACAAAGTAGAAGGGGGTGCATTGGGATAGACCTGAACTCTCAGACTTCACTGGAGCAAGAGGATGAGACAGATTTTTCATTAAACAGACATAAAACATGCAGGAGCAAAAGGCAGTATTGGGTCATCCATGGTCCTGGCCAATAAAGCTCTCTAGAAGGGCAGAGAGTTCTGACCTGCAAGGAGTTGGGTAAAGGCTAGGGAAATAAGCCATAAGTAACCAATTGGAATAAGGGTTCATCCACTCAGGTTAAGGATATTGCTGGAGAGAAGTATTCATCAATGGTGATCACTAGGGTTCCACGTGCATTTGCTGAAGACGGAGAACAAAAAGATATCCGGCCTAGTTATAACATATGTTGCCTTTCCTCACCTCTACTTTCGTTCTTCTTTCCTTTGCCTCTAGAAAACCAGAAACATTAGTTAGTATGTGGGTTAGGAGTAGGACAGAGATGAAGAGTTCAACATTCCCTTCCCTGAAGGCAGGCAGCTGCCATCTACAAGAAGGTGGAGAAAAATCTTATCTTTCAATAAATATTGAATTACTTGATTAATATCTAAATATGGGTGCATCCTAATTACTTAATTGAAACAATGTTTCATAAATTTAAATGATCTTTTAACTCTCTGAAAGTTTGAAAATTTTTGGACTCTTTCCAAATATTATTCAGGATCAGGAAATTTTTACCTCCACTAAATAGATGTTTAAGAGATAGTGGAAGACTAACATGAAGTAGTGTTTATATTGTGCTAAAAACCGTGTTTGTTCATTTTACTGAATATGTAACTGTTATGGGCCAACTTGTGCTCCCCTTTCCCCAAATTCGTATGTTGAAGACTTCACTCCCAAGTGCCTCAGGATGTTTGGAGATAGGGCTTTTATGGAGGTGATTAAGTTTAAATAAGGTCATAAGGATTAGGTTCTAATCACATAGGCCCAGTGTCCTTATAAGAAGAGGAAATTTGGACACACAAGGAGACACCAGGGATGCGTGCACACAGAGGAAAGACCATGTGAAGACAGCAAAGAGGTGGTCATCTGCTAGCGAAGGAGAGAGGCCTTAGGAAAAACAAATGTGCTAAGCTTTTGATCTTGGACTTCTATCTCCAGAACTGTGAGACATTGTGAGACAATAAATTTATGTTGTTCGAGCCACGCAGTCAGCAGTATTTTGTTATAGTAGCCGTAGCAAATGAATAAATAGCATCTATGTATATTTGATTTATGTCTTAGGCCATTTGTACTGCTATAACAAAATACCTGAGGCTGAGTAATTTATAAAGAACAAAAATTTATTTTTCACAATTCTGGAGGCTAGGAAAGCCAACATTAAATTGCTGGTAAATTCAGGATCTAGTGAGGGCTCATTTCTCATGGATGGCACTGTCTAGATGTCCTTACATGGAAGAAATGCAAAACAGACCAAACTCCCTTCCCCAAGCCCTTTGATAAAGACACTAATCCATTCATGAGGGCAGAACCCTTATTGCCTAATCACCTCCTAAGGACCCCACCTCTTAAAACTGGTGCACTGAGGATTAAGTTTCAACATGAGCTTTGGGAGGGACACATTTAAACCATAGCAACATATCACTCTTAATTCCACAACATGCTCCTGTTCTCTGTTTCTGACCTTGAATTCATTCCTTAAGCTTAATTCACTGTCCTTTTCCTCTGCTATTGTTCTTGGTTTCTTTCCTTAGCTACAGTTGGCATCCCTTCTCTTTCAGCAGGTCTGCTTTTATCCTCTACAGGTACAGAAGACTAAATCCAAGAGGGTGTTAGGAACTCTCCTGATACCTGTTTCATGGGGATACTGCAATCACCAGATTCCATTCTTTTCCTTCTCAACCCAAATCCTGTGGCTAAAGCCCAGCAGCTACGCCTTATAAACTTCTCATCAACTAATATCCCTCCCAAGACAAAGAAGTGGACTTCCTCTAGGCATAAGAAATAATAACAAGTCATATGAAAGCTGGAGTACAAATTCGAAGACTACTGAGCACAATAGGACTAGCCTTGGGGAGGAGGCATTTATCTCTGACAACTTTATATTTGCTCTATGCCCACAATCCTGTCTTCATAATTGAGCGGTGCTATAACAAATTACCTGAGGCTGGGTAATTTATTTTTTTTTAAGAAGTTTATTTGGCTCACAATTCTGGTGGCTAGAAAGTCCAAGAGTATGGCATAGGCATCTGCTCAGTTTCTGGTGAGGGTCTCGTGCTGCTTCAACTCATGGCAGAAAAGCAGAAAGGAAAGTGAATGTGTACAAAGAGGGACCAAACAGTGGAGAAATTGTGCTTTACAATGCACTCTGGTGAAAATTAATCTATTCTCAAGAAAGCAAGAACTCACTCACTCCTGAGAGACAGAGACATCATTAATCTATTCATGAGGGATCTACTACCACCAACCAAAAGCCTCCCACTAGGCCCTACCTTCCAACACTGCTGCACTGGCAATTTGACTTCAACGTGAATTTTGGCAGGGACAAAACACATCCATAACATAGCAAATTATTTTCTTCTTTTTTTTTTTTTTTTTTTTTTTAGTTTTTCCTTATGCAGTGAATACATTTCCTGGAGGGGAGCTATTTGTGGGTATATAATATTTCACCCACTTTCCAAGAGTTCACTTTATATAAATTACTGTACATAGGGCTTTTGTTTTGGCTGGAGAACCTATTATTATTATTTTTTTTTGTAAGAGAGGTGCCGAGGCAATGGAAGAGATGAAGAGAGTACAGGCAATGGGACCATGTTTGCTGCCACAAAGCACATTAGATTGTGTGAGAGATACTAAGGGAGAGAGGAGTTAGGACCAGAGCATGACAGACCCTCTCACATGAGGGACTTAGTGAAAGTCTAAGAACTGGCACTGCTACTTTGAGCCTCAGTTGCCAGAAAGCTGAGGGAGAATCATTCTCCTCCCTTCCTTTCAATACCCTGCTTTGGCCTCCAGGGACATCAGCAGCTTCAGCTTGACTGGATGTGTACATCATCACAAGTATACAGAGGTTCATTCCGTTCCGGCTGTTGGATTACAACGAGGGAGAGATGAGCAAGTTGCAGCAGGGCCTAGATGCTGGCTGAAGCTGAACTGACAAAATACATTTTGATCGTGTTTTACAGACAATCTTTGAGGCATCAAATGATAAGAGGAGACACTTTCCTGGGAGAAGGGATGTGGGGGTATGTAAAAAAGACTGAGTGAAAACAATGTTAAGGGAGAACTTATTTTTTGGCCACGTACAGGGACCTCCAACTCCAGGATGATGTCATCCCAAGATCCTTAACTTATATATGATAAAGATCCTATTTTCAAATTAGGTCACATTCACAGGTCCTAGGGACTAGGACTTGGACATATGTTTTCAAGGAGACACTATTCAATCCACTAAATTCCCCTGTGGAAATGTTACTTCCATTGAGAATCACTATATTTTTCTGCAGTGTGTATTATCTAAACTTTAGTATTATTCTAGAAAAAAAAATTTACTTGAATTTCATTTTACAAAACACATTCTCTCTTTACCCACTCCCCATTCCTATGGGGTAGGAAGGCTCAAAATGCCTGCCAACTGCTCTGTGTTCCACTGCCTACCTACCAAGTTAGGCAGCTCCATGCAATTCATTATTCAGGCCACGACTGAGTGAACCATTTGCCTCTCTTCCTGGGTATTATCTAGACAACATTTTCCAGTTTCCTGGGCAGTTTGGTGTGGCCATGAGACTGAACTACCCAAAGGGATGTGAAAAGTGGTGCTTATCACTTCCAGTTAGCCCATCAAACCCTTCCTTAAGATCATACGCTCTCCTCTCTCCGCACAGTCCCCAACCCACCTGATACAGTTTGGCTGTGTCCCCGCTCCCAAATCTCATCTTGAATTGTAGCTCCTACAATCCTCATCTGTCCTGGGAGACCCAGTGGGAGGTAATTGAATCATGGAGGTGATTACCTCCAGGCTGTTCTCCTGATAGTGAGTGAGTTCCCACGGGATCTGATGGTTTTTTTTTTTTTTTTTTATACTCTAAGTTCTAGGGTACATGTGCCCAATGTGCAGGTTTGTTACATATGTATACATGTGCCATGTTGGTGTGCTGCACCCATTAACTCGTCCTTTACATTAGGTATATCTCCTAATGCTATCCCTCCCCCCTCTCCCCATCGCATGACAGGTCTCGGTGTGTGATGTTCCCCTTCCTGTGTCCAAGTGTTCTCATTGTTCAATTCCCACCTATGAGTGAGAACATGTGGTGTTTGGTTTTTTTCCTTGCGAAAGTTTGCTGAGAATGAGATCTGATGGTTTTATAAAAGATTTTCCTCCACCTTCACTCTGTACTTCTTGCTGCTGCCATGTTAAGAAGGATGTCTTTGCTTCCCCCTCTGCCTTGATTGTAAGTTTTCTGAGGCCTCCCAAGCCATGCTGAACTGTGAGTCAATTAAACCTCTTTCCTTTATAAATTACCCTGTCTCGGGTATGTCTTTATTAGCATACCTGAGACAGGTATTAGTCTGTAAGAACAGACTAATACACCACCCCAGCCTAAATTTCTACCTTCAGGGCAAACATGAAAGCCTTGTGTTAATGATGGTAAATTTTTCATCAGTCTGGGTCTGATTTTTCATCAGATTGAGTAAAATAGAGCTCCCCAACACTAATCAGGAATACCATTTGGGAATTTAGTGGAGTAAGAAATACATTTTTCTTCCACTCAGTATTAAATGACCAAGATTTTGAGGATTATCTGTCGAAGAAGTCAGCATTCTCTTAATTAACACAAGCAACTAAGGTGGTGCACAATCTACTCAGTTAGATCTTTACCAATTAGGAAAGTTGAAATCCAGAGATACAGAATGGGGGTAGAGTGTTCTATGAAAAATTAGAGTAAAATTTAACTTTTCAAAGCGACCCATTAGACCCTGTGTAAAAGGGCCCTTTCCCCTCTTCCTCTCCTGACATTTACACCTTACTACGTTCCTCACGCTGGTCCCTTTCCTGGACTTAAACATATGCTCATTCCTACCTCAGGACTTTTGCATGCACTACATTCTCTACCTAGATTACTCCTCTTCAATTCTTTGTAAGATTGGTTTTTTATCATTCAAACTTCAGCTTAAACATAATCTTCCCAGAGAAGCCTTCCTAAATATCCCTGTGTAAACTCTATGTAATCACACTCGTGTACCCAACCCAATAATTTTCCACATTACTCTGATATATTGTTTCTATAACTTTTTGAAATGATAATTTTATTTTTTTTACCTGTTTATTTTCTCTCCCTAGGCACTAAAAAAGAAGTTACATTAGAATAAAGACTTTATTTGCCTTGTTCATTGTTATATCCCCAGAGCCAAGAACAATGCCAAGCAGCAGCTCAGTGATATTTAGTGAATGAATTAGTGAGGAGAGAAAAAAGGGAAAGAAAGAGAAAAATGGCAGGCACCCAAGAAGATCACTTGTTAAATACTTACAATAAATTTTCACCAGTTAAGTTCAGAGTATATCTTTTTCTTGTACTATAAAAAGATTTTATACTATACTATACCATACTAAACTCTTAGAGAATAATATTCTTTCAAATCATTTATCTGCATTTTAATGTACTTTCCATAGTAACTAGCACATTTCGCAAAGAAAAGTAGTCACTTCTGAATGAGAATACCAGAAGATGCTTGAGAAAAAGGTTTCACAGTCTGAAAACAGAGAATAGACAATTAGCTATTTTGGTTGCAGCAACACAGGGGGACTTAGGAAAAGACAATCAGGGCTCAAAGATTCAATGTTTAATAAGAGGGCCAGGCTTGAGAGAGAGACAGGAATCAAAGCAGTGACAATGGGCCCAGAAACGGGAAGCAGAATAACTATCTCTTGGCAGAAATAGTCTAGCCAGGACCCCCTACTATCCTCAGTATTCCTGCTGGCATTGTGACATGATTGAGCATGGCTCTTGTTCGATCCCATCTAACACCATGATGAATTAATTCTGACCTTTTATTCCTGTATCATTTGCTCAATTTCAAAGAGATAAATGAGAACATTTAATTGGCAAACTCTAGGTCATATGACCGATTCCCCTCAGCTGCTGGCTAATTAGCATCTGTGTTAGATGGTAGGAGGGCACCCTCAACTGAAAAAAAAAAAAATCCGAAAAACTCTGCTTACCAAAACACCAAGGCTTAAGTAGGCAGCGGGATGTTCCCAGACAATTGTCAGATGAGGTCAAGGTGAGGAGGAGAGAGTTTTGAGGGTAACAAGAAAGTTGTGATTCAATTTGGAATAGCCTTGCATGCCAGGTTCAAAAATGTAGTCTGTGTCCAGGAAAACATGTATTGATTATTTCCCTAATCAGATCGTAGTTTCCCTGAACGATTAGAAGGATAAAGTGTTTATCCCTCTGCCCCTACCCATCTTATACTGAAACTGCAGACATAAACAGCAAAAAGTACAATGCTTTATGCATCACAGCCAATCAATAAAATATGTTCAAGTAAAGCAGAATACAGAGGACTACAACTTGTCATCAATTTATAATAAAATAATATAAATGAAAAGTCAAAAGCAAGGCCACCTAAGAAAATTAGAAAGAATTTTTTCTCTATACTCTCCTATTTTCCTTTTTAAGATTGTAGATATACCTCTTCACCAACTTCTCCCCTTCCCTAGAAGATAATCAGAGTAATGGAAGAAATGGCACTTACATACGGAGTCTGACACCCATATTTCCAATCCATACTCTGCTACTTAGCAGCTATGTGACCATGGGAAAATCCTTAACCTTTCTGATCTTCAGCTTCATCATTCAAAAACTGGAACTCATACAAACTATCTCATTGTTGTGACTATCTAACCTGATAGGAAAGTCTGTATTTTCCCCCTCTATCTTCCCCTTAAGAAGTCATCAAATCCAGTCTTAACTGCCCAGCAATTAGCCAATGCTCCAGAATTCGTTTTCCTCCTCTCCAATCCTAGCATTCTTACCTAGCCTTATATTCTCACACACCATATGCATCTTAAAGAAGGTAATTTGTGTTTCAAAAGAATAAAAATTTAATCGTGCAATTAGTGGCAATTAGGGAAGTATCTTTGTTGGGGCACCCTCAGGGGTATTTCTATAACATTAACTGTAATCATTTATTCATAAGAACACATCTGCCAGATAGTAAGAGTTTTCAGCTAATAATATACAAAATTAATAAATCATTAGAAGGCAGAATAGCACAGAGAGAAATGGCATGACCTCTGGAGCCTATATACCTCTGTGAAAATCTTAGCTCTAGAACATACCAACTGTGTGATCTTCAGCAAGTTACTAAAACCCTCTGTGCCACAGTTTCCTTATCTGAAAAGGCAAGGGAATAGTATCTATTGTAAGAGGTTGTTATAAGAATTAAATGAGGGCCGGGCGCGGTGGCTCACGCCTGTAATTCCAGCATTTCGGGAGGCCGCGGCGGGCGGATCATGAGGTCAGGAGATCGAGACCATCCTGGCTAACACGGTGAAACCCTGTCTCTGCTAAAAATACAAAAAATTAGCCGGGCATGGTGGCGGGCGCCTGTAGTCCCAGCTACTCGGGAGGCTGAGGCAGGAGAATGGCTTGAACCCGGGAGGCGGAGCTTGCAGTGAGCCGAGATCGCGCCACAGCACCCCAGCCTGGGCGACAGTGCGAGACTCCGTCTCAAGAAAAAAAAAAAAAAAAAAAGAATTAAATGAGCTAATACATTATAGCTCTTAGAACAGTATCAGAGTCAGAACTGAAATCAGTTTGTTAAAATGATTAAGCAGAAGTTCCTTAAATGGAAAAAAAGATACAAACTTGTACTATTACCCTTCTTTTATTCAAAATGGTCAAACTTATAGTGTGAATAGATCTGCAAACTGACTGAGAGATAAACACCTCATGCTCCTACCAAATGAAGGTTAGTTATGCAAAGATTTAGGAAGTATGACACATACTAGTTTCTTATTCCTGCATTGAAAAGAAAAATGGATGACGCAAGTCAGACACAGACATCTTTAGACCCTCCCTCTCAGTCTCTCTCTCTCTCTCTCTCTCTCTCTCTCTCTCTCACACACACACACACACCCCATGCTTTTTTCTATCTCCTATACTAGCTCCATATCTTGTTGTCTGAATCAGTATAAATTTTTATACAAATTGAATTTTTAAACACTATAAAAACTATAGTATAATACAGTATAGTATAATGTAATAGCTATGAGCATTAGCTATGAGCCACACTTACGTTTCCTTGTTTGTAAAATGGGAACAATAACTACCTCATAGCATTATTGAGGGGATCAAATAGCAAAATGCTTTAAATTGTATTTTTTATAACAACCTGTTGAATTTATTTTACCAATTTTGTTGAGCAGATTGAGACAATGAAACATCAAGATACTTGAACAAGATAATTGGGAAGTGAAACATCCGTAATGGGTTAGAGAATTTCAGAGCCCTCAGCTCATCCAATCTTCACAACCACCCTCCAAAATGGTCTTATGCCCATTTCTAAACTGAAGCCCAGTAAGTATTGGAAGCTTATACAGGATTCTAAAGCTAGCAAGTGGCAGAGCTATGATGTAAACTCCAGTTTGCCCACCCTAATTGCCATGTGTTTTTGTTTTATTTGGTTTGGTTTCTCCAGTAGTTAGATGGAATCAAATGAAATTGAGATGAAATATGCCAAAAATAGTCACATTTGGCAATTCCATATAGTTCAATGTGTATTTAGAACTATACTGTGGAAAAATCATCACAACTCTTCACTAACACTCTTCTTTCTCTATCTTTTCCTTTACTTTTTTTTTCCAAATTCACAACCTAACATCCTACAGATATCAACACTGATTTGAACAGAAGACCATTAGAAAGGATTTTAGAGGAATAGAAGATATGATTTCTGCTTTCACATAACTACTATCTAGTTGGGTAGATATGCTAACCATGCAAGAAACTATCAAAGGGCAAAACAATGAAGGAGAAATTCAACTGCCCATCAATCAGTGAATATATATGTGTCATGCCCTATGCTTGTCTCTGGTGGATGCAGTGATAAGTAGAAGATACATGGTTCTTGTCCTCACAGAACAATGGCAGAGATAGTAGAAAACAAATAGTTACATAATTACAGATGTAATATGTTTTCAGAGTACCCATCACTTCTTTTCTCTGCTGACTAAACAACCCATCTACATACATCCTATCATTCTGAACTTGCCTTAACATCCATCTGCAGATCTTCCTTGACTTCAGTGAAATGGGAGGTGGCTAGTTAATTTTAGAAGCAGCCTGTATTTATTTTACAGACTCCCTCTTTTTTATCTTTGTAGATGGCTTTTCTGGCTATCCCAGATTAGAACAATCCCTTCAATGGAAAGCAAATATATAATTAAGTAGGGTGGGCTCATTCTCTCTGGGAGAGACTACTTGCTTAAAAAAAACATATCTAGTCTGGGGGAGCTAAATTAAAAATGTAATTAACAACTTTCTCCTTAAAACATAAAATTACAAACCACAGAAGGCTCTGTTACAAGCATGCTCATCATTTGGGGGATGTCAAATATGGTCTTGATGTTTCTGATGCTTCTGGTGAAAATCATGTAGCCACTGGGTGGAGAACACAAAAGATGATTTAATTCACAGGATAAAACCCCAGATGTAACCACTCAGTCAATGAAACTCTTTAATTTCACTCTCTTTGTACTTATGGTTGAAACTGCATAAGAATTAGATACTTTGAAAATAGACTTTGCTTTCTTAAACATATTTTATAGAAGGTCTGGCCGATTTTAGTGTGCATGAATAGTATACTTTCCCTAACTTGAAGTTCCTGTATTTCAATCAAGTTTGGTTTGGTTTTCTATCTAACCTGTTTTAAGGACCCTTTTAGAATTTTAGTCGTGAATGTATTTCAGAGAATGTGAATTGGCCAACAGCATATTGAATCCAAGTATTAAATCATCTTTTGATGGGAACATCCTATTTCTCAGAAGCTTTTATTTCATTGCCACAGCAGTAATAATCATCTGAATACTGCTTAATGGAGTAATTTAATCAATATGTGAGTCCATTGGCTCTTAAGAGTTCCTTTCATTGTTTCAAGCAATATTTGTATTGGCATTCTTATGCATCATGTACTTCATTTTAAAATTCAGAAATCTTTGGGTTTGTGCTATAGGTTACTAGAAATATTATAGACTAATAAAAATAAATATTTTCATGAAAATTAAAGGAATAAATCTGCATTTAACAACAAAAGGCTCCATCTTCTCCAAATCTCTACTGCTTAAAATGAACCTAACAACAAAAATAACAACAAACACAATAAAATAAAAGTGGGATCCCATGGTTTCCTATCTGAACAGAGACAGTAATTATTGCATTTAATCCACCAAAAAGTATAAATTATTTTCTCCAGTGTACGGATAAGAAAACTGGAGCTCAAGGAGGCTAAAAGACCAAATATTACCCAAGTTAAAAAATTGAGAGAGGATTTGAAATCAATTCCATCAAGCCAACACACTTTCCACTAAACAATATTGTCTAGTTGGAAGAAATAAAAATCAACTGATGGCTATTGTAGGAATCAAAGAGGGTGGAGGTAAAGTGATAGCAGTAAGAAAGGAGAAGCAGCAATGGATTTTGGATGTTTCCCCAAAATTACCCACTGTGGCTTTCAGCTAGATGAAGTCATTTCCAATAACTGGTAAGGGAGACAATTTAAAAGAAGAAATGACAATAAAAACTGGTAGTACAATTTATTAAAATATTGGACAAAAATCAAAGCTGACTTGTTTCTGCCTTGAAAAGCAATATGGTAGTTAAGTACATGTACTTTGTAGATGGGCTATCCTGAAACTAAGCTGTTACTCTTTTAATAGTGATGCAATTCAAGACAGTTATTTAACCTCTTTTAGCCTCAGTTTCCTTAATTAATTATTTAAGAGATAATATAATAATGCTGTTTTAGTGTGGATTTCCCCTAATAGCAGAGCCTGATATAAGACTTACATACAGGCAGATTATTTTTGGAAATGATCTCTAGTAAGAGAAATGGGGGGCTTGGAAGACTCAAACATGAAAAGAGAGCCAATCAGAGAACATGCTATTGAGCTGGCTACCATTATGGGCAAATAAGTGTTGGTCTCTGCAAAACACCGAAAGAGCTATGCAAAATACATCTCAGAATTGCCCCTTGAAAGAATGGAAAAAGAAAATATTTACCCATCATCACCTATTTTTCAGAGTTGCCCTGTGTTGCCCTAACTTCCTCCTGCTTACAATTTTGCATATATGTCAGGGTGGAATTGTGGACATGAATAGGCAACCCATATTATGGTGGTAGAGAGGCCCTGGGACAGAATGCACAAGGTATACAATAGAGCTAAGGCAAGGTCCTGTTAAGTTATGTGTTCACAGATATTTACTATAGTAAAGATTAGAGTAAAAAGGTGAGCCAAAAAGGTACAATGAGAGCAAGCATATCAGTGGATGCCAGGGGCCAGTGGATAGAATGAGGTGATTGACTACAAAGGTGAATGGGGTGGTTTTTGAAAATGTTCTATATAATGAATGTGTGATGTTTACATAAGCGTATACTGTACGTGTCAGAAATTTCTCTAGTTGTACTCTTATAATTGGCAATTTAATTATTAATACAAATATAACTACCAATATTGCTATGGTTTGGATGTGGTTTTTCCCCGCCAAATCTCATGTTGAAATCTGATCCTCAATTTAACAATTTTGGGACTGGAAACTAGTGGGAAGAATTTGGGTTATATAGGCAGATCTCTCATGGATAGATTAATGCCCTCCTAAAGGGGGTAAGTTCTTTCTCTCACAGGAATGGATTAGTCCTCATGAGAGCAAGTTGTTAAAGACAGTCTGGCTTCCTCAACTTTTCTCTCTGTTGATTCCTCTCTTGCCATGCGATCTCTTTGCACACGTCTGTTCTTCCACTTTCTACCGTGAGTTAAAGCAGCCTGTGGCCCTCACCAGATACAGCTGCTCAATCTTGAACCTTCCAGCTGCCAGAATCATGAGCCAAATAAACCTCTTTTCTTTGTCTTTGTAAGTTACCCCGCCTTGGGTATTCTGTAATGACAACACAAAGTGGACTAAGACAAATATAAATTATACTTCAATAAAGTTGGTTGTTTTAAAAAAGGATGAGCCGAGACATGCAATAAATACAAGAAATGTCTGATAAGCACGTATTTCATATAATCTTGAGATTTAATGCAGTAGCATATGAAAAGCATATTAATTGACACATAGAAAGTATTTAAATACTAGTAGTTATTATAATTATTAAATACTAACTGGAGATAATCCTGGTGATTTTGAAAGAAGTAGAAGAGTTGGGAAGTTGAACTAATTTAAGGAAAAATTAATTTAGCCATATGTTTGTCCAAATTAGGGTAATGTAAAAACATATCAGTGACTTACAAATTTTGTAAGTAATTAAGAAATTTTCAATGAGAAGTAAGTGTGGAGCTGAATACTGACATGAGCCCCTCAAAAAGTGATGGTTAATGGAATAAATGAAAATAACAGGAGAGACTTTGTTGAAAGAAGACAAATAGTCAAGGAAGTGATAGAGGATACAAAAGAAAGATGAAAACTTACATTCATTTAGTGTCTACCATGTGCCAAAGACATTATTATTATTTAGTTTTCATAACAACAACATCTGGTGGATATGATTACTTCCATTATATAGGTTAGGAAGGTAAAGCTTAGAGGTTTGTGAACCCACTAAGTTCAAAGTTGTGTAGCCAATAGGTGGTTGAGTGAGAATTCAAAACTGGAACAGATTTGCTTGATCCAGAATGGTATGACTTTATTGTCCATGCATTTCCTTCTACATTGTACTGCCTGTAAAGTGGGAGTCAGTTATGGGAGGAGACTCAGAATGTCACAGGTCTTGCAAGCTGTTGTGGAAAATTTGGAAAGAGGCATTGGATTTAATGACTGATACAGGTCAGTGAAGAATGATCTTGGAGAGAACAGTTTTCTTCAGTGGCGTGGTAGTGTTCAAAACAGGATTTGATGGATGGTAAAGAAAATGTAGAACCAGTGTGTGTAGACTCCTTGATGGAAGAGTTTATTGGTAAAAGATCAGAGGAAAATTGCAATATAGATTTGTCCATTCAAACCCCAAAGTCCAGATTCTTACTGCAATATTTGATGTAGCCAATATACAGCAGTTGAATTCAATTTTGGCCCCTGTTTATGTGTATGCTAAAGAAAAATAACAATCCTAAGCATATGCCACTTAAACAAGAGGATGTGATTATACCATGAAACACTTGTGACCATAGGAATATAGCAGTGCTAAGTCAAAATAGGTCTTATCTCACCCCTTCCTGTCATTTGCTGCCATTGTTTGCCAAAGGTCTAGCACCTGTCTTCAGAGGAAAGTCAAAACGTTAGTGCTCAGATGGTGGGATGAATTCCTGAATTACTGTTGGCTCTGGTAGTTTCTTCCGATCAATTTTATAGTTTCTTTAGAACTAGAAAATTAGTTCTCAGAATGGCACTTGGCCACCCAATGTATATAATACAATTACTCAACCAGCTGCTTGAAAGCAAGGGACAACAGAGAAGTCAGCTACTGGCTGACCTCAGGCAATAGGAAATTTGATGATACTCCTTGGTCAAATCCTTCATTTAACATACATTTATATAGAACCTTTCTGTGTCAGGCACCATTCTAGGTACCACAGATACAACAATAAAGAGAACTGACAAAACCTCAGCCTTCATGGAGTTTATATGCTAACACATATGCATAAACAAACACATATAAAAATCCAGAAAGTCTTTACTGCTGTGAAGACAAACAACACAGAGTAAGCAGATACTGATGTTGGGTTGTTGCCTTAGGGTGGTCAGCAAAGTTGTTTCCAGGGAAGTGACATTTGCATGAAAAACTGAATAATGTAAGACAGTTAACCATCAAACATCTGTATGAAGATCTTTAGGAGGAGTAGGGGAACAGCAAGTGCAAAAGCCCTGTGATGGGAAAGTGCTTGTTATGTCTGAAGAACAGCAGTATGACACCATGGCTGGAGGGTAGTTGGGGAGGGAGAGAGACGTGGGAAATAATAATGGAGACTTAGTTAGGGCCACATCATGTAAATAGAACTTTTGCAATTCTATAGACAAGAACTATGTTTTGATTTTTCCCTAAGTCCACAAAATAGTTTGTGATAGAAAGCCATCGATAGATTGAAAACGGGAGTATTATTTGTAACCTCAGTTGCTGTTCCATGCAGGCGTAGGAGAGAATAATGCTTCCTTGCTCCATATCTATTGCTGAACAGTTCTCCATGATCTCTGTAGTCTGAGGACAAATGACAGTTTTCTGGTTACAAGACAGAGGGGATATGCCACCCTAGGCATTGAGATTGGGAAATATCAAGCATGCATGTGACTGCCAAGTATTAAACCCCATTTTCTGATGACCAGTAGGGTTCCAGGTATCAGCACATAAAGTGAGCTTTTTCCGAGAAGAATGAAAGATGGCAGGCAGAAATGAACAAGCTAGTAAAGAGGACTGAGGCTTATTGTTAAGGTCTGGGGCCTAAAAATGTCAGGATTCAAAGTGATCAATTTGGAAAATAAAGAGATTTGGACCCTCCTCTGAAACCAGGGAGTAGTGAATATGTAGAGTCAGAAAGTAACTGCAAATTCCAGAGAAACTGTGGAAGCAGCATTTTGTAGGAGTGTGGGGGAAACAACACCCTCAACTACTATTCCTACCTTCTGGTAAATCTATTACTTTAAATTTACCTCTGCCAGCCAATAAAACTTTTTCATGTTTTGGTACATTTTAATTGTTTCCAAAGTCCTTTCATGCATAGGATTTATTTGACTTTTACAACAACCTGAGAAATGGCTGGAACAAGTTAAGAAACTTCACATCCAGAGAAGGGAGCTGGGGATCAAAGAAGCCAAGTCATCTGTCCATAATCACTGTGCTGCCCACCTTATTAAGGGGTAAGGATTTAATGTGTGTCTTTTCACTCCTGCACAATGCTCCATGTATTAGAGTATGGCATTTTATGTGAACTGCAGAGATATTCAAAATACATGGAATAAATGAAATTTTTAGGTGTTAAGAAAACCATTGCATGATAAGAAGTCCGAAAGGATGGAACTTCCAGGAGTCAAAGTTTTGATATGTGAAGAAATAAAAAAAAGCAAACTAATCTAGGCCACAGATGGGAGGTACCACATCCTTGCTTTAAATACTAGAAGGAAAATATATTCATTAGGTGGCTTCCTGAGGCCTTTACTAGTCTTCGGAGTCTAGCTTGTAAACTTATGCTCTTTAATCTGATTAAGTTCAGTGATTCAATCAGCCTGCTAGAATAATAAAAACTTCACATGCAGGGGTTGCTCAAGAGTGTACATTTAACTTTCATACAGCTTAGGCTCTTTTTTTCACATACTGTACACTTACATTCCTGAGATGCCTTTCCTACAGGGAATTCACACTTTTACTGATTAGCAGGCATACAAATACTGTCAGGTGCCAGTTGATAGTTTAGTTTCCAAAATATCACCATTTATATCTTTATAACTATGTTTACATGATCGTTTAAAAACTTTGGCATACTACTCAGGATAAGATATAAAAGGCAAATAAGAAAAAGTGTTACCAGATGCTTGTAATAATTTAAACAAAGGCTGAAATCATTTGGATGGTTAAAAAAAGACAACTTTTGGGCTATATTCAATACTTAACTGAATGTTCAATTACATTAAAGGAACACATATAAATTACTCAGAACGTAATTCTGGAAATGTATGGTTAAAGATTGTATCTAACGAGGCAGAGTATAGTGATGGAGGAGAAAATGGGCATATCCTAAAAGTATAAATGTATAAGCAATATAAAATATGTCAATGATATGAATATAGAGAATATTTCTCTCAAGATCTAAAGAGTTATGGTCACAACCCAGACCTTTATTAGAAGGACACAGCTGGTTTTCAACTCTTGCTAACAAAGTTTAAAGCATGTTGATAACAATCTAAGCAAATTCAGCCTGAAAATGTTTCATTTAGTATGGAGCAAAATCATCAACATATAATGTCTTCTCATACACATCATTTCAAATACAGAACAGAATAAAAAAACATGAAACAAGGAATTATATAAAATACTAGAAAAATAATTTTATTTTCTTTATTTTAACTTCATCTATATAAAGCAAAGATTCTCCCCAGCTCTTAACTCACAATGTCCACAGCATCTAGAAAAATACCTGATTTCAGGAAAAATATTAGAAAACATTCATATTGTAGAAATTTTCTTAGAAGCCCAAACAAGGATTAATAATCAAGAGATGATAACCAAACACTTCTATCACAATTAGTCATTATAATTTAATGTGTAAATCTATGCTTATGTATAGTCACCTTTCAAACACAATTCCAAATTACATCAAGTAGGGAATTGCCTACCTATAGTCTTAAATCACTTGACTAGAGCTCATGTATTCGTAGACATATAGGCAGGAAAGTAAGGTATAGGGGCAAAACTGATTTCCAGTTCCGTGGTTAATCATAACCTTTACCAAACCACTTCTCTCTAGGCCTGTTTCCTTATCTGCAAAAGGTGATTCTCAGTTCTGAAATATCAATAGAATGGTGGGTGGGGAGGGGAATGCAGTAGCAGAAAAATGAAGAAAGGTCAAGACTTCTTTGGTCACCTCATCCTAACTTTCAAATCACCCCATCCTTATCCTAAACTCAGAGTCACTGATATGGTTCGCTGCGTGGCATGCCCAGGGAATTGTAATAATTCTCACCCTGAATTGTAATAATCCCCACGTGTCAAGAGCAGGGCCAGGTGGAGATAATAATGGGGGTGGTTTCCCCCATGCTATTCTAGTGATAGTGAATAAGTTTCAGGAGATCTGATGGTTTTATAAATCGGAGTTCCCCTGCACAAGCTCTTGCCCTCCCCCCATGTAAGACGCACCTTTGCTTTTCCTTTGCCTTCTGCCATGATTGTGAGGCCTCCCCAGCCATGTGGAACTGGGAGTCCATTAAACCTCTTTCATTTATAAATTACCCAGTCTCAAGTATGTCTTTATTAGCAGCATAAGAACAGACTAATACAGTCACTCCCTCCTCATCACTCAAGGCTCTCAGCTGAGACCTCTACCTCACTGTTAGTTCATCATCAGTCTTATTTCCCCGCCATTAGACAGTGAATCTAGTCTCTCAATTATTGTGTAGTTGGCAGTTGATCGGGTCTCAAAAACACAGAACCAATGCAGAGGGGCCTGTGAGGAGTAGAACGACCCATTCTGCTTGAGGTTAAAGTTCTGGTTGGGGTGGGCAGGAAGTGGAGGGGGGAAACAAAGTAACCCTTTGAAATGGAGTAGGGATCAATGTAATATGAGTTAATTTTCTTTTCTTTTTTTTTTCTCTTCTTCCTTCCTCCCTCTTCTTTTTTTCTTTTCTTTACTTTCTTTTGAGACAGGGTCTTGCTCTCCATCACTTAGGCTGGAGTGCAGCGGGATGATTGTGGCTCTATGTAGTCTCAATCTTCTGGGCTCAAGCGATCTTCCCACCTCAGCCTCCCGAGTAGCTGGGACCACAGGTGCCTGCCACCATGACTGGCTATTTTCCAATTTTTTGTAGAGACAGGGGTATCCCTATGTTGCCCAGGCTAGTCTTGAACTCCTGAGCTTTCAAGCGATATCGTCCAGCTGAGATGATGACAGGCGTCATCCCAGCTGGACTATAATATGGGTTAATCTTAATAGCAGCTAAATGTTTAACACATTCTGTGGCAAGGACTGTGCACCGTGCTTCTCTCAACAGCCTAGGAGGTGGGTACTATTATCATTCTCCTTTAAATATGTGGAAACTGAAACTTAGAGAAACTTGCCCCACACTATCCAACTCTTAAGGGGCAGAGGCTGACTTGGAACTCAGGCCACAAGGGATGACCTTCCCCCACCTGTAGAGGGCAGAGATCCTGCTGGGAACCCAGGAAGCAGGCAGGGCCAGGAGAAAAGTCAATACTCCCGCTCCAGACGCTATGGGGAAGGGGCTGCTGGCACCTTGGAGTCTCGGGCCATGAGCCGGCCTTAAAAGGGAGGGGTTCCTTTAAGGGAGAGGGACTTTTCCCCACGAGACCAAAAGTAACTCCCAACTGGGAGAGGGGTTCTCTCCGAGTGGCACGCATGAGCGGATCGATGAAGACCCGGCCAACCGGCTGAGGGAGCATCGGGACCCCCTTTGGGGATCGGAGGAGGAGGATTCCGACAGGAGGGAAGCGGCAGCCCTGGGGAACCAGGATTCCTGGTCGTGGGTGGACCCAGTGGAAAAGGACGTGCGAAGCCTGTACAGAATGGAGCAGGCCGGCCAACAGGGCCGGGGGGCGGCGGGTCCCGAGGAGGGACGGGAGGCTGCATGTCCGGAGGAGGTGCGGGAGGCGGCAGAGCAGGGACCTGGGGACGGCTTGAGCGGAGAGGAGGGGGCCAGCGTGGAGCCAGCCGGGCCGGGGGGCGGGGAGATGGCGGTCTCCGAGGGTGGGGCGCCGGCCGGTCTTGCGGTCTGGAGGCGGGGAAAGAGGCGTGGAAACAGGGACGCAGCGAAGGGGAAAGGAAAGCTGCCAGAGGGCAGGAGTGGAAAGGATCCTGGCGAGCACCGGGAGGAGTGGCGGCTGCGGGATCAGCTGCCGAGCAGGCACAGGGACAGGTGCCTGGAGAAGTACTGGGAGAGCGCCCAGGAGCGCTACCGGCTGAGGGTGGGGAAGCGCAGGGCCAAGCGCGCGAAGCAGGTTGTGGGGGACCGGGTCGAGTGGAAGTACCCGCCGGAGAGGAAGGCCGGCTGGCTGTGGCGCCCAGAGACGGTGGAGTCCGAGGAGGAGGAGAAGGAGGCCTGCAGAAGGAAGAGCAGGCCCTTAGAAGTCCAGCAGCAGCAACTCCGGCGGCCCACAGTCAGATTCAGCACCTGCCTCAGATCTCCACGTCTGTCTCAGCTGCCCCTCTCCTGCTGCCTCTCAGGCACCAGTGCCATTAACGAGCTGGCGAAGATGGGCGACCCGGATCTCCTGGAAGTGTTGGCGGAGGAAGGTAGGACCGCGCCAAGAGGCGTCAAGGGAGAGCCAGGCTGGCTGCCTGCACCCCTCCACCCGCGGCGCAGAGGCCCCGGGGGACGTTGGCGGCCCTGCGGCCTGAGTCCTAGGGAGGTTCGCTGCGTGGCGTGCTCAGCGCGAAACCGGGACTGCGGGGCAGAGTCCCCCGCCTGGGGTGAGTGGGGTTGGTTTCGGCGCCCCACAGATTTCTCTGCTGCTCCTGCGCGCCAGGGACCTGCGACCTGTGACCCCTATGGTTCCGGAACACCCTCCTTGCTCCCCTGCAGGCCTGGGAACCGCCGAGTAATTCAGGGCTGCTAGGCTAGCGCTGCAGTGCTTGGGTCTCCGAACCCAGCCAATGGAAACGAAGGCTTTCCCAAAAAAAGCAGCAGTATAGAGTGCAAGACAGCTATCCCACGTGTAAGGAGCTGGTCCTTGAGTCTTATTACCTCACTCTCTCTGCCCGTTACTTATCATGCTTTGAGATGCTTGTTAATTGTAGGAGTAGCAGATCCTAAAATCTATCAGTTTGAGATACTGAGAGCCATAGGCACTTGGAAAAGCTGCTGCTGCTGCTGCTGCTGTTGCTTTTCAACAGCTTTCATTAAGCCCTTTAGTTCCGTTGAGAAATATTTATCCATTGTTTGCCAAAGCCTTTACACCACCTGTATTCCGTGGACCTATTTTAATACATGTATTTTCCTTAAAATGCACATACTATTTTGCTGCTATCTCCAGGACCCCAGTTCCTTCAATGATATTTTATTTTCATGTCTTGTTTAGTGTTGGATTTAAACACAGAAACAGTTTTCCAAAGTGACAAAAGATCTGATCATTACTATTCAGTCTTCAAAGGCACCGGGAAATACCGTGTGTTACTGCATCCTCCTCGTTCCCTTTTTTAAGCAGCTTTATTGAGATATAATCTATATACTGTAAAATTCACCTATTTGACGTGTAAAGTTGGATTTTTTTTAGTGTATTTACAGAGTTTTGTAACTATCATCATAATCTAATTTTAGAACACTTTCATCACCCCAAATAGAAACCTCTTAGGCAGTCACTTCCCATCCTCCCCACTTCCTACCAGTAATCTCTTTATTGTCTCTATAGATTTGCCTATTCAAGACCATTCGAATAAATAGAATCATACAACATGTGGTCTGTTGTAACTGGCTTCTTTCTCGTAGATTAACGTTTTTGAAGTTAATCCATACTGCAGCTTTTATCAGTGCATCATTCTTATTAATTGCCAAATACTATTCCGTTGTAGAGATATAGCATACCTATCCATTCATCGATGGTAGGATTTGTGTTATTTCCACTTTCTTTTGCTTCTATGAATAATGCTGCTATGAACATTGATGTATCAGTTTTCATATGAACATATGCTTTTATTTTCCTCGGGTATATATCTAGGAGTGGAATTGCTGGATTATGTGGTAGCTTTATATTGAACATTTTAAGAAACTGCCAAACTGTTTTCCAGGCATCTGCATGTTACCTTCCCATCAATAATGTATGAGGGTTCCAATTTCTGTACATACTCACTAACACTTGTTATTGTCTTTTTTATTATAGCCATCCTAGTGGTTGTAAAGTGGTATCTCAGTGTGATTTTGATTCTATTGTGATTTGATTCTACTGACTAATGTAGCAAGTATTTTCATATACTTATTAGTTATTCACGTTTTTGGAGAAGTGTCTATTCAGATCATTTGCCTGTTTACAAAAATTTAGTTGTATTTTTCATTATTGAGTTGCAAGAATTCTTTATATATTCTGAATACAAGTCCCTTATTAGATATATGATTTACAAATATTTCCTCCCATTCTGAGTGTTATCATTCTATGTTCTTAATGGTGTCAGTT
Source organism: Homo sapiens (assembly GCF_000001405.40). Lineage (NCBI taxonomy): Eukaryota > Metazoa > Chordata > Mammalia > Primates > Hominidae > Homo > Homo sapiens. The sequence continues at coordinate 22,195,407 of NC_000011.10, forward strand.
GAAGCATACCCCCCTTATTTTTTTTTTTTTTTTATTTTTTGAGACAGGGTCTGGCTCTATTGCCCAGGCTGTAATGCAGGGGCATCATCTCTGCTTACTGAAACCTCTGACTCCCAGGCTCAAGCGATCCTGCCACCTCAGCCTCTGGAGTGTCTTGGACTATGGGTGCTGCACCACGACCTCCCCAGCTAATTATTATTTTTTTTATGAAGATGGGGTTTCACCCTGTTGCCCAAGTTGGTCTTGAACTCCACAGCTCAGCTGATCCACCTGACTTGGCCCCTCAAATTGCTGGGATTACAGATGTGAGCCACAATGCCCAGTCACACTCCCCCATTTTAAAAAAGGGCCTTTGTAATCTATTTATGCTTACATGTGATCCAAATTGTGCCTCTGATTAGGGTGGAGGTGAGAGAAATAGATATTGATGAGGAATACCGTATATTTGATGGCTGGGACTAATTACTGCATTCTGCCCAAATTCCTGTATCTAGATATATTCAAAGAACCAGAACCCAAGCATCAGGGAAGTGTGGCATTGATGAGATCAGGGCCTAAAGAGCAGCATAGTTCAGGCCACTCATATGACTCGTATATTTTTAGATGTTTCTTAGCATGTCAGTTCTTTTGCTGGTTTAGTTTTACTGCCCATTATTGAGACCTGTGTTCTTATTAGGTATCTTAGCCTACTTTTTTTTATTGCTATAACAGAATACCACAGCCTGGGTAATTTATAAAGAAAATATTTCGCTTTTGGTTCTGGAGTCTGGAAAGTCCAAGAGCATGGTATTGGCATCTGACAAGGACCTTTGTGCTGCCTCTTAACATGTTGGAAGGTCAAGGGAGCACATTAGACCAAGAGATAAATGTGTCCAAACTTATCCTTTCATTAGGAACCCAATTCTAATGTAACTGTTGCACTCCCATGAGAATGGCATGAATTCATTCATGAGGATGGAGCCCTCATGACGTAATCACCTCTTCAAGGCTCTACCTCCTAATACCATTACAATGACAGTTAAATTTCACCATGAGTTTTGGAGGGATATTTAAACCATAGCACTAAGATGTATGAAAAGTTCATTGTTATGAGAGTTTTTTTTTTTTTTTAATGAACATTCCAGTGGATTTTTAGAACTCTGCTTCCAGATATATTTTCTCTTGGATTTAAATGACACTGTTGGCTGGGTGTGTTGGCTCACGCCTGTAATCCCAGCACTCTGGGAGGCCGAGGCAGGTGGATCATTAGGTCAAGAGATCGAAACCATCCTGGCCAACATGGTGAAACCCCATCTCTACTAAAAATACAAAAATTAGCTGGGTGTGGTGACATGCACCTGTAGTCCCAGCTACTCGGGAGACTGAAGTGGGAGAATCCCTTGAACCTGGGAGGCGTACGTTGCAGTAAGCCAAGATTGCGCCACTACACTCTAGCCTGGTGACAGAGTGAGACTCCGTCTCAAATAAATAAATAAATAAAATAAAAATAAAATAAACGACACTGTTATGAAAACAAAAGTGTTGGCTGAAGAAGGCTGAAAAATTCAAGTTCCAGAGCATCAATTTTTAATAGCTACTTTCATTTCTATGTTTTAAAATATAAGAAGACTTTTTAGACTAAATTTACCCATATAGGTAAGCCTTGATTTTGTATGTGCTTTCTAAATCACCTTTAAATACTGAATATGAGAGTTAATTTATAAAATTGATTGTAAGAGAGACAACATAACATTTTGCCTTTTAGACTTAATAGATCTAAGATTTATTACATCTTCTCTACTTTTTTCACAATTAAACACATGAGGAATCAGTGATCTCCAATTGGCTAATTTCCTACTATCTTCTAATTTTAAAAATGAAATTCTAATGGCAGAAGTTAATAGAGCACTTAATTAGTTACATAAACAAACATTGCCAGTAAAATGTCATTGCTGGAATTTAACTTTTTTTTTTTTTTTTGAGGTCTTACTCTGTTGCCCAGGCTGGAGTGCAGTGGTGTGATCATAGCTCACCATAGCCTCAAGAAATGTTTATGCTTTAGCTGATTTATGATACAGTTGGTATTGGAAAAGACAGTTTGAGACTTTAGCATTGGAAAAGGCAGATTAAAACTTGAACGTTAGGTTGTTTGCATCTTTACGGCTATGTTAAGCATTGTGTCCAACTAAGCCATCCGTCTTTAGTAATGTTAATATTTGATTAGAAATATTTTATTTTATACTGCTAGTAAGAGTGTAAACTGAGAAGACCAGTTGGTAAGTACAAGTGCTATTTTTGGGCTGTGGATTTGCTGGAGTGTGTATTCTTAGTCATGTGCTTTCAGTGAAAACTCAAGACTCAGTCTTTAGGCTGGCTTTACTTTTGGCAAGTATTTGATGATTCTCCACAGTGATTGGTACCAAATCTTTCATATCCCTGGAATCTAGCCCGCAGGGAGAGTATAGTGCTATCCATTCATTTTAGAGGAAGTTGGAGGAATAGAAAGAAGCTGACAGAGTTGTTGGCTTCAAATCCTGCCTCTTCAGTCAGGCCTCAGTTTTGACAGAGGTTTTGGTGATTATGCATAGTCACAGCATCTTTATACTCCATGAGGGAGTATGAAAGTGTCTGAGTCTATGGTCTGTGTGAACATCTAATTGCAAGGGTGCATACATGTGAGAGAGCTAGCGAGCAGTAAGTGTGCAGGGGTGAGAGGGAGCATGGTGTGTGTGGAAGTAAATCTATCCTCTTGAATGTCCCGATGTTTCACAAAAGGATGCAGTTGACAAAATGTGTCTCTGTTGGTTCTCTGGAGCTGACAGTCTTGTGGAGGGATGTGTATTTGAGCTAGGTGTCCAGAGAGGGCTGCATTCAAGGTGGTATGGGAGCAGGTGGGAGGCCAATCCAGGGGACAGTTGAGGTTTCAGGCAAGGCCTGAAAGGAGGAGGTCTAGGCTGATATAATGTGAAAAATAAGCAAGAGTTAGAAAGGGAAGAAACAGTGTTAGTTCTAGAGAAAGAAAGCTGTAATTTTAAAGGTTAAAGTGTGAAAGGAGAGCTAGTAATAATAGGAGGTAATCTGGGGGATTCATATTGTCCCTTTTCCACATTCTCAAATAAATGCATCGCATCAAATTTTAATAGCAGCTTGAAAATATTTTTTCACCTACTTGTTTTATGTTAAATGGAACAAAAATAATTAGGAAAAAGAGGGGCTAGTGTTTGCAGTTTTTCAACTTTCTTTTTGTAAAAATAGAATTGTAAAACTCTTTAAACCTAGCTTAAGGTTTGCAGTTGCTTGATTGTTCTGTGATTGGAACTATATTTTGTTTGATGCATTGTTCTTTGGCATAATAGTGACTGTTTTTGTCCTTAAAAAAAAGCCTCTCTAAGTCAATGTTAACTATCATATCTTGAGACACAAGGCTTGTATTTCTTAGAATCCTATTCTTTATCTATTCACTGTAAAGCCATTCTAAATTGGTCTCCTTTTCATTCACAGATCTAACGAGAGATGATCAGGATCAGGATCAACTGAGTTTTGAGCTATGTGTTTAGGCAGTAATCATGGGTAAAACCCATTGATGATAATACTGCATGATGTTTAATATTTTTCAAGCATTTCCCTTTAGATTTGTATCTTTTACATGAGAAAGCCTGCACTCAGAAAGTTAAGTGGTATAGCTATAGTTGGTTAGTTTTCATGTTTTGCTTAGAGTAAAACATTTTAAGAGCAGATCCTGCAACACAAAGATCTGAATACAGAAGGAGTTATTTCGATTTTATTCTGACATTCTGAAACTTAGCCCAAGGAATTTACAGCAGTTTTGAAGCTTAACAGTAGAATAGAATAATAACAACAATATCAACAAGAATAACACCTGCTTACCTCCTATATGCCAAGTACATGCATTATCTATTTAGTGCTTACACAAACATTATGAGATAGACATACCACTTATGACAGCTGAGAGCTTTGAATTTATGTCATACTCTTGCAATGGATGCTAGGAAATGTTTTGTTTGCTTGAGTACATTACTACACCATATAATTGAGGTTCTATTAGCAAAGAAGGAGGAGGAGGAGGAAAGATATTTGTCAGTAGCCTGTAGCCTCTGCTGTATTAGTCACCCACCATTAAGTCTTTCCTATTTTATTAAAGGACATCTTCTCAAATTTCTCATGCTTAGGAGTCTTCTATTTCATCTTAACATAGTTTTATGAAAATAGGTATATTTTCTAAAACAAAGTAAATTTAGTGATAAGAGTGCATTGTTCTACTTTAAAAAAAATCTCTTTGATCTCTGGCCTGATAAAATATAGGTATTCTCGTATCTGCATTACATTCACTCTGTTGTGATGTGTTGTGTTTTGGTTGAAGTGTATGAAAAAAATCTGGCCTCTTAGAGATCTATAGTTGAAAAGGGAGGATAATTTTAGAAAGTTTTTGAATAATTATGGATATTCTTCTCTGATTTGCCCCCAAATTCAACGAATAATAGGTTCTTTAAAGTTAGATATAATGTAGAATTTGAAACCATTGAAATGAACTTTTATTTCACTGCTGCATTAAAATCTATTGGTCTGTCCTTCACTTTAAATGTATCTTTTTCTCATGCATGGTTTTGTAACATCATGTATTGCTTATTTGGAAAACAATTATCTACTGAGTTATACAGATCTTCCAAATGCTGACATATTTCATTTTAAAATACCAAAACGTAATGCTAACATCATCACTGATCTTATCAGGAATGCCTTGGGAATCTGTTAAGCACACAGTGACGGTCATAAGTTTACAAAAATTATTTCATTTGCAACTCAAATTTTGTCATTGGCAATAAATACTGTCAGGTGTTTTCCATGAAGTGATAGATTCATGTCATTAATGTTTGAGGTAATATCTGACAAATAGTCAGGTCTGTATGACTCTATATGTTTTCCCATCATACTTTCAACTAAAATGGTGTTTTATGAAAAATTTAGCTACTTTACCTTGCAATGTAAAGTACTTTTTCATGAGGCAACCATGGTACTTTGGAATGCAGCATCAGCGCTTCATGCATTCTTCCTGTTTCTTTATAGATTATTAAAAATTTGTGTGTTCAGGGTCAAGATTTTATAAACTTCATAAGCTTTACTGTTTATCAAGGACATTTTTAAGTTAAACTACATTTTTGTTTCTTTTTGTACTGAGAGTGCATGATGGTGGAGAATATAATGACTACTAATATAGTCTGGTGCCATAGCCTTGATTCACATGATGGCACCAGCAGTTTTATCCCATTGTTTTTGCATCACCAGTGCAAACGTCAACAGAATGAAAAAGACAAATATGGTTTTAATATTATTATAAAACTTTAAATACAAAATAAAATGTATAAATTTGACACATACAAAAAGTAAAATAAATTGTATCTTGATGGGGGATGGCAGACAGTACTTTAAAATTGCTGATATAGGATTTGAATTATCACCTAGAAGGAGAAGTTGTATGGGTGTGTTTTGTATGGGTGTGTTATGTATGTGTGTGAGTACTGTTGTCTCTCAGTATCCACAGGCATTGGTTTCAGGATACCCCACTGGTACCAAAATCCAAGGATGCTCAAGTCCCTTATATAAAATGCCATAGTATTTGCATATAACCTATGCACATCCTTGTGCATGCTTTAAATCATTGCTAGATTACTTATAATATGTAATACAAAGGAAATGCCATGTAAATATTTGTTATACCTCTTTGCACAGTGCCTGGTGCATGGCAAGTTATCATTATATTTTGGCTTTTCATTTGCAGCCACAGTGAAAAACTTGGCTCCCTTGTCAGCTCGCTCATTCAATTTTTCAATAAATGTTTATCAGCCGTCTTTCATTTGCCAATCAGTGTGCTAAAAGAACAAAATCAAAAATTGTGCTCACTTTTCAGAAACTTATCTTCTTTTGCGGATAAAAAGATAGTAATTAAAATGCACAAATATTCGTGTAAAATTGAAACCCTGACAAGTGCAAATAGAGATATATCAGATGCTTTGAACTAGCCAGATATGTGAAAGAAGGCTTCCCTGGGGAGAGAGTGACTTTCAAGCTGATATCTGAAGGATGTGAAGAATTACCCAGGGCAAGGTGGGGAGAGAGAGAGTGTGTTATTCCCTTTTGTGCTGTTATAACAGAATACTACAGACTGGGTAATTTATAAACAATAGAAGTTTATTTGGTCCATGTTCTGGAAGCTGGGAAGTCCAAGGTTGGGGACCACGTCTGGTGAGCCCCTTCTTGCTGTGTCATAACATGGTGGAAGGCATCACTTGGTGAGAGAGCATGCACACATGAGATGGCCTAACTTTCTTTCATAACAAATCCATTCTTGCTATTACAAATCTATTCCTGTGATAACAGTGCTAATTCATTTATGAAGGCAGAGCACTCATGACCTAATCACCTCTTAAAGGGCCTACCTCTCAACATTGTTGCATTGCAGATTGTTTCTGACACATAAACTTTGGGAGACAAATTCAATCCATAGCAGAGAGCATTCCTTACAGAGGAATAATTGTGTGTTAAGGCCCCTCAAAGAGGGAGAATGGAACTGAAAGAAGGTATAAGGATCTGAAAGGAGACTAGTGGGCCAGACTTAAGAGCGTGAAAGGGTGAGGTTGGAGAGGTTGGTTGGTTTTAGTTAATTTTAAAGAATTTTATTGTTTGCCAAAGGCAAAAAACTCATATCAAGAATGACCCCATCTTATACTAGCAAAGCTATGACCCATAAATCTGCTTTTTAAAATAAAATAAAATTATAAATAAAATAAAGCTTTCTTACAAACCAGTGTTTATTTTCACATACAGCCTCGTTTTAACCAATGTACAGATCAAAACTCAAAATATTCCTCTGCAGAAAACTTTGGACTTTATTCCCTAGCTGACCTATAATGGTTGAATTTCTGTCAAGTATAAATTTATGTATATAATGGGCTTAATTATTTAAGAGAATAACTGAGGGATTTGTGTGATCTTTGAAAAGGAATTGGACTGTCATACTTGGGTTGTGAAAAAGCTATACAAATGGTAGATTTTTTAAATTTTTTTTTGACTTATACAATTGCTTTATTTTATTATTTTTTACTTATAAGAACAAGCATTTATTTCTCACAGTTCTGGGTGCTATGAAGTCTAAGATCATGGTACTGAACTCAGTGTCTGGTAAGGGCTTGTTTCCTGGCTCATTAATGCCATCTTCTTACTGTGTCTTCACATGATGGAAGAGGGAAAGCAGCTCTCTGGAATCTCTTTAATAAGGGCTCTAATCCCATTCATAAGAGCTCTGCACCATGAGCACATTCAGACTACAGCACCTGAAATACTTAGTGTTTTTTGGCTTTGTAGACACATCATTCTGATTTCTGCTTTTATCTTCACACTGCCTTCTTCTGTGCCTCTGTTCCCTCTTCTTTTCTTAGGAGGACATCCATCATTGGATTTAGGGCCCACCTTAAATCCAGTATAACTTCATCTCTAGATCATTAACTAATTACATCTGTAAAGACTACATTTCCAAATTAGGTTTCAGTCTGAGGTTTGAGATGGACATGAATTTTGGTGTAGGAGAGACATTAGTCAACCCCTACAATAGGTCAATATCAAGTTTCCATATAATAAAGTGTCTTGTTCTGGGCTCTCTGTTCAGTTTCATTCGCCAGTTTTTCTATCGTATTTCTAAAATTATGGTCACTAACTTGAACTTAAAGTGCTAACATTTTATGTGGTTCCCATTGTGATATTTTCTCCAAAAAAAATATATAGGAAGTTTTTGACTTAAATATATCTTAGGGCTTTTTCAAGTTGGAACCACTAGAAAATAAGAATTTCAGTTCTGTATTTAACTTTTTTAGTGTCATAAACTTACTTGAACATGTATTTTAGTGCAAACGACTAAATGCATTACCATTACGGAGCTATCTGTATGTCGGGAAAGTACTCTGGCCTGTGTAGAAACTGGTAGTGTTCTATATACAAGCTGTCTGGTTTGATTTCAGGAAAATAAGGTGAGAGAATATGAAATCTCATGTGGTGAGAACTAAAACATATGAATGGACACCCTATTGGGTATTTAACTCTCAGTGGTTTTGTGGTTATAGGTTGATAACCACATTGATCAGAGTTAAGTTTATTTCTCAGTAATTGAGATTGTATTTTACACATCAGTATTTTATGCTTTTCCTGTTATAGGCAGTTTTAGGTAAGACTTCTTTTGGAGTCTGTTTTAAACAATTTAGCTCCGAATCATCTTGTATCTTTTCTTCTAGTATTTTTTCTTTGAATTTTTTAATTCATTCAATTCCTATTTTTTCCTTACACAGACTTTTGAATATGTTCTGATCAGTGGCTAATTTAACATGTTTTTCTCTTTCTTATTTAATTTAGGGGAAAAAGTCAATAAGCATATAGACTACTCTTTCCAAATGAGTGAGGTAAGTTAAATATATATGCATTAACTTCCTTATAAGTCAGAATAAAAAATCAAGATAAGGTTAACTAAGCCTTTGTACTTATTTACTTATAATACATTCTATTATGCCCTCTAATTTATTCATTTTTTAAGTAGCTAAAGCAAGTTCCATGTTCCATGCAGATTTAATATTGGATCTTTTCTAGATGTTATAAGGGAACAAATAGATCTTTGATTTGTTTTGAGGCTCCCTGTGAAATAAACTCAGATATGCTGATCATTGATATGCAAGATACTAGTATTTGGCTTAACATTTTGCTATAATATAATGTTAGTGTAGTCTGTGATAGCTTATTATTTTACAGTTATTAGTATGATTAGTGCTTATCTATGACTATACTGGAGTTCAACCTGAATTGCATAAACACATTAAATAGAATAATAAATAAATTAAATACTACTTGTAAAAATACAGAATTCTTTTAACCAAAGGACTTCTTATATAAATTTTAAGAACCATACAAACAATTTATATTGCTTCTATACTGAATATAAGCATGTTAAAGGCATTTCAATGAAATCATTTTTCTGATAGACTCTAGTTGATAAAGAATCCCATGCATAGCTCTCACAGAGGTAGACGTCCTTGAGTGGTTTCAGGATGTCCTGCCAGATATAAACAGGATTTAAAAAGAATTTCCAGGAATGATTGAAATTTCTGCTTGGAAAACACGTCCTTCTAGAATAGGTTGGCTATTTGCTAGTTGGCTGGATAAGCTCATTAAGATTCCTAGAAGTTACAGGGTTCCTTTAAAAGTTCAGTGACCCACTAGTCAGAATGGCTATTGTTAAAAAAATCAAGAAATAACAGATGCTGGTGAGGCTGTGGAGAAGAAGGAATGCTTATACACTGTTGGTGGGAGTGTACATTAGTTCAGGCATTGTGGAAGATGGTGTGGCAATTCCTCAAAGACCTAAAGATAGAAATACCATTCGACCCAGCAATCCCATTACTGGGTATATGCCCAAAGGAATACAAATCATTCTTTTTTAAAGACCCATGCATGTATATGTTCATTGTAGCACTATTCACAATAGCAAAGACATGGAATCAACCTAAATGCCCATCAATGATAGATTGGATAAAGAAAATGTGATACATATATATCATAAAATACTATGGAGCCATAAAAATGACAAGATCATGTCCTTGGCAGAAACATGGATGGAGTTGGAGGCCCATTACCTTTAGCAAACTAATACAAGAACAGAAAACCAAATACCCCATGTTCTCACTTATAAGTTGGAGATAAATTATCAGAACACACAGATACATAGAGGGAAACATCACACGCTGGGGCCTTTTGGAGGATGGAGGGTGGGAGGAGGGAGAGGATCAGGAAAAACAACTAGTGGGTATTAGGCTTAATACCTGGATGATGAAATAATCTGTACAACAAGCCCACATGACATAAGTTTATGTATGCAACAAACCTGCACTTGTATCTCTGGACTTAAACTAAAAGTTAACAAAGAAAAGTTCAGCGACCTAAATGCTGAGAGAAACAGAATATGAGAACCAGAGGGAACTATGAAGATCATATAGGACAGTGATTTTATAGTGTAGTTTGCAGATCAATATACAAACAAGAATAAGAATTATATGAAGAATTTCTTAAAACTGTAGACTCTTGGGCCCAGGCTGTCTCAAAATAAAATAAAATAAAATAAAATAAAATAAAATAAATAAAAGGAAAGTAGAGCAAAACAACCCCAAAGCAAGTAGAAGAAGGAAATAATAATAAAAGCAATTGAAAACCAGAAAGTATTAGAAAAAATCATTGAAACCAAAAGCTGTGGAAAGATACATAAAATTGACAAACCTTTAGCCAGACTGGCAGAAAGGGAGTTGCGCTGGGACATATGTAACCAATATCGGGAATAAAGCAGGACATATCAATATGGAATTTGTAGATACCAAAAAGATAATAAAGGAATACTACTAACAACTCTACACACATAAATTTGACAACTAAGATGAAACGGACCAATTCTTCAAGAAGCACAAACTACTATAATCCACTCAACGTTAAAACAATAATTTGAATAGCCCTGTAGCTACTAAGTAAACTGAATGTGTAATTTTTAAATTCCCCTGAAAGACCTCTTCAGGCTTAAATGGTCTCATTGGAGAATTCTACCAAATGTTTAAAGAAGAATTAACATTAATTTTATACAATCTCTTCCAGAAAATAGAAGAAAAACAGATGCTTCTCAATTCATGTCGGATCCCTACGTAACTTTGATACCAAAAGAGACAGACAGTTTAAAAAAAAATGAAAACAAAAAACCTAAAAGTTGGATCCCTCATGTACATAGATACAAAAATCCTTAGTAAAATATTAGCAAATAAAATTCAGTAATATAAAAATAATTATGCAACATGGCCAGGTAGGGTTTACTCTATTGATGGAAGGCTCCATTCATTTTTGTGTGCGTGTGGAAAGGGACAGAGTCTTGCTCTGTCACCCAGGCTGGAGTGCAGTGGCACGATCTTGGCTCACTGCAACCTCCACCTCCCAGGTTTAAGTGATTCCCCTTCCTCTCCTGAGTAGCTGGAACTACAGGTGTATGCCATCACACCTGGCTAATATTTATAATTTTAGTAGAGATGGGGGCTTCACCACGTTGGTCAGGCTGGTCTCGAACTCCTGACCTCAAGTGATCCGCCTACCTTGGCCTCCCTAGGTGCTGAGATTACAGGCTTGAGCTACTGTGCCTGGTCTCCATTCATTTTTTGAAAAACAATTGGTATACTTCACCAAAGGCTAAAGAATAAAAATCATGTGATTTTTATCAGAAAAAATATTGTCAAAATTTAACTTCCATTTATTAAAAATAAACACAAACTCTCAGAAAACCAAGAATAGAGAGGAACTATTTTAACCTGATAAGGAGCATCCACACAACACTTACACTAACAGTATATTTAATAATAAAAGACTGAACACTTTCTTCGTAAGATCAGAATGTCCTCACTTACCCTTCTCATTAAATATAGTACTGACAGTTCTTGCAATAAGACAAAAAAATAAAATAAAAGGTATTCAGATCAGAAAGGGACAAATAAAATTCTCCCCATTTCCAGGTGACATGACGATGTACATAGAAAATCCCAAGAAATCTACAAAATTAAAGACAAAAACAAAATTTCCTAGAACTGAGTTTAAGAAGGTTGTAAAAAATAAGAAAATTATATAGAAATTAGTTATATTTCTATATACTGGTAATGAGAATGTGGAAACCCAAATTGGTATATAAGTTAAAATATCTGTATGACATTTCATAGACATAGGCAAGATTATTCAGAAAATTTTATGGAAATACAAAGGAAGTAGAAGAGATAAAATGATTGTGAAAAAAAGAAGAAAGTGGGAGAAAACCCTCTATGTTATTTTAAGACTTGTTCTTTAGCTGCAGTCTAATGAAGACTGTGTGATATTTGGAGAAGGATAGGCATGTAGATTAATGAAACAGAATAGAGATCCCAGAAATAGCCTCACACAAGTACAGCCAAATGATTTTGGACAAATGTGCAAAAGCAGTTCAATGGAACAAACAGGCTGGAGCATTTGTATATTCATAGGCAAACTTATGAACTTAACCTAATTTTATAACTTATACAAAATTAATTCAACATTGATCATGGACTAAATGTAAAATGTAAAACTATACAATTTTTTGAAGAAAAAATGGATCAAACTGTTTGGAAATTAGATCTTGGTGAAGGGTTTGTAGTTATGTCATATCTGCAAACAAAAACATTATTAATGAAAAGCATTGATAAATTGGAGTTTATCAAATGTAAGAATTATTGTTCCCTGAAAGATCCTGTTATGATGATGAACAGACAGGCTACAGACTGGGATAAATATTTGCATATTCTGTATCAGACAAAGTACTTGTATCTATGATTTATAAAGAACCCATAAAATTTAAATATTTTACAAGAAAAAATGCCCAGTTAGAAAGTGGGCAAAATACATATTGAGATCTTTCACTAAAGAGGAAATATGATGGCAAATAAGCATATGAAAAGATCTTCAATATCACCAGCCACTAAGAAATGCAAAATAAGATCAAAGTGAGATGTCAGTATATGCCTATTAGAAGAGCTAAAATATAAAATAGTGACAATACAACTTACTAGTTAGGATGCAGAGAAACTAGATCTCTCACACAATGCTGGGGGAAACATAAAATGATACAGTCACTCTGGAAAACTGTTGGGCAGTTTCTTAAAAATCTAAATTATGATTTTCATGTAAGTTGGGTAATCATACTCTTGGGCATTTATCCAGCAGAAATGTAAACATATATTCATACGCAAAACCTAAACACAGATATTCACAGCAGCTTTATTTGTAGTAGCCGAAAGTGGAAACAACCTAAGTGTCCTACAGCAGGTGAATGGTTAAACAAAGTGTGGCACAGCCTTATCATGTAAAACTACCCATCAGTAAAAAGGAACAAACTATTAATAAACACAACTTGGATAGATCTCCAGGACATTGTGCTAAGTGGAAAAAAATCTTAAAGGAACACATATGTTATGATTCCATTTTTATGACACTTCTGAAATGACAGTATACAGATGGAGAACAAATTAGTGATTTCTAAGGGACATGGATGTTGAGGGGAAGGAAAATGGACATAAATTTAAAAGGGTAGCATGAGGAAGATCCTTGTGGATGGAATAGCTCTATACCTTGACAGGGCTGGCTCTTACCCAATTGTACACACGTGACAAAATGACCTCCAACTATACAGAGACATTGTACTCATGTCAGCTTCCTGATTATGATATTTTACTGTGGTTATGTAAGATGGAAATAACCATTGGAGGAGACTGGGTAGGGGTTACATGGGATCTGTGTGTATTATTTTGGCAAATTCCTGTGAAGCTATAGTTATTGCAAAATAAAAAGTTAAAAAAAGTGAATACAACTTATTTCACTTTCCTCAATGCTAAATTATATTTTTTCTGACACTCAAATGCAATAAAAACAGGCTCTACACATTGCAGTCAATTTTTTTCACCCCATCTATGGGCAGGAGGCAGGCAATTTTCAAAAAAAATAAGTATTATAGCATATTCATTCAACTATTGGATTGAGGCAGAACTAGAATCAATGGATTTTTATCCAGTAACAAATTTATAGATATGATGAATGTTTTTAGGCTTTTACAAGACAGAAGTATAAGAATTGTAGGTTCATTATTTCAAAATTATTTTATGTTTGAAAAGGTCTTCTGTGCTTTCATGATTGCTTAAATATTAAAAAGCTATTCTAGTTTTACCTCTGATTTACAATTAGTATGAGTCCATCATTGGACATTGTTACAGTCTTGTTGGAAATCAGAAAATGCATGTGAATTAAACATGCATGACATGATTAATATATTTATTACATGATCACTAGAAAGTAACAAACATTAATTTTAAAAAGTCAACATTTATGGAGAACTTCCCATGTATTATTTAATCTCACTGTATGGACTTTATGGTTTGGAGAGGTTAACTTGCTCAAGTTTACAAATGTAATCAGTTTTACATATGTATTTAATGGGGTTTATATAATTGAAGAAAAAGGTTATGAGGCAAACTGAAACTATATAAATTGTTTTATTGTTATGTCTCCTATGTTTTGGAGCTGGGATTCTGAACACAGGTAATCTGATTCTAAAGCTCCTTATTCACTGTATAATATTTCTTTAAGAATGCTGTTTTAAGAATTGTGTCTAGAAGTACATCAAGGATTCTCGTTTTGCCTAAGACTATTCTTAGTAAGAAATGAGACAATGACATACTCAGCAAAATGAAGAAGTAATCTAAGTTATTTTATTTTACATTCTGCAAAGTGAAGATATAACCCCATCTTTTGATTGGAAATCAGAGCAAAGATTTTTCCTAAAAGGAGAGATTGTAAAATGACTAGCCTGGTTGCTTTTGAATATATGGTTTTCTTCTATGCTTCTGTAAGCAAAACAACTAACATTTCTCTAGGATAATTGGAAAAACTTATCAGGAGTCAATATAAATGAAACTATAATAAATTTGTTTATTGTCTTAGCAGAAATGTAGCTGCACAGCATATTTTTAGAGGCTACTATTTCAGAATTGAGTGATCAAGATACTCATTCACTTCATTTGCTATCTGTTGTATTTAGACGAGCTAGTGGAATTCATTCAAGGTCCACAAGTAGATATAATCACATATAAGTGGATTCTAATTATAACTGTATTTTAGGCCTGTATTTACTCACAGATTCTCAGTCTTCCCACAACTTTTCCCACCGGTTTCAGTATTACTTTAGTACAATAGATTGCATTATCTTGTAATTTATATTAAATATAGTGGTATGAAAATTGTACATTTTCAAAATTATCTTTCATTCTCTTTTAAAGAACACAGAGAAATTACTGCTTTTGTGGCACATTCTGTTACTTTACTTTTGTAGCATTAGGTATATTTCCAAGGTGCTCTTTGAGTATGTTGTAAATATGTCTGTTACACATTTTATCTGCTATTTTGAAAACTGATTTGCCCAGCATTATTTGGGCATAATGAGATACTGATTGTGATTTTTCCAAGAACAAGGTAAGTGAATTACAATCTGGACATGAATTTCCGATCATTTCTGTTGGTTGATGTCTCTCCATAGTATTATATTGTACCTGTCACTAGAGACTGCTGAGAAGTCATTGGGTGTTATCTCAGGTCTGTGTCCTGTGGTGTGTGGACCATCGTGTAACCTAAGGAATTGGGAATCCACCATATACAGAGGGAGGCATCCCTATTGTGTTAATTATAAGTGGTTTGTGTGTATTTTTATACATGTATGGCTTTTTTTGAAGAGGTTATAAATTCAAATTATTAAGAATCCTGATGGTGTATTTTCCAAGGTATTCCCTTTAATGATTTCAAACAAATGTTGAAGGGCGTAAAATAGCCAATTAATTCTGCCTTTCCTGTTGGTCCTCTTCAGGATGCAGCATCATAAAAAGATTAGACCTCCTTGTTATTTCTCAGTAATGTAGTAGTTCTTAACCACTTCTTGTATCTGATTTCTTTTATGATTTGATAAAGCTACCTCCCAAATACTAATTCTCTCTGAAGCTCACTCTCTTTCCTCACTGCACAGACAAACACACCCTGCCCCACAGGCACATTTACAGATACATAGCACACATACATGAACACACATGCACATGCATACACATATATGCCCACAGTTTTGCATATGATTTAATGTGGTTCCAGATTAAGTGTTTCTGCATAGAGATTACAGAGTTGTTACTGAAACTTAAAAGCACCCTTTGCTCCACCTGCACTATTAATAATAGCATTATATCTTCCCCTGGTACTGTTAGCAGAGCCTGAGCAGCAGAGAGACCAGCTTTCTCATCAATGAAGAAACAATGGTAAGCAGCGACCAGTACTATCCTTTCTTGCATGGACACAAATGGGGCATCTTTTTGTAGTCTGCAATGATGATACTCTTTTCCAGTTCAGTTATTTGACATGCTCTCATACATGGTATTTGAGAATATATTACTTTAGAAAAAAAAAATCAGTTTCTTTAGGTGGGGGGAAAACACATCAGACATATCAGTGAGAATGACGCACTGAGTATAACACTTTGCTTGGATTTTATTTTTTCTATGAGAAAATGAAGGGTCTAAGAGGTGTAATGACTTGACCAAAGTTATTGATATGTTTAAGGGGTTGATGCTTGACTACACTCAAGTTTCTGAGGCTTACTTAGTTCAGTATTCTTTCTCCACTGCATCACTCTTCTTGTCTTTAAGTACATGCCTGAGGATAATCATGAAAAAGTACAATTCATTTAAAAATCAAACTTAAATATCAATTAAAAGGTTGGTAAGGGGACCTGAAACTTTTCATTAGTTGCCTAGCAAGTAAAAAATGCCTTTTGGGAAGATGGGGAAATAGAGTTATATTCCTATACTGATAATTTTAGCAAGGATGATAGTTTGCTTTTCACTAGAGTACTAATCTTTAGTGTTTTGGAATGAGGATTGTGATATTGATCAAATTAAAACAATTGAAATGTTTTGTTTTCTTTTTAAATTTATTTTTACTTTTTTTTTTTTACTACATAAAGCATTTTACATGATTCCAAAGTTGAAATCCACAGATCAAATAACATTTAGATGAGCCTAAAGCTTATACAATTTTGATATCACTCTTTAAGAAACATATGGAAAAATATTTTCCTTTAAAACATTTACGAAAATATTTTACCACGAGAACACATTGCTGGAGTCCTTCCTAAACCCTTGGAAGGGGTAGATGCAAGTAAGATGCCCTGAAGATTAGACTTTATTAGCTTGAAGGTAAATCTGTCTTAGCTTGAAGGTAAATCTGTCTTAGGTTGAAAATATGAAACAAAGTGTTTTCAGAGAAATCTTTCTTCTTTGTCCTCTCAGTCTTTTTGTATAATAGTTAGCATTTTTGTTTGGTTTATTTTTCCAATGCTATTACAAATGTTGCTAAAATGAATACCCTTGGGAATTAGTCTTATAATATTTTGGTCATTTTATTTTTCTGCATGGAATTCATTTATCAGAGAATAAAGGTATATATAGTAATTTGTAATTTTCCCATATATTGCCAAATTCCCCTGCCTTTTGTGTTTGTAACAAACCTGTGAAAGTGGCTGTTTCCCCACAACCCTATCAGCAGTGTGTTGTTATGCTTTTAGATTCTTGCCTGTCTCATGGTACTGAGATAGATAATGGCTATTGGGAGGTATTTCACTTGGCACAGTATCTTAGTATCATTTAAAATTGCATTTCTCACAACATGTGTGAGATATTCATCTTTTTCTACATTGAGTGGTCATTTAAATTTATTTTGCTATGTCACTCTGTTCATATATCTTGTCCATTTCCTGTCAGGTTTTGTTTTTTTTTTTACTCTTGATTTTTTTGGAGCTCTTTATATATATTTATTGTTATCTCCTTGCCTGTACAGAAGTTGCAGATACTTTCCTCAAATATGTTAAATACATATAATTTAATTTTTAAATTCTAAGTGACTTTAAAATGATGTATGATATTTGATTCACTATGTTGACATTGTCTTTGATTAAACAGTAAGTTGTTAAACAGTAGACTTCTTTTTAAAAATATACTTTATTTTAATATAGTTTTAGATTTTATTATAAATCTATTTATTATAAATAAAATCTAAACAGAGTTTCTTATACCCCACACTGATTTTCTCCTATTATTAGAATCTTACATTAGTATGGTACATTTGTAACAATTAATGAACCTATATTGGTGCATTATTATCAAATAAAGTTCATGCTTTATCCAGATTTCCTTAGTTTTCCCCTAAGATCCTTTTCCTATTCCAATATCTCATTGAGGATGCAGCATTGCACTTAGTAGTCATGTCTCCTCAGGCTCCTCTTGGTTGGGACAGTTTCATGTACTTCTTTTGATTTTTATATCCTTCACAGCTTTGAGGAGTACTGGTCAGGTATTTTGTAGAATGTCCTTAAATTGGGACTTTCCTGATTTTTTTTTTTATGATTAGACTTGGATTATATGTTTTTGGAGGAAGATAATAGAAGTGTCGTTATCTTCATGTCATATCAAGGGTATATTCTATCAACATGACTTAATCACCCTTAATGTTTTAACCTTGATTACCTGGCTTGAAGTAATGTTTAGCAGATTTATTCACTGTAAAGTTACTCTTTTTTTTTTCTCCCTTTCCATACTGCAATCTTCAGATGAAAGTCACTATTTGCAGCCTACACAAAAGGATTGGGATTATGCTCTCCCTCCTTATAGGTGAATCCATTATTTGGAATTGTTTTGTGTGTCGGGGAGATCTTTCTTCCTTTCTTTTTGTCAGTGTGTACTTATGGATATTTATTTTATACTTTATGTTATAAACCAAATACTACTTTATTTTCTTGCTCAAATTGTTCTAGCTTTGGCTATTGGAAGTGGTGTTTTGTTTTTTGTTTTGTTTTGTTTTGTTTTGTTTTGGGACAGCATCTTGCTCTGTTGCCCAGGCTGGAGTCCAGTGGCATGATCATAGTTCACTGCAGCCTTAGATTCCTTGGCCCAAGTAATCCTCTCACCTTGGCCTCCCTGAGATTACAGGAGTACACCACCACATCCAGCTAATTATTATCATTATTATTATTATTTTGGAAATTGGGTCTCACTGTGTTGGTCAGGCTGCTCTCAAATTTCTGGGCTCAAGCAGTCCTCCCTTCTCAGCTTCCTGAGTGGTTGGAATTACAAGACATAAGCCACATCACTTGGCTGGAAGCTTTTCAGTTGACTCCTGTGTTTCCTTGGTATACCCCTATTATTGTGTTTAGTTTTGTTTTGAGTATTTTCCTTCTTTCTGACTAGATGCTCCAAATTCATTTTGTACATTTCCTGCCTCAGTCCTAGAATCAACTGTGTACCCAGGGAAGTTTGGTTTTTTTTAAATATATCATAGAAATATCACAAAAGAAAAATCTGTATAAATTAGGGTCCTGTTAGGCCTACTCAGTGTAGGATAATTTGAGAAGGACTTCTTAAAAAGACTTTTTACAAAGATGGGGTGTAAGGGAATCTCAGCATATATAGGTGTAGTAATCTTGAATTTATTAAAATCCATAGAACTGAAGGGAATAGGGTAAGGAGAACTTACTGGAACCCAGAAGGAAGAACTCATATACTATAGACATTATCAAGAGGCTCAATGATCTTTGGTGAGGGGACACAATCTTCCTGAATTCAACCTTAGGAAGGAAAACACTATCTATTCTTTCCAATCATTCGTGAGAAGCAAGAGGTCAAGGGAGCTCTTTGGTTACCTGCACAGGACAAAAAGCAGGGTAGAGAGGAGTGGAGAGGGAATGTGCTGGGATAATCCAACGTAATATCACTGGATATGTTTTTGGGTAAAAAAATGGAGTCTTGCGGTTCCTACTGTGATTATTATGACAGAAACTCTATATCAATTATTTTATAAATATTTAATAATGCAATTTAAAATTCTATTTGAAACAAAATAGTGAAAAGTGAATGAGTACCTAAATGATTACAGAGATTGTCAGTATAGAAATGTCACTAAAGCCACTAAATGAAATACAGAAAGATGGAAACTATTATGCTTAAGAGAACCTATCTTAGAGTGACTACTGTAGGGGATTGGACAGAATAGTTTGGTAAGTATTTAGAGTTTAGTAAGCAAAGAATGGGAATTGAAAAGACACACTAAAGGTTGCTTAAATAACGACAGATATGCAATTAACAGATTTTGAAGGAGTATGGGCCTTGATCACCTCAAGGATGATATTCCAAATATTTAATAACTGATATGGCACAGGCACAAACCAATCAGAAGGAGTCTTTGAGTAAAATGACAAGAAGCAATTAGTGTCATATTAGCACAGTATTTATAATTGATCTGTGCATGTATTTAGATATTATCACCTTATGATTCAGTCATTAATTCAGTCTCCTAGTGATTTCATCCAGTTTCATGGCTTTAAATACAATTGATATGCCATCTCAATTCTCAAATTTGAGTTTCAAGTGTAGTCCTTTCTCCTCAACTTCACTTTTAAATATCCAAATGCTTTCTCAGCATATGCATATGGATGTCTAAAAGCTATCTCAAGATTAATATGTCCAAAATGTAATTCTTTATCTTCCCCTGCAAAAAAACTGCTTGTCTGAAGTCTTTCGCATCTCAACAACATGCATTATATTCTTTTCGTTGCTCACATCAGAAATTTATGAAAAAAGTTTTCATCTTCATTGGTTCTACATTAAATACAATAAAATGCACCCATTTTAAGTGTGTAGTTTGATGAGTTTTAACAAACTATAATTTATGTAGAAAATTTCCATTACCTCAAAAATTTCCCTTTAGCGGTTTTCCTCCTACCATATTCTAGCAACCGCTGATTTGTTTTTCTTTCTAATGTAATATATAAATGGAATTTTACAGTATACACTATTTTGTATATGGCTTCTTGCTGCTTTTGCTCGTCACAATGTTTCTAAGACTCATGCAAAACTCCAAATATTACTAATAAATTCATTCTTTCTGAATATATCTGTACTAGAGATATTATTGTTTATTTTATTGCTCAGTAATATTTCATTGTATGGATATACTGAAATTTATTTGTCCACTCATCCATTGATGGATATTTGGATAGTTTTCAGTTTCAAGACCATTATGAATAAGGCTATTATGAACATTCATGTAAGAAGTGTTTTTAGAGATGTATGTTTTCATTAATCTTGGGTAATTTCCTAGGAGTAGAATTTCTGGGTCATGTGGAAAATATAGGTGTAACTTTATGTAAAACTGTCACACTATTTTTAAAAGTGGTTGTACCATTTTTTATTCCTGCCAGCAATGTACGAGAGTTCTTTTTGCTGTACATCTTCACCAACATTTGATATTGATATTGATATTGATAGCTTTTTAATTTCAGTAATTCTAGTGGATAGGTAGTAGTATCTTGTGATTTCAATTCTCATTTCTTTTTTAAATAATGATGTTGCCCATCTTTTCATGGGCATATTGGACTTTCATAGATACTCTTTTATGAACTGTTCAAATCTTTTCTGCATTTTAAAAAAATGAGTTGATTATCTTTGTATTGACTTGTAAGAGTTGTTTATGTATTCTGGATGCGAGACCATTGTCAACCTTACTTATTGTGAACATTTTCTTCCAGTTTGTTGCTTGCCTTTTCGTTTACATAGTGTTTTTAGAAAAGCACATTTAGAAGTATATAAATTCAATTTCTCATATTTTATCTTTTATCATCCATTCTTTTTATGTTCTATTTAAGAAATATTTGCCTACACCAAAGTAGGGGAGATTTTCTAAGATTTTCTTCAGTTTTATAGTTTTAGTTTTTATGTTTAGGTCTGTGATCCATGGAAGTCATAATGTGGCCCTGCATGGTCCTTTAGTGTGGGAGTCTTTCATTTTTCTTAACAATTCTTTAATGAATTTAGGGAAAACATCTGAGAAAAATAGTAACCTGTGAATCTCATGAAAGATACCAAGAAAATAAAAACACTGAGATGAAAAATTTCAGGCCATCAGAATAATATAGGTTAAAATATATTTTATGTAATGACCAACATTTGTCTTGTATCTTTTGTATTTTAAAACAACAGCAATACTAACTCCTCTGTCTATATATAGAAGACATTAGTTTACAGGGCAGGAATTTTCCCTCCAATAGTCACCAGTTGCTTAGACTTCTTCAGCCTATTCCAGGAAGAGACTAGTTTAAGTAATTGTATTGGATTATTTATCCATGCATTACACTATAAAATACACTCAATTCTTGCTCATTTATGCTATAGGTTTGGTTTTCTTTCAAATATAGTTGAGTATCCCAGATATTTTTAGGTAATTGACCCTGTATTTTAAATAATGACCATGTAATTGAAGATTGGAGATAACTGAGCATTTGAATAACTGAATGACTTTTTATGTATTCTATTATATTGCATGCTCATTAAATTAAAAAAAAAACCTGGGTAAACTTTCCATACTACACATCATATCAGTATAAATGTGGTAATTTTAATTTCTTTTCCTGATATATACAGGCATACTTAACAAAATATCTATTTTACTTTATATTTTTATTATTTTCATGTTTTCCTTTATTATTATTATTTTTCTCTTCTCTTCCTTAATTACATCCTTTGCAGGGACATGGATGTAGCTGGAGGCCATTATCCTTAGCAAACTAACACAAAAACAGAAAACCAAATACTGCATGTTCTCACTGATAAGTGGGAGATAAATGATGAGAACACATGGACTCATAGAAGGAAATAACAAATGGGATCTTTTGGAGGGTGGAGGATGGGAGGAGGGAGAGAAGCAGGAAAAATAACGACTGGGTACTATGCTTAATAACTGGGTGATGAAATAATCTGTACAACCAATCCCCATGACACATATTTCCTTATGTAACAAATCTGCACTTCCTGCACATGTACTCCTGAACTTAAAAAAAAGTAGAAATAAATAAAATAAAATATAAATCCACAAATATTTATTATTTTTAGTCACTATTTAAAGAATTTAGGAAAATTTACTTGAGTCTCCTTATTTTCTTTACCTGTTTATTGCTTTCTTCCCATTTTTCTTCTTTTTTTCCTTGCTAATTTGTATCCTCCAGTTTGAAATATCACACACACACACACACACACACACTTATAAAATGATCATACCAAGGGTTAGTTTGTCTTTGTCTTTTTTTTGGAATCTTTACTGTAATTCTGGGCAGGAAGTGCTAATTCTTTATTGGTTGCTTCACAGCCTGCAAAGCGATTCAATTTGTTCCTGAGGCGGCGGCTTATGGTAAAACCAGTGCTGAATGATGCTGCTTATGCTCTGAATGGCTGCAGTGGTAGCCTTAGTTATTTTTCTTCTAATGAATACTTTGATTTGGGGGAACATTGTCACTAATTCCTAGTCCCCAGGCAACTGAAGTTTAAGAATAGTGATTCTTAATTTGTTCTGGATTTGGATTAAATCTATAGATCCTCTTCCTAAAATGTATGCACATTCTCACACATACACGTAATTCATACAGTTTCAGTGGTTTATGAACTCTCATCAGGAATGCAGGGTTTTATTTTGTTTTGTTTTCACACAGAGTCTTACTCTGTCGCCCAGGCTGGAGTGCAGTGGTGCAATTACAGCTCACTGCAGCCTCAACCTCCCTGGATCAGGTAATCCTCCCACCTCAGCCTTCTGAGTAACTGGGACCACAGGGGCACACCACCATGCTCAGCTAATTTTTGTATTTTTAGGAGAGATGAGTGGTTTCACCATGTTGTCCAGGCTGGTCTTGAACTCCTGAGCTCAAGCAATCATCTCTCCTCGGACTCTCAAAGTGCTGGGATTACAGGCATAAACCACCACACCCAGCTGGTAATTCAGGTGTTTGAACCACAGAATAAGTACATCCTTTACAGAGAAGCCACTCAGATGTTTACATAATTACAAATAGATATTCTAAGGACAAATCAAATATAAACATAAACAAATGCACACACATGCTACAAAATATATTTATATTATGTTTTGAGCAAAACAAAAGCATGATGTATGTTAGTAACATTCAGTTATATGTGACAGAATTATCAGATTTTTCTGCCTCAACCTTAACTGATTTTTATTAGTAGTCCTGAGACATGTCTCTCATGCTGACTTACAAGGCTCCCAGTGATTTTTTTCCCATATTTAAAACAGATTTACAGTGTATCATCAGGGTGTGATATAATGATAGAAATTTGTGTTTTCCTAGCTAGCCTTTGGCTTTCAGAAGGACAGTATGTATACCTATTTTTGACTGAGCACTCCGGAAAATCACTGGAATTACTATTCTCTTAGCTACTTTGTCTGTTTTCTTGCTGTCGAATACTCTGAATATGAGTTTTGTTAATTCATACGTGCACATGTTCTGTTACCAGAACTGTTCTTTGTGTACCCAGATTTAGCTTATGTAAACAATACAAGTACCTGTAAATATATTAGTTTTTGAAAACAAAGCAAAAAACAACAAAAAACCCCTCTATCATACAAAATATGACTGTCACAGACTTAGAGAAAGAGGACTATTTTTTTCTTTTAATTTTTGAGCTTTGATTTTATTTAGTCTAAGTAGTATATTATTTCTGCCTCAGTTGCCTTCCAAGAATTTTGGTGAATTTCATAAGATGCTAACGCTGTGATGATTTATAAGAGTGCCAATGATTTGTTTGGGTTTTTTCTTTCTTTTCAAGTTTTAGTGATTTATAATCAAAGTATAGTGTGATAGCAGTTTGATTTTTCTCAGGTTCTTTTACTTTCTTTTAGGAAATAGGAGATGATTATGCATCCTTTGGCTGAGGTGAAGAGAACTCAGACATAACATTTGAGTTACTGTATCTTGGCACTTAATCTCTAGGTTCCCTAGATTTTTTTTTTTTTTTTTAATTCTTAGTTCCCTTTTCCACACATTTCTTCCTGTGCATTGGGAGCTAGTTTTTTTTCTGAGACACATCAGCTTTGCATCAGCTATGTAAATGCACTTACTTTGTTCATAGACCACAGATCAAACATGAGACTTATGGCTTATTTGCATATAACTGATCCTCATCCATTCCCTTTTCTGGGAGGCCTGTCTCACCTGACTTGGGTAAAAAAATCCCATAGGGTACAATAAAGGAAACTCATGAATTAATAGAAACACTAGTTGTGAAAATTAAAACCATATAGTTACTCATTCGCAGGTGAGCTAAAGCAATTGGAAAACTATCTAATTGACAGCCACTGTATTATCTATTTGCATAATTCTAAGTGTAATAATACATGTAGGCTAGCAGGAATATTAAGTATTAGATATAAACTTTAAATAAAACCAAATCAGTCAAACATGAAATCTCTTTCTTCTGAAGCTCTCTCATGTTTTTGCTGTTTTTAAAGTGAAGGAACTAATGAACTAACTACACAACACGTGAAAGTTGAACTTGTTAAGTGTAATTATTATACTGAGATAATTCATGCAAATTTAAAAAAGGATTGATTTTTGCTCACCTGGGAAATTGATGTTGAAGGGCGAGTTGCATGAAACCTAACTTGTGATGCCAGCTAATAAGCTACCTGCTTTATAATATTTAACTGCACCTTGATTTTATTTTAATCCTTACAAAGTTGAATTAGGAAGTGACAATTTTATAAAAACATAGAATAAACATTAATCATAAGTTTATTTTCTTATAGTGAGACTCCATTAATTGGTCTGTAATTAATTATACCCCCAAAGTTGTGTGTAGCCATGAATTATTTAGTGGACTAAGTGATATCTTGTTTGATGAAGGGAACAAGTCAGTCTCTGAATGTGCATTTTGAGATCAATTTATACATATATTCATTTCATATTTTGGTATGTTTGCAGCATTTTTGTTGTATGTGCATGTAGTTAACATGCTTATCTTCCTCCTGAGTCATTATTGCTTAATCTTTTATATGGAATTTCACTTTATAAAACAAAGCATAATCTGTTGCTGAAAACTCTGGTTATTTGTCTTGATTTGACTAAATTATAAATAATTCCTTTTGTGCTTTTGCCATTTCAGAATAAAACTATAATTTACAATTGTGTCATTTATGTCTCCTGCAGTTTCAAAAAAATCAGCAAAGCAAAGATTCTATCTTCTTCCGAGATGGGATTAGGCAAATTGATTTTGTGCTTTCCTACGTTGATGATGTAAAGAAAGACGCAGAGTTAAAGGCGGTAAGTGCATTATAACAGAAGTGGGAATAATAAAAAGAAGCACATTTTATAATTTCACATGGATATCTGGATTGAATTATGTTGTAAAAGTGAGAGGCCCTGAAGTGTTACTGAAAACTGAAACTGAATGAGATAACTGTAAAGTAGGCAGCCTAAGAATAGACATGTAAAGTCAATGTTATCTTTTTGGATATTTTGCATACTAACTTATTTTTCTTCTTCTTCCAAGTAACTGATTCTTTTTATAGCTCACTTTAGATATTAAATGTAACATCCAAAATTTGAGGTATGTGTCTGAATATAATAATTACCTTTTGTATGATATTTTCATTTTGGAAATGTATGACTAATCCATTGCTCCAGGTATAGCTTTTATATTGTACTCTATTCCTGATTCTATTTTATTTGTATTACACATCACTTTATGAGCTTATTTATTCATGTTTTTACTTGTTTGCTGTCTCCAACACTATAAATTAAGTTTATGAGGCCAAGCACTTTGTCTTGTTCACCGTTATGTACCCAAATCCTAGAACAATGGTTGGACTATAATGGATACTCAATAAATACTCAATATTTGAAATCATAAATTAATCCATTTTTATACACATATATGTGTGTGTGCATACACACACATTTACTTATGTACTTACAACATAAATGTCATATAAAATAAAAATAAAAAATGAAGATATTATTCCCACAAGACTCCATACATATACAGGTCTGTCCCTTTTTTCCACCCACTGCCTGGAAAGCCTTCTACCAGGCCTCTGAAATTCATGACCCATCATCATTTTCATCTCTTCTCCGAACATTCCCTTCAAACCTCTTTGAGGTTTTTTGCTTTCCGTAGCAGTCCTCTCAAGTGATGTTTACTTTTCTTTATACAACATTTCCCTAGAGATGGGGTAAATGCTGCTTGCCTTCCTTGTATCTTGTTGATTATACTGTGTTCTCCTTCACTTGTCCCTGAAATTCCTGAGATTTAAATCTCATCAGATTTATTATTATCCTGCATTGTTTTTGTCATTTATCTTTCTCTGCATCTTCTATTCCTCAACAATTTTACCTCCTGGATCACTGTCCGTCTTTCCAGCAATCTTTTAAAATCATTGATAATATCAATTCATACTTAGATGATTATTTTGACACTCTGGCCTCTCTGTTCCTTGAACTCCCTTTTCCAATAATCTTAGCTTCTACTCAGCCATTCACTCACCTAGAACTTGTCACTACTAATAACTGCAACTCTTTATAATTTCGTTTTACATGTACAACTGTCTGATTATACCTCAAATCTTTCTGATCCACATTCTTCCTCTTTCAACCTCACCAGGACCAGATAAGATGCAATCGTCTTACTGCTTTTTGCTGCTCTTATTCCCCTCTCACTCTTTATTCAGCTTATGTCTCGTGGTCAACAATTTTAATTACTCTGTTACATATCCCGCCAAGTCCCTTGCCCCTCTCCCAGTTGTACTTGACAAAATAACAACTTTAGTTAAACCCAACCCTACCTACTAAATGCCAGCACACATGCAGAAAGGAAAACTTACAATTTACTGACTGACTTTACCTTGTATTTGTGCCCATGGACCTTAACTGGGTCCTTATGCTGTGTGGCAATCATACTTTCCTTCCATATTCTGTTTTCTCCCACTTTCTTAGATGACTGTTTTATAATGCTTTTTCTTTCCTCACACCTCCAACACCTCCTCCTGTCTTCAAGCTTAGCTGATCATATTTTTCTGTTTCATTGAGAAAACTGAAGCAAGAAGAGAAAACCTATAAATTTCTACCATCACATCTGTCCATCCACCAGGAGTTTTGCCTGTGTAAGCTATCTTACTTTCTGTTACCATAGACAAACTATTTATCCTTCTACCTAAAGCCAACTGCTCCACTTGTGCCCTGCATTCTCTTTCTTCTTGCCTACTATTCAGGAGTGCCAAAGACAACCCTCAGGTTTAGGGGTTCATTAGAAGGAATCACAGGACTCAGTATATAGTCATGCTTATGGAGACGTTTTATTACAGTGAAATGATAAAAAGCAAAACGAGCAAGGGAAAAAGCTTATGGGACAAAGTCTGGAGGAAACCAGGAGTAAGCTTGTGAGAATTCCCTCTCAGTAGAATCACAGGATATACACTTACTTTTTCCAGCAACAATGTATGAAAACACATGTGAAATATCTATTGGGCAAGCCCATTAGAGTGCCCTAGGTTTTTATTAGGGGCTGGTTACCTTGTCACCTTCTGCCTAGCACATACCAAAATTTCATACTCCCAGAAGGAAAGCAGATATTCAGCATAAATAACACTGTTTGTAAAAACAGTATAGGCAAAATGAGCCACTCTTATCAGTTCTGGGAGTGGAGGGAACTCTTCAGAAAAGCAAGTCCCAGACACTAGGACCAACCTTTCTAAAGTTGCAGGCAGGCCTTTCTAAGGATAGCAATTTAATCCCTGCTTTATTAACTCTTTTCTGTATACCTATTTTGGGATATTGCTCTGAAAATTAGTTCCTCTTTCTCCTAAATTATATTTGATATTCTTTACTGGGCCATTTTCTTCCATGAATAACTAGGCTGTTAATTTTTCTATATTAAAAAGGTATGAATAAAAACCCTCTTTTTGTTCCAGTTTTCCTATTAGCTACTATTTCTCTATTTTTTTTCTTTTCAATTATATATTAAACCTATTCCTTTCAAGCCTTTATCCCAACCACTCTGCCCATCTCCTTGTATAAAATCCAATGGTCAAGCCTCAGCCCTCATCTTACTTGACCTATTAGCAATATTTAACACAGTTGATCCTTCCCTTTTCTATTGTGTATGTTCTTCATGTGGCTTCCAGGACTCCACATTATCTTAGTTTTTTTCTTATTTCACTAGTTGCTCCTTCTCAGTCTTTACTTCTCCTAAATCACTTATTATTAAAGTACCTCAGGGCACAGTCCTTAATCCTCACCTTTCCTTATCTTACACTGATGTATTTGATGATTCTGTCTTACAGTTTTAAAATCATATATTTTATGATTTTATATACATTAATCATACAATCCCAGAATTCATTTTTCCAGTCCACATTTCTCTTCCAACTGTGCATAACTAAATGACTGTTCTGTATCTCATACCTTCAATAAGGTACTGGCATAACAACAGACACACAGGCCAATGAAATAGAATAGAGAATCCAGATTTAAATCTATGAATTTAAAACAAGTTCATCTTTGACAAAGGGGCCAAGTGCATACAATGGAGAAAAGATAGGCTTTTCAATAAATGATGCTGATGAAACTGGATAACTATATGTGGAAGAATGATACCAGATCCATAGTTCTTACCATACAAAAGATCAAATCAAAGTGGCTTAAAGCTTTGACTCTAAGACCTGAAACTATGAAACTACCAGAAGAAAACACTAAGGAAATGCTCCAGGACATTGGTGCAGACAGACTTCTTGTGTAAGACCAGGCAATTAAAGGAAAAATAGACCACTGGGATTAAATCAAGCCAAAAAGCTTCTGCACAGCAAAGGAAAAGTGCCCATTGTTGGATGAATAGATAAAGAAAACGTGGCAAATACATAAAATGGAATATTTTTCAGCCATTGAAAAAATGAAATACTATCATTTGCAGCCATCGATGGAACTGGAAGCCATTATGTTAAGTGAAATAAACCAAGCACAAAAAGACAAATGTCATATGTTCTCACTCATGTGCAGGAGGTAAAAATGTGGATCTCATGAAGATAGAGTAGATTGGTGGCTACCAGAAGCCAGGAAAGGGAAGGGGAAGGAGGGAGATAAAGGGGGAAAAACAATATAATGCATTTATTACTACTGAACTATACACTTAAAAATGGTAAAGATGGTAAGTTATATATGTATATTTTAACTCAATAAAAATGTTTTAAAAAGAAAAAATGCTTTTTTTTGTCATCAATACATTGCTTTAATAAAAGCTGGGTGGGTGGTTCACACCTATAATCCCAGTGCTTTGGCAGGCTAAGGCGGGAGGATGAGTTGAGGCCAGGAGTTCAAGGCCAGCCTGGGCAGATAATGAGACACAGTCTCTATGAAAAAATTTTTTAAAAATTATCCGAGTGTGGAGACACCTTCTTGTAGTCCCAGCTACTCAGGAGGCTAGGGAGGATCACTTGAGCCCAGGAGTGTGATGCTATAATGGGCTGTGATCACAACACTGTACTCCAGCCCGGGTGACAGAGTGAGACCCTGTCACTACAAAACGAACAAACAAACAAATGAAGAACTAAGCACCCAAGTGGTTATTTTCAGTAATGACCTATAGTTAAATGTAAGTTTACTTTTTGCTAAGTGAAGCCATTTTGTCCTTCAGGATTAAAAAGTCTTGATGACATACTGGCTTAAAATTCCATTAAATGTATAGTTTATTTGAAGAGTATTGATCTTTGTAATAGTGAATCTTTTCAACTTGGAGCATATGTCTCTCTGTTTATAAAGTTTTTTTATAATTTATGTTATTCAGTAAAGTTTTGTACATTTCTTCAGATAGAGGCTCTGCATATTTCCTGGTGATTATTCCTGGATATACTGCATTTTTGTAGTTGTGAATTATAGTACAAGAGAAAAGCAGTACCTGACATTCAGATGGAGCATTTTTATATACAACCATGGGAGGGGCAGAGAGCCATCCAGAGTCACAGCCATTGTATATTGAATCTGTCAATACTGAGCAAATAAAACAAAAGCATTCTGCATAATTCTGTTGATTTTTTTTTGTCATAGGAAAGAAGAAAAGAGTTTGAAACTAATCTCAGAAAAACAGGT
The DNA here is from genome assembly GCF_000001405.40 of Homo sapiens. Taxonomy (NCBI): domain Eukaryota; kingdom Metazoa; phylum Chordata; class Mammalia; order Primates; family Hominidae; genus Homo; species Homo sapiens. The sequence goes on from NC_000011.10 coordinate 22,226,026, forward strand.
CTTGAGTTGGAAATAGAAGACAAAAGGGTAAATGTAGTTGATAATTTATACAAGCCTCTTTAATTTAAGTGTTGTTTTCTCCTACTCTGGCCTTTGCCTGGATAGACTCTGTGTTTGGGGGCAATACAATAGCTCTTTTGGCTACAGATATGTGCACCGGGATGATAGGGCCTGTGGTCTTACAGGTAAGTAGATGAGTACTGTGAATATGCAGTAATAAATGGAACACTTTATAAATTGACACAGTTTGCATTCAGGATACAAAGAGAAAGAAGATGTGGACTTTTTATCATAACAGTTTCATTTTGAAGTCTGCCTATAATCTGGTACCCTAAATAATTAACCAGGCTGTCTTGCAGCATAACCTGCTGTTTAAGCCAAGACATTCTTTCTGTTCATGAATCTACCAAATTTTCTTTTTAAAGTCATTTTATTTACTGTTTTTCTAGAATTTCCTTCAAAATTGTTTTTAAAGGCCTATTTAATATCTTACCCTATCTATTCCAGCCTGGGCAACATAGCAAGATCCTGTCTCTACAAAAAATAAAAAATAAAAAATTAGTTGGGCATGGTGCCTGTAGTCCAGCTACCTGAGAGGCCAAAGCAGGAGGATTGCTGGAGCCCAGGAGTTTCATGGTTGTGCTGCTGCACTCCAGCCTTGCCAACAGAGTGACGCTCTGTCTTAAAGAAAAAGAAAAGAAAAACAGAAGCATTACTCTCTAGTTCTCCCATTTTCAGTGAACTAATAAATTATTATACCACACAATCCATAATTTCTCCTATGCCATGAACCTTTGTTACCTAAAGTTCTTCCTCATTGTGTAGGCTAAACAAAGAAGCTGGGTAAGAAGAGTGAGTACGTTTTACAGTTTATATGTATCACTTATATAACGTAAGTAAAATTTTGAGCTTATAGCTAGTTACTAAAAACTTAAGAAATTGCCCAGAACCGCATAGGTTATTGTGGATTTAGAGATGAGTATACATTGACCATGAAATATATGTTTAAAAATAGTCTTTCTCTGCATGTGTCTTTGTATGTCTCTCTTTCTGTCTTTCACATATATACACACATTATATGTATACATATATACATGTTTTTGTAACTATATGTTTTGTGAATTTTGTTTTCTCAAAGTTTTGCCTGAAAATTTCAAAATATTGAAAATGCTTTGATGTGTTTGAGATTTTATAAAATATTATCCATCTTATTTAATCAGCTCAATAACAAACTGATCAGTAAGCTTTCTGCTGTTTTGCCTTTTTTTTAATGCAGGACTCGGAAGATGGAAGAACTTATTTTGTCAAGATCCATGCCCCTTGGGAGGTATTAGTTACCTATGCTGAAGTCTTGGGAATCAAAATGCCTATTAAGGAGAGTGATATTCCCCGCCCTAAGCACACTCCTATAAGCTATGTGCTTGGACCTGTAAGACTCCCACTGAGTGTGAAGTATCCCCATCCTGAATATTTTACTGCACAATTCAGCAGACATCGGCAGGAGCTCTTCCTCATCGAAGATCAGGCAACCTTCTTTCCATCCTCATCAAGAAACAGAATTGTAGGTAGAGAAGACCTTTGGGCACATCCCTTCAAATACGAGATGTATGCTTGTGTGTGCTTTTATACATGTGCAGATGTCGTACCATTTCTGCAAGGTGCTTCTGTATAGGATATAAGCATTTGGTGATATTGGGGAGTTTGAAAGTCTAATTAGACCACATAAACGTATTACTCTCCCTAACTCTCAAACTGTTGTTTAAAAGTGAGTGGTTGATGGTATGGATGTAGTAAAGAAAGAGATGTTATACAATATTGGAAAAAGCAATTAATTGAGAGCTAGAGGACTTTGATTTTGTAAGATCTTTGTAAAATGGTTTTACAAACTTGGAGTTTGGTTTTATACAGTCAGTGCATAGTAAAGGAACTATCATTCCAAATGGAAATGAAATGTTTTAATTCCTTTATATATGGATAAAATTTGAGAAACCTCAAAACTTTTTTTTCCCTTCATTTACAACTATTTTCTGCCTTCTAAATAGTCTTGTTTTCTCTGCATTTGAAGTCCTAGGATCTTTAAGTTTCCCATTGAAAACCTCTCTCAGAAAGAATCATGGTTTTGTGCCACTGTTTCTTTGTGCTTAGACTGGAATAATATCCACTTCATAGGTTACCCAGATAATTAAATTAGTTCAGACATAAAGAGCTTTGAGCAGTGCCTGGCTTGTACCAAGTGTTCAACAAGCGTTAAGATGTTATTATCATTATTTATCTGGCTTTCAGAGGGAAAAAAATAAGGTTGTATGTTACCTTTTATAGCTTGCTTATTTTAAAAAATTTATGATTGACACATAATTGTACATATTTATGTGATAAAATGTGATGTTTCAATACATGTATACATTATGTAATGAACAAATTGGGATAATTAGCATCTCCATCATCTTAAAATTTTTCATTTTTTTGTGATGAGACCATTCAAAAACCTCTCTTCTAGCTATTTTGATACTTTATTGTTAATGTTAGTCATCCTACTATGCAATAGAACACCAGAACTTATTCATCTTATCTAACTATAACTTTGTACCCGTTGACCAATCTCTCCCCATTCTTTCCTCCCCCTACCTCTTCCCATTCTCTGCTAATCACTATTCTACCCTCTACTTCTATGAAAACAACTTTGTAGATTCCACATATGGCTGAGATCATATGGTGTTGATCTTTCTCTTCCTACCTTAATGTCCTCTAGGTTCATATTGTCACAAATGACAACATTTCATTCTTTTTATGGCTATATCTAGCCATAAAATTTATTTAATTCTGTGTGTACACCTTTTCTTTCTTCATTCATTCATTGATGGACATTTAGATTGATTCCACATCTTGGGTATCGTGAATAGTGCTGCAGTAAACATAGGATGGCAGATATCTCTTAGACATACTGATTTCATTCCCTTTAGGCATATACCCAGTAATGGGATTGCTGGATTATGTGGTAGCTCTATATTTAATTTTTTGAGGACCGTCCATATTGTCTTTCATAATGGCTATACCAATTTGTATTCTCATCTGTAGTGTGTAAGACTACACACTCTCCACCTTCTCTCCATGTCCTCTCCAACGTCCTCTCCAACACTTTCTCTAGGTACTCTCCAACACTTGTTATCTTTTGATTTTGTTTATTAATTTAATCATCAGGGTTCTAACAATCACAAGATTCTTTTCCTTGAGATTACTTACTTTATTTTCCTGAGGAATTAGAGATCTGATTCCATGTTTTTTCTAGTTCCTAAATAAATATTTTTAAAATTCACTGACAGGAATAGTCAACAAAATGTGATTCCTAGAATTCAGGATATGAATCCACAAACTAAAAATGTTCTTCCTTTTTTTTTAACCAGGATTAAACAATAACAAAACCTAAGTCAGGATTTATGGGAATAAAGAGCAAATGACATGGAATCAGAAGACCTTATTTCAAGTCGTAACTCTGCTACTTTCTAAATATGATCATTTCTCTTAAAACAAATAATGATAATACTGACATGATTGTGAAAATTAAATGAAATAATATATGTAATGCACTTTGAAAACTGAAAAGTATTTTAGAGATATTTGTTACATTGAAAAATTGTTCATAAAAAGCCAGTGAACTCGTAGGAACAAATTAGGAACTTGATCAGGAATAGAAATGTCAGTATTCATTTACCTCTACTTGTTCTTTGTGAACAGTGTCAATACCTTAGTCGAATTCAACTTTAAAGCACACTTTATCTTCCTTCATAGTGTAGCAACATTGTTCTTGCTTTATTGAGGAAGATATTTGGGAGGTTAATGTAGACAAAGTCCCTACCTTTTTATCCTCATCCATAACACTTGTTTCAATGGATATACAAACTGAATAATATTACAAGAGCATCTTACATTAATATAGAATTTCATACTTTTCAAAGCATTTCACAACAATCATGGCATCTGAGCTTCACAATATATAGTAAATAATATATAACCCATATATGTGATATGTTTGTTTATATATACACCAATATGTAGATTTGTGAATGTGTATATGATGAATATATATGATTATGTGTTTACACCTTTTATTGTGGAAAAAGTTTAGACTTTTTAACATTAACAAAGCTCTAGATTTATCCAGCTGTGTCGGTGAAAAAGCTTACACTATCAATATGAGATTTAAATTGAACATATGGCCAAGGAATTTCTATGTGTATAGAAAGAGAAACAAATAAGATACATCTAATCATTTTAGTTACAATGTCCTTCTTAAAGATAGAGAATTAATTTTTATAGGACACCAATGCCAAATTTCAGTCCATTTATAATGGAAAATTTTCCATTGCACTAATAATATGTAATATATGGATTCATGTCAGTATCTTTTTTTGTCAAATAATATTTTACAGCTGGATTTTATACATTCTAAGTGTACTTCATCCCAACACAGTTGCTTTTTGATAGTGTTTTTAAAAAATTCTTTTATCTTAAATTTCAGTTTGTAAAATGTTTAAAAAATTTCAGATTCATAAATCCAACACCTACAAATCACGTCTGTGTGCCTATTGAAAGCACTCATGTTCCACATGCCTAAAGCCAAACTTTTAACTACCATTCCCACATGTCCTCCTGACTATCAGTACCAAAAAGCAGACAGACAAAAGTGATGCAAACCGGGTCCTCTCCTAAGTATCCCTTTTCCCATGAACAGCACCTCCATTCAGGCATCAGCAAGAAGCCTAGGATTTCTTTATACTACCTCTCCTTTACCACCCATGTTCAACCCATCACTAGGTTCTATCAGTTTAACTCCTAACTCTCTTTGAATCTGTCCACTTCTATCTCCACCTTCACTATTACCAAATTATCCAAAATTATAGTCGTCATTCATGAGATCTACTGAAATGCATTTTAATTGGTCTTCCTACCCGTGCTTTTGCTACTCTCTAATATAGACATCCAGAATGATCTTTGTAAAATCAACTCTGATAGGGTCAGCCCTTCAAATCTCACCACACCTCTTATGGCACAGATCAGAATTATTAATGTGGCTGAGAACTGCATGATTCACTTCAGAAGAATCAGAAGATTTTGAAAATTAAATAATTATTTTTCTGTTTTTTTATTAGTGTTCATCTTCCCATTAGTCTTACCATTGTATGCTCAATGCCCAGTATATAACACTCATAAGTATTTTTAAGTAATGAATTAATAAGATGTACATTATTTCATCACATCATTTTATATTATAAGCATTTTCCAATATTTCAATATCACTTTTATGGTCATTTACCTTATTAAATTTTTTAATTGTACGACTGAAGCACAGTTTCATCCTCATTGTGAAAGTATCAAACATTAAAGAGATGTATATCATAAAATGAAAAGATAAGTTATATTAATCCCCATTTTACTTATTTTTCAGTGGAAAACACTCATCAGTTAACAGTATATTCTTTCATATCTTTTTGTGACAGTAGATATTAATCTATCTATTCATTTTAATGGTTCTTTATATTCTATAGTATAGATATAATTTTATTAAACATTTTCACATCTGATAGCTATTCAGGTTGTTTCCAACTTTTCTGATATTATAAACAACTCAGTTTGCAAGCTGGTATTTATACATTTCAGCATAAATGTAAGTTTTCTGCTAAAAGAGATACACATGTAAAATTTTGAGATCTAAGGACATGCACATTTAAATTTTTACATGTATTACACTATCACACTTTGCAAAAAGATGTAGTAATTTGGAGTCCTGGTTACAATATATGGGAGTACTTGGTTTTCCACCTACATACCTTTCTGGACACAAGAAATTATCAGTCTTTCGTGTTGTCTCTTTTCTTAATGGACGCATAAAATGATAGAGGTCCATAAGTCGTAATTATCACAAGGTGAACACAGCCATGTGACCACCACCAACACCTAGAGAGAAAATATTCTTAGCCATCCAGAAGCTCTAGTGTCTCCTCTCGTTCACTATTCCTTGTCTCCTCTGCAGAGATAGACTAACTTCTTACAGCAGAGATTAGTTTGGCTTGTTTTTAAATTTTATAAAAATGCAATCATACAGTATGTGTTGTTGGTAGTCTGGCTTCTTTAACTCAACCTTTATTTGGGTGATCAGTTAAGCTCTTGTATGAACTTTTGTTCATTCATTCTTTGGCATAGAAATTTATTTGTGTATGTGTCATTATTGTTTTAATTTGCACTTCCCTGATGTAAATGAGATTGATCTCCTTGTATATGTTTATTGGCCATCTAGATACGCAATTTTGTGAAGTACCTGCTAAAGTCTCTGGTCTGTTTTCAATTAGATCTTCCCTTTTCTTGTCAATTTGCAGTAGTTATTTATATATTCTTGATCTGAGTCCTTTATTCATTATATATTCTACTGATCTTTTGTTATTTTGTGTTTCCCTTTTGAATGTTTTTAGATAACAGATGTTTTTAATTTGAATATACCCCACTTTCTCAATTTTTTATGTTATGAATAATGCTCTTAATATTCAACTCACACCAGGATAATGAAATTAATTTCATATATTATCTTTTAAAAGTTGTATTATTTTACTTTTTACATTGACAACTACTATCTACCTGTAATTAATTTTTGTGCCTTGTACAAAATGTAAGTCAATTTTTTTCTCTCAAGTGTATAGTCAGTCAGGTTGCACCAATTATTGAAAACATTCAACTTTTCATACTGTTTTACCATGCCACCTTTTCTTATAACCTAAGTATCTATATATTCATAGCTCTACTTCTGAATTTTATTCTGCTGATTTACTCCATCTGTTTTTGTGTCAGTACTTAGAATGTTGAACTTTCTCTGAGTTCTGTAGTCCCTTAAAACAGGGACAGTTAAAGGAATCATTTCACATTCTAGAAAACTGTTTATTACACAGAACTACTCTTTACCATATGACGTAGATAATACTCATAGATACCCCTTCCCGCAAGTTTGACTTGACAGTACCATTTGCCACACAGTTCATCCTAAATTCACCTGGTAATTGAAGTGTTCATCTGTGTTACTTACTTGCTTTTATTCCAAGAAAAAACAAAACTCATATCTCTATGTCAAGAAGTAGTTACAGCATGGAGCCAGGTGCTTAGGCTAAACTCCCATGGAGACTGGGAGATGAGTATGCTGCCTTTTTTGATACTTACATTCAAAAGTGATTACTCCGAGAAAACATAAGAAAAAAATGCCTGATTTATGAAATTGGTAAGACCCTTATTAGCTTTTTAAAAGACACACATCTCAAAGGGACAAAGAAAGAATTTATAAGTTCTCTAAAAGAAATAGGAGGGGACTTCAAAATTTTCTGGAAAAACAGAATTTAAAAAATATATATAAATTTTATTTATCACCGTAAGCTTTCCCAGGTTCCAGACATTTTTTGTAAGTGATCATAGCAGCCATTTAGTCTTTCCCTGAGGAACTGAGGGTCCTGGGAATCTAACCATGTCAATGCAGTCTTACTTGCATTATTAACTGAAGAAAAATGGATGCCCCTTCCACACATTTTAAGATTAAGAAACAAAAAGAAGTCAGACTGAGCCAAATCAGGACTGAAAGGTGGATGCCTAATGATTTCTCATTGAAACTCTTGCAAAAATTGCCCTTGTTTTATGAGAGGAGGAGCAGGAACATTGTACCTGTGAAGAAGGGCTCTCTGCTGAAGCATTCCAAGGAGTTTTTCTGCAAAAACTTTGGCTAATTTTCTCAAAACACTGTCATAATAAGCAGAAGTTGTTGTTGTTCAGCCCACCAGAATGTCAACAAGCGAAATTCCTTGAGCATCCCCCAAAAAACTGTTGCCATGGCCTTTGCTCTTGATTTGTCTGCTTTTGCTTTCCCTGAACCACTTCCACCGCTTGGTAGCCATTGCTTTGATTGTGCTTTATCTTCAGGATAACACTGGCAAAGCCGTATTTCATCTCCTGTCATAATTCTTCAAAGAAATTCTTAAGGATCTTGATCCTACTTATTTAAAATTTTCATTGAAAACTGCTTTTGTCTGCAGGTGAACTGAGTACAACAATTTTCACACCCATTGATTGGAAAATTTGCTCAACTATAATTTTTCAGTCAGAATGGGGAAAGCTGAACCAGTTGAGATATCTGTGGTGTTGGCTATTATTTGTGCTGTTCATCATTGGTCCTCTTCAATTAGGACATGAACAAGGTGAATTTTTTCCTTGCAAATTGATGTGCATGGTCTGCTGCTGTAGGTTTCATCTTTGACATTATCTCATCCCTTCTTAAAATGAGTTATTCATTTATAAACTGTTGATCTCTTTAGGGGGATTGTCTTCATAAGCTTTTGGTAAAGCATCAGTGAGTTCACCATTCTTCCCCACAAGCTTCATCATAAATTTGATATTTGTTCTTGCTTCAATTTTAGCAGAATTAATGTTGCTCTGACAGCGGCGCTTTTCAAACTGATGTGTCCTTCTTAGTCTCTCAAACTAAATCCTGTTCGGACATGTTATAACAAGTTAGTATGAGTTTAATTTTGTGCCAAAAATTTGAAAACCACACATATCCATTTTTCATTAGTGTTTTGAAGACCCCTTTGTACTCCAAGAAAAAGGAGGTGGGGCAAGTCACTTTGCCTTTTGGCACCAGGGAAAATCTAGTTCTTTTACATCTATCCTTACCCTTGCAGTTTCTTCCTTTTGTTGTTATTAACAGTTTCTGGTAACAAAGGCCAGACACACTTCACTTCCTCCAAATTCTTATTCTTCGTTTTATGAGTGGTTAGCTGAACTGTTTATCCCCATTGATCCATCAGAACAAGCAGTTGACCTGACTTGACCAAACTTTAATTAAGCTTCTCTTCTCCCTATAGGAACCTGAACACTGACCTACCCTCAACTTGAGCCAGTATTGTGATGTATAGCAGCTCCTCCTTAACACAAAGAAAGATAATCCCTGACACTTGCTTACTTCTCCCTATGAATGAAATCACTTTTCTGCCTGACATTTCAGATGTTTGCAGATCTCCTGAAACTTTCTTTCTATTGCAGTAGTCCCTCTCCATCTTTTGCAATAATTTTTTCAAATAATGTATTTTCAGGCCTAAATTCAGGTTTTTTTTTAAATTTTAGAATACTATGCTTTACTTATCATAGCTTTATAATACATCTTAATACCTGGTAGTGTAAATATTTCCACTTTGTTAACATCCCAAGAGAGAGTTCTTATTGTGGTGAATCTTTCCTAAGGAAATAATCTAAAATATGTAAAACAGGTCATATTTATGACATCATTTGTAAAAATTAAAACTACCTAGCATAAATTATGATCTATTTACCGAGATGGAATATGGAGCTGCTCTTAACATGAATGATGAGTTTAGATGATGATGATTCAAGAACTACAACCATTCCAATCAAAAAGTCCTTGAATGGTGAAATGTAAAAGAAAGGAAAGGTAGGGGACTATGTATAAAACAGTGCTGAAAAAAACAAATTTAGCAATTAGAAAGAAGAAATTTTGAAAAGTTGTTGGAAGATAAAAAGCAGATGAGATTGAATTCACAGAAATACAAGAGCAGAGGATACCAAAGCCCAAATCATATTCAGGATAAAACTGATAGAAATATTCAAGTTGTTGCAAAGTGGCTGTAGAGATAGGATCACTTTGGCTAATAAATTCAGATATCAGGTAAAATCCCTTGTAAAAATAATTAATTGAAGAAGTATTCAAGACAGCTTGGATAAATATCAATTCTACTCCATATTCCCCCAACTGAACTGTTAGTAGTGACATTAGTATCCTACTTGAAGCCCTAATTATAGTAGAAATTCTGGCACAAAGAACTAAAGAGGAGGTTTGGACAGGAGAAGCAAAATAAATTATGGTCTGTTCACCCCTGCACCCCATCAAATGAATGCTCTCAGACTCAGAAGCTAAAATATCTGCAAACTCCATATAATCCCTCACTCTACATCTTCCTGACAACCAAGAGAAGCTTCTTTCTATAATTAGAGCCTGTATCTACATTCAAAGTAGACATTGTTAAATTGTGATTGAAAGAAATGTGGAAAGCATAAAGTTCTGAGATGTGATAGTGTCTCTTTGCACTTACCTTGTAGGTGTACTATATTCTCTCAAGATGTCCTTTTGGCATAGAAGATGGGAAGAAAAGGTTTGGGATTGAAAGACTGCTAAACTCTAACACTTACTCATCTGCCTATCCACTCCATGATGTATGTATAGGTTTGATTGTGAAAATCTGAGCTTATTTTCCTCCTGCCATGTTCATTACTGGGAGAGAGAATCTTCCTTTACTTCAGTTGCTTAGTTTTCTCTCATGGTGGGAAAATCCCCAAAGACTTCTTGGTTCTGAGCTGAGAGCTTTACGAGCTATGCTGAGATATATAGTAAATGTATCTTTAAGGTTTCAAATGGACATTTATTTTAAAAACTTTTATATTTGCACATGACTTTTTATTAGAACCCATTTTGAAAATAGCAGTCACATTAAAAGAACATTTTTGAACATAATATTTGGAAATTTCTATCTGAGTCCTTTAGTTCTTTTCTCATTTATAAAGTTTTGAAGCTGTAAAGAATTTAAATTACCTGCATTCACATATTCATTCATCAAATACATGATTGGCTTCAATTATATGTAAAGCATTCTGTTAGGCATTATTGGAACACAACCATGAATCCAAGCTCATAGACTAGGACTCTCCTAGAAATAAAGCATGTGTACAACTGCAATATAAACTAAAGGCTTCAGTGCATAAGAATGCTTCAGGTGTTATGACAACTGATATTCAGAAGAACGTTTTTTGGGGGCTGGCAAATCATTGTACAAAAACATTGAGTTTATAAGTTTAATAGAGAAGTGACATTTTACGTGATTCACCTGTTGAACCAAACCTGAAAACTTGGCCTTGGAACCAATACTCAGCCTAATTTCTGGGTGTTTTTGATGGAAACCTTCTCATTTGAATAGCCAGTGTTTAAATTTCACCACCTATTGGCAGTGGAAATCCTGGGGCTGAATGTGTACATATTCTACTTTGAGATCATCCCTTGGAATGTCTATTTTTGTTGTTTCTTTTGTTACAGTTTTACTCTTCCATACTTAAAAAGACTTTTTGGTGATGTATTCTCTTTGTAAGAAATATAGTTCTCAGTAATAGAAGAAACAAATATTTCAATTGAAACAAGTGGCAGCTAAATAATTCCCCATTTTTTTGAAATACAGTGTTGCTGTAATAGTTCCCAAAAGCCCAAAGCCAAGCTCTTCCTTTCATAGGACTTAGTCTGTTGTGCTAGTTTTCCTCTGTTAATGTTTAATTTTTGTTTTGTTTACTTTTGTTTTTTGAGACGGCGTCTTGCTGTGTCCCCCAGGCTGGAGTGCAGTGGTGCAATCTTGGCTCACTGCAGCCTCCGTCTCCCGGGTTCAAGCAATTCTCCTGCCTCAGCCTCCTGAGTAGCTGGGATTACAGGCACACACCATCATGCCTGGCTAATTTTTGTATTTTTAGTAGAGACGGGGTTTTGCTATGTTGGCCAGGCTGTAATTGAACTCCTGGCCAATGTTCAATATTTATTCAGTAGTATGAGAATTTACTCCAGGTCAGTTCAACACTGATTAGTTTTTCTGTAAGAGTAGAGGAAATTTTCCAAAATGAGTCGCCATTTTCAACAGGAGTGTCAATTTAGTAACTTAAGTATTAGAAAAACCAAACAGCCTCTTCTTTTTTTCAACAGCCCTTGAACACATATATAGTAAACATCCACTGAGGGTTGGTTCCAGAACCAATCCCCGGACCCTTGGATACCAAAATCCCAGCATGATCAAGTTCATTATATAAAATGTAGTAGTATTTGCATATAGCCTACACACATTCTTCAGCATACTTTAATTCATCTCTAGATTATTTATAATACCCAATACAATATAAATGTAAATCGTTGTTACACTGTATTGTTTTTAAATTTGTGTGTGTATGTGTTTACTGCTGTTTAAAAATATTTACAATCTGCTGTTGGTTAGATTTGTGGGTGCAGAACCTGCAGATACAGAGGGCCCACTGTCACAATTTTTTTTTCCTGGGGCAAAGAAACTCTTAGGAGATTATAGATTCTAAATACTAACATGGACGTTTGGTAAAGCAGAAAGATCTAAAGTAGGTTAATAAACACTTTGCATTGCATTCTGTCCATCTTTCTTCACAAAAGACCTCATAGTTTTTTTTTTTTTTTTGAAGATTTTGAGTTTTTTAAAATTAATTTTTAGGGCATTAGTTCTATTCTTACAATGCCATATCATAAAGCCAAACTAATGTCTTCAGTCATCAGCAATTTTAAACTATGCATGTAGCCTTTCAGTAGAGTCATATAGGCTCATTGGAAATTCGATGTCACTGAGCTATCACTGGAGATAGCTATAACTTACTGGTGATTTTACTTTTTAATCTTTCTTTACTTCTGAATGCAGTGTTAGGCACTGGATTTTCCCTTATGTGCTTTACAGAATCATTTTTCAAAATACCCACATAGGCTGCTTTTTTGGTTGTTTAATTTCTTAAGATTCAGTTGGATTACCTACAGAAGAAGAAAAAAGTTGGAATCTGGGTGATATAAAATTTAACACCTTATCATATAAAGATTTTCACACGTGCTAAATTTTATTTTATTTATTTTTTTAACTTTCTTTTTCTTTTATTATACTTTAAGTTTTAGGGTACATGTGCACAATGTGCAGGTTAGTTACATATGTATACATGTGCCATGTTGGTGTGCTGCACCTAGTAACTCATCATTTAACGTTAGGTATATCTCCAACGTGCTAAATTTTAAACTGGATATTTATTCAGTGCTGCCTTCAGCAGTTCATTTGTCTGCAGTAAAAACAGAATGTCTTAAACAGCCACAGTGTACACAATACTTTGCTAGGCCATGAAAAGATATTAATAATATTAGTCAGTATCTAACAATGGGAAAAGAACTTATGCATCAAGCAATACCAAGCCCCTTAAATGCTAAAGTTTGTTGTAATATTTTAAGTTCTTTGGGAAATGGCTATCAGTGAGGACAGAACAGGAGTCTCTTCCAGTAATAGCAGTATGACTTTGGATTAGTTGCTTAATGTTCCTTGAAGTTTAATTTTTTCATCTATAAAAAAAAGTGTTAGCCCATTTCTAAAGTCCTATCCAGCTGTATAGTGATATGGCTCTCTGGGCCGTGAATATTATATTAGGATTTGAGTAGAGAAGAAAGGGCATTCCAGGTGAAAGAATAGCTTGAGTAAAGCCAAAGTCTTATACTTTTACTTGCATTTTGAGATAGCTTTGTGTGATAATTTAATAAATAAATATTATTAGTTTATGAAATAATTTCACATCAATTGAATATGAAATCTAAAAGTAAAAGAAAACATACCCTTGTTTACTAACATTCTTAGAACAGCAGTGTTTATTTACTTCGTCTTTGTCTTTTGCTTCGTCTTTTATGTACCCTCCTCTTGAATATCTGCAGGGCCAATATTGGAAGCCATCAGAACCTCCCAATCCTACCAATGAAAGATACACACTTCACCAGAATTGGGCTCGATTTTCCTATTTCTACAAGGAGCAGCCTTTAGACTTGATTAAGTAAGTTTCATACACAGGATCAGACCAATTAAAACTTGATAATGTGATTTTTATTCACAATGGCATAATATTTTTTTTACTACTATTTTCTCCCACTACATTTCACAACTTCTTGATTTCATATCTACACTATAAATTAGCAATTCATTTAGGAGAATGTTGTTGCTAAACTGATGAAAGACAACAGCGATAGTATGGTGGTTAGGAGGTTAGACCTTAGCATTTAGCTAGGCTGAATTCCAATCCAAGTTCTGTCTCTTGAAAGCTATATAAATTTGGTCAAGTTACTTAACCATTATGAAAATAGATATAACAATATTACTACTTTTTAGCACATTAGTTATAATATCTATACTATCTGTAAAACGGGAATAGCAATATTACTACTTTTTAGCATAGGGGCTAACACTTAGTGTTTAATACATATTAGTTTTTGTTTCTCTTGGAGTCCAGAAATTTGGAACATAAGACAAAGGTTGTGTATGGATGTTTGTGTGTGTGTGCTCTCAGTGAGCTGTGAAGACATTTGTTCTATGACCTCAATCCTTTAGATAGTTTCATTAGCTAAGCAAGAAGACTATGGTTGCAGGTTATCACTTTAAAGCATAGCAATACTACAAGCATACAAGATATTAGGAGACATATGATTTTATTCAATGAACTATTAGATTAGAGATCTCTTGCTACTATAGGCAGTGTTTTTTCCTTGATGATTTATACTTGCATTGCTATGCTTACACAGCATCACAGTATCTGTTTCATGAGACTGATTTGAATGGATCCATCCAAATCAACTGAAATGTTATCTCAACAGTATGTTTAAGTCAAACTAGAGGACACATTTTGGAAAATTAATGTCACTTAGTCAGTTTATAAACTGGGGCTTTTGATAAATCATGCAAACTCTTTCTTGAATGGCTATTTTAACTGTTTTGAATAATAATCATTTAATACTTTAAGTTATAAAACCAGAATATTTATCAAAAACATTTCAAATAATTAAGAGATGAACAAAGTTTTAAGTGAAATTCTACCTTCATCAAACTCCACAAAAATAACTAGGCTTGATTTGGATAATATTGATTTAGTCCTATTTTTGTGTTCCTGCATAAAAAAGCAGAAACATTTTTTTTTCTGAGAGCAATGGCATCTTTCTCTTCTCTTTCATGCTAATATTTTTCTTTATTCACTAAATAGTATATTACTGATGTCCTTCTATGAATACACAAAGATCTATCTGATACTATTTAGTGGAACACAGAATGCCTTATTATAAATTTTTCATAATTCATTTATTTGTTTTTCTATTGAAAAACATTAGGCTGTCCCAATTTTTTTATATAATTTCAACTTTTTAATTTTAGATTCAGTGGTATACATGCATGTTTTTTGTGTGGGTATATTGCACGATGCTGAGGTTTGGGGTGCAGATCCTGCCACCCAAGTAGTGAGCATAGTAACAAATAGGGAGTTTTTTAACCCACACCCCTCTCCCACACTACCTCCTCTAGTGTATATCGTAGTCATCCTTATGTCTATGTGTATTCAATATTTAGTTCCCACTTACAAGTGGTTTATATATACCACGTTTTATTTATCTGCTCCACCATTAATGGTCACCCAGGTTGATACCATGTCTTTGCTATTGTGAATAGTGCTGCAATGGACATATAGGTGCGTGCATCTTTTTGGTAGAACAATTTATATTGCTTTGAGCATATGCCCAGTAATGAGATTGTTGGGTCAAATGGCAGCTCTGTTTTAAGTTCTTTGCAGAAGCTCCAAACTGTTTTCCACAGCAGCTGAATTAATTTTCATTCCCATCAACGGTGTATAAATGTTCTCTTTTCTCCCAAATCTCACCACCATCTGATATTTCTTGACTTTTTAATCATAGCCATTCTGACTGGTATGAGATGTTATCTGATTGCGGTTTTGATTTGCATTTCTCTGGATTAGTGATGATGAGCATTTTTTCATATGTTTGTTGGCTGCTTGTATGTATTTTGAGAAGTGTCTCTTCATGTCCTTTGCCAATTATTTATTGGGGTTATTTGGATACTGCTTGTTGACTTGTTTGAGTTCCTCATAGATTCTGGATATTAGACCTTTGTTGGATGTGTAGTTTGTGAATGTTTTCCCCTATACTGTAGATTGTCTACTCTATTGATACTTTCTTTTGCTGTGCAGAAGCTCTTTAGTTTAATTAGGTCCCACTTGTCAATTATTTTTTGATGTTGCAATTGCTTTTGGTGACTTAGCCAAAAATTATTTACCCAGGCCGATGTAGAGAAAGATACTTCTTAGGTTTTCTTCTAGGATTTTTATAGTTTGAGGTCTTACATTTAAAACTTTATTCCATCTTTAGTTATTTTTCTATATGGTGAAAGATAAGGGTCCAAGTTTTATTCTTCTGTATATTGCTAGTCAGTTATCCCAGCACCATTTATTGAATACGGAATCCGTTCCCCATTGCTTGTTTTCATCAGCTTTGTTGAAGACCAGATGGTGGGAGGTGTGCAGCTTCATTTCTGCTTTCTCTGTTTAGTTCCATTGGTCTATGTGTCTTACCAGTACCATGCTGTTTTGCTTACCATAGCCTTATAGCATAGTTTGAAGCCAGGTAGTGTGATGCTTCCAGTTGTGTTCTTTGTTGTGTTCTTTTTGGTTAGGATTGCTTTGGCTATTTGGCCATTTTTATGGTTCTATGTTAATGTTAGAATAGCTTTTTCTAATTCTGTGAAAAATGTCATTGGTAGTGTGATAGGAATAACATTGAATTTGTAAATTGCTTTGGGCAGTATGGCCATTTTAATGATACTGATTCTTCCAATCCATGAACAAGGAATGTTGTTCCATTTATTTGTGTCATCTCTGATTTCTTTCATCAGTGTTTTGTAGTTTTCCTTGTAGAGATCTTTCACCTCCTGGATTAGCTGTATTCCTAGATATTTCATTTTTTGTGGCTATTGAAAATGGGATTGTGTTCTTGATTTGACTCTCAGCTTGAACATTATTGCCATATAGAAAGCTACTCACTTTTGTCCATTGCTTTTGGGTCCTGAAACTTTACTGAACTCTCTCATCTGTCATTTATGAAATCTAGGAGACTTTTGGTGGAGTCTTTAGGGTTTTCTAGGTGTAGAATCATTTGGCAACAAAGAGAGATAGCTTTACTTCTTCTTGTCCTATTTGGATGCCTTTTATTTTTTTTCTCTTGCCTGATTCCTCTGGCTAGGACTTAAGCACTATGTTGAATAGGAGTGGTAAGAGTGGGCATCTTTGTTTTATTTCATTTCTCAAGGGGAATGATTCCAGCTTTTGCCCATTCAGTATGATGTTGGTTGTGGGTTTATCATAGATGGCTCTTATTATTTTGAGGTATGTTCATTCAATACCAAGACTATTGAGGGTTTTTTAATCATGAATGGAAAGGGATGCTGAATTTTATCAAAAGCTTTTTCTGCATTTATTGAGATGATCATATGTTAATAGTTTTTCCTCTTAATCCTATTTATGTGGTGAATCACATTTACTTATTTGCACTTGTTGAATCAGCCTTGCATCTCAGGAATAATGCCAGTTTGATCGGATGTATTAACTTTTTGATGTGCTCCTGGATTTGGTTTTCTAGTATTTTGTTGACAACTTTTGTGTCTGTATTCATCAGGGATATTGGCCTGACATTGTCTTTTTGTTGTTGTGTCTCTATCAGATTTTGGTATCAGCCTGGTGCTGGTTTCATAGAACGAGTTATGGAGAAGCCTTTCCTTTTTGAGTTTTTGGAATAGTTTCAGCAGGGTTGTTACAAGTTCTTCTTTGTATTTCTATCTGCTAGTATTTGGGTGTGAATTCATCTGGTCTAGGGCATTTTTTGATTGGTAGATTTTTAAATTAATGATTAAATTTCAAAACTTATAATGGTCTGTTTGGGTTTTTACTTTCTTCCTGGTTTAATCTTGGGAGCTTTTGTGTTTCCAGGAATTTATTCATTTCCTAGATTTTCTAATTTATGTGCATAGAACTTTTCATAATAGTATTGGAGGATTTTTGATTTCTGTAGGATTAGTTATAATATCATCATTGTCATTTCTCATTGGACTTATTTGGATCTCCTTTTTTTCTTTGTTAATATAGCTAGGGTGGTCTGTCTTATTTATTCTTTTGAAGAACCAATACTTGGTTTCATTGATCTTGTGTATAGATTTTTGCATCTCAGCATCCAGTGTTAGTATTGATATGTGAGATTTTGATCTTGTCATCATGTCGTTAGCTTGTTGTTTTGTAGACTTGATTGTATAGTCTCTTTATAGTGTCTTTGGGCTATGTGTTTAAGTGTGTTTTGTGATAGCAGGTGTTGTTCTTTCATTCCATGTTTAGTACTCTCTTAAGGACCTCTTGTAAGCCGTGTCTAGTGGTAAAAAATTATCTCAGAATTTGCTTGTCTGAGAAGAATTGTATTTCTCCTTCACTTATGAAGCTTAGTTTGATGAGATATGAAATTCTTGGTTAGAATTTCTTTTCTTTAAGGATGCTACAAATAGGCTTCCAATCTCTTCTGGCTTGTAAGATTTCTGCTGACAGGTCTGCTGCTAGCCTGATGAGCTTCCATTTGGATGTAATCTGACTCTTCTTTCTAGCTGCCTTTAAATTTTTTTGTTCGTGTTGAACTTGGTGAATCTGATGACTATGTGCCTTGGGGATATAGTGTCTCATCAGGGTTCTCCATCTTTCTTAAATTTGTATATCAATTTCTGGTGAGATTGGGGACATTTTTATAGACTATATCCTCAAGCACTTTTTCCAGGTTGTTTACTTTCCTGTCTCAGGAATGCCAATAAGTCATAAGTTTGGTCTCTTTATGTAATCCTAAATTTCTTGGAGGTTTTGTTCTTTTTTTTTTTTTTTTAACTTTTGTCTGGCTCAGTTGATTTGAAGAACTGGTTTTTGAGCTCTGAGATGCTTTCCTCAGCTCGGTCTATTCTGCTGTTAATGCTTCCTGTTGTATTATAAAATCCTTGTAGTGATTGCTTCCATTCCAGAAGTTCAGTTTTGTTTTTTCCTAAAATGGCTATTTCATCTTTCAGCTCTTAGATTGTTTTACTGGATTCCTGGATTACTGGATTGGGTTTTAACTTTCTCTTGAATCTCGATGAGTGTCCTTTCCATTCTGAATTGTATGTCTGTCATTTCTGTTGTTACCATCTAGTTAAGAAGCATTGCTGAGGAGCTCATTTGAAGGTAAGGGGACACTGACTTTTTGAATTTCCAGAGTTCTTGCACTGAATCTTTCTTGCCTGAGAGGGCTGGTGTTCCATTAATTGTAGTATAAGTTGAGTATAGTCAATTGGCTTCATTACTGGGTGCTTTCAGAGAGCCAAGGCTCTGTACAGGGTCTTTATTTGTAGCTGGATTCTTGCCTTGGGTTTCACAGTTTTGTATATTGGCAGAATGTTTTTGGTGTTGTAATTTGGTTTACTATCCAGTAGATGGCACTTAGGAGTAAGAGCCAGCAGATAGGCTCAGCCTCGCAGCGCTTCAGTATTTCTGCCTATTCACAGCAGTGCTCTGTGGTGGGGTGAAAAGAGAGATGACCCTCTCTCCTTGCTGGTATGCTTCGGGATCCTGGGGGAGACCCCTCTGATCGCTGGCACTGTGTCTGTGTTTCCTTTGTTACTTGCTAATTTCAGTATTACTTCTGATGTGATCTGATATGATTTATAATTTGCTCTACTTATCTCTGGAGTTCAATCAATTTTTGTTTTATATCTTTCCACTCTTCTCTATTCCTTTTTTTAGTTTTTATATTTCTGGGGTTTTCTTGTATCAGCAAATATTTATTTGAGAAGAGTTCACTCTGTTTTTAGGTTTTTATTACAGTATTATTCAATTTCATGTTATTTGGGGAGAATTATCAGACTAAATTATTTACTTCACATTTTCTGATTTTGCTTTTGTTTTGCATGTTTTTTTATGGACGTGGCCTACCTATTTCAATTTGTTTTTAATTTATAAACAGAGTTTCTAGCACTAGAGTGCCCCTCTCTGTTAGTCCATCACACATTCTCAATGTGTTGTCTGTAGACACCTTTCTGCAGTGTTAAAAATGTCATTTTCTCATTGTGTGCCTGTGTTTTGACTGTGGCTCATCACATGAGGTCAGGGGTAGCATTTTCTACTTGTGGCATCATGTCGGCACTCAAAAAGTTTCAGATTTTGGAGAATTTTGTGTTTCGAATTTTCAGATGAGGGATGCTCAACCTGGTGAATGGGAGTGAGGGAGAATCTGTTTCTGTGTGTGCTGGACCTGAAGCTTCCTGTGAGTCTCACAGCTGTGGGCACCCATCTTCCCTTGCCCTGCGCAGCCTATTTCTTTCATTTCTACGAGATTCTAACTCTCCTATTTTCTTTTTTCTGTTTACTGACACTCCTCCAAAGAGTACCAGTCTTCTCTTTGTATCTGATTCTTCTCAAGAAATATTGCTTATCTCAGGCTGCCACTTCCAGTCTCACTCTTTTCAGATCCTTTCTTATAGATTATAAATGACCAAATCCAAACATATATTCTGCATTAGGGCATTTAGTTAAACTTTTCTCTAGGGTTATTTTAGCTGTGTTTCTTTATGTTTTCCACCCTACTTTACATTTTTCCCCTATAATTTCTTAAACATCTTCACCTCTCTCCTGTGTCTTAGGTTTGTAGCAGCAGGTGTTGTTTTTATTTCCTTAGTTGCAGGTAATTTGAGGATCATGACTTTCTCTGTCATGATACTGAAGGCCTGTATTGGGTTTGGGTGTTTTTCCTCTCCTTGTTGATTTCATGGGTTTTAGTAAAGGTTTTGTGGGTAGACTTGATAAAAGTTAAAATATTCTTAAAATAGAAAGAATTTGCCTGTAATCTCAGCACTTTGGAAGGCCAAGGCAGGCAGATCACTTTAGGTCAGGAGTTTGAGACGATTCTGGTCAACATGGTGAAACCCCGTTTCTACCTAAAAAATAATAATACTACTACTACAAAAATTACCCCAGCGTGGTGGCGCACACAACTGTAATCTCAGCTACTTTGGAGGCTGAGGCAGGAGAATTGCTTGAACCTGGGAAACAGAGGTTGCGATGAGCCGAGATCGCACCACTACCCTACAACCTAGCACAACAGAGTGAGACCCTGTTTCAAAAAAAAAAAAAAAAAAAAAAAGCAAAAAAGAAAAGAATTTATTCATATATGCATAATTACAATTGACACATTTCTTTTAATGAGACTTTATTAAGCATCACTACATATCAAGCAAGGTACTGTGCCTACAAAGATAATCAGATGGTGGTTTCCTAACATGAATTTGTTTGCAGGAACACACACAAATGCGTATTAGTTACAGCACAGTAATACTCCAAACAAAATACAGAGGGAAAAGCACCTATCTTCATGACAACCTCTAGGAAAGCTTCACAGTGCTTTTGAACTATGTCTTGAAAGATAAGTAGCAGTATAGTAGGGAAAGAAGTTAGGTAAGAATATCTCAGGCAAAGAGAACACACAAGAGCATTGTGTGTTTGTTTAGTTCTTCAAGTAGGAGTGTTGGCAAAGAAGATTTGAATGTTCACCAGGAACAAAATCCTGAAGAACAATGCTGAAGTAAAAAGATGAAGCTTTGAAGGAAGAAAAGGATATTGCTCAATTTTTCTTTAGAAACATCATTTTATTGGAAACAAAAGATAATTTAGATGGATATAAGATTGAACTCAGGGAAGTAAAGGCTGTTAAAATTGTCCAGCAATAAATTTTGGAGGTCTTTTCAAGGCATTGACAACAGGAAGGAGAGGAGACTATGAATTAGAAAAAATATTTTTATGACAGAATTCATTGGCCCTAATGGATTATTGGATATGGAGGACAAAAATAAGGAAGACAGAATGATAGGGTGTCTAGAAAGAGATACAGTTTATAGGAATCTGAGTTCCTAGATTTCACATATTTCATGTTACCTCTATACCAAACATCACTTTAATGTCCAGATATCTGGAAGTGGTTTTTCTGCCTTTTGAGCACAGATAGTTTTGTCACATTAGATAATATTTTTGGGGAAAATGGCAATGCTAAGATTGAGAAAAATGGGCTGATGGAGCATATAAAGTTGAAGACTGATCACTGGCACATCAGCTCTATCAGCTCATTTTTTTTTCCTTCCAGCTTACACTTCAGGTAATTTGTTTTTGATATCCATATGTTGTATGTTAATGCTTAGAAACAAAATTGAAATACTGCTACATACTAAATAGCATAGACTAAATATATGTGTGGTACAGATAATGTTATTACAATGTGAGGATAATACTGAAGCTAAGTTTCTCAGATGTTTATGGATTCATTGTAAAAATAAGTCATTTTAGAAAAAAATGTTTGCATTGATTGATTTATCAAGATTGTATTCAATTTAATTCTATCATCATTCTTTTGATTATTTACTATGTCTTCAACTAAATATTACATCTTGGAAATACAAAATGAGAGCAGTCCCCTCACACAGTATCTAACACACATCTACCTATCAGATGCTGTGTTAAATGGTGCAGTGCCACAGATCAGTTGAAAGTCTAATAATTAAAATGGACAGGTTAAAAAAGATCATAGATTTAAATATATGGCATATTTTTCTAAAAAATAATACTCAAAAGAAGGCTCTCCCTATATTTGAGCTTTTGTAGAGTGTCTCATGTTATTAGATTTCTCTTATTTTCTTAGTTATGACTAACAAGATAGTTTAAATTAAATATTAAATGTGATTTCAATAATGTATGCATTTTTACCATATTGCAAATCTAAGAAATATCTCCTGCTTTCTGAGATCCTGAAAGATTATTTCGTTGTTAATCTGTTACTGTTAGATACCCAAGTCCAAAGTTTAGTAAGATAATTTGTATATTTCCACATGTAATAAATACTTACCTGATTTCATTTAGTAAATTCTCAGCAATTTCTTTTTTTGACAGGTTTAGAGTTCTTGAGGGATTTTGTTTTTTATGCTCAAGGAATAAGACTTGTGACAATTGAAAAGGAGAAAAAAGTAGTACTTTAAAACTAAGATTGTTGAAATATCCAGTTTCCTTATGAATACTTAAAGAATTTTTAAGTTAAGTCTATAGCAATAATGTTGATATTATATTTCTAATAACATTGATTCTGCCATTTTTAAAACATTAAAAATAGACATGGTAAACAGTAAATTTCATAAAATATATTTTTGTACTTTTTCTGATTTTGATGTCATGTACTATTACAATAATTTCTACATTTTTCAGAAAAAAACTGGGAGAAAAAGTTCATTCACTCTGAGTAAGCTAAGGAAGTTGTGAATGGCAGATTAGCAAGGGAATATGATGGCATTATAATTTAATTTCAAGTTTATAGTGATCTGGAAAACCAAATTAGGGAAATTAACAATGCAACAATGTTCATCATCACTGAAAAGAATGAAAAAAGACAGGATAAACAGAAAGATGCCTATTAATATTAAGAGTGTTGAAATATGAAGAATGGGATGTTCAATAAAGTTAATATTGAATATGATAAATACATTTTAAAATCTCATTGAGAAAAAATGTTTATAACCTTTATGTTCAGATATGTGTTCTTGTTAAGCATATATAGAAATTACAATTTAATATTAAGTACTTTCACAGAATCATATGGCATGCTACTAGAACACAAAAGGTATCACATCTTTCTGCCTAGGAAACTGTGGAAAGACTCACAGATTTGGTGAGCTGGGATCTATATGAATAAGGAGGAAGATTAATCAGGTTAAACAACAACAACAAGAAAACCTGACTTTCTGAGGAGGAGAAAACTACTTTCTCTCATTCCTAAATGGGTACTAAGTTAAAAACAAAACACTTGGTTGTGAGAATTAAAATGTTGTGCCGATAAACGCTGTCACTTTTCAATTCTTTGAAAACCAAGAGCTAGGCTGCATATTTCATAGAATTTTTGCTAAAGTAGTCATGTTTAATTCCTTGGCCTGCTGCATATGTCACAATCCTGTAAACATCCAAGATTCAAACTTGGAGAAAGATGGAAATGTATATCTACAATGCGGTCAGAGAAATGTTTTCAGTTTTAGAGAGATAAAGCAAAAGTCCATGCAGATTTTGGATATGGTTTTGATTTGTTAAGTTCATTCCTAGAAATTACATTGTAGAATATTCTGTAGTTTATTTAAAAACCATTTAAATTCTCTTTATAATACAGAGGCTTTCCAAATTATCTTATTTAAATTTTAAAGTTAAATTCCGTTTAATTGGCTTTCTACTTATATCTGTTATCCCTTTTAATCCTTGTATCAGTCCTTGCAGTATGGCATAAGCACCATCTTGTGTTAAAACATGATAATGATATGGAAACTGAAGTTTAGAGAGTTGAGTAACTTCACCAAAATTACATGTCTAGAAAGCAGTGGAGCCAAAATTAGAATATATGCCTGTCTGAATACAAAATCAAGGCTCCAGACTATAACATTCTTCCATATTCTGATTCTGTTTTTACTCTTTTTCACAGGAATTATTATGGAGAAAAAATTGGTATCTATTTTGTCTTTCTTGGATTTTACACAGAAATGCTATTCTTTGCAGCTGTAGTTGGCTTAGCTTGTTTTATTTATGGCTTATTATCAATGGAACATAACACAAGCAGGTAAGTGCACCTGAGTTGCCCAGATAGAGAAAACATCTTTATCTTGTGCCAAATGAAGTTGTTGTTATTATTTCCCTGGCATTTCCTTCAGAATGTTTCCTTATAGCAGCAGATAATCGATATTTTCCAAAAACTACTCAAACATAACAGTTGCCTCTCACCTGGTGCTTTATGGAAAATCTGTTTTTAAAGCTGGGCTCTGAAAACTCTACTCCTCAAAGCATGACTTGACCCACTATAGAAATTGCTGCTTGATTGCCCCTTCTGTTATATGTGAGAAGTTATATAAGTAGTTGTTCTAATAAGAACAGCTTGGACTTTTACCTAAACACCTATCACTGTTCAATAACTTTGCTGTTCCTCTTGCAGCACTGAAATCTGTGACCCTGAGATTGGTGGTCAGATGATCATGTGCCCACTCTGTGATCAAGTGTGTGATTATTGGAGACTAAATAGTACGTGTTTGGCTTCAAAGGTATGTATGCATTGTAACATGTTGAAAAGACTTGGAATTTTCCTCCTTTTTATTACATTTAGTACTAAATTATCTTTGTGATATTGTTATTGTTATTTTTACAGTTCTCCCATTTGTTTGATAATGAGTCAACAGTGTTCTTTGCAATATTCATGGGAATTTGGGGTGAGTAAATAGTCCCATAAAGAAACAGCTTTCTTCCTATTAATGTGTTGTTTTGCCTCCATATAACATATGACAGATGAAATATCTTACATACCAAATGTGGTTTTAGATCATTGTGTCTTTGTTAGCATTAATATACTGATGGAGTGCATATTAGTGGCCATTAGTTCTTGGTCCACAAAGGTCTCTGTTAAACATCAGCTCATTTCTCTAAGAGACAACATAATTTTTGAAACATCAAATGTATTAATTTCCCACTGTCTTTCAGTGCCATGTTAAAAACAGGCTCAAAAAATACTTCATTCAGGAGAGACTAAACAAATATTTTGTGGCTGGAGGATATTGATCATGTATACAAACTGGAACACAGATCAAAAACTTGAGGACTAATGAACATTTTTGAGTATAAATTGTCTAGTTACAGTTACCACTTCCACACTCATTCATTAAAAATCCTTCATATAGAATGGAATTTCCCTTAACTTTGAAAATGCCCTGCCCAGGACTTCATATTTTAACCATTTCAGTTGGAAAGTTAAAGTGTCATGAAGTTTTTCCTATCATCAGCAAGGAAAATGTTTTCTGTAAGAATAACTTCGTTGGAAGAGACCTAAAGACTGGTCTAAAATATATCACAAAACTTGGAGTTCCTGGGTGTAAATTAGACATTTTTCCCAGTTAAAAAACACCTCTAACAAACACAAATATATGCCATTCAAAACTGGGCAAGGGCGGCCAGGCACGGTGGCTCATGCCTGTAATCCTAGCACTTTGGGAGGCTGAGGTGGGCAGATCACGAGGTCAGGAGATCGAGATTACCCTGGCTAACACGGTGAAACCCCGTCTCTACTAAAAAATACCAAAAAAAATTAGCCAGGCGTGGTGGCAGGTGCCTGTAGTTCCAGCTACTTGGGAGGCTGAGGCAAGAGAATGGCATGAACCCGGGAGGCTGAGCTTGCAGTGAGCCGAGATTGTGCCACTGCACTCAAGCCTGAGAGACAGAGCAAGACGCCGTCTCAAAAAAAAAAAAAAAAAAAAAAAAAAAAAACTAGGCAAGGGCTGCATTATCCAGTCAAATAACATCAAAATTTGTAGTATGTTTGCAAAGCGGAGGGATTTATGGCTTTCTCTCATTTCTGCTTGGCTGCTGTGGTCTGAAGAGAGCAGCCTAGATTCAAAGAAAGAATAAAGAATCTAGAAATCTTATTAATGGTTTAACAGCAACCTCAGTTTTTGTAAGTTGTTGTATATACATCCATTTTTCATGAGGCTGCCAAATCCTACCTCTCATTACTTGGAATCAAAAATGAATGATAGGTGCATGATTAAAACAAATACATTGTGAGAATTTTCCATTGTTTCCATTGAGAGAGATTGTGCACCAACACCTGCCTTATATTACATCATAAATAGAGGAGTGGGTGTGTGTGGAGCACCCTTCAGCACTATTTGCAGTTACTTGATCACAAGTGAGACTGATCACATTTTTAATATTTACTGACCATTGGCTCTCCTTGATGTTTGAAGTATTTAAATTTTTTTATGATTCACATGTGCTTTTGTATAATAAGCACAGTAATCCTTTGTCTGCCACATAAATTGCAAATATTTTTTTCAGTTTGTAATTTACATTTGATCTCATTCGTAGTCAATGGACATTTTAATATATATTACTGGTCATAAAACTTTCCTTATGGTTTTTCTTGTTTTTGTGTTTCTTTAGAAAACGTTCCCCACTGAGAGATAATGTAAGATGTTCACCTATGCTTCATTTCAGAAATTTAATGATTTCATTTTATTTATACTTTAATATAATTCAGCAACTAGTTTTTAAAGTTTCTACCCTGGAACAGGTACCATTCTAGGCAATAGGAATTTAAATATGCACATACATGGTCCTTGATTTTAAGACATATTTTGAGTGTACATGCCTCCATGATTGCAATTGTGTATAAGCCAGGCTCATCACTAGATTACTTGCTCCTTTAGGACAAACACCATGGCTTTCATCTCCATAGTTCCAGGGCTAGGCATATGGTATGTATTCAAATATATGTTGAATAAATAAATAATTTAAATGCTAATTGTATTCCTTCTTAAAAATGAAAAAGGTCAAGTCCTACTTAGGCACAATCTATAAGGCCCAAACCAAGGGTCCCTTTAATTTCCTGAAATCCTTTTCAGGGAATATATGAATCCTGTGATTCCTATATACTTATAATCACAAAAGTCCGTAGAAATCATGGGAACAATATTGTTTTTAGTCCACATCATTTCTCTTTCCTTACAGTACTCTTTTTGCTAACTATTTTGTACCATCATTAATTTATCTCACAATCCCATCTATGTTGGCCAACTTTCTTATTTCTACTTCAGCATTAACAAACTTTGAGACAAGAAATTTTAAATGATTAGTGTATTTAAAAGTTTTAGCAGTATGTATATGACATCCAATCTCTTGCATAGCCATAGTAACCAAATACTGCTTCTAAAATTAATGGTAGTTGTTCTATTGTAGTATAAACAAACAAGCAAATATTAAAATGTTTAATAGTACCAAGTTCATGAAACTGTTCTCCCTGCTAACAATGTATCTACTGCATACAGCAGTAATGAAATGAGTAGAGTAGAAGTTTCTGCCTTACGAAATTCACAACCAATATTAAATGATAGAATGAATAAGTGAATGAAATATAACCTGTTGTTAAGAAAGTTACAATCTAATTGGGTTAGAATCTGAAGTCTACTTTCGTAGAAGTGCATTGTAAATGCTGAGGGAGTACAGAGGAGGGCTGAATTACTTTTTGACTGGAGGAGTTATATGAGGTATCTAAAATAGCCAAACTTATGGAATCAAAGAGTGGAATTGTGGTTACCAGGGCTGGACGATTAGGAAATGAGCAGTTACTAATCAATAAGCATACTTTAAAGTTTCAATTAAGCAAGATGAATAAGGTCTGTACAACATTGTACTAATGGTCCACAATAATTAATTGTATACTTTACAATTAAGTGGTTAGTCTACTGTGTTCTTCCCATTTAATAAATGTTTAAATATTTCTTTAAAGTTTAAATAATGAGCAAAGGAAAACATAAGCCAATGTATACATGAGCAAATAAACAAACAAAAAAACAACAGTCAGATGATAGGTATATTTGCACTGGAAAAATATATTTTGGAAGCTGAGAGAGCAATTAGATGACTGTAATGATAAAAATATAATTAGGATTTTTAAAAATGTATGGATATCATCCATAGTTCCTTACATTATTTAAAAGGTAGAGAGTGAGTCAGAAAGTTGAATCTTTTATAGATGATACAATTATGAGTTAATATTGGAGGTGTTAGTATTCTCTTCCTAAGTATATCCGAACAGAAAGGCATGTATATGCCCACCAATAGATACGTACAAGAATGTTCACAGCAGCACTATGTGTAATAGCAGGTATCTGGAAACAACTCAAATGTCTGTCAGCCCAAGAATATATAACCAGAACTGCAATTTAACCGTAGAGTCGAACACTATGCAGCAATGAAAATAAATGAATTTTCGCTGTACACAGCAACAAAGTTGAACCAAAAAAAAAAAAGCTTGACACGAAAAAGTATCAGTTGTATATCATTTAAGTAAATATATTTGTAATGGAATATTTTTTATATTGGTGCTGGTTATATGGGTATATTTATTTTGTGAATTTTTTTGAATTGTACATTTATACTTTATGTATTTTTCTGTAAATATATATTCTTCAATTGAAAGTTGATAATTCCAGCACTTTGGGGGGCTGAGGTGGAAGGATCACTAGAAGCCAGGAGTTCAAGACCAGCCTGGGTGACAGAAGGAGACTCAAATAAAGACATAAAAAGAAAGCTGAAGTTTTGTGTGTATATATAGTATATGTAGTTTAAAAGAGAGAGTAATTGTGCTGGGGATTGGCTCTTATGCTTCCTAGGTATATTTCCCCAAGCCTGAGAAAGCAGTACAAAGACTTGAATGATTTCAATAAAAGATAAAAGATACATGCAAAAAAAAATATTTCAGTGTTAATAAAAAGCTAAGTTCAAATATTACTTCAAATTGTCTGAATGAAGAAATATATTAATATGTCTGAAAAAAATTCTTGCTTGGACCACTGACCAAGAAACTAAATTTTTGTATGATTTTTTTTCAGTGTATTATTGGATACACAATATTATGCCAACACTAATAATTGATGAAGTTTTAATCAAACACAACAGTGAAAGAATAGCCACCTGAAACATGTGAACCATCCTGCAACCAAAGTAATTAAAGGGAAAAGTTGAAAAAGTTTTTAACTTTTTTAATATCTTTTTTTTATATATTTATTTACCTATAGTCACCTTATTTTTGGAGTTTTGGAAACAACGACAAGCCAGACTGGAATATGAATGGGACCTGGTGGACTTTGAAGAGGAACAGCAGCAGCTTCAGCTGAGACCAGAATTTGAAGCTATGTGTAAACACAGGAAATTGAATGCAGTGACTAAGGTAGACTAGAAAACTGTGAAACGGACAGCATATCTCAATGGACACACTGCTATAGGTTTCTTCTCATATAATCATAGTTTATTTTGCCTTTAAAATATTCTGCAACGTATAAATCACATAAACTTCTTTACTTGTTTCTAATATACATACATGTATATAA
This sequence comes from Homo sapiens, assembly GCF_000001405.40. Classification (NCBI taxonomy): domain Eukaryota; kingdom Metazoa; phylum Chordata; class Mammalia; order Primates; family Hominidae; genus Homo; species Homo sapiens. The sequence goes on from NC_000011.10 coordinate 22,255,683, forward strand.
ATGTATATATAGAATGTATATATATGAAAATTTTCAAACACTTTCAAATGTAGATAGAAAAATATAATGAACTACATGGATGAACCCATCACTCAGAATGAATCGTTTTTAATTCATGGACAATCTTGTTTCATTCATACTCATACTCTTTTGTGTCACTAAATTATTTGGAAACAAATCCAAGGCATAATAACATTAAACTAAGTGCAAAAAGGAAAATAATGTGTATGCTGTGGGCTTTGCATATAAATGTACAGACATTGAAATGATGCTAAGTGATATATAAAAATTAAAATAGTATTTATATTAAGATTGAGGTCTTATGTTTTATTAGACTAACTTTTCTTCACACGGCCCCTTTTAACTGATTATATTGAGAATCATTGTATTTGTGTATGGGGGAAGAAGTCTACATATTAGAATGCTTAGCTGACAAACCAGCTATATGTTCTTGACTGAGTTGTTTAACTTTTTGGTACCTCACTTTTTTCATGTGAAAATGGAAGTGCTTTGCCTTTAAAGACCAGAATCTTGGTTACATATTTTTTGAGCCCCTATCTTCCCGTAATCTACAATCACTGTGTTTCCTGCTGCTATTTAAAAGAGAATAATATGTGTCCTAAATACACTCTCTTCAATAGAATTCCCTATTCTCTTCAGAAAATTATTCTCGCAGTATAACATTTAAAATTATTTTCACCATTTAGGCATTCACTGAACAATTACTAAATTTCATTGAAAGATCATGAAAACATCTCAAAAGATCATGAAAACATCTCAGAAAATACATTAACAATGTGGGTGGCAGTTTGAAATTAAGAAAATATATTAAAAGATACTGACAGAATAATGACATGATGTTCATTCCTATTTCACGAAATAAAAAAGTAAACAAAAGCAGTCCTATTAGCTTTGCCAAAAATTAACAGAAAAAAATGTATTGAATGCTTACATTTGAATCCAGTTGAAAAGCCATATGTATTGATTCACTGTGAATTGTTGGCTTCACTTAGCTTTCATGGTTTAGAAATCATGAAACAGAGTTTTTTTTTGTTTTGTTTTGTTTTGTTTTTTACTTATTGCAGTGCTTCCTCAGTGTTTAAGGACGACCAGAACTGTCACATTTGAGTCCACATTGGGAACACACATGTGCACCCACACAAATATGCATACAGATGCATGAACACGCATACATTGGGTGCACACATGAACACACATGTACACAGTGACATATATGCCTACATGCACACACATTCTGAGGTGTGTAGGACTCTTGGACAGCTGACTCTGCCTGTTGAGAGTTCTATTTTTATTCAGACCACCCTAAAAATTCTTAAAATGTGAAATATTATGTTATGGAATTACATGATTTTGATTTCTGCTGACAGCGTTTTTTTTTTGTTTGTTTGTTTTGTTTTGTTTTTTTACTATTTTTTGCTTCTTTTGGGTAAAATCTACTTACTTCTTGATGCACCTAAGAATGTCAGCTGTATAATCAATATCTTTCATTAATAACTCCTAAAGACTAAAGGTGGAATTCTTGGCTCCTGAGCTATGTGGAAGAACACAGTTTATCTGAAAAATATAAAGAAAGCATCTAATTTAATATCATGCAGAGCAATGTAATTCAATTCAATTAGAATAAAATTATAACACCATTAAACATCATAAATCATGTCTACCTAGGCAGCAACCTTCATTATTCATTATTTGACTTTATTTACTCAGTGCCAGGCCCTAAACATTGTAATTCAGCATTTAGGAAATTGTGTGTATCCATTATGTTTCATATCATGTGTAAGATAACCCATCTAGGAGGCCTGGAGATTTCTCCTTCAAGAGAAGGAACCATTCCTATAATGTAGCTTTCCATGACCTATAGTAGGCCCTTTTGGGAGACTCCTACTTTAACTGGGCTCTGTGATATTGACTAGTGCTTGGAGTCTTGACTTAGAGGGGAGATTTTGAATTTCTTTGTGATTTCTTCAATATTACAGGAGATGGAACCTTACATGCCTCTATACACGCGTATTCCATGGTACTTTCTTTCAGGAGCCACAGTGACATTATGGGTGAGCATTTCTTTAAAAATTGCTATAATTTCTTCAACAGGTGATTAAATGAGCTATCTCAACAGTGTTACCTACAATGTCTCTTGAGTCTTTCCTTTCCCTCTCCCTCCCTGGTCTTTTTATCTTGGTTATAGCTCTTATACAAAATAAACTGTAATTTATGTGGATTTTCCATACTTAAACTTTGGGAAAAGATCTTGGGGAAAAGGAGGTACTTTATCTTAAAGCCCGTCCCTCCCTGCCTCACGACACTTCGTTTAAGTGATCACTTGAAATCAGGACAGAATAACAAACTTACTCTGATTCCAGGCTCTTTGGTTAGTTTTAGAAAAATCATGAATGTATCTTTATTTCCACCTTATTTCCTGCTCTTCCTTTTTCCAAATGTGTTCCCTCTTAACACTTAGCATCTAATTTTAGGAAAACAGGCAGTGTTACCTTCTAAGAGGTTAGTTAGCATGTTGAAATATAAATAATTGACAGTTGTAGACTATAGTTTAGACTCACCAGTCCATAAACCCCATATGATTTATCTTTAGCATTTCTTGTTAAATCTACTATTTTCATATTTTAAAACAGTAAAAATATGTTTTCTTAGATTACATAATAATCATTGAGGAGATGTGATAAAATAAAAGGGGGAGAATCATTAATTCAGGACTCTCTTTTGAGAAATCTTCTGGAGTATATCCCCAGAAAATTATTCTGTTTTTGATTTCTAGTTTTCATTTAATTTGACTCGCTTCCTCAACTTTTAGAATAAAATTCTCTAATGATTGATAGAAAGCCATCTTTGTGCTTTTGCAATATGGGAAGTATACAAAATTTATACAGAATGTATATAAATTTCTAAACTACCACGCATATTAGCGCACTAATGGCAATATTCTGAGGGGAAATGAAATACAATATTGACATGTATTTTTCTTAGGAAAATAAGTGATCTTGATTCTACATCTTTAACTTCAATGTAGAGCATGAGTCAGCAAACATTTTCTGTAAAGGGGCCAGATATATTTTTGGCTTTGTGGCCACATATAGTCTCTGGAACATAATTGCCTTTATTTTTCTCTATAACCTTTAGAAATGCAAAAGAAGGCTGGGCGCAGTGGCTCACGCCTGTAATCCCAGCACTTTGGGAGGCCAAGGTAGGCAGATCACGAGGTCAGGAGATCGAGACTATCCTGGCTAACATGGTGAAACCCCGTCTCTACTAAAAATACAAAAAATTAGCCGGGTGTGGTGGCGGTCACCTGTAGTCCCATCTACTAAGGAGGCTGAGGCAGGAGAATCCCTTGAACCTGGAAGGCGGAGCTTGCAGTGAGCCAAGATCACGCCACTGCACTCCAGCCTGGGCGACAGAGCGAGACTCTGTCTCAAAAAAAAAAAAAAAAAGAGAAAAAAACACAAAAGAACATTCCTAATTTAAGGACCAGATAAGATCAGGCAAGGCCACGGGCAGGATTTGGCTTTCTACTATAGTTTGCCACTCCCTACTAGAGGATGAGCCTAGAGGATGAGCAATGAATACGTTTCTCTTTTAGACTTAATCAGCAGCTACTATATGCCTTATCTCTAACCCTTTTACCTTGCCAGTGTTCATGTCTTGCCATCTAGGGAAAGAGAGACTGACTTAGTTTGCTTTGCACATGAGAACTGCTAAACTTCATATAATGAGATGAACAGAATAATCAATATGTTAGATATATATTCATAACAGAGATACAGAGACCCAAATAGCAGTTCTTTGTTTTCCTTTCCCAGATGTCTCTTGTCGTCACCAGTATGGTAGCTGTAATTGTGTACCGCCTGTCAGTCTTTGCTACATTTGCTAGTTTCATGGAAAGTGATGCATCCTTAAAGCAGGTCAAAAGCTTCCTTACTCCTCAGATAACCACATCACTCACAGGATCATGCTTGAACTTTATTGTCATCTTGATCTTGAATTTCTTTTATGAAAAGATATCTGCCTGGATCACAAAAATGGGTAAGCTGGCCAAATCATTTGTGTGATTCTGAAGAATGATTCTTATTGATGCTATATGTCTATTTTGGATCAGGTCTCCAGGAGTTCATTTTCAAAGGACACATTTTAAGGCAGTTTTTCTCTATAAATAGACCCATATCTGCTATTTCAAAATTGCTCAAGAGCCACCATTCAAGGTCCATTATAAAGGAAGAGGCAAAATAACTGAAAAAAAAAAAAAAGAATTCTGACTCTATATATCTTTCTCAGTATCCTTGTCTTAATTCTCCCTTGATGGGTCTAGTTGAATCCTAAGAAAAATAATCACTTTACTGAAGACACAGATAATTTTTGTTTCATGTGTATGGTTCTTATAAAGTATTGATTTTGGAAGTTATTGTGAGAAAAACAGAAACATCAGCTTCTCCTAAATAAATCTAAATTTTAGCGCTTTTCTTTTCTACTGCTATCTCTTAGAATTTGGAATATTTTCTTGTTAAAATATTAAAATTTCTACTTCAAGCCACAGGGGAAAGTGAAAGGGGTCACAGGTTAAGTGAGAAATTGAGTTAAGTAGAGCAGCACAGAGCACAGTCGCTTCTGCTCTTTTTCCTGGCAAGTTAGCAGTAAGATCGGAAACTCAAATCAAGGCATCAGCCTCTTCTCTGAGTGTTCTCTCCAGGGTTCAAGCTCGTTTGAATCTGTTGTACATAGACATCATGGCTGACGTCAAGCAAAAGACCACATTATTCAGTCAGCGCTGGAATGATCACTGAGATGAGACTTTCATTATATACTATCTTCAAATTTGGAGTTCTCTCCCATTTTTACTTTTCTCTGCTATCAACAGTGAGAAAATCATAGCAGATAAATTGCTTTTAAAAGCACCTAAAAACTCACCATTTTCCTCAATGGGAAAAAAAATCAAGTTCACATTACAGGTTTTGTAGGAATACAGCTACATTTCACTAAAATGGGGGAGTTATCTGTGTCTTTAAAATAATTTGTGATACTCTTCCAGTATTGCTGAAAATGTCATGATTTGGCTGGATCAGCTCATGCTACTGGGAGATCATCAGCTCAGGAAAACATACTTTTCTACATTTTTGTGCTTCATGATCCTCTATTGCAGGGTGAAGATAATTTAATATTTTGTTATCTTTAGAATTCATTAAATGACAGATCATGATCATGCATTTTAAATAAAGGAGAGGGAAAATGTGTATTGTTTCTGCCACTATTTGCTAATTACATTATTTTCAAAATTAATATAGCCATTGAATTAATGAGAGGGCAACACAATTCTGTTGGAAATCATCCCTGCCCTTGACATGAGCTTACTTTCTTTAAACCTGATTGTAAAACAGATGAGTTCTAATGGCTTATAGCATGGCAGATAGTGTTTGGAGATGAGCATAAGTTTCTTCAGTCTTATTTGGTGTATTAGTTTGTTTTCACACTGCTATAAAGATACTACCTGAGACTGGGTAGTTTGTAAAGGAAAGAGGTTTAATTGACTCGGTTCACATGGCTGGGGAGGCCTCAGGAAACTTAACAATCATGGTAGAAGGTAAAGGGGAAACAAACACGTTTTTCATAAGGCAGCAGGAGAGAGAGAGTGCATGGGGAAGTGCCACACTTTAAAACCATTAGCTCTCAATTGGCGAGGCATGGTGGCTCATGCCTGTAATCCCAGCACTTTAGGAGACAGAGGCAGGTGGATCACGAGGTCAGGAGTTTGAGACCAGCCTGGCCAACATGGTGAAACCCTGTCTCTACTAGAAATACAAAAAAATTAGCCAGGTGTGGTGGTGCACATCTGTAGTCCCAGCTACTCGAGAGGATGACGCAGGAGAATTGCTTGAACCTGGGAGGCGGAGGTTCCAGTGTGCTGAGATCACGCCACTGTGCTCCACCTGGGTGACAGAGTGAGATTCCGTCTCAAAAATAAATAAATAAAACCATTACCTCTCTTGAGAATTCACTCAATACCAGGAGAACAGCATGGGGGAAACCACACCCATGATTCAATGGCCTCCCACCAGGTCCCTCCCTTGGCACGTGGGAATTACAATTTGACATGAGATTTTGGTTGGGACAGAGTGCCAAACCATATCATGTGGGTTTGAATTTCAAATTCTGTGTAACCCCAAGACAAGAATGCTGTCTCTCTGACTGTGGTAACAATAGCTTCCTAGGCTTTTCCAGTGGTTAGTTTAATACAAAATGTGTAACAGAAAGTCTAGCACAAATCCATAGTTACTTAATATTGGCCTACTATCGCCAGAATGGGGAGCATTCTATAGGCTCCCAGAATGATGTGACTAGATGTTCACTTGTCCTAGGGAGTACGAAGTTCAAGGAAAAAAATAAGAAGATGCACTAAACATTTTTTTTTAACTTAACAGAAATTCCTCGAACATACCAGGAGTATGAGAGCAGTCTTACCTTGAAAATGTTCCTGTTTCAGTTTGTAAATTTTTACTCATCCTGCTTCTACGTAGCTTTCTTTAAAGGGAAGTTCGTAGGCTATCCTGGAAAATACACATATTTATTTAATGAGTGGAGAAGTGAAGAGGTAAGAATTTCCTTGAGAGTTGAGGTGTGTAGCTTCAATACCTCAGTATTAACAACTTTCTGTGTGTCAAGCACTGATTCACATGCTAAAAAATTACAAAATATATCTAGGCACTGACTCTATCCACAGAGAGTATTGTTCACAGATGAATCCTGTCATTTGATAAACTTCTCAGTTTATTTTTGAGCAAGAAGTTACATTATGCCTATGGTTTAGCAGTAAAATATGAAATATAAAATGACATAAGTTCTTTATTCCTGAAAATTTCCTGCAAAGGAAGACTGATTACTTTCTGTAGAAATGGTTCCACTATGGGTAGTAGAGTTAGAACAGATCCATGGCTTCCAAATTGTGGAGAATGGAAGATATAACAACTCCCAACCCTAACCCAGATATAAAGAACTCAGAATTTTCTAAGAATGAGACCCAGAAATCTGTGTTTTTTAACACAGTTCACAGATGAATCTAATGCAGCTAGCCTGGCACTGGTCTGTGATCAGGTTTGGAACTATTGGGCTAAATATATCTTAACCCTTCCAACCAAAACCTTTAGATTCTAATTTTATAGTTTAGGGTTTCCTTTAGGTGTTGCAAAATTCCATCTTTGATCATTCAATTCTGTTTTCTCCCCTCTTGCTTCTGACTAGTGTGATCCTGGAGGCTGTCTTATAGAATTGACAACCCAATTGACCATTATAATGACCGGGAAACAGATTTTTGGAAACATTAAAGAAGCCATTTATCCGTATGTATGACTTACAAGCTTTTTATTTGATTTAAGTAACCATGAGATATTTCCTCTAGAAGAAGATGGAATTTTTTGATTACCATGGTGCCTTTGTTAGAAAATGTTTAAGCCAAAAGAAAGCTTTATTTTTAATCAACAGTGAAGGTTGCATTAAAGTAATATAAACTCTTATTTTTATTTATTTATTTATTTTGGTTCCATGGCTAGCAAGGTTTTTAAAAAATTTTATTTGACAAATAATAATTATCTATATTTATGAGGTACAATATAATGTTTTGAACACAATCTTTTAAATATGCATTTTTGTTACTTTTCTTTCCTGTGAAGATTTCACTGGGACATCTAAATGCTATATCCTCTGCAGTTTATTCTACATGCTGTGTATTATTTCTGAATATTACTAAAAGGTGAACTTTGTAAAAATATCGATGTGTCATGTAATCTAGGCATAAAAATAGATTGTAAGTGAAATGATGGAGACTTTCAGGTCAATACATGAAAGATTGCTCTCTGATCAAAACACAGCAATAATGAATACATTATAAAAAGAGAAAACTAAACTGACAGTTTATCTCAAATAGTAGATGAAAATTGTCATGGATAAAAAGAGAAAGAATTATAAAATCGTAAGTCTACGATCCTTCAGGGCTCCTAGTTAGGAAATGACTGTGTCAGGGTTTGGCATGCAATACAAAGTGGAGTAAAAGTGCTCCACTTAAGACAGAGGCCCATCCACTTTAACTGCACTTGAAGCCAGAGACTGGGTTTATTCTCACTCATGAAAGAAGACTGAAAACACCATCCCTGCACCTTCCCACCTCCAATATACACACAATTTCATAGTGCCACTTAGGGCTCTATTTCAAGTACTAACAAAAGAAGAACATGGACTTATCCTTACAAATGGTAATAAATGTAAGCCTAGCCTTCTAGTTTCATGCTTAGATATACCACATCCATAAGGGAAATAGCCAAACCTTTTTTTTTTTTTTTTTGAGACAGAGTTACACTCTGTTGCCCAGGCTGGAGTGCAATGGCGCAATCTCGGCTCACTGCAACCTCCACCTCCTGGGTTCAAGCAATTTTCCTGCTTCAGTCTCCTGAGCAGCTGGGATTACAGGCATGTGCCACCACACCTAGCTAAGTTTCTGTATTTTTAGTATAGATGGGGTTTCACCATGTTGACCAGGCTGGTCTGGAACTCCTGACTTCAGGTGATCCACCCGCCTCAGCCTCCCAAAGTGCTGGGATTACAGGCGTAAGCCACCATGCCTGGCCCCCAAACTTTTATTTTAAGTTCTAGCTCTAGATTGAGAACCCAGAGGACTGAATGGAGGCAATACCTAAACCAAACAGAAGATGGGGGATACATATACACAGAGAGGGAGAGAGACAAAAGACAGGGGAGGTAAAAGAATAAAAAAATTTTAAAAAAAAAACAAGCAAATTAACAACAACAACAACAACAAAAACCCTGAACCTTCCTAATAACGAAAATTTCAAAATGTGGTAATATTTAATGCTACAAAGGCTGTGAACAAAATCAATTATTAGAAAGTGAACTTACCCCAGCTGATATTTCTAACTAGAATATTCTGGAAAAGCCCTTAAAAAATGATGTTGACAATACTAACAACATAAGGAAAGGTGATACTGTCATTAAAATAGATCAGGAAATAAATAAAAACTGACAGAAATGAAATAAGAATAAGTAAATATGAAATGGAAGCAATTACACATAAGTGAAAAATTATACCTTAAATAATGAGTACAACAAGATGGGAAAATTCCAGAGTACAGTTCCAGCCTGGACATGGTTGAAGAATGTATTAGTGAATTGGAAAATAATAGTGAGAAATTCCTACCTTGTACAGTGTAACAAATATATGACATTTAATAAAAATAAAATAAGGGTATGTTAGATTAAGAGGCTTCCACATTAATCTACTAGTAGTTCCAGAAAAAGTTAATTGAGTCAATGCTGAAGGAAAAAAATATTCGAATAGGTAATTGCTGAACATTTTTCAAAAATGAGGAAAAACACAAGTTTCAGAAATGGAAACAAATTCTGAGTATGAATCAAGATAATAGAATTCAATTCATACCCAGATTCATTATGGTGAAACTACAGAACACCAAAGATAAACAGACAATCTTTAAAAATCTTAGATGAAAAAGATTAACTTTATTCAAATGAATGACATCTACACTATCATCAGTTTCTCATCAATAGCATTAGATGCCAAAAGATAATGTTTTCAAGGTTCTCAGTGAAAATAGTGTTCCCCTTTCATTTCTAGAACCAGGTTAACTATTATTTAAAGTGCTGGTAAAATAGACATTTTTAGACATGAAAAGACTAGGAGAGTTTGCATGTAAAATTGTCACGGAAAGAACTACTGAAAGATTTTCTTGAGCAAAAAGAGATCACAAAGTGAAAGTACAGGATGCAAGAAACATTGGTTAGCACAGAATTTGTTAGCTCCAAACAAATGAAATTATTTGGTAGACTCTAAAGTCATATAGAATTTGTGTGGGGAGAACTACAAAATCCTGATTAAAGAAATTGTAAAACTATATAAATGGAGAGAAATATCATGTTGGTGGTCAATTATCCCCAAATTGATATATAGATTTATTGTTATTATAATCAAAATATCAGCAGGATTTTTATAGGTATAGACAAGTGGATTCTAAAATTTATATGGATGGCCAAGGAACTAAAATAACCCAAACAAGTATGATAAAAGAAGAATAAAGCTGTAGGAAACACCCTACTCAATTTTAAGGCTTACTACAAACTATATTAATCAAGACAATGTAGGATTGGTGAAGGGATAGTTATATAAACTAATGGAATGGAGTAGAGATTGTAGAAACAGATATTACAGAAATTTGTGCTCTAGCCAAATATGACCATTTAATTTAAGACAGGTGCAAAAACAATTCATTGATGAAAGAGTAGTCTTTTTCGTAAATGGTGTTGGAAAAATTGGACATCGCATATGCAAAATAATGAAACTCTATGTGAAACTTGCTCCTCATTCATAAATGAACTCAAAATGGATCATAGACAAAACTATTTTTTAAAAAGCAAGGAAGTGATTATTATAAAATTTAAGATAATGGTTATGGATGTGGGGATTGAAGAATTTATAAATGGAATGAAGCACATGAAAGAGCTTCCGAAATTTCTAGCCATGTTCTGTTTCTTGAACTGAGTGATCTCTTTTCCATTGTGACTCCAGTTAGAGTATGCTCGTCTGTTTGATAGTGTCTCAGAAATCACAGGTGCTTTTTCCTCTTTACATCATTCATTTTTCCTCTTTGTGTTTTGGTTTGAGTATAAGCAATATACAAATGTTCCTCTTAATCCACATTTGCTACAGTACTTCATATTGTCTTATTAATTTTTGCCAACTGGGGGTTATAAATGATATCTCATTTTAGTCTAATTTTGCATTTTTCTGATTAACAACATGAATAAGTATTTTTGGCCATATTTGTTTCCTTTTCAATTAAATGCTTGTTCATGTTGTTTAACCATTTTCCTACTTGTCAATCTTTTTTCAATTTATTTCTATGAATACTTTTAAACTTCTGGTTACTGGTTTTTGTTTATTTGCTTCTTTTTTGGTTATATATGTTGAAAATATTTTATTCTAACATAAATGTTATCTTTTTATTTTTTAATAATATGTTTAGGTCACAGTTTCACAACCACAGAATTACTGATATAATTCTTAGTTGTGGGGTGTGGGTTATCCTTTGGATTGTAAGATGTTTGACAGCATCCTTGGACTCTATCCACTAGATGCCAGTAACTCATCCCTCTCCAGTTGGGACAACCAAAATATCTCCAGAGAGTGCAATTGTGTCATTGTGGGCAAAATTACTCCCAGTTGGAAACCACGGCTTTAGATGAACAAAATTACATAACTTTAATGTGGTAGAATTTATCAATCTTTTATTTTATGTGTTAGCATTTTTAAAGAATTGTTTAAGAAATATTTTCCTACCCAGGATTATAAGACATTTTCATTATTATTTACTATATCGGTTAAAGTTATGCAAAAAGTAAGGTCCTAGGCAAAATACTGGATATGCAGATGTACTGATAAAAAGTTATATGGAAACACACACACATACACAAAGATATTCTCATATACTTACTTCTAAATTTTTTATACATTTTAACATTATTGTTTTTCACTTTCAAATTCTAAATATACGTGGATGGGATTTTTACGTTTGATATGAGATACAAGTCTGTTTTTTACATATATGTGTATATATATGTATAAACTATATATTTGTATAAATCCTTATATTACCATTTATTGAAAAGTTCCTTTTTCGTATGCTCCATCATCTACAATACTCTTCATCTACATACAATATTATCTACAATACTTTTTATGCCATATAAACACTATCTACATACCATATAAATATCTACAATTATATATATATATATAAAATCTATCTACAATTATACCAAGTGCAAGGCTATTTCAAGTTTTCCACTCTATCCCAAGATTTGTTTATCCCTGTACCAGTACAACAATCTCTCTCTTTTTTTTTAACTGTTCAGAGGTACATGTGCAGATTTGTTACACAAGTAACTTGTGTCATGGGGGTTTGTTGTATAGATTATTTTATCATCCAGGTATTAAATCTAATACCCAGTACTTATTCTTCCTGATCCTCTCCCTCTTCTGACACTCCACCTTCTGATAGGCCCCAGTGTCTGCTGTTCCCCTCTATGTGTCTGTTTGTTTTCATCATTTAGCTCCCACTTATAAGTGAGAACATGTGGTATTTGGTTCTTGCATTAGTTTGCTAAGGATAATGGCCTCCAGCTCCATCCATGTTCCTGCAAAGAACATGATCTTGTTCTTTTCTATGGATGCCTAGCATTCCATGGTGTATGTGTACCACATTTGCTTTATCCACTCTACCACTGATGGACATTTAGGTTGATTCCATGTCTTTGCTATTGTGAATACAGTACTACAATCTCTTAATTAATATAGCTTTCTAAATCTTGATATCTGGTGGGGCAACATTTATCAACTTATTTTTTATCTGTAGAACTGTCTTGGCTATTCTTGGTCTTTTATCAATCTATATAGATTTTATAAACATCTTGTCAGATTTTACATGGAAAAATAATTTGGCTTTTTCATTGAAATTATATTTTAATTGTTTCAATATAAACAGTTGACTTTTTTTTTTAATAATACCGAGCCTTCTTACTCGTCAACATTTAAATTGGACCTTAATGAATTCTAATAAATATTTTAAACTTCTACATATAGGTCTTATAAATCTTTTGTCACATCAGTGTCTAGGTACTTTTTAATTGCTATTGTAAATGATATCTTTTTAGAATATATATGTTTTCTACTTGTGTGTTGTGGGTGTATAGGAATGAAATATATTAATAAACCCTAATATTGTTTCTACTCATTTTTGTCTAACTTCACTTGGGTTTTCTATTCAGACAATCACATCACTGTTAATAATCACAGATTTCTCCTTTATTTCCAAATATTTTGCCTTTCTTATTTTATTTTACTGGCTAAGATCTCCAGCAATCTTGAATGTGATCATGCAAGTGCTTATTTTGTTCTTGATTCTAAAGGAAATGCTTCAGACTTTTCCCAAGTAAGAATGCTGTTTGCAGCCTGGTGCATTGGCTCATGCCTGTAATCCTAACATTTTGGGAGGCTGAGGAGGGAGGATTGCTTGAGCTCAGGAGTTCAAGACCAGCCTGGGCAACATAATGGGACCCCGTCATGTGGAATAAAATTTAAAAATTAGCTAGGCATGGAGGCACATGCCTTTAGTCCCAGCTACTTGAGAGGTGGAGGCAGGAGAAAAGGTCAAGGCCGCAGTGAGCTGTGATCACACCACTGCACTCCAGCCTGAGTGGCAGAGTGAGACCCTGTCTCAAAAAAGAAAGAAGACAGACATAGAGAAAGAAAAAAGGAGAGAGGGAGAGAGAGAGAAAAGGAAAGAAGGAGGGAAGGAAGGACGGAAGGAAGCAAGGAAGGAAGGGAGGGATTAAAGAAAGGAAAGGAAAGGAAGGGAGAAAGGAAAGGAAAGGGAAGGGATGGGAAGGGAAGAGAAGGAAAAGGGAAGGGAAGGGAAGAGAAGGGAAGAAGGAAAGAAGAAAGGAAGGAAGGAAGGAGAAAAAAAGAAAGAGAAGGAAAAGGGAAGGGAAGGGAAGAGAAGGGAAGAAGGAAAGAAGAAAGGAAGGAAGGAAGGAGAAAAAAAGAAAGAGAAGGAAAAGGGAAGGGAAGGGAAGAGAAGGGAAAGGAAGAAGGAAAGAAGAAAGGAAGGAAGGAAGGAGAAAAAAAGAGAAGGAAAAGAGAAGGGAAGGGAAGAGAAGGGAAAGGAAGAAGGAAGGAAGGAGAAAAAAGAAAAGAAAGGAAAGAAAAAAGAAAAGGAAGGAAAGAAAAAAAGAAAAGGAAGGAAAGAAAAAAAGAAAAGGAAGGAAAGAAAAAAAGAAAAGGAAAGAAAAAAAGAAAGAAAGAGAAAGAAAGAGTTTGCCCTAGGATTTTAGTAGATATTTCTGATAAGACTGAAATAATTTTTTTCTATTTCTACTTTTCTTTCCTAAGTAGGTTTTAATAGGTCCTTAAAATATATCAAATGCATTTTTCTGCATCAATTGAGATGATTTTATGTTTTTCACCTCAAACCAGTCAATGTGATATATTTATTGATTTGCTAATTTTTCTTTCTTAAAAAGCCTCTTTTTAAAAAAAGTGGTACATTATCATAATATATCATCTTTTTATATAGCATGGAATTTAGTTGGTTAAAATTTTGTTTAATGTTATTCCATTTATTTTCATATTATGTAAGTCATTTCCTATTATAGTCAATTTCATATTTGTTTGAATTTTCTTCTGAGCATCATGACAGCATCAGGATTAGTAAGTGGTCTTAGTGGTAACTCTCTCCTCCACTTATTCCTTAGCCAAACTGTCTCTGAGTAAATATATTTCTCTGAGCAGAGTAAAGATTGTCTCATTTTCTCAATCACCCTAATAAAGAACTCTTGACTTCTGCATGTGTCATGAAAAGAACACCAGATTTTGACTTGCGCTTTGGCTGGTGTCATTTCTCTTTGCTCTGTGATCTTAAGTTATTTAATCTCTAATTTCTGCCAGTTTCCAGATCTAACACTCTGATTCTCTGATCGCTTTCTTTTTGGTCCTATTTCATATATTAACTTTTATCACTTCCAACAGCTTGGCTTTGAATTGGTGGAGACGCCGAAAAGCTCGGACAAACTCTGAGAAGCTGTATAGTCGATGGGAGCAGGATCATGACCTTGAAAGTTTTGGACCCCTTGGGCTTTTCTATGAGTACTTAGAAACAGGTAATTTTTAACCACTGTTTTGAAACATAGAGTTGGCATGAATGAGTGGTTTTTCAGCTCCAGATACTTCTTTCTGCCTTGCACATGGTAGGTGTTCAATAAATCTTTGACTGGTTGGCAAAAAAGATGAGTGGAGGGATATAAAGAAAATTTGTTCCCTATTTCCCTGTTCCATCAAATAGACTGCAGAATAAAGTTTAGCTTCAAAACACCAATCTCAGAGACATAATTCCTGTTAATTGAATGTTAATATTGTTGAACCAAATCAAGTAAGAGTCATTTTTTAACACCCATCTCAAATTCGCTTTGATGGCTATTTCTCCATTTGTTTGCCTCAGTGACAGCTCAAAGATAGAATAAGTAGCCTGGAAAACATTTCCAGAGTTTGACTTGCAATTAGTATATGTCCTTTCTGTGAGGCTAAAAATAAGGCTAAAAGCGATTGTGTAAGGGAAATATAAGCTGAACACAAGAAACATCCAAAACATTGCAAGGTTTGAACAGAGAAGAGACCCTTGAGGAGCAGCTTTCAGAGAGATTTTTCGGGGAACTGCTTATATGGTCTGCTCAGAGCGTTTTCCCTCAAGCAACTTTCTCTGTTTCTCTCGCAGAATTAAGGAAACTGTTTGAGACAGAGTCTCGCTCTGTCGCTCAGGCTGGAGCGCAGCTGCCCAATCTCGGCTCACTGCAGCCTCCGCCTGCTGGGTTCAAGCGATTCTCCTGCTTCAGGAGAATTGCCTGTAGCTGGGACTACAGGTGCGTGCCATCACGCCCGGCTAATTTTTGTATTTTTAGTAGAGTCGGGGTTTCACCATGTTGATGGCCTCGATCTCCTGACCTCATGATTCTCCCGCCTCGGCCTCCCAAAGTGCTGGGATTACAGGCGTGAGCCACAGCGCCCAGCCAGGAAAATAATTTTCTTACCTTTCAAGGCCCATAAAACCGTGGTAGGATACATGAGATGAGCCAAAATTCTTCATACTTCTCCAGTGTAATACATTATGTGATACATGGATTGAAATATAAATTTAGGACAAATAGAAGCTATTTTATAGAACTCTTTGTAAAATCAGATAATCTTTGCCTTATAAGGTGATAAGGCTATGATTTTTAATTGTGTAAGTTTCAAATGAGTTTGCACATATGTACATCAGAGATTACTACTGAAATTAAAAAGTTGAAACAAAGGTTTCATAAGATTGTTTACCACTTATTAAGACATAATTAATTTATTCTGAAAACTATATTATCTCTAATTTTGAAACAATTCTGCAGAGTATTCATTATTCTACACATTTTATTGTTGTGAATTCTGAAACTTGCATAGGTTAATAAATTTTTTATGGGCCACAAAGATTTTAGGTAAAGATATTAGATGTGAACCTAGAAAGTTCATGCTGCTTCTACATAATACTTCCTCTTCATTTTCTACCTCGTAGGTTAGGTAGAGAAAGCAGGAAAAAAAGGAGGTGAATATGTATTTTTTTCACTTGATAAGACGGATTCAGTCAGATGAGAGATGCTAAATTCCAGAAATATTTGAGATATATTTAAAAATGGAGGAATAACGGAAATTTTTTTCCTTTAATGGAAAGCCATTTCCATTAAATGGCTTATTATTTTTTTCTTCAATCATGTGGGAAAGTTGGGCTGTTAATAGCATGGGTTATTTTACCCTAAACATTGTTGGAAACAAAAGAATAAAAATGTGGAGATAAGCCAGCTTACACAGGTGTGGTCCTCTGTTGAGTCTTAATGAGGAGAGAGAATAAAATTTATTTAGAAAGATGTCATGATAGTAAGGAGAATAAAGACCTTAACAAATTTCTTATTCTAGAAAATGTATATTTCCTTTTCCGGCACACACACACACACACACACACACACACACACACACACACACAGCTGGCTGCTGGGATTATACAACTGAATCAGTCATCATTCCTGATCTCAAAAATTAGATGGGCTAGCAAGATAGAAAAACTTGGTTACCTCACTAAATTGCTAATATAGATGTAAAGACTAGACAAGCATAAACCTAAGCTTAGCCCATAATAAAAGGCAAAGAGGAATAGAATCTTCCTTGTAACAAGCATATCTCTAAAGGAAGAGCAAAGAAAGAACTCAGCCATGCATGCCCAGTTTCTCCTTCCAGTTCTAGCAAGCAGGTAAGTCACTGTGCCTCCTGTGGTAGAGGAGGAACTGGACAGACGGATGGAAGCCTGGATTGTCGTATTCGTGTGGATCACTCCAAAACGAAGGAAGTAGCAGGATTTGGGCAGGGTGTTCCTGTCTTTCTCCTTCACAATAATGAGTTCATGCCTTTTTCTTTTCTCTACAGTTACTCAATTTGGATTTGTTACACTATTTGTGGCCTCTTTTCCTTTGGCTCCTCTTCTTGCTCTCATAAATAATATTGTAGAGATTCGAGTGGATGCCTGGAAACTTACCACTCAATACAGGAGAACTGTAGCTTCTAAAGCTCATAGCATAGGTGTTTGGCAAGACATTCTTTATGGAATGGCTGTCCTTTCTGTTGCAACTAATGTAAGTGGACCTATTTCGGTGGGGTGACTTTGTATTTCATTTTGGGGGGTGTGGGGAGATGTGAATGATGCTTAATCTTTACATGATTTCATTATGGTGATACTTTATAAAGCTAAAACATTCCGAAATTGTTATGCGCTAACCAATATAGAAAAACCTATGTCATGCAAACTCTTAGAAATACAAGGACAATTATAAAATTACTCTCATTGAAGTATCATGACACAGTTTCACAGCATGTGACAAAGCAGACAGAAAATAAGTAACAGTATAATGTGTTTGAATAAAACAATTAAAAATTGATTATATTTGTATACTACAGAGAATATACATTTACCTGTTGTGTTTATGAAACAATTATTAAAATGTAAGAACAATAAATTTCCAAAAGCATAACTTTTACAATGCATTTTCACCTACAATATACTTTATAAATTGAAGTTGATAATAAGATAATCAAAAAGAAAATCTAACACTTTTAAGTAGGCATCCTATAAGAGAAAACAGAATTGAAATCATAGAGCTTAATTTAAATGAAAGCCTGTAGGAATGAGCCAAAACCACTATTACAGATAACTCCATTGCCATACATTTTTAATTATTAAAAGAAGACTGGAAAATAAGCTGAGTATATAACTTAAGACACTGTCAAAAATTGTAAATCAAATTGATAGTAGTAAAAAAGAATAAAGATGTAATCAGAAATAATCAAATTAGAAAACAAAAAGCAGTATAATTGCTAAGTAAATCAAGAGCTAGTTTACTGGAAAGACAAAGTAAGTAAAACTCTGAAAAAAAGTATGAGAGACTCTTGTGTCCTCATTTACTCCAATAAATTTTGAAATATATTTGAAATGACCACTTTTTTAGAAAGCAAAAATTGCCAGATCTATTCAGTGAGTAATAGAAAGCCTGAATGTACCATTAGCCATAGAAGTTACATTAGATTTTTTTTAAAGCGTAGCACTAAAATTATAAGTGCCAGAGCCAGATGGTTTTTAATTGACTTATCTAATCTAAAAGAAATATGCTATTTATACTATTCCAGAACTTAGGAAAGGATACAAAATTATCATTCCCATGGAATCAAATACTGAAATTAATTGCACCCAACTGTGAGAAATTTACAAACACATGATATTCTGCTTCTTCATTCCTTTCCTGTTAATCTCTTACACACACACACACACACACACACACACACCCGCAGTCCTACCTCATTGAGTTAGTCTAAGAAAGTTAATTTGGTTAAAGATAGTAGAACTGTGCTGTGAAACAATAAGAAATGTAAGAAATAGAAAGCCTTGATGGAAAGAACATGGTTCGTAGAGACAGATACATTTCGGTCTGACTCTCTACTTAGCCACTTTGTAGCTATGAAATCTTGGAATACTGATCACACACTGTAAATGAGCTACTTTGTGTTTCAGGACAAAGACTTGCATATTACTATGATTTATAATAGTATTTAATCATTTTGCATCTATATAATTTATGGTACTGAGAGATGTACAAATCAGACATTATTAAAACTAAATTGGCAGCTGATGATCTTCCTCTTTTTTTTTTTATTCTTCAGGCCTTTATTGTTGCATTTACGTCAGACATCATTCCCCGTCTAGTTTACTACTATGCTTACTCAACAAATGCCACACAGCCTATGACAGGATATGTGAATAATAGCCTGTCAGTATTCCTGATAGCTGATTTTCCAAACCACACTGCACCTTCGGAAAAACGAGACTTCATCACTTGCAGGTGATTTGTTTGTTTGTTTGTTTAGGTTTTAGTTTTATCCCTTAAGCGTATTTCTTAAGTTATCTATTACCTTTCTGTCTTACAATATAAAGGATTTTCTTAGGGCAACAAAAATCCTGTATAAATAAAGTGTATCCATTCTAGAATTCACACATTGCATGATTCAGATTTGAAAAGGTAAAATGGCAAAAACTAAGATTATGGGTAAAGGTAAAATGGCAAAAACTAAGATTATGGGTAAAGATAACATTAATTCAAACTTTTTTCTTACTTTCTAATGTATCAAAAGGATTTGTCACCAACAAGTGCCCCTTAGTCCAAAGCTGCAATAATCTATAGATCATACAACATTGTCAAATTGTATATACATTTAACTTACTTGAATTTATCTTTGTCCTCAGAAAAGAGAGTGAGACAGTGAAATATAATATGATCAGTTCACCACCTATCCTACTAAAAGGTTTTATACTGTATAGGGAATATAAAATTGCATATGTGAACCTACTGTTTTTACACTCAGTGTATCATGTACTGTGGGATCTTTTCACCATACAATTTAAAGACACACACACACACACACACACGCTTATCAAGGCCACTTAATTTAAACCAGCTGTTTCATTTGAGACTCCAAACAAAAAAGAGCAAAATATTGCAAGACAAGCAGACATTATTATATTGTTATATTACATATTTGAGTATAGTTAAATCATAGCCTAATGTGTTTAAGAGCATGGCCACTGGTGTCAGATTTCTGGATGTCATTACCCCTTAGCTGGACTAAATATTTGAGGAGGACAGTATCCAGTGACTTTATAGAAGAGAATGAACTCACAAAGTTGAACATTAAGAAAACTTCAGAATTGTGTTAAGAAAAACAAAGCAATACAGCATCAGAACAGCCAAGAGAAAATAGAGTTCCAAGAAGATAGAAGTGGCCTATATATAATATTCTTATTTTTGAAAGTCAAATCAAAGGATTAAAATATACCTGCAGTTTAAGGATAGGAGAGAAGGAAAGGACTGGGAGTGTTAAGGAAGTGGGAAAAGAGGAAGTGGAAGCAGCAAATTTTGAATAACTCATTTGAGAAGCTTGTCTTTGAAGGGCAAGAGAGAAGTTCCTCTTGTGTATTTCTTCTTAGATCTATTTTGCACATAAGTAGCATATACCCTGACTTTATGTGAACAAGAAAGATAAATGTTTCATAATATCAGTTAACTTTGACCTGATTTTTCTGATCAACTAGAAAGGTCTGTTAAGAGAAATAAGAAATTATGTGAGGTCTCTCTAGTTGAAGCTATAACTATTATTATTTTTTTTTTTTGCATTTACTTCCACTTTTCAGGTACAGAGATTACAGATATCCTCCTGATGACGAGAATAAATATTTTCATAATATGCAATTCTGGCATGTCCTTGCTGCCAAGATGACCTTCATCATTGTTATGGAAGTAAGCTGTTCTTAACTTTCATTCGAGTTACTCTCTTCTCTCTTTAGGCAGATATTTCTAAAGGTAACCTCTCATCAGAAAGTTAGCAATATCTCAGTAAACTGTCTTGAAGGAAGTATTGTATTTGTAGTCATAAAAAGCACCTTAGGGATATTCTTAGTACAATGGATTGCCTATTATTCACTTATTATTGTTGAACATGTCATGGTGACAGAAAAGGAAAGGAAAACAAATATGGTTTTTTTCCCTTCAAGTCAGGAAAAGGGGAAATAACCCACTGATTTTAGAGAATACCTATTACTTACTAGTTCCAGAGGCTGTATTAAATCATAACAACATTGTTAATTAGACCTTATCGCTCACCTTTGAAAAGGAATCTGAGATTCAGCAAAAATAAGTAGCTGGCTTAACGTTAACTAACTAACATTAGCGCTGAGTCTCAATGCCAAAT
Organism: Homo sapiens; assembly: GCF_000001405.40. Classification (NCBI taxonomy): domain Eukaryota; kingdom Metazoa; phylum Chordata; class Mammalia; order Primates; family Hominidae; genus Homo; species Homo sapiens. The sequence continues at coordinate 22,276,651 of NC_000011.10, forward strand.
GTGCCTCACTCCCAAGCTTATGCTCTGTCTACTATATTATGCTTCCTCTCTTGTGGAATATCTAGTGTAGTTATAGAGATAAGGCCTGCAAGAAAAGGTAAACAATACAGAGGCAGTATTGGGCAAAGTTTCAAATTGAGTGATACAAATCATAGGGCAAGAAGGCCTATCAGGGAGAGAAAATAAAAGAAAGGTACTTTTTCACCCTGGAATAAAGCCCGATAAAAGACAATCCTAACCCAAGAACATGCCATTCCAACCAGTTTCTGTTTTTTTTTATTGTTATCAAGGTTTCACATGTAATTTTAAAAATCAAATAGTTCTGCATGGGAAAAAAACAAAAGAGCAATCGTACATAATATACCTGCCTACCCTAAAATCCTAATATCCAAAGTAAACTTCTCAATTTTTTTAACTCATTCTTCTAGTAGTTGCCCTTGTATGGCAAAAGAAGATCATTTTGCAGTTATATATTTTTATTTTTTAGGTTGAGCTATCAATTACTGACATTCTACTTTGGCAGATCTCACACACACACCCACACAGACAGAAAGAGAGAGGGGGAAAAAAAACTTTCTCCTACTGCTCAATAATTAAAGCATATTTTTTTGGTCTCATTCTGAAATTCAAAACCTCAGAAAACAGGAAGTATTTTGATAATTTATTTAGCAGCAACATATGATCTAATTCTGCCTTTATTATTTTTAGTGTGACTATTCATTTACTTTGCTGCAGAAATATTTAAGTGTTTGATACAGAGTGCCACCTGAGACCCTGCTGGTTTATACACTAAATTACATATGTTTAATATTTAATCTCAATTCTGAAATATTTCTGTCCATCAGAGTTTTGATTAAGAGATTTTATATAAATACAATAGTCAGGGTTTATAAATTATGACTTTATAAATATTAGTCACATCTGTTTCCTGTCTTATATTCTGAACATATTTCTTTTATTATAATTGTACTTTTCTTTTCTCCCTCTGTCTCTTAGTTCCTTATGAATTTATCAGTCTTTCATTCCAACATTTTGCGTCAGAAGTTTAGATCACCTTTCAGCCAGTAAATTACTTCCGGAATTCTTTTGTTTTAATTTATTTATTATTTGTGTTAATTTTTTGTAATCATTGCAGGCTCCAACCAAGCATCATCCTGGGACTTCTCTTCATCTTGTCTTCTATTGAAGACTAAATTTTCTGCAATCTATGTTTCTCCCATTTTTGGTTTACTAGCTTATTTTGGTGAAGCACATCTTCTAGTAATTTTCTGAGGAAAAATTATGGGCAGTCCATTTTTGAGAAATTGAAGATTGAAAATTTCTTTTCTTTCCTTACATGTGATTATTTGGAATAGAATGTATAATTAAAAGTTGTTTTTCTTAAAAAAATTTTTAATCAACTTTATTTTGGTATTCCTGAAATTTTGAAGATATTGCTTCATTTTCATTCAGCTTCCAGTATTGCTACAAAATGCAATACTATTCTGACTCCCCAGTCTTTGTGTATTATCTATTTTTAAAATCAATACGGTTTTAGGATTCTGTCATTAGCCCCATTTTTATGAAGCTTCACAAGATGGTTCTTTGCTATTTGTCAATATTCATTGTTTTAAACACTCATTGAGCCCCTTAGATCTAAAAACGTACTTACCCTTCAAGTTGAGAAAATTTGCTGGCATAATTTCTTTGATAAATTTTTGATAATGTCTTTGATAAATTTTTTCTTTCTTTGTGCTGTCTCTCTGGAACTGCTGTTATTCAGATTTACACTTCCTAGTTTGAAATTCTAATTATTTGTTTTCTATGAAAACCTGGATTAATATCTTTTTTAAAATTCTACTTTTTTCTTTTACTCCTTTCCTTATATCTGGTTCTTTTCCTTTTTTTTTTTTTTTCCATGTCAGAGATGACTTACCTACATATTTGGTGGTTCTGCTCATGTTTAAGAGTGTGGAAGTGAAAAGCTGATTTTAAGCATTTTGTGCATACAGGAGTGATGTCACTTGGTGGGTTTCACTGTAGGTTGATAACGTAGTGAGCTGATATTTTCACTGGATCCTTACAAAATTTTGACATCCACAGTTCTGCTTTTACAGAATAGTTATTTTTCCCAGAGAAAGCCCTTTATAGCTGTCTATTGAGATATTTTGTGGCTACCTATTTTCTAAGACCTGAGCAAGGCAGAGGGGCTATGTATCTCACAGTTCATTGTGCTGAATTTCACTGTTTTTACTTTTTTTTTTTTCAATATGTTGTCATACCTCCACTGTGTCTGGTGCCCCTGGATTCACAGCTTTGTGGTATAATTTCTGCAGAAAACAAACTCTTCAGCTGCTTCCAGGGTATAGCATGGAGTGAAAGAATACCTGGATACAGATGGGAGAAAGGCTCCAAAAATTCAAGTGCTCCTTATGCAGATTTGTATCTAATCCTCTTGTTTTCAACTCCAACTCAAACTAATACCTTCAAAAGTCCTTATTGCCTTCTTTCCTGAACTTTTGTGACCATCTGAAACAAAATTGGCTTTTGTCTTTTTGGTTTCCACTATCAGTCACCACATCACCATTTGCAAGTTTGCTAGCCTTTTTCACTCTTTTGAGTCTAATTCCTTTATAAATATTTTATCAGGTTTTCAGGAAGGAGCAGTGATAAAGAGTATATTCAATAATCATGTTCAACTGGAATATTGCTAGTTACATATTTAAGTATATATTTATTTGTTTGATGTTGATCTTTGTATGAAAGTTCTAGGACAGAGACCATATCTTCTTCCTTGCCTTTCTACCTCATATGTTGAGCAGTTTCTTAAATAAGTGAAATGATTTGTAAAGACTTTCTGCTGAGCATGTGACACCTCTAACAGCGTCTAATCTTTCCTTTATATTTCCTCTAGCATGTTGTGTTTTTAGTTAAATTTTTGCTGGCCTGGATGATACCTGATGTTCCAAAAGATGTTGTGGAGAGAATCAAGAGAGAAAAGTTAATGACTATCAAGATTCTCCATGATTTTGAGCTCAACAAATTAAAAGAGAACTTGGGAATTAATTCTAATGAATTTGCCAAGCATGTCATGATTGAGGAAAACAAAGCACAGCTGGCTAAATCAACACTCTAATCAGTATAGTGAGGAAGCAGCAGGTGATCTGCCTTACTTCACTTTATCCTCTGGTTTTAGGGCCAGACGCCAGAAGCCATGTGTCAATTTTACCCTTTCTTTTTTTTTTTTTTCTTTTTTTTTTTAAACTCAAAGTTTTTATACACTTTTATAGAGGCCAACTTTGTGATGTTGGAAATGTACTACTTCTCTGCTTCATTGACTGGGCCCTCTCCAGATGTTGTTTTCTGAGGTGCTGTAAATGACTGTTGAAAGTGCAGGTAGAATCAGAATACTGGGAAATTATGGAGTCTTGCAGTTTAGTAAGAAACACTGGCCTTGGGCTGTCCCATCACTTTCCAGTGCATCTATTTATTTTTGTGGTCTTCTCTTGGGTTATTTGATACCTCCTTCCCCATTAAGAAAAATGTTGGGGCAAAAAGAAATGGATCAAAGAGACTGACTGAGCCCTATATATCCTATCATTTTAAAATATGCAAATGAATTGCCAAGATCAGATGACATAAGAAAACTCACACATTAAGGTGTTAATGTATCATAGCAGAGGTTTATTCCTAACACATTCAACTACCATCAGAATCCCAGATAGTTCTTCCTGGTAAAGGCAGAATTCCTTTTCTCGAGACTGAAATTTTGGGTTTCAACATAAAACAACTTGGTTCTTAGAGATAATAATTTGGTTATAATAGTTTCAAGACTGATCTTATCTGGAAAGCAACATTATGAAGCTGTTAGATTGCTTCAGGTTCTCAAGCAAAGACACAATACAGAAGTAAATGTGTTTTCTTAGTAGTTAATGGATGCAGGACAATGTATATTGATTAATTTGTTGATTTTAATTTAGAAAATTGTTAAATTATTTCTTAAAAATCACTTTTCTTCTGGAATGCCAATTTCACATCATGAAGCCTTTTTGTATAAGTTAGATACGAGTTGTTTATGATAAACATTTCTTTGCTTTAAAATAATTGCAAATATTTTAATAAGTTTACAACCTTTTCTATTGATGTATCATCTTATACAATGCTCAGTGCCTTGTTCCAATACCTCTGACACACAAGAAGTCATGTTGTTAGCTAGTGATTTGATGTGATGTAACATCTTAAATGTAAGCTTGTCTTAATGAAATTGTCAGTGTAATAACAACTACAGTCTTGAAAACCAAAAGTGAATCAACCAACTAAGAATGAGTTCATGGACTTAATAATCTAAGGGGGAAAAAATGTTTGTTGAATTATTCCTCTCAAATTTAGGCTTGTGTTACATGCACAAAAATCCTTGTTCTGTTTTCACTTAAAAAAACTAAATATGTATAACTTTGTGTATACACACACACACATCTATATATATAATTATTAGCACTAGAGGGATATAGTCCAGTTATGTAGTATTTAAATCTCCAGTTTCAAATTATAATTCACCTCCAAAAGAATAGTTTTTTAATCACACACATAAGAAATTTTATCACAATATTTAAAACTAATATTTCATTATCTAATGCTAATAAATTATTGTGGTACTGCCAGTATTAAATATATGGCAGATGGTATTAACTACTGATCAATAGTAAGCATACAGAACTGGGGATTATGGATTTTATAAACTATGAGACAGTCACCCCAGTTTGGACTGGGACTAATCCCCAGTACTGATTTGTCATCCACTGAGTAGACTTTATGAATATTTTGGGTAATTTGAAATGATCTCATTATTGAAAGATGATTTCATATGTAGAGAAGATAATATTTCTTTCTTGAAAAAACAAGTCAGGCTTACCATGATGTGTGCAACCAATGTAGGATCTTTGGCTTGTCAAATCAGATTCTCCATTGCTATAGTGTACAGTGCACACAGCTCATATTGCTTCCTTCCTGGGTGCTGATAAAAATAAGAAAGAGCATGGAAATTGGTTTCTTGAATATAAGCTTTAATTTTTAAGGCTTAAAAGTATTCATAGAGGTAGACTGTATGATAAATAAAAACAAATTTAATTCACAAAGTTATCTGTACACTGCAGTTTTAAAATATACCAACTAAATTATTGGGTTTCTGGAAGTGAATGGAGAAAACAGCAAGGGAAGAAATCGTTTTTAAGATAAGTAAATAATTCCCATGGATTGATAAATATTTTCCTTTTAAAATGTTATGGACTGATATTTTTTATTCACCTTTAAATTTCTTATCAAGAAGTTTATCTTTGTTTTTCAGATTTAAAAATGAAATACAGGTATTCGTCACTTTCCTGAAACCATGCTAACCAAAATCAGTAGCCAAACCAATTCAGATAGATGTGTCTCATCTAATTAAACCCATTGGTTTTTATGGGAGGGCTGCATTAAGAGCACCCAACCACCACATGTAAGTTGATAATTACCAGCATGGCAGGTGATTTTATCTGCTGACCAAGCGCATAGTTTTGTTTTGTTTTCAGAATGTTCTAGGGAACATTTGAGATTTTATGTGAAATAAAATTTTAAGTGCCAAAGCCAAAAAAATACTTAACTCTTTTCAAAGGCCCTCTTTCATCCTTGCCTTCGTCAACTTTCCTTTGCACACAGGAAGCAAAATCTACTTCAAGACATTTATTTTAGAGGAATCCATTAAGAAAGGATTGTTTTACTTAAATGAAATGCTGTCTTATTTTTGCTGTGTCTTTTGACACCTCTTAGCTTTAACATTCTTCTTTTAACCAAGCCATTATGCAAAGTTATCAAAGAAGAGGAGAAGGAAAGGAGGACAGATGAAAGTGACGGGAAATGAGAAAGAAGAGGAGTGAGGAAACAGTTATTTCCTTATGAATCCTGTGTGTTTCTTTGGAAGAAAGAGCTGTTCCGAGGAAGTTTGGTCCAGCTGTGGTTGATAAGAGGTATATCTCTTAAAAAAGACACCTAATGAAAGTGAGAGAAAAGCTAAAGAAAATTTCAATGTGACCACTATTATGTGTCAAAATAAAACTTAGATTCCAAAGTGGTTTTGTAGTGTTGGGTGCTATGAGTAGGTATGGATCTCTGTTGATTGACTCCAGTTGAAGGTGAGAAATCTGTACCAATCATTCAAAAAGGGAATCTATTGTTTTGAAAGAAACTCTCTCATATTTCCTTTAAATTGTTAATAGTTGTTATGCAACTAAAGAATGTTATGAAGAAAAATAGCATTGCAAAAAGTACCATTGGCCAGCCTTACAAGTCAGCCACAATGAGTCGGTATAACTACTGTGTTATTCTTTTTCTAGACAAATTTTGACTCTTCTACTTTTATGTGTAATAATTCCAGTATTCTATTTATTTCAGCATTATGTGAAAAATGATAAGAATGTTAAAAAGAAAATAATAGTGTGGTTTAATTGGTATGAGATACCTGCTTCCTCCTCCTCAAAGGTTTGACTGGGTGTATCTCTCCTATGTGTGACATTATGTCTCCTGGTGTTAACACAGGAAATGAGTGCTCCTTTTTAAAATTTCTTTCTTCCAAGTTTTTTTTTCCAGGAAGAGAAATATGCAGTTATGCAGGAAAAGCTCTCTTAAATAATGTGTACATAAATCTCAAGAGAATCAAATTCACAGAGTGAATAAAGTAATAATATTAAACTACATTTTGACATGAACTCAATTTATTCTTCCAGTAAAATGTTGACTTTTTGGAGTGTAAGTACTCCTTTTTTAGTCATATTTGTTGTTTAGAAACATGAAAGTGTATATATATATAACGTGTTTAGCTCATGAAATTACATATTTTTGCACATTTAGATGTTTGCATATTAACGATGTAAATTCCTTGAAGTAAGAAGCTGGATAATCCAGAAAAATTTGAGAAGGTGGTAGTTTTTGTTGTTTTGTCTCTGTATTTTTACTACTTTGGAAGATAAGCATGAACAGAAAGGCCCCCAAAAAGAAAAATTGCATGTTGAAATGTTACAGGTAGATAGGCAATGAGCGGGGCAGGAGAGGGCTCCCGACACACTTACAAGGAATGTAGGGGATGGTTCCACGATTATCACACTGCTTCTCTAAAAATGATAATTCTGCAGCCAGGGAGAGGCAACCTCCTGAAGATCCACACCTGTTAACATTAAACGTGTTACTTGAATGCAGGCCCCAGGGAGAAGCAACTTCCTGGGCATGCATGTTAAGAGACAAAAATGGCGAAGTATGATCTTCCAGGCACGCTCCACCTGAAAAAGGAAGAAAGCCTCAGGTGGGCGTGTGTATAATTCCCTAAACACACTGCACATGTTTAATTCCAAAGGGTAAGGAGAGCACTGCAGATGCAGAAAGCCCACACTAAGGGAAGAATCATGGGAAAGCGGCAAGCTGATAAAGTCCCAGGATCGTGGTTAAATGCCTCTTTTTTCTCCCTTGGAGATTCAGGTGCCCACTTAGGTCTCCTCCCAGTGAATTTTCCTTTTTTTTTTTTTTTTTTCTATTCTAAAGCCTTTTAAAATAAACTCCCACTACTGCCCCCAAATGCCTTGGTCTCTTGTTCTGCTTTATGCCCCTCAATTGAATTCTTTCTTCTGAGGAGGCAAGGACTGAATTTACTGTGGACCCATACGGATTCGCCTCTGGTCACTCAAGGTAACTTGGATGTCTGCCACTGCTAACAGAAATAGCTCCCATATATTTTTTCTAGTCTCATGTTTTTCAAAAAGAAGTCCCCAACCTTGTTCATCAGAATTATCTGGACTGCTTGTTAGAAATGCATATCCCTAGGTCTTATCCCAGATCTCTAGAAACAGAGTCTTTGGAAGAGATGCTTTAAAAAATCTCTCCAGGTGTGTTTTGGGGGATGGGGGTGGGGGAGCAATAACAATGATGAGAATTTCAGAAGATGCCAAATTCCCTAGCCCAAAGTATTTCTATAATGACTCTTAAACATTAATTTATTGTTCCAGCCCATTAAAGAAGTATATTAAGACATGTAGTCAGGGTTTCCAAATTTGTAGAACTGTTCCAATTCTCTTGTATACGGAAGTAGTTAAAATCCTACAGCCTAAGAGCTCTAGCCCTTTAGTTTCTACTTATTTAAAAAAAAAGGAAGACGTAGAAGAGGAGCCAAGATGGCCGAATAGGAACAGCTCCCGTCTACAGCTCCCAGCGTGAGCTACGCAGAAGACGGGTGATTTCTGCATTTCCATCTGAGGTACCGGGTTCATCTCACTAGGGAGTGCCAGACAGTGGGCGCAGGTCAGTGGGTGTGTGCACCGTGCGCGAGCGGAAGCAGGGCGAGGCATTGCCTCACTTGGGAAGCGCAAGGGGTCAGGGAGTTCCCTTTCCGAGTCAAAGAAAGGGGTGACAGACACACCTGGAAAATCGGGTCACTCCCACGCGAATATTGCGCTTTTCGAAGCGGCTTACAAAACGGCGCACCACGAGATTATATCCCACACCTGGCTCGGAGGGTGCTACGCCCAGGGAGCCTCGCTGATTGCTAGCACAGCAGTCTGAGATCAAACTGCAAGGCGGCAGCCAGGCTGGGGGAGGGGCGCCGGCCAGGAAGCTAGAACTGGGTGGGGCCCACCACAGCTCAAGGAGGCCTGCCTGCCTCTGTAGGCTCCATCTCTGGGGGCAGGGCACAGACAAACAAAAAGACAGCAGTAACCTCTGCAGACTTAAATGTCCCTGTCTGACAGCTTTGAAGAGAGCAGTGGTTCTGCCAGTACACAGCTGGAGATCTGAGAACGGGCAGACTGCCTCCTCAAGTGGGTCCCTGACCCCTGACCCCCAAGCAGCCTAACTGGGAGGCACCCCCCAGCAGGGGCACACTGACACCTCACACGGCAGGGTATTCCAACAGACCTGGAGCTGAGGGTCCTGTCTGTTAGAAGGAAAACTAACAAACAGAAAGGACATCCACACCAAAAACCCATCTGTACATCACCATCATCAAAGACCAAAAGTAGATAAAACCACAAAGATGGGGAAAAAACAGAACAGAAAAACTGGAAACTCAAACGCAGAGTGCCTCTCCTCCTCCAAAGGAACGCAGTTCCTCACCAGCAACGGAACAAAGCTGGATGGAGAATGACTTTGACGAGCTGAGAGAAGAAGGCTTCAGACGATCAAATTACTCCGAGCTATGGGAGGAAATTCAAACCAAAGGCAAAGAAGTTGAAAACTTTGAAAAAATTTAGGCGAATGTATAACTAGAATAACCAATACAGAGAAGTGCTTAAAGGAGCTGATGGAGCTGAAAACCAAGGCTCGAGAACTACGTGAAGAATGCAGAAGCCTCAGGAGCCAATGCGATCAACTGGAAGAAAGGGTATCAGCAATGGAAGATGAAATGAATGAAATGAAGCAAGAAGGGAAGTTTAGAGAAAAAAGAATAAAAAGAAATGAGCAAAGCCTCCAAGAAATATGGGACTATGTGAAAAGACCAAACCTACATCTGATTGGTGTACCTGAAAGTGACGGGGAGAATGGAACCAAGTTGGAAAACACTCTGCAGGATATTATCCAGGAGAACTTCCCCAATCTAGCAAGGCAGGCCAACGTTCAGATTCAGGAAATACAGAGAACGCCACAAAGATACTCCTCGAGAAGAGCAACTCCAAGACACATAATTGTCAGATTCACCAAAGTTGAAATGAAGGAAAAAATGTTAAGGGCAGCCAGAGAGAAAGGTTGGGTTACCCTCAAAGGGAAGCCCATCAGACTAACAGCAGATCTCTCAGCAGAAACCCTACAAGCCAGAAGAGAGTGGGGGCCAATATTCAACATTCTTAAAGAAAAGAATTTTCAACCCAGAATTTCATATCCAGCCAAACGAAGCTTCATAAGTGAAGGAGAAATAAAATACTTTACAGACAAGCAAATGCTGAGAGATTTTGTCACCACCAGGCCTGCCCTAAAAGAGCTCCTGAAGGAAGCGCTAAACATGGAAAGGAACAACTGGTACCAGCCGCTGCAAAATCATGCCAAAATGTAAAGACCATCAAGACTAGGAAGAAACTGCATCAACTAACGAGCAAAATCACCAGCTAACATCATAATGACAGGATCAAATTCACACATAACAGTATTAACTTTAAATGTAAATGGACTAAATGCTCCAATTAAAAGACACAGACTGGCAAATTGGATAAAGAGTCAAGACCCATCAGTGTGCTGTATTCAGGAAACCCATCTCATGGGCAGAGACACACATAGGCTTAAAATAAAAGGATGGAGGAAGATCTACCAAGCAAATGGAAAACAAAAAAAGGCAGGGGTTGCAATCCTAGTCTCTGACAAAACAGACTTTAAACCAACAAAGATCAAAAGAGACAAAGAAGGCCATTACATAATGGTAAAGGGATCAATTCAACAAGAAGAGCTAACTATCCTAAATACATATGCACCCAATACAGGAGCACCTAGATTCATAAAGCAAGTCCTGAGTGACCTACAAAGATACTTAGACTCCCACACATTAATAATGTGAGACTTTAACACCCCACTGTCAACATTAGACAGATCAACGAGACAGAAAGTCAACAAGGATACCCAGGAATTGAACTCAGCTCTGCACCAAACGGACCTAATAGACATCTACAGAACTCTCCACCCCAAATCAACAGAATATACATTTTTTTCAGCACCACACCACACCTATTCCAAAATTGACCACATACTTGGAAGTAAAGCTCTCCTCAGCAAATGTAAAAGAACAGAAATTATAACAAACTATCTCTCAGACCACAGTGCTATCAAACTAGAACTCAGGATTAAGAATCTCACTCAAAACCGCTCAACTACATGGAAACTGAACAACCTGCTCCTGAATGACTACTGGATACATAACGAAATGAAGGCAGAAATAAAGATGTTCTTTGAAACCAACGAGAACAAAGACACAACATACCAGAATCTCTGGGACGCATTCAAAGCAGTGTGTAGAGGGAAATTTATAGCACTAAATGCCCACAAGAGAAAGCAGGAAAGATCCAAAATTGACACCCTAACATCACAATTAAAAGAACTAGAAAAGCAAGAGCAAACACATTCTAAAGCTAGCAGAAGGCAAGAAATGACTAAAATCAGAGCAGAACTGAAGGAAATAGAGACACAAAAAACACTTCCAAAAATTAATGAATCCAGGAGCTGGTTTTTTGAAAGGATCAACAAAATTGATAGACCACTAGCAAGACTAATAAAGAAAAAAGAATCAAATAGACACAATAAAAAATGATAAAGGGGATATCACCACCCATCCCACAGAAATACAAACTACCATCAGAGAATACTACAAACACCTCTACGCAAATAAACTAGAAAATCTAGAAGAAATGGATACATTCCTCGATACATACACTCTCCCAAGACTAAACCAGGAGGAAGTTGAATCTCTGAATAGACCAATAACAGGAGCTGAAATTGTGGCAATAATCAAAAGCTTACCAACCAAAAAGAGTCCAGGACCAGATGGATTCACAGCCGAATTCTACCAGAGGTACAAGGAGGAACTGGTACCATTCCTTCTGAAACTATTCCAATCAATAGAAAAAGAGGGAATCCTCCCTAACTCATTTTATGAGGCCAGCATCATTCTGGTACCAAAGCCGGGCAGAGACACAACCAAAAAAGAGAATTTTAGACCAATATCCTTGATGAACATTGATGCAAAAATCCTCAATAAAATACTGGCAAAACGAATCCAGCAGCACATCAAAAAGCTTATCCACCATGATCAAGTGGGCTTCATCCCTGGGATGCAAGGCTGGTTCAATATACACAAATCAATAAATGTAATCCAGCATATAAACAGAGCCAAAGACACAAACCACATGATTATCTCAATAGATGCAGAAAAAGCCTTTGACAAAATTCAACAACCCTTCATGCTAAAAACTCTCAATAAATTAGGTATTGATGGGACGTATCTCAAAATAATAAGAGCTATCTATGACAAACCCACAGCCAATATCATACTGAATAGGCAAAAACTGGAAGCATTCCCTTTGAAAACTGGCACAAGACAGGGATGCCCTCTCTCACCACTCCTATTCAACATAGTGTTGGAAGTTCTGGCCAGGGCAATCAGGCAGGAGAAGGAAATAAAGGGTATTCAATTAGGAAAAGAGGAAGTCAAATTGTCCCTGTTTGCAGATGACATGGTATATCTAGAAAACCCCAATGTCTCAGCCCAAAATCTCCTTAAGCTGATAAGCAACTTCAGCAAAGTCTCAGGATACAAAATCAATGTACAAAAGTCACAAGCATTCTTATACACCAATAACAGACAAACAGAGAGCCAAATCATGAGTGAACTCCCATTCACAATTGCTTCAAAGAGAATAAAATACCTAGGAATCCAACTTACAAGGGATGTGAAGCACCTCTTCAAGGAGAACTACAAACCACTGCTCAAGGAAATAAAAGAGGATACAAACAAAGGGAAGAACATTCCATGCTCATGGGTAGGAAGAATCAATATCGTGAAAATGGCCATACTGCCCAAGGTAATTTACAGATTCAATGCCATCCCCATCAAGCTACCAATGACTTTCTTCACAGAATTGGAAAAAACTACTTTAAAGTTCATATGGAATCAAAAAAGAGCCTGCATCGCCAAGGCAATCCTAAGCCAAAAGAACAAAGCTGGAGGCATCATGCTACCTGACTTCAAACTATACTGCAATGCTACAGTAACCAAAACAGCATGGTACTGGTACCAAAACAGAGATATAGATAAATGGAACAGAACAGAGCCCTCAGAAAGAACGCCACATATCTACAACTATCTGATCTGACACACCTGAGAAAAACAAGCAATGGGGAAAGGATTCCCTATTTAATAAATGGTGCTGGGAAAACTGGCTAGCCATATGTAGAAAGCTGAAACTGGATCCCTTCCTTACACCTTATACAAAAATCAATTCAAGATGGATTAAAGACTTAAAAGTTAGACCTAAAACCATAAAAACCCTAGAAGAAAACCTAGGCATTACCATTCAGGACATAGGCATGGGCAAGGACTTCATGTCCAAAACACCAAAAGCAATGGCAACAAAAGACAAAATTCACAAATGGGATCTAATTAAACTCAAGAGCTTCTGCACAGCAAAAGAAACTACCATCAGAGTGAACAGGCAACCTACAAAATGGGAGAAAATTTTTGCAACCTTCTCATCTGACAAAGGGCTAATATCTAGAATCTACAATGAACTCAAACAAATTTACAAGAAAAAAACAAACAACTCCATCAAAAAGTGGGCGAAGGACGTGAACAGACACTTCTCAAAAGAAGACATTTATGCAGCCAAAAAACACATGAAAAAATGCTCATCATCACTGGCCATCAGAGAAATGCAAATCAAAACCACAATTAGATACCATCTCACACCAGTTAGAATGGCAATCATTAAAAAGTCAGGAAACAACAGGTGCTGGAGAGGATGTGGAGAAATAGGAACACTTTTACACTGTTGGTGGGACTGTAAACTAGTTCAACCATTGTGGAAGTCAGTGTGGCGATTCCTCAGGGATCTAGAACTAGAAATACCATTTGACCCAGCCATCCCATTACTGGTTATATACGCAAAGGACTATAAATCATGCTCCTATAAAGACACATGCACACGTATGTTTATTGCGGCACTATTCACAATAGCAAAGACTTGGAACCAACCCAAATGTCCATCAATGATAGACTGGATTAAGAAAATGTGGCACATATACACCATGGAATACTATGCAGCCATAAAAAATGATGAGTTCATGTCCTTTGTAGGGACATGGATGAAATTGGAAATCATCATTCTCAGTAAACTATCTCAAGAACAAAAAACCAAACACTGCATATTCTCACTCATTGGTGGGAATTGAACAATGTGTTCACATGGACACAGGAAGGGGAATATCACACTCTGGGGACTGTGGTGGGGTGGGGGGAGGGGGGAGGGATAGCATTGGGAGATATACCTAATGCTAGATGACGAGTTAGTGGGTGCAGCACACCAGCATGGCACATGTATACGTATGTAACTAACCTGCACAATGTGCACAGGTACCCTAAAACTTAAAGTATAATAAAAGAAAAAAAAGAAAAAAAAAGGAAGTAGTAAATTAATTTGCTTTTCCAATATATTTAGGAAAATAAAGGTGTAGACTGGACAGAAATTATGGTGGATATATCACATTCTAAGAACAAATAGAATAAATAGTTTAATGTACAAGATTTAATCAAGAAAGCAAATCTGTTAGGAATATTATGGAATAAAGGGTTGTTTATAGAAAACAGGCCTTTTGAAATTGTGAAAGAAACTGGAAAGCAACGGTCTGGAAGAAAGATTTGGAGGGTAATATTGTTTGGCTGTGTCCCCACCCAAATTTCATCTTGAAATATAGCTCCCATAATCCCCATGTGTCCTGAGAGGGACCCAGTAGGAGGTAACTGAATCATGGGGATGGGTTTTTCCCATGCTGTTCTCATGGTAATGAATAAGTCTCACAAGATCTGATGGTTTTTTAAAGGGCAGTTCCCCTGCATATGCTCTCTTGGCTACTGCCATATAAGACATGCCTTTGCTTCTCCTTCACCTTCCACCATGATTTTGAGGCCTCCCCAGCGATGTGGAACTGTGAGTCCATTAAAACTCTTTATTTTTTAATAAATTGCCCAGTCTTGGGTATTTCTTCACAGCAGTATAAAAATGGACTAATACAGAGAGTCAGAGAAGAAGAACCATTCAGCTCTCCTGAAACACTGCCATGGGTAGAGAAGTTGAAGCTTGCAGAGATATCCATGTGATGTGCTAAAGTGAGACTAGGAAGGAAAACTAATGAAGAAGTCTATGGGGAAGTGTTACAATTGTCTAGCTATTCTTTTTTTTTTTTTTTTAAATTATACTTTAAGTTCTAGGGTACATGTGCACATTGTGCAGGTTACTCACATATGTATACATGTGCCATGGTGGTGCGCTGCACCCACTAACTCGTCATCTAGCATTAGGTATATCTCCCAATGCTATCCCTCCCCCATCCCCCCACCCCACAACAGTCCTCAGAGTGTGATATTCCCCTTCCTGTGTCCATGTGAGCTCATTGTTCAATTCCCACCTATGAGTGAGAATATGCGGTGTTTGGTTCTTTGTTCTTGCGATAGTTTACTGACAATGATGTTTTCCAATTTCATCCATGTCCCTACAAAGGACATGAACTCATCATTTTTTATGGCTGCATAGTATTCCATGGTGTGTATGTGCCACATTTTCTTAATCCAGTCTATCACTGTTGGACATTTGGGTTGGTTGCAAGTCTTTGCTATTGTGAATAATGCTAGGCATTACCATTCAGGACATAGGCATGGGCAAGGACTTCATGTCTAAAACACCAAAAGCAATGGCAACAAAAGACAAAATTCACAAATGGGATCTAATTAAACTCAAGAGCTTCTGCACAGCAAAAGAAACTACCATCAGAGTGAACAGGCAACCTACAAAATGGGAGAAAATTTTTGCAACCTACTCATCTGACAAAGGGCTAATATCCAGAATCTACAATGAACTCCAACAAATTTACAAGAAAAAAACAACCCCATCAAAAAGTGGGTGAAGGACGTGAACAGACACTTCTCAAAAGAAGACATTTATGCAGCCAAAAAACACATGAAAAAATGCTCATCATCACTGGCCATCAGAGAAATGCAAATCAAAACCACAATTAGATACCATCTCACACCAGTTAGAATGGCGATCATTAAAAAGTCAGGAAACAACAGGTGCTGGAGAGGATTTGGAGAAATAGGAACACTTTTACACTGTTGGTGGGACTGTAAACTAGTTCAACCATTGTGGAAGTCAGTGTGGCGATTCCTCAGGGATCTAGAACTGGAAATACCATTTGACCCAGCCATCCCATTACTGGGTATATACCCAAATGACTATAAATCATGCTGCTATAAAGACACATGCACACGTATGTCTAGCTATTCTTTCTATGAATCTGCAGCCAAGAATCATACACAAACTTGGAGCGCGCTGCTGGTCAGGAATAGTTGGACATGGAGTGAAAAAGAGTGAGGAGAGCATAGAGCCCACTAGACTCCAATTTGCATGTCCTTTATCACATCTGTCCTCAAAGACCAGAAAGAAGTCTTTCTGTTGCTTCACCTCTGTTTGCTTCTTGTGCAAATCTAACCTGATACCAGATAAAGAAAAGACTTCTGGGCAGTGCAGTTCCAGCTTCACTTAGTAAGGCTACTGGCCATTTGAAGAAAATGATTAATAAAACACACACAATGTGCTTTCATTAAATGTTGTGCTCAATAAGGAAAAGGAATTTCTTTACAAGTACATTCTAAACACTAACAAAATCTGGTCAAATACCAAGCCCCACCCAAAAAACAAACAACAACAACAACAAAAAACAGCAAATTTCAAATGACCAATATAAATCAGATGATTTTCTCTGTCCACAATAAAATGAAATTATAAAAAATAAAAAGATGGCTACAAAAATTATGTAACAAATCTTGAAATAACACAAAAAAGTAATCAAAGCAAAGTTTAGAAGATAATTTTTAATTACATTGTACCAAAAATACTGTACAGCTCAAATTTTGTGGGATACACTAAATATATTTTGTGGTGGTTTTAGAAGAACTGTATAGCATTTAATTAGGCTATTAAAAAAAGACAGGAAAAAGAAGCATCTAAAGAAGTTAGAGAACAGAAATATAAACAAAGTAAAAGGAAGGGAAAATCATTTTAAGAGGAGAAGTTAATGAAAAGTATACAGAAAACAATATCCTTAATGGGAACATATTAGACTTGTTCTCTTTATAATTAGCAATAAGAAAGCACAATTCCAGCAATAATAGCTCAGTTTTTCAGACTATTGCAACCCCAAGAACCACTAGAAAAACTGGGTAACATGTTTTTTAAAATGATTAAAAGCATCCGAAAAATATAAGACAAAGGGTTTTTATAGAAACAATAACTAGGAGAGAAAAGCAGAGAAGTAAGCCTGTTTTTTGTGACAATATTTTCCCTTGAGGAAACTGTAGATTCAAGAGGTAAAAAAAAGGCTGAAAGGGAGGTTCTGTGGAGCTTTCAACAGATTTATATCTTGGGAGAAATATTTAGGGTCTAGCAAGTATAGAAAGCCCTGGTAAAATTTCAGTACTTTCTGTGGAGACATTAAATATAAAGACACAGAAGGGTTGAAATGAACATAATGTGGAAAAAAAAAATTCCTTGGAAACACTAAAATAAGATAAAATTGATCTATACTAACATCAGACAAAGTAGAATGTGAGGCAAGGTGTAATAGTAGAGATTGAGATATTGTATAATGATAAAGTGATGAATTTAAGAAGAATGCATAACTAATCTAAACATGTATTTAATAACATACAGGAAAACGTATCAAGAAATGTTGACAGAACTGAGAGATGGTAAACCCACCATTTTTTATTTATTTATTTATTTTTGAATTGGAGTCTGGCTCTGTCGCCCAGGCTGGAGTGCGGTGGCGCAATCTCGGCTCACTGCAAGCTCCGTCTCCCGGGTTCATGCCATTCTCCTGCCTCAGCCTCCCGAGTAGCTGGGACTACAGGTGCCCGCCACCACGCCCGGCTAATTTTTTTGTATTTTTAGTAGAGACGGGGTTTCACCGTGTTAGCCAGGATGGTCTTGATCTCCTGACCTCGTGATCTGCCCACCTCAGCTTCCCAAAGTGCTGGGATTACAGGTGTGAGCCATCACGCCTGGCCAAACCCTCCATTTTATCTGGAGATGTTAACATGCTCTTAATGACTGATAGACCACCAGAAACAAATGCAATAGGATATGGAATATTTAAACTGTACAATCAATCAATTTGACAACTGACAAATACATATATATGCATATATAATGTATATACACACACATATATATACATACAAACATGACAAATAACATGCAACAATGGCAACATGCACATTTTTAAGTGTACATGGAAGATTTCCAAAATGAAACATATCCTGGACCTTAAGGCAGATGAAATTAATTTCAAAGGACTGAAGTCATTTAGAGTATTTCTCTGACTATAGTGAATTAAACTAGAACTCAATAGCAGAAAGATAACTAGAAAATCACCAAAATGTTTGGAAACTAAGCAAGCAAAACACAGTTCTCAATATATATGGATCAGAGAAGAAATCTCAATGCATATTAGATAACATTTGAAAATAAAAATGAATATTTACATTTTCAAATTTGTTGGAATCAGCTAAATCACTGTTTTTAGAGAATTCAAGTGTGTGAAAAAAATTCACGCAGAGGGGTGACTCAGCGTGAGGTTTCAAAGGCCAAGCAGATCAAAGAGACTTTGTCAAAAATGGGGCACCCCAGAGTAGGGGTCACAAAGCCCAAACAGACTTTGCCAAAAAAGGGGCACCCAGAGTAGGGGTCTCAAAGCCCAAACAGAGTGAGGTTGGTGAATTCATGGGAGAACAGCTTGATTCGGGGAGTTAGTCCAGGAATGGTAGGAATGGCATAAGTGCATTCACACAGGATGAAGGTGGTCCTGGCTGTAGGTATTAGATCCTAAAAGGGTGAGGAGGGCATCTATGCAATGCCAAGCCAGCATAGAGAGTCAGAGCCCAAACCCGGTGATGATCACATCCCTGAAAAAGTGTAGCCTGGAGGAAGAAATGAGAGTCAGATTGTGGCAAGGAGTGTGGATACACATGCTGGTAACATGACATGGAGTTTTGGGGCCCAACTGATGTGAAGAGAGTACCCACATAGTCCTGACACTGGGCTGAGGGAAGGGAACTTGTCATGACCTGACATAGTGTGATGGAGCTGGACGGGGTGAGCTGCGACTCACACAGGTAGCCAAATTATCTGGAAGTGTCGGAAACAATGTGAAGCATTACGAGGATGGGACGCCATTCTTGCAGGCTGTGATAGTGGTGGCTGATTTGAGGTTTGGGGCTCAGAGAGGAATGAGGAGGTCATGCACATTGAGGAAGGGGTGGTAGAGGTGGTAGGAGTGATGGGAGAGATAGGTTATATAAAAAGGCTTAATCAAGTATGTGAAAACACTAAGGATATAGTCAGTTGGAGATGGGAGTTACAGATCTCTAAAGGAGAACCCTAGAACGACTCCTCTCGTGTTTGAAATTGGAGGTAATGGATAGAACTAAGGATTTTTCATATGTAGATATAGAAATAAATATAAATGTGAGTACATACACTCACATACAAAATGGCAAGACGGGGGCAGGCAATGTCCAAGGTGACCCTGAAACATTTCGTTATGCTAGAAAGCAAGAAAATTCTCAAAGGATGATTCAACGTGTTGTAAAAAGAATATAGGAGCCAGCTTTAAAATGCATAACCTGAATTTAATCATGAATAAACATTGAACAAACCCAACCCGAAGGGCGTTCTACTAAATAACTCTAATTCTCAAAGTAGCAAAGACATAAAACTCATGAAAAGACTAACGAACTATCCCAGATCAAAGTATACTGAAGAAATTTGACAAATTTGGCAAACACAACGTGTCATTATGACCCAGATGTTTTTGCTACAAAAACCAAGATTGGTGTAATTGGTAATACTTGAACATTATCTGAGGATTAAATTGGAGAAATGTGTCAATGTTAATATCCTAATTTTGAAGGTTGTATTGAGTTTCTACAGAAACTGTATTTACAGGAAATACACACTAAAGAACTGTGAAGGAAAAAATAAATACTGGAATTATAAACAAAAAACTAATATGATAAAATGGGAGAATATACTTGCAAATCATGCATATGATAAGAGATTGGCATCTAAAAATATATAAGGAATGCAAACAAATCAATAGTAAGGAACAGATCACTAGATTTTTAAAATAGGTGAAGGATCTGAATAGACATTCTCAAAAGAATAATACAAATGGAAAGCAGATATATGAAAAATGCTCAAAATCACTGATCATAAGAGAAGTGCAAATTAAAATCACAATGACATATTACCTCAAACCTGTCAAATGGTTATCAAAAAGAGAAGAGATAACAAGTGTTATCAAGAATGTGGAGAAAAGGGAACACTTGCACACTGTTGGGGGTGGAGTGTAAATTAGGACAGCCATTACGGAAAACAGTATGGAAGCTCCTCAAAACATTAAAAATCGAACTATCATATGATCCAGCAATCCCACTACTGGATATGTATCCAAAGAAAATGACATCAGTATGTCAATGAGATATCTGCACTCCTATGTTCATTGCAGTACCGTTCACAATACCCAAGATATGGAATAAATCTAAGTGTCTATCATTGGAAGAATGGATAAAGAAAATGTAGTATATAAACACAACGTGATACTATTCATCCTTAAAATAGAAAGAAATCCTGCCACTTGCTACAACATGAATGAACTGGGATGACATTATGTCAAGAAAAATAAGGCAGGAATAAATAGACAAATACTACATGATCTCACTTATAAGTGTAGTATAAAATAGTTGAACTCATAGGAAGAGAGAGTAAAATGGTGGTTACCAGAGGCTGGGGCAGGTGGGGTATTGGGGAGATGTAGATCAAGGAACATGAAGTTAGACAGGAGACGTAAATTTAAGAGACCTGTTGTATGTCATGGCAATGAGCTAATAAATATATTGTGTAGCTGAAAATTGCTAAGAGAGTAGATTTTAAGTGTTTTCACCACAAAAAAGGTATGTGAGATAATGTCTATGTAGAATAGCTTGATAGAGTCATTCCACAATGCATACCTATATTAAAGCATTATATTGGACACCATAAATACATGCACACTTCACTTGTCAATTACAAAGAAAGAAAGAAACCTCTAATATAAATTGTTACCTAAGGGTGGTAGATGGACCCTTAAAAATAAAAATGGAAATACATCTTCTTTGATAGTAATGTTTTGATTTTTGAACCCTGTAAATATTTTAAACATAAAAAAGAGAGATCAAAATTTTTTAAAAAAATCACACTATATGTTGGAAATTAAACAAACTGAACAAAAGAAAAATAATTATTTCAAGTGATTTGGTGCATAGAATTCTGTGTATCCTTAGTGCGGTATGTTCTAAATATAAAAAGAACTGCAAAGATACCGCAAACTTCACTCTGTAGTTTTATTGTTGGTAGAAATGTTGGTATTTTGAGTTTGAAACTATTTCATTTATACAAACACATAAATATGTTTATATTAGGAATGAAAATTATCAATTAAAAAATAAAAATGTAAAATCAGTTTTTTAAGCTGTAATATTAAATTTGAAAGAGAACTGTCCACATGAACTCATGATTATTTAATGTCTTGCATATATCTACTGAAAGTGTCAAGAAGAAATTAGAACCTATTATAAATAAGGACATGTAGCACCCAGATCTTGGCTTCTAAATAGGTCTCCCCATTAAAAAAAAAAAAAAAAGAGATTGACTCCAAGTTTATGGAAGAAAATAAGATAAACCTTAAATTCATTTTTAAGGAGAAAGGAAAATTTAAGCACTGATGGATCACGTCAAAAGAGTCTGAGACAAGCCTGTGCAATGTGGCAAAACCCTGTCTCTACAAAATACTACAAAAATTACCCAGGTGTGGTGGCGCTCACTTATAGTCCCAGGTATTTGGGAGGCTGAGGTGGGAGACCTCTTGAGCCAGGTTGGGGCTTATGGGGAGGGGGCGGGGAGGGGAGTTGCAGTTAGCCAAGATCATGTCATGGCACTCTAGCCTGGGTGACAGAGCGAGACTCTGGCTCAACACAAACGCGCACACACACACACACACACACACACACACACACACAGAGTCAGCCTGAAGGAGAGCCTTATGGCCAAAGTTGAGAAAGTCTGAGCATCAAAAAACATACTAACTATATATGATTACAGCACATTGAATATATATATATATTGGGTCTATAAAACACTTAGAAAACTTAAAGAATGTCGGCTAATAAACTTGGAAGAAGTGATTTTAAAAATCACTATTTTGGGCCGGGCGAGGTGGCTCATGCCTGTAATCCCAGCACTTCAGGAGGCCGAGTCAGGCGGATCACCTGAGGTTGGGAGTTCGAGACCACCCTGACCAACATGGAGAAACTCCATCTCTGCTAAAAATACAAAATTAGCCGAGTGTGGTGGCACATGCCTGTAATCCCAGCTACTCGGGAGGCTGAGGTAGGAGAATGGCTTGAACCCGGGAGGCGAGCTTGCCGTGAGCCGGAGATAGCGCCATTGCACTCCAGCCTGGGCAACACGAGCAAAACTCTGTCTCAAAAAAAAGAAAAAAAAATCATTATTTTGCAGTCCTCTCATGTATTATCTGTGAAAGTATTGTCATTAATTGTTAAATATACTATATAGTAAAAGGGTTTGTGAGCAGAGAATATTTACATGGTGCCAAAGTATCACTTCACATACCGCTTGCTAATTGCAAAGAAAACTATGTATTTTTACAATGGAAAAATCTTATGGTTATCCACCTTTTCCTGATCATCAAACTTAGCATCACTAATTGTGGAACAACTTAAGATCATATTATACAATAAGATATAAAAATATAGTACAGAGCATAACATCTGAGGTATGTTTAGACTTCTAGTTTATAGGAACTCTAGGACATAGAAGCACAAACACGGTGAGGAACAATGAAACCAATGCAGAATATAGTATACTCCTATAAGACCTATAGCCATAAAAAAAAAGTAATGAAAAATGGAGGAGGAATGCAGTTGTAGATTAAAAGAGAACATGAGCCTTGATATAATATTGATATTTAAAAAGTGACACAAACTATAGACTTCAGGGTAGCTGAAGATAATAGTAGTGCCACCAGTCTGTCAATATTTTCTTCCAAAACAATACAAAACAGCAAAAAGAGAAAAGTAACTGTATACAAAATGCATGCTTTAGCATATCTTGAAGAAAGAGAATGGTTGAAATTTCACATTAACTGTGAGTAAAGGTAGAGAAGTCGCCAAATCCCAGTTAATGATCTTTCATATTCCTGCTCTACACCCATCCTACAGCAAGGCTTTACTGTGAACGAAGTTAGACCAGAAACAAACAAATGGAAAAACCACAGGGAAGACAAAATGAAAGCTATCAAAGGGGCCTAAGGTTGATGTAAAAGTGCTGCCCCCAAATTGAGTACATCAAAGCCTAAAAATACTCGAAAAGTGTCTGGGCAGGTCAGAACACAGAATGCAAGGAAGGGAGTTCAAAGAATGTGCTACTTCAAAAGAGCCTCATAACCATGACTCAAAATCCAAAGACACTGGATTGGCAAAAGATTGGTAAAGTTGATTTTGTAAAAAATTTTAAAAATGCATTACAAAGGTACCATAAGGGAAATGACCAACTGGGAGAAAATATTTGCAACTTAGACAAAGGACAAATATCTCTATTTCATAAAGAACCCTAAAAATTAAAGTACAGAGGACTGAGGGCCTATAGAAAAAATGGGACAAAGAAATGAACAGATAATTAATGAAAAATATATAAAAATGGTCCTCAAATATATGAAAAGTGTTGAACTTATAATTAGAGGAATGCAAATTGAAACAACACTGAGGCAGCATTTTTCACCTATCAGATTTGTAAACATTTAAGTTTGATGACGAACTTTTTATGAGGCTATGGGGAAAAAGGCACTCTTTTATGTTCCTAGTGAGATATAAACTGTACAACCCACTGAGAAGATAATTTATCGTTTAGCATTTTTTTTTTTTTTTTTTTTTTTTTTTTGAGACGGAGTCTCGCTCTGTTGCCCAGGCTGGAGTGCAGTGGCGCGATCTCGGCTCACTGCAAGCTCTGCCTCCTGTGTTCTCGCCATTCTCCTGCCTCAGCCTCCCGAGTAGCTGGGACTACAGGCGCCCACCACCACGCCTGGCTAATTTTTTGTACTTTTAGTAGAAACGGGGTTTCACCGTGTTAGCCAGGATGGTCTAGATCTCCTGACCTCATGATCCGCCCACCTCCAACTCCCAAAGTGCTGAGATTACAGGTGTGAGCCACCGTGCCCGGCCTATCGTTTTGCTTTTATTCCATTTGGGGGTTCTATTCTACATCCTGATTGATTTTAATTTCTTTTTATTTCAAGGTTTGTGAAATATTATCATGGTTGTAACACCCAACAAAACTACATATGCATTTATTTTTTTCACCTAGCATTTCTTCTTCTAGAAATCTATCCTAAAGACATATCTTGAACAATACAAAAATACATATGCAATAGGTTATTCTTTACAACACTGTTTATAATTGCAAAATATTAAAAACAGTATAAATGTTCATACATAGAACAGTGAGTGCTTAAGTAAACTGTAACACATCCACACAATGGAATATTATTCAGTTGTGTAAAAAAGAATAAAGAGATCTGTCTGAATGGATATGGAATGATTTGCAAGATACACAGTTATGTGAGAAAAGCAAAATCCAAAAGAGGTCCTGTGGTGTGCTACACTTGGTACAAAAGCGAATTGGATAAAAAACAAATATATATGTGTATCGTATATCTGCTAATTTTTGCAAAAGAAATAGAAGAATAAACCAGAAACTAATGATATTACTTACCTACAGGAAATGATGAGAATAGAATAAATATTTGGTAGAAGGAATGATGAGGAACAATGTTTTCCAGGCATACCTTTTCAATACCTCTGACTGTTATAAGTATGGTAATATTTCACAAACCTTGAAATTAAAAAAGAAAGAAGTCCATCAGGATGTAGGGTAGAAACTCCAGGTGGAATACAAATTTAAAAATAAACAACTATATTAAAAGTGAATAATAAATCCACTTTACAGGGCATGGGGAAGAAAAAAAATAACCTAAGTACCTGGAAAACAATGTAATTTGACTCTATACTGTAAGGCTAAATACAGAAAGAAGTATACTTACATATTATACTCTAGTTAGTAAATGTCTTTCTCACAGGAATATGACCTGGCAATTCTGAAATTATTTATGTATATACTAGAATTGAAAAATAAGTAAATATAATGTGGATAATGAGAATAGGGTTTATCACTGCCAGAGAAAGAAGTTATAAATAACAGAAAGAGAAAAGCAGAAATGAACTCTACGGTTTTAAGTCGGAACTAAAGGTAACAAAATACTCATGATAGATTAGATAAATGATAGACAAATATAAAAAATGTAGATGTGCATATTTTAATGTACATGCATATATTTTCTAGTTACGTTCTCTGAGAGAGCACAGGAAACAATGACACTACAGTAGTGCTGACTACAATCTAGCCTGAGTGGACTCTGGTGAAAAATATTTGATTCTAAAGGCTAGAGCAGAGAGAATACAAGAGGAATCTCAAACATTTTTTGGTGACAGAAAGTAAGAGTGCTCAAGGATGGGACGTGTCAAAGGACACAGAAGTCAACCTGAAGGAACTCCTAATAGCTAAACTTGGAAAAATTAGAGCAACAAAATTAATAATAATAATAATAATACCCAGTAGTTAACACTGATACAAACAAATAATTGAATAAATTAACAAATGAGGGAAAATATATTGAAGAATTCCAACTAATAAATTGGAAGGAATCAGAGAGGCAAATCATATTAAACATAAACCACAGAAATAATTGTTAAAGGCTAAAATTAATAGGAGAAAGCATGATAAAAATAGGACATTTGAAAAGACTTAAAGTATCACCACCCACAATGTATTTATTTAATTCAAAGAGAAAAAAATAACAACTTTGCAATAGAGAAACTTGTCATACACTACTTTAACCAAGTAATCAAGATTAACATCACCAGTAATAACACATATTAATATCATGTATCCCAGTATAAGGCACTGAGGACACATCAGTACTTTGGTATTCTTGCCAAAAAGGCATTACCTCAATCTAATTATGAAAAAAAAATCAGACAAAGTCAAATTGAGATACATTCTACTAAAGGATTAAATCATCAAAACAGAATGAACAGCTAACTGACAGATTAGAGGAGAATAAAGAGACTTGACAACTACTAAATGAAATATGGGATCTGGGGCTGGATCTTAGACTTGAAAAAGGACATCAATGAGAAAACTAGTGAGATGAAAATAGGTGTAGAGTGTAGCTAATCCTATTGTATCAATGTTAATTCCCTGCTTTTGAAAATTGTACTACAGTTGTGTAAGGCACTAATATTAGAGAAAGCTGGGTAAAGGGTAGCACTATAGATGCAATTCTTCTGTAAGTCTGAAATTATTTCAAAACATAAAGTTTAAAAAAACTAATGACATTTTGTGGACAATTGGAGAAATGTGAACATGGATTATGAGACAGTATTCCTCACTGTTAATTCTGATAAAGGTATTTTGGTTAAATAGGAATAATACCATTATTCTTAAAAGACGCACATTGAAGTAGGTAAGGCAAAGTGACATGATGTCTAAAACTTAATGTCAAATGACTCCTCAATTACGTAGTAAAGAGATAAAAGAAAATGACTCAAATTATTAAAAACTATTTAATCTAAGTAGTGAGTACACTGACATTTAGTTATACTATTTTCAAGCTTTTGTACTTTTGAAAATTTTTAAAATAAAAATTTGGTTTAAAAAAAATCACACAATTACCCTTTTTATTCCACATGGATGTTGTAGCCAGAAAAATATAGGTTAAAAAAAGAAAATATGTATAACTCATAAAGCAATCAACAAAACTGTTATTTGTATCTATATCTAGCAATTTACGTGGAATACAGGGGTTGGAGGAACTTATTAAACATGATGGAGCCACAAAAATCTAGACTAAAAAACCTCCATAGGACCAATAACTGGCTTTCTTTCGCAAATAAATTACCAGCAGAAAGAAAAGAGGTGGAGGGAAATGTATGAAAAACAACAACTACAACAAAAACTTAAGAAACCTATCACTCATGTATGCATCTTCTTTAGATCCTGATTTGAGCAAACTTCAAGAAAGGAAGGAAGAGGAAAAGGAGGAAGAATAGGAGGTTCGGAAGCAGGAGGAGAAGGAGGAGAGAAAAGAGAGGAAGACAAAGAAAGGAGGAAGAGAAAGCTGAACAGCAGTAGAAAAATTAGGAGGAAAACATATTTGAGCCATGACTATCTAGTGTTTACTTCAAAATGAATGATGAATTATTTTTAATGTTAGGTATAATAATGGTATTAATGGCCACGACTTTGAGAGCACACATCTTTTAAATATACACCCTAAATATTTGCAGGTGAAATGACATGATGCCTGGGATTTCCTTCAAAATTATCCTGGATAATTTTGGGGGTGGGGAGGTGAAATCAGAGGGGATAAATAAAATAAGATTACAAGCTGTTCATATTTGTTGAAGGTCAGTAAGGAGATTTTAGTAAACCTCCTTACTGTATCTATTCAGTAAATAGATTTTAAATGCTATTCTTTCCCCTTTTGTATGTGTTTGAATTTTTTTACAATAAAGAGTTTTTAAAAAGAGCACAAAAACTGCATACATCTGACCAGCAATTTCATTCTAGAAATCTACATTACACAAATACTCAAATTTGTAAATTGTAGATATAAAGGTGTGGGTAGAAGGTTGATAGTCCAAGTATATTTTATTCATTGCAGTGTTGTTTGTAATAGGCAAATATAGGAAATAACCTAACAATAATTAGTTTTAAAAATAATATTATGGGATATAACACAATCCATTCATTAAAATTAACATAAGTATTCTACTATATTTGTCGAGTTAATAACTAGCTACAAAACTGTAGAGATAGTGTAATCTCATTTGTGTACAGTTGAATTCCCAATTTAACTCACACTAGAAACTCACATCAGCGGCAAAAATGTTTTAACTCTTATCTTGATTGCCACCTGCTGGTCAGTATGGGGAAATACAATTTTAAAAGTTCTTAAGGTTTCCAACTTGATTGGATCCAAAGAAATGAATAGTCCCTTTAGGTGGTTTTCGGTAATTCCTAAATGAAAGTGCTTAGTTTCTTGAAGAACCTGCATCCCCCTCATGCTTCTGTGGCAAATATGGTGTCCCAGTTTGTTAATAGGAGGAAAATGGCATGGGAAAAGATGGGCCTCTGGTTTATGAAAATGGACTGTGTACAAGCTGCAGGTGCAGGCCGCCACTGTTATTTGGGCAAAATAGCCCTTGTAGGTCTGGTCACTGAGAACCTTACTGGCAGCCTATGGCAAATAAATCTGTAGTATATTCTTTTTACTTGGATAATACTTTTCGAGAAAGGCAACTATATTCCTCTTGCCAAATCTACTCTCCTTAGGTTTTGCTAGCTAAAATCTCCTGGGTTTATGCTATGTGCCTCATACATACCCTGGTCCAGTGTTCTGCTATCAGCTTCTCTAGATAGTGCCTTCACTCTTCCACACTGCATTCAATGGCAGTTTCACAGATTCTCAGCTTAGGGTCCACTGAACACAAAAAATTGAGGGAGGCTTGAGGAGGACAACTATATATTTTTATCTGATTGTACCCACCCACTCCTCCTTGCGTTACGCTGAGCTGACCCATATTTATGTGGAGTCCTCTGTACAACTTCTGGTTTCCTACTGGATACCCCAGCTGGAAAGCTGGGCAACTACCTCCCTGCTTTCAGTGTTCCCCTGCTTGTTGTAGAAAGTGCAATAAGTATGTGGGTGAAGTGCTGTATTTAGGATATGATTCTAGGGAATGAGCAAGTGAGAAAAGGAATAAAGCAAGTGTTTATCAGTGGGTTATCACTGTGGGAAACCAGAGGTATGTCCCACTGAGAAGCCCTTTGAAAGACTTTGAAATAAAGCTCAGAAGTTTCACACAGAAGAGAAGAGCAAGATGGGGATTTTATCTACTGCTCCCCCTCATAGATTGAGGGTTGATTCTAGGAACGATAAGTCCTCAGCAGTCCAAGATGTCCCAACCAGCCAAGTACATTCCCATGGCTAGAAAAAAATCATTAAGGTAAAAAGATGTAAGTACATACCCAGGGTAAAATGCCATCAGTCATTATGGAAATTGTCCCCTGAAGCTACAGATAAACTTTAAGTAAGTTTGCAGCTTTGGGTGGGACACAAATGGCATGTGCTGACATCCTCATACTTTATTAGGGAACATATTCTGCTCTGGGCTGAAGCCTAGAAAGAGGAAAGGGAAAAAAATTTGTTTCTCCTACTGCTCAATAATTAAAGCATTTATTTTTGCCTTATTCTGAACTTCAAAACCTCAGAAAACAGGAAGTATTTTTTACAACGAATTTAGCAGCAATATATGATCTAATTTAATTTATAATCTAATTTTAGAGATCTATGTCTTATCAATATGCCATTCTGCTTCTGACTTCACCTTTATTATCACTATCCTCTATCAGTACAAGCAGTGAGACATCTTTCTACTGTGTTATACCTTGTTTCTTCCCAGTTCTACATCCAGTCTTACTTAGGATTTAAATACCAAACCAAGATTGACTTCAACTATACACTGGAAGAACTCTATGGGTGATTTCTCTAGGCTTAGCTCTTGATTTGTTAAATGGAAGCTGAATGAATTTATTTTTTTAAAAGCCTGTGGAGATGTAAATACATTCCATAGAATTCACCCATTTAAAGCCTTTTGGCTATGAAGAATAATGCTGATTTAAACATTCATGAACAAGGTCTTTTGTGGACATAGTTTTCATTTCTTTTGGCTATATACCAAGGAGTGGAATTTCTGGGTCAAATGGTAAATCTATGTTTAATCATTTAAGAAACCAAATAAATGTATTAGATACCTATCCTTTTACTATATATAATGCCTTTATTTTATGATTATTAAAGTCCTATAAACTGCATCTTGTGTCCTTGAAACTGAATATTACCTTATACTTTGTCTTTAAATTCTTTTTTGAATAAATTTTAATTACCCTGACTAGACAAACATCTTACTCTGACTAAGTTAAATATTGCATACTTAGAAATATGGAAAAGTACACAAATAATTTTCAAAATATTGTTCTCTATATGTATGTAAATATATATATCAGTGTCTGTATGAACTTAAAAGAAGTTTAATAAGAATACACACTAACATATCAACAGTGGCTTCTACAGAGTAGGATGGAGGTACCTCCATTATTCATTTTCTGAAATTAGTTGTTGTTTCAATTTTATTACAAGAAGTATATAATAGATTCATTTTTAAAGGCTAGGTGATACAAATATATATTGAAAATTAGCCAAAATGTTATAAAATTCAAATATTTCTCTAGAATGAACTCACATATTTAGATCACATTAGGTGAATGCCTTGAAGTGATACCTTAACTGAGTTACAATTTTAAATTTGAAAACTAAAAATATCCCAGTTAAATTTGCACTGCCTTGCTCTAAAACTATTGTTGAAATCATAGACTATTAAGCTATTAAGCTTTTTAGTAATTTCTGTGTATGGTCCGTTCCAAAGTATTTTTAAACTAAAAATTAATGTCACAGCCTTTGTGGGGCTGCTATGGAATCTTGGAAACATGATTTTCTCTTGGCTTTGGAAACTAGAAATCTCAAGAACCAATTCGATGGCATAACTTACCAACTCATTTCATCATCATCATTGTTGTCATAATCATCGTCGTCATCATCATAGCAACCATTTCCTGAACGTTTATTGTGTTGCATACACTGGTCCAGAACCTTAAGGCAGATGATCTATTTCATCTTCTGAAGAAATCTATAAGATAGGTTTAATTATTATTATTTCATGCTCAAAATCACTAAGGCACAAGATATTTAGTATTCCGCTCAAAGTTATGTAATTCATGTCAGAGCAAGAATTTAATCCGAGTTAGTCTTACTCCAACATTCATCTTATTCATTAAAGAGGACTTTTTAAGTTACAAACAACAGAACACCTCAACCAAGTTGGCTTTTAAAAAATGTACAATAAATATACATTTTATTATATATAATCTAGAAAGATAACAAGAGTGTATCTTTTACCTCACTTACAGCTCTATAAGTTCTTAAATTCTCTGCCACAATCTAGTCTGAAGTATGTTGATCATCTTGTAAAACACAGAACATTATATTCGTCCACTATATTGGTAACATCATGTTTATTAAATTGTTAAGCAAAAAATAGCATTTTTTTTATGCTGACATAGATAAGTTTGTTTTAACATTTATATGGAAATGCTCAGGAGCTAGAAGAGATAAAACCATTAAACTTTGCTTCAAGTTAAGGCTTAAAAGACAGCTGCAGTAATCAAGACAGCATGATATTGGCAGAAGAATAAAAACATATATTAAAGAAATATAATCAATAATCCAGAACTAGACACACATAAATATGTCCAAATGATTTTTGAAAATGGTACCAAGCAAGTAGATAGAGGAAGGATAGCTTTTTCAATAAATGGTGCTGGAACATTTTGACATCCATAGGCAAAAGAAAAAAAAGCCTTGCCTGAATAAAACATAAAACTATTAAATAAAAAATAGGAGAAAATTTTCAGAACCTAAGATTAGAAAAATTAGTGTTAAACCTTACAACAAAACCATGATCTGCAAAAGAAAGGTTGAATAAATTAGGCTGCATCAAAATTAAAAGATTTTGTTCTATGAAAGACCTTGTAAAGAAGATGAAAAGACAAGCTATATATTGGGCAAAAATATTTGTAAACCAGATATTCTACAAAGTACTTATATATAGAATATAAAAATCTCTCAAAGCTACAGTCAAAAAAGAAAAGAACAATTCCATTAGTGAGTGGGAAAAAGACATTTTGCTTAAGGGAGTGTACAGATGACAAATAAGCACATGAAAAGATGTTCAGCATCATTCATCATTAGATAAATGTGAATTAAAACCACAATGACACATCACAACACACCCATCAGAATAGCTAAAATAAAAAATAGTAATAACACCAAACACTGGTGAAGATGTAAAGAAACTGGATCATTCTGATTGTTACTGAATATCTAAAATGGTATATATATTCAGGAAAACAGTTTTTCAGTTTCTTATAAAATAAATCATTTATTTACCATAAAACTCAGCAATTGCATACTTGAACATTTATGCAAGAAAAAAACCACTTAAACTTTTTCACAAAACTAGTACATGAATGTTCATACCAGCTTTATTCATATTAGCCCCATAGTGGAAAAAACCCAAATATCATTCATGTGTGAATGGGTAGGCAAACGTGGTACATCCACACAGTGGAATACTACTCAGCAGTAAAAAAGGAACTGCTATTGATACACCAGCAACAGCTTGAATGGACCTCAAGTAAACTGGGTTGAGTAAAATAATCCAGCCTTCAAAAGTTAGATACCGTTTGATTCTATTTATATCATAGTATTGAAATTATAAAATTATAAGGATAGAGAAAAGATTGGTGGCTGTGAAGGATATGGAGATAGGTTGTACCTATAAAAGGAGGACATGAGGAATCTTTATTAGGCAACTGTTTTATATTTTAACTGTGGTGGTGTTCACATGAATATAGATCCCTAGTACATCAAGAATCCATAACTGGAAGTCCTGATCAAGAAGACTTAAATGCATGTGTACCTAATAACAGAGTTTCAAAGTTTTTAAAGCAAAAATACATAGAACTAAAACAAAAATGAGAGATTTATAGTTGAAGTTGTTAATACTTGTATCTCAGTAATTTATAGAACAAGTATATAAAAAATCAGTTAAGACATAGAAAACTTGAAAAATACTATCAGCTGGTTTAATTTCTATTATATCACTGTAATTAAAAGGGCAGAAACCTAATTTTTTTGAAGAATATGTGGATTGTTTACTAAGATAAACTGTATTCTGGGCCATCAAATAGTCTTAATAGTCTTAATAAATTTAAAATAATTAAAATTATACAAAACAGTCTGGTTATAATATAATTGAATAATGTATATTACAAAAAATCTAGAAAATTCCAACAAATTTGAAAATTAACACACTTTTAAATTACCTATGACTCAAAACAAAATTTAAAATATGTTGAACTGAAAGCCAATGAAAACACAACATAATTAAATTTGTGGGGTATGGTTAGAGAAATGGCTGAGGTAAAATTTATAGCTTTAATTACTTACATTGGAAAAGAAGACACAAATCAATGACTTACGGTTTCTTCTTGAGGTGTAGAAGAAATTAAATTAATCCCAAGATAAGTGGAATTAAATAATAAAGAGGAGTCAATAAAATATACAATGGGCAAACAATTGGGAAAATCATTCAGATTAAAAACTGGTTCTTTTAAATGATCAATAAAATTGATACCCTTCCCATCAGAAAGATTAATGGAAAAAAAGGAGAGAAGGCATTAAATTGCTTGTATCAGAAACAAAGAAGGGAATATCATTACAGTTTCAAAAAGATGTATTGATTTTTACAAAAGTGTCAACAATATTTAAAAGATATTAAGAAAATATGAAAAATTTGTAATGATAAATTTATGAATTTAGATGAAATTTTTTTTTTTTTTTTTTGAGACGGAGTCTTGCTCTGTCACCCAGGCTGGAGTGCAGTGGCGCGATCTCGGCTCACTGCAAGCTCTGCCTCCTGGGTTCATGACATTCTTCTGCCTCAGCCTCCCAAGTAGCTGGGACTACAGGCGCCCGCCACCATGCCCGGCTAACTTTTTGTATTTTTCTTACAGATGGGGTTTCACCATGTTAGCCAGGATGGTCTCGATCTCCTGACCTCGTGATCTGCCCCCTCAGCCTCCCAAAAGTGCTGGGATTACAGGCGTAAGGCACCGCTCCCAGCCCTAGATGAAATTATTAAAGCACTTAAAAACACAAATTCCAAAACTTGCACAAAAACACATATAGAAAGTTGTAATAGTTTATAATCTATTAAAAACATTGATTTTGTAATCTAAATTCTCCCCACAAAGAAAATTAGAAGCCCAGATGGTTTCATTGGTGACGTCCATCAATCATAAAGCAAGATATAATAGTCTTATATACACTGTCTCAGAAAATAAAAGAGGGAATAGTTTCCAACTTATTTTGTAAGTCCATAAAATATGGTGTTACTCTCATACCAAAACTAAAAGATAATATTACAAAAACATAGAAGTACAGGCTTACATCCTTCATTAACATAGAAACAAAAATTCTTATCAGCAACATCCACATATTATAATATATCATCCCTAAAAGAGATTTATCCCAAAGTGTGAGGTTGATTTTATATTCAATATTTAATCAATGAAATTAGCAATACTTAAAGGATAAGGGAGAAAAACTACGTGATTATATTAATTAAGATCCGGGAGAAAAAATATCTATGACAAAAATTCAACACCCACTCCTGGTAAAAATGCTCAGCAAACTAGAAATAAAAGAGAACTTCTACAATACAAAAATATGCAATGAATACTTTAAAAATAAACTTTTGTCAGCAGACCTGCACTATGAGAAAAGTTAAAGTGCCACATACTGAAAAAATAAAAACAAAACAAAAACTTCTACCAGATGGAAGCTTAGATCTACTCAAATGGTAAGAAACATTGGTATACAGAAATCAATTTCATTTAAAATAGCAGTGTAACATGAAATACTTAGAGATACATAATAAAATATGGGTAAGACCTGTAAACTGAAAACTACCAAATATTGCTGGTAAAATTAAGAATAACATACATAAATGAGTAAGATATACTATATTTACAGGTTGGGAGAGTCAAAATTGACAGAATGTTAATTCTTCCCAAATTGATCGATAGATTTATTATGTAACCAGTGAAAAGTCTGGAAGGCTGTTTTAGTGTGTTTTGCTTTGTTTTTAGAAACTAACAAACTCATTCTTAAGCTTATATTTAAGGGCCTAGGAAAACTAAATTATGATGAACTTTGCACTACCTGATATCAGGACTTAAAGTATAACTTCAGTAAGAAACACAGTGTGATGTTGGCATAAAGACAGACATATAAATAAATAGAACAGGACGTGGAGACAAAAAAATAGACCTATACTTAAATGGTGTATCTATTTCTATAAAAGTGTCAAAAAAATTCAATAGGGAAATGATACATTATTAAACAAACTGCTACAATAATGGGATATTCACATGGAAACAAATGAGTCTCAATCCTTACACTTTATACAAAAAGTAAGTTGAAATATATGACGCCAAATTTAAGAGTTAAAGCTTGAACTTTCAGAAGTAAAAGCACACGAGAAAATCTTTGCATCTTTGGCTGCATAAAAATTTCCTAGAGAGGTCACACACATTAAAAGAACCCAAATCATTAAAGAAAATGGTAAATTTAACTTTATCAAACTTAATAATGCTTGCTGTTTCAAATACACCATATTAATAAAGTTTCTCCAGAGAGGTAGATCCAGTAGAAGGGGAGAGAGAGAGAGGAGAGAGAGGAGAGAGAGAGAGAAAGAGGAGAGAGTGGAAAGAGAGAGAGAGAGAGAGAGAGAGAGAGAGAGAGAGAGAGAGAGAGAGAGAGAAAAAATATATATGGGGAATTGGTTCACACAATTAGAGAGGCTGAGAAGTCTCAAGATATGTTGGCTACATCATAAACATCATATTTCATCCATACATTATCCCTGTATTTCATGTATTATTATCCCATTGATTGAAGAGGGAAATTTAGCCAGAGAGGTAAAATCATCTACCCAGGTATTGTTGAAAATTTCAGAAACAGAATTTGGACTCAGGATGAAGTGAAACTTGTTCTTAACTACTATGCTACATTTTTCACCACATGTCCACCTACATGAATTTCTTCATTGGAGACATTTCTAAAGAAAAAAGTCTTTGACAAAGTTCTAATATTATCTTCTGCTAGAACAGGTTGTTTTAAGGGATATCATATCCTATTCCAGAAAACTTTCTTCATCTCCAGACTCAGAATGTTTGAGTCTGTTATTGCCACTCTATTTGTCAGAAATGTTTCTAAGAATATTCCTTCTAGACTTCTACTTGGGCAAAACATAAGCCTTTTTTAGAAACTCCCAGCCTAAGTTAAGTGGGATCAGGAGGAGAAAATCTACATTATGATTATGTGCTGGGCACTATGTTAAGAACTTCACTGACAGGAATTGGCTGTGTCCCCACCCATATCTCATCTTGAATTTTAACTCCCACAATTCCCACCTGTCATGGGAGGAACCTGGTGGGAGATGATTGAGGAAGCACGTAGATTCTGAAGAGCCATTCAAACAATGATAGGCTGAAGTACCACAGACAAAAAATATTCCTGAGGGTAGGCAGACTATTTGTGTGGGAGGAGTTACCCACCTGATGCATTGGGAGTTGGTTGTGTCTATAGTATTGCTAAATTTTACACAGGTGAGGTTTGAGGTATGGGTTATTTCCAGATTGGAGACAAGAGGTATTACTAAAACGGAAGTGGTGCTTATTTCTGTGCTGAAGTTCAGGTACAGGGATTGAAATGTACGGCCTGAAGTGCAGGGGGAGGTACATCCAACAGTTAGTAGGGATTTAGGCCAAGACCTCATGGAGCCCAGTGAGGGAGTGAGGGTAGTATTAAATAGGCTTACCAGGTGAGTATGGGTATGGAGGGTTTCATGTAGTTTTGAGAGATCTAGTCCTTTGTAGGGGTTAGGGGTGCTATGTACCACGGTCAGTTGGGAGATTACTTCCTTTACGTGTTTTTCTCTTGCCTCATCTTGAACTCCACCCCCATCAGACATACCGGTATGAGTGAAGTTAAGTCCAACAGACAGTGGCTCCAAGTCCTCAAGGACAACTAGGATTAATCATTTTCCCTGTCCAATAATGAGTATTTGCATGCATGCAAAGAGTGGCAGAGTTACAGCATTTGTGGGGCATATGGGTGTGGGCAGTGAAGGTGGGGTTTCCCTTAGATAAACTCCTATATGATGGGGCATCAATATTTCCAGGAAGCCGCATTCTCCATAGAAACTATTGGTAAGGGGAGCTACTGGTCGTACAGCGGCATGGAGCGGGTGCAGTGAGAGTGAAAGAGGGTAAGAGAACAGTAAAGAGAAAAATATGATAAGGGAGGGCCATGGGGTTTTACGATTTTAGTTACTTTCCTCACAGTTCTCTGACAGCCACAAGTCTCCTTTAGCAGTGAATATGCCATTCACATCATGAGATGTCCACACAGTAAGATCTCTTCCCTGTATTATTTTAACTGCTTCAGATACTAAGACTGCTACTGCCACCACTACCTGTAGACAAAGAGGCCAACCCTTTGCCACTACATCAATTTCCTTACTTAGGTATGCCACTGATTGCAAGCTCATCCCTCGGATCTGTGTAAGGACTCCTAGAGCTATTCCTGTTTTTTCTGTGACATATAAAGAAAAGTCTTGTCCTGTTGGCAAGCTTAACACTGGGGCTTGGGTTACGGCCTTCTTTAGGGCCTGGAAAGCCACTTCTGCTTCAGGTGTCCATTTTACTAAATGAGTATTGGCTTTCTGAGTTTCCTTAATTAGTGTGTATAATGGTCTGGCTATTTCATCGTACCTGGGAATCCATATTCGGCAGAAACCTGTTATGCCAAGGAATCTTCTTAGTTGCTTTAGGGTTTTGGGATGAGGATAAGCCAGTATAGGCTAGATATGTTCCTCACTGAGGGCCCTGGTGCCTTTGGATAATTTTAGCCCTAAGTATTTAACCTGCTGTGAGCAGAGCTGAGCCTTTGGTTTGGAAACCTTGTAGCCACAGGTAGCAAGGAAATTTAAGAGCACTTGGGTGGCTGGATGGCACAAGGTTTCTGAATTGGCAGCTAAAAGTAAATCATCCACGTACCGATGGACAAAAGTGTCCAGGTATGAGAATTGACTCAAGTCTTGGGCTAATGCCTGGCCAAATAGATGGGGGCTATCCCTGAACCCTTGGGGTAAAACAGTCCAGGTGAGTTCAGACATTGGGTTCGAAGGATCTTCAAAGGAAAACAAGAATTGAGAGTCAGGATGTACAGGGATGCAGAAAAAGTCATCCTTAAGGTCCAGGACTGTAAACCACTCTGCTTCCTCTGGTATTTGGGAAAGCAGAGTATAAGGGTTAGGTACAGCTGAGTATAGAGGGACAATGGCCTCATTGATAATCCTGAGATCTTGCACTAACCTCCACTCTCCATTGGGTCTCTGTACTCCTAAAATTGGAGTATTGCAGGGGCTACTGCATGGTTTTACTAGGCCTTGGATTTTAGGTCCTTAGCAATCTTTTGGAGTCCTTGTTGGGCCTCGGGTCTAAGGGGGTACTGCCTTTGGTAGGGAAAGGAGGTGAAATCCTTTAGTTTAACTTGAACAGGACGGGCATTCTTTGCTCATCCATATTGTCCTTCTGTTGCCCAGACTTCAGGATTAATTCCTTCCTCAAGCAGGGGACAACAAACTGGTGTTCCTTCTCCTATGTTCAGGTGTATAATGGCCCCTGCTTTTGCTAGAATGTCTCTCCCTAACAAGCGAATGGGGCTTTCAGGCATAATTAGAAAAGCATGTGAGAAGAGTAAAGCTCCCCAGTCACAAATTAGTGGCTAGGAGCAGTATCTAGTGACTGGCTGTCCTAGGACCCCTCGGATAGTGACAGATCTGGAGGACAGTCATCTGGGACAGGAGAGTAAGACTGAGAAGGCCGCACCAGTGTCCAGGAGACAGTTAACCTCCTGGCCCTCAATGGTCAAGCACACCCGGGGCTCTGTGAGGGTCACAGCATGGGCTGGCGCTTGCCCCTGGTACCCTCAGTACCTTGCTGCTGGATCATCTGGTTGGTGGCTTCTGACTCAGAGGGCCTTCTTCCCCTGGGGCAGTTGGCCTTCCAGTGATTCCCTTGACATAAGGGGCATGGATGAGGGGGCAGCTTATTTCTACTTGGACAATCTTTTTAAAAGTGTCCTTGTAGAATACACTGGAAGCAAGCCCTATTAGGCATTTGATTTGCTCAGCTTTTCCCTGTTTCAGAGCCTCCAAAGTCCGCTTGCCTGAGGGCCATGACTAAAGCGGTGGGCTTTTTTTTTTTTTTTAATCCCGTTTGTCCCATTCCACCTGCTCCTCCTGATTTCTATTATAAAAAACCGAGGTTGCCAAGTTCAATAGGGTTTCTAATTTTTGCTCGGGGCCTAAGGTGGACTTTTGAAGTTTTTTCCTAGTGTCTGCAGCTGACTGAGTGATAAACTTATCCTTTAAGATTAGTTGGCCTTCAATAGAGTCAGGTGACAGGGAGGTATGCTTCTTCAATGCCTCCCTTAGTCTCTCCAGAAAGGCGGTAGGATTTTCTTCCTTTCCCTGTGTTATAGTGGACATCATTGAATAATTCATAGGCTTCTTCCTAGTTTTCCTTAGTCCTTCTAGCATGCAAGTTAGCAAATGTCTGTGGCACCAATCTCCATGTTCTGATTCTGTGTCCCAGTGAGGGTCTACACTGCTGGCCTGTGGGGAATCGTTCTTTCCTCTTTGTCATCCTATCATTGACCTGACTGAGATACCAGAGATCACCAAACTCTCTCTCTCTCTCTCCCCCCACCTCTCTCTCTCCCTCCTGCCTCTGTCTCCCCTGCCTCTCTCTCTCTCTGTCTCCCCCTGCCTCTCTCCCCCTGCCTCTCTCTCTCCCCGTGCCTCTCTCTCTCTCTCTCTCCCCTGTGCCTCTCTCTCTCCCCTGCCTGTCTCTCCCCCCACCTCTCTCTCTCCCCGTGCCACTCTCTCTCCCCTGCCCGTCTCTCCCCCCGCCTCTCTCTCTCTCCCCTGTGCTTCT
The DNA here is from genome assembly GCF_000001405.40 of Homo sapiens. Taxonomy (NCBI): domain Eukaryota; kingdom Metazoa; phylum Chordata; class Mammalia; order Primates; family Hominidae; genus Homo; species Homo sapiens. The sequence goes on from NC_000011.10 coordinate 22,316,376, forward strand.
CTCTCTCCCCCGCATCTCTTTCTCCCCCATCTCTCTCTTTCTCCCCCGTCTCTCTCTTTCTCCCCCGTCTCTCTCTCTCCCCTCCGCCTCTCTCTCTCCCCCCTCCGCCTCTCTCTCTCCCCCCTCCTCTCTCTCTTCCCCCGCCTCTCTCTCTCTCTTCCCCCGCCTCTCTCTCTCCCTTCCCCCGCCTCTCTCTCTCCCTTCCCCCGCCTCTCTCTCTCCCTTCCCCCACCTCTCTCTCTCCCTTCCCCCACCTCTCTCTCTCCCTCCCCCGCCTCTCTCTCCCCTGTGCCTCTCTCTCTCCCCCTGCCTCTGTCTCTCTCCTGCCTCTCTCTCCCCCCGCCTGTCTCTCCCCTGTGCCTCTCTCTCTCCCCTGCCTCTCTCTCTCTCCCCTGCCTCTGTCTCTCCCCCACCTCTGTCTCTCTCCCCATCTCTCTCTCCCCCATCTCTCTTTCTCTTCCCTGTCTCTCTCTCTCTCCCCCATCTCTCTCTCCCGTCTCTCTCCCTCTCTCCTCTCTCAGCCATTTACAAACTTGGGGCCCTGGCAAGGGTGGTGGGGAACAGTCCCACATAACTGCCCATGTCGAGAGCTGTATACCTAAATTGGGAGGGACACCAGGGATAAGACTCCCTGGGTTTATCATCTAGATGCCTAAGGACGCAGCATAGAGCTTCCTTAGATCCCTTTGGAGATACAACTTGTTAGAGGAAATGAAAGTCTGAACCATTAGTACCTAGGAGGCAGGGATCAGAGGAAGTAGATTCAGAGGTAAGGAGAATTCTGGGGCTACACTTTCAAGAAGTGTCGGGACCTAGGAGGTATGGGTCAGAAGAAAAGGTAAGGCGCACACATGGGCGACTGTTGAGTAGAGACTTCTGGCTGCACCATGATCTCAACCAGCCAGGAGTTCAGGATGACAGCTTTCTACCTCTATCGGCCCTCGGCTTCCCCAAGAAAATTGAAAGTGGAAGCTGGCTCCAGGCAGACCAACATCCCCAACTCAGAAGGGTTGGGGGTTGTTAGAAAGGCCTTCCCCAGATAGCCTCACACCTGAGTCTTAAGTCTGGTGGCCATGCTAATCATTTTTAACTGGCTGACAGGTGCCCGGTATTTTCCTCCAATTCTAAGGAAGGACAGAATAGCAAGTGAAAGTGGTCCAATATTACTCACCACTTTGGAGGTCCCTTCGTGGTCACCAAAATGTTACTGGCGGGTCTTTGCTCCCAGAGCTCCCAAGATGGTGGCAGACCGCTTCCAAGATGGTGGCAAGCCTCATGTTCTCTGACCTGGGGTTCTTGGCCTCACTGATTCCAAGGAATGGAATCCTGGGCCATGCGGTGAGTGTTATAGCTCTATTAGAAGCCGTGGGTCATGGAAGAGAAGCGTGGAATCCAGTGACTAATGTTCAGCTTGATTAGGTCAAACCCAGGCACTTAGCCGTGCAGGAACAATGGCAAGCCTTTAGCCCGATTGGGAGGGGCATTGGGCGCCTCACTGGATCAGGAGCACAGCGGACACCCTGCCGCATCCGGAGGGATGGAAGTCAGTGGCGGGTCTGTGACGGCAGCCAGCAGCAGTGGTGCAGGGCGAGTGAAAGCTCAGCTCCAGCCGTAATAAACACGGACCAGAAGAGTGCAGTTGCAAGATTTAGTAGCGTGAAAACAGAGCTCCTACACAAAGGGAGAGGACCCAAAGGGGGTTGCTGTCGCTGGCTCGAATGCCTGGGTTTATATCCCAATCCTTGTCCCGCCCACTGTGCTCTCAGGCAATAGATGATTGGCTATTTCTTTACCTCCTGTTTTTGCCTAACTAGCATTTGCCTAATTAGCATCAGATGTGAGCTAAGTTGCAAACCCCGTGTTTAAAGGTGGAAGCAGTCACCTTCCCAGCTGGGCTTAGGGATTCTTGGTTGGCCTAGGAAGTCCAGCTACTCCTGTCTCTCAAAACCAGACATATATTATCTCAGATAAAAGAAGTCTTATGGATAGGCAGTTCCAAGACTTGTTCATTGTTTCAATTATACCAGCAAGAACACAAGCTCATTCTTCCTTTCCACTTTGCCTTCCTTAACTGCTTATTTTTATCCTCATTCTCATCTTTTCATATTATAAGATGACTACTCTAGCTCTAGATGCCATGGTGGTATTTAAAGCAAAAGTAAAGAGCATTAGTCAGGTACCTTAGTTGAAAACAACGAATTCATCCCTGCTAGTTTAAGCTTAAAAATGGTTTACAATCTATTCAGCACCCCATGAAACCACTGGGAGGTTGGTGGAAAACAGGGCCTAGTCTCAGCTCTCAGGAGAAAAAATCCCCAAGTCCCATCACAAAACAGTATGGAAACTACAGCTACTGCCATTGTTTAGCTCTAAATTTTAGGAATTTGTTTTCACTGAAACTTGCACTTACTTTCAAGTTGGTGCACTTGTAATTGTGGTTTTTGCCATTACTTTTAAAAGACAAAAACCGCAATTAGTTTTGCACCAAACTAATGCCACACCTGTTTCAGGAATTTCATCGTAGCCACAGGGTGACCAACTGTTCAGGTTTGCCTGTGACTAAGGGAGTTCCTAGGGACACAAGACTTCCAGTAGCAAAACTAAGGATTAAGATTAGTAGGTTACCCTATCTTTCTACCAGTATTAGTAGGTTACCCTATCTTACTATCACTAGGAAACTGCCATCATTGCCACTGATGATGCCTAAATCCAGATACCTCAACCATCAACCACCTATAACAGGGTGGAAACTCCACACAGAGGCTGTTTCCTAAACAGTGCTTCCTTTCAAATCATCCTCATGAGGGTGTCTGATGGGGCTTAGATTGTACGCCTGATCAGTTACAAGATCCTAACTTCTATGCTAGGCAATCCAAAAGATGATGGATAGTTACAAATATAAACATGTACTTCAAAGTGTAAGGGAGCAGTGACAATCAGTTTGCTCCTGTACCTTTTTGTTTTATCAGAAAACAGATTAGATTTCCCACAAGCTCTTGCTGGGAAAAAACTGGGTTACATGGCCAACTGTAGCTGCAGAGGAGATTAGAAAAATTAATACTGGGATTCCCAACTCCGGGGGAAATAAGTTGAAAATCGCATCGGAGGAGTCAACCAGTGATATCTACCGCAAGAACATCTGTGTGAATTTGTATACCTTTTCCTACATTGGCACAGGATGTTGTCTGTAGCAGTAGTTTTGTTGTTTTCTTTTTTCTTCAAAATATGGTATGCAGATCATCACTATCAGAATTGCCTCAGATTTTAAAAAGTCTCCTGATATTTTAAATTCAGAATACTAGACTCACTCTGAATGAACTAAGGCACAACCCCTAGGAGTGAAGGCCTGAGGGACTCTGCAGTGTTACAAAGCTTCTTAGGTAATTCTGAGGCATATTAAAGCCTGGGAATTACCAGTATGGAGAGAGAGCTTTCAAAATGTAAACGGGAGCTATATCTTGGTAGTAGGTTTCTAGGTGAATTTAGAATTTTATTCTTCTGTTCGAATTTTTGGAATGCACAAGAATAATTTTTAGAGCAGTTTTTAAATTTGCAAAGGCAGAATCAGACAAAACACTCATACTTTGATCAAAGTAAAATAAAGGAAAGAATGGATAAATATATGGATGACATGTATAAGGAAGGAGAACAAAACTCTATAGAAATAATGCCAAATTCCAAACAAAAACTGATGACACACAGTGAAAAAGTGATGGCACAAGAGAAACAGTTTTTATATAAATAACTGTACTCAGGCTGTGTGAAGACAGGCTGAATGATTTGGCCTAGAAGAGAGAACATTAAAAAGTGAAAAAGTTATTTAATAATATTTATGAATATTAAACATGCTGCATATTCTTATGATACATTATCTTTTGCCAAATCACTCCTCACTTCTTATTCTACTATTACAGCAAAGAAGTTATCCTGTATTTATAGCATACAGCTCCATGGGGGGGATAAGGCAGGTGTGTTTCATTTGATTGTGAATACAAAAAAAAATACATGAAAAACAAACCCTCAGAATATTAGAGGTTTTAGCTGTTTCTCATATTGTGAGTTAGAAACAAAGTTTTATCTAGAAGACTGGTGACTTGTCTCCTTCCTTCCACTGCAATCTCATAACTGCCTTACTCTAAACGCAATGGCACTCAGATGTAAATGGTTATTCAACACAGTGATAGATGCAACTCGGAAACCATGTCTTCTTAGCAATTTGCATCACTTTGTTTCTCTGCTTTTTCTCCCACTGCCCCTTTTACAGCTCTCAGCCGCAGTTCTTATAGCACATCATTACAATAATTTACTTGTACAGTTGTCTCCTCTACCAGCTGGCTGTTTCTTGATAGTAAAGACCATTCCTATTTATCTTTATATTTCCACTATTTTCATAGCACCCAAGACATTGTGATTGCTTCATAATAATGGTAAATGAAAAATATCAGTTCACTTATATGTAGTTTGATTCAGATGACTCTGAGTTTAGGTTCTAGTTCAGACACTGAAGAGCAGTGGAAACTTGGATAATTTGTAGCTTTATCATCTACGAAATATTGCATTATTATATTATGTAGTATAGTAGTATAACATATTATATCATGTTATACTTTATTATATACCTACTTAATAAGGAAGAAATGATATATCATTCAGAAATACTTCAAGCAGTACCTAAATCTTGATAAATGATCAAAGTTACACAATGCTTTTGGAAATTGGATGACATATTGATATATTTGTTTGTTTTTGTCTCTCCAACTAAAATAAAAGCTCCATCAGGATGGAAAATTGTCTGTCTTGCTCACCTCTTTATCTCCAGTATTTGGAATAGAGTCTGGCACATAGAAGATGCTTAATAAATATTCTTTGTGTAAATGAATTAATTGCGTTTTAATGGAAATATATTGAAGAACCTAAAAAATGCCTAAATTTTGTCCTACTAATAATGATCCCCCTCCTCTGTAGGAATTTCATACATTAGTTTCCAAAAATAAACCAAACAACCCCTTTATTAAAAGTTTTATTATAGGTGTTAAACTTTAGGTGTCCATATACAGACCTTTGAGATGGGACATGCAGCTGGATGGAGCTTGTGGGTGAAACTGGATGCCTTCCTCTCCATCTAATTCTTAAATTTGTACCAAGCTTTGTACAGCCATATGAAAGAAGAATTACAAAACAAAGGAAACAAGAAGGCCATATCTGCTTAACTTACTCCCTCAGTTGCATTAATGACAAAGGTATAAAAGGCAAAAGAAGTGCTTGATACTTTAGGTCAGTAACGTGCTCAAGTGGTACATGTGGCCTAACTGATGTTCTAAATTTTTTCTGGGTAATACATTCTCAATTGAGGGAGTAACAAGAACAGAGGTGGAGCTAAGGAAGTCAGATGCCTCCTCCTAAATTAAAAAATATATATATAGTGTGTGTTTCTATACATAAAAATGTCTTTGTATTTTATCCACATATCCTTTCCAGTTATTAAACACAGTTTGTTACTAAGAAAGAGAGTGACAGTCTATAATATTTCCTGGGTCACTATACAAATAAAATCTAAAAATAGACTCTTGCATATTGGAGATAAAAGAACTGTGACCTTGAAACTCAGTAATCAGATGAAATAAATCCTCAAAGCTCTTCCAGTCCAGGAGTTGGATGATCTTGCATCTTAACTATAAACGAAACAGCTTTCCTTAGTAAGTGAGCCAAGGTAAGGAGAGAGTCTCTGGCAAGTGCACAATAGACCTGGTTTTCAACTCTGAATCTAAAATACCAGTGTGGGTATTGTGATGTGGCCCTGGATGCATCAAGTAACCTCTCTGCTCCTCAGTTTTATCACTGGTGAACTGAGAGCTTTGGGCTTAAGTTCTAAAATTATGTGGCTCAGCAAAAATTGTCGTTGTTTCAGCTCCTTCTATTTAAAGAAATATAAATGACTTCAACCATCAAACTGTCAGCCTCCAAAAAGTAGATTTAAAATCTGTGTGATTCATGACTCACTTTAAAAAGAAAGTGACATTTCTACCAGATTTTTAAACCAGGTCAGTCTGATGGCAAAGCTATGCCACTAAATTGTCTCTACCGCAAAGGCAATGCGGAAATAAATGTGTTCCTCAATGGGCATATTTATTCTAGAGCACCAATTTATTCTTAGATAGGAAACAGTTTTCTTTTAAACTTTAAAGCTACTTTTTAATGTTTACTCAACAGTGTTGTTGTCCTAGACCATAGAGATACACGTTAAAATCTGCAAAGTCCTGATGAGTTTCCATCTCTCCTCACACCAAAGTATTATTCTCTCTAAGCATGCTTCACCTGCTAAGGAACAAAACTTGCCTTAGCCTGATATTGTTTACTACCTTCCCAGAAGCCTTTCTCCATTTCTGAAAGACCACCTTAGGGCTAGAAACAAATTGGATTCTTCGAACCTTCCTTTATTTTTTCAATTCTGGTTCTAAATAGGATTGTAGGGGTTATAATACAGGAAATTATTTGGGGGCGGTGGTGTTAGTCAGTTCCTCCCCTGGGGTTTCGAGTCCCTTTGGTTGGAGAAAGCCTCTAATGAGGACAAAGTAACTCGAACCTATTGAATTTTCACACAATGCTGTCGCACAGATTGTATTTCTAGATTAGGCCAATAACATGGCTCATTCATTCAGTATTAATTCATTCATTTAACTGGCTAGTGCCAAGAGTTGAAAAAATATTAATACTAATTAGCAAGTTGTAGGCACTTAGGAGGATGTGCCAGGTACAGTGAACTATGTGTTTTATAAACAGAATTTCATTTAATGCTCACAACACTTGATTGAAATAATTAATATTATTATCACCATTTACATATGAAGAAACTGAGATTTAAGCAGATTTAGGAATTTATCCAAGCAGAAAAAGTGAAGAAACCGAGCTCAATTTCAAGCAATCTGAGTTTATATCAAAATAAACAGAATTCTTGTCACTATGAGATGTACATCATTATCAGGGAACCAGATATTAAATATTAACTCTCTTATATTTGTTTCATTGTGATTTGATTGTAACAATCAATCGTTATATAATTGTGATAAGGGATGAAAACAGGTATTGTGGGTGATTAGATTCTATTGAGGATGTCAGAAAATGCCTCCCCGAGAAAGTGATACCTAAGCAGAGACACGGATGTTTATAAGGATTTAGTCAGGTAAAAAGTGAGAGTGGTGGTGAGTTTCCCAGGCAGAGGGACCCACCTCATAAAAGGTAAAGGAAAGAAGCAATAAGCATTTATTGATGGATTTGTGACAACCAGGCTATACGAAGCCCTTTACAAGGATTATATCTTTTGACTCTCATGGAAACCCTTCCAGGTAGATACCATTATCCTCATTTTGCTTACTCAGAAAGAGAAACTGGGCATAATTAAAGTAACGTAGCCTAAACCTTATATCCAGTAAGGATGGGCAGGTGCCTGGACCTGGACAGTCTAGCTCTAAAATTATATTCTTAAATATATAAATGCAATTTTTTAAGTGGGGAGGAACTTTGTGTATAACTGTCATGGCTTGAATAGTATCCCCCCAAAATTCATGTTCACCCAAAACCTTAAAATGTGACCTTATTTGGAAATAGGACCTTTACAGATGTAATTAGGGCCTTGAGAAGAAATCATTCTGGATTTAGTGTATGCCCTAAATCTAATGACTCATTATGCCCTTATAAGAAGAGACGGCACAAAAGCACAGAGAAGAAAGCAGTGTAAAGTTAGAGGCAAAGGCTGGAATGACAAATCTCTAAGCTAAAGAACTGCAAGGACTGCCACCAACCACTGTAAGGTAGGAGAGACATAGAATGATTTTCCCTCACAGAAAGAACCAATCCTACTGATACCTTGAGTTTGGACTTTTAGCCTTCTAAATTATGAGAGAATAAATTCATGTTATTTTAAGCCACTGAATTTGTGGTAATTTTTATGGCAGCTCCAGGGAACTAATGCAACACCCTTTACTACAGAACAGCCTTGTAACAAAGTTTAGGAGGTTTTATTTATTCAACCATTTTTACTGTTTATACTATGTGTCAGATATTTTGGCAAGAGTTATGAACAATATAGATTATGCAAATATAGACCCCATTTTCAAAGATTGCAAGGTAGAAACTGATGTGTGATATAAAAAATTTAGATAAAGAACAATAATTGCCACTCCCATATATTAAGTATACTTATGTGTCAGACACTGAGAGGTGGCTTACATGCATTATTTAATCTGAAAATGGTATATATAATTCTTTCCACTTAGATAAATAAAATGAGTCTTAAATAATTTGAATTACCTTCTCCAAAGTTGTGCATTTCTACCAATGACAGCATTAGATTCCAATTTCTAATGGGAGGATAAAGGAGGAAACTTAATTCAAGAAAATGTATCTGATAGGGTTTTGAATGATCAGTAATGATGGACACTGATAAGTGGAGGCAAAGACAATGTCATTATGGGTGAGAATAATAGTGAGCTTAAAGACAAAGGATCAGGGAATGGAGTTTCTGTATGTAATAGAGACTCCAGTTTGTCAGAGTGCATAGAACAGTAAGAGAGAAAAGTGAGAAATCAATTTAAAATTGTAGATTCAGACCAGTTGCTGACTAATAAGCAAATGTCAGGAGCTGGGAAATTTTTCCTTAAATAGATTAAAGTCCTGTAAAATTTTGCTAAAACAAGTGAATGATCAGGGTTTTCTTCAGGGAGATGAATTCCTCAAGAATGTGACAATGGACTGGAGACTAGGAGAGATTAGTGACCAGGTATCCATTTAGGGAGACAAATGCCACAAGAGAGGGGGACAAAATCCATTCACTCCTTGGAAAACAACTCTATGATCAAACCTCAATTATTCTTTTATTCAAAAAATACCTGTTGAGCCTTTTCCATGCTACCCAAAGAGGGTCCATCTGACATTGTCCTGTGTTCCCACAGTAACTTAAATGGACACTTTCACAATGTCTGGAGTCCTATAGATGAAGGACGAGGATATTCTCAAATTCCTTCCAAGAATTCACTTTGTTCAATATGCCAAGAACCTGGACACCCTCCACTGGTAACAAGCCTACCACTGAAGACTGGTCTGCAGCTCCCACTGTTCTGGCCACTGAATGAGTAGGAACAACGATTGAGAGGTGTTAAGCTGTTCTTCCATATGCTGTTAAACAGAAATATATGAATAAGTTCAACAAAAAATAAACATTCATTTCTTAAAAAAAAAAAACATTAAGCACTTTGCAGGGAATATATTCCATGTGCTGGAAATAGAATTCTGCATACGGTAGGCACAGTTCCTGCCATTTATAAGTTTTCTCTAGTTGACTTAGGAAGGCAGAACAAAAAACAAAGCAAAGAACCAACAGATACTGTGGCAACCAGAATAATAGCCTCCCAAAGATGTTCTCTTCAAGATCCCCAGAACTTGTGAATACATTACCTGATGTGCCAAAGGGGACTTTGCAGGTGTGATTTTGTTAAGGATCCTGAAGTATGGCAATTATTCTAGATTATCTGGCTGAGCCCAGTGAAATTATAAGGGGACTTATGGGTGAAAGAGAGAGGCAGTAGAGACAGAGGAGGAGATGTGATAATGAAAGCAGACGTCTTGCTTGTTAACTCGGAGGTTGGTTGTATCACAAGTCAAGAAATGCAGGCAGCCTCCAGAAGCTAAAAAGGCAAGGATATATTCCCTCTAGAGTGTCCAGAGAATGAAGCCCTGCTGACAGCATGACATTAGCCCAGGAAGCCCTATGTCAGACTTCTAATCTACAGACTTGTGGCAAATTTGTGTTTTAGTAAGTTACTTAGTTTGTGGCCCTTCCTCACAACAGCAATAGGAAAACAAAACAGATAGTAATTAGAAAAATAAGATACTTTAGATAGTGAAAAGTTGTAGAATAAAGAAAAGTTAAAAAGGATAATATGATAGCAAACCAGTGAAAAGGCACTAACACAGGGACACACTTGGCCTGTGTTCATGGTATATAAGAGCAAGAAAGAGAAGAGTTAAGATGATGATGGAGAAGTAGCCTTCCCTAGAAATAAAATGCTTCAAAATTCTGCATGTGGTCATCTAGTCTTAGTCAGAATAAGGAAATTTAACACTTGTATAAACTGAAATATTAGAATTTTTCTGTGTGTTATGTTTCTTTTAGCCCTGAAAAAGAGATGTTTGCTTCTATGTTTACACATAGAAGTAAAACAATTATCAATCAAGTGTGAAAAGGAAAAAAATCAATTTTCAGATACACGAGTTTTCAGAGTTTACATCTCTTTTTCAGGGGTAAATATGAATGGACACAGAGTTCCAATTAAATCTGGAAGATTGAGCATATGAGTTTGTGTCCACTTTCTCCTGGGACTCACTAAAATGATAGAAAAGCAGTTTTTGAAAAGCTATGAAAGAGAATGGCAGATGAAGCCATAGCATTTAGAAGATGTTAACAGGATTTTAGAAGATGGAAAGCTGACGGATAAGGGGAAAGTGACCTAGATAGTGAAGAAAGATGAAACCTAAATGCCTTTTGGCAGAAAGCAATTCAAGTCATGCACAAACCATGGAAAAGCTTGGGAGTTGGAATTACCAGGATTGTGGGCCCAGGCTAAAAACAGGATGGTTTGCTGCAAGTCTACATGAAGAGGACTTACACCTAGCCCAGACTATGCAGTAAGACAAACAGACCTCACCAATCATGGTAGAAACAGAAGCTTATCTCTTCAGAGTGAATCACGTAAACCCAGTCCTCAAGAACAGCAGGCATTGCTGAGGTGTGGGGTTGGATGCCTTACTGAAATCAGGAAGAAAAATCGAAGGTTGCATACTGAATGGTAAGACTCTATCCTCAACTTCCTTTCTACTTAGTTTCTAGAATGCTGGTTGCCAGATGTCTAATCATCTCTAGGAAAGAGGCTGAAGAACTCCTATATAGAGAAGCTTATCAACTTCAGAAAAAGGCATGAATTTATTGCTATCTGAGGCCCACAAGTAAAGGACTGTCAAAATAATCCCAGTTAACAAATCTTATATACCCACAGTGCCTTGCTCTTATATACAAATGAACACCTAAGGACCACTAAGTATTTAAGGAAAGACCCTAAAAGAAGCTAAAACAAGCTAATCAAACATGGGAAAATTAATTGGAAGAGACCAGAAAAAAATTAAAATAGTAACAACTAAAATTAACATTTTCAGGGAGAAAAGATAGTGTAGCCTTAAAACAAAAATAAGATGCTATTGAAAAAAAGAAAGATTAAAAAATAAACAGCTCTTGCATATTAAAAATATATTAGTAGAAACTTCAAAATTAATGGTTTGGAAGAAAAAGAAGAAAATTTTTGAAAAAATTAAGCATCAAAAGAAATAAACAATTAGAAATAAGATTTTAAAAACTGAAGATCAATCCAGAATGGCGAATATCCAACTGACAAGGTTTTGAGAAAGAATAGAGAAATTAGAGGAAAGGAAATTATTAAGGAGATGATGTAAGAACATTTTCCATTTTTTTTTTGTTTGTTTGTTTTTTGTTTTTGTTTTTATTTTTTTTCCCAAGGGATGAAGTCTTGCTCTGTGGCCCAGGCTGGAGTGCAGTGGTGCAACCACAGCTCACTGCAGCCTTGAACTCCTAGGCTCGAGTTAGCCTTCCATCTCAGCCTCCTGAGTAGCTGGAACTACAGGCACCCACCACTACAACCAGCCCATTTTAAAAAAGTGTACACATGGGGTCTCACTATGTTGCCCAGGCTGGTCTCAAACTCCTGGCCTTGAGGAACCTGCAATCCTCCTGCTTGGCTTCCAGAAGTGCTGGGATTACAGAAATGAGACACCGTATCTAGCTCACTTCCAGATTTGAAGGATATGAGAGGGTCGGCCTCTGAGAGACAAGCACAAGATTACATTTTAAAAAGCCTCTTCTTAAGATGTCATAAATTTTCTTAACCCTAGAGATAGAGTATCATAAAGTCTCTAGAGAGATTTACGATTAAAAGCATACATGAGGCTTCAGGAATCAGAATGGTACTAGTCTACCCAATAGCAATACTAGAAGATAACAGGTAATGGGACAAAACTGACAAAATAGAAAAACATTATTGTTCTTAGATTCATAGAAGCAAAACAGCTATCAATCAAGTATGAAAAGGAAAAAAAAAAATCAATTTTCAGATACACAAGTTTTCAGAGTTTACATCCCAGGCCCCTGTTTAAGGAAACTACAGGAGTATATAATCCAGAAAGTTATGGGATCCAGAAAGCGAGGGGGTGACATAGAAGAGAAGTGGAGGGGATCTCCCAAGATGATGGTGATGGAGGACCCCAAATCAACAACTGTGTAGCAGGATAGAGGGCGTTTAGTTCAAACTGAAGTAGAAGGGCAGAGAGCTCCAAGAGGAAAGCATCTAGTGAAAAAAAGTAGAATTGATATATTATCTGACAAGTCTGATTATATTAAGGGAATTTTATAGTTCTCCTGGATCATTTTGAGGTGGGTTAATGACAGAAATACAGAAACATAAGGTAACATTAACAAATAGAAATGCAATTATAAACCCTGGGGTGGGGAAATGCTATATAAAAAAGGAAATGGACTGGGCACGGTGGCTCATGCCTGTAATCCCAGCACTTTGGGATGCCAATGCAGGCGGATCACCTGAGGTCGGGAGTTCAAGACCAGCCGTACCAACATGAAGAAACCCCGTCTCTACCAAAGAGAAAAAAAAAAAAGGTTGGCGTGGTGGTGTATACCTATAATCCCAGCTACTCGGGAGGCTGAGGCAGGAGAATCGCTTGAGCCCGGGAGGCGGAGGTTGCGGTGAGCCGAGATCACGCCATTGCACTCCAGCCTGGGTAACTAGACAGAAACTCCGTAAAAGAAAACGAAAAAAAAAAGCAAAAGGAAATGAAAACAAAGCAACCCTATGGTTGGGTTGTAAGCAATAAGAAGTGGGCTACTTGAGTTACAATTTTAACTCTGCCACTGAATTGTGTGACCTTGAGACAATTGCTTAACAATACTAATTGTATAAACAGAATTTTGATTTCAATAAAACTAGTTAAAAGATAGAGGATAGGATGTGAATGTCGGGGATGGAAAGAGAGATGAAGAGGGAGAGACAGTTGAAAGAGAGATAGAGAATTAAATTTAGTTCCTCATCTTTCATAGGAAGATGTCAACAGACATGTAAAATATTGAAAGTCAACGAACAGGCCGGGCGTGGTGGCTCACGCCTGTAATCCCAACACTTTGGGAGGCCGAGATGGGCAGATCACAAGGTCAGGAAATCAAGACCATCCTGGCTAACACGGTGAAACCCCGTCTCTACTAAAAATACAAAAAATTAGCCGAGTGTGGAGGTGGGCCCTGTAGTCCCAGCTACTCTGGAGCCTGAGGCAGGAGACTGGCCTGAACCCAGGAGGCGGAGCTTGAAGTGAGCTGAGATCGCGCCACTGCACTCCAGCCTGGGAGACAGAGCCAGACTCCGTCTCAAAAAAAAAAAAAAAAAAAGAAAAGAAAAAAAAGAAAATCAACGAATAGCAGCATAATGATCATAATAGCTAAAACATACAGCGTTAATTCTATGCCAAACACTCCTTTATGCTGTAAGATACACACACGTGCGCGCACACACACACACACACAAATTTTCTCCTCTAAAGCGATGACTCCTAGTAGCAAGAGTTGCCAGTAAATGGATTGAGTGAAATAACTGCTTCTTCTTTTTTTTTTTTTTAAAGTATTTCACCTTTACATCTTGGTACATGTATTATTTTGAGAAAGTAAAAGCTAATTGAGACATAAAATATGTAATGGATTAAAGAAACTTTTCTGTTGTCTTACTTGCTATGTTAGAATAGTGCTTTAAATTCTGTGATTGCCAAAAATTTCTCTTCACATAATGGATGTAATATGAAGTAATGGGCTATTGAAAATAATTCTCCCCTCTTTCTGTCCCCTCTTTTGATATTGTAGCCTCTTAGAAAGCACTGTAAGAAACCCGAGCTCCACTCAAATGGCAGGGCTACTGTTTGACACATTTTGGATGTTCTGATTTTGTTTTAAGATCCATTTCAACCTTAAAGACTTTCTCTAAAAGAATAATACAAATGGTAAAAATGTAAATGTCCATTTGCTTACAAATTTCAACTCAAGAGGAGTCCATCATATCAGATCCATGAGAGCATCATCTGCCCTGAGGAGGATATTTTTACATAATGGGCATCTTCTACCTTGGGCTAAAATGTAGGATGAGTTAGAGTTGCTGATTGATACCATTTGTCATTGACATTTTTTTCTTTTCTACTCACAAATAAGTGTGTTAATTTTTTTCCTAATGTTTGGTGTTATAACAGAGATGAAATAGGAGAGTGGGCTAAGGATAAAGCAAATATCCTTATTATAAATCAAATGAACCCACAGAAGCAATTTCCCAATATTATTTGAGTTACGATTTTCATATTGATTTAAGCAAAAGACCTGTGTTCTAATTCCAGCCCTTGTGTACCATCTGTGTGTATATGGGTAATTTTCCCCACCCCTGAATGAGTTGAAAGCTTCATCATTATATGGGGAAGAATAGTAATTTTAAAAAATATTTTATCAGCTAACACACAGACTATTGCAATGGTCATCTTCTGAACTAAAACCCCTGCCTCCATCTCTCTACCCAATTTATCACATAGTTGCCTGATTAAACTTCTAAGAATGTTACTGTCCTTGAGCAAATTATTTATTTGCTTATACATTTTTAAAAAACTTTTCAATTGACCATAAGAAAAGTTTTACATTCTTAGTTAAAAATCTGAGTTCTCTGAGAGCAAGATCTGTGACTTACTTATCTCTGTTTCTCTGGTACTCAACAAAGACCGGGCACATAGTCATAACTTAGAAATGTTAAATAAAAATTTAATTTAACCCTAAAATTCAAGGCTTTCTTTTGTCTGGGCCTATTCTTTCTTTCTAATACTTTGGTTTAGAATTACTCTTACATGATTCTTTCCTCTTTCCAGTGTTTTAACTTTGTATTCTAAACTTTGATTCTGTTTATCCATCCTTCTTCCATTCATTTATCCATCTATCAAATATCTAAAGGATGATATATCAAGATGTTCGCATTTGCAAGCAGTAGATATCTTAACTCAAACTGGCTGAAATATTAACAGAAAAATGTCATTGGCTGAAAAATTTGAAAAGTCAGTCTAGTTAGCAGGACTTAGTGTCGTTTGATCAGACCTCTGACTCTGTTTCTCCATAAGGAACGAATTGAATGAATTAGCACTCAATATCAAAAGAGCTGCAATGAGTGAACAAACACTCTTCATGCTATGCAATAAGATCTGCCCAGTATGCTTCTCACCACAGTATAATGGTGTCTTTACCATTATTATAAGTCCACAAGCAGGCACAAAAGAATAAGTGGTGGCACGCTTTTTCAGTGATTTATCAGCAACCTTTTCTTCTTTGTACTAGGAAAAAAGGCCACATACAATGTTAATATCATGGGAAGCATGTTTACCCACTGATTTTCAAATGATTTAAGTCAATGTTGTAGGTCTGCCTTTTAACTCAAATAAATATTTTTCGTTTTTACCACTAGCGGGCAGCAGTTAGGAAATATTAATAGTGACTACTATTGTATATATTTTTTTACCTCTTCAAAATTATAATTAGCTTGTGCTTACAGCGGTGAAATATTCTGGATCTTTTATGTTCTGTTCTATTCCAAAACTATGTATTTAGATTTTTTGCTTTGGAAAATTTTACCCTAAATGTTATAGAAGTAGAAACCATCCCACCCTCTGCCTCTAGTAGAGTAAGTAACTTAGAAAATAGTGTGAAATTAAACAGAAACTTCCTAGATGCTAATAGCCAAGTGGGAAATTTCAATAATATTAGAAGCCTTCCTTCAAAGAAGATGGTATTTTACCATTTGTGACAACAAAATGTATGGCAGCCAAAGGAAGAGAATCAGTAATCTAGGATGGTAAAGGCAAAATAGGATCCCTATGGGACCTAGATAGACATTTCAATTAGGTATGTTTTGTCATGTCATTCAATTTATTTATTTATCTGTAAAACACCGTACGTCCTGGTGGTCTCTGCCTTGATCTCCTTCATACTGAAGTGTATATTTATTTTACTTCCTTTACAGATTTGCAGTTCTTTTCTATTCTTAGATTTTTCTCAAACTTTCTGTATACAATTAAAACTTTTACTTTAAGAATTTTTTTTAGAGTTGAAGACACTGATGCTTTCAAAGTCTTTCTGTAATTTATCATGTTGCTCTACGTGTATAGTGTGGAATTCAAAGTTAGAAATATTTTTCTGGCATTAGAGGAGCAGCATTTGTTCTCCATTCACTTTAAAATCTTAATTTTCCCAAGGCACAATGGCCTGTAGTGAATTAAGGCTATTTTCTCCCATTAATGCAGAAATAAAAGGGTAGAATAAGATGTATACACTTTTCTCATTGTAAATTATAAATACAGAGTAGATGCACAGAGAAAAGGAAACATTGCATATATGACTACATACATGTGTTTTTGGTAATTAAAATATATGTTTGAGGTAACAATATAGGCTTATTTAATACTTCCTGCTTCCAGTTTTTTAATCAGACAGTTCACAGAGAAGTCAAAAGACGTCTTACACCAGGCCACTAAATATAGCAGTGTAAAGTATTGGGCTATGTGCACAGATTGTCGTTTTTAAGACAAACTGAATTATTTCTTCTCTTTCCAGCTCTAAGGAAATTATATAATGATAATTTCTTAGAAATTGTCTCTGAGGCTAACACTGCAAAGTAAAATCAAATAAAGCTGAACTAAAAATTGTCTGCTTAAAAACCCTTGGTAAGAAAAAAGTCACAGATGAATTCTAGGGCTTATTTGTATAGCTTCGAACTGAAAGAAGTGTGTAATTATTAGGCTGAACATTTACTTAGGAATTCAAAGTCAAATAAAGCCATACTGTAAAAAAGCTTTTCAAAGCAGTTTTGTCTTTAGGAATGTCCACTCTCTACATATAATATAAAAAGCTATAAAACTGTATTGAGTCCATTTATTTACTATATCCCAGAAAAGGGCCTAGCCAACAGTAGATAAAAATACCTATTGAGTGAATATTTTTTGAAATAATAAACTGAAGATGTTGCATTCAAAATAGCCTCAGAAACAGTCACCTTAAGGTTCGTTTTTCTCTTTTTGAGGTGGGGTCTGGGTATATTTCCCAGATGCACTTCAAACTTCTGGGTTCCAGCAATCCTCCCACTTCTGCCTTCCTAGTAACTGGGACTACAGATGCACACCACCACCTTGAGGTATGTACTTGAGGTATTTCTTAAAAATCAGTTTGCCTTAAAAATACCACAGAAATAGTTTTTGAATGATCTTAAATAGAATGCCTTTAAAACATGTTTGTATTTTTGGTAATAGGGAGCAAAACATCAAATTTATGTTACTATTTCAAAATATTTATAAAATTATCACAATTTATTCTATTGTATATCATTTTTACCTATGTGATTACCACACCATTACTAAATCTTAATACAGTGAAGTTTCCTTTAGTACTAGTTTTTTGGTTAACTGGGGGATTCTCAATCAACTTATTTCTAAATACATTTAGTACTAAGACAACTGCAAATGTGTTGCCCACAAAAAAGACTTTATAGTTTCAGATGTAGATTTAATTTAACAAATATCCAAAAGAAGAAAGAAGAAAGAAAGAGAGAAAGAAAGAAAGAAAGAAAGAAAGAAAGAAAGAAAGAAAGAGAAAGAAAGAAGAAAGAGAGAGAAAACAGTAGGTGTAATTGCATAATTAAGGACCACAATTGTCTCTAAAATATTAACATATCCTTCCACCAGAGGGCAACATTTGCAAGACATTTAAATGATTACTCAAAAGTATTTCCTCCCACAGGGATATAAACAAATAGAAACCTATTACATTGCTGTTGGCTAATACCTTATGTACATCTTGAAAAATAGTATGGATACAATTATTTAAACAATTGCTTATAAAACTCAGTGTATACATATAGTGAAACAACAAATAAGGTAACTCTTCTTTAAATATGTAAAAAGAACTTTCAGAAAGCACATTTCTACATATTAGTATTTTTTCAGTTTATTATTAATCATTTAACTCAAATATAATAAAAAAAACTTAGGATGGGAGAAACAAAAGAAAATAAGTTTTACATCTTTTTACATCTAAAGACTTTTCATCTAAAGTCATGAAAAGGCATAAAATTTTACAAGCAGAAAGGATAATAGAAACCACACGATACAAGCCTTCATTTGTGCCAGTAAGCAAACTGGCTTATTAGTGTTCGATGATTGATACAAAATTGCAGAGATGATAATCAGTGGAACCAGGACCCAAACTCAGGTAAACTGATTTCACATTTCATACTCCGAGATGTTGATGTTCAAAATGTGATCCTTAGGCAAGCAGTTGTAGAAACGTGTTACAGTGGTTGAATCTTGGGCACCACTCTAGACCTATTGAATCAGAATCTGTATTTTAACAAGACCTTAAACTGTGAGAAACTCCTCTAACCTGAGCTGTTTTCTCATCACCAGTTACATGACTTCAGGTAATTACTAAATCTCACTTTCCTCCTCAATAACATGGGAATACAACTATTTTAGTTTAAGGAATAATTATAAGGAATAAATACGTTTATCATGTAAATAAAAGCTACTCATAAATTGTAATATTGCACACATATTATATTAGTTATATTCAGTGAAAACTTCTCCTTTTATTGTTAACAGTTCTTGACAAGAGGGACAATTCTTCCCCTAGAAGAAAAGTGGTCTAATAATGCAATTCAGGACTTGTTATAATTGGATGTAAGTTATTGGGGATAAAGGAGGGTGTCAAGAGAAAGGAAGCCTTTTCTGATATGCTTAAATTAATATCTTACATATAACTACTAGTGTTTCTTTGCATAAAGATAAATCTGATGAATTTAGGGCTGCAAAAGTACACGTTCAGCGTTTGCAATTTGTGTCCACTCATGAAGAAAATCTGTTGGGTTAGCAAATGGTGTCTGAATATATGTTTCTTACACTGGGAGCAGCTATGGGTTTAAAGCCAGCCTAAATGACATTCTTCAGTCGCAGGTGGTCTAGTAACGTTTCTTGTAATTTTCCACACATAACATTTTTCATTGTTTATGAAAATACCATTAAATACACCCCTTCTGGCTAGGGTGCTATCCAAATACCACCACTCCACCCTGCCAAACTCCACTGGGCTGCCATCATCTTTATAGAACTACATTTCTTTTAACTATTAAGACAGACAAGAAAACATTGTCTCTTGAAATATATTCTGGACATTTTCACTCCCGGGCTGGGTTATTTAACTTGTGTAATTTCACCCATAATTGTTTGAAATTGTATTTTTGTGTCTATCTCCCAAGTAGCTTGTGAGATATTTCAGGGAGAATTCCCAGATCTAGTATTATTCTTGACACTCAATGAATATTTTTAGAATGAGTAAATCAATATTACCAGTTATTCTGATTCAGTTGCTCACCCTATTATCAAGAGAGTGGAAGAGAGAGGAGGATGACATTCATTTCAATAAAGGTGAATATAACTGTTTAAAAACAATGCTTTTGTGTTGGATTTATATTGCTTAGTGTCCCCTCATATTTGTGTATTGGAGACTTAGCTATCATGTTTACTGATGGTTTAGATAGATCTCTAGTCATTTGTGGTGCAACTTAAGCTGGAGTGCTTAGGAAAATCATTTACATATCATCACCCCAGCTTCACAAATATTTGTTGTAAATTCTATTTTTTTGTATAACTTCCCAGAATTCCAAAATCATTAATATCTCTAAATAAATATAATTTAATGAACTTAGTTATTAAAGATTTGAAAAATACAGATATTTTGAAAACACCTAGATAAGTCAAGTCCTGAATAGCTTGAATCTTTTAATCTTTTTCTTTTCTTTTTTTTTTTGCAAGGAAATAGTTTAATGAGGGTTTTTTTTTTGTCTCCTTATACTTGATCTTGAGAAATAGATAGTATTCTGAGGCATCCCATGGTTTTAGAGAAAAATTAAATTCACTGTTTTATTGAAGATACATATTTTAACACAAATTTATCAAAAAAGATAAAAATGTCTTCATTATCCTTTTCTTTATTATATTTCACAATGGAAATAATTTGACAACTATCAAACTTAATAATGGCAGATGGTTTTAGCTACTTTGACATTTTTTTCCAGCTATCCATTCAGTGAATACATAGCCATTATATCATTTGAACTATTCAGGTAATATTCTTATTTGATTCTCAATTTAGATCCATATTTTTGAGATTTTGTCTCAGGATCCTAAGTAAAATTGACTCCCTCTGTTGGCTTATGTGACATCCAAGGTTTTGACCTTGAAAATGTGGTTCAAGGCCAGTCTGTTCTGTAAGCATTGGCCTGAATTGTACTTAAGAAGTTTGTGATTCATGTGAAAGAGATTAATAATTTACATTAATCTAGCAGTTTTCTTGCTTGCTTAATGAGATAAATTCATTGATGCTGTACCTGTATATATAAAGCCAAAACTCTTACATGAATGTCTTTCAAAATTTATGCTTTAGGAGAAGGACATACAAAGAAAAATAAAATAAGATTTGAATGGAATATATGTAAATTAAAATAAATCTTTTTAAAAATAAATCTTTAAATTATCAATTACAATTTGTTGGCAAGCACAAGGTATAGCCACATATTTCATCAGTATATTGGTATTTCAGTAGTGTATTGTAAATTAGTTAAATAAAGATGCTTAAAATTCCAAGGAATTTATATTAAATTAACTGTATTTTATTTAATCAACTTCACTGAGTTTATAGCTATTCTTTTTTCTTCTCTCCATACCTCCCACCTCTTTTTCTTTATCTCTCCTTTCCTCTATTCTTCATTCTCTCCCTTTCTTTCTTTCATCTTTTTCCTGTCAGGAGTTAAAACAAACACATGAACAATGTAATTATGTATTTTGTGTGCACATATTTTATATTCAAGGGAGCCTAGGTGTCTTGGAACACCACAAGCATAAGTTAAATATGTTGAAATCTTTCTTCCCTGCAATACTGGCATCAGCGTGCTGGACAAAACGTAGCAAACTAGAAGTAACTTGTGAATTTTTAATAAAGTTGTCTTCCCTAGCAGAGCTAAATGCACCATTCTCCCTGCAAACTCTGGAGATGATGACATCTTCCCAATGGTTTCCATAGCATCCGTTCCTGAAGAGCCCCCGTATGGTCCTTGGTCAGGGCGATCCGCCCAGCTCCCCTAGAAAGTTGGCAACCTAGCTAGCCAAAAGAAGAGTCCCCTATTCCTGAAACTTACTCTGTCCGTGGTGCTGAAACATTGTACCGAGACCCGCCCAGACGGGCGCTGTCAGCCGCTGAAAAAAAAAATCTTCCCCGAGGCTGCCCAAATCAGAACTGTGTATCTTTTATTTACTCACGTCCTCAAAGAGCAGCAAGCCTTCTCCATCTTAATTTGACTCTACCGCAGAGCAGACTTACGCTGGCGTGATGGGAGGAGATCATGGGCAGAGAGGAAAAACTAATAGCAGCATTGCTCACCTGAGACCTGAGATGCTCCCATGAGTTTTGAATATGCTCTGCTCCTTACAGCAAAGACACCATTTTTAAAAGTACCATTCTTTTGACTTTGCTGTTCCCAAGGCTTCTGTGATATTCCGGCCCCTCCGTTTAAAAGCCATCAGATTTGAGAGCAATAAGTCTTCAAAACCGGGAATTTACATTGTTTTTCAGCTGACCGACTTCCAGGAAAAGGACTCAACCGCATCTACCCAAATACCGTGGCACTGCTTGCGCTCTTTGCCACCGGATCCTCCCCTTCCAATGAGACTTTCTGATTGTGTCTACCAACTCTCCTATTAGGAAACCCGTGGGTTGCATGCAGCTATTCTGTTGTATTCTCATTCTCACTCTCCCTCCCTTCTCTCACTCTCACTCTTGCTGGAGGCGAGCCACTACCATTCTGCTGAGAAGGAAAAGCCCGCAACTACTTTAAGAGATTAAGACAATATGCGCAATCCTCGCCTTTCCTAGCAATCACTATTTAAATCTGGCAAGAACTGACAACAGTCTTTGCAAGAATGGAATCCGTAAAACAAAGGATTTTGGCCCCAGGAAAAGAGGGGCTAAAGAATTTTGCTGGAAAATCACTCGGCCAGATCTACAGGTAAGACAAAGCGAACACTTGCTTACCTGGGGCTCAGCATGAAAAAATCTGCAGGGCCGTTTCCGTAAACCCTGGTGGCTCAGAAAGATTGTAATATGATCGGAAAGTCTTTTTGTTGCCCATTGCTTGGAGCGGGGGTGCTCTGGAAACCTGCTTATTAATGCAGGAATGTTGCACTAAATGAACCTGTCTGGTGTGTGTGTGTGTGTGTGTGTGTGTGTGTGTGTGTGTGTTTGATTTTTGCTTTGGTGCCTGCAGAGTTTTTGTCCTTTACTACACAGGATTTATCTTCTTTACAGTTAAGAAATGGCCAGCCCCTGCTCAAACAGCGTTTCTTTTGGTGCTTATAGATACCCCGAATTAAATTCCTTTGATGCAGACAAATGAATATAAAACACAACCATCTAAAAAAATAACCAAGAAATTCCAAAGAGTAATGGTTTATATATATATATATGTTATATATATATGTTATATATATATGTTATATATATATGTTATATATATATGTTATATATATATGTTATATATAGTTATATATATATGTTATATATATATGTTTTATATATATATATATATATATATGTTAGAGAGAGAGAGAAAGAGAGAGGTCTCAGCTTCAAAAGCATAGTAGAGAATCCCCTAGTGAAATATGTCTTCTGTATTGAATGAAGAAGAATCAAAATATATCAATAATTGATAGTTGAAGCAATTCCTTTCTCTGAGCCTGAAACAATGTATATGCATTTTTAATTATTTTCATCTCCTAGAGTCTATTTCTTGCATAGGAAATGTCAATGCCTGGAAGAACAGCCATAAATATAACAAGCAACATTACTTTGAAAGTCCTAGAAATGATTTAATTATTTAATCCTCCTGTAGTCACTATACTAATTATGCTGTAATTTGCAAAACTTTAAATCATTTCAAGTATGTTATATGGATACAGCTTTTCTTAATAATTAGAGCAAAATCAAGACGACAGGGCAGACATAAAAGGAAAAAGAATTACAAAGGAGCACTAATTTTAATATTTGGGAAATTGAAGTCTCTGTAAATGCATGAGAAATGTAAAGAAAATGATCAAACCACTCCCAGATTTTCCAAATCTCTTCAGGTTTGGCGGGCTTCATGTAGGCACGATTATGCACCTATGCGGCAGTAGATACCGCAAGGGCCCTGCAGTCCCACAGCTACCATGGAAAGGGATGTTCTTTCCCAGTACAACTGCCATCCGGTGCAGAGCTCAACTTCGTATATTTGAGCACACGAAGCAAATGCAGGAAATGAAAAAAAAAAACCGCATTGGCTGAATTTTTTTCTCCCAGTAAAAATAAATTGCAATGTTTTCTAACATTGTGATCGGACTTTAAGAATAAACATTAACCTAGCCACAAATACCTTTATGACTTATTCTCCAGGTGCTACGTTATAGAATTCGGAAGCCTGACATTTTTCTTCGGGTGGCCTCAAACTTCTTGACAGCAGTATTCCAAGCTATGCATATTTGAAATTAGTTTAAAAATTTCACTTGCTTTACCCGTGTGTGTGAAAACAATTGGGTGTTCACATAGCACTTAAAACAGCACAGGTGAAAAGCAATTACACGGTAGATTGGAAAAAATATCTGCAAATTGTAAACGGAAAGGCTCTTTGTTTAAATATCGAAAGTATCAATCGCAAGGGGCTACGTACAGAGATGTTACCTTATACATTCCTTTTGTTTGTTTGTTGTTAATAGAAATTTCATGAATATGTTGTAGACTAGAACACTACCACCTTTTAGTAAAACCATTCCTTTTCTCTGCATTCCCCTTTTCATTTGTCCCTTCTCCCAAGGACCAAAGCCAAAAATGAATTGATGGTTGAAATCTTATGAAACACTATGCAAAAACAAATATTTAAGTGAGATCTTCCCCTTTGATGTGGAATATCTTACAAAAGTTGATTTGGGGGAGCCTTTGTATATCTGGGAGTCGCATTTTGCGTCTTGGGAAATGGACCCTTGACATTTTTCGGTGTTTGTAAGAGAGATAGTAATGACGCAAGATTGTGAATAATTAATTATTCATGTTCTGGCAGTAGGAAGCTTAGGTGTCGGCCATATGCTGTGGAGCCCTTTGTCTCCAACTCGAGTAATAAGAAAAAAAAAATAGTAAGAAGTGTAACAGGGGAGTAAGCATTGAACTAGAGCCCTGGGGCGGGATGAAGGGGAAGGAGAGTGCATGACACTCTCAGCGAGAGCTCTCAGGCCTTCTCCTCACGCACAGGCACTAGCCTAGAGAGGCCTTAGTCCAGGGGGTGCTCCAGGCTCAGCTCAGGGGGTGGATTGGGGAGCGGAATACCAGCATCGTCAACCTGGAAAGCTTCAACTTGCTAGAAACGGAAAAGGCAGCGCGGGTGGGAAAGGCTCTCTAGTTGGGCCCGCCTGCAGCGGAGCAGCTCTCTGGTGCTGTGTTGCAGGAGGACACCGCGGTAGTCAGGGTAAAGCCCTGCTGGGCGCGTGTAGGAGTGGGAGGCGCCTACTCAGGTGCAGAGGAGGCGCTGGTAACCCCTGCCCTCACAAAATGCAGACCCTGCAGATCCTGCAAGAAAGTTAGGCCCAAGCGGCCTGTGTATCTCAATCAGAGCGCCCAGGGGTGGATCCCGAGATGGGGACTCGCTACCTTAGGCCTAAAGGTGTTAAAGTTGAAGAGACGCCGCCGCCGCGGCCAAGGGCACCTGCAGAATGTGAGAGAGCCTGGGAGGTCTTGCAGCTTGGTGTCACCCCACCACCCTAATCCCCGAGGGTGGGGGGAGGTCGACGGCCCTCCTCCCAACCCCGACGGGTCCTGAAAAATGGGAATGGGTCAGCATCGGGGGTACCTAAGCCGCCAAGTCCTTGACTCGCCCCTGCTCTGCCGCGCAGGGTGCTGGAGAAGAAGCAAGACACCGGGGAGACAATCGAGCTGACGGAGGATGGGAAGCCCCTAGAGGTGCCCGAGAGGAAGGCGCCGCTGTGCGACTGCACGTGCTTCGGCCTGCCCCGCCGCTACATTATCGCCATCATGAGCGGCCTGGGCTTCTGCATCTCCTTCGGTATCCGCTGCAACCTGGGCGTGGCCATTGTGGACATGGTCAACAACAGCACCATCCACCGCGGGGGCAAGGTCATCAAGGAGGTGGGCAACGTCTGGCCGCCCTGGCTCCTGCCCTTCGGCCATGCGGCCTCGCAAAACCACATCTCCTGTTTGAGCCCCGTTCCCCCGCCACTGAGAGGAAGGTTTGGGTGCTCCCTAAGCTCCTCTCTGGCTCTGCCGTTCTAGAATGGACCCCAGTAGTGTTATCAGTTCCCTTTTCGCTCTGCTGTCTGGGCCTCCCCTTCCTCAACTGCAAAGTGGAAAAGAGGGTCTAGCTCACCAGGTTTTGTGAACTGTGACTTAATACAAGACGTTGGTGACTAGCAATGTCCACTAAGTCTAAATAGAAGTGTGTTTGTTTTACTTGGATGAATAGTGTAGCATATTAATTATAGTTTTCCCAGGACTTCAGTCCCAGCCAAAACATTCTTAATATTCACAATGAAACAAACTGGAAAACAAAATCAGCTGTGTTCATATCAGCAGGTTCAGCTGAGTGGTCTTTCGGAAGGTTTACCTCCCCCAGGAGGAGCCACAACGTAAGAGGGTCCCAGGGTGGCAGGGAGTCGCGCCCAGAGAGGGGAGGGTCACGTCAAGGTCACAGAACCCCTGGGTCCAGACTTCCTTCTTAGAAACCCCAGCTGCCGTAAACCAGACTAAGCAGGAGTTGAGTGGAGAAACTGGGGAAGACTCTTGGAATCCGGGAGACCTTGCAAGATCCTCTGGGTGTCAAAATATTATTTAAAGGGGAAAAAGGGTCCCCAGTTCTCAGGCGGGAAAAGCGCGCTCCCACCTTTCGGATGTAAATATTGAGCCCCAGTTTACCTTGAGGTTCCCCTCGGGGAGTCACCCAGGCTGCTCAGGGCGGAATTAGACCTCCCTTCAGAAATACCCCTGCCCCGTATTTATTAAAACCCCTGAGCAATGACTCCCTCTCCCTTTACTCCTCCCATTTCACCGACTACTCCAAACTCTTCAGGCCCATATCCGTCCCCATTTGTGGGGACACGCTTTCTCTTAGCCACTAAAAGCCCTGCACCTTTCACCATTTGCTCCCCACCTTCCTTCCTCAGAATTTCCCGATTTAAGTCTCCAGGGTTGGAAGTCACTACACTACTGTGTCTGCATTGGCCGGATTCGTTAAGTGGACCCCTGACAGGCGTCTCCACATCTGGCTAACAAATCTCTTCATGGGGAGTCCGAATTTCCAAGACGGGGGCCCTCTAGATTCCTCCTTCATTCAGATGATTCGATCTGCCTGACAGTAGTCAGGGAGCAAAGCCAGTGCGCCTGGCCTCACTATTAATCACAATACATTTTGTTAATGAGCAGGGTTTTTTCGTTGCAAGAGGCAATTTTGTTAGGAAACGAAAATGAAGCCACTCTTATCCCCAGAATGCATGAAGCGCCCAAGCCTTGGGGGCTTTTTGGCTTGTGAACCACTGAAAGTGAGCCTTTGGTACTGACTCTACTCTTTCCCTTCACACTTTTTTCCTACCCCTCCATAGAAAGCCAAATTCAACTGGGACCCGGAAACCGTGGGGATGATCCACGGTTCCTTCTTTTGGGGCTACATCATCACTCAGATTCCGGGAGGCTACATCGCGTCTCGGCTGGCAGCCAACAGGTAATGCGCCAGGCGGGACTGGGGCTCGGGGCGTGGTGTTTGTTTCCTCCGAAGGGGCAGCAGAAGCTGGAGCAGAGACAACAGCCCAGAGGGGTTTGAGGACTCCCGGGCGAAGTCTTCTAGTCCCTTGACACACCCTCTCAGGGCTGGAGCTGCTGGTGACTCCTTCCTGAATTAGTCGCCTAAACGAATGTAGGCTCTCTGGGACCAGCGCACGCGGCCTCCTTCCCTCTGCTGTGGCTGAACTTGCTTTTGGCGAAATAATCGACGTGCTGTATGGCCTGACAGGAGCTGAGGGCAGACCGGGAGCAGGCAGAGCAGGGACAGTGCGCCTGAGTGCACAAAGGGGTGTAGAACGGCAGATGCTGCGCTCTCTCCTGCACTCCCCGCAGGCTCCCAGGCTCCCCGAGGGTCTGACCTCCTGGCAAGGCGCCTCGAAGACCTGGCCCCGTCCCCCGCCCAGTTGGTGCTCTGGGTATGAAGTATTTGTTTCTAGGGGGGCAGGCACCAGCGATGCGATTTCACCTGTTAATGAGCTGCGTAGGGGCGGGCGTTGGGGGAGCCCTCAGCTGCTTTCAGTGGCCTCCTGCCTTGCTGCGGTGTCCACAACCAAGGTCCTAGCGCCAGTTCCCAGAAGCGCCACCAACGGCACCTGGAGAGACACCCCTAAAGCATAAGACCTAAGGACCGATGGGGTGGAGGTGTCGAGGGGCACGCTTGGCCACCAGAAGGTGAGGGGCAGCTTCCTTTGCTTCACTGTGTGTACATTGATAAGCAAAACTAAATGCTCTTCACGTCTGAATTGTTGAACCCACACAGAACACATGCACCAGCTCTTTCTGGTCTTTCTGCTTAGATACCGCAAATAAAGACTTCCAGGCTTTATTGTACCTAAAACTTCATTCCTCTTCCTACACCCAAAACTCACATTTTAAAGGAAGAGGACTAGAAGTTGGCATCTCCCTAATAGTGGTCATATGCAACCTGGCCCTTTGTAACCTGGGCACACCTCATCTCTCAGGCCCCATACTGCATCTTTTGTCAATTACTATCCCTTTCACTAGCGGTGTCATTTCTGCCCAAGGCTTCTCAGAGTCCTCAGGGCCTGGGGAGGAATTCTTGGAAATTTATTTTAGGCTTAAGGATCCCTAGAGTGAGGGTTTTGGGGCAGTGCTTTAAAATGTCAAGAGGAGAGTGCCATACATTAGGAATAATGCCTTTCGAGTATCGTCTTTACTTGAAATACGGATGGCTGACACTAAGAGCAAGTAGTAGACAAACAGTCCCTTTAAAAAAATCAATTTATTGTGTATATGTACCACATTTTATTTATCCATTCATCTGCTGATGGACACTTGATGAAACTCATTAACTATGTAGAGAACCCCTTTTTATGGATGTGGTAAATCAAACAAAACATTGATAGTAGGCAAAAATTAAAGACATTCTGTCAAATATTATTGATTATGAGCATGTTATATTTTTGGTTTTTAGATCCCCAATATATATAGTCTTCACTCATTTTTTTCCCTAAAAAGTATTTCCTAAATTAAAACAAAGTTTTCAGAAAGATACCCTAAACATACATGCATGGAATGTTTTCACTGCAGGAGAAAAAAAAATCCAACAATTCACCAAAAAACAAAAATGATACAAGATCTCAATATGATGTCAAATGAAAATATAATGGTGGTGACTTTAAGGGTTTTTTTCAGAGTCAAAATATTCACCTTGTCAAATATTAAAATGCTAACATTTTCCTGCCGGGAAAAAACACCAGGGATGCTCCAGCTTTTCCTCTTTGTAACACTAGGAAGTCAGTAAACGGGTTTTTCCGATTATTTAAATAAAAAAAAAAAGCAAACTCATTATTATCTGTGTCATGTTTAGCAATGAAAAGAGTGATGCTGACTCAGGTTCTAATTTATCTGGTAGATTTTACTCAAAAGATTTTTTTTTTTTTTTGAGATGGATTCTCACTCTGTCACCAGGCTGAAGTGCAGTGGCACGAACTGGGCTCACTGCAGCCTCCACCTCCTGGGTTCAAGTGATTCTCCTGCCTCAGCCTCCCGAGTAGTGGGACTACAGGTGTGAACCACCACCCCCAGCTAATTTTTTTATAGAAAAAAATTTTAATTTTTGGAATTCCTATTTGGATCCAAATTAATCTTACCTTTAAATGGGTATTCAAGGGAAAGGCCTTAATATTTTCATATATGATATGTTATGTTCTATGATACTGAGAAAATTAAATTAAAAATGTATTGTAAAATATCATGAACCTATAGAAAATTATAGAGATCAACTACCTTATCTTGCCTGAAGATTCTGACATTTTGCTTCATTTTGAAAATATAACAAAACATTGCAAAATGCAGTTGAAGCCTTGTGTGAAAATGGTTTTTAAACATGTATAACATTTTCTTTTCATGTTATAACAATATTGCACATTAGTAAGAAAAAAATTATAAAAATGATAAAAATTTAATCAGCCTGATACCCCTATTATTAACATGGTGAATGTCCAACTAGTACTACAAATGCTACATAGAATTTTACCTTAGAAGACTTTTAATAAACACAAAATCAGAGATTTTTACAAGTTGTTTGAAAGACGTATATTTCCTATTATGATCTCTTTTTCAAAAACAGTAAAGACAAAACAGCAAAACCAATCTTCCACTTATGAGCATCATGTACCCATTCAAATAAGCTTCTCTATATTGATCACTTAAGAATAGAATGAGATTTCCTTTGCATGTGATATTGGGGACAGATTCCTTTCCCTCTAGGTGTAAAAGAGTCTCACTTTGGAAAGTTTTGCCACCACTGTTGTGGTGGAACTGAGGAAGATAAACTGAGGTGTGTGGAGACAGCCACTCAAGAGAGAAGGGCTCCTGGCTACATCTCTTGGCAAATTTCTCAATGAAAAACAAAGAGCAATTATTTGGCTTCTTCAGTTTATTGATTAAGCAAAGACAGCCCCACTCTTGGTCACAATGCAGACTCCTGGTTCTTATACTACTCAGATTCTAAGTATATTTACTTTCCTGATCATTGAGAGGAGGAGTTGGAAGAGTCAGGAGGGGAGTAAACCCAGTCTCAGAGGAAGGATGGCTCTTGCATCACTTTTTCCTTTGTCTTCCCTTAAAGAGCTATTGCACATTATGGGCTGGAGAATTTAGTCACCTCCAGGAAAGGCCTTAGGGTGGGGGGTCAAAGGAAAATTCCTTACAAAATCTTTAATGTTTTAAGATGAGAACATATTAATATGGTAATAAAAAAATGTGGGGGGCAAATTATTTTTGTCTTTAAATAATACAGGACATCGGCTTATAGTAATCCAGATATTTACAAATATGAAATTCCTAAGCACTGGTTTTACCCTGTATTTAAATTGCTGTGAAGAACACGGACACGTGTTTAATGGCATAAATAGCATATATATATATAATATATGAAATATATATAAATATATAAAATATATAAATATACATTTTTTTTGCAAAAGGCATAACCATAGAAGGTCAGATACAGCAAAGGGAGTTTGATGAACATTATATGTTTAATGTATAGCACTGTATCACAAAACTGTTTTGCCTTTATTTAGGTGGTGATATTATTTAAACTCTATTTAATATTTTTAATACCCTGCTCCTATCCTCTTGATTTCTCAACGCTGCTTTATTTTTTTACATGGCACTTATCACCACCTGTCATATCAATATTTTACTTATTTATCTGTTTCTCTAATGGTAGTTTTGCCCATGTTGTTGTTTTTTTCATTGCTATATTACTAGTATCTCAGAGAGTACCTGACTCATGATAAATACTCGTTAAATAAATAAAATAAATATCACAACAAGGTGTTTGGGGATTAAAAAAAAAAGCAGTAAGATTTAGGCTCTAAAGCCAAACTGTAGGTTCAGGCTCTTGAATGTGTTACTAAGTAACTGAATGATATAAAATGTGATTTATCCCCTTTACACCTTAGTTTGTATTTCTGTAAAGGAGGGCTAATCAAAGTACCTACCTCATGTGGGTCGTAACAGCTAAATATATGTAAAGTTTTCTGAAGTGCCTGGAACTAGGTAATTGCTTGCCGTTATTATTTAGTATTAATGAAATCTTAACTTTCGGGAAAAAAAAAGGAAGGAATAAAACCTCTGTGACTATTCAGCTTATTTTTGTATGAATTTACCTGAAGCATTAATAATGCAAATGGTTTATTTCTAGTGTGATAAAAATGCCTTTTTTCATGAGTCATATTTCTACCTTTAAAATTATTTTCCCATGTACATTATTCAAATTGAAATTATTGTTCACTAAAAATTCCGTAAATTTTATTTGAAGGCCTTTAAAGAGCTGTTTTAAAAATATTTTTAGCCAAGTGTATAGAGTGCTAATGATTCAGTACATCCAATCTTTGAATTCTAGCCAAGCATAAATTCACTTAGAGAAATCCATTTTAGCTTGAGGTTAGACTTCTCTATTCAAAGTTATAGTTTATTTTCCCCTACCGTAATCCTTTATTTTTGTGTTTTCAAGTATTTCTTGAATTTCTAACTTGACTTTTTCTAAAGAAAAAATACTTCTTTATTTGAGTAAGACACTTAGGATCACACTTGGTTGTAGCATATAGTGAACCCCACAACAGGAAGAACCCATATTATTGCTGGACAGAGCTCATCTAATCCAACCCTCTCATTTTACAGAGCAGGAAATAGAGAACTGAGGGAGTAGTGATTTATCTGAGGTCACAAAGGGATTGTGACTAGAACTCACTTGTCTGATGATACATGATGGCAAGGTACCTTTACAATGAAATTTAACATGTCTCTCTGATACTATATGCTTCATTGCAAAGTTTGCTTTCAGCAGTAGGCTGAGCCATCTGCTCTCTGAATGAGTGATTACAATCTATCATGCCCCAAATCCAGGGAAGAATTTCATGAATTAGCGAGAGAAGCCTTTAGCGGGCCCAAGGGATCCTTAGATTTTATTTTGGCAGGAGAATCATACTGAATTTTTTGTGTGTGTGTGTACTGGCTCCCAAGCTATTTGGTGACAACATAGCTGATTCTGCCCTTTTCTCCGCAAAAGGCAAACTCCACACTTGATAATGACTAAGATGAAGAATCTGATATTCTGTAACAGAGAACATGGTATTTATAACTTTTTCTGCCACGCAGACACCTTGTCAGTTTGGGCTCTTAGAACTAAAATTGCAGAGATTTGAACATGACTGGGTGTAGATTAGACTTTTGTCTGCAGAAATGAAGGGATTTATCCTTGGGGTTTTGACTGATGCAACTCAATTTACATGCTGTATAAAATAGAAAGTAATTTATACTTAAAAGTGAGCAAACCCAAAAGCATGGCTTTAAAATTTACTAGTGTACATTTGTATTTATAAAAATAAATTTTAATATACTTTAGGTAAATATTCTGGCTGGCATAATTATGAAACATCTCTTGTTAGAATAATTTTCGAAAGGAGAAGAAGACATTTTAAACATAATATCTTCATGTGTTAAGCCCAGAAAGGAGCAATTTTACTGGTGCTGTTCTGTCTTTTTTCTTCAGAGAGATGCAACAGTAAAGATGTGCTTTTATTTATTTGTTGGAATAAGCATTGGAAATGAATTCCTAAGCACCATCATCAAACACACACGGACACACAAACACACACATGCACACACACACACACGCTATTGGTCTGTCTATGTAATATTTTTTCCTCTCTACTTACCTATCCATTGCAACCTCCATTGCAAGAAGGAGTTCCTCAATCCTTCCAGTGAGAAATATTTGTGAATTCCTTATGTGTGAGAAAATAATTCAGACTATGAACATAAATCCTGCTGAAAGGGACCACCATCCTGTTCCAGTGGAAATGCTTTATAAGCACCCAGTCTTTTAAGGCCAGAGGTGACTTTTTCTATCTCGTGCATCTAGCTGCCAATCAAACATCTAGCTGCCTTCCTATTGTGGGCCCCATAGGTTAGGTATCTGGGGTAAGTCAGGAGAAGCCTGCATTTTTCTGACAAAAGAAAATACCCTTTACCATAAGATGAATAGATGGATTGAGGAGGGAGGGGTCTCCAAGGGCTTGCATGTACTTTGCCGATAAGAGTTTCTCTAGCTCTCTTTTCATTCTCCAATCCCTTACCCCTTACTAGCTCTGGCTTTTCCCGCTGCTGCAGCATTCTGCTACTGCAGTGCAGAGGCAGCTTCTGGAGGGGAGAGACATGATTTGAGGAAGGAGAGAGTCATGTGGGCAGCTGGTAGAGTGATGCTCCTACTGCCATATGCTACCACTGGGACTGTCTCATCTCTCTGTCATGAGTGATGAAGTCATTTTTACAACTTAATGATGTATCAAGGGACTCAGAGGGTTGGCTCATGCCTGTGTATTCCCTGTTTAATATGGGAGTGGGGGCATCAGATGTGACAAAGGGAGGCATCCAAGCCCTGATTTGATTAGATTAAATAGATTAAACAGCCTGAGTCAGTCTGCTGCAGACCCTCCAGGAAAGAATTAGTTCCACACCTGAGGTGAGGAACACTAGTCTCCTGTTAAGTGACAATCCACTGCCCAAATGGAAGTGGATTGATTGATTTAGGGAAAATGAACATCATCTGTAGAAGTGACAAGTCACCAGTGCTCCTTTCACCTTTTCTGGGCAAATCATTTTGGGGTGGGCTTGATACTTGAGGGTGTTTGTGGCTGTGGGTCATAGAAAATATGATTAGGAATTTCAAAGCGAACTCATTATGGGCCATATTGAATGCTAATCATCAGGCAGTTTGTGATACAGGTTTTCAGCAGCTGCATTTGCCTTTCCAAACATTTCTGTGTCATGATTACTATTACACCTCTTGATTTTGGCAATCTCTATAGTGGTATAGAGCTTCCTGCCATTTAAGAACATCAATGTGCATAAAATAATGACATATGATTATTTCATACTGTAAAAGAAGGGAAAGTGTATGTGTGTGTGACAAGTAGAAGAAAAGCAGAAATCAGGCTTTAACCTGATAATAATCAGCAAATTTATTTGAGAATGTTATTTGCTGCAGAGGAAATCACAAAAAAAAACCCAACAATTTTAAGTGGTTTTCAAATGGTTTATTATTTTGAAAACATCTTTAATAAGCAAATGGCCCTTATTTTATTTCACAGCGACTGTAATACTGTCCTTTGAAAAATTAAGAACACCCATCAATTTCTATGTCTTTTCTTAAGAAATAATAAAATTGTTATTTTACACATTAGTTTGCACATTTCTTTCCTTTTTTTCCCCAGCCCAATTACTGACAGCCTATCTCTGACTTATATTCACACCAGAAGTGGGTTTTAAATCTAACACCTTAGGTGCCAATTATAAGGAGAAAGATCTTAAGTGAAATGAAATACCAGACTGCTTGAGATTCATCTTACTATTTAGAACTTCAATTTCAGCTATATATATATGTGACTTCTTTATTTCTTCTGAGAAAGCCATGTTTTACTGAGTTTACTGTTAAAAATTGTGTAATTTGCTAGAGTATTTCATTGATAGTTTGTTTTCATATATAGTGATAAAAATATACTGCCTGATATTATATAAAACTTACTTTTACAATTTAAAAAATCAAAAAATAAATATTTAATTTTACAAAATGTATTTATTTCTAGAAAATGCTTTTTCTAGAGTGGAAAGAGAATATATAAATTATATTATAAAATCATCTTCATAATTGCCTTTGTTTTACATTTCGGGAGGCAGGTGAAATTAGAATTGAATCAAATAATAAGTATATATATCACAAAATTCGTAATGTACATTATCTTTATCCCGCACATGACTCTATAAGGCAGACATTCTTTCTTTTATTATATTTCAGATTCAAGGGATACATGTACAGGCTTGTCATGTGGATAGATTGTGTAATAGTGAGGTTTAGGCTTCTAGGGTACCCATCACCTAAATAGATAATTATATCTAAGAGATAATTTTTCCACCCTCACCACCACCCCAAGCACTCTCACACTCTTCTCTTTTGGAGTCCCCAGTGCCTATAATTTCTATGTTTATGACCATGAAGGCAGGCATACTGATACTTCTTTTACTCTTGAGAAAACTGAATACAGAATCGTTTTCCCCGATACACTAGATGGTATGAGGCAGAGCTGGGTTATGGACCCCAGGATGTCTGATTTCAAATTATATCATTCTTTACTAAACACATTTCTCTTATTAAATATTTTTACTGTGTGTTTTCTTTAAAAACATTGTATTTTACAGCTTCTTAAAAAAATCACTATATTATTTAGTGCTGGGCTAGGTAAATAGGAAAGAACTAGCCTGTGGAACAATTTTGAGAAATGATTTACTTGGGAGGTTTTCATTGTTAGACAAGTTTTTGATCAGAGAATAACTTTAAAACGTTTTAATGATGAACATCATTTTCAGGGCAGTAGTGCTGTGAAACCCAATTATAAGTGTCAAAGTTAAGAGTAATCCTAGGGATAATAAAACTCACATGAACATTAAATGTTTCTTGTTATATAATCTATTTCCTTCTGTCTGCTAATATACAGAAAATATATTTAATGCTTCTGTCTTCTAGCATCAGACCAAACAAAAATGATGAAACAAGCATAATATAATATATATAACTATATTAAGTATTAATGAATGGTGAGGTTCTTTAAGAGGACACCTTATCGCCTCTGAAGCATTATTTCCTAATTTAATTTTGAAAGCAGAGCTTCAGAGACAGTGGTTTCAGAGGCTGATGAGGATCTAGTGATGAACAGGCAGTAACAGGCAATGTGATGGCTGCTAGTTTCAGGGGATTCCAGTGTTCTTTGCAAGATGCAAGACTGAGGCCACACTGGGTCATGTACTTGAACTCAGCAACTATCTCAAGTGAGGATTTATCTACAGGAGTACTCTAAATTATAGCCCATAGCTGTCAACCTACAGTTATTCTATGAAAATAACTCAGCTTCCTAGAATTGATAGGATACCCAGAACAGCAGTCTGTCCCTATTAAAAGCTAGAGAAGAAATAAATGATAAACTGCTTGAAATAAATATTCATAGAAGAAAGATCTGTTATCACCTACATATACCTCAGAAGAGGAAGTTATAATTACCCTCAGTTGAGAGTCTTTGCACAAAAAGAATTGGATGCTCATTCCTGAGAACATGCCATATGAAAAGCATTGTGCTAGCACCATGGAGTTTAAAGAAGTGGAGACCTGGACCCAATTCTCCAAGAGAAAAAATAATGGGACGGCTTGGGGAATGTACAACCTCATGAGTTAAGTCTTACAAAGGTGATCTACAGTAGTTTAGCAATATCTGAGAGGAGACTAGTTGAAAAAGAGGTGTGTTTTTGAGGGTGGGGGCATGAGTGAGTATTGAAGGATAAAGTGGAAGGACACTGAGACAGTTATTGATTTAAAAAAGACTGTGAATTTTCTTTTCTGGTCATTTCCCATGAGATACTTTAGATGGACTATTGAGGCACAGACTAAGAGGCTGATGCATTTCAATCAATTCTGTATGAATTCAGAATGGAAGATAAAATTCCCATTACATGTCTTCTGCACTTAATGAAAGCTGCTAGAATTTCAGCCTGATATGGAACAACCATGTGTTCACGGGCACAGAATTAACACTATTTAATCAGTGCAAAATCATTCTGGAGAAAAAGATGCGAAATAATCATTCTTTGAAAAGTCTATTAAAGATTAGGAAATTTCTGTATAATAATGGCTAACCTTGACAAGCCATTTATTATGGACCATACAGTGTCCCCTTTCATAATTGATTTATTTAGTCTTCATGATACTTTTTTGAAGTATGGAAACATTTCCATTATACAGACCAAGAAATGAGGCTAAGAGAATTTAAGTTATGACAACTTGCCCAAAGTCATACTTAGCAAGAAATTAGAATTTTAATTTGGATTTTCACAGTGTAACCAAAACAAAACAAAACAAAACAAAACAAAACCTCTCATTCTTAACTAATACTATATCATACTATTTAAATGCCTACAAGGAACAGACTGAGAAATGAGGCTAAAAGAATTTAAGTAATGACAACTTGCTCAAAGTCTTACTTAGCAAGAAATTGGAGTTGGAATTTGGATTTTCACAGGGTAATAAAAAAAGAAACTTGTCTTTTTAACTAATACTGTATCATGCTATTTAAATGTCCCCAAGAAAAATATGGCAGCTGCTCAGTCAATTTGGTCAATAAGAATGGTCAAAAGCAGAACAGAGAACTTCATTTTCATTTTTGATCTAACAATCTAATATCCATTTGTGTTTTTTAAAGGACATCTTCCATTTTAGCAATGTTTCTATTCTACCCTTGCCTCTACCCTCTATAACAAAATGTAAGCCCTTTGTTTCCACTATGTCCAACTTTGTCTAGCTTTGTTTTTTCTAGGTCTGGGTCTTCACCCCATATCTGCCCCTTTTGTGATGTCCTGGGGGAATATCTGGCATGGTACTGCTAAACCAATGATTCCCAAAGCAGAACAAGAAATACTAGAATAACCTGGGAACTGGTTAGAAATGCAAATTCTCAGGCCCCAAACACATCTACTGACTCAGAAACTCTAACACCTAGCAATCTGTATTTTAACAAGGCCTAGGTTTATATCATGCATGTGAAAGTCTAGAAACTACTGTGCTAAACAATTTATATTTTTTTTCTTCTTTTTTTTTTGAGACAGAGTTTTGCTCTTGTTGCCCAGGCTGGAGTGCAGTGGCACGATCTCAGCTCACCACAACCTCTGCCTCCCGGGTTCAAGTGATTCTCCTGCCTCAGCCTCCTGAGTAGCTGAGATTACAGGTGCCCACCGCCACACGCAGCTAATTTTTGTGTTTTTAGTACAGACGGGATTTCACCATGTTGGTCGGGCTGGTCTTGAACTCCTGACCTCAGGCGATCCACCCACCTCGGCCCCCAAAAATGCTGGGATTACAGGCGTGAGCCACCGCGCCCGGCAATTTTATACTCTTAAAATTCTTTTTCATATTCAGTTCCACTACTTCTTTCATTTCTTTTTGAAACTTATACTTCGTTTAAGAAAATACAAAACTTTCATAAATGACCCTCTCCATTTAACTACTTACTTCAAAACATAAGAGAGATGGGGTAGAATTCTGCTTTCACTTCCCACTGCTACTACCATCCATCTTTCAATAAAATTTTCATCTTTCAAAGTTTATGTTATTTTATATATTGCTGTTGGCATTGTTAATGCCAGTACTCATTCTGCGGCTATTACAGTAAGTAGATCTTAGTGGTTAGATATCCAGGATCTACAACAGATAAGTAATGTAAACCATAGTTCTCTACTTACTATCTATATGATGTTGGCAAGTTATTTTTACTCACTCGGACATGGTTACACCGTCTGTGAAGTAAAGATGGCAGTAAGAGCTTTCTAATATTGTTGTTCAGTAAAAATGAGAATCTAGAAGTGATATCCACACTAACAATTCAATAACAATTGACAACTACTGTCTCTACCTGACTGGCTCATAGTTATGAATTTATTGTCATATGTCAAGCATCAGACTAAGTCCTTTAGGTACACCATTCTATTTAGCCTAACAGTAATCCTAAGAGATACAACACATTAGTATTATTATCATGCAAGTTCCAACATTCTTTAAATGCTTAGAGTGTGCCAGCCATTCTTCTGGTTGTTTTACTTCAAATAACTCATAGGTTCTGTTAATATTCCCATTGTTTAGATGAGAAATGAGGAACAGAAAGTTACATAAGGTGCTCAAGGTCACTCAGTAATAAGTGTCAGATGAACTGTGAACCCAGGCAGTCTGGCTCAGGAATCCATGCTCTGAACCATTACCTAGTGATGTCGTTTTTAAAGACAAGGAAGCAGAAGTTTAGGGAAGTTAAACAACGTACTAGTTACATAATTATTAAGTGACAAAGCTGGGGTCCTACAAAAATTACTGTAGCATTATATCAGCCTTTCCCCCCACCCTCTTCTACCATTAGTGACTTTGACCCCTTGCTCCTCTGCAAGCCATCATCCTGGCTGAACTTAGGTGGTTGTTAACCACCTCCTGCTTCCTGGCTTTTAGACCCCTCTCTCCTCAATCCCACTAAGCTTCACACTTACCTCACTTTAGGGGTATAATTGTCACCCTCTGAAGTCACCCCAAACTCAATAATCTCCAAGATGTCACAGACTGATGGATTTCACCCTTCACCTTCTTGGACTATCTAACACTTCCTCAAAGCCTCCTCATCCAGCATCCCACTCTAGATGTTCTTCCTTCTCCTAAGAACCTGAGCCACTATGTTCAGCCATTTTCAATACTTCCTTAGTTTCTGGTACAGAAGGTAACCTCTTCCATTTGTGAAGCTTTGCTGAGCCATTCCTTGTTTTTGGAAAGTCTTTCTTCTTTTTTATATTAATCTTTGAAAGTTTCCCTACCAAAGGTTTGTGACTTGGTCAATTCAGCTGAGATGAATGTTTTCCTCTGTTGTTTTCTATCTGTACTTCTGTTGTGGCCTTTGGCACACATTGTCTCTGGACTACTGGTCTCTCCCTCTCCTACTACACTGAGGTCCATCCTCTTCTTTTTCTAAGTGCCTGCTGACATCATGTGACTGAAAGAGCACAGATTTTCATGTCAGAGAGCCCTGGATTTAAATCTGAGCTTTACTACTTGCTTTTTTTCTTGGCCACACTTTGTTTCAATTTCCTTATTTATAAAATGAGAGGAAAGTGTAACAACTCAGAGAGTTGTTGTGAGAATTAAATGAGTCAATACAAATGGAGAAATTACAGTAAATGACCTGTAACTCTTACCTTCTCTTCCACACAATACTCTCCTGTGAATATAGTCTCACAGATGTTTGAAGTGTAAATGCATGAATGAATATTGAATGGGGAGGCTGCTTCAATTTTGGCTGTGTGGCAAGACAAGGTGTAAAGGCTTTCCATTTAGGGCAAGAATTTTGATAATCAGAATTTTAATTACTTAGATATTAATTAGGATAACAATTATATAAAATTAAATAAGAAGATGAGATTTGTAAAGTTTGATGGATTCTTAACTAGTTACAGGGAATTCAATGGATTTTGAGATGAAGCGCCCACTAATAATGAAAAAAAGGATAGATAAAGAAATTAAGAGACCAGGCATGGTGGCTCACACCTCTAATCTCAGCACTTTTGAAAGCTGAAGAGGGTGGATCACTTGAGGTCAGGAGTTCAAGACCAGCCTTGTCAACCTGGCAAAACCCAGTGTATACTAAAAATACAAAAAATTAGCCAGGCATGTTGGCGTGGGCCTGTACTCCAAGCTACTCAGGAGGCTGAGGCATAAGAATTGCTTGAACCCAGGAGGCAGAAGTTACAGTGAGCAAAGATAGTGCCACTGCACTCCAGCCTGGGTGACAGAGTAAGACCATGTAGAAATTAAGGAACTTAAAATTAAAACCACTTCAATTATGCCATGATATTGTATAATTAGAAACATTATTCAGAGTAAGAATGAAAAGTAAACATTAAAAGTAATCTTTTGGCATTTTATTTCAGAAATAATAGTGTGATATCAAGTGGCTTTGTGAAGATTATCATTTAAATTTACAGTTTGAATGCTGAAGTATATTACTAACTACCTAGTATATGCATAATCAGGTATAAATCCTAGTGGCAAAACTCATTGGGTTTTAAATAAAACAGAACTATATCTGAAACAGGTTTCCTCTACTTAAAACTGGTTAAGCACCTGAACTAGTGATTTTACTTATCTTAGGTTTAGTTTCTCCATCTATAACATTGGTATATGTTTTAATGGATATATGGTATAATGAATAATACCCATGTCTCTGGGTTGTTAGGTGCTTGTGGAGTTTATGGCATGTGAAGCGTTAATATGGTATCTAGCAAGTCGAATAAGCACTCATTAAATTTAGCTCTGACTATAGTGTACATTCAACAAATAATTCATACTTGATTCAGCTTTACTAAGGGGGTGATTTTTCTTGCAGGGAACATTTGACAATTACTGAAGACATTTTTGGTTGCCATAACTTAGAGGAGGGGTGTGTGCTACTGGCATCTAGTGAATAAATGCCAGAGATGGTGCTAATTGTCATACAGTACACAGGACAGCACTCCACAACAAACGGTTATCTACGCCCAAATTTCAATCATGAAGAGGTTAAGAAACTAAGCTAAAGAATGGGTAATATTCATCTCTCACCAGCTTATCACGAGACAATCGTATTTACAAACCCTTCAAAAAGGGAGAGACAGTGATGATAGAATGTTACATTCACAGAAAATAAAATTTATTCATCGTACCTCTAAAACAATTATAATAAAATAAGACACACATATTAGCTAAACCTGGATAAAAGTTTGTCCTCAAACCTTAGCATGCAAAATTATCTTTGGCTTAAAACAAAAGGACATCTATTTTGGGCAAACAGCACAGAGGAAGAATGGAGCAGAATATTCACTTCATGAGTGATCATTTATCTCAGTGGAGAGAAGCCACTAAGGGAAGGCGGGTACAGGCTACATATATTTTTACACAAAATTATTTGGCTAGTATATAATCAATAGAAAAAGTTTTAATTCACTGCTGTTTGGGATGTCATTTCTCACCTTTCTGTAGCTGATTAATAATAATCATAGAGGGTCCTTTTCAGAAATCCAGGTCTTTAACAGTAACATTTAAAAGTGCCCACAAGAAAGATTAGAGCTTCTATGAGGCAACCAACATTGACTGAATTTAAGGCTCGTGTTTGGCTTGATAAAATTTGCCTAAAATATATAGATTAGCTCATTGGAGTTAGCACGTCCCAAAACATCTTTGCAAGGGAATAGTTATAAAGTAACCGAGCTAAAGGAATACTTTTCTTACTTGGTATAAACATTATAGAAGTGTTTGTTTGTTTGTTTGTTTGTTTGTTTTTTGAGACAGAATCTCACACTGTTGCCCGCCCAGGATGCAATGGTGCGATCTTGGTTCACTGCAACCTCTGCCTCCTGGGTTCACGCAATTCTCCTGCCTCAGCCTCCTGAGTAGCTGGGATTACAGGCGCACACCACCACAACCAGCTAATTATTTGTATTTTGTGTAGTAGAGATGGGGTTTCACTATGTTGGCCAGACTGGTTTTGAGATCCTGACCTTGTGATCCGCTCGCCTCGGCCTCCCGAAGAAGTGCTGGGGTTTACAGGAGTGAGCCACTGCACCCGACCAGAAGATTTTTTTTTCTTTTTTTAACGAAGGAATGGAATTTTTACTTGTAGATGGATAAAAGCTTTAGCATTACGTTTCTGGCATTTTTTTCTTGAATGGTTGTATGTAGGCTGCTCGAGATGTGTCTCAAACAGAAGAAAAAAATGAGAAACCTGAGAGAGATATACTAAGTATAATTATTTGCATTATTTCGAGAACATGTGCTAAGGGATTTAATCAAGAGACTTCTTGGTTCATTTAAAATACGAGTTCATTTATAAAATTTCTCTGTATGTGCAGCTTCTAGGAAAGCTACAAGTAGTTGCATAATGTGAGGAATAACTTTATTTATGCATTCATTATTTCCAGTAACTCTTCAGTTATTACCAACTGTGTGTCAGGCACTGTGCTAAGTGTCAAGGATACAATGGATGTGAAAAACAAGCTCTTACCCTTAAGCAGTTTACATTGTAGAATGAAATAGAGTCCAAAACATATATTGATTTATTAAATATTTATAATTTGTAATTAAGTCTATAAAGAAAATAATAGTATAACCAAATGTATTGACTCCTTTTATTTTTTGAAGCATCAAATATAGAATTTCTAGATGGCCCATGTATATATTCACAATGGCTAGCCTGTTAAGTCCAGAACATATATTAGAAAAAACAATCTACCTTAAAATTATTGGCGATTTTTTTATTACTTTAAATGTTTCACTTCTCCTGAGAAATTTAGATATGTATATATAAGATGCTGAATCATTTAAACAGTGTTCTCATCTTTTCTATTTCAGGGTTTTCGGAGCTGCCATACTTCTTACCTCTACCCTAAATATGCTAATTCCATCAGCAGCCAGAGTGCATTATGGATGTGTCATCTTTGTCAGAATACTGCAGGGACTTGTTGAGGTATGTAACTTCAGGGTGAAGCCTTTTTAAGATTGGCATTTGGTTGAGAACCACCAGTTTATCTTTGTCTTTATCTGTAAATAAATATATTGTATTAGGTTGCATCTAAATAGAGTTAAAATAAAAAATGAAACACTGGAAATGTTAGACAGTCAGATATTTTGTCCATAAATGATATGAAACCATGAATATCACTGCTTATCTCCTTCTCTCTAGAATTGAGTGGGATTAAAGA
Organism: Homo sapiens; assembly: GCF_000001405.40. Classification (NCBI taxonomy): domain Eukaryota; kingdom Metazoa; phylum Chordata; class Mammalia; order Primates; family Hominidae; genus Homo; species Homo sapiens. The sequence goes on from NC_000011.10 coordinate 22,359,763, forward strand.
AATATTTTAATGCCTATTTGACTTAAAAAAAAACAGGGACTTTTGTTAATGTGTCATGACAAGAATTTTAGAGTTTGTCCTTTGCTGGTGATAACCATGAATTAGTATCTTGGGAGTTTTATACTAAGTAAGTTCCTGATGGCCTTGAATCACGATATGAGTTTTCACTGAAATATTTCATCGAATGCATTTTTGAGGCATTCAATTCTAATGATCAACTCTTGCTCCATCAGCCTGCAGACTTTGAAAGAATTCCACTTAAAAACTCGAGTTCGGCTTACCAATTTCCCCTTCTCTTTCCATGGAGTATAATGGAAATAGATAAATAATGTAAAATATTAAGGCACTAAAAAAAAAAAAACCCTTTCTCATACTATGCAGTCATAAAAAGGAATGAGATCATGTCCTTTACAGAGACACAGATGGAGCTGGAAGCCATTATCCTCAACAAACTAATGTAGGAACAGAAAACCAAACACTGCATGTTGTCACTTATAAATGGGAGCTGAACAATGAGAACACATGGACACAGGGAGGGGAACGACACACACTGCAGCCTATTGGGGAAGGGCAGTGTAGGGAGAGCATTAGGGAAAAGAGCTAATGAATGCTGGGCTTAATACGTAGGTGATGGGTTGATAGGTCCAGTAAACCACCATGGCACACATTTACCTATGTGACAAACCTGCATATCCTGCACATGTACCCCAGAACTTAAAAAAATAATAATAATAAAAAACGAAACCAAAAAACCCGCTCTCCTTCCCCCCCCCCCAAAAAAAAGATAGGTTCAAAATAACAGAAAAAGACTAATAATTTTAAAGGTCTTAAATTTTAGACACTGCTTTCAGGAAGTGTGAGCTCCAAGGATCTAAACTTCACTTTTCTCTGTATAGATATTTATATTTGGAATTTACTGAATTTAATGCCCTACAAAATGATCTCCCAAATTTTTTCAAACTGTTCAGAATTGCAGATAAATTGATTAATATACAGTCTTTTCTTTTACCTTAATCAGAAAAAAAGAAAATTGAGGTGGAAGGAAGTCTGAAGGGCAGGGAGGATTTGTACAGGATACTAAAAAGACTCTTGATCCTAAATGGTGACAGTGATGAGTATCTTCCCCCATCACAGGGTGTGACCTACCCAGCATGTCATGGGATATGGAGCAAATGGGCCCCACCTCTAGAGAGGAGTAGACTGGCAACCACCTCCTTTTGTGGTGAGTACTGTGTGCAGATGCAGCTATGGTGGCTAAAAGTTTAGGAACAACTTGAATAAGAATTGAAAATTTGGTAAACTCACCTGTAAAACCATCTGGGTTTTGTATGAACATCTGTGAGTGGTAAGGTTTTTGACCACCATTTCCATTTCTTTAGTTTTATTGTTTTGCTTAAATCTTCTATTTATTCTTGTGTTTGTATTTTTCTAGGAATTGATCCATTTCATCTAGGATTTCAAATATATTCATGGGTGGTTTTTATAATACTCTTATACTGCAGTCCATTTTTTTGAGAACCTCAGTATTTTCTTTTTATTATACCTAGACACAAAGATATAAAAATACAAATTTTAAACACATTTACAGAGATAAAAACATAATTAGACTATGTATTTATTTTTACAAATAAATATTAAATTTACTTTGAACTCTGCCTGGGGTTAAAATCTAACAGTTTCTCAGAATTTATATTTAATACAGCTATATGTTTGAATTATAGTGAATAAAATGCCTATAGAAAATAACTATTATAATTTAAATTAATTAAATTAATGTGATCTTTAAGTATTCTCCTAAGCACTGTTGCTATAATTTCCCATTCATTGGAACTTTTATTTTTGGGATCAAAACTGACCTTACTACTATTTTGGGAAATAGAATTAATGAACATGTATTAAAGCTTCAATCCCAGCTTTTGAAGTGTAGAGCTCTTTCTGCTAATCTGAAGCTACTTTTTGTTTGTTGCTAACTTTTAAAACATTTTAAGACAATCAGTTTAATTTAAGGTCATTTTGTGCCTTCAGAATGCACGTTTTACTCTTTCTACCAGAGCAGTAAGGCAAGAGAGCAATTCCCTTTCCAAATCAGATATTAGAACTGCTGTAAATAATGCTAGTAATAGGAAATTAAGGCTGCTGTGATTTTGCTGTATACTTAAGCCATAAGGTTAACAGTATTATTGCCTGTAGCATTTGAATTTACATGCATTTGAGTCTAAATCACAGGGCATAAATATTGCCATTTCTGTCTATATGTCTAAGACCTTTTTTTTTTTACAATTGCCTTTAATAACCCACTATGTAAAATTCAAAGAGATATAAATTAGGTGATATTCACTAGAAAAGCTAATGAATGCTACCTATTATCATGAGAATTGTCAGTATGTTTTAAACTATTTTATGGGACAGCAAAGAAAACAAATTTGCCATAGGGGAAAAACGTGATAACTTACCTTGATGACATCTTCTGGCCATGCTTTGAGAACTGAAGCAATATGCCTTCAATCATGGATACTAACAAAGAGACCGCTGGCAGAGAAAAACAATTAAAATGAAGTCAGTAAAAGCTACACAAACATGAAACTGCACGAATTTGCTACAAGGAGATACATGCTTGAGGTCGCAAGAATAGATTTTAGGTGTCTGGTTAGTATTGCCATACTCTGTCCCAAGTCCAGCACACAGACATGCAGGACACATGCCAATCAGCATGCCAGTCAGCATGTCTCCATTATTATTTTTAAATCTCTGTTGTGTCTTGGGTAGGAGGTAGGTGTTATCCACTTGTGTAATCCCGTGTTCCTGTGTACGTATGTAGACATATATGTGTTTGGTGATGGAGGGTATGTGCATGGGTGTGAGGCCCATGTACCTGAGTGTTCCAGCGTCTGTGTGAATCAACAAAGGAATGTGAGATGATATCAATAATTTCTACTGATTTCACTCACCTTTCTCCCATTCTTCCTTACACTTTAGGTTCCTATGCCGGAGCTGTGATTGCAATGCCTTTAGCTGGCATTCTTGTGCAGTACACTGGCTGGTCTTCAGTGTTTTATGTCTACGGTATGTTATATTTCTATGCAATAGAGTTAAAGGAAATGTGCATAGGCTAAAAGAAAATGGTTGCAGACAATGAGATCAATCACTAAATACATTTCTATGTTTACTTACTTATTTTCTTCTCTTAAGAATCCTTCCATTGTATTCTGAGAGGATTAGGAAAATATTTCATCTCTGTTATTTTTCTTAGATTGCTATTTCTTGTTTTAAAAAGCAACCACATTGCTGACAGGAACTTTGTCATTTAGTAAATCTATGTCCTTCATTATGAAAAAATATTAAATTAGCTCTTGATTAAAAGCTGATGAAGAGGAAAGAGTTAGGCAGCAGTCACCTCCCTTTGCTATTGCCTTTTGGTCATTTTCCTAATTCTGCCTCTTCAAGATTGAATGGGGGTGGAAAGCTGAAAGGGGGGGTGGAAAGCTGAAAGGGGGTGGTGGTGCTAAAGTGACTATTCAATTCCGTAATGAAATATCAGCAGTTAGCTGCTGTAGCAGCATATCTCAGTCCTCCAGAATTAAAGGCAATTAAGCCTCCACATTGAAATAAAATATGTAATCCTAAGTCTAAAACAGTCTTGATATTCACTTTGTAACTATTTCAAAATATCCCTACAGTCTTTCTTTCTAAGAGGCACTTTTTAATGATGAGGAAAGGAAAAATAAAGGAAAGCTGGATCCCAACTGATATTGTCACTGATTAATATCATCTTTGGACATTGCCATGAGAATCTGAAATATTAATGAAGTCATGTGGTAGAACAGTATCTGGCTGCTTCTAAATTTGCCCTAATTCATTCCCATTTTGAAATGTTCTCATCAGAACAAATTATTATGCTTGTAGAAGGTTATTAAATGTCACTTATCATAGGGACTCTTTTTGTGGTTCAAAAGCCATGGATGGGTTTTTGGATCCATGAATGCCCTAAATTGCAAGTCATATAGGTATTCGTGAACATTTTTTTTTTCTTAGGGAGATTTTTTAAAAATCAGATTTTAATTTATACTCTTCATTACATTTTCAAAGGAGTGCATAATTCAACAAAGTTTAAAAGCACTTGTTTTATAGGATGTATTGTACAAGTTGGTATGGCTATCCAATTAAATACTATGTTTTGTGTCTTTGTCCATTACTTAAGTGAAGATATGTGACCTTAAAGTAAGAATACAAATTTAAACAAGGCACTCATAAACAACCAATATCATTATTTCAAGTTATATCTCATTTGATATTTATCATTGAATGATACAAAAAGTAAACAGATAATCTGAAAATACCATATCATAGTACTTTCTTACTTGCTGTGTGTAACAATAATTTGGTCTGGAGTCACACATTCAGTTTTCGCATTTTAAAGATTAAAGAGATAAGATCAGTATAGTGGGGTAAGTTAAAAAAGATAATACATATAAAGTAATTAGCAGCGTATCTGGCACTTTAGGTGAATTCTGTTAGTGGTAATGATAATTATTATAAAATTACAATATCTCTCATTTTTTGAAAGCTTATTTTGTGCCATCCACTCTACTTGTTGATTTATATATTACCTCCTTTAACTTTTCTATATTCCCATAAAAATGAATTATTATCTCATTTTATAGTGGAGATTTAGAGAGATTCAGTTACTGATTGGATCATATAGCGAATAAATGACAGTCAGGATTTGAATCTGGGAGTTATATTCTGTAAACACTATATTATTCTGAATTTTTAAGCACTATCTGAACCTAAATCATGTTTACTGCAATGTTCAGTAGTTAAAAGGAACACAGCTCATCAGAAGCTATGTATGGTGTTAGGAAACCCTTCTTGGAGATTGAACAGGCCAAAGAAAAAGTGTTGTAGGGATCAGGAGCATTTAGATTGTTACCCAAGGGACAAACAGAACAGTGTGAGGGAAAAATGAAATGGCCAACTGCTGGGAAATTAGAATAAATCACTTGAGATTCTTGCTATTATTAATGCTTACAGATTTATATCGCACAAAAAGGACATGTTTTAATGGTAAGAGTATTAAATAAAGAAGAGGATGAAAAAGGATTTACAGCTTAGGGCCTTGGAATTTATAACTTTTGTCTGCCCAAAGAAGGATCAATAGGCAATACTATGTGCTGAAAATAATATGGTATACAGTCACGTAAAGTGTTGTTACCACATGAAGTACAGAGGCCCACTTTTTATGTAATGTAGCCACTCATGCTAAAATATTCTAGGTTTTATTTAATTGTCTGTTTGCCAGATCTGGAAGTGCTAACAGGAGAGGGAAAAGAGCAATTCTTTTCTCTGGAAATGCAACCACTTTTATATATTCTAGGCAGGCAATAAAGAAAAGAATTTGCCCCCAGAATAATTCTTTGAGGACAGGAATTTTGTTTTCTTCATTATATTTCTCTCACTTAACCAGAGTGCCTAGAATGCTAACTGCTAAGTATTGTCGGATGAATGAATACCTTCCAAACTACACCATTCTAATAATTATTTATGGCTTATTGTATATCAGTGCTATTTCATAGAGACAAGGAGATAAAACCACAGGACTGGCCTTTAAGAAGTTTGAAGCTTAATGGCAAAAGAGAAGAAAAGATGGCTAACGTCAGTTGGAGAAACATAAGCTTGAATTCTTCTTTCTAATAGAATATGTTTGTCTTGAGATGATTGCAGTTTTATTGCAGCACATCACTGTTAAATGGAAGTGACTTTCTCCTTCTGAACTGTTGCTTGCAGGAAGCTTTGGAATGGTCTGGTACATGTTTTGGCTTTTGGTGTCTTATGAAAGTCCTGCAAAGCATCCTACTATTACAGATGAAGAACGTAGGTACATAGAAGAAAGCATTGGAGAGAGTGCAAATCTTTTAGGTGCAATGGAAGTAAGAAATTTATTATGGTGTATATTCCTATCTTATTCCCATCTCGCCCCCATTGACCAACCAAACTATCTTACAAGTTCTTCCTCAGCAAAACTAATTTGGTATCAATCATAACTTCTTTTATTTTGGTCCATCCATATTCTCTGACTTAGGAATAATAGCTATTTCCTCCATCTGTCATTTATTTTTTTCCTTTATCCTTTCTTAAGCATTTAAAAATGTACACTGGGTGATAACTATGACTGCAAACCTAAACAATATTTTTAAACAGTTCAATATGGTCTATATTTAAACAAATACAATAAATAGTTGTTCATTTTACGTTAAAAAAATCCAAATCAGCCATGAAAATGGCAATTTTTGGTTTGTTGAATACAGTAGTCCCCCCGCATCCTGAACAGATCTATTCCAAGACCCCCCGGGTTGCTACCGAACCCTACATATAATGTTTTTCCTATACATACATACCTATGATAAAATTTAATGTATAAATTGGGTATAGTAAGTGATTGACCACAGTGACTAATGCTAAAATAGAATTATAACAATATACTGTAAGGAAACTTAAGTGAATGTGCCCCCCCCACCCTGTAAAATATCTTATTGTACTGTACAACTAGTAACTGAAACCTCAGAAAGTGAAACCGCGGTTAAGGGAGGACTACTATATTCTAAATGTAAGTTTAATACATGTGTATTTATGTCATATGTAGTTTAGGAGATACTGAAGCATTAGAATGCCAATAATAGACAGCTGATATAAAAGAATTATAACATAATTTAATTATTTTATTGATAAAATATCATTATCTTTCAGGATTATTACTATGAATATCAAGCATTATAAAGACAATGTTGTGAAGCCCTTTTTTCTGATGATTTGATTTCTTCTGATTTACCTAAAAAAGAGAGAAAACATAGTTCTATTTCAATAATGCAAATGTTTTATTCCACATAACACTGATACATTGTACATAGTAATTAATACAAAAGCCACCTGATGTTATATTTTAAAAAGGTGGCTGGGCGTCGTGGCTGGGCACGGTGGCTCACGCCTGTAATCCCAGCACTTTGGGAGGCCGAGGCGGGTGGATTGCCTGAGGTCAGGAGTTTGAGACCAGTCTGGCCAACATGGGAAACCCCGTCTCTACTAAAAATACAAAAATATTACCCGGGCCTGGTGGTGTGAGCCTGTAATCCCAGCCACTCGGAAGGCTAAGACAGAGGAATTGCTTGAACCAGGGAGGTGGAGGTTGCAGTGAGCTGAAATCACTCCACTGCACTCCAGCCTGGGCGACAAACAAGACTCCGTCTCGAAAAAAAAAAAAAAAAAAAAGGAGAACACTGTTTAGTAAAATTAGTGTATTTAGACATATTGAGGCATTAGGCGATCTGATCAATGATAGTTTCCTTATGCTAAGAGCTGAAAGGTGTCATACACTAGTTGAAGAAACAATGCCCCTTACATATTATGCATTTGTTCTTTTAAAACAAACACCTCCTGCTCCCTAGTCTAGGTGTGTTTGATTCTAGCTCAGATTCTCTACTTCATTTGTAAGAGAATGCCTGTCTTTGACATCTCATCATAGGTTAAAAAAAAAAAAAGTCTATCACCCATTATTGTTGAGCCAAATTGGCCCTTAATGAATAAGAAAAATCCCATATCATATATAATTCAGAAGTTAAACTTCAATGGTTTAAACAAATCTTTACTGTGTAGTTGTTCCATGAGTTAGCTTGGCATTAGAACTTTCCTCTTTGTGTTTCCTTCTATAAATAGACTAATAATTTCTTACGGTGGCTACTCAGAAGCAAGAGGTGATATGGGAGTGGGTGGAAGATTGCTAGTATGCACTGGTGCCCACTAGCTGCAGTTATTTTGAGCAGAAGTTCTGAGTTTAGCCTCAATTTCTAGCCCCAAATTAATGTGATCAGCCTATATCCTATTAATTCATTATGTTCTTTTATTTGCCAGTTCTTGAGAGGTCATATGTCTAGATTAGAAATAAATTTTAAAAATAATCAGAAATTCTGCCTAAGTAAAAACTAATTCCTACAAATGACCCCAGAAAGAACAGCAGGAGAATGAAAAAACAGCATAATCTTCAGCTCCCCACTTCCTATACCTCACTGCTTTTCTAAAGACAATATTTTACTTCTTACTGATGTTTCATATGTTCCTGTAGCTTCAAAGTAAATTTTAAAATGAGATTATGTGGGAATAGAACTTGCATTTTAGTTAATTTGAACTTTTTTTATTGTGAGTGAATTTAATATACAGCAAAGGAGAAAGAGTACTGACAGGAATATCATATACTCATCACATAGGTGTAACAATTATCGTCTTGTCATATTTATTTCACTTTTGTTTTGATGAACTATTTCAAAGTAAATAAAACATCAAAATACTTTATCCATAAATACTTCATATGCATATCTAGAAAAATGATATTCTCCCTCACTATCTCAGTACTACTATCACACTTAACATAATTAAAAACAATTCTGTATCATCATTTAACTCCTACATCATATTCAAATTTCTAATACCATCTATATTCTAATATCTAACCTATATTCAAATTTATTTTAAGCTGTTTGTTTTGAATCTGAATTTGATCAAGAATCACACATTGCAACTTATTGCAAAGTCTTTTAAATCTGTTTTTCTTTAAAATATATTTAAATATAGCATATGTACAGAAAAAAACACTAATAGTAAACAATCAGCTTGCTTAATTTTTATAAACTAAACATAAACAGGGAGTTCAATAAATAGAACATTATCAGAATACCATAATCTTCCCTTTAATCCGCCAACAATTTTTTAAGGTATAAGGTGAGATATTTTTCTATTGCTTTTGATGAAGTACTTTACCATGTAAAGAATAAAGTTCTTAGGAAAGATGATCCTGGTATGAATGAAAGGATCTTTGCCCAACAGGGAAAAGTTCTTTTACTTTTAATAGTATTCTGGAGTCATTTCTTATGCTAACATAATACTATAATGCAGACATTTCTGTCTTCTGACATTTTTATTATCTTTGAAATAAGTGTACGCATCTGGAATTATTTTCCCAGAACATATTGATTTCTTTTTAAAAACTGTACTTTTGGAACCCATTTATGACACTGCCACTAAAATTTTTTATCCAAAGCCACAGAATTCATTACATAGTATTAGGACAGATTTTTGTTTTTGTTTGTTTCTTTTTTTGTCTTGCATATATTTATGATCACCACATCATAACTTCCTACTGTGTTGCATTTAAAGTGATCTTTAAAAGGCTTAATTACAGCCACAACCAATACTAGCAATTATGAGGTTTTCCATTCAGGAATAATTGTTAAATCCACGTGAAAGGTGTTTGCTTCCTCTTTCAGTAATTTAGTTAGGTCAAGGATCCCAAGTTAACTTTTAACAAAGTTATTTTAGGCTACTGTTTCCTCACCAAGCAGTATTTTGGTGTTCAGAATAAAGTAATTGAGAAATAATTAGGGAATATGAGAGATATTTTAATGGCTAAAAATATTAGTCTTGGGGGAGAATATGTACTTGCTTACATTTTGGCATACACTGAAACTTTAAGTACAATTAGGTTTAATTTTTTAAAGGGGTCATATGCAAAGCTGATCATATTTAGGTTGTTAATGTTGAATGCTTTGAATATTTTAAGTAACTAATTATGTGCCAAAGGTACGCTGGGGGTAGACAAATGCTTTCACCCAGCTGTTCTGAGTTTTATAGAACCTTGAACTCCAGTGTCACAGAATTTATAGTTATAGCTACTAGCTATCAAGATAATTTATGATTGATTGATAGTAGAATAATTGACTTAGATTGATTGGTAGTAGAATAATTGACTTCAGGTAGGGTCTAGAATACTGTACTCTTAAGATTTTGTATCTTTCTTTTCATGAATACATTGGATTTTCAACGTTTTAAATGAAATGTTTTGGATATCACAAGCTCACTGATGTGGCAGTGAGTTTTTGCTGAGATATGGTCTATCACCATTAAAAAAATAAAACAAATGGAAAAAAAAACCTTAAGAAACTAGGACCTATGCTTTTGGAATCAATTTTCTATAATTATGTAATCCTGCATATTCCTAAAGCTGGAACAATCTAATAAGTTGCAGTGATTGAGATCTTATTTTTTTTCTCTTCCAATGATTATTTACGTAGCTAAGGTTAACTGGGTGGTTATAATTAATGCTTCACTACATCTTCCTACTTCCTACTTATGACCTGTCATATACATCCTGAAAATGCAAAGCACCTATTATTCCCACTTAGGTTTGAAAATATTTAAAATGGTCATAATGTCTCTCTTTTTGGAATTTCAGAAATTCAAGACTCCATGGAGGAAGTTTTTTACATCCATGCCAGTCTATGCAATAATTGTTGCAAACTTCTGCAGAAGCTGGACTTTTTATTTATTGCTTATTAGTCAGCCAGCATATTTTGAGGAAGTCTTTGGATTTGAAATTAGCAAGGTATGTAAAATGTATTCTTATATAAATTGTGGATTACCTGTGTATTTAAGTGAATACTAAATTCATTTGCAAAAATTTTTATCTTCTAATTTTCAGAGATTATTCATTTATTCATTAAACAAATAACTGCTAGGAAATAGAAGCAAAGTAAAATGTTTCATTGTCTACTGTATTCTGTTGTCTGCTAGAATTGCTCTCTGGTACTGAGAATACAGGCAAAACAAACCTAGTTTCTGCCTTCATGGAACTTAGAGCCCAGTTGGAGCGAGCAGCGGTGTAATCTTTTCCCTGTAAATAAACATAACTCCCTTTAAGTCTCAGCTCACAGACAATGTAACAAACAAAAAAAGTATTCCATTCAAATAGAATTCTACTTACAAATTTCCAATCTAATTATTCTTCAATGCTCTTAGAACTCTTGTCCAGCTACAAGATATGAGGATTGTAAAAAGAAAATCTGAAAACACTCTTATATTTTGTCCATCCAATCTATTAATTTAACAAGTATTTGTTGAACACAATGTGCAGAACTTTATGTGAGATGCAGAAATAAAAACATGGTTTCTGTCCTCAAAATGCTCACAGCTTGGTGGTGTAAACGTGAAAGTAAGTTACCAATTAGAATACAGCATGCTAACTTCCACAGACATTTGTTCAGAGCTATGGGAATATAATCATTTTGAGATTTTCTATGAGGATAAAATGAACACAAAAATACTACTCTATCTTTATATAGGAACTCGAAATTTAGAAACTACTCTCATATTCATGAACAACCTTTGTTGTTTGACCTGTTGAACAACAATCGTCATTTCTATTGAAATGATGGGGAAACAGAAACTAGAGAAAGCATTTAAATTGCTTAAAGCCACGCTAGTAATGCACGACAAAATCAAGTTTAGACAAAGATTCTTTGATTTCTGTTTAATTATCTTTACTATGCCATTCAAATTCAGGTAAATCATATATCCATTCAAGTATTTAGTGAGTATCTGCTCAATGCCATCTCTGTGCCAAGCCCTTTGCTAAGTCCTGAATACATTGTCTGTGCTGGCAATGGTCTTGCTATCTCTCTTCATGTCATTACATAAGTCCAGCTGGGCTCGCTATTCATATTCTATCTCTACTTGAAAGACTATCTGAGACCTGGGACTGAAGAAAACCTCAGTTTAGGAGTAGCTATTCTAAGAGCTCTTTTGTAATTCCTGTTTCTAAGGAAACTGTTTCCTCCATCCCCGAGAAGAATGGCTGCTTTAGACAGAGCTCTTCTCTCTAGAGCTGATCAAACATTCCAGGGTAGCCTTTGGGAACTCTGAGAGGTGTTATACTTCTCAACAAAGGCTGCTGGAGGTGTGCGTCCATTTTCATAATCTAGGACAAATATGATACCGACAGGCTATTAATAAAGCCAGTTCTCGGGGGCAGAGTGAGGAAGCCAACTGATGTTAATGAAACTGTGTGGTCATTTTGGTCCTGTAGCTCCAATTAATTGAGAATGCTTGAGTAAAAGCAATGGTATTTTGCAAAAAGTAATTATAAATCAACCAGCAGATGGGTTGATTTATTTCATTCATTAGTTATATTTTTAAATAAAATTGTGGATAAATTCACACACACAGATTGGTCTTCAGATACTAATTAGATTAGTTTAAAAAATTCTGACTTAGCTGAAAAAATTGTATAGGAGATGATGGAGAACATAGGGAATTTGCTTTGGGTCTAGACTGACATGGCTTCAAATCTAAGTTCTACAACAAAGTATTGGTATATAATCTTGGGCAGCGTTTTGAATAATTATCGGCTTCAATTTTCTTATCTCTAAATAATGGTATTAACTTAATACCATTAAATGATAATGATATTATTTAAGAAGTGCAGCCAAATTTAGGTGAAGTAAGTAAAATATTTACATGGAGGGTCATTCTCTGCAACTTTAGTTAAATTGGGTATCCTACAGAAAAAAATATGAGTGCAATGGCTTAACCTTCATTCTAAGTATACTGACTTAGTTCAGACAGCACTGTATATATAAATAAAATTGTAACATAGATTTTATATCAGTTAGCTATATGTTAATTGTATTAGTTAACTGAGATATACATATATATATCATTATATATTGGCATAGGCTAATACAATATATATCAGGTAAATACTTTTTTCATTTTTTAAAACAAGTATATATATATATACACACATACACATATATATATATAATTTAATATATTATATCAGCCTATGCTTATATGTAACATATTCAGGCCCTTGAAAATGGCATATCAGCGGGTCAGTGCTAGGATTAACCAGCACTTTCAAAGGTCAGATTATAGGGGCAAGCCAAATGAGAATAGACATCCATTCCTTTTGAGCTTCCTATTTAGGGGAGGAGAAGAACAGTGTTGGCTGGTTGTGCTTTGCTGCTATTTCTGAACAAGACGTGGATCAGATAGGAAGACATACGATCTAGACTATGACCCAGAAAAGCTAAAAGAAGGATGAGGCAAAAATCTAATTACCTGGAGTTTCTATGAAGAATAAATCAATTATAAGCTCAAAAACATTTATCCTAGCCTTGCAAAACCTTAAAATAATAAGCACACTTGTATGTGATTGACATGAATGATCTTTAGGAAGGTTTTGATCATTTTGATCATGTGTCAAGTGATTACTCATGATAAGTCCCCAAAAGCCAAGAAGACCACTGAATAGCTCAAAAACTTGAAACCTCTTTGGCTCTTTTGAGGTCAAATACAGAGTATATCCACATATTAAGAAAATAGGAGAGTCAATACCCTTAAATGTTAAATCAATATGCTAAAATAGTCTAAAACTTATCTCATTAACCCTGTAGATTTTTAGCACCTTGCATTTTCCATAGTGCTTTGCACACCCTTTGCTGAAAGTGTGAAAAAATAACCATAGCTTTGTTCCTTTCTTATCCAAAGTAGTCAAAATGATTGTTCAAATAGATAGTAAATAACAGAGGATTTTCAATTAAAAAACTTTTCAGATGTATTAAATACTGGGTCAGAATGAAAGTCGTTTATGTGGACTTAGGCAATGTGGTTACTCCCAAACTTTTAGCCTGCCTTTATAAATGCCAAAAATATGCCATGTAATTCTATACAAATCCTAACATAGTGTCTTTCAGAATGTTTTTGTTGTTGTTCAAAGGTTTCTTTCTACACATTGACTGCTTGAAATATATTTACTCCATATTAAGAATAAAAAGCCTTGTACTTTTCTCAGGATGCTAGTCTCAAAAGCAATAATGATTTTTTTTTTTAATGTCAGTTTACCTGACATCTTTATTTAGGTACCTGTTGAGCCCCTGCTACATACCAAGTTTTGTACTAGACTAAGCACATTAATATATATTGTCTGATTTTATTTGATTTTTCCTTCTCATGGCAGTGGTGCTCAGCATAAAGGCTAAGAGCCCAGTCTTTCGACTCACGTAGAACTGATTCAAAACTTGGCTCTCACAATCACTTAAGTCTTCTGACTCTAAATTTTTTTTATTTAATAAGAACACTATTAAAATCATCCATCTGGGATGGAAGAGATCATTCTATAGCCTGAACAGTTAACCTACTGTGGAGTCATTTACTGTCTCAATTAATTATTACAACTCAAATCCATGATTGTGATACCTTACTATACACCAGTGTAAAATAAAATGGAATCTTTGTCTCAAACCTTCGATAATCTAATTGGAAAGACATACTTAAACACAAATTATGAATGCCATCTGCCAACAATTGTTCTTCAAAGTATACTTAGTAAAAAACTTCCTTATGTGTTTACATTCAAAGTTTATTAAGTCCACGTATGCGGTAATACATAATTCAAATGCATTTTATGTATACTTACTGTCCCCATAATGCTTACAACACAGTGCTTTGTGTGTAAGTAATGGTAAAAATATGTGTTTAACTGATCTTGGTGCGTAAAGTTTTAAATTAGGCTATTTAGCATGAAATTAATTCAGAAACTATATGCCACCATACAAAAATGTGATCAAGTATTGATATTTGACACAGAAAATACTTAAAATTGAAGAAATTATCTGCATTACCTGGGATCTTACTCTATAGAAATTATGTCTGTGCTATAAAACTCATGATATATATATTTAAAGTGCAAATATGCATTTTTCCCATATGAATTAAACATGAATTTAAAATACAGCTTCTTCAGGATGTGACAAATGTATTTTTCCTCTCTCTCTCTCTCACCACTTTTCCTCTCTTTCACTAAGGGTGTATTCGTGCAAACACATTTAACAATATCAGAAGAGTTGATTCATACTCAAAATTTACTGATGCATTACGTGGCAAAAAAAAAAAAATTACCTTCTAAAGGAATCCAAGTAAATTTAGCTTTTCTAATTTATTCTGTGGAAGGCATTACTTTTTCTAGGAATGAGTAAGTGATCATTTGGAAAGATTATTTTTCCTTCCTTTGTCCATAAAGATGTGATGACAGATTCAGAAACAAAGGCCATTAAATTGCCCATATTATTTATGGTTATGTCTATTTCTCTCCCTTCTTGTTTTTCATCAGGTTGGTATGCTATCTGCTGTGCCACACTTAGTAATGACAATTATTGTGCCTATTGGGGGACAAATTGCAGATTTTCTAAGAAGCAAGCAGATTCTTTCAACTACGACAGTGAGAAAGATCATGAATTGTGGTGGTAAGTACATAAGTGGCACTAAGGACATGTTTTTAGTTCAATCAGTTTAACCTACATGAGAGAATAACTTTTTCTACACATATCAAATTACTTAGATGCAGTTACATTTGTGCCTTCATTATTCACTTAAAATAACTTCCTCATATTACATCAAATTTTTCATAACTCCTAGTTTTAAGTAACTGCTTAATAATGCCATTTGTGGCCAGGCACGGTGGCTCATGCCTGTAATCCCAGCACTTTGGGAGGCCAAGGTGGGTGGATCACGAGGTCAGGAGTTCAAGACCAGCCTGGCCAATATAGTGAAACCCCATCTCGACTAAAAACACAAAAAATTAGCTGGGCATGGTGGTGAGTGCCTGTAAGTCCAGCTACTTGGAAGACTGAGGCAGGAGAATTGCTTGAACCTTGGAGGCAGAGGTTGCAGTGAGCCGAGATCACACCATTGCACTCCAGCCTGGGTGACAAGAGTGAAACTCCGTCTCAAAAAATAAAAATAAAAAAAATAAATAATAATGCCATTTGTATTTATTGTAACTAACTCACCTCTTCCAATCATTGAAACTTTAGGTTGTTTTGGATGTTTTTCTTTGTTTGTTTTTGTGTTTTTGAGATGGAGTTTCACTCTTGTTGCCCAGGCTGGAGTGCGATGGCATGATCTCGGCTCACCACAACCCCCGCCTCCCGGGTTCAAGCGATTCTCTTGCCTCAGCCTCCCAAGTAGCTGGGTTTACAGGCATGTGCCACCACACCCAGCTAATTTTGTATTTTTAGTAGAGTCTGGGTTTCTCCATGTTGGTCAGACTGGCCTCGAACTCCTGACCTAGGGTGATCTGCCCGCCTCGGCCTCTCAAAGTTCTGGGATTACAGACATGAGCCACCGCATCTGGCCTGGATGTTTTTATTAAACACAAGGAAAGCTTCATGAATCTCTAGGGTAAATTATTATGATTATTATGATTATTATTAGTTTTGAAGATAGACTCTCTGAAGTGGAATTTCTAGGTCAATAAGTTGGAACATTTTTAGCAGTTTTGGCTCATTGGTAAAATTTCAAAAATTTCTGAAGAATTTCTATGTGTTTGCTTCTGAAGGTTTTGGCATGGAAGCCACACTGCTCCTGGTCGTTGGCTATTCTCATACTAGAGGGGTAGCAATCTCATTCTTGGTACTTGCAGTGGGATTCAGTGGATTTGCTATATCTGGTAAGATATAATTTTTTTTCTTTGTACTTGGGACATTCTGATTTTGACTGCTGATAAAAGACACATACATATACCTTTTTATAGATATCTTCATATATATATTCTATATGTTGAATAATAGTCAAATATTTCCACTAGAAAATGAAAAAAATAAAATATTGAGAAAACATTTAGATTTGTTAATACTCAATTTCCTCCTGGACTGCCTTTTTTTGTTGTTGTTAAGAAAACATTACCTCTTCTCTGTGGAGTGAACATCACATATTAAGTATTAGATAAGAATTCATACCTCATTCTATTCTCATTATATCCCCGAGAGAAATTATCACAAAGTAATTAAGCACGTGTTCTGTACCCAGTATATTTTAAGGAGTTGTGATGTGTGGTTCTATAGGTA
Organism: Homo sapiens; assembly: GCF_000001405.40. NCBI lineage: Eukaryota > Metazoa > Chordata > Mammalia > Primates > Hominidae > Homo > Homo sapiens. The sequence goes on from NC_000011.10 coordinate 22,376,490, forward strand.
TTTACTTCTAAGACGTTTAGGATGCCCTGAGTCAAAACTTATGTGTGTATTTCAGGTTTCAATGTTAACCACTTGGATATCGCTCCAAGATATGCCAGTATCTTAATGGGCATTTCGAATGGTGTTGGCACATTGTCAGGAATGGTTTGTCCTATCATTGTTGGTGCAATGACAAAGAATAAGGTAAGATGGTCAAAACAGATGTTTAGTCATAGAAGACAGTTTCTCAAAATGATAATCTTTTTGGAAAAGAGTTAAAATATTATCCTTAGCATTTTCTTTCTTGTCCAGTCACCACATCTCTGAGTGGGAAATATAAATGAGGCTCAGAATACAGTATCTTTTTAAGAATTCCAAGAAAGTCCATTTCCCTAACCAATAACCAATATGTTTCTCAACCCTTTTTAATAATTCTAATACCCCTGATGTGATAAAAACCCCTTTTGTCTCTAGCTTATTAAAATACTCAAGCAGATGTCTTCTGAGCTTTGTTTGTAAACCTCAATTCAGACTCCTCTGCAGTTGTCCAAGGAACAATATTATCATCAGCTATTTGTACTTATATGTGTATGCAGAGCTTTAAAATTCTGGTTTACTACAAGTAAAGAAACAAAGGAAATGGAATAAAAAGATAAGTAAATCAATGGAAAAAAAGAGATTATGAATATTTTAAAAATCAGCAGGCCATAGATATATTTGTAATTTTATTTCTAAACTTTTAGATTTAAAACATTAAATAATAAAAGTAATAGTATTACAGAAGTGTTATATAGTTTTTGCTTTACATAATCAGGATATGGATTTTTCCCAAATATAGTGTTTTATGAAAACTCAGTGGTGGTGCATTCAGAGAAGATGTTAGGCGTTTAAATCATGGGGAGTCAGTTCTCACAGTGCTGCTTTTTCTCACTGCAGTCACGTGAAGAGTGGCAGTATGTCTTCCTGATCGCTGCCCTAGTCCACTATGGTGGAGTTATATTTTATGCAATATTTGCCTCAGGAGAGAAACAACCCTGGGCAGACCCGGAGGAAACAAGTGAAGAAAAATGTGGATTTATTCATGAAGATGAACTCGATGAAGAAACAGGGGACATTACTCAAAATTATATAAATTATGGTACCACCAAGTCTTATGGTGCCACAACACAGGCCAATGGAGGTTGGCCTAGTGGTTGGGAAAAGAAAGAGGAATTTGTACAAGGAGAAGTACAAGACTCACATAGCTATAAGGACCGAGTTGATTATTCATAACAAAACTAATTACTGGATTTATTTTTAGTGTTTGTGATTAAATTCATTGTGATTGCACAAAAATTTTAAAAACACGTGATGTAAACTTGCAAGCATATCAACCAGGCAAGTCTTGCTGTAAAAATGAAAACAAAACAAACCCATGAGGTTACCATCAAGTGCAATCTGTAAAATTGTGAAGTTCCATCATTTCCATTCAAGTCATCCATTCTTGCATTTGTGACTTAAAGGTTGACTGGTCAAAATTGTAGAAACAAGTAGTTACCCATTGGATTCATATGAGCTAAAACTCATCACTATTTACTAAAGCACAACATCTCATCCTACAAAAGTTAAGAAGCCAAAGCTACTTGATCATGCAAAATGCACTTATATATTTGTTACACTGTATTGCAAGATAGCACACAGAAGTTGGCTGCGTCAAGTAGAGGCGACATTTATTAAGTGAAAATCATGGAGTTGGGATATCTCTCAATTAAAGAAATACATTGTGAACTATCAGCTACAAAGTTGTACTGAATAACTATTAGAATTGCATAATGTGAGATATTTTGTTAGTCCTCAAAAGGAATATCTTGCAGTGTTTTCTATGAAATGCTTGGGCACAAACACTTATTTCTGTGAAAGAGAACATGTAAGTTGAGGGGTATGCTTCATGTTCTTCCATCCATTTACCTAATAGTATGAAACAGTTCACATTTCAATAAAATCAAACTTTTCATGTAGCGTATCACATAACTTTTTTGCAAAAAATATAAAAAGAAATAAACTTCAATGTATTTTTTATTACAACTTTGTACTGGTTGTAACTTGCATTAGAAAAAAAAGAGATATATACACCACAAAGAATCTAATAAGAAATTTATTATGGAGATATAGCCCTTAAAATGCAATATTAAGAACAAAGAAATAGAAAATGGTTTAGATATCTTTCTTCCTTCATAATTAAATACTATATGAAACTTGTGCCACAGAGCTATATATAATATGAAAAGATTAACTTCATAGAGATATTGTAAGTAGGTAATTTTATTATTTAAAGTCCTATTAAGAAATATTTGTCTTAAATATATAGGACAATACATTATATTAAAATGGTCTCTCTCTATATATATCTGTATATCTTATACATGTCCATACACAGAAACATAATAAACAATCTTCACACGAAACCAAAAATAGCATACACCTAATGTTGGGTTAGGGAATTGCAATTTCTACTTTCATAGAGTCATAGAATTTTAGGTGGGGAAGAGGCATTTTGCTTGTCATTTCTTAATATAACTCAACAAGAATTGCAACATTTGTGTACCAAGCAATAAGTGCAATGCATAAAATTTCCTGTCTGTATATTACCTTCATTTTGCTTGTAGTAGCTGTTTGGGTGGTTGGAATAATTTTATTTTTCTTTTAAAAAAGCTAACATCAGACCCCTTTATAATGTCCTAAAATTATGATAATACATTTCCCAATTCAACTCAAAATATTATTGGTGTATTTTGTCTATTCTGGATATTTGATCTGTTCAATGTACTGTGCTAGTGACTGGAGGCCCTGCTACTGCAAATATAAAACATAAAGTTTGTTTAAAAAAATGCAAATCATTCTTTACCTTAAGAAAAAAAAAATACCCTTTGCTTTGTGCCTCAAAGTGATGTAATGTGATCACAGCTTTTGTTGTGTTGAATGAAAATATGTGGACTGTCATTTTGTTGCAGCAAAAAAGTGTTAATAAAATGCTCTATTTATCCTTTTTTTAAAAAGCAGTGCATTAATCATACATTAATTTGGATTTATTTAGTATTTAGCTTTAATGTGAATTTAGCTGGTGGAGGCCCCAATGAAGCCAAATCTAGGCTTCAAGAACAACAACAACCTTTGGAGCCATTGGGGATCTAATGAAAGAACATGGCATTCTTTAGATTGTGTGGAATGTGGTTCCATAGAGTTTTAAATCAATAAAAAGGTCTCCGAGTGAAACTCCAGATTTCAATGAGTTTTCTCACAACTGCTGCTAAGTTTAAAGAAGAATTTAGGAAAAAACTAAAAACAGGTCACATCAATATTACCACCTAATTTTAATTGCACACATACCCTGTGCTAGGTAACTGTCCTAGTCATTTTTTGATATAGGATCTCATGTAACTACACAGTGGCCATCCAAAGTAGGTGCTCTTTTTATTCCCAGCTTGTAAATGAAGAAACAGAAATTCAGAAGGTTTGCATAGCTTTATCAAGCTAAAATGGTATAATGACATTATATTATAATGTTTCAGCCAAACCAATTAGCAGTAAGCAGGCTTTATCAAGGCAGCCAAAAGAATGTCTTTGTCACTGGAATGGAAATAATTTAGCTCAGATTCCCTATCTTATAGATATGTAAAAGACAATAGGGGTAAATATGTATAGAATCTATGTATAGAATCTATAAAATCTAAGACTCATAGAACTTTACTGCCCAGAGGATTTAGGAGATGATTTAGTTGATATCTGTTGTTGAATGAATGAGAACACTGAAGGCCAATAAAAGGAACAGACTTGATCAAGGGACACAGAGATTGTTATGGAATTGGAAAGAAATTTTGATGATTAGCTGTGCATTTATTTTTATTTTCTCTTTAAAGAAGGTTTCCATTTGAGTTAATTAAATGACCATTTATTGCTTCTACCACTACTCCCATGTCCACCACTCACATCTTCTAATCTTCTGCATAAAGAAACGATGGCCAGAGACCCAGCCTAGTTCTTAAGGAGGCTCACAGGCCATTCTCTGCAGAACTTGGTAATAGGAATAAAAATGACTTGAATTTAACACTATATAATTTCTCCAATTCCATAACAAAAAGTTTACATTTCTCATAAGAAAATTGTTCTTACCTGGGAGAGATGGAGCATGCCTGTAGTCCCAGCTACTCCTGAGGCTGAGATAGAAAGATCACTGGAGCCCAGGAAGTGGAGGCTGTAACACACTATGTTTGTGTCTGTGAATAGTCACTGCACTCCAGCCTGGGCAACAGAATGACACCCATCTCTAAAAAAAATTGTTCTAATGATGTCTCCAAATATTACCACCAGCCACATTCATTTTCTCATCTCTCAACCCTAAAAATTCATTGTCCCCTTCTCCTCTTCCTCTGCCTTTTTTTCTCAATTTCCTCTCATTATCATATGTGTCTTTTTTTTGCAGTTTGCAAAATGCTTTCCTATGAATTGCCACATTTTGTCTTCAATCTGCCTTTTAAAATTAAAAGGCCAAGTATCATTATTGGTATTTCTATTTTCCAGGTAAGGAGGGCAGGTCTAAAAGAGTGTAGTAAACTTCCTAAAGATTCCCCAGCAAAGATAGAACTAGAATATCGACTATCTGGCCACAGCAAGAGAGCATTTTCTTTTTACTTTTAAGTCATTTTATTACTTTTTTGAATATAAATGTAGTATTTGGAGAGTCGGGGAGCTTCATTAGGTGTAGGACAGCATTAAAATCAATGAAAATAAAGTAATCAATAATTATTCTACCCAGGGATACGCACTGTTAACATTTGGAGAATCCTTTCTGTGAAAAACACACATAAAACTTACATTCTATTAATTAAATACTATTACATATTATTTAGTTTGCAAGTTCAAAATTATACTTGATTTACTATTGTTACCTAATGTTCATTTAACAGTAGAGCCTGTTCATTTTCTTATTTGAATAATAAAGTTCTATAATCTAATATTCGATTATTTAATAAGAACTATATTTCATCTATCTATCCCATACCTCATTTATGAACATTTTAGTTATTTCCAATATTGGCTGCTATAATCAGTGGTGTTATGAATATCTTTGTGTTATCATCTTTGCACCCTTTTACCTTTATAATGTATGAACCCTTTTGGGAAATGCAAAGTGACATATACACATCTTCAACCTCTATAACCATGATGGATAATCAAGTTAACATCAGTGGTTTATTATTTCTGTATTTATCTACAGGAAATACTACTGGCAAATTGTTATTTTCTGGGGTTCACTTACTAATTGATTTGTTCAACTCAATAAATGTTTTTTAATCACTCATGCTATGTGAGGCACTGAGGATTCACGGGTGAGAAGATGACCCAGTCTCTGAGGCATTTATTTACGTGGCCCCTAGTTGCCCAGCAAGACCACACAAATGTGACTGAGAGAAGCTTCTGGACACAGGGCCCTAAGTAATAACTCTGAAAAAGGAATTTTCTTAAACTTCCATACTCCTGAAGATGAATTGCCTTCAAGTTGCTCCCCATATCAAATTGATTGATTGATTGATCATAGTTTCAGGTAAGGAAGCTTCTCTCAGCCTCAGAAAGCCTCATGCTGCAGGAAGTCTAGGTCATGGGAGATATCAGCATCTAGTGTCTCCAATACCTGAATCTCTGTAGAAGAAGAGATGGTCTAAACTTTTAAGTGTGTTTTCCAGTTCTTCAAATTTCTTTTTGTTGTGTTCCTTTTCTGGGCTTCTCATGAGCTGTAAATTTTCCCTTTCCATTTCTTCCTTCATCTACTCTCAGTTTTAACCACAAATAGAGACTACTAAGATTTAATTCTTTTGGTAGTGATATAATTAGCAGGGACTTTAATTTTTTTTCTTTCTATCTTCATTCAAGAACTCAGACCTGAATTTTCATTCAGCTACTGTCAAAAACACCTTATTTGTAAAGGTTTGTCTAACACTGTTCAGTCCCTTAAAGTGTTCAAGCTTCGCCAAGGTTTTCCCTAAATGCAGCCAGGCATCCAAAAATTGCATTATCTGGATGTTTAATCCTGACCCCTGCCCATATTCAGCATCATTGATTGAATGAAACCCTTAGCTTTCACCAAGAGCAAGCAAAATGAAGAAATCTCTTCAGTCTTGTTAAACTACATTTGAGGACGTGTTTTATCACTTTGCCCAATGTGCATTAGATAAAGATCCTTGCCTTTCTAATAGTTTGAGGAATGCTTTTTGTGTTGCACTCGTGTGCTGTCAACAATTAGACATGAAAGACATGAAGCCGGTCATGTTTCCTTCTTTGTTTCTTCTAGGGAGCTCCAAGATACACTTTTTGACTCGGTTGTTATTTGTTACCTTCCTTCCTCATTTACATTTGGTTTCTGTCTTTTACTGTTTCCTTGTTTAGGTGGTATTTACCTTTGATTTAATTTTAAAAAGACCATGTGAATGAGGTATTCAAGAATGATTATAATAATAATAGAAATAATTTTATAGGGCTTTTGAAATGCTAGCCACAGTTCTCAGTTACACACACACACATATACACACACACATATGTATATGTATATATGTGTGTATATGTGTGTGTGTGTATATATATATATACTTGCTTTTTTTGTATATATATACAAAAACATATATGTATATATATATACTTGCTTAATCTTTACAAAAACCCTTTGGGGTAGGTACTATTGTAAACTTCATTTTATAAATAAAGGAACTCAGGCACAGAGAAGTTAAGGTACTTGTCCAAGGTCACAGAGCTAAAATGTAAAGTTTGAATGTGAACGCAAGCCATCTGGCTTCATATCCTAAACTCTTTATCACTACAGTCCATTGTATCTGATTAGTTGTGTGACTTTTAGAAGTTCCTTAATTTGGCCGGGCGCGGTGGCTCACGCCTGTAATCCCTGCACTTTGGGAGGCTGAGGCGGGTGGATCACGAGGTCAGGAGATCGAGACCATCCTGGCTAACACTGTGAAACCCTGTTAGCCGGGCGCGGTGACGGGCGCCTGTAGTCCCAGCTACTCGGGAGGCTGAGGCAGGAGAATGGCGTGAACCCGGGAGGCAGAGCTTGCAGTGAGCCGAGATAGCGCCACTGCACTCCAGCCTCGGCGACAGAGTGAGACTCCGTCTCAAAAAAAAAGAAGTTCCTTAATTTATCCGAGCCTTGCTTTTTCATCCATAATATGGTACTTTAATACCCAATTAGTGGTTAGTTTTTGACTAAATCAAATAGTATGAAATGCTTAACACAGCACCCTGTGTGTTAACAGTGTAATAAATGCTTAATGTATGTAAACATGTAAGTGTTTAACAAATGTCATTTCTCTGCACCCTTTCCTTATGATGCTAAGTAAATATAAGGTATGAACTCTTCAAGTATGATTACAATGTCAGATCCATCACAATGGACCATTTTGGAAACTCTCTTGAGGTATTTTTATTTTTAACACTACTAAGTAACTCAGATTGGTTACCTAAATTACTTTTCTATTTATATTTTATAAATTTTATGTGACATGAAACAACTACAGAACAATAGGCACTATAAACCACAACACTGATTTTTTTTTTTTTTTTGCTGAAGCCAGAAAGCGTGAAAGAAAGTTCAAATTTGGCCTTTTTTCAATTTGAAAGAATATCTGAAGCAAAGAATAAAATATCAATATTTCTATATTCTGGGAATCCACATATCTATTTTTATTATATTTTATGCTACTTTTCTGTGTTTCAAAATACAAAACCCAGCAAACCAGATATAGTCTTATTGCTCTCCAGTCTTTTATTTTTAATCTCTGTGCTGCCAATTAAGACATTGCCATGATCTTCAAGAATATTTGACAGTTTTCTGGAGCCATAAATTTTAAAGCATTGGCAGAATGTTTTCATTTTATAAAAAAAGGTAAAAAAAGGAGTTATACACATTTTTGAACAGGTTTATGAATCCAAATGAAGTTCTTTTGCACAAAGCCAACAAAAGTGTGCATAAGAATAAATGTCACAGATAAAAGCCATCTTTCCCACAGATCTCATCAGAGTCTATTGGACTGCTTCTTGAGGATTTTAAAAAAGGGGGGCATTGTCGGGGCGGGCTGTCTGTCTCCATAAATGGAAGGTGGAAATTAGTATGTCACCATTAGGCTAAAGGCACATTAATTGTCTCAATTTCAGTTGCAATGGGGATAGCAGAAGAAACAGAACTGCTTGGGTTTGAGCCCTGAACCTGCCACTTCCCTTTGGTAAATACAAGGCATGTCATACCAGATCTCTGAGCCTCAGCTTCCCCATCTGGAAAATAAGGAATTGGTCTGCTTCAATGGTTCATAAAATCTCAGTTCCAAAATTTTCTGGCTTTAATCTCTCTGACAAATTACTGAGTTCCTCAGGTCAACTTGAAGAAATATAGTAAATTGTTCTCAGAATTCAATCAAATATGAGACTACATGTTTACTTTCTGCCTATATTTCTACTGACTTTATTAGCCACTCATTTTGATAACTAATAGGATAGACATTATGGGAGAGAGGGGCTTCTTTCAACCTGATAGGCTTGTTTGTATGATACTCCCTACTCCCTGACTTGTCTAGGAATATCTTGTATATTTTTACAGAATTTTGAATTTTAGAATTTCAGTAAACTCTTTACTACCTAAATCTTTTCCTGTGAGTTGGAATACTTGTATAAAAAAAAATGAGTCTGAGTTCTAATAACTGGTCACACTCAACTTTTACTAGTTTAATGGAATATATTATAGTACACTAGCATGCTGGAAAGAATGAAAATAATATGAAAATTCTTTACCTTTTTTTCTTTTTGAAATGGAGTCACCCAGGCTGGAGTGCAACGGCGTGGTCTTGGCACACTGCAACCTCCGCCTCCCTGATTCAAGTGATTCTCCCGCCTCAGCCTCCCGAGTAGCTGGGACTACTGGCGTGTGCCATCACGCCCAGGTAAATTTTGTATTTTTAGTGGAGACTGGGGTTTCACCATGTTGGCCAGGCTGGTCTCAAACTCCTGACCTCATGATCTGCCCACCTTGGCCTCCCAAAGTGCTGGGATTACAGGTGTGAGCCACTGCACCCGGCCTACTTTATAAATGGAAAGGCTGAAGTCAGAAAGGTGAAGTGACAGTTCATGTCACCCAGCTAGTTAGTGACAGAAGGTAACTCAAACGTACATTGTGGGATTCACAACAGTGTTTCTGTCATAACTGAAAACCACTGTTTTATTCAGTAAGTCCATTAATTTGCCAAACAGCAAATATTTGTTGAGAATGTATTATGTGACAGGTACCAGGAATATTGTGGAGGGAAAAGACTAAGTGGACCCTGCCTCCTCAGAACTCTCAATGCAGTGTGAGTTACAGATAATAAAGAAATAACCAGAAAAATCTATTATAATTCTGGTAGATGCTATAAAAGAGAAGTTAGGTGTTTTAAGAAGGTTAAACAGGGCACGTGACCCAGTCTATAAGCTGGGAAAAATTTGCTCATGGATGTGACATATACCATGAGACCTCAGAGATAAATATGAGTTAGCCTGGCATAGCATGACAGGTAGAAAGTTTCAGAAACAAGAAATGGCATGTGAAAAACACCCTAAGGTGAAAAGAGTTAGATATGTATTTGGTATTTTAGTGTTAGCACTACCCAGATGACAGTGAGTATGCATATAGAGCAAGTGGCATTTATTTAATAGACAGAAATGCTAAACAACTGAACTTAAACGTACAATACTAAAACATTATTTTAAGAGCTACACTCTGCCTATTCATTACTTCATTCAACATCTATTGAGCTATGTGCTGGCCTGTTACTGCACTATGGGGATACAAAAATGAATGAAACATGGTTTTTGCTCTTGAAAAGCTCATGGTTTAGTGGAGAAGAATGTAAACAGAGGTAGGAAGAGAATGTCATCCACACAAATGTAAGAGACTTTTTTATACATATCCTAATTGGGCAGCAAATTCCACATATCAACAGGTAAATAATTTCTTACATGATTATACCACTTTACAGTTTTCAGAGCATTTTAACACAGTGTTTATCATAATTTGCAATGAGGTATTTGTTTCTTTTTAGGAATTTAAAGTATTTCTCCTACTAACACGTAAAACTCATATGGCAGATCTTTTGTTCTAAATGCTGCATACAGGGCATAACATAGATTAGGAGCTCAATAAAAACTTTATGGATGAAAGAAAATGTGGTTATATTTGATTTGGCCAGCAAATTATAGAGATAGGGAGAATGATATTATCCTCCTCATTAAATTAACCTTTCTGAAAGAAGAAAGGTCTGAAAAGGGAAAAAGAGAAGACATTGAACTGGAGTTTGAAAGTGAAATAGGTGTTTGTCCATTTTATAGGTGGAGGAAAGGCATAGAGGTAGAGACTACATCATTAACAAATTGTGGAGGCGTGTCAACCATACTGTTTGGAGATAAGTGAAAAGATAGTGTGATTGGAAGATCAAGTATGTTTAGGAGCAGAAACAAGGCTGGTAGGACTATTAAGCTGGTTGTGCAATGCTTTAGATGCCAGACTAAATTGTTCAAATTTTATCTTATAATTGAAGGGATTTTAGGTGGGGATTAAGATGATCAGATATGTCTAGGACATTACATGGAAGTGGAGAGAGACTGAAGGTGGCTTCTGTATTACAGTGCCAAGGAAGACATGGAGGGGGAAGATGGTATATCCTGGGAATGGTGGCGTGTTTCCAGATGTCAAGCCAAAACTTGACATATTTATTCCTTCCTTATTCACCCACTTACAACTCAAACTCCAGAGCAGAATGTAGATATTCAAAATAGACTGACAAAGACATAATTCATGCTTTCTGCATCTTGCATAATGATTCAAAGGCACAGTGATCCACTTGTCCCTGACTTCCATAACTCTGGACAAAAAGAACCACACACAATATTTATTATGAGAACACTTCTCTCTTTCTCTTTCTTCTTTTCTGAAATCCAGTCTCAAACATTAAGATTATACACAAGGAGAAGAGAAAGTGTATCAATATTATTTTTGTTTTCTGTCTCATACCTAGAGACATATTTATGCTAGAGATATCTCCAGTTTAGTCTCTTTCCAAAAACAAAAAATAAACAAAACAAAACAAACAAACAAACAAATCAGTGCTCTCAATCCTGGGAACAATAGACTCATCTTAACGGTAACGGTAGATTTAACTTAAGCTTCTGACCATATCCCCATCATTTTTTGTGCCTTTAAAAAGATTTTCTTTCTTTCTTTTCTTCTGACAGCATAGTTCTTTATAATGTGCCTAAAAACATGTATGAAAACTTGATGTGTCATTGGAAGGCTTTCAAAGTCAAAATCTCATTCTTCATCTGTATTAATGAACATTAGTTTTGCCTTTATTAAGGATTTATTCTAAAAACCATAGAAAGGCTGGGGTAATACAAACTACCCTCTCACTAGGGGTTACAAATGCAATATGAGAAGCATTGGACTTGACTTCACATCACAACCTCTAGTCATGTATGAACAAACTACCTAATATCTCCAAGATCCAGTACATTCATCTGCAAAACAGGCATAACAATGCATAACTCACTGAATTGTGGTAAAAATTAAATAAGATTATTTGATTTTCAAGCTTTGTAAATCTTTTTAAGGTACCAAACAAATGCAAAATTTTCAAATTCTTCCATCTGGTTGAAGGTGGTAGGTCTCCCAGAGACTTCTAGTAAGAGATAAATATTTAATTGCATGTAAACATATTAAGCTAACTGCAACTATGAATATTTTATCATATATGGCAGATTTTCAGAATACCTTCGAACATTTTCCTTTATTTGATCCTTGTTCCAATGATTTGACATATAATGGAGAAGAGTCATTATTCCCCCTTTTCCAAATGAAAAATAATCAAGATTCAGGGATTTTCTATGATTTGTCCAATTTCGGACTAGAACACAAGACTAGTGCTAATTCAGATACAACACAGTACTCATTCTTGGGATAGAGCCAAGTGAAATGAATCCCAGGAGCAGTGGTAATTGGAAAGAGCTGCTTTCCAGAAAAAATAGGTCTTAGGAACCTACTTAGAAAAAGGGTGTCCTAGGAACACCCTTTGTGGAGGGCAGGAGCAGTCACATGACTGCATGGAAACCCTGTGTAGGGTGGTGAGAAAGGTAGCACTAAGAAGGAAGGGAATGGGTCTAGAGGGCTTGTCTATCATGCTTTTTTCTGTTCACTGACAGCAAGTTATTATTATTTTATTATTAATATTTTATTTATTATATATTATTTATTATTGCCTTATTATTTTGCTCCCCAGCAAACTCACTGAAGGTAAGAACCATCTCTTAGGTCTCTTATATTTTCCCATGGTTCCCAAAACTGTAACTCCTATCTAACTAATACACAATTGCACAAAAGAGAATAGTGTCCAATCCAAAATCTGCAAACTCACAACACCTCTATATTAGTTTCATAGGGATGTCTTAACAAAATATCACAGAGTTAATGTCCTACAACAACAGAAATTTACTGTCTTAAAGCTCTGGAGGCCAGAAGTCTGGAATCAAGATGCCAACAGGGTTGTGCTCCTGCTGAAGGTGCTATGGAAGGAACTGCTCCAGGCTTCTCTCCTAGCTTCTGTTAGTCCCTTGGCTTATGGCAGCATAACTCTAATCTTGACATGGTGTTCTGCCTGTGTGTATGTCTGTCTCTTCACATGCACTTCTTTTTATAAAGATACCAATCATATTGAATTAGTTACTACTGTACTTCAGTACGACCACATCTTAACTAATTACATCTGCAGTGACCCTATTACCAGATAAGGTAACATTCTGAGGCAGTAGGAGTAAGGACTTCAATATATGAGGTTTTAGGGACATAATTCAATGCATAGCAGCCTCCTCCTGCTCTTAGGAGAATCTATCATGGTCTTAGTTTTTAAGATCTTGTTCAATTAGTGACCACAAACAGCTACTCTTTATAATCTCTCCATTTCTCTCTCCTCTACTATGGGTAATAAGATTCTTGACCAATACCATTATACTTGGCTTAGTATGGGCATTGATTTTCTAGCATTGTCTCCAAGATGTGCAGGAATGTGAACATCTGATTTTACCATAATACCATCTGAAATGCAGAATGTGAAATGCTAGTCAGCAATGGAAAAGCGAACATGAATTCTTGATGGTGAGGAAGACATCATATTGACGCTACACTGCCACTCTTCTGACAAGAAGTCTGTCTGACAAGACATGTTGTCGGTTCCCTAAGGATCAGATGGCAGAAGTCCTATGTCAAAGGGCAATAAATAAAATGAGCACTGGAGACAAGGGCATAAAACAAGTGTACTCGGCTGTGTGACTGGCATCTCAAATGACTCAAGAGTCCGATTTCTTCCACTTGGCAGTTTGTATCATAGTCTACATTTAACTTCACTCAGAAAATTCAGGGAAAGTATTCAGTGTAACAGCAACATCAGTCATGCAGAAGGCAGAGCTATTACTTGGGGTAATGTATTTATTTGAGAACCACCAACTGTGTATATCTCAATGTGAGATCTGCAGAATATATGAGACTGAAAAGTTGCCTGAAAAGCAAAACCAGAATCCCCATGAGTCATTCTGCTTCTAGGTTCTAATGTGGTTACTTAACAGTTGAACCTGAAGTCTACTCCTGTCTCAATGTCCAGTTTTCCTTTTGGGGAGCTTCCCGTGGGCTCTCATGTCTATCTGAGCCACTACCTGGGCCTTTGCTGCATTAAGTGCTTGAGAACTGATCCCCAGCCACAGGCCACTTTTTGTACAACTACTAAGAGTTTCAGCAAGGACTCCTTTTGCTACTCTCATGCTGTCCTAAGGGGTCATTGGCCCTTACCCGCTACATAGGACCCACGATTGGCCAATGAATTACAAAGAGGCAGATGATTTTTGAAAACGACACCCCTTCTTCCGGTTGAGGCTGTCTCATGCTTGGGTACATTGCTTGGCATGTGGAATTCCGGCTGAGTTTACACTCTCAGCAGATCTCTTCTCCTAGTCCCTTTGTGCAGGGTACACCTTACACCAAGTTATGGGGTTCTTCTATAATCTCCTGTTTACCAGTCAAATTTTCCCTTTAGTTACTCACAGTACAGTTTAAACTTTAAACATAGGTTATTTCCCAAAAGAATATGGGATTATAGAAAAAGTTCTAAATACAGTGATTTTTAACTGTCACTGTGAGGATTACAAACTCGAAGGCATATAGGGACCACATATATTATGCAATAAAAGAAGAATGGCTAGTGGGGATATGGTAACATTGAAAACACACCCGGCAGAACAGGGGTAGCAACACCTCAGTCCCAGCAGATTGCGGCCATGTGGGAATGATATCACTTATTTTCAAGAGAGGCTAAAAATCTAGATGTTTGTATGACGTTTCACATTTATTTAAGTGTTGGCTTTTTTTTTCTTTTTTTTTTTAAAACAGAGTCTTGTTCTGTCGCCCAGGCTGGAGTGCAGTGGTGCGATCTCGGCTCACTGCAAGCTCCGCTTCCTGGGTTCACAATGTTGGCATTTATTTAAATGCCTCCAGGCCAATTTGGCCCTCAGATTTGGACTCAGAAATCTCTGGGCTGGTGCATGATTTGGGCCTTCCTCAGGCATCTCTTACAGAATACTCCAGGCTGATTTCCTGGCAAGGCTCAGGGCTAATGTCATGCCTTCTTCTCGGTCTATGTCCCTGAGGTAGAGATCACCTTTTTCTTCTTTACCTGCAGCTATATTAAAAACATCTACCTACCTCAGAGACCAGGATCAAGGGATTGAAGTCCAGGGAGAGAAAGCCTTTCCCTCTTCATATGTATTTAAAGCCTGCATTTCTTCCATTCAATAGACATTGACTGTGTGACCACACATAAACAGGCACTGTTCCAAACATATGTATGTACGTCATGACATATGTATGTATGTCACATATGTATGTATGTCAAGACATGCAAAGTTTATTACATGTCCTGGAGGCATATTTTTAAAAGTAAATAAATAAGAAAAAGTCCCAAAATTGTATATATTTGGGCAAAAATAAAAGAGGATAATGAGATAGAGAGGATAGTGGTGGGTTGAGGTTAGATTGGGTTGTCAAGAAAGCCTCTCTAAGGAGGTGGCTGGTTAATATACATATATATATATACACACATACACATATATATACACATATATATACACATATATATACATATATATACACATATATATACATATATATACATACATATATATATACATATATATATATATATATATATTTTTTTTTTTTATTATTTTGAGATGGAGTTTCGCTCTTGTTGCCCAGATTGGAGTGCAACGACACGATCTGGGCTCACCCCAACCTCTGCCTTCCAGGTTCAACTGATTCTCCTGACTCAGCTTCCCAAGTAGCTGGGATTACAGGCATGTGCCACCATGCCTGGCTAATTTTGTATTTTTAGTAGAGACAGGATTTCTCCATGTTGGTCAGTCTGGTCTCGAACTCCCAACCTCAGGTGATCCACCCTCCTCAATCTCCCAAAGTGTTGGGATTACAGGCGTGAGCCACTGTGCCTGGCTGGATGGTTAATATTGAATGTCAACTTGACCGGATTGAAGGATGAAAAATATTGTTCCCAGGTATGTCTCTGAGGGTGTTGCCAAAGGAGATAAACATTTGAGTCAGTGGGCTGGGAGAGGTATACCCACCCTTAACCTGGTTAGGCACCATCCCCTCAGCTGCCAGCATGGCTAGAAAAAGCAGGCAGAAGAACCTGGAAGGAGCAGACTTGCTGTCTTACAGTCTTCATCTTCCTCCTGTGCTGGATGCTTCCTACTCTCAAATGTCAGACTCCAAGTTCTTCAGCTTTTGGATTCCTGGACTTACACCAGTGATTTGCCAGAGGCTGTCAGGCCTTCAGCAATAGACTGAAGGCTGCACTGTCGGCTTTCTTACTTTTGAGTTTTTGGGATTCAGACTGGCTTCCGTGCTCCTCAGCTTGCAAACAGCCTATGGTGGGACTTCACTTTGTGACCATGTGAGTCAATATGTCTAATGAGCTCCTCTTCATATATACATATATCCTATTACTTCTATCTCTCTAGAGAACCCTGACTAACACAGGAGGAATCTTGAGTAGAGTTTCTGAGAAGCAGAGCCCAAGATGGGGATTCCTATGAGTGATTGTTGAAGGTATGCTCTCAGGGGAAGTAAGAATAGAGACAGGAGACCAGCTGGGTTACTGCAGTGTTCAGTTGACAGACAATAGAGACTGGACTAGGAAAGTAACCATAGAAAAGATAAGAATCTATCAGAGTTGCAAAATGTTTTGAACAAAAAGCAGACAGGATTTCCTGATGAATTGAATTCTGAGGTAAGGGGAAAAATGAATCAGGGATAATCTTCAGAATTTTTGGCATTTGTTAGTTGACAGTGTTATTGGCTAACTTGGGTTAATAAACAAGGGAAAGAGAAAACAATGCAGGGAAATGAATACCTTTTGGACATGCTACATTTGAGATGCTTATTAGAATTCTAGTATAGTTGTTATGTAAAAAGTTGGACAAATAAGTTTAACGCTCAAGAGTGAGGTCAGGGCTACAGTCATAAATTTGAGAGTCATTTACCAATTGATAATATTTAAAGTCATCAAAAAGGTGATACCAACCAAGAGAAAAAGTATAGAGAAGAGGGCCCAGGATCAAGCTCTGAAACATCCAGTATGTACAGCTTCAACGGAGGAGAGCCAGTCATGAGCACTAAGAGAGAGATGTGTGGTTTCATCAAAGTTGAAATAGACCTTCTATTTCACTAACTCTCTTCTAATTCATTCCTTCTTCCTGGTGTGGTAGCTGTGGAATTTAGATGGGATTGATCCTATCCTATCTCCAAAAAAGTTCCCAATTAGTGCAAATCTGTCAGGATAATATTATCCCCCTTGACTCAGGAGTTGGTTTTGGTAGTACTGGCTTAATTCAAATAATGCAAGTCATTATCTTGACTATATAATTCTATTCCAGGCTGTTTTAATAAATATAAAACTCAGGGTTTTATTTTTCCACAAATAAAGAAAAACTATCTTTTCTTCCAGGTGTAGGTGAGAAAGCAATTTGCCCTAGATTTGGCTGTAAGCTGTCTTGAAATTATAAAGAACACACTCATGGATGAAATTGACTCTTGGAGGAAGGGCAGAACTCAAAGGACTGTATATAAATGGAGCTAGAGGCCAGACCAAACTCTATTTGAAGGCATCCCATTTTACTCCTGATCTTTTCATATTTGTATTTTGTCAATGACCTGATAAAACCCCTTTATTTTTTAAGCCAGATTTTCTAGAGTTCAGTAACTTGCAATCCAGGGCCCTCCCATGGATGCAAAATTTAGAAGAAAAGAGTATCTCAGGAAGAAAAGGGTGACCACAGTGTCAAATGCTGCTGAGATTAATTTAAAGGAGGAAAGAAATTAGTGCTCGAATTTTACAACATAGATACTGTCGATGACATTGATAAATGGCATTTCTCCTGTGGCAAAGTAGTTCAAAGGAAGCACACATAATTTTACAAGATACTAGGTATTTTGAATGCATATCACTCTAAATCCATACTTGGAAATTAGACCTTCTCTGAAGGTAACACAGTGTGCAGATATGCAACTCTGCCCAACATCAACAAACACTCAGACTAGCACATCAAGCAGTTTAGCACCTGAATTCTGCAACTTCTGAGACACTTCAATTTCTAATAGTCATCTCCATAAAACAGTTGTACAAAAATGTCTGATTTGTGTGATTTTCCAAGAAACAAGAATGATCTGCCACAAAGGTTTATTTAATTGTCATAATAATTTCTCACTTGATCTTAGCCAAAAGTCCGAGAAGCCATTAATTGTCATAATAATTTCTCAAGATTTTAACAGTGCCATTAAGATTTAAATGCTCTAAGAGGTAGTACTGGTCAGATTTTAGGTGTAAGCTACCACGTATTCATCCAGAAATCTGTGCTCAGGCCCATGATACAGAAATGCATCTAAGCTCTGAGATTATAGCAATGGAGAATCCATTTTGCTTTTCCAAATCTTTCTCTGGAGAATCACTGCCTTTTCCCTGGGTATTTGTTAGCTGACCTTTTTGCCAAGTCTACACCCACTCTCTACTCAGGTTGAGCTAAAACACTCTGTTAAACTTTTTTTTTTTTTGGTAACTTGAGATATGAAATTTAATCCTGTCAAAAATGGGCTATGTTAACTTGAAACTTTAGGATATGCTCCTGTTTTTATTGGTGAAGCTTTCCTAGCAATGTGAAAAAGGATACCATTACACCATGACACTCAATATTCCTGGAATTAATTACTGAACCAGCTTTCGAACTTTATCTTTTCTACATTGGACTTATTTTGATACTCTGATCATTATTTTATTCCTCTTTTGCGTACTTTTCTACTTTACTGATTTATTCATTAAGAATCTTTTTCTTATTTTAAATATGTTCTGTTGCTTCCTGGATATCACTTTTTTTTTTCCTCCTGGAGTGACATTTCAATGAACTGAAAAACCTGAATCACTCCCCATGTTTTCAGGCTTATGATTAGTTAGAACTATTTGGTGAAAGAGAAAGAAGTCTAACCCAAATTAGAATGTAATAGTTCATATAAAACTGAAAAAAAGCATCAATTTGTGTACAGATTTGAGGAAAATATTTATTTAATCTCTCAAATGTGGAAATTAGGTATGTATCGACTTTGCTTTCTTCTAAGGTTTAGCCACTCTCAAGGAGACTCTACTTTCCTTGAAATAACAACTTTGGAAAGGAAATTTGATATTTTAATCAATTGGACGTAGGTTTGATTCCTATCCCTGGAATTAAGGGTGGAGTCAGTTCCAATTGAAGTTCATGATCTGAGAGCAGTGGAGGAGATAAATTCCCCTCCCTCTCCAGAACTGGGAGCTATTAACAGACAAGTAAAAATGAATGATTGGCAGTTTCCAAATGTCCATTTTGCCACCTATTATTCCACATACATATCAACTTTTGGGAAATAATTAGGTTTTTTAAGACTGAGGTTTAAAGTGAAAAACTCCTCGCTAAGTTTATGGTGAGATGCTGAAGCAACGAGAGAGAACAGAAACAAGAAATGGGTAGAAAAACAAATGGAAATTTAATGAGATCCATCTAAAAACAGAAATGGATACTGGGGTATACAGTCAGGAATCAGAGCCAGGGATATGAATATTATAGTAGGCAAAAATCATCTATATAATTACATTTTCAGAGATATGTATTGACATGAGAACATGTAGAGATAAAATACTCACCAAAACTGTCACATTTCAACTTCTTGAGCACACAGCTAAATTGCACTTCTCAGCCTCTTGCATTTAGGTGTTCTCATATGACTGAATGTTGGTCAATAGTGTGAAAGCAGAGGTCATAGGTATCATTTTCAAGGATGACTTCTGAAATCTCCCATGAGATCCTTCATGCCTCCATACTAAACCTTGTCTTACCTGTTAGCCAGATCCAGAGAATCCATTATATGGCTTTGAAGCACCAGAAGAGGGCATAGCCACTAGGTGGAAGGTTCCAGGGTCTCCGAATGACTGAGTGCAAAAAATATACCTATTAAACTATTCTCAACTATGGTTTCAGTGAGAAATACATCTTAGTTATGTAAAGCACTGTAGGTGGAGTTGTTTGTTGTAGCATTTGGCATTCTTTACTATTTTACATAATATAGAGTTGAGTCATTTTTTAAATGTGAAAAGTATGTATTATAACATTTATTTTAAAAAATAAAAGAAGAAAACAAATAAAAACAGTAAGAATGGTTAACTCCAGGTGCTGGGCTTACTTGCAATTTAAAATGATTTTGTCTGGGATTTAAAGCAATTTTTAAAAGTAAAATAAACATTATATGCTGCAAACAAAATTTTAAGAAAAGCTAAATGGGAAAGGTGTTGAGAGATGTTTGAATGTTGTGTTCCGTATTGGTTTGATTTTTGGAGTGTGATCTGGAGCACAGAGCATAAGCTGAGTGATTAAGTTTTAAAGAGATTGCACAGACAAATACTTCCTAAAGAATCTCCATTTGAACATTCAGGGAACTTTTATATCTGCAAGCTACTCTCCCGGTAGATCTAGAACAACAAAGATTACTCCCAACATATAAAAGAGATTTCATTAGGTGCATTGGAATGAAGAAAATCTTGTTTAAATATGGTTAACGGCAACTCTAAAACACAAACTTTGGGCACTTTCAAATCAAGAACCTGATTAGTAGTAAAGAACCCTGGCACGTGGAGTGACCAGTCCAGTGAAAAAATGGTGTGGACAAGAATACAATACAGTACTTAGGATGCAGGCTTGCTTGTTATAAGAATAAGGCCTCCAAACATATTGGCTTGCTTGACTTAAACAGGATCAAAGTTTGCCTTATTCATCTCCTAGAAGGGAGTCCAAGGCTGGTAGAATTATTTGACAGTACTGAAGATGGAAGCTTGCTCATTTGGTTGCTCTCCCATCTTGAGCGTATTGCCTTATCTGCATGTTTGCAGATGGCTCTCCTCCACTTCCATATTCCAGTCTATGAGAAGAGGCATAATCTAGAAATTAAACACATTGCTCTGCTCAGATTGCATTGGCCCAAACTTAAACAAACTGTACATATCTTCAAGGGAGCCTGAATAATCTTTACCTAGTGACCATAAATACTATGAAAGTTCTCTTGTTTAAAAAAAGAAAGTAAGAGTGAGTATTGGGTGTTAACTAGCATTGCACAACATACAGAGAAGAATCCTGGGCAATTAGAACAGAGGAAAAATTGGAAAGAATTAGATGGGCCCAGAATTAACAGTATTGGTGAAGAAAGAAAAATTGAAATTCAATCTGCACTGTTTATTACTAGTAGTTTATTGTATATAATTGTGTTAAAATTACCCTCTTTGTTAAAAAGAAAAAGGTTCACAGGGTACATTAATAATTTAAACTCCTGAGTGAGTGAAAGAAATCTTCAGGTTTTTGCTGTACATTGATAAAGAGGATCAACTGAACTACATTGACTCTCATGAGTTCTAGTCCTGCTACTCATTAAGGAAACAGAGTTTTAGGCAGGTACAGGAGCTGACAGTGTTGTGGTCAAAATCTCTGAGCTAGGAGATTCCGAGAAACAAATAAATAAAAGAAAAGATAGCCAAGAAAGGTAAAATAAGGAAAAGAATCTGACACCAAGACTGCAGCTTCCCAGCCTCAGTGGTCTTAATTCAAACCCTCTCACCCTGGAAAGATACAACTCCCTCCAGATAAGACCTTGTCAGCTGTGTGGGAGATAGGACTTGTGAGGAGGATCCAGACTGTTCTTAGGCTCTTTTCCTCCACTCTAAGCATGGCTTCTTTGGTAGGACTGGGCTTTGGATCTGCTTTTCTCACTCCTACACATATGGGCATTTATTGGAATTAGACTGACTTTCTTCCTCATATTCATCAACCTTGACTGTCCCCCACTGATCCAAGTATCTTCCTACTGGGCCTGCTATTTCCTTCTGCTACAAATCTTCACTCCACTCCCATGCAATTTCTCCCCTTTTCCACTTATAATTTATCTTAGCCTGACCTTTGGATAAGCTTAAGAACCGCAGCAATATGTGCTCTTTAAATACAAGAGAAGAGTGTATACTTAAAAGAAAGGTTTGATTAAGACAGACAATTTAAAATTCAGCCACTTCCATTTTTCAAACCTACTTGATGTGAATTGTATTCCCACTAAAATTGTGATCAAGAAAACTTTCACAATTTGTTCTTTGGCTTACAAGGTGTTTTGGCGCTTCTTTACAAAGACAACTGGAATGACAAAGAGACACCCAGGCCCATTGGAACACAGAGTATTCTATAGCTAAACAGGTCCACTGAATTCTCATTAGGATGAACTGGTAATTGATATTCCAATTTATGTATTAAACAAACATGCATTGTACACCTTCTAATGACCACAAGACAACCGAGAACTTAAGTGTACAATCTTTCATGTTAAATAAGAGTACCTACATCATAGAGATTGTGAGGATTAAATGTGACAGCATGCTTAAAGAATTTAGGGCAGGGACTGTCATTTAGTAGGTACTCAATAAATAAAGGTTATTCGCGTAAAACAGTACTATGTTTTGGAGATTCAGTGATAATTGACAACATTTTTGGCTTTGAAAGTCTTTGACGAGCCAGCAAAAAAAGGGATTCAAAGACATTAGAGGAGAGTATTGAAATAAATTAAGTTGGAATTTCTAACTTTATCAATTAATAAAATCTGAGTGAAAATGAAATGCCTGAAGACAGGTTTTGATAAAAAATAGAGAAAACCTGTTAGGTACGCGATTGGGAGGGGTTAAGTCTGAGCTGAGAAGACCTTGTCAAAATAACAACGTTTCTGAGGGTCAAACCTGAACCTGGACGTGACAACTATTTACTTCACTTTCTTGTCATTTCCTTCCTGTTATTCATTAGGTTTTAGGTCTGCAGACATTCTCAGCGATAATACAATTCAGCAATATATCTATTCTTTGAATTTATGGAAAAAGAAGTGATAAAAAATAAAAATTCTATAAATCAGAATTATATTCTGCACATGATGATATGGTAAGATAAAATATGTATTTAAGCACCTGAGCATTTTTAATGTTCAGGAGAATGTTTCTGGTTGACACAATGATGTCCACTTGGTATTCTAAGGTTTAATCTCTTAAGATGTGAGGGCTAACCACAGACTAGTTTACTATTTGACTTTGTTAAAAATAAAAAGTATTTATAGACAGTTGAATAACCAATTTATAAATTTAAGCTTATCTCACACAATGTGGAAAGTCAAAGTAACATTTGCTTATATTAAGCAAATATATGTGTATATATTTGAAATGCACGTTTATATGTGTGTGTACAGAGCCAGGTTCTCATCAGGAAACCTCACACTCAAACACAGTAAAGGAAAATAGTTTGATACTGGGTCTGTTTACCAGGTGTGGGCTTGGTTAAAGGAAACCACCAAGAGATAGTGAAGTACTTCGGAGTTAGTAACCACAGAAATCCAGGGAGTTATTACTGCCCTTAGACACAAAGAAGCAAGGTGAAGGAGCACTTCAGTGAACTGGAGATGATAGCTGTAATTGTAGCTGTAGCCATAGGAGAAGACTCAGCAAAAAGGGCCTGACTGCACCTATGGCTTCTGTAGAGGGAACAGCAAATCCATTATGACCCTGCAGAGGGAAACTGAGGAGTATAATACCTTGCTTATTACCCAGCTATTCTCTATCCACTGCTCTATCTTCCTTTGGCCAAATCCAACTGGAAGGCAAAGGTCAGAAGACAACAATGATGCAATTCAAGGAAGTAGTATCTTCTTGTTCACTTGTACCTTTAGAAAATAATTGGTTTATTCAATCTATTTTTCCCTGTTGGATTATATTTTTGAGACATTAATATTGCCAGTTCCATTTTTTCTTTGTTAGCATTTACTTATATCATTGTTCCATTATTTATTTCCAAACTTTGTCTTATTTTGTTTTATTGCCTTTCCTAGATATATTCCTGACTATTTTAAGGACAAGATTTGAGAATTTGAGTTTGATTGGGAGATTATAACTCATTCAAATTTACTCTCATTCCTGGTATTTTTGATACACTATTATTGCATTTTTGTTTTCCACTCATGCTTTCATAGTATTTATTTTTACATTGTATCTTTTATTCCTCACCTTTCTTATAATTAATTATTGTTTCGAGGAATGTTTCTTCATATGCTTTATCTCTATTTTTAGTAGATATTGTAAAAATTTAACAATATTTAAATTGTATTGCTCTATCAATATTTGGCCTTAAACAATTCAAAAAGAGGCATAGCATATTTGGAGGACTTTGGGCTAAATAGAACTTTGCAAATTTTATGAGCCAAAGGAAGGCCATAGATCCAAGGAAAGACCAATCTGAAATGAGAATAACTAGGTAAGCAAGGACAATTGCAATAAAAGTAGTTTGGGTGAAGTTCAGCTCTTATGTCAATGCTACAATAATTCTTCTTGAGAAACATCTGTAAAGTCTTAGTGGCATACAACAATAAGCACTTATTTCTGGCTTACAATCTATTAATGAACTGAGGCAGCTGTGCTTTACGCTAAGGACCTGCTCCAGATAACTCTGATCTTTCTTCTGGGACTAACAAGCTGATGGTGATGGCAGAAGTGCAAGAGGGGAAACCCCACTGATCATGCATATTCTGAACCCCATCACATCTGCTAATATCTCATCAGATAAAGTGATTCACATATCTGAAGCCAAAGATAAGGAGGGGACATTCATACCTTTGTGGAAGGAACTCTAAAATCTCATGACAAAGGGCATGGATACAGCGAAGGGTAAAGAATCACAATTTATAATTCAATCTACCACACCTTATACTTTTCACGAGTTTTATACAAGAAAATGAAAACAGATCACGAATCGTACACCAAAGGCCTTCCTATAAGGAATTTTTACAGCTACCATGGGCCAGGTGGCAAAGTAGGTGAAGCTTTGTAGGCCAAGTTAAAATGTTGGATTTTATTTTAAGTTCAATGGGAACGATTGAGAGACTTTAAGCAAATAGTAAAGTAACCAATTTACACTTTAAAATGATTACCTTGGCTACTGGAATGGGGGAGGGAAGAAATAGACTATTATAGCAGACTTTTGGTATTAAAGTGGCATTGCGGATGGTAAAGAGTGGATACTGTGTGTATATACATACACACATATATGCTACATATGTTATTTTATGAAATATAATGAGCATTTTGAAAAGAGAACAAAACAAGTGTACAGCACAATAATTTTCCAAATGTGAAGTACAGTTAAGCAATGTTTCTACAAGCCAAATAGAGACATAGAACATTTTCTGCACTACAGGACACATCTTCATGCTCCCTACCATTCAGTAATCCCACAAGCTAATAGCTGTTGCCATATGTTAGTTTTTTGTGTCTTTGAGCTTCATATAAATGAATTCATAAGCCTATTTTCTCTTGTATATAGCTTAATTCTCACTGCTATGTATGTGAGAGTCATCCACATTTTTTCTTTTACCAGTAGTTCATCCTTTTGCAGTGCTGTATAATATATCATTATGCAGCATAATCTGGTATCAGTATACCAGATTTATTCATTCTATTAGCTTTGAATCTTTTTGCCCACTTAAATTGATTTTATTGATTTGAGGAGTTATCTACCTATTATGGATACAATCCTTTGTCAGGTATAAGTATTAAAAATCTTTTCCCCATTATAGCTTTAATTTAAATCCTTAAATTTGTCTTTTGATAAACTAAGAAAGACCTAAAGAAATGAAAGTTTATTC
Source organism: Homo sapiens (assembly GCF_000001405.40). NCBI lineage: Eukaryota > Metazoa > Chordata > Mammalia > Primates > Hominidae > Homo > Homo sapiens. The sequence goes on from NC_000011.10 coordinate 22,401,865, forward strand.
TCTACTCATGTATTGGAAGACTTGATATTCTTTGTCAATTCTCCTCAAACATATGTATAGATTTTATATAATCCAAGTTACTATTTAATATTTTCATGGAAATTGACAAGATGTTCTATTTAGAAATGCAGGCCGGGCGCGGTGGCTCACACCTGTAATCCCAGCACTTTGGGAGGCCGAGGCGGGTGGATCACAAGGTCAGGAGATCGAGACCATCCTGGCTAACACAGTGAAACCCCGTCTCTACTAAAAATACAAAAGTTAGGCGGGCGTAGTGGCGGGCGCCTGTAGTCCCAGCAGCTGGGGAGGCTGAGGCAGGAGAATGGCGTGAACCCAGGAGGAAGAGCTTGCAGTGAGCTGAGATTGTGCCACTGCACTCCAGCCTGGGCGACAGAGCGAGACTCCATCTCAAAAAAAGAAAAAAAAAAAAGAAATGCAAAGGATTTAGAATATCTAAGACACACTGAGAAGAAAGTAAGAACTTATACAAACAGATACCAAGATTTCATTATAAAGCTACAGCAATTAAGACAATGCAGTACGACACAAAAATAGACAAATTGGTCAATCCAGAGCAGATTGCCTGGTCACATACATGTACATTTACAGTCATCTGGTTTATTACAAATTTTCCACTTTCAATTAAGTATAGAAAAAATTGTCATTTCAATAAGCAAAATACAACAAGTTGGTATCCTAATAGAAAATGTCAACGTTTAAACAATAAAGTTTCCAGAGAAAAAAGAATGAAGCAAATACACCTTAAACAGGATACAAGAAACACTCATCATAAAAAATATTTATAAATAAACTTTATTAAAATTGGATATATTTTTATTGAAGAATTGACAGGAATTTGTGATGTTAGAGTTGAGTGTTAGAAGTTTCAATTATGAAAAATGAACATGTTTTAGAGATCTAATGTACAACATAGGGAAGATAGTTAAAAATACTGTATGTTATGCTTGAAATATGCTAAGAGAATAGATCTTAAATTTCACCACACACACACACACACACACACACGCAGAGTAATTATGTAGAGGTGACACATAAGTTCACTAGCTGCAACATAGTTTTACAATATATGTGCTACATCAAAATATCAAGTTGCACACCTGAAACATATATGATTTTTATATGTCAATGATATGTCAGTAAAACTGCTAAATTTTATTTGAAGATTATTTCCAAGTTTCTGGCATAAGAAAATATGTCGTTGGATAGAGGGCTCACTAACTGAGGTGGGAACACCAGAAAAAAGCACATTTGATGGGAAGAATAGTGTTGCCTTCTGATATCTTGTGTTCCCTGTTTTAGTCTCTGTTCCAATTAGATTATCATCAAATATATAGCATAGGGATTTAAAAACTATTCCTTTCTGTTTCCTCTTTGAAACTTTAGGCATTTCAGGTAGACACTGTAGAGTATACCTATAACTCTGAGCAGTATCCCTGGGGCCAAAACATCACAGGCGCCCTAGTCCAAATGAAAGACTCCAAGTGATTGCCTGAGCCTGAATATCATGGCATATATAGAGATCAGGCAAAGAAACCAAAGTTACCAGATGAAATCCCTAAAGACAAACGTGAACACCCATTTGTCTTTTATCTCGATAATAGTCCCTCTTTCATAATGTGAGTTATAGGCCTAACTTTAAAAAGGACTATGACTCATATTTTACCTGAAAAAAAAATAATATTGGACTCACCTCAATGAACTTCACATCTGAGGGTTTGGCACCTCAATTTCTGGCTGCCTCAGCAGCTCACTCTTGCCTTCAAACAAATATGTCGTTGTATTTTATGTAGTTCTTCCTAGGACAAAAACAGAAATGGAAGAAATCTCTGGCCTCATCTCTTAAAATATTGTCAGCTCAGAAAGTAAGGAGTTAGTTTAAATAAAATCAATTATGGGAGAAGATTTCCATGGGGGCAGTCAAGGAAGTCCTGAATGTTAGTGGAGCATCTATGTGATGGCAAACTCCACAATTTTGTTTAGAGTTCTATATAAGAAGCAAAATGGTAATGGATCGGTTCCATTCAAAATCCCAACAAGATTTGGCAGGCTTAACGATGGTTCATTGCCTTCAAATCTACTTATAAGTTTTTCATTTAGGTACAATGAAGTTATGGATCTTCCTCAAAAGTGAGTGCAAAAAAAGGTGGTTCTGGGTGACACAGAGTTTGGTTCACAATCTGGATTATATCATCTGGCTTTGAAGGCTACTGACTTGAACAAATGTGTTAGCTTGCATAGAATTCTGTTGTCTGTGTTGTATAAGCATATTCTTATCACCACAAAACATCATATTATAAATTAATTATTTCTTTGTTTATTACATGTCTCTCTTTCCTAACTACAGCTCTATGGACAGGATATTTCTGTTTAGTTTGCTGATATATCAATACCACTCAGAACAATAACTAAAATGTAGCTGGTGCTCAGTAAGCATTTATTGAGTAATGGATCAGTTTGTCTCTCTTTACTAATAAGTCTAACCTTTTGCTTATTTCTGACCTCATTCAATCAATAACCAAGGTTACCTGTCTGCCCAATTTATACAGCACATTGTGCTATCTATGAGTTACCATGTCCTTGGCTGACCACATCTCTTTCTGTCCTTTCACCTTCTCTGATCAATGTTTGTAGTGATCCTCCTTTGATCTGGCATTGCAGTTCTCGTCACTGAGTTGGTGTATTACTGTATTAGTATTAGCATTAAAACTCATTTGTGTATTAATGATACACTATAATAGCCTCCCTGTTGGCATTTCCTGTATTGAAATTTACCCCCACCACAGGACCTTTAGAGAGAGGATACCAGAGTATCCATATTTTGACCACATGACCTTATCTCCTTAGAATTGAATGGGCCAGAGTGTAGATGTTGCCCAGGAGTACCTATGCATAGGATTCATTTTTTCTCCTTTGTCTCTCTGACGCTCTGTTTCTCATTATTGAATTTAAATAAAGAGGTTTAGTTATTTATATAAGGCCACTGAGAGTTATCACTAGTTTTTGCCATCATTAACAGAGCTCCAGAATGATACTTAGAGAAGAAGCACATGCTCCAAAAAGTTAATAGGAAAGATGTGCAGACATCTACAACCATCTGATCTTCAACAAACCTGATGAAAACAAGCAATGGGTAAAGAATTGCCTACTTAATAAATGGTACTGGGAAAACTAGCTAGCCGTATGCAGAAAATGGAAACTGGGCCACTTCCTTACATCTTATACAAAAATAAACTTAAGATGGATTAAAGACTTAAATGTAAAACCCAAAACTATAAAAACTCTGGAAGAAAATCTAGTCAATGCCATTCAAGACATAGGCACAGGCAAAGATTTCATGACAAAATCTCCAAAAGCAATTGCAACAAAAACAAAAATTGACAAATGGGATCTAATTAAACTAAAGAGCTTCTGCACAACAGAAGAAACAATAATCAGAGTGAAAAGGAAACCTACAGAGTGGGAGAAAAGTTCTGAAATCTACCCATCTGACAAAGGTCTAATATCCAGAATCTACAGGTAACTTAAACAAATTTAGAAGAAAAAAGACAAATGACCCTGTTAAAAAGTGAGCAAAGGATATTAACAGACGCTTCTCAAAAGAAGACATTCATGTGGCCAACAAACATGAAAAAACCCTCAACCTCATTGATCATTAGAGAAATGCAAATTAAAACCACAATGAGGTACTATCTCATCCCAGTCAGAATGGCGATTATTAACAAGTCAAAAAACAACAGATGCTGAGGAGACTGTGGAGAAATAAAAACGCTTCTACACTGTTGGAGGGAATGCAAATTAATTCAACCACTGTGGGAGATGATGTGGAGATTCCTCAAATATCTAGAACCAGAAATACCATTTGACCCAGCAATCCCATTGCTGGGTATATACCCAAAGGAATATAAATCATTCTATTACAAAGATACATGCATGTGTATGTTCACTGCAGCACTATTCACAGTAGCAAAGACATGGAATCAACCCAAATGCCCATTAATGATAGACTGGATAAATAAAATATGGTACATATATACCATAGAATACTATGAAGCCATAAAAAGGAAAGAGATCATGTCCTTTGCAGGGACATGGATGGAATTGGAAGCCATTATTCTCAGCAAACTAATGCAGGAACAGAAAACCAAACACTGCATGTTCTCACTTATAAATGGGAACTGAGCAATGAGAACACATGAACACAGGGAAGGGAATAACACACACTGGGGCCTGTCAGTGGGTGGGGTAGTGGGAGGGAGAGCATTAGGAAAAATAACTAACACCTAGGTGATGGGTTAATACCTAGGTGATGGTATTTTAATTATTTTTATATAACCAAAAATAATAAGTAGTCTCAGTTTGCAATGAACTGTTATTCTTTCCATGTATCAGAAATTCAATAAAATCAAATCAGTAAAGACCACTTATGAGCTGTGGGAGAGGCTTTAATATTTTACAAGGTCAGTACCTAGGCGATGGGTTGATAGGTGCAGCAAACCATCATGGCACATGTTTACGTATGTAACAAACCTGGACATCCTGCACATGTACCCCAGAACTTAAAATAAAATTTTAAATTAAAAAAAAAGAAAGAAAAGACGTGTAGAGAGAATATCAAATCTCAAAGTATTTGTACTCAATGGAAGAAAGAGAGCATAATGATGAGTCTGGCCACATTTTTGATGATTGATTGCTTACAGCTTTCAAGTCTCACCCTCCTCCCTCTTTCTCTTCTATGTCACACCTTGGCAAACTGATAAAGCCCTGGTGCTCCCTCCCTTCACATTAGTGGAAAGTTCAACCATGAAAGTCCCTGCCTAAGAACCCATACCCCAGCCCCACACAAACCACAATAAACTTTAAAGCCAATTGCTCCTACTTCCTCAAGTCATTTTTGGAATGGCTTGAGAGCCTGCCCTGCTCTCCCCAGAAAGCCTTATTAAGTGAATAATGAACCTTTGCATAACCTCCTGCTATGTGTGTGTGGCATTATTAGTCTCAACATCTGAACTAAATTTTTGATAGAGGGTCCATTCTTCAGTGAGGTAAACCCAACAGAAAGAGAAAAAGAGAGAGACAGAGAGAGTTTCACATAACATTTTAGTCACCCTAGGGCATAAATCTGCTTTATTTCTTGACCTAAGATGCATGTGCAATTGCTTGTTATTCCTTATCATAAATGCTATTTTATCTATATTAGAATTAAAGGGTTTCTGTGTTTCTGTTCTTGGCAATCAAATGATCCCTGATTATGACACATGATGACTCCTTTTTTATCATGGCCCGCAGACCTTGTAAAATATTAATGCCTCTTCCACAGCTCATAAGTGGCCTTTACTGATTTGATGTTATTGAATTTCTGATATACTCAAAGAATAACAGTTCATCGTAAACAGAATCTACTTATTCTTTTTGGTTATATACAAATAATAATTAAAAGAAAGAAGAAAAAAGTATTTGCTCAAGCTGTAGATAAAGCAAAGTTAGAGAATATCTAACTCATACATTTCTAGGGCAAGGAGTATGAAAAATGTAGAGACTATATCCTTGGAACTGAAATGGTTCTACCCTCCTGGGGAAACACACTAGAGTCATTCCTTTTGGCTGTCAGAGTTGCTGTTAATTTTGTCTGCAATTGCCAGCAAAGTGTAAGAAGATGTATGAGGATGAATTATTGATTTCCACTTGGATTCTGATTGAAGTAGTTTTGCAGCTTATTTCCAAGTAACTCTTTTCATCTTCATGGCAATAAATACAAACATCAGTTTAATTTATCTCTTTGAGTTAGCACCTTTTATGACAAATTGTATTTGTAAAACTAATCATTCTCTCATTATAATCAGCAAATGAAGAACTAGAGTTGAGCAAATTCTTCTAACACACCAAAATTTTGAAATAGCAACTTTCAGTAAAAAAAAAAAAAAAAAAAAATTAAAGAAAGTGAACATAGAGTATAGAAGGTTTTCAATACAATAAATCTTGCAGCTTAAAAAACAGGAAGTGTCCTGTGGAAAATATTGTTGATGGTGATTGAGGAATATGTTCCTTCACTCAAACTAGATTTTCTGGATTTTGAGAGATTTGGTTTAATTACATTAACCCTCTGTACTTTTGTGACTTCCCCCATTCCCCCATCCCCCATGCCCACAAGAAGAAAAGTGACATCTCAGTGCTGCAGAGCTAAGCTGCAGTACTCTGAAAGCACTCAAGCTACACAGCTTTTTTGTTTGCTATGTCCGCTGAAGAGCTCTTGCGCCTTCCTTCCATTTGCTTAGGAGACAATGCTTTCAAAGAACATCTAGGATAGCTACTGGGCACAAAGTAGGCCCCTCACTGCTCAGTAGCTGTTTGAAATCTGGCTCCAACCTGCATGAGGATTTGAAATTTCAGGATTTTATTTAATAAGGGTGATGACAGACTCACAGCTTCAGAACAGTTCACCTATCTAAAATAGCACATTTTTACCAGAAGTCCTAATAATTCAAAACCATTTCATATGTTCTTCCTACAAAAAGACAGGCTTTCTTCTCTATCAAGCTGAGAAATGAGGCTCACCAACTTAAACACATACACATATAAAAACTCTATGTCTGATAGCTCATTTTAGCATCCATTCCAATGACTCTTCTTTTAACTGAGAAGTTTTCTGGGAGAAAAATTTAATTAGATGAGGACAGTAATCATTAAAATTTTATCTTCTTAAAGTATAAAACTCACTGGTAAAAATAAGTGTGCAGCCAAATTCAGAATATTTAATACTATAATGATAGTATGTAAATCACTCATATCTTTAGTACAAAGGTTAAAAAATAAAACTATTAAAAATAATAATAGCTGCTATAATTTGTTAGGTGATATACAATATACTAATACAAATTTGGACATTAAAACATAAAATGTGGGGAAGGGGTGGAGTAGAAGTCTAGAGTGTGTGTACATGATCAATTAAGTTATTAGGTTAAAATAGCCTGATATAACTCAAAGATGTTTTATGTAAGGCTCTTGCTAACAAAAAGCAAAAAACCTATAGTAGATATATAAGATATAAAAAAGTAATGAATCAAATTAGGGAAAATTAATCACAAAGAAAGACAAGAAGAGAGAAAGAAAGGAACAAAGGATTTACAAAATAACCAGAACACAACAAAATGGCAATAGTAAGTCCTTACCTATCAATAAACTACCTTGGATGTAAACGGGTTAAATTTCCTGATCAAAAGACACAGAGAAGTCGAATAGATAAATAAAAAAAGCAATACCCAATTATGTGCTGCCCACAGAGACTCACTTCATCTTTAAGGACAGACATAGATTAAAATAGAAAAGATGGAAAAAGATATTCCATGTAAGTGGAAAACAAGAAAGAGCAGGGGTAGCTATATCAGATAAAATAGACTGTAAATCAAAAGTGTAAAATGAGACAAAGAGCATCATTATATAGTAATAAAAATGTCAATTTATCAAGGATATAACAGTGGTAAATATACAGTTATGCACCCCTTAATGATGTTTCAATCAAGTGGATCACATATACAATGGTAGTCCCATAAGATTAAAATACTGCATTTTTACTGTACCTTTTCTAAGTTTAGATATATTTAGACACAAATACTTATCATCATGTTATAATTGCCTGTAGTATTCAGTACAGTAATATGCTGCACTGATTTGTAGCCTAGGAGCAATAAGCTATACCATATAGCTTGTATATGTACTCAGAAAGCACAAACCATCCAGGTTTGTGTAAATACACAATATAATGTTCACACAACAGTGAAATTACCTAACACTAATTTCTTAGAATATATTCCCATCCTTAAACAATGTAAAACTGTATATGCACCTAATATCAGAGCACCTAAATATATAAAGAAATTATTAATGGATCTGAAAGGGGAGATGGACTGTAATGCAATAATAGTAGAGGACTTCAATACCCCACTTTGAGCAATGGAAAGATCATCTAAAAAGAAAATCAATCAGGCAACACTGGGCTTAAACAATACTTTAGACCAATGGATCTAACAGACATATATAGAACCTTTCATTCAACAACAGCAGAAGATGCATTCTTCTCAAGCACACATAGAACATTCTTCAGGAACAAGTACTAAGAAATTTAAGAAGATTAAGATCATATCAAGTATCTTTTCTGACCACAATGGTATAAAACTAGAAGTCAATAACAGAAAGGATTTGGTAAAAATTTACAAATGCGCAGAAATTAAACAACATGCTTGTGAGCAACCAGTGGGCCAAAGAAGAAATTAAAAGCCAAATTTTAAGATATCTTGAGAGAAACAAAAACAGAGACACAGCTCACTAAAACTTATAGGGATGCAGCAAAAGCAGCTCTATGAGGAAAGTTTACTAGCAATAAATGCCTACATCAAAAAGGGAGAAAGATTTCAAACAATTAACCTCACATTACACCTAAAAAACTAGAAAAACAAGAACAAACTAAGCCCAAGAGTAGTAGAAGGAAGGAGATAATAAGAATCAGAACATAAATAAATGAAATAGAGACCAGAAAAACAATAGAAAATGTCAAATAAACTAAGTGTTAATTTTTTAAAAAGGATAAACACAATTTTAAAAGTTTAGATAGTCTTACTGAGAAAAAAAAAGAGGGAAGACAGAAATAAAATCAGAAATGAGAGAGGAGACAATATAATAAATACAACAGAAATGCAAAGGATCTTGAGAGATAATTATGAGTAATTATACACCAAAAATTTGGATAACTTAGTATAAGTGAATAAATTCCTATACGTATACAACCCACAAAGACTGAATAATGATGAAACAGAAAAATCTGAACACGCCAATAGGGAGTAAGGAGATCAAGTCCGTAACAAATACTTTCCTGCCAAAGAATAGCCTAGGACCTGATGGCATCTTGCTGAATTCTACCAAACATTTAAGGAAGAACTAGTACCAATCTTTCTTAAACTCTTCCAAAAAATTAAAAGAGAGGTAGTACTTTGAGAGTTATCTTACAAGGCCAGGATTACTCTGATATCAAAGCCAGACAAGGACACTACAAAAAAAGAAAATTACAGGGCAGTATTCCTGATGAACATAGATGCAAAAATCCTCAACGAAATGCTAGCAAAACAAATTCAACAGCTCATTAAAACGATCTTTCACCCAGGTAAAGTGGCACTTATCTCACAGAGGTTAGTTTTGTGCAACATATGCAAATCTATAAATGCGACACACAACATTAACAGAATGAAGGACAAATATGATCTCAATAAATGTAGAAAAGGCTTTAGACAAAATTCAACATTTTTCATCAGAAACTCAACTAATTAAGTATACAAAGAATGCATCTCAATACAATATAGGACATATAACAAAAGCCCACAGTTAACATCATACTCAATGGTAAAATCTTGAAAGCTTTTCCTCTAAGATTAGGAACAAGGCAAGGATGACCACTTGTGCCACTTCTATTTGACATAGTACTGGAAGTTGTAGCCAGACCGATTAGGCAAGAGAAACAAATAAAAGTCATCCAAAGCAGAAAGGAAGAAATTAAATGGTGTTTGTTTGCAGACAAGATAATCTTATGTACAGAAAACTGTAAAAAAAAAAAAATTACAAAAACCTGTTAAAACTAATAAATGAATTCGGTAAAGTTGCAGGATACTGAATCAGCATACACAAATCAGTAGTTATCTCTATATACTAATAACAAGCTATCTGTTGTTGTTTTTTATTTTTTATTTTTTGAGTTAGGATCTCGTCATTCAGCTGTCCAGGCTGGAGTGCAGTGGTGCAATAACAGTTCACTGCAGCTCCAAACTCCTGAACTCAAGCAGTCCTCTTCCTCAGCCTCTTGGGGAGCTGGGATTACAGACATACACCACTATGCCTGGATATTTTCTTTATTTTTATTTTGTAAAGATGGGGTCTTGCTGACCAGGCTGGTTTCAAACTCCTGGCCTCAAGCAATCTTCCCACTTCGACCTCCCAAAGTGCTGGGACTACAGGTGTGAGCCACAGTGCCTGGCACAACAAGCTATCTGAAAAACAAATAAAGAAAACAATCCTATTTACAATAGCTACAAAAAAATTTAAGAATAAATTTAGCCACAGAGAATGATCTATACACTGAAAACTATAAAGCGTTTATAAAAGAAATAAAAGAAGAGAGAAATAAATGGAAATATCACTCACATTCATAAATTGGAAGAATTAATATTGTTAAAATATCCATACTACCCTAAGTGATCTACAGATTCAATACAATACCTATGAAAATTTCAATAATTTTTTTAGAGGAATAGAAGAGACAATTTTCAAATTTATGGGAAACGACAAAAGATTTCAAATAGCCAAAGCAATCTTGAGCAAAAAGAACAAAGCTGGAAGTATCATACAGTACTTCAAAATACATTACAAAACTATGGTAATCAAGCAACATGGTACTGGCAAAAAACAGACACATAGATCAATGAAACAGAATAGAAAGCCTAGAAATAAATCCACATATTTATAGTTAGTTGATTTTTTGTAAGGGTGCCAAGAACACAAAATGGGGAAAGGACAGTCTCTTCAATAAATGGTGTTGGGAAAACTGTATAGCCGCAGGCAGAAGAATAAAATTAGACCTTTATCTCACACTATATACAAAAAAAATCAAGACAAGGCCGGGCGCAGTGGCTCACGCCTGTAATCCCAGCACTTTGGGAGGCCGAGGCGGGTGGATCACGAGGTCAGGAGATCGAGACCATCCTGGCTAACACGGTGAAACCCTGTCTCTACTAAAAATACAAAAAAAAAAACAAAAAAATTAGCCAGGCTTGGTGGCGGGCGCCTGTAGTCCCAGCTACTCCGGAGGCTGGGACAGGAGAATGGCGTTAACCCGGGAGGCGGAGCTTGCAGTGAGCCCAGATCGCGCCACTGCACTCTAGCCTGGGCAACAGAGCCAAACTCCGTCTCAAAAAAAAAAAAAAAAAAAAAAAAAAAAAAAAGAAGACAAAATGGATTAAAGACATAAACATAAGATCTGAAACTGTAAAACAATGGGAAGGAAACAAAGGGAAAAAGCTCAATGGCATTAACCTGGGCAGTAATTTTTTGGATATAGCCCCAAAAGCCTATGCAACAAAAGCAAAAATAGACAAATAAGATCACATCATACTGAAAAGCTTCTGCACAGTAAAGGGTACAATCAACAGAGTGAAGAGACAACCTACAGAATAAGAAAAAAATATCAGCAAATCATTAGTCTTACAAGGAGTTAATATCCAAAATTTATAAGGAATTTATAAGGTCTAAAACAACTGAATAGCAAGAAAAAAATAAAAAATGGTCAAAGAACCTGAATACATGTGTCAAAATAAGACATACAAATGGGCAACAGTTATATGAAAAAATGTTTAATATCCCTAATTATCAAGAAAATGCAAATTAAAACCACAATGATTTGTCACCTCACACTTTTTAGGATGACTATTTTTAAAAAAGATAATAAATACCTGGTGTTGGAAAGGATCTGGAGAAAAGAGAACTCTTGCTCATGGTTGGTGGGGATGTAAACTAGTATGGCCATTATGGAAAATAGTATGACGATTCCTAAAAAAATAATTAAAAATAGAACTACCAGATGATTCAGTAAGCCCACTACTGGGTATATATATCAAATGGAAATGAAATCAGTATTTCAAGGAGCTATTTACATTCCTATGTTCATTGCAGTATTATTCACAACATCCAAGACGTAATCAATCTAAGTGTCCATCAGTAGAAGAATGGGTAAAGAAAATGTGGTATATATACACAATGGAATACTCTTCAGTCTTCAAAAAGAAGGCAATCTTGTCATTTGCAACAACATGGATGAATTTGGAAGACATTATGTTAAGTGAAATAACCCAGACATAGAAAGACAAACACCTCATGATTTCACTTGTATGTGAAATCTAAATAGTTGAATTCATAGAAACAGAGAATAGAATGATGGTTACCAGAGCCTAAAGGGTGATGAGGGCTGGGGAGAAAGGATGCTAAATTTCAGTTAGACAGGGGGAATAAGTTCAAGAGATCTTCTGCACAATTAATGATTATGCTAATCACAAATTGTTATTTTGAAAATCACTAGGAGAGCAGATTTTAAGTGTTCTCACCACAAGAAATGAGGATATGAAGCAATGTATATGTTTATTAGCTCAACTGAACCATTCCAAAATGTGTGCATATTTCAAAACATCATGTTGTACCTGATAAATATATATACACTTTTAATTTGTCAATTTAAAAAATTAATTAAAAAACTATATTCTTAAATATTATCCTTTAAATTTTCTTTCTTATGATTCATTTAATTTTGAGGAAATTTTAATAATATTTTTGTTATTTTATATCTTGATTATTTTGTTGAAAATATTTATTCTCTTTTGTATACTGTGCTTTTGCATATATTACCCTAGGTATCAAGAAAAAAATATAAAAACCCGACAATTTGCTATGTTCTGAGGTAATACTGAAAAATACAATGGCTTCTATTCCTGGAGGGTACAAGAACAGAATGACCAAATTGGAAGACAAACATTTTATGAATATATTATTAGCCCAAGACGCATTTTTCCATGCTATTGACCTGCCATGAGATGGCTCAGAGTGTTTAAACTGTCTTTGGTTTATGTGTTATTTTCACTCTCACCTCCCAATTAGAGCAGAACTGCCAAGCTGCAGGGAATTGAGAGGGAAATTGGAGGTTGCTAAGGAAAGGGATGACTTGAATTATGTTGTTTTATGGGACTGGATCATCAAGCCCAGAAAAAGAAGGCTCTGTGTGCTGGGCTAATCTGCTGCATGAGAATGTGTGTGGTTCCCACAGCTGTGTGATTTTGGAGACATGGTGAACTCTCCCCCCTGCTCTAAACATACCCTTATTCATTCAGTTAAAAATACTTGTATAAAGGGCCTACATTTTTCAGGGGCTGTACAAGGTATGAGATACAAAGAGGAAAGAGATGCATCTTACCTTTAGATGGTTTACAGTATAGTGGAGCCTACAGAAAAGAGACATTTAGGATACAAAGTGATAAATGTTATAATAAGGAGAAACGTAAAAACTGTGGAGCATAGAACGGAAACATTTACCTGGTCCTTGGAATCAAGGAAAGCTTCTGGAAGGAGCGATGATAGGCTGACCACTGAAAGGCTTATAGAAGTTTGTTAGTTGAAGGGAGAAAGGAGAAAAGAAAGAAAAGGCAAGAACGTGACAGGCAGAAGGGAGAGCTTGGAATCAGAGGAATGACATTCCATAGTGGCTCTACCATATCGGTAGTTTGACCTTGGGCAAGCAATTGTCTTCTTTGAACCTCAGTTTACTTATCTGGAAAATGTGGACAATAATACTTATTATTCAGCATCACTGAAAAGTAAATGAGATAATATATGTAAAGAGCTTGATTGTTACCAAGTGATAGAAATCCAGCGTCAGCCAGTTTACGTGTAAAAGGCAATGATTTGCAAGGTTATTGGGATATGCCATAGACTTTATGGAACGGAGGGATATGGCCATGTCTCAAGACCAACTGCAATCAGAGATTCAAATGCCACTAGGACACTACTGTTTCTCATATCTATTTTCATTTGTATGTAGATGTTACTGTTTCCTCCCAGTAGACACGAGCTTTCTACTCATAGTAGATGAACGTGGCCTCCCAAGAAGTTGGCTTCTGAGTTTTATATCTTTGGCCAAATCTTACTCAAATACAGTTTGTTTTTCTCAGTTATAGTTCCAAAAGTCTCAGGAAACAACTGGTCAGATTCCTATTCCATAGCATCAACTGTGGCCAGAGAGTGAGGTCATAATGTACTCTCATGGTGGTTCCTGGAATGACTTTGATGCGGGAGGTAGTTTCCAGAAGGGGAAAAGAGCTGGAGAGGCAGCCCGGTTCCTGGTTCTTAATAATATTAATTAAAATTTCTTATCTGTGGTACATATCTACTATATATCATGCACCATGTAAAAGTTTTAGATTCATTACCTAATAAATGTTAACCTAGGGAGGTCATTACTCTTATTATCTCTTTGTCAAAGATGTCGAAACTAAACTCTGGAGAAAGGGTCACTTGCTCAAGTTTCATGCAGTTAGGTGAGAAGCCATAATACCAAACCAGGATTGCCTGGCTCAGAGTTTGAGCTGTTGGTTATTATGGACATTTAATTTAATTAAGTCCCCTTCAGCCACAGACCAGAATTCTACTTGCCTTCACTTAGAGGAAGAAGTCTGTACCTTGTAGAGGTGGGGGAATAGCTTATTCTTCTCTTCTTCCAGTGTTTAGGCCAGCCAGAGATTGCAAGCAATCCTTTCTTGAACCAAAAGCCAAAGCTGAACTCAAAGACAGGAATTCTTTAGATGTTATAGGTCACACAACTTTTGATGTAATTCTGTTTCCTATGTCTATATTATACTCCTCTTTCTAACAGAGTACAAAATATCACAGGTTTTAATGCTAAAAAGTTACTTTCACATATAGATGCTGATTTTTAATAATCTTTGTTGGTGTTAGTCCTCACGTAACCCTATAGATCTCACTAGAAATGAAAGAGATTCTAAAAATGGACGTGGGTAAACTGGTAGCAGTCTTTTAAAGGATGCATACAGTGCCAGTAAATTGATCACGGATTAAGGAATGGACAAAGCCTGAGTTGATTCAAAATTTTCCAATTAGGGTTTCACAATAACTGATGATATTGCCAAATGATGTTTTTCGACATTTTGAATGAATCAGAATACCCATGCCAAGTTTCATCATCAAATCTGCAGGACGTTTTTGTTTGTTAGTGTTTTAGTAGAGTGGAGGATGGAAGCACTTAGAGCTTTGCTGAGAAGGAAAAGGGGAGATATATGACTGTGTATTACTGCAAGTATATTTATTCATGCATTAGTTCACTCATTTATTCAGAAAATAATGAAGTGGAAAGAAATGTGATTGAGAAGGAGATAAAATGTTGGCTTAATTTTTGTGTTTAACATTTTATTTTAAAATTCTGAAACAAGTATGGCAAAATATCAAGATTTGTTTAGGGCTTATTGTAGGGCTGGACGTGGTGGCTCACATCTGTAATCCCAACATTTTGGGAGGCAGAGGAAGGAGCATCACTTTAACTCAGGAGTTTCAGATCAGCCTGGACAACATAGTGAGACCTCACCTCTACTTATAATTCAAAAAACAAAAAAAATTAGCCGAAATTGGTGGTGCACACCTGTAGTCCTAGCTACTTGGGGTCACTGAGGTGAGCAAATTGCTTTAGCCTGGGGTGTTGAGGCTGTAGTATCATGCCACTGCAGTCCAGCCTGAGTGACAAAGCGAGGCACTCTCTCTCTCTCTCTCTCTCCATATATATATATATATACACATACACATATATATATATACACATATATATATATATACACATATATATATATATACACACATATATATACACATGGTTTTTTGTTCTTTCTTTCTTTCTTTCTTTCTTTCTTTCTTTCTTTCTTTCTTTCTTTCTTTCTTTCTTTCTTTCTTTTTTTCTGAGACAGAGTCTTGCTTTGTCGCCCAGGCTGGACTGCAGTGGCGTAATCTCGGCTCACTGCAAGCTCCACCTCCTGAGTTCATGCCATTCTCCTGCCTCAGTCTCCTGAGTAGCTGGGACTACAGGCGTCCACTACCACGCCAGGCTAATTTTTGTATTTTTAGTAGAGACAGGGTTTCACTGTGTTAGCCAGGATTATCTTGATCTCCTGACCTTGTGATCCACCCACCTCAGCCTCCCAAAGTGCTGGGATTACAGGCGTGAGCCATGGCACCCAGCCAAGGGTGTTTGTTTTAAAGCCAAGTATCTTGAGTTTAATATATAGCATTTGTTTGGGAATAAAGAAAGGAAAAGAAATTCTGCTTCCATACTTAAAAGTACTAAAACCACTTCATTTTGGTTTCATTTTTTAAAATGCATCATAACTGTTTTGTGCCCATAAATCTTAATGTGTCAGCACCATGAGGGTTTCAAGCCTTTAGTTATATGACATGTTGTTTTATTATGTTCTCTGCTTGGTCAGGGGTGGAGGTGGTATACTCTAGAACTGGAAATTTAAAAGCCACATCAAATTGGAAGACACAGATCTCTTAGAATTGCCTCTTTTTAAACAAATAGAAAAACTTATTGCTTGAAATGTTACCTAGCATACTTACCACAAAGAGCTGCAAGCCTCAAGCATGACATATAATGTATCTTAGGATTTTACATTGACTCATGATGAGCTCTAAAACATGGAACAGGCAAGTCAATCTTCTAAATCTCATCACCCTTATATGTAAGTTGGGAAAAACAAAAATAATAGTACTTATCTCAAAGGTTGTTATAAAAAGAGGTACCTACCATGACACCAATAAAGGTTAATGTTTGATGTTTCATTTGTGCAGATTTTCTCCAAAGTCAGTACCTAATTTTGTATTTGTAATGTTGTGTTTCTTTTTCTTCAAAAGGGCCTTCCTAATTAACTAGCTTCAAGTCTCGTATATCTGGATCTTCTACTTACAGAAAGATAGTAACTAGAAATTTGGAAGACACATGCACAAACACACACACACACACACACACACATACACACACACACACACATACACACACACACACCCAAAGAGAGAGAGAGAGAGGAGAGAGAGGATTTAGAGAATTGGCTTAGATGATTATGGAGGCTGGAAAATTTGAAATTTGTAGGGTAAGCCAGCAGGCTGTAAACTCAGGCAAGAATTGACGCTGCAGTCTTTATTTTTATTATATATATTTAAGGCATAAAACACAATGTTTTTATAAACACATACATAAAAAAATTGTTCAGTCAAGTAAATTAACATATCCATCTCCTTACGTAGCTACATTTCCTATGTGTAGAGGGATGTATTTGTGTAGTCAGAGCACCTGAAATCTAATCTCTTGGCAAATTTCCAATATACTATACAACAATAACTATAGTCATCATGCTGTATATTAGGCCTCTGGATTCATTTATCCTACATAACTGCAACTGTGTGCCCTTTGACCTATGTTGTCCCATTTCCCCTCTCCAACCCCTGGTTAACCAGAGTTCTACTCTCTGATTCTAGATATTCAACACTTTTAAAGATTGTACACATATGTGAACTCATACAATATTTTTCTTTGCCTGGCTTATTTCACTTAGCATAATGTCCTCCTCCAGGATCTCCAGCATTTTTGCAAATGGCAGGATCTCCCTTCTAAAGGCTGAATAATATCTATCTATCTATCTATCTATCTATCTATCTATCTATCTATCTATCTATCATTTTATCTGTCTATCTCATAATTTCTTTATCCAGTCACCCATCAATAGATACATATTTACTTGTCTTGGCTATTGTGAATAATACTGTAATGAACATGGAAATGCAGATATCTCTAAGAAGTGTTTATTTCATTTTCTTATGGTATATACCCAGAAGAAGCACTGCTGGGTTATACGGTTGCTCTATTTTTAATTTTTTTGAGGAAACTCAATTGTGTTTTTCATAATGGATGTGTCAACTTAGAGTCCCACCAACAGCGTAAAGAGTTCCCTTTTTACCATTCCCTCTCCAACACTTGTTATCTCTCTCTCTCTGTGTGTGTGTCTCTCTCTCTCCCTCTCTCTCTCCCTCTCGATAAGGGCCATCGTAAAAAACGTAAGGTGATATTTTACTACAGTTTTGATTTTCATTTCTCTGATTAGTGATACTGAGTACCTTTTCATCTCATGGAATCAAAAAAGACTCTGAATAGCCAAAGCAATTCTTGAGAAAAAAGGACAAAGGTGGAGGCACCACACTTCCTAATTTAAAATTTTGTTATAAAACTATAGTAATCAAAACAATATAATACTGATATAAAAACAGATATGTAGACCATTGTGACAGAATAGAGAGCCCAGAAATAAACCCGAGTAGGTACAATTAACTAATCTTAGGCCAAAACACCAAGAATAACAATGAGGATAGGATTCTTCAATAAATGGTGTTGGGAGAACTGGATATCCACAGGCAAAAGAGCAAAATTGGATCTTTTTCTTACACCATACACAAAATTGACTTAAAATGAATTGAAGACATAAATGTTAAGACCTTCAACTATAAAACTCCTATGAGAAAACACAGGGGAAAATCTCCTTCACATTGACCTCAGCAATGATATTTTTGATATCACACCAACAAAAGCAAAAATAAAGTGGAACTTCATCAAGCTAAAAAGGTTCTGTACAGCAAATGAAAATACAGCCTGTAGATGTGTAGAAAATATTTACAAATCCTATACCTAAATAAGTGGTTAATATCCAAAATATATAAGGAACTCACACAACACAATAGCAAAAATAAATAAATAAACAATCCATCCTTTTTTCAAAGAAGACTTAAAGATGACCAACAGGTATGTGAGATGTTGCAGTCTTGAGTGTGAAATCTATAGATCAGGTTGGCAGGCCGGGAACTCAGGTAGGACCTCCATATTACAGTCTTGGGGCAGAATTTCTTTTTTCCCAATAAACTTCAGCTTTTGCTCTTAAAGGCATTCAACTGAGTGGATGAGACATATTCACATAATTGATAATTTCATTTATTTAAAGTCAACTGATTGTACATATTTAATCACATCTACAAAATACCTTCACAACAACATCCAGACTAATTCTTGACTAATCAACTGAGAACCAGAGCTTTGGTCAGTTGACATGAAACTAGACACCACACTAAGTGCTCAGCAAAGCAAAGCTGAGTACTACGCGAAGACCTAACTAATTGTTCTACTTTTCTTTGCCTTGTTGTAGCCCCAGTTTCCAGAAAGGTCACCTGTAATTAGAAAGGTTCTTGAAAATAAGCTTTTAATAAAATGAGTGTGTTAAGGTACGTGAGAGTGAATTATTTAATAAATAAAATATAATTATATAATTACTAGTAAACAACTGATACATGGATCTCACACAATGGCTAATATAGTTAAGTCTAATGAGATGGGCCTGATGGCACATCAGCCAAGGACAAGTGGAGTCTAGTGTGTTTCTTGTATTTTTGTCCTGGTCCACAAGTTGTGGTCTTAACACAGGGTTATGAAGTAAAGTTTGATGTCTGAAGAATGAGAGATTAATACTATAATTGCTGTATAAATATTTTTCTTACTCAGGGCAGAAATAAGATATTCAACATTATACCTTGTTAATTAATATTCCTTGATTGTTATTAAAATGAAGGATGGATTTATCTTAAAGATCATAACAAATATATTCATTCTAATCTAGACTGTCTATAACATAAGGCCAACATTTAGTCACCTATCCTTATTTTTATCTTTCTTGCTGTTTTCCATGTTCAAAGAAGTCAGTGCCATTTCTACCTTTCTCTCACTCTTGCCTATCTCTTAATTCAAAAGGTGTTCATCCTTCATGAGAAATTTACAGTGTGGGAGGTGGCAGGAAGAATTATGTTCTAATATACAATAAACATTTCTTTGTTATGCATGGGCAACCTACAGGCTTGCCTGCAGAGGGATAAGGCAATATGTATTAAAACAAACCCACTTTCTTATCCTTCCATGATCCTACTGCAATGTCTATGCTAACACCAGGAGTCACATCATTCTGTTTTCCTGTGATTTTAATAAATCAAGCTTCTCCAGAGGTCGAAGAGGAAAGTGGTATTTATTTGCATCTCAGTTCAATCTCTATTCAGTAGCTTGCTTCAAAATGGTTCTTTCTGGGAACACATGTATTCCTATCAAAATGTCAATTACATTTGTTCCTTCAACACTATCAGACAAGACTTCTTGCACCCCTCTTTGAGTGCTTTGTATATCTGACTTGTAATTTACACAGATAAGACACTGGCTTAACCTAAGGTCTCTGGAGTGTGAAGTCTTACTAGTGACTGAGACTAAGGCAAACTCTCCACACACATCTGGGCTAAGTCTCCCCTCCCAATGTACATTCCACTATTTGAATGGGACATGATTAAGTCATACAAATAGAAAATGGAGAAACTATGATAGCAACAAAATGTGTCTTTTCTGACATTTGTGGCATAGTGCAAAGAACATCAGATTCACCAAACATTCATACATTCCTTTTGAATTGGAATATTCTTTAAAGATAATCCAGTCTAACTGCTCATTTAATAAATGAAATAATATGTGTTTGTGTCATTGCATGCTGCTCAAACATTAGATGTTTATTGGTTACCCTCTATGCGTTTGAATGTTCTAGGCAGCGAGAACCCAGATTATGAAGCTAATGGAGCATTTATTTGTGGCAACAGATGTTAAGCCAAAAATCACGACTTTCGCTTGCATAATCAGAAGTTATATTAAGTACTATGAAGCAAAAATGTGGAGGAATTTGTGAGTGTATGTTAGGGGAGGCTCATTTTTTGGTGGTGACAGGAAGCAGAAAAGACCTCCCCATGGAGTGACTCAGGATAAGATTGGAAGGATTATTATGGGTTATTAAAAAGGAATTTCCCTGTGCCTCAATTTCCTCATCTGTAATTTGAGGGAATTGGACAAAATTCCCCTCTAGCTCTAAAATTGAATCATTCACCAAATTTAGAGATAGGGGATTTAAGTTTGACTTGAAAACAGATGTGGCCATTATTCAGGAAGTGGCTGGTTTTTACATTCACGTGGATTGTTTAATATACAATTCAGTAAGAAAAGATACTTAAAATTGGTATTTGGGCACCCAATCTTTTTTCAATATGTTCAGTTCAAATCCTCTACCTTGGACTGAGCTCTCATGGGATTTTCATGATATCTTTTAATCAAAATCTTAAGCATAAACTATATAATGGCTCCAGATTTCTCTTTTGATATACACAGTGGGACTAAGGGAGTTATTTCCTTTTCCATATACAATCATCTTGGTAATAGAAAATATGTTTCAAATTAGGCATCAATTCCATGAATGAGTATAGTGTGAATGCTCTATGTCAACATTTAAAAGACTATTAAGAATGAGAACTGTATTTATTATGTATTGTGCTAAACTCTATGTTCATTCTCTTCGGAAATATTAGTATCTCAATTCCTACCTGAGTAAAACTATCTAATTTTAACTTGTTGCTCATGTTAAGGAAAAAATGATAGTATTTGTTTTAGAGGCTCAACATGGGATGTGAGCACCATGATTCTGAAACTATGCTTGTGTGGATATTGTGATCTTTTTAAACCAGGCTGCAGCATTCTGCTTCCAAAAGTGAGAAATGATTTTTGAGTGCAGTAATGGCTCACTCTTGAAATTTATTCCATATATATTTCTTGATAGTTGATACTTTCTATGGCATCTCTTAAAAAACAAAAAGGAAAGAAATGATTGAGGAACAAGCGTGTGGGAAAACTGAGAAATGGAAATTCATGCTTGCTTTGACTGCTTGACTCCCCAAACCCTCAACACCCTGGCACCCATGGTTGTGATTTTATGGCAGACATATAACAGTCATAATTTCTGCTAAAATGTGTCTAGTTTATATGACATAATTCAATATATAAATATTTTATGGCATTATACACACACAAAAGCACTAAAAGTTTCATCAAGACTTTCTGGTATTCCCCCAAATAAAATGGAAAAAAAAAATCAGCCTATAGAAGCCTTTAAAATTTCATTATAATTATCCACAAATGAAAATCTAGATAACTGCTTTTTCAAGAAATCGCTTTATTCTCACAATAAATTTTACAGAGGATTTTTAAGACACTAAAGGTAACTGTCATGCTTGTGCACAAACACAAATATTCAAAGTCAGGGTTAGAATTCTGTAAATGCTGAGAGCACAGCTTTTCCCCATGCAAAGTTCACTGTTAATTGCTTGTTATTCAAAATTGGTTAAGAGTCACTGTGTTTCTATTGCATATTTGTGATGGCAAAGAGGAATAACACTTAACAAAGCTTTGCCTGTCTAATTCTTCTACCCTCTCACTCTCCCTGGAGTAAGTTAAACAATGATTCAGGCAAAGGGAAAGTCCAGTGGAATCTGGAATAGAATTCCCAGTAAAGGCAATATGGAAAGCCAAAAGTTAAGGAGGAACTAAAACCAAAACCTTTCCTGATCACTGAAGTCTTAAGTGCCAGGGACAGAATGAAAGGTGTTAAAATATGAGGCGGGAAAATGTGGTTTCAAGTCAGGATATCAAACCCCGAGTTGGGACTTGGAAAATAAAGACAGAACAAGTAAATTGGAAATACGTAGACAAGAGATCCTTGGTGTAGTCTCCAAATATGAGTTTTTGCCTTGAACAACCTTAATACTGGTGACATACTTAAGTTCAGTTTAACAGGATGACAGTATCAGAAGATACAGATACTCAGAAAATTACTGAAACTCTACAGGCTCTCCCAAAATAAACTTTTTTTTCTAGGTTTATGAATATCAACTTTTGGAATAATTGACATGATGCCACTATATAAGTTTCCTGGAATTTGACACCCTGCTAAGACCTTTTTATTAAATGATGCTGAAACATCCTTACTGATGACAACCAATGAGGACCTATGATGTTTTCAACCATCATACTACCCAAAATTATTTTATTAAGGAGAAATGAAGTTATGTTTTGTAAGATTTTTATGTTTCTTATGATATTATAACATTTATATTATACATAATATTTTAGACAGGTTATTTGTTTAACCAAAACATCCTATCATAAACCAAACTGAGTTTATTAGACTTTGGGGAAAAAAGTTTTCATTTTCCAAATCACTGAATGATTAATTATTCAATTTATTAACAGATATTTATTAGGTGCTTTAATATGTCCCAGGCACCAACCAGATAGAAGCTGAAGTTTAAAGACAAATAGATGCAGCTTGTAGGCTTAAGTAATTTGCCTTTTAGTGGCAGACAAAGGCAAGCCGCTAATACAATACAGACTAAAATATTCCATGCTGGAGGTGGGCACAGAATATGTTAAAAGTCTGTAAAAGAGTAGACAGTATTAGGGTCACCCACTGTGAGAGTCTAGTTAAAAGAAGGTTAAACTGAACACATTTTTCTTGAAACGATTAAACAAAACTGGGGGCGTCTGATGGGTATTTTGAGCAGAGAAAAAAGTATATACAAACTCAATGCAAATAACTCATGGTGTACGGAATATATAGGGTGCAGGTAAGTAGAGATGAAGCTAAGAGGTAAGCTAGGGACAAAATATTCTCATATTCCCAGAAAATGTGTATTTTTTGGTATGTGTATATGTGTCAAAAAGTAAAAAACGTTTATCACCCTGTTGGTTTAATTGAAAAATTAATATTTCATTAGTAGGGATTTATATATGTCATTATCTAGTTCTTCTTGCCCTCAGTTATGAATGAAAATTTTATTTTAGAACCTTGAAAGAGCAAGCATAATGGGAGGCATTAAGAGAAAAAATGACCTTTGGAATCAGAGGTATACCAGTTTGAGTTTCATCTCCTTTACCTTGGCTCTGTAAACTTGAGAAAACCACTAAATATTCTAAGTAGAAGTACATAGGTTTTGTGAG
Source organism: Homo sapiens (assembly GCF_000001405.40). NCBI lineage: Eukaryota > Metazoa > Chordata > Mammalia > Primates > Hominidae > Homo > Homo sapiens. Next base: position 22,425,410 of record NC_000011.10, read on the forward strand.
TTGTAAAAAAATAAAACATAGAAAGCTTTTACCTCGGGGTTTGCAATGTGTTTTATTATTAGTTATGCATTTTCACATGTGTATCCTTTATCTTCAAACCCTACACTTTTTATAGAAATAATAGAGTAGATACTAAATGATTTGCAGCGGGGGAATAATGCAGTTGGCACTAGATTTATGACTTAAGATTAATTTGGATTTGGGACTAGTGACCAAAAAATGTACCTTTCCTTTTGGACTACCACAACATACTTCCACACCACTCTCTCCAACATCCCCACCATTCAATGTCCTCATGCTAGTCTAAATGTCTAAAGTCACCTCCCATGAGGTGCCTCCTTGTTGCCTGATCTCTTGGAATGACATTATATTTGCTAAATTTGTTCAACATACATCAAAACTAGTGCCCTGATACTTTTTCCTGGTAAACCCACTGTTAAAAAGACATGAGATATGAAATCCTTTACAGCTCAGATATTTGCATTTTGACAGGAGTCGAATATCAATTAGATCTTATTATGTTTTAAACAATGGAAACCAACTCTAGCTGATTTTGTGTGTGTGAGACAGAGAACTTTATTGAGATATAACTCCTGTACCAAATAATTCATCTGTTTAAAGTGTGCAATTTTGCATTTTTTTGTACCTTCACAGAGGTGCAAACATAACCATGATCAATTTTAGAATGTGGTTAACTTTTTTAAAAGGGGGAATATGTTGGAAGGATTCAGGAATGTCAAGAAAGGACCGAAAGCCCAAAGAACCAGGCTTGAAACCAGGCAAGATCCAAGGTGCCTCCGTAAAGTGAAGAGATGGCCTCAAAGCTGGAAGAGTCTGACTGGGCAACACTGGTGCAATGACAGTTTTAAATGGCTTCTTATGGTTTTTATTTCTTGCCTAAGATTCAGTGATCTGGGAGAAGCTGTCTCATTGGCTTTTATAACCACCCGACTATACCGAAGCTTCAGGTCACCCACTGTGAGACATTTGAGATAATGTCTTTATTATCTCATGACTATAATGGCTATACTGAAGCTTCAGGTGTGTAAAGTGGGCAATCAGTTTTACTGTGCCATGTAGACTACACACAACATAGGAGAAAGTTGTTCCGCAAAAGGTGATTAGGGTACTATCAGGGCAAGAGATTAGGTACTGAGAGACCCAAATGACAGGTATCTATTACCAAGATTATTGGATATTAATGAAAGGCAAAAAAACCCCATAAAGTAATGGTACAATTTGAGAGTAAAAGGGATATTGTTTCTTGGGGCTCAGGGGGTTAGACACACCTCTTTGTACTTGGAACGTGAATTTCTTGGATTCTAAGTGAAATCAAGTCTTCCATGAGGATCTAATTCTCCATAGAATCACAATGGGCATCATAGATTTTGGCCAATGTGAAATTTTCTTCTTTTTACTTTGATTCTGAGCCTTGTTGAAATGATTACCTCTGAGACAAAATCCCAGGAAAACTGCAGCACAATTTGTAACTCTTTGTCACCATTAGAAGAGCAGAAAGTAGGCAGCAATCCAAAAGACTCCTTCTTGTCATCAGACATTTTTGACCATCTTTCATGGTTATTGCAAAATAGACACCCAACTGGGTGGAAGTTGGCATTAAGTACTTCTACGGTCCCTTCAACTCTGAGACTCTGTGATTTCTTAACCTTTTTAGTGAATTATTATGTGTGCAGGGAAACTCCACAAGGAGTCACTAGATATCTATGAGAACTTTGCAAAACTTCAAAAAATAACTTTTTAAATGTGCAAATAGCACTACAACACAAAATAAAATTTTCAACAATGGTCAAATGAAACTTTAAATCCCATATTTAAATTTCTATAATTAAAGTGCAGGAAATATGTTTGGATGAAAATCTTTTTTGTTTTCTTCCAAATCAGTAGACATGAGTCTCCTAGGATTTTGACACTTTCTTTCAAAGCATTTGTTTTGACATCTGTGAAGATATACTAGATTCCCTTATAAACGTGATCACAAATAAACCTAAACACTCAAAGCAAAGTTTAAACCAGTCCCTCAAAATGAAACAACAGGATGTTTATTTTCATCTTATATAATTATTTATTCCCAGGTTTATTCAAAAGACATTTGAGATAATGTCTTTATTTTAATAAAAATACAGACACTTCTGGTTCTAGATCCTTGAGGAATCGCCACACTGTCTCCCACAATGGTTGAACTAATTTACACTCCCACCAACAGTGTAAAAGTGTTCCTATTTCTCCACATCCTCTCCAGCATCTGTTGTTTCTTGACTTTTCAATGATTACCATTCTAACTGGCGTGAGATAATATCTCACGGTGGCTTTGTTTTGCATTTCTCTAATGACCGGTGATGATGAGCTTTTTTTCATACATTTGTTGGCCGCGTAAATGTCTTCTTTTGAGAAGTGTCTGTTCATATCCTTCGCCCACCTTTGATGGGGTTGTTTTTCTCTTGTAAATTTGTTCAAGTTCCTTGTAGATTCTGTATATTAGCCCTTTGTCAGATGGATAGATTGCAAAAATGTTCTCCCATTCTGTAGGTTGCCTGTTCACTCTGAAGATAGTTTCTTTTGCTGTGCAGAAGCTCTGTAGTTTAATTAGATCCCATTTGTCAATTTTGGCTTTTGTTGCAATTGCTTTTGATGTTTTAGTCATGAAGTCTTTGTCCATGCCTATGTCCTGAATGGTATTGCCTAGGTTTTCTTTCTAGGGTTTTTATGGTTTTAGGTCTTAGGTTTAAGTCTTTAATCCATCTTGAGTTAATTTTTGTATAAGGCGTAAGGAAGGGGTCCAGTTTCAGTTTTCTGCATATGCCTAGTCAGTTTTCCCAACACCATTTATTAAATAGGGGAAATTGACCCAGCAATCCCATTACTGGGAATATACCCAAAGGATTATAAATCATTCTACTATAAAGACACATGCACACATAGCTTTATGGTAGCACTATTCACAATGGCAAAGACTCGGAACCAACCCAAATGTCCATCAATGATAGACTGGATGAAGAAAATGTGGCACATATACATCATGGAATACTATGCAGCCATAAAAAAGGATGAGTTCATGTCCTTTGCAGGGACATGGATGAAGCTGGAAACCATCATTCTCAGCCAACTAACACAGAAACAGAAAACCAAAGACCGCATGCTCTCGCTTATAAGTGGGAGTTGAACAATAAGAACATATGGGCACAGGGAGGGAAACATCACACACTGGGGCCTGTCAAGGGGTGGGAGGCAGGGGAGGGATAGAATTAGGAGAAATATCTAATGTAGATGACGGGTTGATGGGTGCAGCAAACCACCGTGGCACATGTATACCTATGTAAGGAACCTGCACGTTCTGCACATGTATCCCAGAACTTAAAGCATAATAATAATAATAAACTATTTGGCAAAAAAAGATACAGACTTTAATAGGAAAATGATGCAAATAGTAAGAATGATGCAAGCAGAAACATGCTTTTATGTTGAATATTCATTAAGTATTGCTTTTAATGCATAAATATCAGTTGTTTTCTACTGTTTCAGTCTGTCCTACTATTGCCCTGGCTAAAATGAGCAAAAGTAATTGTTTACTATTTAAGAACATTGACATGAATATGCCATGAATTTCAAGACTGTCTTGATGAAACTTGTGAGACAGGGGAAGTGTCAACTGTCCTAGGTAGACATCTCTGGTTCTTTGTGTTGGTTGCAGAGTACAGTGCCCCATTAAACAGGTGTGTTTTCTTGGCCAAGCCCTAAGCCCGATATCAGATTTACTCATCCTCTGTCCCACCGTTTTGGGGCCCTGACAAATTGTCAAAAATAATGCCTGATAATATCTTAATAGTTCTTCTTAACACTCTCTCTCCCCTCCCGAAGGATATGTCCACATTTAACTAGAGCCCACCAAGGAAAAGCCTGTTCTTTAGGAGCTGGCACTGCACTGTTCTTCTGGATACCTGTCCAGTGTTTGTTTGCATAACACCAACTCCAATGGTGTTACAGTGGCTGTTATGGTGGGACATTAAAGATGATAGTTTTCGGCAAGCAGAACTCTATGGTGCTGTTCGTAATCATTCATACATGCATAAGTGATTAAGTACCTCCTATGTGTCAGACACTGTGCTGGGCACTGGAGGTATAAAAATTAATAGAAATTTGAAACTTGTCTTTGAAGACACATGGTGGAGGCAGGAGGTAAATCATGCTTTACAGCAAAGTGATAAGAACCACGACAGAGGCACATATGGGAGCACTGAGGAAGACTCTCCAGAGGAGATATATTATATCTGTGTTTTGAAAGAAGAATGAGAGTTTGGCTAAGTGGAAAGAACTTCTACACAGAAGAAGCCTACGCAGAAGGGTTGAAGCAGAAAATCACTGAAGTTAAAAATTAATTTGGGAATCTACATGCTACCTCGGTGGAGATATAACAGTTAAGATCAAGAGCCAGGCTTCCTGGGTTCACATCCTAATACTTATTAATTGTAAATGATAGGAACTGTGGATGATGAGATTGTTTGATTTGTCCGTCCCTCAGTGTCTCCATATGTAAAATGGGAGGAATATTAGTAGAGTAATATCTACCCCATAGATTTGTTTGGCTAACCATAAAAATGTTCAGCCCATAGGAAGATTCCTTTTGTGTTCACTGTGATAGTCTCACTGTGGCTGAGCACAGAAGGTGGGAAAGGCAGGGTTGAGACATGAAGAGGTTAGCAGGAACCAGGAAATAAAGGGCCTGCTGGGCTGGGCTGCAAAGCTTGGCCATCCACCCTGAGGGGATAGCCTTTGTGGATTTTCCATTATAGAGTCATGTGGGCAACTGCTTCTCCAATTATAAATGAGGGGTTCATGGAAAATCAGATCTGAATCCAGAGCACACGTGCACTCTGAGGATACTAGAATGTGCTTACTAGGTGCCTGGACAATCCTTAGCTTGATTTAATCTTTTCAATGTTGTAAACAGATGTCTTCAGGAAAATTGTGTTATATGTGCTCCAAAACTTAGGTTGGAAAGAAACACAAGGCGCAAACGCTTTAGTCCAGATGAATGGATATGTGAAGTGGGTAAAGTGACTCAGGCAATCTATCATCCTCTAATTACTAAGCTTATAAAATGTATGCTTTGGAAATGTTTTGAAGTGTCTGCAAAATGCATTCCAGAAAAGTCATCAGAGTGTGTAGTACCATTTCCTGGGTACTAATAAAATACACTCTCTCTCATTAATGCCCTATTAATAATCACTTCAGCCATCAATACCTTATTATTAATTGACTTATTAGAGAAGGCAAAAGAAAAAATACAACTGGCAACCCTCAATTTTGGAGCTTAAATTTCAAGTAATGTTTGTAACACATTAAATCTTGTGTGCATTACAAAATATTTTATAAAAATTGGGTCATGAAGTACATTCTATTTTTAACATGCCTTTCTTTTCACTTAACACTGCACAGTGAGCACTTTTCCACATGACTGCATATTCTCCTATATGTTCAATTTTAATGGCTGCATATAGTTTTATCATCCAGCTGTAACACAGATTTTTTTTTAAATTCTTCGACATTTATGTGGATTCTAAAATTTTACTGTTATAAAATAGTATAAAAACTAAATTCGCGTAGCTAAATTTTTGCCCGGGTCTATGATTTTTTTTTCTTTCAGAATAATTCAAAGTGAGCATTTCTCAAGTCTTAAAAGGCCCTGATTTAATTGCAGCTGTTGGTCAGGCCTGGGTGCTCCCTGAGCCCTCCTCAGAGATGAGGTGCCTTGAGTGTGATACTGCAGGGCTTCTTACAGGCTACTTGACAACAGCCAGGTTCACTCTTACCCACAATGGGAAGAGAGTGGTTTCCCTGAAGGATCACGCAGTTCTGTGTAAATGATATGGCAAGCTACTCCCTGCCGTTCCAGGGCTGGGGTGCAGGGACCTCAGAGAAGGCGGTTTTGAAGGATTCCACTTTGAGCACAATCTGGCTCTGCAGCCAGGCCTCTCAGCACTCATGAATTTCCATTTTAAAACAACAACTGCTCTTTGAATTGAAATTCTATAGCCAGAGAATAAGAACAAAATGAAAGCCTTTATCCTTAATGAAGGTTTATGACAATAAGGTGATTTTGAGTATTTCTTAATATTATTATGTGTTCAATGGAAAATCATTTTGTTTTCTTTGGTAGAACATAAATAATTAAAAATAATTTTTCCCAAACCAAATGCAAATACTTAGATATCTGAGGGGAAAGAAACAAAAACAATAACAAATGATCCAAGTGATCCAGAGCTCTTCCATTTTAATCTTCACACTTTCCTTTGAGGAAAATACTTTTATGTATAATCTATAAGTAAAGATTCATTTATATGTTTATAAACCACATCAGACATGTTGAAACAATAAAACAAAACATGTTTTTGTTCTTATATAATTTTTATAATTGTCAAAGAAAGTATAAGGAAAAAGTCACCTGTAATTGCATCACCCAGTGGTTATCTCATTGTATTCATTTCTTCAACCGTTTTCTTACATTTAGCTTGATTTAAAAACAACTATTATAACCATTTGCTCCTATGAGTATCTTTGTAGCTATATTTTGTTCAAACCTCTATTTATTTCTTGAAAAAGTTGCCCACAGGAAGACTGCATCAATTTGCTCACTCACCAACCATATATAAGAGGTAGTCATATAACTATTAATGGTTTATATCTAGTGAAACTGAAGGCTGCAAACGTCAAAATGGTTCCAACATTAGTGTCAGTAAATAAGGGTTGGACATGAATCCTTGCTTCCTTCCAGTTTATTCTGTTGCGCCTCCTAGGAGGAGAATGACCAGATTCGCTGACATTTGGGGCCAGGAGTGGTGGGGAGAACGTCTGAGACACACGCATAGGGTTTTGTTTTGTTTTGTTTTTTGTTTCAGGAAGCAGTCAGTTGCCCAAAGAACAATAGTTAGGAAACCAAGCCCTCAGAGGACCGCATTAACTTGTGCAGTAACAAGTTCAGGGACGCTGGGTGTCTCAGCTGTTCAATAACAAGAGAGGGGCAGAAAGGAAGGTTGCCATGGTGATGGCTTGCCGCACGTGCCGCATGGGGGTGGGGGCGGAGGTGACTTTCTGCAGAGCTAAATGAAGCTGTGGAAGTCGCCTCTCCTTGGCCTTGGGATGCGGCCCAAATTTGAGGCGTCTCGGCCGCTGCCTGGAGCCGGGCTGGAAGCACACTGGATCCCTTGGGGAAGGCAGGCTGCCCTTAGCATACAGAAACCCCCTCCTGGCAGCCATTTTATCGCATCTCTTATTCTTTGGCTTCTTCCCGGCTCAGGCCTCAGTGAAGCCCAGTTCACTCCAGGGTCTGCGGCGGGAGGCGGGCGCGCCCCACAGTGCGGGCTCGCCACGCGGTCCCTTGGCCTTCCCCATCTTACTTGCAGCTTCGCGCCGGGAAGGGTTGGTTTTCGTGGTGGTTTGATGTTGGGAGGGGAAATGGAAATTAAATTCCCGGCAGACTGGGTTGCGATCTCACATCTTGATCCTACTGCGGGTGCGTAAAGAAAACGGAGACGCAGATGTGATTCGTAAGTGAAGGCTGTAGTCTTGGCGCACTTGGCAAAGGCTTTTTATTTCATACATTATTTGTATTCTGCCGCAGTGATTTCGGAGGCAAAGCAGACGCGCACTAGCCTGGAATTAAGACACGTATTCACACATTGGTTAAGGACGCCAAGCAGATACTAATCCGTGGTGTTTTCACAGAAAAGAGAAAATGCACAGGCAGCACATGTCTTTCTATTTCACTCCGCTGCAGTGGGGAGATGCAAGGCAGGGCCTGAGTAATAGTATGCTTGATTAAATTCGGTCGCATTGCCTGCTTTAGGCATTTCATTTTTCCACCTGATGGATGGGGTGACACTAAACTGTGGCATTTTCTTTGTCTGCACTGTGTTTTGTATGTGCTACATGGCATGCAGTTTAGTGCAGAACTGGTTTTTTTGACAACTGGAAATAGTAACTTCTGTAATTACTGTACAGTGATGTAATCCAATGAAAAATCTTTTGGGTGGGGGGAAGAACTTAGGCAGAAAAGATTGTTAAAGGCAGTGATGATGGGATTTGGAGGTATAAAAAGGATGACAAAGCAGAAATAACTTCACTGCCCTCAAGCTAGGAGCAAAGTTCATTTATAATTCTCATAGTTACAGAAACTAAAAGCTAAAAAATGGTTCCGTGAGACAAAATCTTTTCTAACATTGCCTTTTCACAGTTGGAGAAATAAAGATTTGAAGAGGTAAAGAATTAACTTACCAAGGTCACAAAGCCGTAGGAATACAGACCTGCTTTTCTGGTTTAACTACGCTAAGTCAAAAAAAGCGAGATATGGAATTAACTGCATTGAAAAATGAATGATTCTCAAACTTTTTATCTCAGCCTCCTTCACACTCTCAATTATTGAGGACCCTAAGGGCTTTCGTTTTTGTGAACTGTATCTATCACTGTTTATCATGCTAAAATGCAAAATTTGGAATAAAAATACTTATTAATTCATTTTAAAATAGCAATAAAACATTAGATGATAACCCAAATAACTCATTTTTATGAAGAAGAAAATTAATGAGAAGGGATACATAGATTTCCATTTTTTGAAAATTAGTGTGGAGCTTATAGTTCGAGTCTCATCTCTGCTTCTGCATTCAATCTGTTTTAATGTGTTGCTTTGATTAACATACATGAAGAAATCTAGCCACTCATACCAAAAGAGAGGACCTGGTACCAGAAAGAGTCTTGAGAACTCTCAATAAGAGGTGTGCTGCTCCACTTGTGGAGAGTGTTTTAATAACCAGTTCATCATTGAAGAGAAAGCCCACTTTGTAGCACTGCCAATTTCTCTGGTGTAAATACTCCCAACATGGCTGGTAATGCAAAGTTGGGAAAAGACAGGCAGTAGCACATTATTCTATAGTATTTCTACCATACAAATACAACAGCTAGAAATAACCACAAGAGCCTAACAAGATTGTAATAAAATGTAGTAAAATGATTAGGAAATGATGGGTTGTGAATATTTATTATCTTTACGTTAATATAATTTGTTTAATTGACGTTTTTATAATATACTTTTTAATAATGATTATGTTTAAGGACTGACTCACAAAATTCTTTAAAATTTGACAGTGAGGACTGCTGAGTCAAATGGTATTTCTGGTTCTAGATCCTTCAGGAATCGCCACACTGTCTTCCACAATGGTTGAATTAATTTACATTCCCACCAACAGTGTAAAAGCATTCCTCTTTCTTCACAGCCTCGCCAGTATCTGTTGTTTCTATATTTTTAAATAATCGCCATTCTGATTTGTGTGAAGTGGTATCTCATTGTGGTTTTCATTTGCATTTCCTTAATGATCAGTGAAGTTGAGTATTTTTTCATGTTTGTTGGCCATATACATGTCTTCTTTTGAGAAATGTCTGTTCATGTCCTTTGCCCACTTTTTGAAAGGTTTGTTTTTTTTTCTTGTAAATTTGTTTAAGTTCCTTGTAGATTCTGGATATTAGAATAAAAATTATTCTATTATAAAGGTACATGCATGTGTATGTTCATTGTAGCACTATTCACAATAGCAAAGACATGGAATCAACCTAATTGCCCATCAATGATAGACTGGATAAAGAAAATGTGGTACATGTTTATGATGGAATACTATGCAGCCATAAAAAGCAACAAGATCATGTCTTTTGCTGGGACATGGATGGAGCTGGAAGCCATTATCCTCAGCAAACTAACACAGGAACAGAAAACCAAACACCACATGTTCTCACTCATAAGTGGGAGCTGAACAATGAGAACACATGGACACAGGAAGGGGAACAACACACACTGGTGCCTGCTGGGGGTTGGGGGAGGGAGAGCATCAGGATAAATAGCTAATGCATGTGGGGCTTAATATCGAGGTGATGGGTTGATAGGTACAGCAAACCACCATGGCACATGTTTACCTATGTAACAGACATGCACATCCTGCACATACATCTCAGAACTTAAAATAAAATAAAATACACACTTTGGGAGGCCAAGGTGGGCAGATCATGAGGTCAGGAGATTGAGACCATCCTGGCTAACAGGGTGAAACCCCATCTCTACTAAAAATACACAAAAAAAATAAAATTAGCCTGGTGTGGTGGCGGGTACCTGTAGTTCCAGCTACTCGGTAGGCTGAGGCAGGAGAATGGCGTGAACTCGGGACGCGGAGCTTGCAGTGAGCCTAGATTGCGCCACTGCACTCCAGCCTGGGCGGCAGAATGAGACTCTGTCTCAAAAAAATAAAATAAAATAAAATAAAATAAAATAAAATAAAATAAAATAAAATAAAATAAAATAAAATAAAATAAAATAAAATAAAAAAATAATAATAATAAATAAAATTTGACAGTGGGTCCTCAAGAGATGTCAGAAGCTGCTCCAGCACACCACTACCTCCAGGGATCCTCAAACCATAATGGGACAACCAGTGTATGAAGTTAATTCAACAAAAATTATTAAGCACTTAGTTTGTGCTAATGTGTGGATAATACATGTATTGAAATACAGAAATAAAAGAGTAATATCAAGGGTGGGGAAAAATAACTACAAAATGCAATAATTTGTGCTTAGTCCATTCAGGCTGTTATAAGAAAATACCATAAATGGGGTGGCTTATAAACAAACATCCATTTCTCACAGTTTTGGAGGCTGGGAAGTCCAGGATCAAAGCACCAGCAGATGCAGTGTCCGGTGAGGGCCCCTTTTCTGGCTCATAGGTGGCAACTGTTTGCTGTGTCCTTCACATGGTGGAAGGTGCAAGACAGCTTTCGGAGACCTCTTTTTTTTTGAGACAGAGTCTTGCTCTGGAGTGCAGTGGTACCATCTTGTAGCATCTGCTATATGCTATGATTTCACCCCAACCTTCATCTGAGGCCTCTTTTACAAGGGCATTAATCCCATCATGAAGGTTTTTCCCTCATGACCTAATCACCTCCCAAGGTCCTACTTCCTAATACTATCACATTGGTGATTAGGTTTGAACACATGAATTTTGGGGGAACACATTCAGACAGTAGCAATTAGGATACTTTAAACCTTCCATTATTAACTCAGTTTAAGTTAGTTATCCGGCTTCTTTATTGCTTTCCTAAGCACACCCCTCCCTCCAAATGATAATGTGTTTGTTTTCTCTAGACGTTACCATTTTATATTTTGTAGTAGGGCTGTAGGCTAAGCCAATATTTTCATCTGACAGCAGTGATCTGGATGTAACATCTCTCTAAAGGTAAAATATTATCATCTTTACAAACAGAAGTACGTAAACCTCCAGGATTTACGAATTTAAGCTTCTGTGCTACAGACCGCAGGATTTGTTTGGTCTTCAGCACAAGCATATTGTTTCCAGATTAGAGGGGCCATACTCATGGTGAATGCTTGAAATATGTACTGACATTGTGGAAAATTAGTCATTCAATGATTATTTATTGATCCTCTGCTATATGCTAGAAGCTGGGGAGCTTACCACCCTAAGTAGCTACTCAGTGCTTAAAGCCAACACTGATCATGGGTGTTTCCCTGGGCATTGGAATTGGTGTGAAATAGGTATTGCCCTGAGCACTGTGATGGCAAAGTGTAGGAGGCACAGTGCCCTTTTTTATTATATTCTACAACTACTCAGCAATGTTTCATGTGCACACTCCCATGAACATATTCTTTAGTGATGATTTGAGTCACATTTGCTCTGGTTGCTGCCTTGCAACATTTGAAATGATTTGGAAATAAAACATTTTTATTTGTTGGTTTAAGTATCAAATATAAAGGAAAAGCAATTCAATTACAAGAGAGACTTGGTAAGGGCCTTACCAAAGGACTGTTGGTAAAGACCTATACGCTGCACCTCGGCCTAGTGGCCTAGTGCAGGAAAGCTAGAATGTGCATCCATTTTAGATGAAGTGATCGCTCAGAGGGCAGGGCCTGCTTTGTGTAGCTGGGTGTCATTGATCAAGGCACACCTCTAAAGGATGTGTGGCCTAATTGTCAGCGATGGAAAAATAGATTTGCTGTGGTCAGAAAATCAAAGTTCTCAACTTAGCATGCCAGGCTCCATTTCTTCCATGCCGTTCCTTATCATCTGGGGTTTTAGAAAAGAAATCTGGGATGAGGCAGAAGAAATGAAAGTGACTTCATGTGATTCTCATGACTTTGCTTCCACAACATATTGCCCTAATGGGTATGGATGGAAGCTCTGGGGCTTAGTCCTTAAGTTTTATAAATAATTAACTCTATGACCCAACTCTATGAGAAGTTGAAATAAATACCCTCTAAAGTTCTTTGTAGTTTTACAATAATTTCATGTCTAAGACAAAATACTATAGAAGTTCATAAAGACTGTAAGTCTTTTGACATTAAAGCTAAATATTGCTGTGATAAGACCACCTCCAAATCCTCACTGCAGAGGCAATTTCATTGAATAATTTAATTAAGTGCATGAGCTTTGAAATTAGACAAAGCTGTATTTGAATGCTTCCTCAGCCACTTACTAGAGATGTGACCTTGGGTACATAACTTAAAACCTCTTTCAGATGCCATTTCTTCATCCTTAGAGTTAAGATTCATTCATGTCAACAAATATTTTTTATGAAGCACCTATTATATGCAAGTCACTCTTGTAGGCACAGAAGATATTAACAAACAAGACAGATCTAGCCCTCTTCTCATGGCTAATAATCTGATAGATGGAGATAGACAATACACAATAAGTAAAAATATAGAATAGAATGTAAACTGGTGATATCTGCTATAAGGGATTGATCCTTAATTTTTTTTGTCTTGGGACTTTGAAAATCTTAAATTACAAAACACCCAAAGAAATTTTGTTTGTATAGGTTATATCTATTGATATTTGTCATATTAAAAACTAAAACAAAATTTTTAAATTATTAGTTTATCTAGAAATAATAAGAATTACCCCATCATATGTTAACATAAAAACATTTTTCATTGAAAATGACTATAGTTTACAAATTAAAAACAAATTGTGGGAAGAGTGTCATTTTCCACATTTTTGCAAATCTCTTTAATATATGCATAACAGAATACAACATGGTGGCTCATACTTGTAATTCTAGCACTTTGGGAGGCCAAGGCAGGAAGATCACCTGAATCTAGGAGTTCGAGATCAGCCTGATCAACATAGTGAAACTCTGTCAATATAAAATTAAAAAAAAAAAACAACAAGCATCGTGGCATGTGCCTGTAGTCCAGTTACTCAGGAGGCTGAGATGGGAGGATGGCTTGAGCCCAGGAGCTGGAGTCTCCACTGAGCCATAATTGCACCATTGCACTCCAGCTAGGGCAACAGAGAAAGACCCTGGGTCTAAAAAATAAATATATAAAAAAAAGAATATCCAGCCTCACACAGATAAGTAGTTGGAAAAGGGAAGACTACTGTAATAGTATTTTCAGGTAATTGTGGCTGTTCTGTAATGCTACATCAAAACTTGACAAGTGGTTGTTTCCTTAATGTTAATTACAATGTAAAATCTAAAATCATATCAATGAACTTTCCATACTTGGTTACATTAGAAACCATCAGTCAGCCTTGCACTCTGAGTAAATCTTTTATCCATTTATGATTTTGTACCATCAAGTATTGGCCATTTGGAAAGTATTACTTTACTGAATTATGCACATATTCCAAATTTTGACATATTTCATTTTAAAATATCAGAAAGCATTTGTTAATATGATCAATATTATCATCAGATAAGTCTTAAGCACTGGGAAGCTTTCAAGCTCATGATGGTATATACAGATTTTCCAAAATTCTAATTTTTGTTGGAAAACTCAAATTTTGTCACTGGCAACAAATACTGTCAGTTGTTTTTCTTGAAACGACAGACTCGCTTTGTTTATTTTTTAGAAAATGTCTGCCAAATACTCAAGTTTTTCAGTTGTTCTTTTGAATAAAATGCTGCTCCATGAAAAATGGTTAATTCAGTTCTCAACTCAATTACATAAGTGTTTTACTTTGAGATAATCATTGTACAGCAAAAGCGCTTTATGTGTACTTCCCATTTCATCACATAGAATATTGAAAAGATGTGTATTTAAGAGTGGAGGTTCAATAAAAGTAATAGATTTTGCTATTTTGTCAAGGATATTCTTTAGTGACGCTTTTTGTTTTTCATTCTTTTTTTACTATTACTATTCTTTAAGTTCTGGGATACATGTGCAGAACGTGCAGGTTTGTTACATAGGTATACATGTGTCATGGTGGTTTGCTGCACCCATCAACCCATCATCTACATTAGGTATTTCTCCTAATGCTATCCCTCCCCTAGCCCTCCACTCCCTGACAGGCCCCAGTGTGTGATGTTTCCATCCCTGTGTCCATGTGTTCCCATTGCTCAGCTCCCACTTACGAGTGAGAATATGTGGTGTTTGGTTTACTGTTCCTGTGTTACTTTGCTGAGAATGATGGTTTCCAGCCTCATCCATGTCCCTGCAAAGGACATGAACTCATCCTTTTTTATGGCTGCATAGTATTCTATGGTGTATATGTGCCACATTTTCTTTATCCAGTCTATCATTGGTGGGCATTTGGGTTGGTTCCAAGTCTTTGCTATTGTGAATAGTGCCACAATAAACATATGTGTGCATGTGTCTTTAGAGCAGAATGATTTATAATCCTTTGGGTACATACCCAGTAATGGGATTGCTTGTTTTGTATCTAGAACTGCATGGTGGTGAAACACACAATGACCACTAGGACAGCTTGGGGCCAATGCCTTGATTCACGCCAAGGCACCAAGAGTCTTATTTACTTATTTTCTTATTGCTTTTACACCATTAGTACAAATGTAGATACAGCAAAAAAGGCAGATAAGATATCAGTATTATTATGAGAATACGGTTGTCCTCATGCATGCCCTTAAAGAGCCTGAGATTCCCACAGGGCTGTAGACCACACTTTGAGAACCACTGATATAACAAAGATAATTCAAGGGGAAGGTCCATCAATTGACTTGGGGAGGGTAGGCAGCAACTCTAGCTTGGGTGGTCAGGAAAAGCCTCTCTAAGAAGACAAGATTTAAGCTGAGACGAGAGGGAGCCAGCCAAATGAAGACTTGCAGGAAGAAAGAATTCTGATGGAGAAAACAGCTAATACAAAGCTCAGAGGTGGGAAGTTCAGGAATAGAAAGAAGGTCACATGGATAGGACAAAGTGAGCAAAGGAAGATTTCAAGATGAGCTTGGTCAGTAAAAATAATATAATATCTGAATCACAGAATTGGTGTTTAAATAAAATAATGCTTATAAAGTGCTTAGCTCAATACTTTTCCTGCTACCTAGCACCCAATAAATGTAGCCTGTGTTACTTGTGTATGTGGTGAAACTATGTGTTCTATCAGCTTTGAAATCTGTCTTTTCCTGGTATGCACAAGCTTTGAGGCATAAAAGACTGAGATTATTGTGTTCCTTTTTAGAAAAACACTGTCAAGGCAAACATGTAACTCACAATGCTCTAACATTGAGCTCAGCACACTTATAGCTTAAGCAATTGAGCTAAGATGTAATGCTATTCCTTATCTAAAAGAAAATAAAAATGGTTTAACCCATATATGTATAAGTTTGTTAAACCAAAAGTGCAGCTTAGTGGATAGGGAGATGTTTAAAATCCAAAAATGCTAGAAACTAGTAGACAGCATAAAATGAGATGCATTCCAAGAGAAGGACGGATATTCTTTTCCCACTAGCTGAGTACAGATTGTTTGTGATTTACATTTATCAGATACTATGTTATTCGTGATTGCCTCAGATTCATCAGACATTAAATAAGCAGTTGCTAGCCTTCTGGTCATCCTTTGCTTAGCATCATGTTATGGCAAGAACTGGGCCTGATATCTTTGTTCATTTGATTATTTATTCATTCAGCCACCATTAATTGATGTTTATTATAGATTAATGGTTGTTCTGGAAGCTGAGATACAGAAATGCAAGAAGTACTTGCATCTCAAGGAATTCCCAGTGTGGGAGATGAAGCAGATAAGCAAAAACAAATATATCTTATTTGAAGCAAATACCAAGTATTGTGAGAGTTAAGAAGGCAATCAAATCTTTGTGAGGAAGGTAATGTGGAGGATGCTAAAGCTTCCTTAAAATGGTGACATATAAGCTGACCCTTAAAAGGATAAGTAACAATTACCCTATGTCAAAGAAAAAATTGTGCTGGAGAAAGTTAAACAGGCAAAGATGGCTTGATTCAAGCTATTTAAATAGGCGAAAGAGGAAAGAACTCAGTCTGAACTCAATTCCACTGAAACAAAAGGAGGGAGGGGTTTTAAGTTCTGCGATGAGCTAGTGGAAAAGTACTGTGGGACATTAGAGATAAGTCATAGCCCACTGATATTTGCTAATTGGCTTTGTCCAAAGGAAAAAACAAACTTCCCATATGTATATGACAGGACATCGTTGTACTACATGGAACAAGCTGCTCACTAAAGTTAGGCTCCTGCTCTCCCAAGACAGACTATGAAATAGGGGAGATAGGGGCACTATCTTCCTTGATGATTGCATTTCAAATACATGGCTCTCAGATCCTGAAGAAAGACATTCCTGGTTTGTAAAACTGGCAAGAGACTGGGAGAAGATTTACATTTCTAAAAGGCAGAGGAAGGATTTACAGTTACAAGCTTTCTAAAGCAAACCCTCTAATAAAATAGAAGTCAGGGACCTAAAGTCAGGAAGGAACCTGTCTAAAGGTTAGTCAAGCAGAAGAGACCAGTAGGCCATTTTGGTCACCAGAAAAGTATGCAGAAAAGTCATTTCAGGCAAAATAATATAACCATGCCACATTGATCACTTAATATATACCACACTAAATACTTTGGTCACACACGTGCACCCACATGAGCAAATCCCATTTGCTATTCACATTTTATGAATGATTAAACTAGGTCTTAGAGATATTAAATAGCATAGTCGAGGCTGTATAATCAGCATAACTGCAGAGCTGGGATTTGAAACCTGGTCACTTAACCGCAAATTAGATGGTCTTCACCACTCATAAAACACTGCTTTCCAGTTGGTTGAAGAAAATATATGTATAACTTATTTTGAGAGATTGGTTTGTTGTCCCAACATTTTTTTGTGATAATTTTAGACAGCCAGCAAAACCAAAAGCATTTTACAGCGAACCTCTATGTACTCCTGACCTATACTCTGCCATAAACATTCTACTATACTTACCTTATTACATATCTCTCTCTTCAATGCTACATCCATCCATCAGTCTCATTTTATATCAGTACTTTTCTCCCTAAATACACCATCACATGTATTATTAAATAGATTTGAATGTTGTTTATAGATTTTTTCTTTTCTTATAAAATTTACAAAATAAAATGAACAAATCTCAAGTGTACATTCACTGACGCTTAACACATGCACATACTTGTGTAACTCAAACTCACGTCAATACATAGAAACTTACCATCACCATAGAAAGTTTTCTCATGCTCTTTTCTCATCACGCCACCCTCAACCCCAAGAGGCAAACTTTCTTCTAATTTTATGCTTCTCTAGATTAGTTTTCCTTGTTCTAGAATTTTAAATAAATAAAATCAGACAGTATAGTATCTTATGCAAGGCCTCTGTATAGTTAGTTGTATGAGTCAACTTGGCTAGGTCATAGTACACAGTTGTTCACTCAAACACCAATATGGATGTTGCTGTGAAGGTATTTTGTGTATATGTTTATCACCTACAGTCAATTGACTCTAAGTAAAACATACTATTCTGAATAATGTCATTGGGCCTCATCCAATCAGTTGAAGTTCTGAGGAGTAAAAACTGAGCTTGCTGAAGAAGAAATCTAGCATGACTGCAGCATCAACTCGTGCCTGGATTTCCAGCCTGCTGGTCTGCCCTACAGACTTTGGCCTTGCCAGCCCCCCAATCATGTGAACCAATTTCCTAAAATACCCTATTGATTCTGGCTCTGTCCAGGTTTTGGCTAATTATAAATGAAGCTGCTATAAGCAATTTTTAGTAAGTCATTTTGTAAACATATGTTTTTATTTATCTTGGGTAATTATCTTGGTGTGAAGAATCATAAAATGTATATTCAATTTTATAAGAAACTCTCAGAACTTTTGTTCAAAGTGTACAATTTAATATTCTCACCATCATATATGGGAGTACTAATTGCTCCATATTCTCACCAGCACTTGTTATGGTCAGTCCTTTAAAATTTTGCTATTCTTGTGGGTGCATAGTGGCATGGCATTGTTTATTAAGTTGCATGCCCCTGATGAACAGCTTCTTCATGTGCCAAGTGGCCACTTATATATCCTTTTCTGTCACATATCTGTTTAGTACCCTTGTCTATTCCTCCACTGTCCTTTCTATCATCTGTGATGTCATCCTCTGGACAAATAAATATCTTGAGACTCTCCTCTCCAGGCAAGACTGGCTTTCATTAATATATCATTTGAGAGCTAATAAAGTCAGTATCTTCTACAGGGAGATCATTTAACAAGGATATGTCACAGATTTGAAGGTAAGACTGCAAAGCATATTTTGAAAAGCATTAACTCCTTTCCCTCTATATTCTAGAATGGTTTTATGGTACAGAGTGAGTTGAATTACACTGTGTAGCTCTGTATATACTTTATTGGACACATTTCTTCGTTTTTAACTGAAATTGACATATTGTTTCTTAGTCTGATCAACACTTTAGTCTGCTATTTGCCATCACTTTTTATGAGTTGTATTTTCTTACATAAAACATTCCAGTCACTTGTTTATTACTTCTATTTTCCATTTCTTCAGTAGCATAGAAATTTCAAGCCAACATCTGTTGGAAAATTATTTGTGTCGAAGGAAGTGCCAAAGATCTCACTATGTATATACTGCAAGAAATGCAAATACTGTCTTTCACTCTTACCCTGATCTACTTACTCTAGTAATGAAAATACATTCTTAAAAAAGATTCAATTTCTCTGTATTACAAATTTAGGGAGAGCTTTTCCTTTATTTTTAAGTCAGTTTTATAGGTATATTTTCCCTTCACTTCTCTATCCTAGTTATAGAACATAGGCTCTGTTTGAAAAGAAAAATCTTTGCTCATCTCACATAGATAGAACCTTTATGAAATGAGGGAATTCAGTGGGAGATCTTATTAGTAACACTGACACTGCTCATTTTTTTGGTGAGATCTCGACAGTTTTTCCCATTTCTACCAGCAGCACATGTCATTTCTCATCAGTTATTTTCCTTTTTCAGGATATATAAAAAGAGCAAGTGGTATTGGGAGAGAAAAAAGCATAACTTCCTCATTGTTATAAGTTCTTAAGAACCAGGGACTTAGCCGTTCCTTGATCAAATCTAAAAAGACAAGAAACTCTTTGGTCTCTTTACTTGTTTTTCTTGGTACTTTTGAAGTGATTCAGACCTTGACCCTCCCCACATTTGGAAATCAATACATTGCCTGGCTAATGGAGTACCAATACAAGACCACCTGCCTACTTAGAGAGTTGTTGAAAGATGAGATGCAAAACCTACCACATTGGAGTTTTTGGTCTGAGGCTTTTGTTTGAAGCACTCAACAACTTTCAATTTCATACAAATTCTTTTTTTTTTTTTTTTTTGAGACAGAGTCTTGCTCTGTCACT
The DNA here is from genome assembly GCF_000001405.40 of Homo sapiens. Classification (NCBI taxonomy): domain Eukaryota; kingdom Metazoa; phylum Chordata; class Mammalia; order Primates; family Hominidae; genus Homo; species Homo sapiens. The sequence goes on from NC_000011.10 coordinate 22,445,086, forward strand.
AGGCTTGAGTGCAGTGGTGTGGTCTCAGCTCACTGCAACCTCTGCCTCCTGGGTTCAAGTGATTCTCCTGCCTCAGCCTCCTGAGTAGCTGGAACTACAGGCACGTGCCACCATGCCCAGCTAATTTTTATATATTTTTAGTAGAGATAGGGTTTCACCATGTTGGCCAGGATGGTCTTGATCTCTTGACCTCATGATCCGCCTGTCTCAGTCTCCCGAAGTGCTGGGACTACAGGCGTGAGCCACCGCACCTTGCCCCAAATTCTTATAGTATATTGTGGGAATGGGGAATTAAAATAAGAGACTCTAGCCAGGTATGCACCTACTCAGAGCTATGGAACATACGGGCTTAAAGAGATTGTTATGACTTCATTCCCCTGAGTTGGGTTGAACACATGGGTACAAAGTCTCTGGAGCCTCTTGGGGTTCTTAGTTGTCTAGAAAGCATGTTCTTATTTGATCTTTACAAAGAACCCTTTTGATATGGGGTTTTTGCCACCCGCATATCAAAGTAGTGCCACAAAAGTCAACTGTAGGAACAAAATAAAGGAAGTTCATATGGCTTCTCAAAGAAAAAAGGAAATGGTAAATTAAAGCCCTCATTTATTTGTTGATGAAATATTTATTGAGTGTTCCAGATGTTCTCATTCAGTGCCTTGGATGGGGACTCCGTAGTTCATGTCTAGTGGAGAGAAATAGAAATGTGCATAGTTAGTTACAATCTCTTAGATATTAGATATTGAGGTGTGCACAGAGAACTATGGGTGCTTACGGGAGGATCCACCTACGTGTGTGTGTTAGTGTGTGTATACGTGTGTATTGCACAGAATGTCAGTGATGGTAGAGAAGATTCCTGTGAAATATAATACTATTAATGGAATTTTGAAAGGATGAGTGGCAGTTAGCCAGGGCAGTAGAGTAGGAAGGGTATTTATGCTAGAAAAGAGCATTTGCAACGACAGACAAATATAGAAGAACATGGCTCATCTGAGGAAGGTCAAGCAGCTTAGTCTGATTGGAGTTTAAGGTTTAGTGGGGAAGAGTGGAGACACTTGAGGTTTGAGAGCTTTGCCAGATTATGAAGGTTTTGTTAGGCAAAGTAGTGGGTAATGGGTGGACCATCAAAGAGGTTTAAACAGGAGAATGCCATAATCAGATCTGATGTTAAGAAATATCACTTTTGCGAGGTAATGAATGAATCAAAAAGCAGCAGAATGGTCAGCAATAATAATAATTGAAAACACTTGGTAATGTTCAATGCCAGTCTTTTTCAGCCTACTTTTTAGGCACTAACTCATGTAATCCTCATGACAATTTTATTCTTGAGTACTATTGTTATCTCAATATTACAGATAAAGAAATGGAGACACAGAACTGTAAAGCAATTTTTCCAGCTTTACTCAAATAATGAATGGCAGAATAACAACTCATATCCAACAGGCTGGCCGTCCATGTTCTTACCACTATGTTAGACTGCCTTTCAATAACTACAGCATTTATTAAGAGCTTTCAGTATACCAGGCAGTGTTCTAAGCATGTTACAAGCAAAAGCTAATATGCTAGAACCACTCCATGAAGTAAGTACTATTAATATTAATATTCCCATTGTATAGATGATATAACTAAGGAGAGAGGTTAAATGATTTGTCTAATATTACCTAGATAGTAAGTAGCAGAGGTTAAATTCAAACTTGGCAGTCTGAAATAAGAACCTGAGCTCTTCACCTCTGTATTGTATAGATGTGGGTAGACTATTTATGGGTGTGTTAAAATAATCAAGGCAGAAGTCATGGTGGCCCGAACTAACAGAGTGATAGTAGAGATAAGGGATATAAATCCAAGGTATATTAAGAAAGTAAATTTTAGGGAATTTAAAATGACTATTGGAAGAACAGTGGGGGGTGAAAGTAAGATATTAAAGATGACCTGAATGATGAAACCTAACACGTAGGGTCCCGTATTACTGTCTATTGTTGCATAACAAATCAATCCCAAATTTAGCAGCTTAAAACAACAAATAGTCATTACTTTGCAGCTTCCATGTGTCAGGAATCAGGGTTAGGTTTAGCTGAGTGCCTCTGTCTCAAGGTGTTTTATTAGATTGCAGTCCAGTTGTCAACTACGTCTGTGGTGTCATCTGAAGGATTATCTTGCAGAGGACCCTCTTGCAGGCTCACTCACATGGATTTTGTCAGGCCTCTGTCCCTTGTCACATGGACCTTCAGCATGATGGCTGGCTTCTCCAGAGTGAGCAATCCAAGAGATAGAAGACACAGTCCTTTCATAGGCTAATCTCAGAAGTGACATCATATCACATCTGTGGTATTCCAATCATTAGAAGGGAGTTTGTATTAGTCTGTTTTCATGCTGCTGATAAAGATATACCTGAGACTAGGAAGAAAAAAGAGGTTTAATTGAACTTAAAGTTCCACATGACTGGGGAGGCCTCAGAATCATGGCAGGAGGTGAAAGGCACATCTTACATGGTGGTGGCAAGAGAAAATGAGAAAGATGCAAAAGTGGAAGCCCCTGATAAAACCATCAGATCTCATGGGACTTGTTCACTACCACAAGAACAGTCTGGGGGAAAACCGCCCTCATTGTTCAAATTATCCCCAGCAGATTCCTCCCACAACATGTGGGAATTATGGAAGTACAACTCAAGAGGAGATTTGGGTGGGGACACAGAACCAAACTATATCAGAGTCAGCAAGTCCAGTTGACCCTCAGGAAGAGGAGATTACTCAAGGACATGAATACTATAAATTAGAGATCAGTGAGATTCGTCTTTAAGGCCTCCTATCAAAATCTTTATTCCATGGCGTCCTTTTCTTAGGACACCATAATAACCTGTTTGAAAACCACTGATTTAAATCATGGGCAGAGAAATCAGAGCTCAAAATGGAAACTGGGACATAAGAAACTACAGAGGTAAGAGAGAAGCCAGAAGGGGCTTCCAAAAACCACTAAAGTTTTGGGAAATAATGTCAAATACTATAGAAATATCAGAAGCCACCCTTGAGAGTATCATTCGTAATCTAGGCAGGGCAATTGCCTTACTCTAGGGGAGTGGAAGGCAGATTACTGTAGATAGAAGAGTGAAGTTAAGGAGTAAAAATAGTGAGAACAGGCGACTTTTTAAAAAGAGTCCTGTTGTGATGAAAGAAGAGTGTGTGCTAAATAGAGGTGATCTGTGCTTAAAAAAGACTTTAAAAAGAAAGAGAGATGCAACATACAAAACCCTTTCTGATGATAAGGTGACTCTGTAGGATAATTAACAAAGAAGAAAATAAAGCCATGTGGAATGTGATACTGCAATCCTTCATCCTAGTGGCCAAGGCCTCCACTGTCACCTATGCAAGTTGCAGAAGAGCAAAACATGGAATCTATGCCATAATGTGGAGATAAAGATTTGAAAAGGAAGTCCAAAGGGAATCTCAGAAAAATGTTTTCTATAATTTTATTTCTGCTTCTGATAATATGCTAAAATTTCCTGATATGTTGCTGTGTTGTAACACAGTGTTCATTCTGAACATTTGGATCTTTTACCCAAGTTACATTTTTGTTAGGGAGATAATGCTCATCCTAATGCATCAAATGTAATTGCAATTGTGAAGTAAATGCTAGGAAACACATTTCTTTGAATCTTCTTCCAATTCATGTATTTCTCCCCCCTTTTAATCTTCTGCCCTAATAGGACGTCTCCTGAGTTCTCTTAGTTCAATATAATATCACCGTGTTTCTTAGGGAAGCAGTTCTACTGTAGTGGTTAATGTCACAGGATCTGGAATTAGATCACCTGGCTTCAATTTCCAGCACTCACATTGATTATTATGTGACCTTGGGCAGACTGTAACTGCTCTGTGCCTCAATTTTATCACTTGAAAAATTGTTAACACTTTACCACCTGCAAAATGATAAAATCTTTCTTACTGGCATTGTTATGAGCATAAATAAAGTACTAGCAATTGGAAAAATGCCCAGCATATAAGAAACTCTCAACAAATGTTATGTTTCATCATCAGCATCATCGTCATCATCATCATCCTATCACTTCCAACTGAAACCTTCGTTATCCTTGACACTTCCCTTCAGCTTCATCCTTCCATGTCTTACTGACTATTCAGTCTGTGCTCCTTTTGAAGTAGCCAGTATTCTTGTCTTTACTGAGAAAATTTATTAGAGATATTAGACACAAACTTTGCCTGCTTGAAGTTGTAACAGTTAGGTTATTTGACCACTGGCCTCAAATATGGTAAAGGACATTGATTACTGTACTGAGTTAATTAGTGTCTCCCTAAAACTTGTGTCCACTTGGAAATTCAGAACTGAGAATGTGATCCTATTTGCAAATTGGGTCTTTGCAAATGGAATTAGTTAAGATGAATCCATACTGAAATAAGGTAAGCCCTAATCCAATGACCAGTGTCCTGATAAGAGAAAACAGAGATACAGAGACAGGCACAGAAGGAAGATAGCCATGTGAAGAAGAAGGCAGGAATTTGAGCAATTCAACTACATGCCAAGGAATGCTAAGAATTGCAAGCTAGAAAGAGGAAAGAAAGAATGCTTTTCTAGAAACTTCAGAGATATGGCCCTGCCAACACCTTGCTTTTGGAATTATGGTCTTCTGAAAAGCAGAAGAAAAATTCCTGTTGCTTGTAGTCAACCAGTCTGTAGTAATTTGTTACAGCATGAGTGGGAAACTAATACAGTTACTAATAGACTTTCCCAAAGTACTTAGCACAGCACACAGCGACTCCCATGATCTGACCTTTTGTGCTTTGACCAGATTATGTTTAGGCTTCTTGTTCATCACTTATGCTGTTTTCTCAGTTCTGTGCATCTGCACCACCCTTCTACTCCATGTATGAAGCTGCAACTTCTACTTCAAGGCTCTGTTGAGGCCTGAATCATCCTAATCAGAATTATTCTTCACTCTGTCTTTAATAGTATGTTGCAGCTACCTCTATCATATGTCGTATGTCTTTTTGCTTTGTGTTATAGATATTTGTTTAGATATCCGTCTTTTTTACTCTAAAGTTCTTTAAATCAAGATCTGTGTCTTTTTAAGAATCTCTGTATCAATAATGAGTGCAGTGATTGGTTTACTGGAGTTCATAACATGTTTGTTAAATAAATGAGTGAGTGAGAGACTGAATCAAACTGGTGAATACCTAATACTCATGGCTTGGTTAGCAGATAGGTCTACCTTCTCTCCCTATCAATCAATGACGGTGAATCTAAAAAGCTCACCATTAGAGATTCATTACTTCATATTATTGTGGACGAATTATCTCTTTAGAAGCCACAGGTCTAGAAAGAATAACTGTTAAATCCAGGATATTTTCCTGAGAATACATTTATCAAATCAGAGACAAAGAGAAAATGAAAGAACTGGGTCACAAGGAACAAAAGAAGGCAAAATGAGCTTTGAAATGAACCTCTTTGCAAGGTTTAGACACAACTCAGGAGAAAGAAAAGGGCCTCCAATTAGATTTTATTTTTAAATCACATTTTAATGTGGAAGGCAGACAACGATGCTTAGTCATTGTATAATTGTTGCTGTTTGACAAGTAGCCCCTTTGTGTGTATCCTATTGCTGGGAGAGGAAGGGAGGTGGATATGTGAATGAAATGTTACCAGAAAAAGGGTTTGTAGGCTTCCAGGTTCAGGTCTACTGCTTCTGTCCGTTTTCTAGTTGCGGCTTCCCTCTGTATTTTAGGTCCTCCAAGGAAGCCATTTATGACAGCAGCCACATTCTGTAAAATCAATTATTTTCCCAAGTCCTGTTTATCCTAATTCCACCTCCTGTTTTGTAGGAAGGTCCTCTCTGGTTAGATACTGCAGTTACTTGTGTTTGCTGAGGCAGAGAGAGTGCTTCTGCAGCTGACTAAAAGTGGTGGGACTTCTGGCTTCTGCAGCTGACTAGAAGTGGTGGGACTCCTGGCTTTTGCAGCTGACTAGAAGTGGTGGGGCTCTCTCTTCTCCATGAGGCAATGCAGCAGCAGGCTTTCTGTAGAGGCTCTTTGACTAAAAAAGCAGTTTATCTGGAAACCTCAAGGGAGTACTTGGAGAACTTGGGGTACTAGCCCTTACGTCTGGACCCCTCCAGGCAGTGAATTCCTCCTTCCCAAATATGTCTACCAATATACTTCCTGGGACATGGTGCAAATTTATTCACATGCCCATTTTCAGGCTTATATCAAAATCTTTTTAAATTATTTATGTTTTAATTATACTTTATTACTTTTTAACTAAAAATGTCATTTCCCTTGGGTGAAGAACCCAATGCAATATGAGAAATTTCAAAGAAGATTAAAAAAAAAAACCTGTATTGGGGACAGCATTTTAAGAAAGGCACAGCATGCTATTTAGGACCTTCTCTAATCTGTGAGATAAAATGCCACACAGTAATTTGTGCTTCACTGGAGCTCAGAGATCAAGTTTGAAGCTGTCACAAAAGGTACGTTTTGGAAAAAAAAAAGATTTCTAGGAGCTTTTCTTGATGAATTAATTTCTGGCAATATCCATCCAGCAGTTTGCTGTTGTTGAAAAAAAAAAACACAGCTTTTATTCTTTTCCTCTGGTATTGTGATTAAATCCAAATGATGTTTTAGCAGATCTTTACTCCCACAACTTCAGAGCTATCATTGCAACTACAGTGATTTTATGAAGGGAAGGAAATTCTACCAGCGCCTCTAGCATCAGTCAAAATAAGTTATTTCAAAGGAAAGAGGTGTCTTCAGTGGCTTAACAACAAGTTCAGTTTCCCCTTGTTTCTGGCTGAAATCTCACTTTTGGCCAAATAATACCCCCCGCCAAAAAAAGGAGGTTCTTATGGCCAGGTTTTTAGCAGGGGAAATGATCTTTTGCAGAAAGCTGTAGAGCTCTGGTTCAGAAGATCTAAGCTGAGAGACTTTTCCCCCTCAGCTCCAAAAATGTTAACTCTGTAATCTCTGGCTTTTGCCTTAGATGTGAAATTTTTGAGGTTTTCTTATAGATATTTCTTTGTATTAATTCTCTGTGGGCCAAACATAACTTTGAGTTGATGTTAATTTGGGTGGTAAGGTGTTATGAATGTTTCCACTGGTGTGGCTCTTTAAAAACTTCTGTAAAACGTTTGATCATTGGCTGGATGTGGTGGCACATGCCTGTAATCCCAGCACTTTGGGGGGCCGAGGCGGGTGGATCACCTGAGGTCAGGAGTTCGAGACCAGCCTGACCAACATGGTGAAACTCCATCTCTGATAAATACAAAAAAATTGCCGGGTATGGCGGTGCATGTAATCCCAGCTACTTGGGAGGCTGAGGCAGGAGAATCACTTGAACCCAGAAGACGGAGTTTGCAGTGAGCTGAGAACACACCATTGCACTCCAGCCTGGGCAACAAGAGCAAAACTCAGTCTTAAAAAAAAAAAAGAAGTGATCATTAGCAAACACCTGGTATACCTGTAAAGCTACTCCACTTTACTAGGTCCAGGGCATGACCAAGAGGCATCAGCTCCCATGTCTGCCACTCACTGATTACCTCGCTGAGGATGGCCTTGGAGAAGACCTTCATTCCTTAGAACTTTGTTAAACTATTTTGTAAAGTGCTGAAATTGGACCAAAAGTGATTCCCTAATTGCTCTGTGGAACACTGTGATCTTTGACATCCTAACACGTGTTCTGCACAACACACAAATTCTAAAATAAAGCAAAACAAAAATTATCATAGTCAAACAGGTGTGATAAATGCTTCCTAATATATTCCTCTCTTGATGACTTATGTTTCCTATTAGCATTTTGAAGCCTTGTAGATTTACGTAGTAAAGAAACCTGTGTAAATCTGTATTCTTCAAACTTAACTGACCATTATATAAGTCAGTATAGACTAGGCTATGCTGAAATAAAAAAATACATGAAAATCTCATTGGATTAAAAAAAGAAATATTCCCCCTACCCATGATATGTCTAACATGGTTTAACTACCCTGGACAAAAGCTCTATTTTTCATGGCTACTTAGGGATACCAGCTAGTAGAGTAGACGCCATAATGAAACTTGCAGGTCACTTTGCTAGTAAGAAAAGAAGTTTAGGAGAGTCTCAAAGCAGTCTTTAAAGGTTACCTCCCAAATATGATGCATCTCATTTCTACATACAACTCACTGGTCAGAAGTAGTCACATGACCATGGTCTACTAAGAGGGAGAAAGATAGGAAGAGCCTAGAGGACAGAAAAATTGGATGGCGATGAGCAGGACTAATGACTACAACTGCGGAACTCTTTATTATTGTAAAAACTATAACTGGCTTGTAGAATTGCATTCTGGAAAACTGCAGCAGATGAGTTTCCAGCCCCTTCAGCTCTGAAAGTCTGCAATTCTATGATCCAATTACAAAAAACATTTCCCCCTTTATAAGTTAGTGTGTATACTTCTCCAGGAGAAACCAGTTTTTCTTTTTTTAAAAAATTGTGGTAAAATATGTATAACATAAAAGAACACACCTTATTTTATAAGCTAAAGTTTTACATCAGATGAACCTTTGAATCGACTAAAATACCTTTTAGGAGAGCTGATTCATATCAAAGCATATCTTCACACAAGCCACTGCACAGAAACCACTTACATTTTATGTCCAATTGCATACTTTTAGATTAACAGAGAAAAATGAAGGTTGTATGAGACTAAATCCCATTGAAGACCATAATCTATGCAGTTATTTCTTGGGTGGGTTCAGGGACAATTTGTGAGCCCTTTGCTTAGGGGTCTTTCTTCTATCCACTTTCTGTTGTCTGTTAAGTTTCCAAATATAAGAGGAAAATGATTTTAAGTTAAGTTTCCAAATATAAGAGGAAATATAAGAGGAAATGGTTTTAAATTAAGTTTCCAAATATAATAGGAAAAATGATTCACCAGCTAAAAACGTTATATATATGTATTAGGCAAACTGGCATCCTCTACATTTAAAATATGTGATTACATATATGTGTGTATGTGTATGCATATATATATATATATATAAAATTGAATATATGTAATTGACTATATATATTCAATTAATCTGAAGCCCCCTTCCCAGCTCTCCCCACAAAAAATGTCTCGGGTGCTGGGAATACAAATAGGTAATGTCCTCACCAACCTTTCTCCCTGTTATTCACCTACTTCCTGTGACTTTTATTTTTGAGCCATAAAATACCTTCATTTTCTAAAGAAATAGGAAAACTGCAGTCTTGCAGAAATGAAAAGCTTGTGTTTAGCGTGGTTTAATTTTTTTAGTGTGGGGATACAATTTTTCATGTTTGGGTGAGCTGCTGGCTTGTCTCCAATAAGAGAAGTTCAATTTATCTACAGTTCATTCTGAACGACTACCTAGTGGGGACCTCAGTGGCCAGGGTAGTATTTAATCTGTCCCAGAACAGCCTGAGGCTATGATGAATTCCCAACCTTCTACCTCTCTCCCCTTAATACACATGTGATTTGTTGACGTGTTTATATAACATTCTGGGAATAGAGGCTGATTTATAAACATTTTGTAATGCAAAATAGATTTGAGCACAGCACTGTGCAAGTCATGGTTTGTGAATTGCTAATAGGCCACGAGTTTGGCTTAAATATACATCACATCCCGAGACATTAATCAATTCCTAGAGCTGAGTGAATACAAGGCTTGTCCTTATGGGAAACAAAATGCCTATTTTGAAGAAAGGAATTATAATAAGGAGCACACAGGCATTCTAGACCTTGAAGCTCTTAGCAGCAGCACGTCTTTTGTTTCATTTTTGAATGAAAAGCATTTGAAAGAAGAAGCTTGTGGTAGATTCAGTATGACTTTTTTTTAAAAAAGGATAAATATAGTGGTTTTACATTTATATGAAATATCCAATTGTTTGGCTATTTGTGGACTCCCAAATATTTGGTCCTTGGACAGCATAATGAAAAACTCCTCTTCTATATAAAATCTCTCCAGGGCTGAGCCCATCATGAAAAATTAATGGATTTATGAGTGGGAGGAAATGGAATCTTTTTTTTTCTTTTCTCTTTGTATTTTGTTGTTACATACTGTTAAAGCACTGATGCTTTTTTTTTGTCTATGTTTCCAATATACAGGATTAAAAATTTTTTTTCTATTATATTAAAATACATTTGGCATTCTTGAAGATGCCGTATTTACATTCACAACACCTTTAAAGTGCTTTCTCATATATCCTTTAGTGATCTGTTCAGCAGCATGTGAAAAATCTTACGCATCCTAGTATTCTTTGCATTTTAAAGATGTGATAACAGAGATTTAGAGTTTAAATGACTAGTCAAGGATATTTAGCTAAGAAATGGTGGAACTGGGATAGAAAATCAGATATTCACGTTACTAGTTTAGGGCTCTCCCTGATTGTGGTAATTGTTAATGCAATTATTTCCTTGGTTATATATTTTAGATTTTTTTAATAAAGTGATTCCTCAGGTTTTAAAACTAGTAATGAACTCTCCAATAAAAGTATGTTGCAAAAAAGAAAGCATATTACTAAAATTTAAAAAGTTTGTTATAGAGTACACACTGTATTAAATCTAGAGAATTTAAGAACTTTTGAATTTCCTTTTGGTGTCTTTGTTCCAAGGTACAATGTTCTGGCCAGTTGAGGCCTAACCCAGGGGTGGGAACATTCAGAATTTCTCTGTAAAAATCTGTTTTGGGGAACACTCATCTAGCATGCTAGTTGTTTGCTTCCATGTGAAGGGAACTCAGTGAATCTGCAGACCTTAGTCTATCTCTTGGGGGACACATCAGACTATAGCAGGCCCCCATTACTTCCTTCATCCATTCTTTTAATACATTCATTCATTCATTGTCCTCCTTCCCTCCCTTCTTCCTTCCCATTCTTTCTTTATTCCCTTCCTTCCCTCTCCCATCCCACTTCATCTATTTATTCTATTAACATCTTTCTGACATTTTTCTTGCATGTTGGGTTACTCCAATCTAGAGAAGGAGGAGAGGTGACTTATCTGCTTAGTACATTTGAAAAGAGTGAACAGGGCTTACGCATACTCAGCTCTCCTACTTTCATCTACTTTTTGAAATAGTCTTCCTGCTCTGCTCCTCCAAGGCTAGGCTCTTCACCTGTGAGGGACAGGAAAGGGGGCTTGTCACAGTTCACTGAGGCTGACATTAGGTTGGTAAGTCTGCCTAATTCCCAGATACACACATCAACTGGCCCTGCTCAACTTTCATCTGTCAAAATGAGATATATGGGCAACCACCTGTCACTCCTTGGTCTTATTTTTTTAATTTATTCAGATCCTGGGGAAATTACAGAAGTGCCATTTATTGAGCAGGCTTAAAGATGTTAATAGCCATAAACTGAGCATTTGGATATCTTGTGAACTATATATTCATCTTTAACTTTGGAGCATTTTCTAGAGAAATGTATTTCAAAAGCCTGCAATATAGACAGTAATAATAATAATTGCAGCTGACATTGATACTGTGGTAAATACTTTACTTGTTTTATCTCAATGAATCTTCATTATACTAGTTTTGATGAATACATGTATTATCTTCAGCTTTCGATAAACAACTGAGATTTTAGTCTTGTATCTTTTCTGAATTAAAATATTTCCCTTTATTGATAAAGCAACATAAAAATGGTACTGTCTAAAGCAGAAAAGGGTAATTGGATGGGGAAGGATTCTATGCTGTGCCCTCAGGATTGAAACTCTCATTGCAAAAATTATAACGGAGAAAATTATTGCAGTGAAAGAAATCTGACCTAACTGACTCCATCTTCCTTCTAACCTCCATGCTATCCTCATTCATTCCTGCATATGGGCCAAATTGACTTTGGAAGGAACTTAGTTTACAGTTTAACTTTGAAACAAAGATGATAACTGCCCTTTGCCAAAACAAACCCCCTGCCTACCTAGGGACTAGACTGCCTTTGTAGGACTAACAGAATAGCTACAAGATTAGAAATTATGGTTTAGGAGCCATGCAGCTGGAGGCTGCAAGATTCTGAGCCTCCTCAAATTGTTCCTCAGGATTACATCACTATTGTAAAACCTAAGATCAGTGCTTGAGATATTTTGCACACCCTGCACTTAGTGGATCAGCTGGCACCAACCATATCCATAAACTGGTTCTTCTGGTTTTGCTGCCCCCACCTAGGAACTGACTCAGTGCAAGAGGACAGCTTCCACTCCCTATGATTTTATCTCTGACCTAACTCCCCACTTTCCAACCCTCTACCCACCAAATTGTACTTAATAACTCCATCCCCAAATTTTCAGGGAGATTGATTTGAGTAATAACTCCATCTCCCACATGGTGTGGCCAGCCTTATATCAGTTAAACTCTTTCTTTACTGAAATACTGTGGTCTTTACTTGTGCAGCAGGCAGGAAGAACCTATTGGGCAGTTACAAGATCCCACTTTAGAAATAAATAACTTACTCCCCAGGCTGCTGGCAAGCTCTGGCTGTCACCATTCAGCTGTTAGCCCTCTTGGGGACAGGCAGCAGGCAGTAGGCAGTAGGCAGTAGTTTGCTCATTCATACTTGCTCTAGACAATGGAGGTCCATTGAAAGCTTTTGCACAAAAGTTGTGCGTTCTCCCTGACACCACAGGGCATTCTCCTACACCATTATTTTACTTTCAGGCCCTCCTTTCATTCATTATTTCTGCTGTAACAAAATACCTGACATGGGGTAATATACAAACAACAGAAATTTATTTCTTACACTTCTGGAGATGGGGAAGTCTATAATCAAAATGCTGGCAAGTTGAGTTTCTAATAGAGCCAAGTTTCTCTGCTTCTAAGATGTCACTTTGTTGCTGCATCTTCTGGAGATAAAACACTGTGTCTTTACATGGCAAAGAAAAGCTGAACCCACTCTCTCAAAGCTTTTGTAAGGAACCTAGTTCCATCCATGAGGGTTTCCCCCTCATGACTTAATCATTTCTTAAAGGCCTCTCCTCTTAATACTATCACATTGGCCATTAAATTTCATCACATGAATTTTGGGGGACAAATCAGATCATAGCAGGCACCGATTTCTTCCTTTATCTGTTCTCTTATACATACATTCATTTGTTCATTGTCCTCCTTCCTTCACTTCTTTCTGCCCTTCCGTTCTTTACTCCCTTCCTTTCCCTCCCTCTCCCCTCCCACTTCTTCTACTTATCCTATTAACATCTTTCTGACATTTTTCTTGCCCGCTACTGAAGCCTTGATCTGGATCATTGACTCTTCCCCCTTCTGCTTTGACTGTCTCAACAACTGCAATTTTGTCTCCTGGTAAATTAAACTCAAGCAATTGCTGGCAGAAAAGCAGCTCTTAAATGACAGTGTAAGTTATTTCTCACTGGGGCTCTTTTCTCCCCTCACGTTTATGAGATAATTGGAAATAAATCTGTGAGCATTAAAAAAAAAAGGAGTGAAAAGATACTAAGATAATTTTACACCAGACTCCATTAGAATCTCTTAGAACTTTTAACTTCTGTACCTTAATACATGGCTTAATTCCTTCACTACTGCTTATATTTTAAATAATAGTCTTCTGGGATAGATGTTGTTTGAGAATGAAGTATAAGCCATACAGAAAAATGTTGTAGACTCAGATTTAACTGTCACAATACATCCTAATTCATAAACAGTAAATAATTACTTAGCATTGTCAGAAAATGATATATTCTGCTTAATCCAAAATTCTATTTACTGAAGCATGCTAAATAATCTAGATATGAATTATCAATTTCAAAGAAAAATATTAGAATTTTTACTGAAGTAAACTAATTTTTTTGATGATTCAAAATGTTTTATCTCTAGATTCAGATTAGTTGGTTTAGAAGCCCAACACTATTGCATCTTTGAGTGAATGTCAAACTTTCTAAGTTTCATGTATCTCATCTACAAAATGGGGAATATGATAATTTCTAACCTCATGGAATTATGGTACAAACTAAATAGAAATAATTTATATCACATACTTGGAATAGCTTCAGAACATATGATAGGTGTGGTGGATTTCAAATATGTCCACACATTCCTCAATACTTTTCTCTTTAAGATGTGGAGCTTAGTTCACATTCCATTGACAGCTGCTACACTTAGTGATTTACTTCCAATGAATAGGCTATGGAAGTTTTCATGACATATCATTTCCTGTGCTAGTCATTTCCTGTGTCCTGGTTGCTCTCTTGGGTCATTTGCTCCAGGGAGAAACCAATTGCATGTAACTAGGACACTTAGCTGATGAATTGAGAGGCGCACGTGGTGAGGAACTAAGGCCTTCAGAGATAACCAGCAAGGAATTGAATCCTGCCAACAACCATGTGAACGAGTTTATGAGCAGATCCTACAGATTTCACATGACTAAACTGTCATCATCTTGATGGCAACCTCATGAGAGACCCCGAGCTAGAACTACCCAGCTAGCCACTTCTGGACTCATAACCCTCAAAAACTGTGAGAGATAATAAGTATTTGTTGCTTTACATTTGGGCATTGTTTGTTATGCAGCAGCAGATGATGATTAATGTAATAAGCACTTAATATTTGTTAGCCATTATTATTATTCATTCACTCTCAGTAGCTGTTTTGAGGCACCTGAGCACACCCACCTTTTAATTCGAATCCCATAAAGCTCCAGTTGGTTAAAGCTGGACAAACCCCTTTGCGTTAGTGCTTTGACCTGATTTTGAGGTGGTTTCTAAATTTAGAACTAGCTATGAGTTAAATGCTCTCACTTTATAAAGAACAGCTTGATAACTTTATTTTCTAGAGCAGGATGATAATCTTTAAAAAAGTGACAAAAGATACTACTGCTCAAGTTTCATTGATGTCCAAAATAAAGGGGTGAGCATGTGTTCACTTGCTATATATAAGTACACTTCACATGCCACGAGTCTACTTATTCCCCTTGATCAAATGAGAGCCCCAAAGCTAAGAGAATGTAAATGAGTTTCTAAGATGCTACAGGAATAAGACTGCAGAATGAGGATTTGGACCTGGTTGTATCTGGCTTCAAATCTGGTGTTCTGGTTACCTTATGCCTCTGAGGAAGGAAAGATGGGATCAGAGCCCAGATTTAAATTGTATCAGGCAACTCTCTCTCTCATAGGTAGACTGTTCTGTTAATGAATTAGGACCCCTAGTCTTGTTCCTAGTGAAGGCCAATGGTTCTGCACATCCCTGCGCATGCACACACACACACACACACACAATCACAGCTAGACATCACATGCTTGATCCCAGTGAGACTTTTACCAATGGTATGTGGAAAGTCTCGGTGAAGAATAGAGGACACCAGATGAGCCTATGGATGACTCAGTACAACCTGTCACATTGGTTAGGAAATTCAATTTCAAGCCATATTTGCCTTGCTGAGAATGAGTCAGTTGTTCTTTCTCTTCTCTGACACGTCAAAGGTTCACCTGAACAGGTCAAGGTTGTCATAGGAAATGGAAGAGCATAAAGAATAATGAAAACAGTCCAAGAAAGGTATTTTGATATTCATCAAACATGGAGTTTAGTGTCATTTCACTATATTCTCCATGAAATAAGATTTTTCCAAGAACATTTTATATAGCAAACAAAGTGGTAAACTGATAGCCTGAACTTATATGTATGTCTCTTTTTGGGGGAAAGGTGCTCTAAATCAGTTTTTTAATAGTGTAGACACTTTAAAGTTCTTTCTGTCTATTAAGGGATTTGAGTGATTCCTTTCCCTCTCTAACAAATGGCTTGGCATTTCTACTGTATGGATTTTTTTTTTTTTTCAAATAGGCATCTCAACCACTAGTCACTTAAAAAAAAGAATTCTATCATATCTTACCAAATCAATACTTGGTAATAGTAAAGTTCCAACTACTGCCCAGTCATTAGAGGTCTGGTATCTAACCTCTGGAGTATGATTTCTTAAAAGTAAACTCAGAGGCTGGTAAACACATGGTGATGTAATTCTAGAAATGCTAGCTAATAACTTTATTTGGGTCAGCTTTACAGTCCTGAGGGAATGGAAGGCTACCACTCAAATGGCTCTTGGCCACTCATGGGTCAGTCTAACCATGGAATACTTTGTTTCAGCAATGACTAACTGTCTAAGAAAGAATGGCAAAGCTAGCTATTGCCTGTATTTTAAACATCAGGAAACTTCTGGAGTTAGTTCCAGATTACCCATCCCTACTGGGAATCACAGAAAAGAAAATCTGGTAATAGACAGTTGAAAGTACATGTATCATCCAAAGGACAGGTCATTTAGGAGAACTGAACATTCCCATTCTTATTTCTTGGCTGAGAGACTTAGAAGCTGACTTTTGGTTTTGAAACAGAATCTGCCAGTTACTTGCTATGTGACCTTAGACAAGCCACTTCCCCTCTCTAAGGCTTCATACACTCATTTGAAAATCAGAGTGATACTAATAACAATCTCAGAGGGCATCGTTACGATTTAACAAAATTATATATGTAAAATGATTAATATAGTGCCGGATAATTACTAATCACTCAGTCAATGTAAGCAGTTAATAGTAATAACATAATAGCAGCATTAACAATTAGTGCTACAAAGTTATACTTTGTAATTCATCAAACATTTGATGTGCTATAACTCACACCAAAGTTACACTTTGTTGTTACAAAGTTCATTTGCTTTTTGCATTTAGAATTACATATGACAGCTTTGTGTGTGTGTATGTTGTAATGGTCATGGTGATGATGGTGGAAAGGAATGCTTATACGCTGGCTATTATCTAGTTCCCTACCTCATGCTAATTTAAGAGGCCTTGAGGCGAGGTTCTGTTGGCTCTTTATATCTGGCCTAGGCTGCCATGTATATCTGCTCAGGATCTAAAACAACCACAGTCAGAAAGACTCCAGTAATTCAATGGGAATTGAGAGTTGACTCAAGTTTTATCACATTTTACTTCTCAGTTGCATTGGACATGGTACACCACCTGCTTCCTGAAACACTTTTCACTTGGCTTCTGGAACATGTTGGCTTGGCTCCCTTGCTACCTCACTCATCACTCCTTCCCATTTCTCCTCATCATCTTAATCTCTTATTCTGAGAGTGTCTGGGACTGTATTTGGTATTTAGGGCATTTATTCTCTTCTCTATCTATAGTCACTCCCTGAGTAATATCATCCATTCTGAGACCTCTTAAAGCCATCTCTATCCTAATCATTTTAAAATTTGTATCTCTAGCACAGAACTTGTTCCTGAATTCCAGACTCTTACCCAGCAGCCTACTTGAAACATCCACTTGGATATTCGAGGGGCATTGCAAACTTACCTTGTCCCAAACTAAACTCCTGAATTCCTTCCCTGCTCCTCTTGCACTCTTCCCTATTTCACTGAGTGCCAACTCTCTCCTTACCTTTTAAGGCCACAACTACTGCAATGTTTAACTCCTTTTCTGCTTTACACTGCACATAAATAATCTAAGGAAATTCTGTCAGCTCTGTCTTCAAAATATGAATAGAATCCAACAGTGTCTCACCGTTTCCATGGTTTCTTCCCAAGTCCAAGTTATCTGTAGTTTTATATGTGGATTATTATAATAGCCTCTTAATTATCTTTACCTGTTTCACTGACCATCTCTTGTCTGTTTTCAAGTCAACATCTACAGTGATCTTTCCAAGGGGTTGAATCTGAGCTTGTCACTCCTTTATTCCTCTGGGATATACCCAGAGGAATATAAAGCATTCTACCGTATTTTTATTTTATTTATTTTATTTTATTTATTTTAATTCCTCCAACAGTCTCTCAGCACTCAAAGCCAAGCATTTACAATGGCCCACAGGGCCCTAGTGACCTATTTCTTCTACCTCAACCTCTTTAACTTCATTTCTCATTCACTCTTTAATTCTGTTGCATTTTAACCTCTTTATCTTCTTTGAGCAAGTGGTCGTACTCCGACCACACAGGCCCTTTGTACTTGCTGTCCCATCTGCCTGGGACACACACACACACACACACACACACAAACACACACACACACACACACACTTTCTCTTTCTCTCTCTCACTGGGTACACTGAATGAAATCATAGATCCATCTATCTTTCTACCTTTGCCCTGAACAATAGTCCCTCTCTCTCCACGTTAATCTGCGCTTAAACTTTTTCCTTCTACAGCATTTAAAACTGCCTGATTTTATAGAAAGATAGAATAAATATTCATTCACACATTCATATACATAGATGAGTTATAATTTATTTTCTCTACTTCTATCAGAATGTAAGCTACATAGATGGTATTTACATTTACATTTTGCTTATTGCTGTATTCCCAGATCTTAGAAAAAATGCTTGACAAGAAAAAGGTACTTACTGAATATTTGTTGAATGAATAAATGAATAAATTGAATCTTTATCAAGCTGAAGTTATTCCTACCAGAGGCACTACTCTTGAAAAACTTACCAGCCACAGATTTTCTTGCATTGCAAAGGACCTTAGACACTCAGTATATCCTCCTAATTTTATGAGTATTCAGATACTCAGAAATAAATAGTGGTTGTCTTAGGCCTTGGAGTAAATAAGTAAAATATTAAGGTCCAGACTGTCAGTTTCTTAACTCTTACTCAGTATGGTGTTCTATAGTCTTAAGACATGTCAGAAACCTCCAAAAGAAATTGTAGAGGGCCTAATACTGGGGATAATGTGGATATTATAGCAACAGGGACAAGTCCAGGGCTTGACAAGGACACTTAAAACAGCAATAAGCAGCAGAGTTCACTGGGAAATTAGGGCAGGAAAAAAATAACAGATGCTGGCAACGTTGTAGAGAAAAGAGAACAATTATGCACCATTGATGGGAGTGTAAATTAGTTCAACCATTATGGAAAGTAGTGTGGTGATTCCTCAAAGAGCTAAAAACAGAACTACCATTCAACCCAGCAATCCCAATACCGTGGATATACCCAGAGGAATATAAAGCATTCTACCATAAAGACACATGCATGCGAATGTTCATTGCAGCACTATTCACAATGGCAAAGACATGGAATCAACCTAAATATTCATCAGTCACAGACTGGATAAAGAAAACGTGAGACATACACACCATGGAATACTATATAGCAAGATCTTGTCTTTTGTGAGAATATAAATGGAGCTACAGGTCATTATCCTTAGAAACCTAATGCAGAAACAGAAAACCAAATATCACGTGTTCTCACTTGTAAGTGGGAGTTAAGTGATGAGAACTCATGGACACAAAAAAAGGAACAACATACATTGGGGCCTAGTTGAGGGTGGAGGGTAAGAGGAGGGAGAGGAGCAGAAAAAATAGTTATTCAGTACTAGGCTTAGTACCTGGGTGATGAAATATTCTGTAAATGAACCCCTGTTACACGAGTTTATATATATAACAAACCTGCACATGTACCCCTGAACTTAAAATAAAAGTTAAAAAAACAAAAATAATAAAATGTAAAATGTGGTTCAAAAAGAAGAGGTCATAAAGACTGAAGAAAGGTTTGTTCATTGTCAATTGGTTAATTTGTTCATAATCCACTGCTTATGCCAGTTCCTGTACTAGGGGCTGAAGGACACAGACAAATTGTACTTGCTGTGCCAGGGGCTGACATTCTTTTCAGCTGGGTGAGTAGGAGATGTGGAACAAGGTATACTTGAGGAGGATTTCACAGAAAAGGCGAGATCTGAATTAAGTCTCAGAAAATAAGTGGACCCCAGTAGGTAGAGAAGAAGTGAGGAGGTGGAAAGATAGTGAGCAGCATGGGCAAAGTCATAGTGGTATGATAGTGCATATATTCAGGGACTAAACATTAGCCAATAGGACAGGAGAGGTAGGTTAGTGGAAGGGGTAAGGAGGAGAGGGAGGACTGGGAAGATGGACTGAGGCCAGACGGCGCATGGTGAATGGTATCTTAAAGCTTAAACCTCTAAACACCTTGCTGAAGGAGGGTCTCTCTTTCTCTCTCTCTCCTCTTTCTCTCTTTCTTTCTTTCATTTTTGCTAAAACTCAAAAAGGCCTTCAATGCTATTCTGATATTCCACCAACTTTCTTAGATATCAATTTTTCTATTATTTGCTTCTAGAGATTCTAAGCAAATTTTCATGTGCTTCTATTATGAGGAAAATAATAAGATTTTTTCATTAATATATGTCACATGCACAGATGTAGTTTAGCAGGGCCCAAACTTGGTTCTAATGTACAATGTATAGGCATGCTGTGAGAGAAGATTGAAAGAAAAAAATATATCTTGTATTGTACATTCTGATCTGTAACTCTTTTCAGGGAAAAGAATGTATAAATTTATTTATTTATATACCTAAGTCTTAATGCAGAGAATATTTTATTTATATTATAAAAATCCCAGGTGAGGAGCCAACAGAGTAATTTTAAAGTATCAAAGAGGAGTTTACCTGGTGTAAATTGCATTCAAGGAAAAGATAAATATTCGATTTTTGTAGCATGACTCTCCTTTACATTACCATAAAATGGATGAAAACAATAAAAACTGCCAGAAAGTTCTGAAAAGCCAGTGATTCTTTTTAATAAAAGATGAGTGGTCTGTGTATATTACTGTGATTAATCAAAATGATACAATATTTATTTGCATTTGTCAGGCAAGGTGCTGAAATTTTCTTAGTAGATGTTAGTGAAGATAGGAACACAGTGTAGCAGCAGCACTGTCTCCTTCCTTTTAATTGACAAATAACTACAGAGAGAACGGTCAGAAACTGGAAGAGAGCAGGGAAAATAGATGAATTCTTCCCAGATGATGCAGGGGCCCTGTTAATGGAATTCTGTTCACATAGTCTAGAGCTCAGACCTGCCTTGGTTTAATCAGCTTGCTGAACATTACAGTTGAGTATAGCCATGTTGATCCAGGTCTCTACATACATAATTTATTTCCCCTAAATTAGGTCTTGTTAAGTTCCCATTGTTTGACACATTATATTGAAAGTGCAATGGTGAGAATATGGTACCGTATCAGGTTTATGTATGTATGTGTCTCTGTATATACTTTAAAAATTTATACATAGAGCTCCAGTGTTGATGCATATCACTCTATCCCAGGCATTTGATGACTACAGAAAAATATTGGATGTTAAGCAGGATATCAACTTCTTCTATTTTGGCAATTATGTAGGCCCAGCTTTGCTGAAAATAAGGCCCATCCACCCTTGCAGAATTGAATAAGTCACAAGGATACAGCACTTAACACCTGTCCTGGTTGTGAGCAAGGTCTGCACTAATTCATCAAGTCCTGCAGTGAGGGATTCCACAAGAGCTGCTCATGACAAGCACAACAGAGACAAATATTTAAAACCCAAGGATTTTGGACACATTGTTTTCAATGCCTTTTGGAAAATTTTTGCAAAAAATACAGTTTTTGTTTCTTTGTTTTCCATCCATGGTTGAAAGAAAGAAATTCAAAAAAGTCTAAGGAGTTGGAGTGAAAAAGTGGCAGGCAAACCTGAAACACACTCATTTTTATGACATGTGATACTTAGACATTAGCAATTTCATAACCAGACCCAGAGTAAGACCAGAGAAAATGCTGGTAATTATATTGCCAGTAAAGTGGCCCAAAAAATGGAAATTTTTTGAATTCCACCCATGATTTTTTTACTATGATTAAAATACAATTAAAATATTAAGAAAAATTCAAAATTGCCTTGTAACTGGTTTTAGAGTGGCAGTGTTCTTCATGTAAAGCGTTATGTTTGTCAAAAACGTACACATTTGGTCTTATAGTCCTCATTGCTGATTCCTGACACTGTAAAAGGAGAACCTGGTTTTCTGAGGTGATGATATTTATAGTTCGGCATCATCAAAAAGCAATTCCTTGCTTATGTGGGATTCGAAGCCCAGCCAGGTCTCCCTTGTGACTCATTCGGCATTCATCCGGGGATCTATGCTTGCCTGCCTGTGCAGCGTTCTCATGAATCCTTAATTCCTTTTGAACTCAGTAATGCCAGAGTCACTTTCCATCAACCCGCCCACTCAGCTGAATTGCGCCAGCCTTTTGCGCAAAGCATCACACTCCTGTTGTAAGATTGATTGGGTGTTGAGCCACCGCCACAAAGACAAAGGAGGTCAGATTCAGCCCCTGCAGTTTGATTTTAAGACCTGATGTCATCATCATCCTGACTTCCAGAACTGATGCTGATACAATTTTCTGACACCTACCTATATGTAACCCATGTCTTGTTGAACTAACTTTATTAGCACTTCATCACTGATAATGCAATAACATATTAATGACGTGTTGCTCTTACCCTTTGTCTGCAAAGCAAAAGGGTTGAAACTAAAATAACATGGTGAGCCAGATCAGTCTGATGTGTAGCCAACCCTGTATCGTGGCATCTTTCTTATTCCCTGACTGCTTTTCTCTGGGATGATAGGGCAGGGATGGCTGGAGTGCTGGCCAGATGTCCAACACAGGGTACTGCTCTAGGCTCTAGGATTTTGCAACTCAGGAAACCAGCATGGCTACTCATAAGGGTCAGAATATGGGCAAGTCAGAGAGCAAGCTCAAATCTAGTCCATATGTCCATAAGTGAGCACAGAACTAAAAATGTATGACCAAGCCAAGGGATCAGGTGTAAGACAGGGAGATGGACTCAGCATAGGTGCAAGGGCAGGGGCAGGGAAGCTGGATTTCAGACAGTTATGAAGAAGAGGCTGTTGTGATGGTGGCTTTCTAAAATTGGTTACCCGCAGAGTTGCATGTATTAGGTTGGCCCAGTTTAGAAGCACAAAGTAGAGGGTTGGTAATATGCAAAATACTAGAGAGGTTGAAAACTTACTTAGATAGTATTGGATTACATGACTGAGCTCTCCCCAGTGGCTCTTTAGTACCTGGAGCTAGAGGTAAGTCAGATGTGGCCCCTGCCTGTGTTCACCATCTGCACAAGGAGACAGGAATGTAAATAAAAATATTACAACACTCCCAGGATTGCTGGGACGTAATAGTCTCATTCTACCAAGAAGGTAGTAATAATGGCTGACATTTATTGAAAACTCACTGTATACCACCAGGCACTATGTTAATTGCTTTACCTTTATTTCTCACTGTATACCACCAGGTACTATGTTAATTTCTTTACCACATTAAATTCTTACAACCATATGAGGAAGTGCTATTATTTATATTTTATAGATTAAGCAAATGGAGGCTAAAAGAATTTAAACAATAATCACCCAATGTTGCACAGCTAACTAGTGGTGAAGTCCAACTCCGACTTAGACTTTGACCTCTACATGAGTCTGTTCTGGGAGACACATTTTAAGATGGATGTTGGGAAATATAGAACTTGACAGGAGTGTTAAGAACGGTGTGGAGATGGGAATCCACAATCTATGAGCACGTCTCTCCTCAACCCCTTCCAATGAGTCGGCTGAGACTGAACATAAAGGGCTAGAGGGGGAGGTACAAACTCTGGCTTCAGGTGTGAATGATGAAAGGGTTATGGCAGACTGTTTCACTTGGTATAGAAGGAAAAGAGATTCATCTGCAGATTCCCAAACCACTTACTTGGCTCTGAGTGCCAGGTTCCTCTGGCACCTCAGCAGAATGTTGGGGTAACTGATAGATCTTGGGAAGTTCTGCTAGTGAACAACAACTACAAAGATAAGAGCATCTACATCATGTTGATTTAGGAGAAGACATTTAATAGAACTGTCCACATTTGAAGAGTTGTCATATGAAAGAGAAAAAATAAATTTGTCCCTTGTGATTCTAATGAATGCAACTGAGACCAATCATTGGAAATGATAGGAGGCAGATTGCAACTCAGTAAAAAATTATTTTTCAACAACTAAAGCTAACAAATGCAGAAGCTTGTGGTAGTGTCAGTTCTTCATCACTAGAGGTATTCACACAGAGACCATGTCACTTTCTGTCGAGAGGGGTAGTTTTCAAATTTTAGAATTCATAAGAATAATTTCTGGCATGGCAGCCAGATTCTGGCTCAGGAGGTCCTCATAAGCATCAAGAATCTCTCCTTTTAATAAGCGAACTAGAGGATTCTGATGCAGGTTAGGAGTAACAATCTGCAGATTGTAAAAGAGATAATTATTTTTAAAGGAGAAGTTAGATTCCATGATGAAGTTTCCATCCAGCTCTATGTCCAGACCATGCTGATCTATTTCTTCCCAGGGTTCCTGTTTTTTGTATAGTCTTTATCACATAATTTAATATTTTATTATATTTTGTCTCCCTCTTCTAATCATTTCCCTCATCCCACAAATATTTACTGATAATTTACCATGTGCCAAGCACCATTCTAGGCACTGGCGAGACATTATAGAGCCAAGCAGACAAAGCAGCCTGACCTTATGGAGCTGATAAGCTAGTGAAGGGAGATTTTTAAAACCCCAAATATATCAGTTATTTTATAAATTTTTCCTCCATACAACCAGATGCAAACTCTTTTGGGAAGGACTCTGTCTTATTTAGTATTTTATGTAGTGTCTAGAACAATGCTCTGCAATAACAGGTACTCAAAAGTATATTTTAAAGCAATGATGGAACAATAAAATAAGAATACACTTGGAGAAAAACAGCAAAAATTTATATTTTCTGTTATAAATGAGGCTAATCTCAATGGTTTAACTGAGGATTTCTTTGTGCTTTAGGATGGAGAATTTTTGTAAGCCAAAGGACTTTTCTCTGCATTAATAGAAAACATATCCAGAACAATTGATACAAGCTTCTCAAGTTTTGCAGGTCACAGTCTTACAGCAGTAGTGAAAAACTGAAAGACATCCAGAATACAGATGACAAGGGTTCTTGACACACTATGGTATGAGACAGTGGCCAACAAACTATTTTTTAAAGGGCCAGGTTATTCAATATTTTGGGGCTGTACACTCTCTCTCACAGCTAGTCAATTCTGCCATTCTAGTATAAAAGCAGCTTAGAAAATATGTAATTGAATGGACATGTTCTAATAAAACTTTATTTACAAAAACAGGTGAAAGGCTGGATACAGCTCTTGGATCACAGTTTGCAGACAGCTGCTATAAGATAAATAGTTCAAAGAACTGAGGTGTTTAGCTGGGTGTATTAGTTCATTCTCACATTGCTATAAAGAAATACTTGAAACTGTGTAACTTACAAAGAAAATAGGTTTAATTGGCTCATGGTGCTGCAGGCTGTGCAGGAAGCATAGCAGCATCAGCTTCTGGGAAGGTCTCAGGGAACTTACAATCATGGCGGAAGGCAGGGAAGGAGCCATGCACTTCACATGGCTGGAGCAGAAGAGAGATGTGAGGAGGTGCCACACGCTTTTAAAAACCCGGATCTCATGAGAACTCTACAGCATCAAAGCAGGAAATCTGCCCCCATGATCCAATCACCTCCTACCAGGCCCCATCTCCAACACTGGGGATTACAATTTGACATGAGACTTGGGTGAGGACATAAATCCAAACCATATCTCTTGAAGAAGACAGAAAGAGACCACCGTTACTATTTTTGGATATTTGAATGACTTTCCTGCAGAAGAAGGATTTGACCTACACTAGAAAAACGGAGGATTTATGTCTAATATTTTAATAGAATTCTCCAGGTAGTTATGAGTTTAATGAGTTTACCGATACTGGAGGTGTTCAAGCAAACATTGGATGCCCACTTCTTGAGACTGTTCCAGAGCAGGCAAGGGAGTCTGGTGAACAATTTGATTAAATGTCCTTTAAGGTCCTTTTCAACCATGGGATTCTCTCACGAATATGAAGTTTAGTGAACAGAGCAGGGCCTAACATATGCCGAGATTGACACACAGACACAGGTAAATGATACCCCAGCAATTTCACATGTTAAAATTTATCTGTGGTAAATGAATGACTGAGTGAAAAGCAATCTCTGCTAAATGTTAGGTACCCATATTAATAAGCAGGTTAAAAATAGCCAGATTAAAAACAGTTAACATCAGGTAAATATCATTTCTATTTTCAGTAAGCTTGATTTACAGTCTTTTACGATTATATCTGGGTTAAATGGATTGGTCATTCAAAAACTAAGTGGCTGTCTCTCAATCACATAGATTAAAAAGAGAGGGAAGACTCCATCCTACCTTTTAGAATTCAAAAATTTTTAATTTTTTATCTTTTGGACTTCTTGTAAAATTTCTTTTTGTGCCTTATGATGTTTTGCATTAATGAAGTTGTAAATGCTAAAACAGCACAAATTCATCCTCACCAATGGATGTGTAGATCTATAAAATTAATAAACAATGATTTATTGGGAGCCTATCGCTCCACTGAAGAAACTGAGAACCAGACAGTGCCTGAAGGTTGAACATGACAAGGAGCTAAATGGTTTAAAATTTGTGGCTATCCTTAATATGCTACCCATGTGTGCCAATGAGGCAAATCTTCAGTCAGCTTGAGCCTGGTCTCCACCTCCCAGTGGAGGGTCAGAAGGGGTGAGTGATTCCAATCAATATCCAGTTGTTAGAGTAACAGCCATGTTGGTTCTGGATGGCTGACTGGGCAAAAACATGTTTGTTCTACTTAATGTGACAGTGTCTTGTCAAATTAACAGCCATGGTGGCAGGAACAAGCTTGCTTAATGGGTTAGAGTCAGTTCCACAGAGAATCTATCATCAACATGCAGCTGAGAGGAATCCCAAACCTCATTACCAGGGTTTATTTGTAGATAATAACGGAAGGTATGCCATGTACTTACAACGCATTTGTTTGGTTTTTTTGGCAACTCAGTTTAATGGTCTTTATCAAGTGTTGCCCTTTTAACTCCCCGAAACTCTGTATGCTCATGCTTAGTCTGTGTTTAAATACACTAAGTAAAGTACAATATTTAAGCAGCTATGTTAAGATGTTGTAGCAAGATAGAATGATTATTTGAAATAACCACATATTAGATGTGCAGGGCAGTGGGGGAAAGGAAGTACTCTGGTGAGTGCTTTAACCCTGCACTTCATGGTGAATATTTAAATGTACTTTTCCTCCCTAGAGGTGAGCTGTTGTTCCAAAGCCAGAATCATAAACTGCCTGCCAGATTTCTCTCACAGTTAAATTGCATTTGGGCCATATAGTGGTTTTTAAAAATTGAAATGCTTTCTATCACTTAGAAAAAAGAAAATTTCACATGCAGTTCTAGGTGTTTCCTTTCAATGAAAAATTCAGAGAAGTCAGCAGCATAGGCCAGCTTTTCACAGGGCAGTAGTTTTCTGGAGCTGTGTGTTAGTTCATCTTCTCTAGATAGGCTGAGCATTCTCCATGGTGTCTACTGTGCCTGCTTTATTCATCTATGTGACCTAACCAGCCCCTTGAAACATTGAAATTTTCCATCTGTGATGAAAAGATTAAATCTTGATTTTCGAATCATACTCATAGATGAAAAATACAATATTATGTCATTATCATGTACAGACATTGTTAAGACACTGTTTGCTTCTTTCTTCCTCTAGTCCTCTAGTCCTCCACCAGTGCCTCCCAGTGGCCTAAACCAGCAGGAGCCATATGAAAAAGAAGTCTGGAAGTTGCTAGTCCTTCACAGGAGGATACAAGAATGGCGACGAGAAGATCTGAGGACTAAACTACGAGATTTAGGATGAACAAATCTAGGAGCCAGAAGATGTACCTGCTAGTAAACGCTATGATCTTTAAAAAGTCTTGAGCCAACGTGACCTTCGGAATTTTTCATCTGTAAAATGAAATATTGGACTAGACGGTCCCTGAAACTTCTTAAAGTCCTTGATTCTACAGTGGAATGGTTGGTACAGCTTTGATTTCATTGTCTGTTTATACCTGGCTGAATTCTCTTGTGACATGTGACTGTCCTTCTTAAGAAACTGACAGGCAACCAAGTAGCTGATTGTTGAGATATCGAAATGTTTCAGGGAATGCAGAGAATACAGCCTACCTGATATAAAGTCTGACAGCAACAACAAAAAATCTCTCTGGGCAATTTTATTTAATAATTAAAACAAAAGGTTTGGAGGCAATATTCAAATTGCCACTTTAACAAGAGAGGAACCTGTGGTGAGAATGCTTCAACAGTGATCTGGACTGGCATTAGAGCTAAAGAATCCCAGCCTGATGTGATAGTGACTCTGGCTGCTTTATGTTCCTCAGGAATCCCAGGATGTCTTTCAAACAAACAAATAAACCAAACAAACAACAACAATGAAATATTATCTTTATCACTTATCGCAGATGATTTTCCCAGAATTGTTGGCTCAAATTTTAGAAGAAATTCTAGAAACTGATTCAACATAAAATTCAAACCCGCTAGCTCTTCATTTAAATCATGGAATCACTTGTTTGCTATTGAACCACATGTTGACATTGAAGTACAGATGTTTGATGATGAATTCATTCCTCTTTGTATAACAGCAACTACATGATAAGCCAGGGAAAATATGGCAGCATCTTTTATATCTTCATTTGTTTGAAACAGATAAAAATATTTTATTTTCCTTATTCTATGTCAAGTAACCCAATAATGAGAAAATCTAAACTTACTTTTCAAGGGATTTTTAAATTTTATTAAATTTGTAAAGGTAAAGCAATAAGTTAAATTCAACACACAGTTTGAAATATATCAGTTACGGAGCCAACTGAGATGTCAATCATTTAGTAGTTCTTCTCTCTGAAAATAGAGAACATTTAGAAGCAGATCCAGAAAGTTTCATTTTAACCTCAACTGGAACCAGGAACAGGAACTGAGGTTGCTTACTAGCAGATCATGATACAGTGGACACTGACATTCTTCCAGACATTAAATCATTTGCAGTTTCTCTTTGACAGATTTAAAACCTGAGAAGTTAATTGTGGGAGCTAGTCCTGATTCACCCAAGATCAACTAGCAGTTGCAAGAACATTTTCACTCAAAAGCTTGAAAATGAATCAAGTTTACTTGTTAAGATGTCCAGCAAATAGCAAGATAAACATGGTAATATATTCAGTTTTAAATATATAAGTTTATATCAATAATATATTTAAAATAGCATACTTTAAGGCTACTAATGAAAATGTGAAGCAAAATGAAAAATGTTAGCTTGCAAGAGAAACTGATTTTATTTAATGGGTTATTTTACTTCAGTAAAATCTTGGTTATGCAAAATAATGGAAAAAAAAATCTGAGTAAGCAAAGCTTTGATATGGCTAGAAAATAAAGTATATTTTTCTTGTACTTGTAGCCTTACTGTTGAGAATTTTAAGAAATGGTGCTCCTTGTTTAAATTCAATTGGCCTTTAATGGGCACATAACACATGCTGGACATTACAGTAGGAGGCTGAAAAGAATACCATAAATAAATAACCCCCTGGCTCTCAAGGAATTCTTAGACTCAATGAATAGAGTACATTGAACACAAGAGAATATATATATATATATTTCTAGAATCCTTCAGACTTATATTCAGTTTCAGAAAAAAAAAAATCATTTTGAGTTTCAATTTCCATTGCCTTAGCCTGAAGATGGAAGTGGAGAAGAACAGAAGAAGGATCACCGGCTTTAGAAGAAGTCTTGAGGATGAAACAAAATAATGTGTGTGAATGCTCTTAGCATAATATATGCTACTTTGCAAATGTCAACAGCATTAATATTTATTTATTTATTTATTGTATCTGTCACATGGCAGACATTATTACGTTGGCTATCTCCCCAGTAAGAGCTTGTGGATGGGAAGGAAGTTGGATGTCACAGACTTTTTCTTAATTAATCAACCAAACATGTATTGTGTATCTATCAGAGTAAGACTGAACTACATAGGTTGAGTCATACAAACCAGGTTTCTCTGAGAACACATAGGAAGGATATCAAAACCAAATGTTGGGTGCCAGAAACTGATTACTTAAGGAAACCAGTATTTGAAGAATGAGGTGAACGTACCCTATGAATGAGGGTACGTTTTTAGACAGTTGTTCGCAATTTAGAGCAGTTGTTTCTATGAAACAAATGAAGGAATAGTTGGTTTCAGAAACTCAGACATCAGTCAAATTTCTTTTTTTCCCCTCTTAATATGTAACTAGTTTAATTATGCAAATAAGTGAAACAAAAACTAAATACAAATTTTAAGGTGCAGAAAAACTTTTGCTCTGTTTGTACAGAAAAATCCAACCATTTGTTTTCTGGTTAAAAATAAACAGGTGTTAGTAAGAGAGTGCACACTCCATTAGAATTCCAAATGGTAGGGAAATAGAAGAGTTTTCCTGGTGGTGTAAATTGCTTCCCCCTACAATGTCCCCCGTCTTTCAAAACTTTAGAATTTGCACTGTAACTCTTTCACCAGTCATCAGTCAAATTTCTAAGATAGACCAAAAAAACCTGCAATTATTCATAAACTGAAATAGAATCCTTCTTTTATATAAAATTTTGTCACAAACTATTGGAATGAGCTTACCTAGTATGCATTCTATATATTATAATTATTGAGAAATGGAATCTTAGTACCTGTCTGCCAGTGTTAAATGGCAACAAAGGAGCATTTATTTCATCAAAAATGTACTGAGTTTCTATTAAATTGATAGAGCTGTCAGAGGATGAGGGAATATAAAAGAGATTTCAAAGTTGTGTCTTCTCTAGGAACTTACAATCTACTGGGAAAGACATAGATACATATGCACATAACTAAGCAATTAGGTTTAAAATAGAATACGTACAAGTGTTATACAGATCAGTAAAGTATGGAACATTTAGTTTTACAATATGTTAAGGATTTAGAAGCAATAATAAAACAAACTATGAAGATAAACAGTGATAGTTTAACACTGTCTCTAATTCTCCATTTGGTTCTGGATATTTAAAATCACTTTAAAGCAGAATTGTTTGTATGCCCGGAAGTCAGAATATTGACTGTCTCTTTCCTCTTCCCGTTTGTCTTACAATACATTTTTTACCATCAAAACTTTTCTGCCTATGTTCTTGGATTTTTATAACCCAACAAAAGGATGTAAATTAGTCAGCGTTCTATAAGAATCACCTAATTTATGATCTTCAAATTTGAGACGTGGATCTTAGCTGAAGGGCTAGAGAGCATTTAAGATGTTCTTTGTATTGGATGTCATGAAAAATATATTACTTCAGAAAGAATAACAAAAACTTCAATTTCTGCTAAACCTTTCAAAGAAGAGATGTTGTGAATCTATTAAAACCTCAGTTAAAACTCTGACTCTTGTGTATGTTTCAGTTGGTTCTTATCCCATTCTCTCTTTGGTTCACACTTCACCAGCCACATTGGCTTTCCTTCTGTCCCTCAAAAAGCAGATCGTTCTTTCTTTACTCCTTAGACTCTTTATCCTGACTGTCTCCAACTCCTCCAGATCTTTGGCCAGTTAGCTACTTCTCATCATTTAGGTTTCACTCTAAACGTCACCTTTTAGAGAGATCTTGCCTGACCATCTAGCCTTTTGTGTCATTTGTTTTCAGGAACAGGTAAAAGAAAATGTGGTTCAAGTTTATGTTAAGAGCAGGAAATATGAGATCCTACAAGAGGAGATCCTGAGGTCAGGTGAGTTTCAGGTGATTGGCTTAGTACCCTAACAAGTTTGTTCCTTTTTTAACTCCAGCTTCCATATCATCATCTTCCTCCTAAAGCTGGTTCCCCCTTCGTGGTGGTAAAAATGATTTCAGGGAAAATCTGGGCCACAAGGCTCCTTGTTAATACTATAAAACTATTAATTTGTTATGGCTCTTTCATAAAAAATAATTTTTTTAAACTTTCTCAGATGCCTGCAGTAAACTGGTTTTACATTTTATTGACTGGAACTGGGTCACGTGATTATGCTTGAACCAATCATTGATAAAGTAGATGGGAATAATTTATAAATATGAGATAGGAGTCATCACCAATTGAACTGAAGTCCTTCTCCAAATCATGTATTGTTGTTATTCATCAAGAGATGATGAAGTAAGTGCTGGAGATTCAACCAAAATGTCTACATTTCCCTCAAATATAATATTATTGTCTTTTCGAGTTTTTACACTCATCACAATTTTAAGTTATATATTTATATGTGTTGTTTTGTATATATATGTATATATATAATTGTCTGCCTTGCTATCATAATAAAAACATCATAAGAGGATAATTTTTGTCTTATTTAATGATGCATTTTTACTTAGAAAAATAAAATGATGCTCAATAAAATTGCTGAATTAGAGGATGAACTGGAAACATCACATCATGACTTTCTTAGTCTCTAATAGTCTCCTGACTTCACAAGGATGAGAAACTTTGAGAAGTTATTATTAACTGACTTTTCCTTCTTATCTCCTAGAGTCTCTTACATTCCTAGGAGGCCCCAGTTACTGGTGGAGGGTTCCTAAACAACAGTAATTTTATCAGTCTTGGACACTTCTGAAGTAGGCTTTGAAGGATAAATAAAATAAGTCATTGTTTAAAAATAGAAGCACAAGAGAAGATGAAAAGGAAATACAAATTGTAGGAACACATGATGAAATTGCATGAGGTGTGCTAAGAAATGAAACCAGTCTGGTGTGACTAAATCTGGGAGCTGTAGAGTGACTGGGGCAGTAAGGCTGGGAGGGAAGCAGTGAAGCTGACCTACAGATAGTCTTTCTCAGTCATGTCTATGGTTCTGATTGGCTCTAATTTTCTGGTCACTGGTTTATTGACCTCAGCACATTTATACTTTGTTTTATATTAAGTCACCTTAAAAACCTCTTATTTATGTATACTTGATATCTCAGGTATAGTTTACCTTTTGACTTGTTTGTAAACTCATTAATAACACTCAATAGTTTTACTGTGTGTTAGAATAAAACATAACTGACCTGGATATAAGCTAAGCTTTAAGAAAGGATCTTGAGTGACTTTGTTTTTAAAACCACTTATCCTCAATTCACATGGGAAACACACGGTCATATTAGTAAGATAATACTGAATAAATGAAAGACAGAATGACTCAGAAAACCTGTCTCTTTGTTTTTTGTTTTGTTTTGTTTTGTTTGTTGTTGTTGTTGGTTTTTAATCAGGCTTCCCCTTTACTCATGTGATCATAGAAGAGTGTCGCTGAATCCTTTCAAAGTTTGATTTCCTCATTGGTCAAGTGAGGATGATAAAGCTGATGACAATTGTTGAGAGATATAAGTCAAATGAGGAAGACCCTTGGGAAAATGAAAATGCTACAGAAATGTATATAATGGGGCTGGACATTATTCTGAAATCAGAATAATAGAAGCAAAGATGAGAAGAGGAAAAGGTTAAGATTGTAAGTTTGGCGCCCAAATGGGAAAAACTAACTCACTTTTTTTTTTTTTTTTTTTTTTTTTTTGCCTATCTGGAAGATTTCAAGCTGCACATACACTCTTAAGAAACAAGTTTCACATTTCACTGTAAGAAATGGAGATAATCAGCTGAGTAAATAGTTATAAAGCTCCAAGCCCAAAGACTTCTACAATTTCAAGATTCTGTGTTAAGTAAATATTTCTGAGTTGGAATGGACCTCTTTGTAAGCAGAGATTATGGAGATCTATAGCCTGTTTGAGATTCTTGTCTTTCTCTTCCCATCTTCACTTGAGAGGGAATAAAGAAATTATCTTACCTTAATATAAGAAAAAAAGTCACTGCATCAGGGCCCAGGAAACTGTCCACTAATTACTTATGTAACCTTGTATTTACTCATAGATTCGGTTTTTCTTTATAAAATGAAGGGACTATATGAGATAAACCCTGAGATTCTTCTGTTCACTAAAATTTCACAGTCCTTAAGCATGCAGAGGAAATAGTGAATTTGAATCCCAGGTAACTTTCCCTGATCACTCAGCTGAGTCCCTTATATTTGCAGTATTTGGGGGAATATCTGTCAGCTTCCACACACATTTCCACACAATTCTTTTATTCTGGTTTTGGCTGACTTACTTCGGGGAGTCATTTTGCTGGCTAATTTAGGCCATGTCCTATTATCCAGCTGGGTGATAATAATAACAGCTACCACCTATATCACACTACATGCTGGGCACTATTTTAAGAACTTTAATACATTAACTGATTCAATCTTCATAACAGCTTTATGATGCAGACATTATTGTGATGCTTATTTTATAGATGAGTAAACTGAAGCAAAGTGTGGTTATGTAATTTGTCTAAGTTACACTACTATTAAGTGCCAGAGTAGCACTTCAAATCTAGACTGTTTTATAACCCCGCATATGTGTGCTAAAGTAATAAACTACACTCAGTATGGAGGGTAGAAGGAAAGATGGCAAAAAGAAGTCTACAACTAGAAGGAACAGAGCCAGGCTCCCAGATCATTATGTCAGGTATACAAGGACAGGTAAGCGATTTAAACACATGTGGGCAAGTGACCAGAATCTGAGTTCTATCCCATAGGCCAGTTTACTCTTGGAACTTTGTCTTTGGGATTGCCTGCCAAAAATGTGACTTTAAATATAAAACCAACAAAATGAAATCATTTCTTGGAGAACATTTCTGTGGTTCCCTGTGGCATGCCAAGTTCACAATATCTGTCTTAAATTTTCAAGCACATGTGTTGTAGTAATTTTATGGGGTAATGAGTTGGCTTCCATTAAAGATATTTTATTTTTACAGGGGCTGGGGCTGGAGAAACATTATGTGGCAGGCAGTGAAATATCTTGCTTTTTCAGATTGCTTTAACTAATCATCTCAGGTGGATTTTCTAGGAACTCTGGTTTTTAACCATTTGACCGCTATGGATTTCAGTGGGCTGTGACTGAGGCTTTGAATGTAATACCATGGAACATAGTGGTAAGGAATGGAGAAGTTCAGGATTTGGTGGAAATAATAAAAGTAGAGTGGAACAAATGTGGTACTTTCATTTCAAACTGAAAATTCGAATGTAATTTAAGTGCATTCCTTGGATTCAATAGAAAATAGTTTAACAAGTGGCAAGAGCTAACAAATGTAGGCCAGATATAATTTATCAAAGCTAGCATAGTCTCCCATTCCAGTTTATCACATGGAGGATGCTGCTAGTTATCTACCCAATATCTAACCTCTCCTTCTTTCTTATTGGCAGAGACCCAGTTTTGCTACTAAAATATTTTATTCCCCATATTACCTTACAAAAAAAGAGTTGGAGCTGTGACACATTTTTGACCAAAGAGATCTATCTGGAAGTCGACTGGGATTTCCTGGAAAGCAGCTTCTTCTCAATCCTCCTAACTGGTGAGTGGGACATCAACAGCTGTCTTATAACTATGAGCAAGAAACATTAGTTATGGTTAGCCACACAGAAAGATGGAGAGGTCTAGATTCTGGATTCATTGTGAAGCTGCTGTAGCTACATGTAACTACTCAGGCACAGAATTTTTTGTTTCCTAAAAAAAAAATATATATATATTTGTATGTGTACACAGTTGCCTAATTCTGAGCCTGTTAGAAATACTCTCACTGTGCTTTTTCCTGTTACCCACGCCCTTCTTGTGGCCTCAACTTAGGAGTTGACAGGTTTCCACCTAGTTGTGCCTGTGCCGAGGGATCGAGAGGGCTCATTCCTTCCATTGCAACTGCCATTCTTGATTATGATGGATTTTCTTGATGTTCTCAGAGAAAGAAAAGGAATGTAACCTGAGATATGATCACTTGCAACAATCTGTTTAATTTCAACATAATAAAGATATTAGTCAGGGTAAAAAATGAGAGAGAGAGAGAGAGAGAGAATTTTACTTGAGAGGGCAAGAGAACATGAAAGAGCTTGGTGCCTGATCCTTGCTCCATATTGGGGTACAGAAAATTCCATGGATCTTCTGATGGAAAGAAAGCTGTATAAGGCTGGTGGCAGCCTTCAGCATTCTGGTAATGGAATACAGCCCCATTCTCCATTGGGTAAAATGTCTCTGAGGCTAAATACCAGTAGGATTTGAGATCTCTGGTCAATAAATACTATTAGGGAATTTTGACAGAACTTTGAAGGGAGAGTTCAAGAGGTACCAGAGTTAAATGGATGTAATTCACACAGTTCATCTGATGTTACCAAGAAAAGACAAGCTTGAAGCTGAAGACCTTCATGTTGAGGATGACATATTAGAAGCTGAAGAACTGCATGTTGAGGGGGTCTTTGATGGCACTGTTACACTTAAACAAAATGACCTTGGGCTTATTTTTGCATGAGTCAAATAAATCCTTTACTTGTTCAAGCCACTGTTGGTTGGGTTTCCTATTATCTGGAGCTGAATTCATTTCATACTACTACATCCCCTCTTCTCTCTCAATACACCTGCTTGGTGAGTGCTCAATAGATGGTTAGTATGTCAGGGAAACATAACTGGGTGAAGGACATACTTCGTGATAGAGGAGTTTGACTAATTGTCTAAGCCTCTATAATCTCTGCTTTGTACTTATGTTTGTTAGTTTGTTTTGTCCAAAAAATTTTAGGCTGATTATATTTGGATGTGTTCTATAAATATCAGTTTCTTTATCAGTCTGAGGTGGGTTGTGACCTTCTAAGGAAATGGGGGCATTTTGATTTTCTAAAGACAGTTCAAAGAAGGTAGGATGAAAGGCAGAGAAAAAGGAAGGTGAAACAAAGATAGAAACAGTAAGCAATTGTGCAGGAAAGATATGCTTATCATGCTGTTATGATTTGAATGATTGTTCCCTCCCAAAGTCATGTTAAAATTTAATTGCCATTGTACAGACTTAAGAGATAACTAGGCCATGGGGAATTATTGAAGGTTGAATGCCTTCATAAAAGGGCTTTCAGGTGTGGGCTCTTTCTCCATCTCTCTCTCTGTTTTACCCTACCACCTTCCCAACATAGGATAGCCCTATCCAACATAGGATAGCACACCAAGAAACCATGTGCCAGATACCAGCACCTTGATATTGAACTTTGCAGACTCCAGAACTGTGAACCAAAACATTTCTGTTTATCATAAATTACTCAGTTTGTGGTATCCCGTTATAGCAGCACACAAAACAGACTAAGACACATGGTGCAAGTCATCATGTCATCTTATTTATTTATTTAAACAGTTCTTGAGGCATATTTTCTTAAAACTGCCACACAAAATTAGAAATCTGATACCCAAAATGGGTAAAATACCTTATCAATAAGTGTCAGAACCAGATTTCATATCCAGATAGTCTGATTCTAAGCATTCACATTTCCTGTGACCTTTGCCCGAGGAAGAGACATTATCTTTAGTACACCAGACATGATCAAAGCTACCCTTTGCTCTGGGAGCTGGGGGGATTATATCTATATCTACCAAGGCCATTTGCTATACAAGCAGCCTTGAAAATATAATGGGGAACAATGGCAGCCAGTGCCTTTGTTTGCAAACAGTATAAAAATGAGAAAGATCCATGGATAACAATGTCCCCAAAGCATTTACTTTTTGAATCCTCATTTTCTGATTCTTCCAGAGTCTTCTGTCTCACACACTTCTCAGCACAGTTCCATCTTTGTTCCCCTTAATTTATAGGTGCCTGGGGGCTTTCATCTTTTTACGTCTTCTTATCATCAGAGAAAAGTTTTTGAAACTCATTTTAGGCAATATATATATATATAATATACCTTCTGCTGTAATTCTAAGTTCCCTGAGGCCCTCTCCAGAAGCTGAGCAGATGCTGGTGCCATGCTTCCTGTGCAGCCTGCTGAACTGTGACTCCAAATAAACCTCTTTTCTTTGTAAATTACCCAGTCTCAGGTATTCCTTTACAGCAACATAAATGGACTAACACAGCAACAGAAGCATAAGCATTCATTCATTAGCTCATTTATTTATTCAGTGTTTATTGTGTAATTTCTACAGGTTGAGCATCGCAAGTCTAAAAATCCAAAGTCTGAAATGCTCCAAAATCAAAAACCTTTTGAGTACATGATGGTTAAAGAAAATGTTTACTGGAATATTTTGGATTTGGGATGCTCAATCAGTAAGTACAACGTAAACATTCCAAAATTGAAAAAAACCTGAAATCTGAAACACTTATGGTCTCAAGCACTTTGGATAAGGGATACTCAATCTCTGTATAGAAAGTACTAAGTGCTTTCATTTGAGACAGGGTAAGTTTTAGTAAGCCAACAAGGGAGCACTTCAGATACTGGTGAGTCTAAAGAAGTAAAAAGTATTAATTTCACTGGGGGTGAGATTTGGTGCTTTTACATTTTATGGTCAAGAAAGACCTCATTTAGAAAAATGAAGTTTTACCTAAAAACTCAAAGGATAAAAGAATCATCATAAAAAGAACCTGAAAAATAATATTTCATAAAAAAAGAGAGAATGTGTCTCTTTAAGTGAAAAGACCCTGAAAAATAAGTCTTAAATCTAAAGTGTATACTAGGTGAAACTGCTAAAGTTGTACACCAAACCAGTCAAATCTTGGAAATTTCATACTGGACTTGGAATATTTACATTTTACTTACTGGTTGAAAATCCCAAATCCCAAATGCTATGATGAGCATTTCCTTTATTGTCATATCAGTGCTCAAAAAGTTTTGGATTTTGAAGCATTTCAGATTTGGAGTTTTCAGAATTGGAATGCTCAACCTAGAAATGTTAACTGACATGCAGTTACTGCTGTTAAGAATTATGTGTGTTTCTGAGTATTTATTTACTTAATTTCATTGAAAATAAGTTTACAAATTCTGTGTCAGTAACTTTGAACTTGTTTCAATGCATAAAAATGTAAGCATCGCATACTTTTTCAAGGTTTTCTTTATTAGTAGTTTAAAAGTTTGAAGAAAATGGCTGAATGGTTTGCAAAACTCTGAGAAACTACAAAAAAAAATAGTGCAACTTTACAGGGCAGAACAAATAACCTATTAGACAAAATGAAACTCTGCAAGGATAATAACTGGAAATTAAAACAGGAGAAAGCAGATTATAAACAAATAAAAGTTCTAGATGTCAGCAAACTGTAGTCAACATGGAAGCATTTAACGTAGGAAATACGTGTTTCAATTGTGATTTCTATAAGGCTAAATACTGGAAGTAAACTATTGCATGAATAACTGCTAAGTT
The DNA here is from genome assembly GCF_000001405.40 of Homo sapiens. Classification (NCBI taxonomy): domain Eukaryota; kingdom Metazoa; phylum Chordata; class Mammalia; order Primates; family Hominidae; genus Homo; species Homo sapiens. Next base: position 22,483,980 of record NC_000011.10, read on the forward strand.
ATATTAAGAATATGTATTTTACCTCTAGGGACAGCTATTTCATAATCTATTGTGCTACTATTAATTCTATGTGTTAATTTGACTGAACCATGAGAACTCAATATTTGGCTAAGTATTTCTCTGGGTGTATCTGGGAGAGTGTTTCTGGATGAGAATAACATTTGAATCAGTAGACTGAGTAAAGCAGATTGCTCTCCCCAAAGTAGATGGGCTTTGCTCAATCGGTTGAAGGCCTGTATAGAACAAAAATGAGTGTTGTTTCTCATTGTCTGTTGAAAACATCTATACATGTGGTATAAAAGAGTATTTAATATGAAATCTTATATTGTTTGTAATTTTAATCTAATCATTTGTTTCAGAAAGGAGAAGGAAATAGATTATTGACATTACTGACACATTCTCAAGTGTTGACAAAGTTGTATTTACAAACACTTATGTATCCCTTCTTAGTGATTCATGAACACAGAAATTCCTTTGAGAACTGATGAAAGCTATGAACACTCAAACAACCTACAAATGTTTTCTTGCAGTTTCAGTGCTTCACAATAACCCTGAAAGTAGTTCAAATATCTCAGTTTAAGAACTCCCACTTATTCCTCAGAATAAGTCTTAGAAATAAATATTCTTATACCCTTCTATCAATTAAAAAAATAAAAGATTAAAGAAGTAAAATAATTACTTGCCCAAGTTCACATAGCTAATGAGAAGCAATACTGAAACTAAATTCAGATCCACCTGAATCGAAGTTTGGTCACTTTTAATCATATCATACTTCAAATCTAGTTTTTCAGTTTTTGTTTTTATCACTTAATATCTGACTTTTTTAACTTGCAATTCAAGGAAGTTAGGAAAAGATCTGCTTCTTACTGTTGTCCTACAGCAATTATAATTTGAAATTTGACCCCTGTACTATCAAAATAGAATGATTAAAAATGCCTATTTGCTAGAAGGTTTTTTTTTTTTTTTTTTTTTTTGAGACGGAGTCTCGCTCTGTCGCCCAGGCTGGAGTGCAGTGGCGGGATCTCGGCTCACTGCAAGCTCCGCCTCCCGGGTTCACGCCATTCTCCTGCCTCAGCCTCCCGAGTAGCTGGGACTACAGGCGCCCGCCACTACGCCCGGCTAATTTTTTGTATTTTTAGTAGAGACGGGGTTTCACCGTTTTAGCCGGGATGGTCTCGATCTCCTGACCTCGTGATCCGCCCGCCTCGGCCTCCCAAAGTGCTGGGATTACAAGCGTGAGCCACCGCGCCCGGCCTGCTAGAAGGTTTTGACGTTTGAAAAGAATGCCTCATTAGCTGACACAGAAAGATATTCCTACTGCATGCGTTACTTCTATTTCACAAACTGGGCACTGGTGTTATGGTCTGATATAGCTATAAGGTAAAAAGGTTTATGGTAAGTTAATTAAGTTCAGGGTTTGGCCTAAGACATAAACTGCCTCTAGATGCAAAAGTGTATCCAAATTGTATGAAATTTTAAGTAGCACAATACAAATCTAAAAGCTCAATGAAACTCTCAGAATGCAGATGGAAATGATGTTTGGCTCTGGGAAATGGGGCCAGGTCCAAAGGGATTGTGAAGACTTTTGGGATTTGAGAAAGCACCATAGTGGCATTAACCTTTCCACAGTCGCTTAAAATTTTCTAATTGAAATATGAATGTGAAAGAACATCTCATGGTCTATGATTTTTCCTTTAAGGGAAAAAGTCTGGAAGGAAAATTTATAAATTAATGTAATTGTCAACATGCAATTTATTAAGAAAACAAATTTACATGTTACCTATATTATGATATCTAGTGTGTCCTTGGTCGTTAATTAGAACTGTATATTGTATTTGACTTCTAATTGGCCACCAGAAAAGAGTAATGCTTAAACATATTTTTAATTTAACATTTGAAAGAAATTAACTGTATAGTTTTGAATCAAAACAAAACAGTGCTAAAAAAAAAAAAAAGATGCCATATAATGAATGCTTCCATAAGAGAAAGTCACCACTGACTGTGTAATTTCTCTTGAGACCAAGGGCTCATGATCAATAGCTCATTTCAAAGTTGCTTTTTTAAAAAATGACCAGAAATACTTGGAAAATAAGCAGGTCATTTTCATAAAGGAATGTGGCATATGGAGAAGGAGAAGGAGAAAGTGCAAGGATTATGAACACCTACACTATTTCCTTCCTTATATGCTTCTTTTTCCTCACAGCTTTTTTAAGGTATAATTTTTTTTTTTTTTTTGAGACAGAGTTTCACTCTTATTGCCCAGGCTGCAGTGCAATGGCACAATCTCGGCTCACCGCATCCTCTGCCTCCTGGGTTCAAGCAATTCTTCTGCCTCAGCCTCCCAAGTAGCTGGAATTACAGGCATGCACCACCACACTCGGCTAATTTTGTATTTTTAGTAGAGATAGGGTTTCTCCATGTTGGTCAGGCTGATCTTGAACTCCCGACCTCAGGTGATCTGCCCACCTCGGCCTCCCAAAGTGCTGGGATTACAGGCATGAGCCGCTGCACCCGGCTTAAGGTATAATTTATAACATAAAATTCACTCATTTTTAAATATACAATTCAACGACTTTTAGGACATTTATAGAGTTGAGCAGCCATCACCAAAATCTGATATTAAAACATTTATATCCTTCCCAAAAGTTCCTTTGTGCACCTTTGTGATTAATTCCTAGTACCACAACTAGCTTCAGGCAAACACTGATCTATTTTCTGTCTCTATAGACTTGTCTTTTCTGGATATTTCATACAAATGTAATCATACAATATGTAGTTTTTTTGTGAGGGGCTGCTTTAACTTACCATGGCTTTGAGATTCTTCCATGTTGTGGCATAGACCAGTAGTTTTTTATGGCTATTATTCCATTGGATAGATAGACCACATTTTGTTTATGTATTCACCAGTTCACAAACATTAAAATTATTTCAAGTTTATAGCCACTGAGAATAATGTTGTTGTGACACGCACATAAATGTCTTTATATGTGTAAAATATATGTGTAAACATATATTTCATTTCCTTTTGGTAGATAAGTAGGGGTGGAGTTTCTGGATTGTATTTGTAATGGACTAAATTGTGTTCTGCCAAAATGTATATGTGACTACATTTGGAGATAGCATCTTTAAAGAGTTAATTAAGGTGACACAAGGTCATAAGAGTGGGACCCTAACCCAATATGACTGGTATCTTTATAAAAAGAGGAACAGACACTAGGAAGGGATGTGCACAGAAGAAAGGCCATGTGAGAGCACAATGAGAAGCCCAATGTCTACAATCAAAAAGGCATCAAGAGAAGCCAAAACTGCCAACACCTTGATCTTGGACTTTCAACCTCCATTACTGTCAGAAAATTAATTTCCATTATTTAAATCTCTTTGTCTGTGGTATTGTTATGATGGCTGTAGGAAACTAATTCAGTAAGTTTATGATTAACTTTTTAAGAAACCACTAAACTTTTCCAAACTGGCTGTGCCAGTTTTACATTTCCACCAATATGTGGGAGTTCCATTTTCTACACATTCTCACCATTAATAATACTGTCTTTTTTATATTATAGACATTCTAGTGAATGTGAAATGGTATGGCTTTGTAGTTTTAATTTGCATTTCCTAGTTATATGGATCATCTCTCATTCTTTGTTTGCCTCCCCACCTGCATGCACCAAGGAAAAACCACATGAGGACGTGGTGAAAGGCAACCAACTGCAAGCCAGGAAGAAAGCCCTCATCAAAACCAAATTGACCAGAACCTTGATCTTGGCCTTCCAGCCTTCAGAACCATGGGAAAATAAATTTCTGTTGCTTAAGCAGGCTAAGGTGTCTTGCTGTGGTAGTTCAAGCTGACAAATATATAGATTAATAGAAGATAGCTAAAATTAGACTCCACACCTGCATGTGGAATAGGCTGAGTTTGGGTTGCTAATTGGAGACTTTTTCATACCCTAAGACCCAATCAGAGTCAAGTTTTCTTGCTTTTTTATGGATTAGTTGTTTTTAGTCTCACTTACATGAAGGAGGCTACTCTAATGCTCTTCTAGCTTTACTCAGGGCCCCAAGTTTCAGCTTTAAACCACTGTTTTTCTATCCCTAAGAAATATACCCTAAGTACTAGATTATAGGGCCTATATCAGGGTTTTCTCCTTCCTATGATGTTACACGGTTAATAAAATTGCTTACCTTTTTCTTTTGAGTTCTCTCTTTTTTTTTTTCTAAAATTTGGGATTATTACTTCTTTTCCTGAGTACACCTATTCATTTGTGTGCATTTGTTGTTGCTATTGTTAACTTCTACTATAGTGGGTTTTTGAGGGGGTGAGGAGTCTGTGTTGGATATGTTATTCATGTTGCCAAAATCAGAAGTCTCTTCTTACATATTTGTGAATATACATTTTGTGCAAAATTAGCAATAAGTGCAATGCACCTTCCCTGGATCATTGTTGAAAATTCAATGTCTAATCCTATTATAATCAGCTTGTTTATTTCATTAAATTCAAAACCTGTAATAATTTCCATGAACTGAACATTTATGCTCCCCTAAAATTCATATGTTGAAATCCTAATTCTCACTGTGATGTGGTATTGGAGATGGAGCCTTTGGAAGGTAATTAGGACATCGCAGTAAAGCTCTCATAATCAAATTAGTACCCTCATAAGAAGAGACATGAGGGGATCTTCTTTCTTTGTGTCTGTGTCTCTCTCTTTTTCCGTCTCTATCTTTCTCTTCCTCTCCTCCTGCCATGCGAGGACTCAGCAAGAAGGCCACATGCAAACTAGGAAGAGGGCTACTGAGGTTTATTAGAACCTAACCATTTTGTTACCCTGATCTTAGACTTCCCAGCCTCCAGAACTGTAAGAAATCAATTAATATTTTTAAGTCACCTAGTCTATGATATTCTGTTATTGCTACCTAAACTGAGACAGAAATTATTACCAAGAAACAGGGTGCCACTATAACAAATACATAAAATTGTGGAAGCAGTTTTGGAACTGGGTAATGGGTAGATGCTGGAAGAGATTGAGGTGCGTGCTAGAAAAAGCCAATATTGGGATGAAGGGAATATTAAAGATGAATCTGTTAAGTCCTCAGAAAGAAAGGAAAATAACTATAGAGAAAGGGCACATCTTGAAGAATACGCAAATAATGACGTACAGAAAGTTGGTAGAAATATGGATGATAAAGGCCATTCTAGAGAAGTCTTAGATGAAAATGAGAAACATATTATTGGACAATGAATGACAGTTGTTCTTTGTTATAAAGTTTCAAAGAACTCAGCTGAAATGTGTTTGTATTCTAGCGTTTTGTGGAGAGCAGAACCTGTGAGTGATAGAATTGGATATTTAGCTAGAGAGATTTCTAAACAAAGTGTTCAAGGAGTATCTTGGTTCCTCTTGACTCCTTATAGTGAAATGAGAGGAGAGGGAAATGAATCGCAGATGAGATTGTTAAGCAAAAAGGAACCAGAACTTAAAGATGTTGAAAATTCTCAGCCTATCTATGTTGTAAAAATGAGAAGGTATGTCCACAAGAGAACACTAAGGGGGTAACTGACCAACATTTTGATAAGTTGATAAGTGATGGTATGAACCATGAACCTAATCAGCTATCTCAGCAGAGGCCAGGAATAGAGATGGGTTTATACAGCAAAGATACAGCCAATTTGAAGGGACAGAGAGAGTGGAATCACAGCCAATTTGAATTAAAAGGGACAGAGAGAGTGGAATAAATGGAAATAAAGGAAGACTTTCAAATTTCTTTGCTTCTACAGGACAGAATGATAAAACTATTCAGCTGTAAATTTGTACTATTCTTCAAAAAAATAAATAAAAAGAAGAAGAAAAAGAATTGCCCAAAGGCAATTCAGAGAGCATCAAGTTTTGACAGAGCAGAGCTCCAACAGAAGCCTGGCCCAGTGGGGGCAGGGATTTCTGAAGCTTCAGGGGTATGATCCTTTTCTGGTAGGGAACTAAGATACCAATTTACCATCTAGCATTGTATTACTGAGGAACTCCTCTTTCTAAAGAAGCAAAAGCAAAGCAAAACTCCCTTTGAGAAGAAGCAGAATTTTTCTAAACTAATGAAAAACTTTTAAAATTAGATTTATATCAGCTCAAAGAATGTAGCAAAAGTAATTGTTCCTTTATGGAAATCACTCTTCTATTGATGTCTTCTTAGGCAATTTTTTCTGCTTCCACTGAATTGCAGTCAATTACTCCCTGGTCTCTGAGCACTGCTAATAGGTAGGGAAAAACTGAAGAATGGATATAAGGAGGAAACTGAAGTCATAAATATGCCAACTGAATGTAAGCAGCATTAATTACAGGCACTCGTAGATGACAGAATATTAAAACTCCAAGCTGCTAGAGTTTTAACCTACATTCACTTTTGCATTAAAATATTTCACCATGTACTTTGGCAAGATCTGTATCACCTTACTCTGAAGGTATCTAGAGTTGGAATATCAGACTTGAGAGTCCGACTCTCAACCCTCTCATATATTGTGTTCTGTTGGGAGGTTTCCATTTCTCACACAGTCTGCTCACCAAATGGCAAGAGATGGTTAAACTGATATTTTCTTAAGCTTTTACGTTCTCCTGGAAGTGGTCATTATAGATTTATATCATACTGCACTTACGGTATAAAACATATAGAACGAATGATTTGTTTCACCTAAGTCAAACTTTAGGTGGGTAGTCCTCATTGTATAAGAATTCTTGAGGATGACATAATTCAGAGGGTAGAGGGAGTAGAAATCACATGAGCTTGATTGATATTCAGAAAGACAAGAGCTTTGTCGTTTGTCATTGTATGAAAACGTCAGATTCCTCACCTGTAGAATTGAGATACTGTCTCCCTCACAGGATTGTCATCAGAATTAAAAAATAGAGTAAATGTATTGAGCATTGAGGCCAGCCCTAAGAGCTCAATAAATGTTAATTTTCTCCTCAGCTTTTCTAAAATTTTGCATTAATTCACAGAATTTTACAACTATAAAGCTGAAAAGAACTTTGGACATCTTTGTAACACTTATTACTGGTGTGGAAATAGGGTAGGAGATATTGAGTTGGTCATGTTCATATAGAAGATGGCTTAAAGCCCCACTTCTTATTCCTTCCTAATATTCAGCTAAAGACTGATGGCTTTCTGCTTTTCTTCTTGTTGTTTAATAAAAGGGTAAGTCTGTGCTACCTCTGTGATATCAAGGAATTGTCTTTTTCTGGAGGATTTTAAAATCTATAATTTGCTGTTCATTATATTTGTTTGCCTTGTCATTATCTCCAGCCACTTGTCTGTACTTTTCCTATCTCTGTACTGTCCTTGTCATGCTGCTTGGTACTTCAAAGATAAACCTCTAACCCTCACCTCACCCCAGGTACAAAGGAAGTGCGGAAGTTAAACCTCTCCCCAACACACAGGCAGTAAAAGACCTTCTGTACTAGGGACACAAACAAAACCAACAGAAAACAACAAACAAACAACAACAACAACAAAAAAAAAAAAACAGAGGAAGAGAAGACTCCACAAAAGGTTAGACTTTCCAGATTTATGGGAGAAACGGTCTTTCATTTTCTAGGAGGACGCAAGTGAGCTTTTTATCTAACGGAAGCTCAGGAAACCGAATAGCTGGAAAATGAAGATCATTAATAATTTCTTCTTTTAAGAGGTGTGATTATAAAATTAAAGAATGAGTCATTCTACTGTTTAGTCTATGAAAGTAGGAACTGGTTTTTCTTTTGTTTCTTTTTCTCCTCCCCTCCCCAGAGGAACACACAGATGATTTAAGCAGCCTTCGATTACAACATACCTAAAATAATAAAGCAATTGAAGAGGGAAAAAAATCAGCCGAAGGTGTATACCCCCTCCACGCTGGGTGACTGTGGTATATTTCATCTTCGCATTCTAAATCAATGCTAAGCAAAGCACAGAAATGTTTACCTTTGTCTGATCTCTAATTCCCTAAATTTATGTGGAATCATGCACAGATGCGCTGGAAACCAGCCTGGAAAAGCCTGGCATTTTAATTGATCCCAGAGCTTCTTGCCTCACGGCTCCTGCTGTGATGAAGTCTGCTACTTGTTCCAAAGATTCTCCGCCTGGTTGCCTAGCCACGGCAGCTGGCCAATCAAGGTGTTCGTATGCAGCGAAGGAAGTAACCAATCAATTTTTTAATTTCCTTCTGTAAACGGGAGTGAATCGGGGTGGATTTGAAATCTCATTAGTCAAAAGTAAGACGTGTAGTGTGCATTTTAACATATGTATTAGTTGAATACATTTGGCATTGAGTCATAAATTCTGAAGAATATTTGAAAGCCCATTTCAGACAAGCTTGAACCTTGAACCTTGAATTACTAACTTTTTAAAAATGTTTTATATTTTTACTAGTGCACTCCATGTATAAAATTTAAATAGACTTCTCCCCCTCCTAATTTAACACCCGCCTCCTTGAACACCAGTTTCTTATTAAAATTTCCTTTTAAAGACATTTTATTCTGTCAATTTGGCTGGATTTATCCTCTCTCATGAGCAATACTCTGGTGTAAGGCCCAGATTTCTTCCCATTTGGATGCTGAAACAGCCCCCTGATCCTAGTTCCTCCAATCCCTTCTAGAAGCCATACTCAATTGTCTTATAGCTTCTCCAATCTATCGTATAAGGCATGATCAATTGTCGTTACTTCAGTCCTCTTCTGGAAAACTTCTACTCAAATGCAGGCAGTCATGGCTTGAAGTGAGCACTTACTGATTGACATATTTCAGTAAATTGTCTGGTATCTCTGAGCCTCAGTTTCCTCATCAGTAAATATGGAAGTAATTAGGTCAAAGGAGATAATGTCTGTAAAGCACTTAATCAGGGTCATCTTATATTTGTACATATAAATATAAGTATCTTCTATTGTTTCTTACTATTATTTCTTCTATTATTTCTTACTTATATTTGTATATGTATCTTCTATTATTTATATCTTCTATTATTGCTTACTATTATTTAATGTCTCCTTTTTTGTTAATCTTTTTATTATATCTTCAAAGTTTTTTATAATCTTGCCTTGATTCCATCCATCTGTCCATTCTTATTTCTAATAATCCTTCCCATATCTCATTTCTCATCACCGTGTGTTCATCACTCTGATCAGACAGTCTCCTCATAGAGCCTCAGATTCTTCATGTTATACTGGTGTCATTCCGTAACTTCTACTGATCCTTCAGCAGATATTCAAACTCATGTATCACTTTCTAGTGGAAGATTACTTCGTTATAAGCTTTCACAAAATCATGTTAAATTACTTCCATAGATTTTTCTCAGTTCGTAATTATACATTGCTTGTACAGCTATTTAACTAATTGATGTTACCTCCCTGACAATGCAGGGACAACTGTGAGAACAGGAACAGTACAAGTTTTTGTTTTTCACTCTATTCCTAGAGCCTAATATGTAAGTATGTTATGAATATTTGTTGAGAGAATATTGTCAAATTCTTATCTACTGAAATGGGCTCTAATCTTGCCCCTTTTCCAGATCTGAAAAATCTTATCTTTTGAAACTCTATATTAATTCCGTTGGAGGGAATCAATATTTAAACAAACATTTACTGAACACATTCTGCGTGCCCTATATTATAATGGGTAATATAGACGAATTATTTTCCTAAACTTCATGGAGAAATACTGGATAAATAGATAAAATTTACTTAAAGCAAGTGCTTAACTCTGTGTGTGCATGTGTGTGTGCGCACGTGTGTGTGTGTTGGTGGAGTAGGAATGAAGCAGTGTGGTCCAGTAGAAAGAAACAGGGGACTGAGAAATCTGGCCTTTGATACTCGATCCTGAACAAACTTGGGTAAATCACTTCTCCTTTCTAGGCTTCTGTTTCCTTGTCTGTAACCTCAGCAGATTGAATCAGTATTTCTTTAAGATGCCTTCAAACTTTGTGGGTTGAAATAAAACATGTTAAGGTATTAACATATCAGCAAGATTTTTTTAAAAAATCCTTTTATTTAAGGTTTATACGGGTAAATAAATGTATTTAGTAATATATAATTAGAATATTATATTGTGCTTTTCTCTAGGATACAATAAATTAACATTTCTAGTGGTTCTACAGTGGACTTTATAACCATCACTTTTTGCACTTTTAAAATTTATACAATAAGTACAGTATTGAAAAAAGACATTGTGATAGGCCCCATGTGAGGGGGCCTCACATGAACAATGAACAGTGAAAGAAGTGTGGTCTTGGTCCTTATAGAGCTCATCATTAGTGCAGGGTGCATCCATTGTACTTGCCATTTTATACTTACTTTTTTTCTGTAGTTGAGATCTTTCACATTTCTTTATATTTTTTTTCTTTTCTTTCTTTCTTTTTTTTTTTTTTTTTGAGACGGAGTCTTGCTCTATCGCCCAGGCTGGAGTGCAGTGGCGTGATCTCGGATCTCGCCTCACTGCAAGCTCCGCCTCTCGGGTTCACGCCATTCTCCTACTTCAGCCTCCCGAGTAGCTGCGACTACAGGCGCCCGCCACCATGCCCGGCTAAATTTTTTGTATTTTTAGTAGAGACGGGGTTTCACCATGTTAGCCAGGATGGTCTCGATCTCCTGACCTCATGATCCGCCCACCTTGGCCTCCCAAAGTGCAGGGATTATAGGCTTGAGCCACTGCGCCCGGCCTAATATATCATTATTTACATGTGCTTCTTATTCTTGGTTGTTACTTATGTGCAAGTATTCTATTCTCATCAAAATTATAAATTTTTGGAGGTTGCATTGTGTGTGTGGGAATGATCCTAAATCACAAAATTTCATGCCAATTTTAGTTTTTAAATATTCTGTTTTGTTACTATGAATGTACATGAAAATTGTCATTGTATAGCGATATTTATTTGGAAATTGTTGTTGCTTTATATGCAATTAATGGCTAACACACATGGAATGGCTGTTATGCACCAGCATTTGCCATGATTATTTTAACTAATCCTCACAACTGTCTATGTGATACTGTTATCATTCCCATTTTATGAATGGAGAAACTGAGGCCAAGAGTTGTTAAAACACTGGCCCAAAATATTGTTCAATGTATATGTGGGACTTCAAGTCAGGCTCTCTGGCTACTAAAGGCATGCCTTTTCCATGTTATGCATTTTCATATACTCATGTTTCCTTCACATTACTGAGAAAAATACAATTGCTCTGGTAACATAATAAATTCTTAATAAATTTTTATTGAATCATATTTTTAGTAAAATCATGAAATTCGTTTTGGAGCCATATAAATCTTTGTTTCTTTGTTCTTTTCTGTTTTCTAATAAATCCTACTAGCCTTTTTTTTTTTTTTTTTTTTTTTTTTGAGGCAAGATCTCATTCTGTTATCCAGGTTGGAGTGCAGTGGCAAGGTCACAGCTCATGCAGCCTCAACCTCCCAGGCTCAAGCAATCCTCTTACCTCAGCCTCCCTTGTAGCTGGGACTACAGATGTGCACCACCATGAGTGGCTAATTTCCTTCCTTCCTTTCCTCCCTTCCTCCCTCCCTCCCTCCCTCCCTCCCTCCCTCTCTCTCTCTCTCTCTCTCTCTCTTTCTTTCTTTCTTTCTTTCTTTCTTTCTTTCTTTCTTTCTTTCTTTCTTTTTTGATACAGGGTCTTGCTCTGTCAGTCAGGCTCGGGTGCAGTGGCGTGATCATCACTCACTGCAGCCTCCACCTGATGGGTTCAAGCAATCTTTCTGATTGCTCAGCCTCTCGAGTAGCTGGGACTACAAGCATGCACCTCCACACCTGGCTAATTTTATTATTACTACTTGTAGAGATGGGGGTCTCCCTGTGTCACTCAGGCCGTCTTGAACTCCTGGGTTCAAGCGATCCTCCCGTGTCGGACTCTTAAAGTGTTAGGCTTAACAGGCTTGAGCCACCGCACTGGGCATTGATAAGCCCTATTAGATTCAATAGAATTATCTAGGGGAGAGAAAACAGTGAGAACAGAAAGAAAAAATATCTGGAGCTATTTTATGCCAACTTGTGAATTTACATGATTTTAAGTGTTTGGAGATTTTTCTAAAGACATGTATTTTCAAAGCACCAAATTTTGTACTTTGGTTGCATGATATTATACGATCTTCAAAACAACCCTATGAAGTAGGTGCTATAATCATTCCCTTTTTAGGGGTAAGGAAATTAAGGCTTTGCAAGATTAAGACACTTGCCTAAATATTTACTCTGGGTTAAAATACCAACTTGCCTTTACCCACATCATAGTAAATAGTAAGACAACTTACTTGCTCCTTTCTCCTCTCATTTTCTTTCCCTCTTTCCTTACTGAATTTGCAGTCTACCAAAATATGTGACTTACTGATGTTCTATTATTATTCCTTGCTACAAGGAATAATAGTAATAATGGTAACATTTAACACTTAATAGTAATTTAACATTTAATAGTAATAACAATTAATAGTAATAGTAATAACTATTAATAACATTAATAGTAATAGTAATAGTTAAACATTTATTAGGTATTAGTAATAGTAATAAACATTTGGTAGTAATTTAATATTTAATAGTAATAATGATAACATTTAACATTTAACACTTACTATATGTCAGGCATTGTTCTAAGCAATTTACATGTATTAATTTAATCTGTATAAAATTCCTGTATGGTAGCTACTATTGTTGTGTCCCTTAATTGAGATAATGCATGAAATGTGTTAGGCATATCTTCTAGTATAAAGGAGAGTGTAGTGTAGAGGTTCAATTAATACTAACTACTATTATTAATTTTGTCTGCACTTACATTTGGGACACACACAGTTTTACATATGTTAATCTTTTACGCATTAACGTGAGGGCTTTCTATGTGTGTGTGTGTGTGTGTGTGTGTGTGTGTGTGTCTGTCTATAATTGCTATGCAATCACAGAATCTTAGACAAAAAGGGGAATATATAAACCAACATTCCAACAAATAGAGTAATTCATTTTCCAGCTTCTTTGACAGTTTTATTCTGTCATGTTCTTCTGACCTCTTACTGAATTCTGCTTAATGAGTTCACTGAGTTTTGAAGACATTTATTCTTTTGATAGCTCTATTTTTTAGAAAGTCTTGTTTCGTATTGAGTTGAAATTAACCTTCCTGGGATGGTACCTGATTGTACAGAAAAACAATGTACCCTTGAACATTGAAATCAACTGGGTCTGGCCTTCAATCCTGACTCTATCATTTGCTAGCTGTGGCTCTAACTTAAGTTACTTAAGTTACTCAGTATCTCAGTACCTCATTTTCTCTTTCTGTAAAAGGAAGATCATAATCCCTATTGCAGAGGGTTATTGTGGTGACTCATTGAAACACGTTTCCATTATTAAGTAGTGCACTCACAGGGTGCTTTGTACCAATTTACTCTGCCCCCGTAATTTCACATCTGGCAGGCCATGCCCTCCCCTCTGCACCACGCTAAGCTAGCAAGAGGCATCTTAGTTCAAGTATATGGAGAACAGGGACTAAGGTGCCTGCCAAGGAAATGTGGACTGGCTTCATTAACTGCTATTAGATCCAGTTTGCCACATTACTCACAGGCTGGCACTGCACGGTATCAAAGAGCAGAAACCCTTGCAGAAGTATTGACCTTACCTCCAAATGGCTACCGGGGTTTTGTTCAGGCATAAATCAAATCTGGAAAGAGGTTCCCTAGAGAACTCAGCTACCAGCTATGCAGCAGCAAGTCACTGGGGTAAAGAAAGCATGGGAGCAAGCTATTAGTTATTATGGACTGCGAGACTGAACAGCTCACAATGTCAGGGATGGTTTGGGGGTGGGTAAAACTGGGCAAAAGTCAATCCTTTCAGCCCCATGATGGAAATAATATTTCTAAATAATAGCATAGGAGTTATTCAATATATTTTTTTATTTTTGGCCATATAAATGCATGCATGGTTGCATGAATAAATAAATGGCTAGGGGATGCATAAATGTCATTCAAAGGTGCATATTCACCATCTAGTTTTCACATCATCTATTCATTTATTTACCAGATTTGTTATATGCTAAGGACTATGGTAGGTGCTAGAAATTTCAACATTAATGTGATACAAAGTCTCTCAAATAATTGTTAATCTAGTAGGAAAGGATGTGAATATCTAATTATGAAATAATATGGTTAGTGTAGTAACATTATAGTGGGAACTCTATTGAAGGAAAACAAAATTATTTCTGCTGGAGTTTGGGGAACAGAAATGAAACAAGGATTCTCATTGAACGATACGTTTGAATTGAATCGTAAGGAATGAGTAGTTTTACAAGTGAGAAGAGGAGGATAAGAAGTACATTTTGGCCTAGCACAGTGGCTCACACCTGTAATCCCAGCACTTTAGGAGGCTGAGGCAGGTGGATCACCTGAGGTTAGGAGTTCAAAACCAGCCTGACCAATATGATGAAACTCCATATCTACTAAAAACACAAAAATTAGCCGGGTGTGGTGGCGGGCGTCTGTAATCCCAGCTATTCTGGAGGCTGAGGCGGGAAAATTGCTTGACCCAGGCAGTGGAGGTTGCAGTGAGCCAAGATCATGCCAGTGCACTCCAGCCTGGGCAACAAAGTGAGATTCTGTCTCAAAAAAAAAAAAAAAAAAAAAAAAAAAACCAGAAAAAAGTACATTTCAGGCAGAAGGAATAGCATTTATGTTTATAAGCCATTTTGGGAAAGAGTAAACAATCTAGGATAAATAGAATGCAGCAAGAGAAAGCTGTAGGACCTGAAGCTTAAAAGGAAGGTTGAAAGAAGACTTGGATGGACTCTAAGTAGAGAAAGAAATTGTTCATGATGGATAAATAATTCTGACACTTATTCATGTCTTCTAGTTTTGTTCACTTTCCAACCACATTCATTTTTTGATCTGTTATGTCTGTTGGTCACTCCCTGCCTACAGACGGTGCCCTGCAAGATCCATCATTGCCACATTTGGCCTAGAATAGTGCTGTCTTAACTGGAAGTCTGTACGTGCTTCCTAAAGCTGTAAAACCCTTAAAGTGGACAAATAATGTTACACTTAACTGGTCACAAAGTCTCTCTTTCCCTTTTCTTTAAAGTTTCCTTAAAATGAATACTTGAGAAGGCATAACTTTATTCATTCACTCATTTGTGTATTCATTCACTCATTATGTATCTTGGTCCTGTGAAGGACCAAGAGCAATACTGTCAAAATCCCTGGATGTCATCACATCTCTATCATGTCCTTCATCTCTATCTTATTCTTTTCCTGATCACTTTCACCTAATTACTTTTACATTTCTTAGATACAGGCACAAAATCCATCATGCATATTGTCCCCTGAGTTGTTTTATCTCCACTGGAAATCCAGAAATGCTCAGGCTCTCAATTTCAGGAGTTACCAGCCAGTTCCCTTTAGCAAGGAAATTTACTGTAGAAAATAAGTCACTTTTAAGATTGCAAGAGTCCACTAGACTTTCAGAATCCATTGTTAGGAGCACTATTGACTCATCAGAAAATACCAAAACAACACAGAATATTTAATATTTCATTACACACGAACCACTTGCTAAGAAGTCCCAATTCTGTTATTCCAAACTGAAATTATGACTATCTTCTTTTGGACTCCAAGTTATTTATAGAAAAATGAACTTTGCATTTCTGGTAGTATATTTTCATGAAAATGAAACTTAATGGTTGAAAAATAAAGTAAAATTTCAAATCATTAATCAAAGCCCCAAAGTTGTGATGAATATTGAACAATACAAGAGCATCACAAAATATAAGATTTTCTGTAAAGAATAATTTTGATAAATTACATGGATATTAGCATATACAAATATTGTATTTCCTTTCTTTTCTGACAATACTCAAAGTGTTATTTATCCCTGTTATGCAAACATGAAAAAATATGTGACTAAATCTATGCCTTCTTAAACATGAGGCTCATTCAAAAATTTAGGTGATACTTATGTTCTCTAGAGTCTTTCTTTTCCAAGGTAGACACACAGCTGGTTTTTCCCTAGATTCTTCTGTTGTTTGTTGAAAAACATGATATTTCTGTATGGCCATTCCAGGTCGCTGATTAGTTTATCAAATGAATTCAACAAATGGCTCCAGTTGAAATGTGATCAGCTTGAAAAACATCAGTAATTCCTGCTTATGTTAGAACATTATTATTATTTATTAATCCAGTCTAAAAAATCTCTAACTGTTTCTTTAGGGAATGGATTAGTGAAGATGTCAAATGCCCAATCTAATGACAAAATTCTTGGGCAGAAATTGGAAATACAAGTCCAGTAATGAACTGAAAACACACATTAATTTAACTAAAATGAAATTTTATGATATCTCTTAAATTTTCATTATGTTTTATTTTATTTATCATTTCTCTTCAGTTAAATTATTTCCTCAAAGTTAGTGGCCACATTTTTAAGAGGCAACATAAAGCTGTAGACCTACAAATACAAAGAGCTAAGAAAATGCAAAAAAAAAAAAACAACTTGTGTTATAGTCTTAATTCACCCACTTATACGTAACCTTAGCAAGTCTTTAAATCTCTGGGTTTCATATTTTCCACCAATAATACCCATTCCATTCCTCATAGAATTGCAAAAAAAATCAAATGATGTAATGAATAAAAATATACCCTAACAATTATAAAACTCTGTACAGATTATGGGACCATGACTCTTCCTCATTCACAAGAATGCACTTAGTAAGTACATCTAACATATAAATTAATAACACGTTTGTGTCTCCACAGCACCAAGGGAGGTTAGCTACTTCTCTAAATTAAAAATAGATTTTCTTCTAATAATTCATTTAATACAGCTGGTGTGGACAAAGTGAGTAATGACGGGTAAACTACAGTTAAAGAAAAATCGTGTTTTCTAAAATCATAATTATAATAATTTGATGTTCTCTATCCTTGGTCTTTGGTGTGAAAAAATTTCTTTGGAGTGCTGGTAAAAGGATTTTTGTAGCTTTTGGCCTGAAAGGATCAAGTCCCACAGTGATCACAATGTGCTCAAGCCCTTCCTGCTCCGTAGGTATTACAGTCCTGAGTTAAAAAGAATACAGATGTCTGCAGATGAAAAGAAAACATATGAAATTCTCACTCTCAAGCCAGAGAGAATTCAAGCCAATCCAAGTGTGAAGGCTAATGTCACAGCTGAAATAGAAGTCAAGAGAGTAGCTTTGAATATAATTAAGATATGACAGTTTCACTCAGATCCCAAACCCAGACACCTAAAAGAAGAATTTCCTCAAAGGTGTGAAGGTGAAAATAAAATGTTTCTGAAATTGGGCCTTGTGCCCAAACTAATGAATTTCCCATTGAGTTACTAATTATCTAGAGACATGACCATCAGAAAAGAGATCTGGGAGATGAATTTTTATTTGAATTATTTGGATTTCTCCTCTCTTTGAGGTCTGTGGAAATTATTCCTTTGGTTAAAAAAAGCGGGGGGACGGGAAGTCCAGAGTTTCAAAAGAACGGAATTCAGGTCTTCTCATTTTAACTAGATCCCTGTTTTTTAGGCATACTGTTGGCATTGAATCTGTGCCAAAAATGCCAGCCATCAAGGGAGAAAGCACAGTAAGTTTAATTTTAACATTATATAACCAGGGTAGGGACTTTGGTTCTACTATGGACCAATCATTCATAAAAGATTTTAAATTTATTAAGTCTCAGAGAAAATAAGCAAAACAACATCAAACAAACTGAAAAATTTTAAATGTTTTTACATGCATACATACACACACACACTAACACACACACACACACACACACTATAAAACAAGAATAAGACCCAGATTTATTTGATAACAAAACCCATACTCTTCCCACCGTATCTTGCTTACAAAGGAATAAGGGCTACGACAACAAAGGGCAGAGAAGAGTATAATTTATTACCTGGAGAATATCAATAACTAATTGTTTTCTACTTTTTAATTTCTCCAATGTTTAAAACCTACATTCAGAGCAGTATTTACTAAAATACATTTTGAAAAATTCTAGTACTTCAACTTAGTAGCCAATGAAAGTTTCAATGATCAAAAAAGTTGGAAACTCTATAATATACATACTTTTTGGGAAATTGTCACTGACTATTGCCCTGTTAAGGCCTTTAACATCTCTTACTCAATTTTGGTTTTTGTGTTTTTAATATTTATTTAGTCATGCAATATTCTCTTGGAAATTCTGATTTGGAGGTCACATTTTAAATGAGATGATTAGAACATCTCACAACAGTGTTATCAGTTATAATCAGAATTATAGTACAAATTATTATTAAAGTGAAGCCAAAGAACTTGAAAACCAAAGACCTAGGGATTCAAACTTTATCTTAGACTCTTGAGGAGCCAAATGATATTTTAGTGCATATCAAACGTTTTTTAAAGTATGCTCCATAGGAATGTTCAGAGAGACAAGTATGTTTTTGGGGTTCTAATTCCAAGAGAATATGAGGACAGCTCTTCCTTTTTCCAAAAAAAAAAAAATCACTTTTATATATCAGACTTCTATGCCATAGGTGGTGATTAGATACTCTTTTCTGATTGTTTTGATTATCTATGTTTTAGTTATTGCAGAATACAGTAGCAATCCACAATAAAACTTGTACTCATTGATATTCCAACTTACTACACATCAGTGACTGAAATGAAATACTCCTTAGATCTTGGGAATCCAAAGGGCTTCCTTTTTTCTTACAGCTTGCCTTGTTGATCCAAAATGAACCTCCCAAAACATCACCATCGTCATGCCACACATCAAGTCAGAAATCTTCATTTGTTTTCTCATGGCTTCCAGAAGAGTCTGCATTAATACATTATCATGTTTTTTGGGGGTGTAGCTAAATTCTGTCTTCTTAAAAAATAGATAAATAAAAAATAACCTTCAACTTTTCCAGCCTGCAATGATCTCACATACTATTTTTGATTCCTCCATAAGTTACGCATTTTATCCTTGGTCGTATATTGTTTTTTACACATATTAGTTGCTTTATTATATCCTTGACCAGATATAAAAAACTTGGGATAATAGAAAGCACATAGTAATGTCCAAGCCAACTGGAAGTTGAACAGGGATTCAACTACTTTCCAACAATGTGAACGTTATCAAATCATTTGAATTATCTGAGTCTCATTGATTTTCCAGGAGGCTTGTAAGGATTGCTAATAATGTGTCCACTGTGACACTTGACACATAATATATATTTAACAAACATTAGTTGTGCCAAACCTTTTTTAAAGCCAAAAGCTTTAAAGAAGCTTCTACCCACCATGGTGCTCATTGCACAGTGTTATCCTTAAGAAGAATGTAATCATAACTTGTTGAATCAAATAACCTGAAAAAATTTATTTATTGACCTTATTCAGTCATCAATTACACAAACCATATTTTTAGGTACTTCAGGCATTCAAAAAATATTTAATGAATTGGTCTGTATGTGTCAGGCATTGTACTAGTCTATGGGGATACAGTACTGAACGGAACAAAAATCTCTGCCTTCCTAGAGAACACATGATGAGCACCTCACATTCCCTGCCTGGTTATTAGTGGCCTGCCTGGCTTTGCCATATCTGTGTCTAACTAATTTCAGGATATTAGCGGCCTATATATTACCACTTGAAATATAACCAGGCTTTAGCATTTTAGAGGCTAAAAATGGTGTCAATTTTCATAATGTCATTAATATATTATAGAGAGTTGTGAAAAAATCAATTTTCCCCATAGTATCTAATAAAATATTTTTTTCATTTTGAACTAAAATAATCTTACGAATATTCTTCCTCTTATTTCTGAACTAGCCTCTATATACAAATGATGAGTTACTGGTATATTAAGCCAAAAATTAATAGGCATCATTATAGTAAATGCTTGATTTGTCATAAATCAATGATCACCATTATCGATTTATAGCACCCAAGAATTTTTCCAGCTGTGCCAAGAGTTTCTAAATTATAGAAATCAGAATCCATTTTTATGAAAATAAATATAATTTATTCTTATGATTACCAGAATTTCTGTGGAGACAATATCTACTTCACATCCTCTACTGAATCCCTATGCCCTGATTTTTTATTTAAGAAAGTATGGTCTTAGTATTCAAACCGGTGCTTTATTTTTCATTTTTTACTCATTTAATTTTTTATAAATAAAGAAGGCACATTCATGGTAAAAAGGAATTAAGAGTACAGAAGAGAATGAGATAATTAAACTTTAAAGGTCCCTTTCTCCACCCTCAAACTCTTCTACTTTGCCCCAGAAGTAACTACTTGTTGTTTGTTTATATTCTAGAAAGGTACACACATATGCATATAGATTTTTTTAAAATAAATTGATCATTTTATACGTAATAGTTCATAATGATCTTGACACTAAATTCTATATTTTGATTATCTTTTCACCATTAAAACATCAATTTTCTTTTAACTTTATTGAAGTATAATCTACATAGAGGAAAATTCACCAATTTTAAGTGTACATTTTATTGAGTTTTGATGTGTGTATTAACATAGTCACCGACACAGTCATATTTACATTACTCTAAAAGTTTCCTTTAAATTTCTTTACAATGAAGCTCCTTCTTAGACCTCCTGCCACTGATGTGCTATCTCTATTGGTTTTACCTTTTCTAACAATTCAAATAAGTGAAACCATGCAGCGTGTGATCTTCTGTGGCTGGCTTTTTTTTTTTTCACCTACCAAAATGCCATTGTGGTTTATCCAATTGTTACATGTATTAATAGTTCATTTCTTTTCATTGCCAAATATTATTCTGTTATCTCTATATACCATGATTTATTTATCTACTCACCAGGTGATGGACATTTGCATGGTGCTCAATTTTTGGCTATTTAAATAAATCTACTATGAACACTCAAGCACAAATCTTTGTGTAAATATGTGTTTTCATTTCTCCTGGTAAACACCTAGATGTGGAATTGCTGGTTTATGTGGTAAGTGTATGTCATTGAGAAACTGCCAAACTTATTTTCACCAAACCACATTCTACTAGCAGTGTATGAAGGCTACAGTCTCATACACTGCTAGTGTATATGTCCTTGCCACACCTGCTATTGTTAATCTTTGTAATTTTAGCTATTTTAGTGGCTATGTAGTTGTATGCCATTGTGGTGATTTTAATTTGCATTTCTCTAACAACTAAAGTTTTTGAGCATCTTTTTATATGCATATTTGCTATTCTTATATCTTCTTGGTAAAATATTTCTTCAAAATTTTTTCCATTTTTGATTGGGCTATTTTTACTCTTGTTATTGATTAATAAAGTGTTCTTTCTATATATTCTGGAAACAAATTCTTTTTTTAAATTTTATTTTAAGTTCTGGGGTACATATGCAGGATGTGCAGGTTTGTTACATTGGTAAACATGTGTCATGGTGGTTTGCTGCACCTATCAACGCATTACCTAAGTATTAAGCCTGGCATGCATTAGCTATTTTTCCTGATGCTCTCCCCAGCCCCCGCCCTCGCCATACAGGCTCCAGTATGTGTTGTTTCCCTCCCTGTATCCAAGTGTTCTCATTGTCCCGCTCCCAGTTATAACTGAGAACCTGTGTTGTTTGGTTCAGAAACAAAGTTCTTTATCAGATATATGTTTGGCAAATATTACTCTCATGCTGTGGCTTGCCTTTTGATTCTCATTACAATGTCTTTTAATGAGATCTATCATGTTTTCTTTATCATCTATTGCTTTTTGTGTCCTAGCTAACTTTCCTCAACCCAGGGTCACATTGATTTTCTTCTACCTTTGTTTTCCTGGAAGTTTTATATGTGTGACTATTACCTTTAGTTTTTTTATTCATTTCAAATTAAATTTGTGTGTAGTATGTGGCAAGGGTGTAGGCTAATTTTTTGTGTATGGTTATCTAATCAGTCCAGCATAATTTGTTTGAAAGATTATATTTTAGGTTGCTTCGGTGACTTCGTTGAACATCAATTGATAAGAAGGAACCTATTTCTGGGATCTCTATTCTCTTCCACTTAGATATATTTTTACATTTGTACCATACTGTTTTAATTATCGGAGTTTTATATTAAGTGTGTAAATTTAGTAGTAAAAGTCCTTAAACTTTAATTTTTTTCTAACCCATTTTGTTATTCTGGGTCCTTCACATTTTAAAAATAAACTTTACATTTAGCTCATCAATTCTACCACGTAAAAAAAAACCTTACTGAGATTTTACTGTGAATTGTGGATTAACTTGTAGAAAACTAACATTTTGATGTTAACTCTTCCAGTCTCTCTATTTATTTAGGTTTTCTTCAATTTCTCTCAGCAATATTTTGTAATTTTCAGTGCACAGCTTTTGCACATATTTTGTTAACTTTATTCCTGAATATTAATAATTTTGATGCTGCTGTAAATGCTATTATTTTTAAAGGTCAATTTCTACTTCTTGCTAATAGACGTACAATCCATTTATTATGCATACTTTATATTCAGTAACGTTAATGTACTTATTAATTCTAGTAACTTATTTTTATAAGTCAAATAGAGTTTTCTGTATAAACATCAATATTAACTGGATATAATACAATCGTATGTCTTCCTCTTGTCCTAAGACTTCCAATATGGTCTTTAGTAAAAGTGTAGAGAGAGGACATCCTTGTATTGTTTCCAATCTTTTTTTTTTTTTTTTTTTTTGAGAGGGAGTCTTGCTGTGTCTCCCAGGCTTGAGAGCGGTGGCGCGATCTCAGCTCACTGCAAGCTCCACACCACCCCACCACCCCCAACCCCCCCGCCTCCCTGGGTTCACGCCATTCTCCTGCCTCAGCCTCCCAGGTAGCTGGGAATATAGGCGCCCGCCACCACGCGCCTGGCTAATTTTCTGTATTTTTAGTAGAGACGGGGTTTCACCGTGTTAGCCAGGATGGTCTCGATCTCCTGATCTCGTGATCCACCCGCCTCAGCCTCCCAAAGTGCTGGGATTACAGGCGTGAGCCACCGTGCCCGGCCCCGTATTGTTTGTAATCTTAAGAAGAAAACACTTAGTCTTTTACCATTAATTATGATACTAATTACAGGTTTTTCATAGATATTCATTATCTGATTGAGAAATTATTATTTTTATTCCTAGCTTTGTTTGTTTGTTTTTGAGACAGTCTTGCTCCATTGCCCAGGTGCAATCTGGGCTCACTACAACCTCTGCCTTTCGGACTCAAGTGATTCTCCTGCTTCAGACTTTCAAGTAGCTGGGATTACAGGTGTGCAACACCACAGCCTGCTGGGTTTTTTTTTTTTTTTTGTAGTTTTAGTGAAGACAAGGTTTCGCAATGTTGGCCAGGATGGTCTTGAACCCCTGGCCTCAAGCAATCTGCCCACCTTAGCCTCCCAAAGTGTTGGGATTACAAGAGTGAGTCACCACTCCTGGCCTATTCCTAGCTTTCTGAGAGGTTATTTTTTAGTTATCAATGGGTATTGAGTTTTGTTAAATGCTTTTTCTGAATCTATTAAGACTATCATACAGTTTTTACTTTTTAACCTGTTAACACGATGGTTTAATTTACATATGCATACATTACAGGAATTTTTAATATAATTCATGCATTTATACATTTATACATTTTGTTTTATAACCTTCTGTTGACACGT
Organism: Homo sapiens; assembly: GCF_000001405.40. Classification (NCBI taxonomy): domain Eukaryota; kingdom Metazoa; phylum Chordata; class Mammalia; order Primates; family Hominidae; genus Homo; species Homo sapiens. The sequence continues at coordinate 22,507,566 of NC_000011.10, forward strand.
AATTCTTTATCTTGGTTATTTTTTCATAATCAAAATATTATAAAGATCTACCCTGCTTTTTAATAACTAGCTAAAATCCCATTGTATGGATGTACCACAATTTAATTAACTGTTAGCACATTTATAAACATTTAAGTCATTTCCAAATTTTTTTGCAACTATAAAAATTGCTGTGATTAATACTCCTAGAAGTGGAATTCCTGCATTCAGGTGTATCAGCATTTAATAGTTTGACAGATATTGCCAAATTTCACTTCAAAAAAAAAAAGGCTCAAAAAGCATTTCTACCTATAATTATTGAAAGTATCTTTACTTTCACTAATACTGAGAATTAGCAAATGTTTAAATCTTTGCCAAGATTATAGGCATTGTATTTTTTTAATTTTGTGTTTCTTTAATTATGTATTTGAGAATGATGGGGAATAATGTTATGCTATCAAACAAATGTTGATTTGCTATTCTAACTCCAGAAGGTTGGGCACAAGTGCAAGAATAATAACAGCTACTACTTGTGAAGCATTTACCATGTGCTAGACACTGCCCTAAGCACTTTTGTCATATTATAACATTTAATTGTAATAATTCTATGACATAGGTAATGTTATAATCTTCATTTTACATATAATTTCAGAGATAAATAGAGAAAATAAGATATTTTACTAACTACTCAGCTGCAAGAGGAGACTCCTCTTATTTCTCACATGTTGAAATCAACCAACAACTGTTTTAAAATGCCAATCTCAATGAGTAGAATAGGAATTAAAATTCCAGCTTCAAATCTTCCTAAGAGTAAATTAAGGAGTCAGCCAAATAATATCTTTAACAACTCACTGTTTCTTAGTCTAAGCATATTTTTTTCATTTTTTTCTAAACACAAGTGAAGATGCCTCCAATGACTGATTTCTATGTTGTATTTCTAAGCCTTAAAAACAAGTGCTCAATCAAATATCTAATAAGAGCGTTACAATGATAAATGGTTTCATTTAGAGACCTTGGTACTTCCAAACCCAACTCATTAGGTTTGAAGTGGTACAATTAGAGCAGTGTGGGGGATGGTCTGGGGGATGTGTGGATCAGAGCGCTCAAGGGAATTGCAGTTTTAATTTTAATTTGTGGGATTTCACTTCCGATTTCTTCTCTTTTCACTTCCAATCAGAGCTGCAAACTACTTTTTATGCACCTTCTGCAGCCTTGTATGACTTCCCTGAGGAACTTACACTTGTTTTCCTCTCCATTAATGTGCAATTTCTCCTCCTGTTTCATTGTGTAGAGCTAAGAAGGTGAAGTAATTGAAAGCGCCCCTTTCTTTTCACTCTGGTAAGTAAGGAGATCTTTTTTCATGCTGACAGTGGGGTCTCAGAGGCCAGACTCTGTTTGCACTAGAAACTTGCTTTTCTAAACCTCTAAACACTTCACCATATGTTCAGCTCACATGTTCTCCTGGCTGGTTAATTTAACCCATGCAAGGTTCCTCTGTGCTTGGGGTGAACACTGGGGCCATAGCCTGCTTGCGAATGATTATTTATGGGGATGTAAATTCACAGGTCACTTGTAGTGACCTCTGGGTGCTTCACTGAACTGTGACAGACACCTCTGTGGAGTGAGTACAGAGGAAAGATATTTCAAATTTAAAGATGAAACACAATACACAGGTCTGACACCTAGGGTTTTATTTAGTTCATATTCAGTTCATAAATTTAAAGCAATATATGCTTCTAAAAATTATGTATTTCTTGTATACATTGATAACACTCAACCTGATCCAAAATACCAGTTTACACAAATGCATGTAATGCCACTGGGTAACACAGATATGAGGCAAAAAAAAAAAAATAATAATAATAATAGAGGTAACAATGAAACTAAAGTAAGGAATTAAAAAAGCATTGTTCCCAAAATCTATACCATGCAATCCTACATCATCGCTAGAGATAAGTCATCTATGTGACTCTAAATTTTCTAGCAGCCAAAGCAAAAACTTAAAGCAAATTTCAAAGTTTACTATAGACATATGGTATAAACTTTCTAGTTTCTTGGCAGTATATTTTACACAATAATGAGATTTGATATAAATTTCTCCTGGAACAGCACATTGAGGGGGTCTCTGTAACGGAGTTCTCTGTGAGATTACAGTGATCAACATCTTCAGTCATGATCCTATAATCAATATTAAAACTGATTTTTAATATTCCTGAATGAAGTTTAATCTCTTCCATATCAATTACAATTTAGTAAAAGCAATTTTATTAAGATGGGTCAAAACAATGTAGTACAGGTATTCATCTCTCCGATATATTTTTGTTCATTTAAGAACAAAATGTGAATGATGCAGAGAGAAAAAATGAAGGGAATATGAAAAAGCTAACCTGGAAATATTAATTCCTACAAACAGACTTGATTATAACCGGTAAATAAAGAATTATAGTTTATATTCTCCAGCACAAACTGAGTGCAGATATGTTTTGATAATTAACTGAAAGAGAGCAGAGCTAATATTTAAAGATATTGAGAAATGTGTTGTTGATTTTGGTCTTCATTTATTGCTTCCAGATCTGAAATTACAACAGGCTGAGTGGAGCGGGAATGAGCCTGTGTGTTGCTCAAGCTGTGAAGAGCCAAGTTACAGAAGAGGTAGAGGAAATATGACAGGGCTCAAACAACGGCTGCTGAATTATAATATTTCTGAAGGCCCTAAAGTATGCTCTTTCTTCCCTCACCCCCTTGCCCCTGAGCCAGTCAGGGATGAGACTGGCAGAGCACTACTACTACATCCCTTCTGCTTTCTGTCATAAACCTGGAACACTCTAGCATGATTAAAGAGATTCAAACAATGCACTCAACTCCAATTCTTTCTGAATCCATTCTTGCCAAGAAATTATAAAGTGGAATATGTGAGTATTTTTCTTAAATAATGGTGATTTTGAGAACTTGAGAAAAGCTCTGAGCCCTCTTCCCTCTCCGCTCAGCACTCCAAACACCCCTACACATTGTTTTGTGCAATTTTGGAGTGTTTATATAACCCCTGATATCCAGATTAAGAACTTTGGTTTTAAAGGCCCTGCTATTTATAGGAAAGTCCAGACTCTTTAAATGGTCCTGCCATTCCTTCAGGTAGGACGTGCTTTCGTCTTCCATTCTCCAATCAATTCCTGCCATATCCCTGACCCCAAGCAAGACCCTGAATACTTCAGTTTCTTAAAATATGTCATGCTTATCATGCCTCAGAGTATTTGTTTATACCCTTTCGTCTGCCCTTTCTTTCTAATTTTTCTGGCAAACTCTCACAGAGCCTTCCTGAGCCAGCTCTGAAAACTTAACTTCTCCTTAGTTGTCTCTCCCCACCCATCAGGATTGCTCACTTACATCTTTACTCACAGTGTATTGCACCAACTTCTATACAGCATGAGTCACTCTATTCTAATTATTTGTTGGCATGTGGATCTCCTATATTGGAAAGTAACTTATAAAAACATTAATCATTTATTACTCACCTCTCAAGGTGTGCAGTGGCATGATCTCAGCTTGCTTCAACCTCTGCCTTCCAGGTTTAAGCGATTCTCCTTGCCTCAGCCTCCCAAGTAGCTGGGATTACAGGCGCATGCCACCATGCCCAGCTAATTTTTGTATTTCTAGTAGAGACAGGGTTTAACCATGTCAGTGAAGCTGGTCTCTAACTCCTGACCTCAAGCAATCCACCCACCTCAGCATCCCAAACTCCTGTGATTACAGGCATGAGCCACTGCACCCGGCCCAAAATTCCCATTACTTTTGAAAGCAGAGGCTCTGAGAGACATTTATGGAATCGAATGCTTTTAGAGATTCTAACTAAGATAATTTTTGGAACACGTCCCTGTTTGGAAAATTGGTTTGGCCAAATATCTCAACGTATTAGGAAGAAATATTTACAAGGAATCTGATTTAATTAAGGTGCATTCTTCAGAATTAACTGCTAAACACTGGAATTACTGGCTTGGAAGTGTTACAGGAATATCTAACACCGTAAGATTGTAAAAGATGACTTATTTATTCCCCACACTCTAACTACACAATCATCAGTAAAATTAGTTGGAATATTTCGCAAGTAGATCATGGATTAATAACTATAAATTCTTCCAGATTTTTGTAATGAGGATCTTCGTTGAAAATCTTGCAGTGTGCTGTGTGACATAAGAGAAGGAGGAAGAGCTTAATCTCAGCATGCCATCTCGTAGGTGTTTTTAACCTCTCAGAGGCTTCAATCATGAAGTGGGCATAGGTGTATAATAAGGATTAAATGAGATAAGGGTGGGAAGATGAATAAGATGTTTAGCAGAAGCAGCTGAGTGACTTCTATAATGTTGTCTATTCTGACTGCAAGAGGTATGCTGGGAGTTCAGGGTATCTATGGCCGGACAAGATAGAAACAATGGCCCCTGAGGATGATGAAACCTAACGCTGGCCTATAAGAGCAGAGCAGCCACTACCTCTTTCTGCAGAACTACGCCAGTGCTTTAAAATCTTCCTGAAGTGGTTAACATTTAGAGGGAGTCAGTAGGGTAGGAGGAATAAAACAGTGCTTTGGATTCAAATCTTGACTCTGCCTCAAATTAATACCTACTATTTTTGAAACTTTAATAAGGTGATAAGCACTGTGTGTGTGTGTGTTTGTGTGTGTGTGTGTAGAGTTTTATCTCATTCTTAGAACAACCTCATAGAAGCATAGTATTGCTTTGTTAACGAGTATTTTTCATTTCACTGGTGAGTAGCCTGAGACTTAGCAAGGTTAAGCAACTCATCCAATGTAAGACAGCTAGTAAGAGGCACCTGGATTTGCATTCCAGGTCATTTAGGACATAACCACATCACTATAGTATCTCTGTGATTTTCAGTAAATTACTTAATATTGTTGAACTTTAGATTCCTTGTCAGTGAAATGGAGGTCAGAATTTCTCCTTCCTGTCTTGTTCTGAGATTTAACTAAGGTAATGCATGAAGAGTGCCTCACCACAGCCTCAGGATCAGCACAACTTGTTAAAAATAAAGATTGATCTCATAGTTGAATGCATGTTTGTGTGTGTAGGGGGAGTTCTCGTCTCAGTCTGAGGAGGGGAATTTTTTTTTTTTTTTACTCACTCATGTGGAGTTGCCAAGTGAGGCTGACTGCCAGTCATCAGTCAGCATGGGTTTATATGACCAGCCCAGGGCTCAAAAGTTGGCTGGGATGTGCAAATCAGTCAGGCTTTGAGGTAGGCTGGGGGTTCCATGGTCCAGGATGGCTATGCAGTGAGGTACTTTGCACCAACTATTTGTGCCTTTTAAGGAACCTATAAAGAAAGAAGAAAAACCGAAAATCTATTGCCTGAATTTACACTTTGGAGACCTGAGAAGTGGGAGAAAGGAAGTGGGCTGGAACAAAGGATTTGTTTATTTTTTCCTCTTGCTTCATGAATACCAAGGCCGTTATTTTTTCAGTCCCTCCCTCTGCCTCCCACCCATCCCCCACCAACACATAACCCACCCTGAGCCACTTGTTTGGAAAGACAGCAAAGTCAGTAAAGATGCCCTTCTATTATTTAAACACAAGTGTTTCAAGGATTCTCCCTAAATGGTGAGATAGATAGATATGCACTCGTACACACACGCACACGTGCACACACACTGGATTGCTATGGATTAATTAGGATACACATTCCACACTATGTCCCAGATATAATAAGAATTTAATTAGCCTTCAGTATTACATTGTTGAAAGTATACAGAATTAAGAATCAGATATAACCAGTATAAAATTCTAGTTCTGGGCCGGGCGCGGTGGCTCACGCCTGTAATCCTAGCACTTTGGGAGGCCGAGGCGGGCGGATCAAGAGGTCAGGAGATGGAGACCATCCTGGCGAACACTGTGAAACCCCGTCTCTACTAAAAATACAAAAAAAAAAAAATTAGCCAGCTGTGGTGGCGGGCGCCTGTAGTCCCAACTACTCGGGAGGCTGAGGCACGTGAATGGCATGAACCCGGGGGGCGGAGCCTGCAGTGAGCGGACATCACGCCACTGTACTCCAGCCTGGGCAACAGAGCGAGACTCCACCTCAAAAAAAAGAAAAAAAAAAAAAAATTCTGGTCCTGGCATATCTAACCACTGTCCATTCTTTAATCTCATGTAGCCTCCATTTTGCTTCTCTATAAAACAGGAATTATATCTACCTTGCAGATTTCACTTGCTGACTAAATGATATAAAGAGTATAATGCAACTAGAGCAGTGTCTAAATCAGCAAATGTTGATCGCTTCTCTACAATGGGTATTTCTAATAGATTCCTCAAAAATTTTACCATATTGATCATCACAACCGCTCAACCACCCCACCACCAACCATTTTTTCCGTAATGTTCTTTTTCTTTTTTTTCAGGATATAGCACTTGTTCTCTGCCCCTAGAGGAAGGGAATTCCCTTCTCGTCTTCTCAATCCATAATATCCATTTGATAATCATATATTTTACTGCGGTGGAAAGAAAATGAGCTGTGTCCATGCCAGAGTATGAGTGCCTTTTAAGTGTCCCACTCCCTGCAGCACAGATCCTGCTCAGTGGGAAAAGGATTCCCTACTGCATTTATAGCACTCTGGACATCTGATTTCTTGAACCTCTAACTCGACTGTTCCATGCTATACTTTTCACTTCATTTTCTTGACTGCCCTGGTTACCAATTTTTCACTTTTTCTAGCATTTAATTCTTGTGTTATTCTTTAGCACTGAATATATTTCCAGCCCTCTGGCAATCTTGGATATCTTTTTGACTGGATATCTTTTATTTGGACTTGATGTACTCATGGATTAGTGGACTATCTCTCAAGATAGATGGAACCAAGTTGCTGTATCTGGGGCTGGAGTAAAGCACGAAGCTAGAGTAACCAGAGGGGCTGTGCTTCAGAAGTGGAATAAGGCGCTAGGTGGGACCTTCTAAATCAGTCAGCACTCCAAAGAGGATGGACTCAGAAAGAATCAGGACATGAAACAGAGCATTGCAGGTTCTATGGAGATCCAGTAAGAACGGACAGTAAGGGTTTGCTTCGGAGAGTGGGAGGTGTAACCTAGGACAATTCCTTTCTGAAGAAAGCAGTGGCTTTTTATAGGGTTTTTGTGGCCTTAAAATTGTTAGAAATAAAGCAGTTAAAGAAACATTGTGTGTAGTAGACATATATGGTATTTTCTGCTCAATACTCCATTTCCAGGAATCACTGTTCCACCCAAACTTATGTTTGCAGTGGAAGCAGCTGGGATTTTTTTCTTGTTTCTTGTTTCTTTTTTTTTTCCTTTTTTTTTTCTGTGTTGTGTTTTTTGTTTGTTTGTTTGTTTTTTTAAGACAGAATCCTGCTCTGTTGCCTAGGCTGGAATGCAGTAGGGCAACCTCCGTCTTCTGAGTTCAAGTGATTCTCCTGCCTCAACCTCCTGGGTAGCTGGGATTACAGGTGTCTGCCACCATGTCTGGCTATTTTTTGTATTTTTAGTAGAAACAGGGTTTCATTATGTTGGCCAAGATGGCCTCGAACTCTTGACCTTAAGTAATCTGCCCATCTCGGCCTCCCAAAGTGCTGGGATTACAGGCGTGAGCCGCCATTCCTGGCCAGCAGCTATGTTTTAATTTTTTTCTGACCCTTGGCATTACAGATTGACCTAGGGAAAGAAATCTAACCCAAGCTGGGCCAATGAACCCCTTCTCTAGGACATTTGGACATAGAGTTTAAAGTCTAAGAAATAATGCTGAGGATTTATACTAGATAAGTTTTTTTACTATGTACAAAAAAGAAGCAGCAGCCAATCTTTAGAGAAAGAGAAGAATGAATAGACATAAAAAAGGGACTCTCATGGGATATTACAATATATTTATAATAGCCTATTTTTACTTAAAGATAGTTCTAGTTAAATTTTAGTTTTTGAAATAAAAGAACTAACTCTAAGTATGCCAAATAAAGTGCACCTTTGAGCCTTTGCTGAAGTCATTCTCCTGAGACTGCCTCCCTTCCTACTCCACTTTACGTTTTATAATCCATCCACAAATATCTCTCCTTCTCCGAAAAGCCCTCCCTGACCATACCTAATGTTAGCCTTTTGGAATGCCTCTTAAATGAGCAGTTTGATTAAGTTCTTGATGGATTAAATATAAAAAGGCTTTTTGTATTTTCTATTTTTTTTACTTTGACTGTGATCGTTCAACTTCCCTCAGTAATTTTTATACATTTAACTTGAAGTCAGATTAGTTATGTATTAAAGCACAAAATTCTGTATCACAAAAAGTACTTCATTAGGTGCCTAATCATAGAGATTTTTCATTATCAAGGTACAGAGGAGTAAAACATTTTATTAGAAATATTTTCACTCCCACACGACCTAATGTTACCTGACAGCCTGCTTTTGGCCAGTTGTGGGTCTAGGTATATGCTTTTGAAAGACAAGGGAATACAAAGAGGACTCAAATTGTGTGCTTGGTTTCGGTGCTTAAATAAAACTCAGAGAAATTAATTTGGATTTTGGATTCTACAAAGCAGTATTCCGGATAGCTCTTTTGTCTCAGCCCAGATTTCAAAATGGTAAAAACACTGGCCTAAGAAACGGGACACACACACATGCATGCACACATTCAGCTCTGGCTGTATCTGTGGTAGCATTATGAATGCAGCTGCTGGACCCAGTAGTGAGTATCGACAATAGGAGATGGGACACAGCAGACGGTCAGCACATTCACTCAAATGTCAGGCAGTGGCATCATTAACATAGTGCAGTGTCCAATAACTACAAGCTCCCCACGGATGGGGACTGTGCAGGAATAATTACTTGGACATCACATGTACTTCATCACTTCCAAATTAGATTTTGCTAATCCACCGCTTTATTTTCAGGGTAATCTCATTAGTACAATGGTGTTCCTTTTTTTTTTTTTTTTTTTCAATGCCTTGGAAGATTTATTGCTTTGAACCAATAGTAAGATTAAGTGATTGCCAAAGGACATATTATTTTAAGATTTAAACTAATTTAAGTGGGGCTGTGCAAATCTATTTATTCTTCTTCCTCATCCCCCACACCTCAAGAAATATTTTAGGGTAAAAAAAAAATATATCTCCATACCTTGATTTTCCTTTTTTACAATACAAATAAAATCTTATTAAAGAATGCTGTTGATTTTCTAGAAATGAGAAGAAAGCTAAACTCATTGTCATACACAGCCTATCCTCGTAAAAAATGCATCCAGGAAAGATGTCTATTTTCAGTGAACACTTTGTTTTGTATATTCTAATTTTTCTCCATTAATAATAGGATAAAATGAATGCTTTTTGTGGGTTTTGTTTTTCCATCTGTGCTGACCCAGAAAAGGTAAAGTTGAAGGAGCTACAAATTCCAGACCATGCCAGATAGGAATTATTTTGTTCTTCCACAAGTTTATTTCAAAAAATTCTTGTCTTAATTGACAAAACATCTTATAATATCATGGAAAACAAGACAAATTACGATGGAAAACTACAAAGCAATCCACAATGTCTTGCTTCTAGATTTATTTTATTAAAAGTACTCATGGTATTTTCCTGGCTACACACATACTTATACACACCTTATACAATTTCAGACCTTATCTAATTTCCATATTAGAGAGTCATAAATGTGTGATTAATGATTGACTGAATGACTATTAGCTATCTGTAAATAACTAACAGATGTGAAGTTATAGTAATTAGTTGCATTCTTTTTGCAGAGAGGTTTTTCACTACAGAAGCATCTAAATTAACAGAAAAATATCAAATAAAATATTTGCCTTTCATATAAGATAGGCATTATACTAGATATTGACATTGCTAAAATAATTAAGGTTAGCATGTTTTCTCTCCCCAGGGTACATAAAAAGTTGTGAGTGAACCAGACAATTAGATGCATGGAAATTATTTACTGTGATGAGTAAACTACAAATGCAACAGAGAAACTCTCCATAGGTACATAAACAGGTCTTTGAAGAAAACTTGATATTTACTGTCTTCTAAATTATTCTTTAGGATCCAACCAGTCATTTGGATTATGTCTTTTCTGTAAACTCATGGGAATTTATCAACGAATTACCCCCACATGCCCCATACTGAGAGTGTTTGCTAGGACCTTCTCTGCTACGAGAAAGAAAATAAAATTTTGGAAGACCTAGCTTTCGGTCCTGGGTCTTCCAGTAATTAAACTTCCAATTTGGGGAAGAGCTCCCAGGGTTCAGTTTCCATGTCTGCATGATGAAGAATTGAACTGAAGTATCTTTGCTTTTAACTTCTGTTTTAGGTTCAGGGGTACATGTGCAGATTTGTTATATAGGTAAACGAGTGTCATGGGGGTTTGTTGTAAAGTATCTTTACGAGTGTTTAGAATTCAGAAAAACTCATAATCTTAGTTGTCTTTCCAGGTTATCTCTCCTGCATTTTTACAGGTACATGTAAGACCATAAAACCCAAGATAAGGAAAAGGAGAAGAAAAAGAGAGTTAACCATAACTAAGCACCTGTTATGTGGCATTGACATTTCACAACAAAATAGAGGTAGAGTACTCTGCATGGTTTACTAACCTTAGGTGGCAAGGTCTACTATATACCTCAGTAGAACTGAGACCCAAACACAATTCTTTTTTTTTTTTATTACATGGATGAAATTGGAAATCATCATTCTCAGTAAACTATCGCAAGAACAAAAAACCAAACACCGCATATTCTCACTCATAGGTGGGAATTGAACAATGAGAACACATGGACACAGGAAGGGGAACATCACACTCTGGGGACTGTTGTGGGGTGGGGGTGGGTGGGGAGGGATAGCATTAGGAGATACACCTAATGCTAAATGACGAGTTAATGGGTGCAGCACACCAGCTTGGCACATGTATACATATGTAACTAACCTGCACATTGTGCACATGTACCCTAAAACTTAAAGTATAACAATAATAAGTGATGACTCACTAATGATGGCATTTCAGCTGCCTACACATGGAAGAGGAACAATGACTCAAGACAGAGAAGACTTCCCAGAACCCGTTGACAGACAATTTTTAAAGGCACATAAAATAACCATATTTGAGAAAATAAGTACAAAAAAAGCACCTAAAATCACATGAACACCAACAAAAATTAAAGAAATTCTTTGGTTGAGGATGTCCCTTTCCTGAAAGGTCATTCTTTTACTCCTGCAGTATAATTACTCTTTGTATCTCTAAGGGTAACACTGCCTTTCACCTGAAAAAAAGTCTCACACTGACAGCATGGTACAAAATCAGAATAATGACTGGGGCTGGGTGCAATGGCTCACACCTGTAATCCCAGTACTTTGGGAGGCTGAGGCAGGTGGATCATAAGGTCAAGAGTTCAAGACCAGCCTGGCCAAGATGATGAAACCCCATCTCTACTAAAAATACAAAAATTAGCCTTGCGTGGTGGTGGGTGCCTGTAATCCCAGCTACTCAGGAGGCTGAGGCAGAGAATTGCTTGAACCCAGGAGGCAGAGGTTGCAGTGAGGCGAGATCGCACCATTGCGCTCCAGCCTGGGTGACAGAGCAAGACTCCATTTCGAAAAAATAAATAAATAAATAAAAGAATAGTGATAGTGACTGGGATCTAGGGAAAAGGACCTTTCAAACTGGTTTGATGATCTGATGATCGCATCATTTCTCGATACTCTGTAGCCCAAACAAAAGAGTTGACTGCATTTTCCATTTCTAGCTTGTTGCTATGGTAATACAGCTCAGCTCTTTTCTAAAGTTTGTTACATAAAAATGGTTGTTTTACCCAACTTTGTAGGAGATGGTGACAACTTTGAGTTGTCAGTACCTAAACAGTAGTGGCAAAGCCACAACTAGGAAAGACAGAGAGGTTAGAGATCCGTGACAGGTGGGAAGGATGTCAAATCCTAGTCACCTAGACTTGGCATCTGACTAAGGTGGCAGGCCTGGCAAAGACTGAAGAGGATGTAGCACCAAGAAACCAGGGCCTACAATCAGGAAACCCAAATATATTTAAGAGTTGAGTGTTCTGTTAGGTTGAGCAGTCCCCTGAATGACTGAGCCCCATAAACTCACAGTGACTTTTCTTGAAGTTTCTTTTTAATAACTTTTGATTTTGTAATGATTTTAGAATAATTGCAACCATAGTACAGAGAGTTCCTGTGTACCTCTTGTATGAGTTTTCTATGGCTTTTATAACAAATTATGAGTTTTCTATGGCTTTTATAACAAATTATGAGTTTTCTATGGCTTTTGTAACAAACTTGGTGGTTTAAAATTACATGAATTTATCACTGTACAATTGTGGAAGTCAGGAGTCTGAAATAGCGCTTATTGGGTAAAATTAAGGTGTTGCCAAGGCTCCGTTACTTCTGGAGGCTCAAGAGGAAAGCCTATATCCACGCTTTTTCCAGCTTTCAGAGGCTTTCTGCATTGCTTGGTGTGTGGCTGCCTTCCATCTTCAAAGCCAGCAATAGCCAGTCAAGATTTTCTTCTATTGCGTCACTCTGACACTGATTCTTATTTCTCCCTCTTCCTCATTTAAGGACTCTTACTATTATCTTGTGTCTACCTGGACAAACTCATGATTATCTCCCTATCATAAGATCAACTGATTAACAACCTTAATTCCATCAGCTACCTTGATTCTCCTTTGCCAGATAATTTAACATACTCATCTGTCTCAGAGTTTAGGGCATGGACATTCTTTGGAGGCCATTATTCTGCCTATCACACCCCTTATCTAAATTCCCTCATTGTTACTATTTTACTTTACCCTTGTACGTTTGGCAAAACTAAGAAACTGACATTGGTACATTACTATTTACTAAACTTCAGACTTTATCTGGATTTCACAGTTTTTCCATGATGTTCTTTTTATATTCCAAGACCAATCCACAATACCACATTTTATTTAGTTGTCATGTCTTCTGGGCTGAGTCTCCTCTAAACTAGGGAAATTTCACAGTCTTTCCTTCATTTTCATGATTGTCTCAGTTTGAGGAATACTGAAGGGTACAGTGTTTTAACAGTTCACCCCTACTCTGAGTACATCACATTTCTTATTTCAGTCAATAAGCAAAAACAGAAGGGCAAAATACTTGTTTAACTTGCCAGAGCATCATATTCCAGCTTTGCAGGGGTACTCCAGTAAACTGCTGTTATGATGATTGGACTCCTTCCAAGCAGTGTCCAATCATTGCCTCTAAAAGAAAAATAAGAGTTCCAGTGTCCAAAGTCAAGCCTTCCTGGAGTCTCTTTTATTCATTATGGAAATATATAGTTTTCACTAAAGACATAGCATACTATAACTTAATGAGAATAGGACTTAAGATAAAAATGTATAAAATGTTTTTCTCTTGTTATTAGTGCTATTCTTCTTGTTATTTTTAAAGAGTTTATTGAGAAATTAGAAAATGCAAATAAGAAAAAATATTTAAAACTGAATGAAACACACTTAGAAATAATCCTGTAAACACCCTGGTGTATACTGTTTCTGAATTAAAAAAAGAAAATTACGATTATGTAATACTTAAGTCTGATCTTCTTTTTCATTTATTATCATCTCAAATTTCTTTTAGTGTTATAGCAGATGTTCCATGTTTTAGACATACTTAAAAGTACCCTGATTTATATAGTTTATCTCTAAGTTTACTGTCATGAAGATACACTAAGATACATTTTGTGGATATACCTAACTATTCCTTTAGGATAAATTCTCTGTGGAAAAATTTCTGCTATGTTAGGTTGTATTGGCATGACAACAACTCAAAATCTTGGAGACCTAAGACAGTGGTTTGTGATATGAGTCATCAGGGTTGCCTGGGTTCTGCTTCGTATTGTGTACTCTGGAACTAAGCTGTCAGAGCAGTCATTCTCTTGTACACTGCCAGTTATCAAGGCAGTGAGGTGAGAGTAGTGAAGCACATGACGACTCTTGAAATTAATTGGCCAAATCAAGTCATGTGGTCAAGTCTGACTGCAAGGAGGCAGGAGAGTATAAGCATCTCATAGAGAGATATACCTTGTCAAATGGCCCTCTAGAATGGTTTCACTGGTTTATGTTTCCACCAGAATACATGAAAGTGGTGATTTCCACATGCTTTGCAAACACTGCATATTACCATGTTCTTATACTTGCCAATTTGACAGGAAAAAATAATGTTTTATTTCTAAAAGTTACATTTAGTTGATAATTAATAAAGAAGGATCCTGCTTAAATTTAGTTTTACATTTAATGGATGTGAGTCCTTGAGTAAATTAGCTAATATCTCCAGCCTGTGTTTACTTTCTATATAATGGAAAGAATAATTTCTTATTCAATTATGGTAAAGATTAAAGTCGATAATATATAAGATTACTTTGTAAACTCTGAAAGGCTTTTAAAGGAGGAACCTATTTAATAATCATCTACACAGTATCAAATGTCTAATAATAATAATAGGAACTGCAGCATTATGGACTGAGGGGTAGAGGAGTGATCAAGGCATTGCAATCAAATTTCTGGTCCCATGTACACCAGTCATAAGTTCTTCAACTGTTAAAGGATTATAATACTCTTCCTGAAGGGCTATTCTGAAGATTCAATAAAAATAAATAATATAGAGCATAAAATAGATAATAAAAAACATTTATCATTAATGGTAATATAATAGTCAATAAATATTTATGGAGTGAATTGTATCATCACTGTCATTTGAAAGCAATCATTAAGCTTACAAAATTAATGTTTCAAGCCCTAAACTTTTCAAATTTGTTTTTTGTGGACTTCAGTTTGTCTTAAGGACTATTAAGCATGTCTTTATAAAACCTTTGTTTAAAGTAGCATTTAAAGTTATGCATTAACTTACTGACATTTAAAGTTAACTGCTACGGTCAGCATATCTTTGAAGAAAAGGAAAATTATATTAACTATAGAACTTTTATCCATTAAATGTGTCCGTTTGTGGAAGGAGAACTAGTGAGTTCTTTATGCACAATTTGTCCTTGGTAACTTTCTATCATAATGCACAAGGACACATAGTTCATTATAATTTTTATAATTTTTCTTTCTTTTGTTATTTTAATAAGTGCTGGTGCAGATCACAGATGCCAAAGACAGAGAAGAAAATGGAATGTGTTGACTTTTCTCAATCGCTCATTCATTTACTCATTCATTCAGCCCCTATGTGTCAAGCATTTATTCTGTGCCAGGCTCTACACTAAATGTTTTACATGTATTATCTTACTGAATCTTCCTAATAAATTCAGGAAGTAGGTATTATGATAATTTTAACTTTTATGAAATATGAAATTAAATTGAGTGAGTTTAAGTACTCTGCTTATGATCACAGTTGGAAAGTGGCAGATCCAAGGCCAAAACTGAGATCATATTTTTTCAAAATCATACTCTTTTTATTTTTTAATAGGACCTGGGAGGTTTCATTTTACTTAATATAGTAACATAAAAGTCATCACATTATAAACTTAGTGAACATAGTATCTGACAAACAGTAGAGATATGATACATGTTAAATATACAACTAAGAAATAATAGGAAGTAGTGGTGATGAAAGGCAAGAGCCACATTAATAAATTCCAAAAATATTTATTTAAAATTTTATATGACTGAGAAATGGTTTATGTTTTATTTATTTATTTATTTATTTATTATTATACTTTAAGTTTTAGGGTACATGTGCACATTGTGCAGGTTAGTTACATACGTATACATGTGCCATGCTGGTGTGCTGCACCCACTAACTCGTCATCTAGCATTAGGTATATCTCCCAATGCTATCCCTCCCCCCTCCCCCCACCCCACAACAGTCCCCAGAGTGTGATGTTCCCCTTCCTGTGTCCATGTGATCTCATTGTTCAATTCCCACCTATGAGTGAGAATATGCGGTGTTTGGTTTTTTGTTCTTGTGATAGTTTACTGAGAATGATGGTTTCCAATTTCATCCATGTCCCTACAAAGGACATGAACTCATCATTTTTTATGGCTGCATAGTATTCCATGGTGTATATGTGCCACATTTTCTTAATCCAGTCTATCATTGTTGGACATTTGGGTTGGTTCCAAGTCTTTGCTATTGAGAATAATGCCGCAATAAACATATGTGTGCATGTGTCTTTATAGCAGCATGATTTATAGTCCTTTGGGTATATACCCAGTAATGGGATGGCTGGGTCAAATGGTATTTCTAGTTCTAGATCCCTGAGGAATCGCCACACTGACTTCCACAATGGTTGAACTAGTTTACAGTCCCACCAACAGTGTAAAAGTGTTCCTATTTCTCCAAATCCTCTCCAGCACCTGTTGTTTCCTGACTTTTTAATGATTGCCATTCTAACTGGTGTGAGATGATAACTCATTGTGATTTTGATTTGCATTTCCCTGATGGCCAGTGATGGTGAGCATTTTTTCATGTGTTTTTTGGCTGCATAAATGTCTTCTTTTGAGAAGTGTCTGTTCATGTCCTTCGCCCACCTTTTGATGGGGTTGTTTGTTTTTTTCTTGTAAATTTGTTTGAGTTCATTGTAGATTCTGGATATTAGCCCTTTGTCAGATGAGTAGGTTGCGAAAATTTTCTCTCATTTTGTGGGTTGCCTGTTCACTCTGATGGTAGTTTCTTTTGCTGTGCAGAAACTCTTTAGTTTAATTAGATCCCATTTGTCAATTTTGGCTTTTGTTGCCATTGCTTTTGGTGTTTTAGACATGAAGTCCTTGCCCATGCCTATGTCCTGAATGGTAATGCCTAGGTTTTCTTCTAGGGTTTTTATGGTTTTAGGTCTAACGTTTAAGTTTTTAGTCCATCTTGAATTGATTTTTGTATAAGGTGTAAGGAAGGGATCCAGTTTCAGCTTTCTACATATGGCTAGCCAGTTTTCCCAGCACCATTTATTAAACAGGGAATCCTTTCCCCATTGCTTGTTTTTCTCAGGTTTGTCAGAGATCAGATAGTTGTAGATATGTGGCGTTATTTCTGAGGGCTCTGTTCTGTTCCATTGATCTATATCTCTGTTTTGGTACCAGTACCATGCTGTTTTGGTTACTGTAGCCTTGTAGTATAGTTTCAAGTCAGGTAGTGTGATGCCTCCAGCTTTGTTCTTTTGGCTTAGGATTGACTTGGCGATGCAGGCTCTTTTTTGGTTCCATATGAACATTAAAGTAGTTTTTTCCAATTCTGTGAAGAAAGTCATTGGTAGCTTGATGGGGATGGCATTGAATCTGTCAATTACCTTGGGCAGTATGGCCATTTTCATGATATTGATTCTTCCTACCCATGAGCATGGAATGTTCTTCCATTTGTTTGTATCCTCTTTTATTTCATTGAGCAGTGGTTTGTAGTTCTCCTTGAAGAGGTCCTTCACATCCCATGTAAGTTGGATTCCTAGGTATTTTATTCTCTTTGAAGCAATTGTGAATGGGAGTTCACTCATGATTTGGCTCTCTGTTTGTCTGTTGTTGGTGTATAGGAATGCTTGTGATTTTTTCACATTGATTTTGTATCCTGAGACTTTGCTGAAGTTGCTTATCAGCTTAAGGAGATTTTGGGCTGAGACAATGGGGTTTTCTAGATATACAATCATGTCATCTGCAAATAGGGACAATTTGACTTCCTCTTTTCCTAATTGAATACCCTTTATTTCCTTCTCCTGCCTAATTGCCCTGGCCAGAACTTCCAACACTATGTTGAATAGGAGTGGTGAGAGAGGGCATCCCTGTCTTGTGCCAGTTGTCAAAGGGAATGCTTCCAGTTTTTGCCCATTCAGTATGATATTGGCTGTGGGTTTGTCATAGATAGCTCTTATTATTTTGAAATATGTCCCATCAATACCTAATTTATTGAGAGTTTTTAGCATGAAGGGTTGTTGAATTTTGTCAAAGGTGTTTTCTGCATCTATTAAGATAATCATGTGGTTTTTGTCTTTGGCTCTGTTTATATGCTGGATTACATTTATTGATTTGTGTATATTGAACCAGCCTTGCATCTCAGGGATGAAGCCCACTTGATCATGGTGGATAAGCTTTTTGATGTGCTGCTGGATTCGGTTTGCCAGTATTTTATTGAGGATTTTTGCATCAATGTTCATCAAGGATATTGGTCTAAAATTCTCTTTTTTGGTTGTGTCTCTGCCCGGTTGTGGTATCAGAATGATGCTGGCCTCATAAAATGAGTTAGGGAGAATTCCCTCTTTTTCTATTGATTGGAATAGTTTCAGAAGGAAAGGTACCAGTTCCTCCTTGTACCTCTGGTAGAATTCGGCTGTGAATCCATCTGGTCCTGGACTCTTTTTGGTTGGTAAGCTATTGATTATTGCCACAATTTCAGAGCCTGTTATTGGTCTATTCAGAGATTCAACTTCTTCCTGGTTTAGTCTTGGGAGAGTGTATGTGTCAAGGAATTTATCTATTTCTTCTAGATATTCTAGTTTATTTGCGTAGAGGTGTTTGTAGTATTCTCTGATGGTAGTTTGTATTTCTGTGGGATGGGTGGTGATATCCCCTTTATCATTTTTTATTGCATCTATTTGATTATTCTTTTTTTCTTTATTAGTCTTGCTAGCGGTCTATCAATTTTGTTGATCCTTTCAAAAAACCAGCTCCTGGATTCATTAATTTTTTGAAGGGTTTTTTGTGTCTCTATTTCCTTCAGTTCTGCTCTGATTTTAGTTATTTCTTGTCTTCTGCTAGCTTTTGAATGTGTTTGCTCTTGCTTTTCTAGTTCTTTTAATTGTGATGTCAGGGTGTCAATTTTGGATCTTTCCTGCTTTCTCTTGTGGGCATTTAGTGCTATAAGTTTCCCTCTACACACTGCTTTGAATGCGTCCCAGAGATTCTGGTATGTTGTGTCTTTGTTCTCGTTGGTTTCAAAGAACATCTTTATTTCTGCCTTCATTTCTTTATGTATCCAGTAGTCATTCAGGAGCAGGTTGTTCAGTTTCCATGTAGTTGAGCGGTTTCGAGTGAGATTCTTAATCCTGAGTTCTAGTTTGATTGCACTGTGGTCTGAGAGATAGTTTGTTATAATTTCTGTTCTTTTACATTTGCTGAGGAGAGCTTTACTTCCAAGTATGTGGTCAATTTTGGAATAGGTGTGGTGTGGTGCTGAAAAAAATGTATATTCTGTTGATTTGGGGTGGAGAGTTCTGTAGATGTCTATTAGGTCCGCTTGGTGCAGAGATGAGTTCAATTCCTGGGCATCCTTGTTGACTTTCTGTCTTGTTGATCTGTCTAATGTTGACAGTGGGGTGTTAAAGTCTCCCATTATTAATGTGTGGGAGTCTAAGTCTCTTTGTAGGTCGTTCAGGACTTGCTTTATGAATCTGGGTGCTCCTGTATTGGGTGCATGTATATTTAGGATAGTTAGCTCTTCTTGTTGAATTGATCCCTTTACCATTATGTAATGGCCTTGTCTCTTTTGATCTTTGTTGGTTTAAAGTCTGTTTTATCAGAGACTAGGATTGCAACCCCTGCCTTTTTTTGTTTTCCATTTGCTTGGTAGATCTTCCTCCATCCTTTTATTGTGAGCCTATGTGTGTCTCTGCACGTGAGATGGGTTTCCTGAATACAGCACACTGATGGGTCTTGACTCTTTATCCAATTTGCCAGTCTGTGTCTTTTAATTGGAGCATTTAGTCCATTTACATTTAAAGTTAATAGTGTTATGTGTGAATTTGATCCTGTCATTATGATGTTAGCTGGTTCTTTTGCTGGTTAGTTGATGCAGTTTCTTCCTAGTCTCAATGGTCTTTACACTTTGGCATGATTTTGCAGCGGCTGGTACAAGTTGTTCCTTTCCATGTTTAGCGCTTTCTTCAGGAGCTCTTTTAGGGCAGGCCTGGTGGTGACAAAATCTCTCAGCATTTGCTTGTCTGTAAAGTATTTTATTTCTCCTTCACTTATGAAGCTTAGTTTGGCTGGATATGAAATTCTGGGTTGAAAATTCTTTTCTTTACGAATGTTGAATATTGGCCCCCACTCTCTTCTGGCTTGTAGGGTTTCTGCCGAGAGATCTGCTGTTAGTCTGATGGGCTTCCCTTTGAGGGTAACCCGACCTTTCTCTCTGGCTGCCCTTAACATTTTTTCCTTCATTTCAACTTTGGTGAATCTGACAATTATGTGTCTTGGAGTTGCTCTTCTCGAGGAGTATCTTTGTGTCGTTCTCTGTATTTCCTGAATCTGAACGTTGGCCTGCCTTGCTAGATTGGGGAAATTCTCCTGGATAATATCCTGCAGAGTGTTTTCCAACTTGGTTCCATTCTCCCCATCACTTTCAGGTACACCAATCAGACGTAGATTTGGTCTTTTCACATAGTCCCATATTTCTTGGAGGCTTTGCTCGTGTCTTTTTATTCTTTTTTCTCTAAACTTTCCTTCTCACTTCATTTCATTCATTTCATCTTCCATTGCTGATACCCTTTCTTCCAGTTGATCGCATCGGCTCCTGAGGCTTCTGCATTCTTCATGTAGTTCTCGAGCCTTGGTTTTCAGCTCCATCAGCTCCTTTAAGCACTTCTCTGTATTGGTTATTCTAGTTATACATTCTTCTAAATTTTTTTCAAAGTTTTCAACTTCTTTGCCTTTGGTTTGAATGTCCTCCCGTAGCTCGGAATAATTTGATCGTCTGAAGCCTTCTTCTCTCAGCTCGTCAAAGTCATTCTCCGTCCAGCTTTGTTCCGTTGCTGGTGAGGAGCTGCGTTCCTTTGGAGGAGGAGAGGCGCTCTGATTTTTAGAGTTTCCAGTTTTTCTGTTCTGTTTTTTCCCCATCTTTGTGGTTTTATCTACTTTTGGTCTTTGATGATGGTGATGTACAGATGGGTTTTTGGTGTGGATGTCCTTTCTGTTTGTTAGTTTTCCTTCTAACAGACAGGACCCTCAGCTGCAGGTCTGTTGGAGTACCCTGCAGTGTGAGGTGTCAGTGTGCCCCTGCTGGAGGGTGCCTCCCAGTTAGGCTGCTCGGGGGTCAGGGGTCAGGGACCCACTTGAGGAGGCAGTCTGCCTGTTCTCAGATCTCCAGCTGTGTACTGGGAGAACCACTGCTCTCTTCAAAGCTGTCAGACAGGGACATCTAAGTCTGCAGAGGTTACTGCTGTCTTTTTGTTTGTCTCTGCCCTGCCCCCAGAGGTGGAGCCTACAGAGGCAGGCAGGCCTCCTTGAGCTGTGGTGGGCTCCACCCAGCTCCAGGTTCCTGGCTGCTTTGTTTAACTAAGCAAGCCTGGGCAATGGTGGGCGCCCCTCCCCCAGCCTCGCTGCCGCCTTGCAGTTTGATCTCAGACTGCTGTGCCAGCAATCAGCGAGACTCCGTGGGGTAAGAGCCTCCGAGCCAGGTGTGGGATATAATCTCGTGGTGCGCCGTTTTTTAAGCCCATCGGAAAAGCGCAGTATTCGGGTGGGAGTGACCCGATTTTCCAGGTGCCTTCAGTCACCCCTTTCTTTGATTAGGAAAGGGAACTCCCTGACCCCTTGCGCTTCCCGAGAGAGGCAATGGCTCCCCCTGCTTTGGCTCGCGCAGGGTGCGCGCACCCACTGACCTGCGCCCACTCTCTGGCACTCCCTAGTGAGATGAACCCGGTACCTCAGATGGAAATGCAGAAATCACCCGTCTTCTGCGTCGCTCACGCTGGGAGCTGTAGACCGGAGCTGTTCCCATTCGGCCATCCTGGCTCCTCCGAGTCAAAAAGCATACTCTTAATCACCATGCTATGCTACCCCAAGGCAAAGGCATTTTAGGAAAAATAAGGTGAGAGGGAGAGCTAAATATTATTTAAAGATTTAACCTTGCATAACCAGGTTGATATGGGTTACTGAACTGAATTTATATCACCCAAGACAAATGTTTAACTTAGTGCATTTCTCAAGATATGATCAAGTCAACCATTACATTTATACTCTATCTATATCATACACTAAATACCTGAGTAAAAATTGTTTAAAGATACAACCTAGTTGCTTTTATTGGATCTTGGCTTTTTTGTTTGTTTGTTTGTTGTATTAGTTCATAGGTAAATATGAACAAAAGCCCATTGAGACTTTGGACATGGAATTAGCAGTATAAACTCACTTTTAATCCTAATCTAAAAATGCATCCTAATGCCGCAGAGAGTAACAGTACTTTGATGACAATTTAAGCAGCATAAAAACTAGAAATACGTTTCATTTTTAACTTTCCTCCTTTGGAAATTGTACATTAATGACTTGATATTTCTTGATTAAATAGACATATACCTTTCTGCCACTGAGAATATAATGATAAATATTTTTCTCTTTGATAAAGGCATGATTATGCAGTGGCATACTAAGGCCTGCCAGATAAGGCATTGATCACATACTCTATTTTCTGTAATAACATCACAAGTTTCTGAAACCAAAATAATTTTTCATGGCAGAAGTCTCCCACTGTTTACTTGACTCACCTTCGACCATTTTATTCATCAGGTCAAATCTTGCAGCTATCAATGAAGTATATTTTGCAATTAATTTACCTCAGTGAGATCACCAGGAAGTTGCCCTGTGATGAGTTCTTTATGGCTCTGGTGAGTGATTACTAATATCTGCTTTAAAAATTTTCCAGTGATTCTTAATAGAGTAGAACATTGAGCCTTGGCTACCCATTTATTTCCATGTTATAGTAGAGCCAAATCTGTTTCCTAAGCAAAATGTGGACCTAAGCCCCAATGGGTTCCTTTGAGCAACCTCTGTTCAGAATCACTGTGGCCAACTTGTCAGCCAAATGTGCCAGGTAAGTGCCTTCATTTTCCTTATTATGGGTAAACCTTACCCTGTTTTAGAATGATTGGAAATCTATAGACTTGCTCTTAATTGGAAACATAGATTATCTGCACTATAGGCTTTTACTGGAAAGTGTGACCTCAAACTGTTGCCATTCATTTGTTAGAGAAAGTCCAATCAAAGTAGTTAACATCCATAGAAGATTATCTGAAAGACGTGTAATCTATATTACTCTGAATATTCTAAAAGACCAAACAGCATGTTTTAGCATCTCGTTGAATTATTTTTACTACACTGCCACTGGTTGTGATGGCAACAGCCTTCACTGTAGAACATTATAGTAGATACATCCTGTATCAAAGGGATGTTATTGAGGACATTGTTGGTTAGAGCAGTTTGGGAAAGTAAGGAAAGATGTGCTAGGAAGCCCAGAATGAACTTGTGAGTCAGGTACAGACACTGATGCAGATCTCACCATATACACATTGTATGCTGACATTTTCTCTACTTTTCTACTTTCATTATCTTACCACCCCCCGATTTCGTCAACATTTATTTATTTATTTATTTATTTGTGTTAGAGATGGGGTCTCTCTATGTTGCCCAGGCAGGACTTGAACTACTCCTGGCCTGAAGTGATCCTTCCTCCTCAGGCTCTCAAGTAGCTAGAGCTATAGGCATGTGTCACTTCTCCTGGCTCTCAACCTTTCCTTTTTTATTGTATATTTTACATAATTGCAAATTTTTATTAAATAACCATACACACTAAAAAGGGTATGCCTTGATGACTTTTCACTAAGTGTTAACACCTGTGTTTCCACCACTTAGATGAAAAAATACATTTCCAGCACCAGAAATCATCACTTGTGCCTTCTCCAAAGCCCAATCCCACTTTCCTAGTTTTGCCACATTTTGACTCTATATAAATAAAATCATAATATATACTATTTTGGGTCTACTGTGTTCCCCTTCAATAATACATGTTTGTGAGAGTCATCTATTTTCCGTAATAATGCCACAAGTTTCTAAAATCAAAATAATTTTTCAAAGTATTATACCTTTATATAGCTGTAGTACGAATATTTTCATTGATCTACAGTATTCCACCATCAAAATACACCACAGTTTATTTAATAATTATTTAATCAGTCTATGGTTGATTGATATTTTGGATATATCCAGTTTGGAATATTAAAATAATACCTCTACAGATACTCTTACATGTGTCTTTCTGTGGGACATACATATATATAGTTGAGAGATAGATAGATAGATAGATAATAGACAGACAGATAGATATTCTGTCTAGAAAATAAAGCCTGCTTAAATATATTTTTTTGAAAAAATGAAGAAGGAAGTGGATATAAATGAAAACCTACAAAATATATTGTGGAAAGAGCATGAACTTCTAAGTCAAGTATCTAAACTGTTTTAAGTAGAAAAGTAAGATTATCAGAAGTAAATTTTCATTTGGTCAAAGGGTACAAAGTTTCAGTTAAGCAGGATAAATAAATTTTGGAGATCAAATGTACAGCAGAGTGACTATGGTTAATAATATTGTATTGTATACTTGAAATTTGCCAAGCAAATAGATTTTAAGTGTTCACGCCACACACAAAAAAGGTAGCTAAGTGAGATGATGAAAATGTTAATTAGCTTGATTTGTGGTAATCATTTTATAATGCATATGTACATCAAAACATTATGTTGTACACCTTAAATATATATAATTTTATTTGTAAATTATACCTCAATAAAGCTGGGAAAAGTTAAAAGAAGGAAAGAAAAAGAGAAAGAGTAAAGGAAATAAAAAAAGGAAATAAAAAAAGAATAGTAAAGAAAATAAGAAAAGGAAGAAAAGGAAAAGAAAGAAGAAAACAAAAGAAAAGAAAATTTTCAGCAATAAAGTGAAGATAATGAGTTACAATGGAATAAGTAAAATGAATTAGTTGACAACAGGAATGATCCCACTGTAAGCTGTTGAGTACTTCTGCCGGGAGGAGTAAGAGGGAAAGACCGAGGAAGAAATATGCAAGGAGATAGACTCTATGAGATTAGCGATGGATTGGATGAAGGAGAAGTGATTGGCAGATGAGAGGATGAGGGAGAAGGAGGCAATCATAATGACTTGAACATTTGGTGAATGGTAGTCTGTACAGAGAGGGGGAATCCTGGAAGAAGAGAAAACCAGCTAAAAGAAGGCAAAGGTGATGAAATTATAAATTCATCTTTGGATATCTTGAGTGTGAGAAAACTTTCTAAAAGAGGATGGATGAATCTGAGGTAAAAGAATAAGTATGAACTACATGCTTAACTTGCCAGGTGCAATGGCTCATGCCTGTAATCTCAGCACTTTGGAAGACCAAGGTGGGAGGCTTGCTTGAAGGCAGGAGTTCGAGACCAGCCTGGGCAACAAAGTGAGACCAAATCTCTACAAAAACAACAACAAAATATATATAGCCGGGTGCAGTGGCAGGTTCTATGCTGAAGTGGGAGGATTGCTTGAGCTCAAGTTTGAGGTTGTATTGACCTATGATCACACAACTGTACTCCAACCTGGGTGACAGAGTGAGACCCTGATTCAAAAAAAAAAAAAAAAAGAAAGAAAGAAAAAAAAAAAGCTAGACCAGTCAACCAGATGAATAATGAATAGCAAATTTTCATCTCATTTTCTGAATAGAAGAGGCTATGTGTGTGTGTGTGTATACATGTGTGTTTGTGATGCAAGAGGAGACATCAACAGACCTAAGTGGGGTGGAGGTTGCGTATGGAGTTAAAGCGGAAGATACTTTATTTGTATTCACATTGTGTTTAAGGTTTCAAAAGCTCTAAAGATTTTGTTCCATTCTTCCCTATAATTTCCCTTCCCACTGCCACCATTCTTGTTCAGAACCTCAGAATCATAAAACTATATTCCTCGAAAGGGCCCTTAGAAGTTATTTCTTCCAATCTCTTCAATTTTATAATAAAAAATTGGGACTAAAAGAGGATAAGGGATGTGTCCAAAGTGCAGAATTAGATAGATGGGAATCTGAGAACTGTACCCTGGTCTCATTTCTCTTGGCCTGTCTCCCTTAGATAGCAAAATTGACTTCTCAAGTGGTCCCACCATGTCCAATTTCTTGTGTTTTTCAATCCATGTTATCCAAAGCCACTTAACTTTGACGAAGTCAGTCTGTTTAAAAGGCTTTGCATCCTTTCTCAGTGCCTAAAAAATAAAAGACCATATTCCTTAGGCTAGTATTTAAGGCCCAAATGCAAAATAACTTGATCCTTCATTCCGATAATTAAATCAAGCAGAATTAAATCAAGCCATTTCACAAATGCATGCAGGAATTGATAAGGTCAGTCCTTCGTCTTTATCTGGCCAAACCTCTCTTACCTTCTAAAGCCTTCTCTACATACCAATTACCCTATGAATAATTTCCTTCTCCTTCTAAATTATGCTTCTTTCTGAGCCTGTTTCTTCATCAGTGAAATTGGGATAGTCATACCAAACACACAGAATTGTGCTAAGGACTACATTCTGTATACAAAACTTCTGGCTTAGAGCTTGTCATATAGTGGGCTCTCAATACATCTTCAAACTCCTTTTTTTAACCCTCATAGTCCTGTGTGGTTTCTTTGTTGCACCCTTGTATTTTATACTTTCTGAAGTTACATGTGTGCTTGACTTAATCCCCCTGTTTATCCAGTAAATATTTCAGGGATAATAAAATTTTAAGGACTAAGACCATACTGTATTCTTCTTTGTATAGTATCATCAGGCCCTAATACTCTGTCATTATCTGCGTGCTTAATAAATACTTGAATTATTAACTTGAATTGAGTAACTCCCCAGCACAGGATGTCTTCTCAGCTTCCAGTCCCGAGCCATTGAGACTTGCTGGTGAATCTGTTACACAGGGGACGAGTCTGAGCCCAGAAAATAAGCAGTCCCCCACACTGCCCTGTTAGCTTTCTATCTGCCCCTAGGCAGTACTTTATCTTTTTCATCACAGTAGCCACTTAAACCCTTCAGCTTTCCACAAATGTCTTGCTTCTCTACCTTCCACCTCACTCTATCCATGACCTATGCCCTTCTATTTCACGACAAAATTAGGAACTCTATTTCCTGCAACCTCATCCATCAGTTTATTCATATTACCCTCAAATTACTTCTCCTCACTCCATCTTACTTCCATTATTGTTCTCCCAAATGGACTAGTTTTTGCTCCTCCTATGTAATACTGATTTCTTCAATTCTGTTCTTGATGTCTATGCTTTTCCATTTGCTCAGACATACTAAATACTTCCTTTTCTTCCTCATCTCTACTGGCTCCTTTCTATCAAGATTTGAACAAACTTAATTGTCTCCAACCTTAAAAAAGTAAATTATCCCTTGATGCGGGAACATTCTAAGATACCATAACATTTATGCTGTTTCCCATCCTGAGTCACCTACACATATTACTCCTTTTGTTTCATGTGCCCCACAACCTATCTTTGAAGTCTACCTTTTGCCACTACCACTCAAATAAAAATATTCTGGCAGAGGATGCCAGTGGACTCTTGACTGCCAGATCTGATGGATCCTCTCTACCCATGGAAGACACATAATTGCCTTAACACTCTACTGCCACTGCTGTGGCTTCCTCCTCCTTGGCCTGTCCCTTAATGTTGGTGTTCCTTAGATCTTCAGTTCTCTTTCCTTTCTCTCTGGGCTCTCCTAAGTGATCCTATCATCTCCTGTGACTCCATAGACTTACTGTATAATGATGACTCTAAGAGCTATAAATTTAGACCTGATCACTCTTGACGTCCAAACCTCCATCTCCATTTTCACCCATCCACAGCACGTCACACTCCCAGCCTGTCTAATAGTGAAACCCATGTCTTCCTCTTTCCTCCTTACAGCTCCTTCTTCTCTCTCAGTGTCCAGATCAGGGTCCTTTTCCTCACTCTCCTACTCATCACACAGAATATGTCAATTCTTCTTGTTACTAAACTCCAGCCTGTGCACTTCTCCCCATCCCCATAGTCACAAACTTATTTCAAGGCTTTAGTTCTTTGTATTTGTATTACTGTATGTGTTAGCTTGCTAACGGTGCTGTAAAAAAATACCAGAGACTGGGTGGCTTAAACAATGGAAATGCATCTTTTTTCACAGTTTTGGAGACTGGAAGTCCAAGACCAAGGTGTCAGCGAGGTTTGGTTTCTTCTGAGGTTTCCCTCTTTGGCTTGCAAATGGCTGCCATCGTGCCACATCCTCACCTGGTCTTTCTTCCATGCACGCACGGTCCTGATGTCTCCTCTTGTGTCCTAGTTTCCTCTTCTTATATACGTCAGATTAGGTTGGGGCTCACCCTAACAGCCTCATTTCAACCCCTTTAAAGACTCTACCTTCTAATATAGTCATATTCTGAGGTATTGTAGGCTAGGACTTCAACATATCAATCTGACAGGGAACAGAGGCACAATTCAGTCTGTAGCACTGTGATAGCTTCCATACTGGTTTCCTAGGGCAGCCATAAAAAATAATCACAAACCTGGTGGCTTAGAACAACAGAAATTCATTGTGTCACAGTTCTGAATGCTAGAAGTATAAAATCAAAGTGTTGGCTTGGCCGTGCTCTTTCTAAAGCCTCTAGGGGATGATCCTTCCAACTTAAAATCTTTCAGTGGATCCACAAAAATGTTTTACTCTGGATGAATTATGGCATACAAACCCTCTGTAATCTTTACTCTGTCTACATCTTTATCTTTGTCTTTTGCTATCACTCTTCTTCTACTCCCTGTCTTCATTATGGCACTAAAAACACCTCCTCAACAGTGTTCTATCACAGTTGCTGCCTTCTCTCTGCCTAGGTAGCTCAGCTAATCTTTCAGCTTAAATTCAATCCTTACCTCTTCTAGAAAGCCTTCCTTGACTACTTCTCTATTGTGGGGAAGTGACTCATACATTTTTCTGGCTTTTCTGGTCTTAGCCCTTCATAGAATTAACCATTACATATTACAATAATCTGTTTATTTGTCTGATCATCCGTTAGACTGTCAAGACTTTGAAAGTAGAAATTGGGTCTTGTTACCAATATAGGTACTTGGCACATACCAGGGATTCAAGGAAAGCTTACTGGATGAATAAGTGGTGAAGAAAACACTGTTATCCATAGTTGTAATTAGGAAAATTTATTTGATAGAAAATAATTTAAAATGAAACAGACAACAAATAATATATGGAATTTGTTGTGGTTAAACCCCATTACAAAATGCTGTTATACCAAAGGAATGTTGATAAATATTTCATTGGGGATTCTTACATACCTTAAAAATCCATTCTGGGAGGGAATGATTGTATTTTGAATGTAATCCAAAATGTTTCCAAATTATTTCCAAAATTATTTCAGGTTGAAAATCTGGGTGAAAGATTTGTGTTGGAAAATTTCAAAACAAATGTTACCTTTGCTTTTCAGGGACTTATTCTGTGCATTACTTTTATTTAGTTTTCCTGCCTTCATAAAGTCTTATGTGAGTCTTATAATCAGGGAAAGTATTAATATTTCAAATCTTGGTTATTTGTAGAGTAAGAAAAGGCAGAGAAATTAAATGTAATGTCATTAGGTTCTCATTTTCCTTCTGCAGAACACATCCATCTCTAGGAAATATAATTGTTCTTCTTTACATTAGTTCTTTCCTTAACAGAAATTAATGACCCTGTAATCCAAAACTTTCCCTTTGACTTAGATGAGGACAACTCGAGGACTGTAGTGGCCCTCTGATTTTTAGTTAGTTGTGTAAAAAGGGAAAAGAATAGCATTTTAATAGATTAGCTCACATTTTAAAAGCTCTAAAGAACTGTACCCATCCTTTGTAAAGAAATGCAGCTTATTTTTATGTATTAATTTAATAAGCACACAGCTTCCTAAATTTATAAATTCTAATGTTCCAATGGAAAATCTTTTTACTTATGTAAACATGTATATTTGTCACCAATGACATGCTTTTTTATTTCCAAATATTAATATATCTATTTTTTAAATTATTGTTATTTGAATAGAGTGATGGTGGTTAAACTTGTTTGTATATTAATTTTAAAAGAAAGCTTATAACATTACGTTATTAAACATGAGGCTTGTTGAAAACATATTGAAGCTACCTTTCATCAAATAAAGAACACTGGAAACCATCATTCTCAGCAAACTATCACAAGGACAAAAAACGAAACGCCGCAAGTTCTCACTCATAGGTGGGAATTGAACAATGAGAACACATGGACACAGGAAGGGGAACATCACACACTGGGGCCTGTCGTGGGGTGGGATGATGGGGGAGGGATAGCATTAGGAGATAAACCTAATGCTAAATGACGAGTTAATGGGTGCAGCACACCAACATGGCACATGTATACATATGTAACAAACCTTCACGTTGTGCACATGTACCCTAAAACTTAAAGTATAATAATAATAAAATTAAAAAAAAAATAAAGAACACTGCCTTCTATTCCTAGTTTGCTGTGTTTATCATAAATGAGCTTTGAATTTTTTCAAATGCTTTTACTTCATCTTTTGAAATGATCATGTTTTATCTTTTAAGTAAGGTGTAGGTTGAATCAGTTTATGTAGTAGAGTATATATTTTTAACCAGTTAATATAGTGCATTTTATATATTTTTTTCTCTTAAAGATGAGTGTGTTTTGTTTTTGGTTTCGTTGCCTGCTGATAAAAGTAACTTCAGCTCTTTTGATTTGTCTTTGCCTGGTACATCTTTTACTATCCTTTACATTTTAGCTTTTTCATGTCCTTCATTTTTACATGTTTTTCTTGTAGATAGACTATTCAGTAGCTATTTGTTGAATGTCCCCTGGAAGCCATATTCTTGGTTAGGCACTAGGAATGCAATGAAGAAGAGACATTAGGTTCCTGATACTCTGGAATGTACATTGACATGAGAGAAATAAATACATAAGTACACAACAAGTAACTAAATGGTTATGGATTGTGATCAGTACTATGAAATACAGAAACAAAGTGTTAGGATAAAGGATAATGAGTATAGACTATCTAAGATGGGGTGGTTAGGGAAGATGACCAAGAGGAGCCAATGTTTAAGCTAAAACCTGAAGGACAAAAAGTCAATCATGTGAAAAGGTAGGAAAATCAAACATAACCAGAGGGATAAGTGCACATAGACACCCTGTGCCATCATGAACTTGGCATGCCCTACGAACAAGCAGATCATCACCCCCCATTTGAACATTGTAAGTAAGGGATTGGTGGGTCCTAAGAGGATATTAGAGAGAGACAGAGAGAGAGAGAGAGAGAGAGAGACAGAGAGAGAGAAGGGAGAAAAGACATAGAATATTTGAGTCATAATAAAGAATTTTTATTTAAGTACAAACTCTTGAAGGTTTTTTTTTAACAATGTGTCATTTCCGACTCAGGTTTCTGAAAGTTCACAATAATTTCAATAGAAAAAGGGATTTAGTAGTGATGGAGAGATAGGGAAAGAAAACACAGAGACCAGATAGGATGCTAATTCAGTGGTGATGCTGGTGGCTTGGATCAAGTTGGAGATAGTGGGCATATTTGGTATACATTTTGGATGTAAAACCAATAGAATCTGCAGGTGTTTTGGATATGAGAATAAGAGACCATTCAGAAGCAGGCATGCTTCTCATGGTTCTGACTTTAATACTGGGTAGATTGTGGTAACTTTAATTGAAATGACGGTGTGTGTATGTGTGTGTGTGTGAGAGAGAGAGAGAGAATATTTGTCTTGGGGTGTACTCATGTGTAACTTCTGGGAAATGGTGGTGGAAATAAAGGGAACAATTTTTGACACATTATCATTGAGATGCCTTTGAGACATCCAACTGGAAATGTCAAGTTGACAGTCATAAGTCTACAACTTACAGAAAATGTATATACTGGAAGTATAAGTTTGGGAATTGTTATTATATAGAACAGTGGTTAAAAGTATGGTTTTAAATATAGACTTTCTGAGTTTTAATCTGGTTTTGCAATTTACTAGCTGTGTAATTTTGGGCAAGTTATTTAACCTATCTGAATTACAGACTTGTCATCTGTAAAGTGATAATAATGATGATAGCAATGACCTTATGTAAATAAGCTAAACAGCAAAGCACTTAAAAAGTTTTTACTTGTGTTAAGCGTAAATAAATATTAGCTGCCAAGATCACCATCATCATTAATAACTCTATGGGTAACCTTTCTTGCTTAAAAACTTTCTTTTTAATAAAAGTGTCCTGGAAATATTACTTAACTCAAAGATAATGATGCTCAAATGACAAAATTGAAGGAGAAGGTAAGCATTTTGGGAGGATTTGCTATAGGAGAAATATTATTGGAAGCAGGGTATTTTGTAGTCTTCAACAAGAATGCCAAATCCACCCTAAAACCTAGCCCATCAGTGCCAAGAATATAGTAGGTGTTAAGATGATGTTTGCAGACTGCATAATACTAAAATATATTTATAATAGTTTGGATTTTTTAAGCTGCATATTCCCTAGAGTTTTCCAGGAATTTGTAAAGTATATCACTAGTTCACTGATGTGTTAAAAGGATGTTTTGCCAAATTTCATTCCAGGATTTTGTGTATTTCAAGCTGTTCTATTACACTTGCCAAGCAGACTCTCTCCTCCACATCCAGTACAAATTTTTAACTCAAAATACACACCAAAAAGAATGACTAGTTACAATTTTGGCCACTGAATGAAGTCATCATCCTTGTCTGATTCCAACTGGATTTTTTTTCTATAAACTAGGGGTCCTGGACTGTGCCTAATCTCTCACAGACATGAGAATGTTGATGTGATAGAATTATCAAATAGAAAAGATGAGACTCTATAGTTGAAGCTCAGTCACTGGGCTCTCAATGCTGGTAATAAATATTCTGGTGCACTCTAGTGGTAGAAGGAGATAGGCTGGAAGACAGGGAGGTGCACTGGAATTAGCAGTAGTGATTCTTATTCTGGACAATATACCACCAATTGTGGATTTAAAAAATTACCTGTGGGATATTTCAGGTAAATGGTAGAATTCACAGATGATCTTGTCCCCTTGTTCCTCTCTACCCAGAAAATGTCTGGAAGAGAATGACTGTATTCCTTTAATAGGTAGAACACCTCAATTTAAAAAGAAATACAGTGTGTATAGCTGAAAGCTACCTATATTTTATGGTCATTTTACTTTTCACAGGAGCAGAGTTCATTGTTGTCTTCCCATAATGATGGTAAGAAATAATTTTCAACAGAACTCTCATGTTCTATATATAGTACATGCATGTGAATAAGACAAAAGAAGTTTATAAATGCAAATTACATATTTGCACACACATTGATCAATGTCAGTTTTAGGTGTTTTTAAAATTGCATTCTGCCTCGTTATCATAGCTTTGGCTTTTCCTCTCTGTTAGTTAATTCCACAGCTAACTCCCAGGGCTCTGATCATTCATTCCCTGGCTCACAAAATCTTCCTTTTGGTGTCTGTTCTTCTATTTTCTTGTCACTGTTAATCTTTTTTCTTGTAATTTGTATCTCAATAGATTGTTTGGATTGTATATTTCTGGGAGACCCAGCTGTGCCCCGGTCATCTCTGTCACTTCCACATCACCCAGCACAGCACCTGGTGCCTAATGGGCATTTGGAAATACGCGGCAAGTGAACAAATTCATGAAAAACCTGACCTGTGACGTTAGAGACTCATGATAATGATGGATTATATCCACTGGTCCAAATCCCACTGAAGGCTCCAGTTAAGTCCCAAAAGCTAGTTAGGAAGGAGTTTAGAGCTCTTCAGAGCCTTTTTCTCCTTGGAAACCAGGTGTCACACCAACAAGAGCTGATTTCACACTTATTTTCTTCCTTCTAAGCAGGGACCAGAATGATCTTCTCACTTGTGCTACACCAAGGGAGAAGTAAAAATTTACTCAGACACTTCAGTGTCCAAATTGTTTCATAAATTAAAATGTGCGTGTGTATGTAAAAAGGGAGAAGGAGAAAAACACTACCAATATGCGTTCCAGTAGAAAGACCCCAGATTTAAGAATCTGAGAACTGAGATGAACACTCTGTAACAAACTCACCACATGGTCTGAAGCAAGTAATGGAACATCCCTATTCCCACTTGCCCTATTTATCAAACAGAACCATCATGCATAGAATCAAATAAAACAATGGATGTGACATTCTTGACAGATATAATGGACTTCCAAGGGTTGAAGCTTTTTTAAATTTAAAAGCATCTGGCTTTTGGAAGTGTCATGATGCAACTTTGTTGGAAATCTTTAAATTCATGCAGTCACTTATTTAACAAATATTTTATTGAGCATGTATTATATGCCTGGCATTCTCTCAGGAACAGAAAATACAATCATGAACAAAACAAATAAGCTTCCATCTTACTGAAATTTATATTACAGTGAAAGAAAAAATGAGTAAAAAATGAATATGAAATATATGAATATACCAAATTCATTGTGGTGAAGAAAAAGCAGGATAGAGAATGACAGATGATGCAATTTTTTATCAGATGGCCATGTAAGTGCTCTCTGAAGCAGTGACATTTAAGCCAAGACCTGAATAAAGTGAGAGAGCTGTGTGAATATCTGGGGGAAAGGGCATCCCAGGCAAAGGAAACAGATAGAGCCAAGGCCCTGAGTAGAAGAATGCTTGGATGGGCCCAAGGAATAACAAGAATGTCACTGTAGCTGAAGCGAGTAAGGAGGTAAAATATAGAGATGAAGCCAGGGTACAGATCATGCAATGCCTTGTGGGCCAGGAAGTGATTTTTTTCAATTAAATTTTTTAAAATAACTTTAGAGTTACAGAAAAGTTGCAAAGATAATACAGATAATTTTCCCATACCCCAGGCCCAGTTTCTCTTATTATTAATCTTATACTGGTCTGGTACATTTGTCACAACCAGGGTACCAATGTTAATACATTATAACTAACTATAGTCCATATTGTATTCATATTTTCTTAGCTTTTACATAACAATCATTTTTCTGTCCCTGGATTTTATTCAAGAAGCCACACTACATTTAGTCATCATATCTCCTTGGGCTTCTCTTGGTGTTGACAGTTTCTTAGCCTTTCCCTGTTTCTGATAATTTTTAAGAGTTTTGAAAAGTACTGGTCAGATATTTGATAAATTGTCCCTCAATTTGTGCGTGTTCAGAATGGTTTGCGCGTTCTTGACAGGAAGACTACAGAGGTAAAGTGCTCTTCTCATCACATTGTATTGGGAATACCTGTTATTAACATGCCTGATCACTGACGTCTATCCTTGGTCACCTGACTGAGACAGTTGTTGTCAAATGACTGTAAAGTAATTTTTCCTCATTTTCATACCATACTGTTTACAAGGGCATTACTATCAGCATCCCACATTCAAGGGGCAGGGTGTTGTGTTTCATCTCCTTGAAGGAAGGGTATCTAATAAAACCTATTTGGAATTGTTCCACATGAAAGTTTTGCCTATTATCTTCCATTTATATGTTTGTTCAGTTGTGTATTTATATCATCATGGACTCGTGGATATTGACTTTATCTTTTGGGATATAATACAATACTACATTACTTATGGTGGTGGTCACTTTGCTCCAGCTTTACCCATTGGGAGCTTTTGTCCTTGGCTCGCTTTGGCATAGCTATATCATTTTGTTTTTTGAGTCATGGAGAGACATTGATGCTATTCTAACCACAGTGGAAGCCATTGGAGAGTTTTGGGAAAAGTAGTAACATGATCCCATTTATATTTTATAAGAATTCTTGTAGCTGCAATGTAGAGAATAAACCACATTGCAAGATGGCAAGAGTAGAAGCAAGGAACCCTAAGAAAGTGATAATGGCTTGGAGAAAGCTGCAGCAGCAGAAGTGAGGAGAATTTGGGGGTATAACTTGTAGGATGAGCTTACAGCTATATTGGATGTAGACCATAAAAGCAGGAGAAGTCAAGAGTGACTCCAAGGTTTATGTCCTGAGGAATTGGATAACTGGTGATGCTATTTATATCTATGGAAAACACTGAAGAGGGAGCAGTCTTGGAACTCCAAATAATGCGTAAAATACATATAGCACAGCCAAACTAAATAAAACTATACTTAAAAGAGCAATTGCCTTGAAAACCTTGTTTTGACTTGTTTCTGTGAGGGAACTCAGCAGCATAATTCAAACACAGGCTCCCGGGCCAAGAGAGGCAGATGGTAGCTGTTCCTCAGGCTCAGGCTTAAAGAGAGGAAGGGTTTTCATTTATTTCTCTGAAGATGGTTTCTAGTCTTTTCGTTTATAAATATTTCTCTCAGTTTGTGAATGTGCTCTTGTTTTGTCTGTGTGCATTCAACTCTGATAGCCCTGGGTGACGTCAGCCATTTGGGAATCAAAGAGTTCACTCTGAAAAACAAATTGAGGCAACCCAAAAAACATAAAATTGCTCCTTCCAAGGAGTAGGAATATTGAAAATGAGAATTGATTTTGAGAGTCTTGGGCTTTGGATTAAGATATTATATAAATTTCCCAAATAGTTCATGAGTAATTTTTTCAGCCAACAGATATTTGCTGTGGACCTGTTGCATACAAAACCCTGCCTATTAAATAAGGGAAAGAGTTGAGGCTCTCTAATCACCCAGGGGTGAGATACTGTGCAGAAGGATTCTAGCCTAATGCCTGGTGCAATAAGCATCTGATCAATGGGATCTATTATTATATTATGTGCCATGTACTTCTATATCTTTGGACTTTGAACATGCTGCTTTCTCAATCTGGAAGATACTTCCTCCCCGTCCCTGGTTTATAAACCTCAACTTGTTCAAGATGTTGCTCTAATGTCACCCCCCACCCCCGTAATCTTCCCTTTTCTCCATATTCCTCATTGCTAAGCTCTTGGTTGGTTCATATACCAACCAGCAATGTCTTCTACACTTCATTCTTCTATGTGTCTATTGAGTTTTTTCCCTATACGCTCATACACTTTTACCACTATTAACTACGTATTTTTCAATAAATCAACTTTCTGTTTTACTTAATTCGACTTCATCTTATGGAGTAATACTCATAAAATTATAAGCTCAGGCCACTTATTGTATTATTCAACAAATGAACATAAATATATACTGTTTATGACTGTAAATTATAAATAATGTTTATTATTTGAAATACTATCAAAAATCATTTCTCATACCACTAGTGTAAAGAATACCATGCTTTGGAAAGCATTCGATTATATATTTGCTATGATGAAATAAATTATGATGAATTGTTTCTAGATTGCTTTAAATAGTCTCATTTCTTAGTCTCTCCCTCTATTCATACTCTTTGCCATGTGACTTTGTAGTGCTCTTTCCCTAACTCCTACCCTCAGGCTTGGCCATGTGACTTGCTTTGGCTAGTGGGATGTTGGCAGACTTGGTGTAAGTGAAGAATTGCAGGCCAGGACTATAGAGCATCAAGTGAAGTACCTAGGGTGAAAACTATAAGGGAGGACTCATTTTCAGGGTTCTTCTCAGACCCTGGAGACTTAAAAAAAACTGTTAGTCTTCTTTCATTTATTTCAAGGCTATGACAAGAGCATACCAACTGGTCCCAGGAAAAATATGAGAGAAATGTGGAGCACAGCTGCCTTACTAAGTTATGCCCAACCGATAGAATGCCCCCAGCTAATTGGCAGAAGCATGAACAAGTCAGCCAAGATCAGCCAAGTGACCAGCCAACTCTCAGTGGACTCACTGATGCATGAACTATAATGGTAGCTAAATATCAGTTTTAGCCATTGACATTTGTGGCATTTGTAATGCATTGATTAAAATTTACATATTTTCAGTTCTATAATTTGAGCCCATTAAGGGGAAGGGTATTTTATGTCTATACTCAACCAGTACCTGGCACCCAGGAGATGGTAACGAAAAATATTAAACAGAAATTGATGCTATTATGTCATATAGGTGATTGTCAACAAAAGGCAAGCAAATTTCAACTTCAAAGTACTTGTATTTGCTCTTTCTTTTACCTGGAAAATGTTTTCCTTGATATCTACAGAGCTCTCTCTTGCCTTCTTCAATATTTTACTAAAATTCTGCTATCTTATCAGAGGCCCTTCCTGGGATAGGCAAGCTATCTACATTATCACTCAGCCCCTGTCATCACTCTACCTGTGATTCTTATCCTGGTATAAGAATGTTATTATTCAACTTCTTTCATATATTGCTTGATACCAAGACTGCCAAGAATGACATAGTATTATAGGTTTTTGTTTTCTGAGACTCCTTTAAACACTGTACCTGCATTATGTCATATAACACCGAAACAAAGTTATAAGGTAGGTTTAGTATCATTTTGCAAAAAAAACCAGATTGAGATTCAGAGAGGCTATATAATTTTATACAGTAACACAGCTAACAAAAACCATCACTTCAGCCTACATCTGTTTCCTTCTCCTCTACTAGTAAGCTGCCACCTGTAATTCTACCACCCCAAGACAGCAATAATTTTTATATTTCTATGCTCTTTTGTCATGTGCATATTTTCCTTATAGTTGGCACAAATATAATTTCATATTCCATAGTTCAACTAATATCAGAAATATTATTAATATTGTTACTCTATATGTATTGGCTGACAAATGGAAATCATTGAGTAGCTTCCCTATTTTTAGATGTTAATGTGTCTTACAGTTTCTTTCTTTATATATTTTATGGTTTTGATAGATATTGATCACCAAATTATTTTTTAATGTGTTATATCAATTTATTCTGTGACAAGTGGTGGATGTACAAATTTTTCCACAATTTTGTGGCATTAAATATTACTATTTTTAATTGGTAAATTGATGGATGTAGATGTAAAGAACATTGCTCTGTGTTTCCATCTGTATTTCTTTGTTATTTATTTGTTAATGTTATTTACACATTCCTTTTTAATATTTCTGCCTTCATGAGTCTTGTATTTGTACTTTTAATCTATCTATCCATTGTAATCTTGAGCTTTTTTTCCAACAACTCATTTTTCTCAGATTTGAATTTGTTTAAGAAATTCCATACCCTATCATCTCTGCTTTCCATTTTGCAAAATGTAAAATGTTACATTGTGAATAATTATTTCTATAGTGCCTACTGTATTTATTTTTAGGAAACAGTATTTTTCAGGCAATATGTTTTACATGGATCAAAGAAGTTACACTTGTTTATGGAGTATATATTCCAAATACGTATCACTGAATCTGCTTGTGCCATCTTTTTGTCAAATCAACTCATTATTAATGGGTCCTCTGCAATTTATAAATGAATTAAGTATACTGGCACTTAACCATCTTCTTTTGTAAATACTGATTGAAACAACATAAAATCATTTTAGAATACATAGATACTTTTTAAGAACTATTCATCAATTGGATTGAATAAAGAGTACTGATTTATAAATTTCATGCCTAAATATCATTTTTCTAGAAGAAAAGTACTCATTTCTGAGTTAGTATTCACATATATTTTTAAATCTGTGATTTTTTATTTTACCTCAAGCTAGATCCGTCTCCCAAGAATCTCTTTATAGATGCTGTGTGACAGCTTTAAAGGTGTTATGGTGGCAATTAACTAACTCAGAAGTTAAAATAATACCAACCCTTTCCTAAATCCTTGTATTTGAATGTTAATTAAGCAATTAGATGCACAAGGGACAATTGCCAGATGATGCCTCCTGGTAGAGTTAAGTTAGCAGACAAAAATGATGAATTCTATTAATACTGTGTCCAAATTAAAAAAAAATCTCAAGCAGCCTAAAATAAAAACCAAAGCAACAACACAAAAGCAATCTGAGAAATAAGAGATTTTTAGTTTGTGGGAAGGGGTCTTTTTTGATTGTTATGGGAGTGTTGGTGAATGCTTGTAATGAAACATAAACAAGAGCTAGTCATGCAAGCTTTTCACTTGTGAATCAATTCAATTAACTGCTGATTTGAGCAAATCCTCCAAAATGGAGCATCAAATTAAAGCCAAAATCATGAATTACAGATGAAAAGTCTGTTTGGATTGTATGGATGAATAACTTATTCTGACATGTTCCACCAATTAATGAGTTTCCCCATCTTTGTGTAATCCAGACTAGATTTTCCAGCCAAAATCTTCTTTAACTGCAATTGATCACCTTCCCCTTTGTCTACCCATCCCCTCAACATTGACCCATCAAGCCTAACCTTGGGAAGGGCTCTGGTGTAATAATTTTATCATGCAGGTCTCCAAATGTCCTACTTTCTAGGTTTATGGATAAAATCTTTGGTTGGAAGGGTGAGGGTAGTAATACAGCTACACATAGAATACTTGTATTCAAATTTGTGAAAAGTACCATCTTTCATGATGTGGAGTTGCTATACTATGGACAAATGACTTGGAGAGTGGAACCCAAACTTGCCACTCTGGGAATAACCCACAAGACCGTATGTAGTGGCCCGAAGTGAAGAGATGAAAAATAAATATTGGATTGAAGCATTTTCTCTCTTCCCTGTTCTTTTGAAAAGGAGTGAGATGCCATAAATGCATCGTTTACTTGGGAAGGGTCTTTTTGCCTACTTGCTCATGCCTGAGGTATACATCCCCTCCCTCAGTAATTCCAACTCTCTAACATGGAGTAGATGGGGTTGTGGGAAGAAGTGACACTGACTACTTAACTTCGATTTTACCAACTGTTTAATTAACACTCAAGTTCATGATTTTAGAAAACTAATGACTCCCA
Source organism: Homo sapiens (assembly GCF_000001405.40). Classification (NCBI taxonomy): domain Eukaryota; kingdom Metazoa; phylum Chordata; class Mammalia; order Primates; family Hominidae; genus Homo; species Homo sapiens. Next base: position 22,547,994 of record NC_000011.10, read on the forward strand.
CCCACCCCACTTCCAAGATAATTTTGACACCATCTCCCAGGGACTGAGAATTTCTTAAACAGAGATGGTTGAGTTTCCACCAATAATTCATTTATCTCACCAGCGTTGAACATAAGATTTATGGTAGTACTCTTGTCATCAGAAGAACATGCCTCTGGTTTGGATTTTCTGTCTGTTCTACCTCTCAGGAATCCAAAGGCATTGGTAGACAAACAGAGCCAACAGAGTCAGAATGATGGAAACTGATACCAGGAAAACCTGGAAGGGTTCTTCTAGAATTACGTGTTGGTCAAAGACAGTCATATTAAATAACTATAATTTGCTAGGCACTAGTCTAAGCCATGCAGGTAATACAGAAATGTTTATGACAGGACTGTGATATCAATAGTTTGCAATGCAGGCACTGCAAAAGGTACACAAATGAAAAAAGTTGCAAAGACTGGATAAAATAAAAATATTGGAACAACAATGGAATTAATCAAATACCCTCAAAATACCAGGGAAAATGACACTGTTAAGGAATACCTTTAAAGTTCCCTCTCCATATACAATGTGCTTCATTTTATAGAGTTTGCCATAAGCTTTGGGGTAAGAATAGAGGCTAGATAGTAGCAGTGATGGAGAAAATGATAAATGAGCAAACCAGAGCAATGAATCACAGCAGTAAGTGAAACCTGAGAGGTTTTTGGGTAAGAAAACTATCAAAATCTGGGTCAGGGAAAGGCAGAGAGTGCATGACTACCATTTGTCTATCTTCATTAGACAGGTTGCAATAGACAATCACACTTAAAGTACAGCAGTTGGCACCGAAGTAAAAAAAAAAAAAAAAAGAAAAAGAAAAGAAAAGAAATGTTAAAACAAAGAAGACCAAGTATATGTAATATCGATCCTCTAAAATCTAATTTTCAAAACTAATAAAAGAGATGCCAGCCGGGTGCACTGGCTCACGCCTGTAATCCCAGCACTTTGGGAGGCCGAGGCAGGCGGATCACCTGAGGTCAGGAGTTCGAGACCAGCCTGGCCAACATGGTGAAACCCCTGTCTCTACTGAAAATACAAAAATGAGCCGGGCATGGTGATCGGCACCTATAGTCCCGGCTACTTGGAAGGCTGAGGCAGGAGAATCACACTCCAGCCTGGGCAATAGAGTGAGACTCCATCTCAAAAAAAAAGCAACTGCCTATTTTGAGGGAGCTTTCACTTGATGTATCCAGCCAGATAATTTTTGGAGGATACAAAGCCAATTAATTTCCCCTTCTTTACCTTCAAGTTCAGAAAGAAGTATAAGACATGTGGAGAATATTGCTTAGATATGTGGCTAAATGAGTTGCTGATATTTCACTGATGCATTAGTAAATAGATTACCCCACCCACTGTGACTCAACTGGATACCTGTATCTCATCTCCTTACTTGCTAAAGACAGACCCTGTCTAGTAACCTTACTGGATATTAGAAAGCAGACTAGAATGCCATCTATCTGCACAGACAGATTGCAGAATGAGCAGAGAAAGAACTGAGCATGCTTGGTTTCATTACCCCTTCTAGCAATCAGATAAAGCACATCTGATTCTGGGAGGATTGGGTGAAGGGCAGGAAACGGTCCATGAATGTTATTTTAGCTCAAGTTTTTCAGGACCACCTGATAGGTTAACTAAGCCTCACCTTACTGACTAATCAATTATAGGACTCATTGAATCGTATGAGAAAGTATATGGGGTTCTTGATGCATCTAAAGTGAGGATAAGAGAGTATTTTACTGACAATAAAGGAAAATAAAAGACCACACTCACAGAATACTTACTCTGTGCCCAACATTGTTCTATAAAATGTAAGTACATTAAATCTAAAGTTCTCAAAAATCTCATGCATTTGAATTGCCCCCACTATATAGATAAGAAAAATGAGATTTAGAGAGGTGAAATAATATCCCCAAGGTCACATAACTAGTAACTGGCAGAGCCGAGATGAAGCCCAGCAAACCTGGATCCTCTTTTTCATCAAGATATCTCACCTCTCACCATGAGGGCCGGAGGAGAGAAAAAGGAGAAACAGTTTTCCAGTGTTCCCGCTCCTCTTCCACCTTCTCGAAGCTGAGCTGAGGCAGAAGTCCATCCACTTTTATTTAGAGCAGTGAAACAGTGAATTTAGTTTTCTGATCACTAACATTCTTGATCCCCACAGGGCCTTACTATCAGCTCCATCTCATGAACAATAGTAAGGAAGAGTTGGAAGAAAGTCCTGAAAGCTTCCCTTATTCTCTGACATCCCCCGGGAAGATGCTAATAAACCTCATTTCTCACAGCTACTTTTTGTTGCCCATTGGCTCATTTTTCATCTGATTTCTGCATTCTTAGCATGTCACTGTTTTTGAGATGGTAATCTATGTGAAAGCTTTCAAAGGAAAAAAAAAACAGCCACTATCCATTTTGTGTGTTGTTTTCCTTCCCTGGAAACTTACTTTTGAGACCCAAATGTTTGGAAAAAAAAGGTGATCAGAGAATAAAAAATCATAAACATTCTGAATATATAAACCAAGAAAATAAAGTGTGGGTTTGGGAGGACTGAGTGCTATGGCTTTGCAATGTTTCATTTTAATGGGTCCTGGGCTTCTACATCTAAGGGCTGACTGATCATGTCTTCTTTTTTTCTCTTTTTCCTTAACAGGTTTCCCTAAATATTTGACCCATAAATCAAATTGCTATAACATTAATTATTTTTGACCTTTGGTGTTAATTGTCAAAAATATCTCCTGCTAAAAATTACTGCAACACTAACCCTTTCTGGTTGGTACTGGTACATGAGTAGGTGAATGGCAGTTTCTTACCTTCTATGGTTTTATGAAGGTTAGAAAGCCAACATCACAACCCACACACACCTAAGCTAAAAAATATGGCTCCAAGCTGGAAGACCCAGTTTCCTCCGTCTCTACCAACACTGTTCTGGGTCTGCTGATGCCTCCTCTACCCTCCATTATTCAGGAGCAATCTTTCAATTTCTGAGCCAGTACTGGGGATGTTAGAGGAGAATGAAGGAAGGTAACTACTATGATTAACTTTGAGCATTAACAGTGTGTCAGGTAGTTTGTTAGGCATTATTCATAAGATAAACAGTATCAGCTCACTTTTTACAGATGATAAAAAAAGAACACAGGAAACAGTTAAACAGTGTCAGAGACTAATGGGACTAAGAATTATGCCATCACTAGGACAACCATAGAGCCTGGTTTTCCAAAGACAGTTCCAGGTTACATTTGACATTAATTATTATGTTAATTATTAATAACCCATCCTTTTACTCTCTAATGTGAGTTATAAGTTCACCTAATTATCCTTACTTGAACTGGAGTACGGTGGCACCAGCAATGCTTCTGGGTCTTCACGTCCTTGAACCTCTTTTTACCTCCTACCTAGAGTCTTATTTGCTTCCAGCCAGACGGTAGGTCTCACACAAAACAGGATGGCACCTAGATGTTCGTGTAGACACTAAATTATGGTTTTTACTCATCCTGGATTGAGCTAACTTTTAAACCTGAGCATTGGCTAGTTTGTACCACAACAGTTTCTGTTAGTTATCCTATCTGGTAGTCAAACCTTCTGTAAAACTAGGAACCTGTTTTACCCTGTTGGAGTTCAAGTAATCTTACTAAAGATCTGGACCAAAACCTTGACAAGGGACTAAAATTAATTCCCTATTGCCCTGGAAAAATTTGGGCAACATTTTTCATATGCACAAGACCCTCCTGCTTTTAGTTGCAGTCTGACCCTTCTGCTTTTAGTTGCAGGTGTAAAGGTGAAGATCCTATACTACCACTGGAAGAAAAGTCCCTCTGTATGTCAGCAGGGTGATACAAGGGGTTGTAAACACCAAAATGCTAATGAGATCTTGGGCTACTATGCAATCATTATATCTAAATACAGGATGTGACAGGCTCATTCTAATGCTACTGATCAAAAATATCCTAGGAAATTCTCTTTTAAGGAGAAGGGACCCTTAGGATATTAAGATGATCAAACAACATATAAGGAATTCTTTCATTCATTCAACAACTATTGAGTGTCTATTATGTACTAAGCACTGTGCCAGTGCTGGAGATACAGAGTTCTCTGTTCTGTAGAGAAGAGTCTAGCAGGGGACTGTCATGGGCTGAATGTTTTGTTTACCTTCCCAAATTCATACTTGGAAGCCCTAACATTCAATGTGATGGTATTAGGAGGTGGGCTTTTTGATAATTAATTAGGTTTAATTGAGCTCATGAAGATGGAGCTCCCATAAAGAGGCCTTATTATTAGCTTTCATGAGTTCCCTTATTATAAGAAGGAAAAAAATACCCCAGATATTTCTCTCTTTGCCATGTGAGGACACAATGAGATGGTGGCTTTCTGCAAGCTAGGAAGTGGACTCTCACCAAATAGTGAATTTTCCTGACTTTGATCTTGGCCTCCCAACCTCCAGAACTGTGACAAATAAATATCTGTTGTTCTAGCTACCCAGTTATGGTTTTTTGTTATAGCAGCTCAATTTGACAAATACGTGGACACAAGCATTCATCTAGCAGTCACACAGATATAGAATTACAGACCACAGGAATAATAAAAAATGTACACTGTGCTTTTAATAGAGTATATTGGGGGCCCCTTGGGCAGTACATGAGACTGCTTCTCTGACGATATGACAAACTGAGCCCTGAGGGACTGGTAACAGTTAACCAAGTAAAGGATGAGGTAGCCTTTCAGGATGGGGAAAGTGAATGCACTGAGGTCTTAAACCAAGAGGGAGAAACCCATCAGCTGACTGAAAGAAAAGCTAAGCCAAGGAATTTGAATATGTAGTCTAGAGAAGAGTGGGGTATGGTGGTGGGATGGGAATGGGGTGAAGTTGAGCAAGGTGAGAGTTCCAGATAACTTGTCCTATGGAAGAGGGACTAGACTGAGACAGTTCCATTGTGTGAAAGCTATAGAATGATATTTTAATTTAAAATATGGAAAACGTCCTGCTTCTTGAGTCAGTGTTTTGAAGGCAGTAAGCGTCTGTCTCTAGATCCATTTGCATGGAGGCTGTATCACAACTTGGTTAGAATTTTGTAGAGATGATTCAGAGTGTTGGAAATGCTGAATATTTAAGTCCATCTCATTTAGGAGATTTTGTGAATCACTTACTTTCAGTTAAAAAGAAAAAGCTAGTCCTCAGGGGTAAATATCTGATGAAGGTACATACTATTAAAAATTCCCCAAAGACAAGAGAATCTTGGAAATTCTTTTCCAATAAGACAATTGCAAGCTTTTAAGAAACATCAGTCCTGCTATACTTATAGAGTCCTGAAAATACAGCATTTACATTTTTAAAAAGCCACCAGGACATTTAATTGTATTGTGCTTCACTTTACTGTGATTTGCAGATATTGCTTTTTTAAAAAAATTGAAGGTTTGAGGCCATCTTGCTTTGAGCATGTCTATCTGCACCATTTTTCCAATAGCATGTGCTCACTGTGTGTCTCTGTGTCACATTTTGGTAATTCTTACAATATTTCAAATTTTCTCATTATATCTATTATGATGATCTCTGATCAGTGATTTTTGGTGTTACTGTTGTTACTTGTTTGGGGACACTGCAAACCATGCCCATGTAAGACACAATGAGATGTTGGGGAACTTAATCCCTAAGTGTTGTGTGTGTTCTGACTGCTCTGTGGGCTGGCTATTCCCCCATCTCTCTCCCTTTCCTTGGGTGTCCTTATTTCCTGAGATACAACAATATTAAAACTAGCCCAATTAATAAACCTATAATGACCTCTAAATGTTCAAGTGAGATGAAGAGTTGCACATCTCTCACTTTAAACCAAAAGCTAGAAATTATTAAGCTTAATAAGAAAAGTATGTTGAAAGCTGAGATAAGTGGAAAGCTAGGCCTGCACCAAATAATTAGTCAAGTTGTAAATGAAAAGGAAAAGTTGATGAAGAAATTAAAAAGGCTATTCCAGAGAACACAGAAATTGTAAGAAAGTGAAACAGCCATATTGCTGATATGGAGAAAGTTTTAGTGATCTGGATAGAAGATCAAACCAGCTACAATATTCCCTTAAACCAAAGCCTAATCTAGATCAAGGCCCTTGCTGTCTTTAATTCTATGAAAGTTGAGAGAGGTGAGGAAATAGTAGAAGACAAGTCTGAAGCTATCAGAGGTTGGTTCATGAGATTTAAAGAAGAAAGACATCTCCATAACACAAAAGTGCAAGATGAGGCAGCAAATGCTGATGGAGAAGTTGCAGCAAATTATCCAGAAGATGTAGTTAAGATCATTTACAAATGTGGCTACATTAAACCACAGATTTTTAATGCAGATGAAGCAGCTTTCTATTGAAAGGAAATGTCACCTAAGACATGCATAGCTAGAGAGAAGAAATCAATGCCTGGCTTCAAAGCAGCCATCAACATGGAAGTGAAACTCTTCACCAGCACAAAGATGACTCAGTGACAGCTCAGACAATTGTTAGCACTTTTTAGCAGTAAAGTAATTTTTAATGAAAATATATGCATTGTCTTTTTAGACATAATGCTATTGTACACTTAATATACTATAGTATAACTTAAACATAACTTTCATACATACTGGGAAACCAAAAAATTCGTGACTCACTTTATTTCAAGATTTGCCTTGTTGTGATATTCATTTTATTGCAGTAATCTGGAACCAAACCCATGATATCTCTGAGGTATATCTATCTCTTTTTCATTGCTGTTTCCCTCTAAAAGAGATGTCAAAACATGGAAAATCTTGCTGATTGTCTGTGATTGGTGTCAACAACATGCATGCATCTCAAGTGTGATGAGGAAACAAGAGTATGAGCGCATAGCATCAATCTGTCCCTACAAAATTGTAAGCGTTTATTCAACTGTTGAATACCCATGTTATCAAACTTAAAATTATAGATTGCCATAAGGACTTTGCAAGTAGATCTGTTTTGATAAGCCTATTCTTTCTTTCTAATTCACATGCTTTTTGTTTGGTATTTTTAAATGATCTGGGATTTCTAGAATTTTCTTTGATTGTGAATGATAAGTGTACAGAGCCAGACTTGCTGGACCGCCCATTCAGTTATTGCCGTATCAGGGAGCTCTTTCTCTTGGAAAAAAAAAAAACGCAAGGAAAACAAAAAAGTAATATTTTTATTATAAAGCACAACACTGCCTTATAATAAAATAGAATTGATATAAAATACATCTTAACCAGTTGTTACAGCCAATTTTAAAGAACTTCTCTTTGTATGCAAATGTGTTTCCGCTAACTCCATGCAAAAGCCCTGTGTGCCTTTTATAGATTCCCATAAACATTTCTGCAAACCAGACTTTGGTTTTTACAGAAACATGACACGTTTTAAATGCCTCCTAGCCACACACGTGTGAAATACACACACACAAACACACACACACGGACTAGTCTGAGGCCATACCTAGTTTATATCATCCTTATTCATTGAGGGCCCAATCACCTGAAAATGGCTGAGATATTTTTTTCCCTGGCTCTTACATCATAGGAGACACAGGTTTAGATTCTGTTGAAAGAGAGGAAAAATCAAGTATTTTCCATGCAAATGTTTTGCTTCTATACATTTTGTTTTCCCTGTATCTCTTTTACTGAGAGAGCTTCTTTAAAAGTCTCAGATACCTTGAAATTCTCTAGAAGTTCTCAGTAAGTAAGCTAATGAATCAAAGCACCTTAAGATGACCTTCATTGCCTTTCTTATAACGTTTCCTGTAAGCCTATATCCACATCAAGCTCCATATAAAATGTAAAGTTTTATTTAATCAGAAAATCTCTTAAAATATTGTCTTAAATTTCTAGCTCAGAGGTAGTACTGAGGATGCAAAGATAAGTGTAATTTTGCTGTTTTGGGGCAGCTTCCTGTAAGGAAAGAATGGCAAACACACGATAGTTAAATGACACACAGTGGCAAATACTAATGGAAGTACAGTATGAATAATATGCATGCCAGAGATTCTTAATCCTTTTTGGGTCATGGACCCTTTTGAGAAAATGATGGTCTAAATTGTTTAGCTGTTGCTATGTGACAAATATTTGCCTGATTGCTTAGCAGCTCAAAACAATGAATATTTATTATCTCTTAGAATTACTGGAGGTCAAGAATTTGAAAGTGGCTTAGCTGGATGTTCTGGCTCAGGGTCTCTCATGAGGTTGTAGTAAAGAGGTCAATTGGGGCTACTATGAGCTGAAAGCTTGACTGGGGCTGGAGAACATGTTTTCAAGATGGCTCACTTCACATGGCTATTGGAAGGAGGCCTCAGGGGGTTCTCTACAGGCTATCTCAGAAAAATTAATTTTTTAAACACATGGCTTCTTCATAGAACTGATCATGATAGGACAGTTGGCTCTCCTCAGAGCAAGTGATCCGTGAAGTAGATAAAGAAGAAAGCCAAAATGCTTTTTATGACCTAGCATTAGAAGTGACATACTACCCTTTATACAGTATTCCATGTGACCCTACAAAATGTGGAAGACTACAAAAGAATATAAATACCAGGAGGCAGATATTATCAGAGAACATCTTTAGGGTTGACTACCACATTCTCCTGGACCTCTTCCCAGAAGAATGCCTCACAGACCCTGGGTTAAGAAACCCTGTAAGAAAAGAGGTCAAAATAAATGACAGTGCATGGAGTAGCTAGAAAGCTTTTGCAAGAGATTAATCAGTGGGTAGAGCAGGCAGGTGGACACTCTAAGAAGGTGAAACAGGAAAAGCACAAACACATGAAAAAAGTCGCCCTGTATTTGGGAAACAACAAGCAGCCCAAATGATTAAAGTATAGGGAGAAGAAAAGATATGAGTGTGGATCAGATCACAGAAGACTTTAAAAGCCACAGGGAGGACTGTGACTTTTATTGTTCATTGTGGAGACCCTGTGAAGTTATGCAAGGACCTGATTTACAAAACCCAATTTATATTTTATAAAGATCATTCTGGTCATATGTGGAGATAGAAAGCACAGAGATCAATTGGGAAGCTATAACGCCAGTACAGAGACAGAAAATCATAATGATGTGATCTGGGGCATAAACAGTGGGAATGAAAAGAAGAGGTTGTTTCCAAGAAGTTGTTTGGAGGTAAAATGTATAAAAATCGGCAATTAATTTGATGTGGGAAATGAAAGAAAATAATACGTGAGTGAAGCTTATGAGCTGTTGCTTTGGACAACTAAGGAAGTGAGTTAGTAGAGGCTTTAATTGCGAGATGAGAAAGTACAAATACGAGTTTAAGGTGTCTTTGGAATGTGCAGGTAGCATACTTGTTAAGTATTTTCCAAAGCATATTCACTGAAAACTAGACATGTAAAAACTTCAAAAAAATAAGTTTCCATGATTAAAAAGGCTTAGGAAATAGTGTGAACATTATGCCCTAGAAAAAATTTACAATGCACACCAATGTATTAAAGATCAAAGGGGTTTTGATTGTTTTGTTTTCTCTAGTAGAAAGAACCATATATTTTCAAGGTAATGTTTCACAAATGTATTTGACAATGGAATCTTCCTTTTTGGCAACCTCTGTTAACATACTGTAAATCTAGCTTTCTGCATAGTAATTTAATTTGTAACAATTTAGTTTGCCCAACTCATCACTAAATGTCCAGCAAAATTGCCAATAATGACACTCTAAAAATGCAGTTAACCTATTTTTTAGCTTCACATAAATCATAATGAAGTTTTTCAGAAACAATTTTAATTTGAAGTGACAAAGAAAACCAAACTGATTTTTATTCTTTTAGGTTTTTCAGTATTTTCAATTCCATCATTATAACTAATACACAGTCAGAGTTTTTAAACTATGTAACAATGTTGTAACTTCAGCTACAAAATATATACTAGCTATAAAATTTACCAAGATTTAGTCTAATACAACAATTATCTATTGCTATATAACAAAGGTTCATCCCCAAAGCACTGTCTCATGTTGAGGTTTTGAAATGGAAAAGACATCACGGCCTTGATGATAAGTGACATTTCAGCCACCGTTTTTCAAGTGAGTGCTGTTTGCAAGAGTCTGACAACAGGTTGACATCGAGGGTCTTTTTGGGATTCCGAGACTCCATGTGTAAGCCGAGGAGAATTTTTAGCAAGGCCAACTGCAAAGCTGGAAATCCAAGATGGTTCCTGAAGCAAAAGAGAAGGTGTTTCTTCACTCGTAAATAAATGCAGACACCAAAAATTACCCCAGAGAAAGTAATTTGCTCCCAGCATATAGTGTTTTTTAGGCTTCAGGTTTCACATTATTACCTCAAGTAACTCAGTACATTATGTCGAAAAGCAACAGTGTTGTGGTTGAGAGCACAGCTCTGGAGGAAAGTGTGATCTGGATGAATCCTAATCGTGCTCTTAATTGATATGGAACTCAGCAAGTAATGAAAACTTGTGCTTATTTTCTCATCTGTAAGATGGAGGTAATAATGCCCAGTACAGAGGATTTGTGAGAATTAAAAGGATAACTCTTGTATGCCTCAAATTAATATAAGCTATTTGTATCATAAGCAAAAACGCTAGTTCTCCCATAAAATGTAGATCAATCCAATACAAAAATATGTACATTTCAATGTGGTAGTGAAATAAGGACAATAGCTTAGACTCGAATAGTGTTTTCAAGTAATTAAGCACTTCCACATTTCTTAGCCCGTTGATAATGAAACACACTTCTCTATAGAGAATCATGTTAGTGAACCTGTGTCCAGCGGCTGGTGGGAAAAGGGTAAGCACAGCAACCCAGGCAAGCTTGGGACCGACAGCCATTAGTGAAAAATAACAGATGGTGTCTCATTTTTTGCTATAGGCAAAGAGCCAAATGACATGACTAAATAGAAAGACAGCCTCAGAGGACTGCATCTGGGCTCCTACTGAGCATGGAGCCTGAAAGGCAGGGACATTTTTAATAACCTTTCTTTGACAAGCTTAAAGCCATTTAATGCCTAAACCTGTCATATACATCCAGCCAGGAGAACAGGCCTCCAGAGAAAACTCCACAGCACACGGTCTTACCTCCCTGTGAAAAAATAAAAATTGCACACACACATAAAAATAAAACATTATACATCAAGGTCACCAAATACGAAGTTTCCATTTAAATAAAAACAGCCATTCCCCCTCTCAATGGTAACCTTCTAGACCTGCTCCCCATTCTGCATTAGATTAAATGCCAGGTTGCCGATCATTCATTATTCAAATAAAACAATAGGGGGCTCATGCCTGCTTTAGCTGAAATTTCTGTTCAGTCTAATTAGAAGGAAATGCAGTATAAATTATTATGTGCTGAAAATCTACACCAAAAAAGAAAGAAAATGAACTCATAATTCTTTATATATTGGGTTTCACTTTTTCATCAAGCCAAGTGAAACAGCAAGCAACTGTGTTTTTTTTTAACACAGCTTTTAAAGTAAATGGAAAAAAATCAGTAATCATTTTGATTAAAAATCTTTATTATTCCACTATTGTAATATTCAGCAGCAGTGAATGAGTGATTCTGCAAAAAGCATTCACTACAGCAAAATTATCTAATAAATTGTATTTGTTTTCCAACGAGTCAGCTAGTAAGAGCATTAGTGTGGACATGAATTTAATTTTCTCATGAGTCCGTGGCTTCATCTTGTCCCAGCTGTTTCATTTTCTTCTCATCACCAAATCATTTTATTATAATAACTCTCCATGCCTTACTTTTCTATAGCCCTGTATAAATGCAAGTACTTTGGAGACACTTTCATGCTGAGTAGTGGTTTGGAAGTTTACATTTAAATCTCACCTTAAATGTACATTTGTCAGAGGAAAGAAGATAGAAAAAAAATTTTGAAAAATATCATTTTACTTAACTATATTATGTGACAAGTAATTTACAAGGGTTGCAATGGGGGAAAATCATCTTTATAAAAGCAGTCATAATATCTGTTTAGTTCTACAGACTAATTGAATTAAATACATTAAATAGCTGCATTCATCACCATTTCTAGAAAGACC